>NC_000011.10:64525074-65811198 GCF_000001405.40 Homo sapiens
GGCATCAGAAGCGGGGGCAGTCTTGTGGGACTGAACTCTCACCCTGTGAAAATCTGACGCTAACTGCAGGTAGGTGGTGTCAGAACTGGGTTAAATTATAGGACACCCTGCTGGTGCCCCCTGAGAGCCTCCACCCCCCGCACATCTGGGCACAGGTGTATTCTGCGTTGAGTGGTGCGGGATGTTCAGGAGTGGGGAAACACTCTGCTGTTTCCTGTATCTTACACAGCAGCTTCGGTCACCCAGATGTACTCATGCCCTGCTGAGGCTGTAAAAATTCCCCACAAATGTAGTGGCTTAAAAGCACTTATTATCTTACAGTTCTGGGGGTCAGAAGTCTGAAGTGGGTCTCACTGGGCTAAGATGAAGGTGGCAGTGGGGCTGGTTCTTTCTGGAAGCTCTGGGGGTCCCAGATGCTGGAGGCCTCCCCTCCATCTTCAAATCCAGCAGCCTCGCCTTTCCCAGTCTCTCAGCTTCTGTCTGCTTGTCAGCTTCTCTCTTCGGAGGACCCCTGTGATTCCTTCCAGCCCCTCAGGATCGTCCCCCACCTCCAGATGCTGAACTCGGTCTCAGCTGCAAAGTCCCTTTTGCATATAAGGTAACACTCACAGGTTCTGTGGGTTAGGACCAAGCTGTTCTCTGTGTTGTCCTAGGTGAGAGGCAACAGCGGATTCTCCCTGCAGGTGAGGGAGGAAGGGCTCGGGGGCAGGGCAGAGCTGGGAACCTTCCAGAAAGTCCACAGCTCCTTGGGCTCAGGGCATGACTGTCCCCTCAGCTCTGTTGTGAACTGGGCCTCCCTGCAGGGCCCTCAGCCTGGTTCCTGTTTAAAGTCTGCCCAGGTCTCAGTCAGAGCTCGGTCTCTGCCCTCCAGCCACACCCGATTAGCCCCACTTGGAAAACCTCGATGGTCCCAGGCTGGGTCTCCCAGGGCCTCAGCCCACCCCAGCAGCCTCTTGGCAGCTCTCCCACCTCTACCTGGCCCTCCTCATCAAGGCTGGGTGAGCTTTCTAAGGTGGAAATCTGAGTAGGCGGTACCTCCTTTATCTAAAACCCTGTGATGACTGGGTTTTGTGCTAAAGCCCCCCCAACATCCTGGCTTTGCCGAGGGGCCTTTCAGGAGATGGAGCTCTGATTCTCACTTCATCCCCCAGAGTGCAGAGAGGATTGCCTTCCTCATCATCCCAGGTCACTGTCACCTCTTGGGCTTTACAGGGTGGCTCCTCCTGCCTGACACCCTCCTCCCACCCTTCATCCACCAACTCCTGTGCATCTCAGGGCCCGCTTGGCTGTTACCTCCCCAGGGAAGACTTCAGGACTGGCCAGGTTCCTGTGGATGCAACAGAAACAGATTCTGCTCTCAGGCTTGGGTCTACCCGAGTCATTGCCGCCGTCTCTGCTACACCGGCTGGGCGCTCCCGTGGGCATCCGAAGCCCTTGGCACATATATCAGTCCTGGCCCCGACTGCAACCACAGTCCTCAATGGCTGACTTGCCCGTCGCCTCCCTGCCCCGCCTGCTCCTGGTGACCAGGACCCCACCCTATTCAGTTGACCACTGTGGGTCAGCATAGCGCCCAGCCATGACTGCTCAAAGACCATGGCACGCAGCAGGGACTTGAGGGGCAGCTCCAAACTCCAGAACGCGAAGAACTCGGTGGTTCCCCACAAGGCAGATGGAGGGGAAACTGAGGCTGGGAAGCTGAGTCCTTTCTGCCTGGGGCTTCCTCTCTCAAGAAAGGAGGCCGGTGGCGCACATTTGGAAAAGTGTCTAGCAGTATCAGCAAAGCTAAACAGATGCTCACCCCCTGGCCCAGCAAATCCACCATGGGTCACACCTGCTGCAATAATGAATTGGGAGTGCATTAGGCTGAGATGACGCCAATACCTTCGGTTCTGACAGAAGCAAACGGAAACCCAACGCAGAGGGAATGGTCCCAGTCTAGGAAACCAAGAGACTCAAGCATAACCAATGAGAAACTGCCAAGTAACCTCTAACTAGGGACTTTCCACTTTAATTAACCAAATGTTTTCTTTGTCTTGCTTTTGCAAGCCTCTTATAAAAGTTTTCCCCTGATGGCCCCTCGGCAGAGCCTGGGTAGCTCTAGATCCAGTGCTGCTCAATTCATGAACTGCTGAACGTTCAAATAAACTTATTGCAAATTTTAATGTGCTCAAGTCTGTCTAACATACCCAGTGGGAATGAGTGTGGATGTCCCCCAAGACATTATTCCATGATCGTCGAGAGAAGCCTTACTTAAGACAGCCTCGAACTGGAATCACCCCAGTGAAACCCTTTAAGAACTCTGGACACCAAAGCTCGGGAGAGCTTCCAGGCTGGTGAGCACATGGATGTCACAGGTAGCTGAGCTGCCTGGTTCCCCAGAGAGAGGACATGAGGCTCGGTGTTCAGGACTCCCCTTGACCTTGCCCCGCACATCTCTGCATCTGGCCGGTGCTGATCTGTATATTTTATAACAAAACTGTTATCATAAGTACAGTGCTTCCCTGAGTTCTGTGAGTTGTTGTAGCAATTTGTTGAACCTGAGGGGTTTGTGGGAACTCCTGAATTGGTAGCCAGTCAAAAGTGCAGGTGGCCTGGGGACCCCTGAACTTGTAGCTGGTATCTGAAGTGGGGGCCGTCTTGTTGGGAACCACATCCTTAAGCCCGTGGAGTCTGACGCTAACTCTAGGCGGTTGTCAGAACTGAATTACCATCCGCCAGTCAGGGTTGAAACAGAATATTCAGAAACCCCATGTAGCTGAGCAGAAATGTGCTTGAGAAGGGAACCCCACATCTGTTTAGAAAATGGTTTTAACACAGAGACATCCAGAATTGAGTCTGGCAATGATGAAGTAGATCAAAATGACAGCATTTATGTTTTTGTGCTAAGTTCAGAAATACACATCTTTGGCATTTTAAGAACTTACAAAGTTTAAGAGAATTTGGCATATTTGAGTCTTCACATCAGACGTGTGATTCTAATTTTAAATGTGCTCTTGAGTCATTGATTTCTGAGCCCTTCAAACAACCCATGAGCTCAACCCATGATCCCTTCAACCAACCAGCCTGATGCTAGTAATCAGCATCTGTGATTGCAAGCTGAAATCTTACTAAGTTGGTAAACAGTTTTTGAATATTTAAAAATCACCATAATTATACGTTTAATGTATTTGATTTATGAGAATCACGTAAGGACTTGGGAAGATTTGTTAGTCAGATAATTGAAAAACTTAGAAAATGGAATATAATAAATTTTGACTGCAGCTTAAAATGTTTAAAGGAATTTAAATTAACTAAGAAGGTAAATAATACAAACATTAATTAAATTTCTCCTTATAAATGATGATTGAAATTTGCTGGATCTACTCATAGAATAAGATTTGTAAGTTGCATTTAAAAGCTCAAGGAAGGTGGGTAGAGGAACAGGCAGTTGCTATTCAATAGGTGTGGAGTTTCAGTTACACAAGGTGTAAAGTTCCAGAGATGCACACAGCACAGGGCCCACAGTTAACAGTACCACACCGTACACTTAGAAGCTTGTCAAGAGGGTAGATCTTGTGTTAAGTGTTCTTACCACAATTTTTTAAAAAGCAGTAGAGCTAAAAGTTCAAGGAAGAATTAGGACTTAAACATCAACTTTACTTTTATTTATTTATTTATTTATTTTTGAGACAGGATCTTGCTCTGTTGCCCAGGCTGGAGTACAGTGGTGCGATCACGGCTCCATCAGCCTCCAACTCCCAGGCTCAAGCAATCCTCCCACCTCAGCCTCCTGAGCGGCTGGGACTACAGGTGCATGCCACCATGCCCGGCTAATTTTTATATTTTTTTTGTGAGACAGGGTTTCACCATGTTGTCCAGGCTGGTCTTGAACTCCTGGGCTCAAGTGATCCTCTCACCTCGGCCTCCCAAAGTACTGGGATCACAGGCATGAGCCACCGAGCCTGGCCTAAAAAACAAGTTTAAAAACCAAACTATTTCTGAAGTCTTTTCCCTCCTCAAAGGCTGCCTTCAAGAACACTCAAAAAAATCGCTGGAGTTGGACCAGAAGGACGCTGGAATAAGGTGGATCCAGCTGTCACCTGCCTAGATGAGGCCCAGGACAAATGGGATGGTAGGCACGGCAGGTGGTGGCCTCAAGGGCTCAGTAGGAGCCCCGGACCCAGGGTCTCAGCACTGAACAAGTCCCCAAACCCAGGGACAGGCTGAGTGAGCTTAGAGGGAACAGAGGCTGAAATTGTGGATGGAGATGAATTACAAACACAAGCAAAATAGGCTCTATTTATTTCTCACCTGAGGTTGTGGCCTGAGAATGGATCTACCTTCTTGTTTCCTCCCAGGGACTGGAGGGGAACTGAAGGGTGGCTATGAGGCACATCTCGCCTGCCAGAGAGGTGCTCAGTGCTGGGTAAGCAGCGAGCCCTGTGTCTCTTCCCCTCCTTTCCCTTTATTTCCTTTCTTTTCCTTTTCTTCTTCTTTGCTTTTTAGGCTTTTTGCTGTTTTCTTGCTACCTCCTCCTCCCTGCATCTCGCTGGTTGCCTTGCTTCGGAGTCTGAGGCCAGCACATCCATCGTCCCCCAAATACGCAGGTATTTGCCCATCACAACTCCCTCAAGCCCCAGCTGCCATGGAGGCCTAGGGCAGGGGTCTGATCCCCAGGGGGGCCCTCCCCACAGTGCTCAGGCACTTCCTGGTCAGCGGCAGGTGCGGAACCAATGGAGAAATCACCGTGACCTTGGCTAAGCCCCTCTCTGGAGATGGGTGGGTCTCATCAGGGCCCCATCTGGGAAAACAAAACAGTCCCATTGACGACTCTGTCCTCAGCACCCAGAGCCAGAGCTTGGGATCCGAGAGAGGGGTGTGGGGCTGTCTCAGACACGGGGCCTTCTGGAAGATGCCGTTCAGATGCCGAACCCGGGAGGCTTAGGACTCGCCCAGGCACTCTGAGATCCGACTGTTGCTATAGGCTGTGTGACGGTCCCCACGGCGTCCTTAGCCAGCCCAGCCCACAGCATTAGAAAGGACCACTTTTCTCATTTCCCTTTTGATCTTACTCTGAAAGTGAAGCTTTAAAAGAAATGGGACTTTATTCTTGTGCTTATCACCTGAGTCTGCCACGGAGCACTCACCTTCAGCCAGCAGCTCTGGACCCGGAGGTACTCCCCAAAGCAGCCCTCAGGCCAGTCTGCAGTGCCCTGGGGTCACCAAAGCATCCCAGCCACTGTGCCTCACAGCCTCTGTGAAAACAAGCCACGACAGCCCAACCACCCGGGTCTTCAGAGCCTCTTGTCTGCTGGGTGTTGCCCTCTGTGATTGGCAGAAGAACGCCCCCCGAAGATACTCAGGTCCTAATCCCTGGAACCTGCGAATGTTCCCTTACACGGCAACAGAGACTTTGCAGATGTGATTAAGTTCAGGTTCTTGAGATTAAGGGAGATTATCCCGCATTATCCGAGAGGTCCCTAAATGTAATCACAAGTGTCCTTCTAAGAGGGAGGTGGAGGGAGATTTGGTGAAAGAAGACGGTCACTGAGCACTGAAGCCAGAAGCACCGCTTGGAAGCAAGAGGAGGCGAGGACGGGCTCTCCTCAGAGCCTCTGGAGGGTGCAAGTCCCTGCCACCACCTTGGTGTCAGCCCAGGGAGGCTGATTTTGGACTCCTGGATTCAAGACTGTTAGAGAATAAAGGTGTGTGATTTTAAGCCACCGCACTGGTGGTCATTGTTACAGTGGCTGAGGAAGCAGATACACCTGCCCAGAGCCCCTCCTTGCTCTCAGCTCACCTGGATGCCCGAGCTCCTCCTCTGGGGCCCATGGCCTCTGCTGACCTCCTGGACCCAGCCATCATCTTCCCTAGCACACTGCTGACATCTCACCATCTGGTGGAGAACTTCTGGGCATCTGTCTCTGAACTTGACAATGACACTCCCCTCCCCCCTCCCCGAACGCCAAGCAAAGCTTCCATCTTGGTGCCCTCCTGGGAGTCTTCAATCCCCCAGACTCTCACATCAGCCAGAGAAATGCTGGTTATTCCCAAATCCACAGTGTCAGTTTCTACACAAGCATGGGGCGGGTGCTGGTGCAGGACACGGAGCCTGTGGTCCGGCAGTGCATGACAGAAACCTTTTTCTCCACCATTGCCACTGAGGTGTGAGTCTCCACCATGCCCCATAGGCTGTAGCTGCTTGGATATCTCCCAGGCCCTCTATGCAGGGGAGGGGGTCTGCTGCTGCCTTCCGTACAGGTCTGTCTCCTGGGGCACAGTGCGGGTGTGGAAGGATGCAGAGTGTTTCTGGAGGTGAAAATGGAAGACATCCGGCACCAAAATCATTTACTCATTCACTCAGCAAACATTAATTGGCATCCATGCAAGCCTAGCTCTGTTCTCTTAGGAAGTGACATGGCGGGTCAAAGCATGAGCCCTGGAGGCCGGTGACCTGGACTCAAATCTTGGCCCAACCACCTTCTGGCTGTGTGATCTTGGGCAACTTACTTGGCCTCTCTGTGCCTCAAGTAATTGTAGTACCAACTTGCTGCCCTCCACCAAGGTAGGAGGAAGACATGCGAAGAGGTGGGAATGACACTGAGCCCAGCGCCTGGCATGCAGCAGGCTCAGGTCCACTCAGCAAAGGGCAAGAAGAGCCACAGCAGGAGAGGCAATGTGAGAATCAGTAGGATTTAAGGAGATGTGGGTGCCTCAGACCTGAAGGACAGCAAGTAATTCTGGAAGGACCAAAAGCATCAGTGAGGGGCAGGGCCGGCAAGAATTTAACTTACAAAAAAGGCAGTGAGGACAAAGGAAAGAGAAGGGCTGGCTGTGGCACTGCCTCTCTGTGATAGATCACAGACAGAAGTGGCCCGGATCTCCTCTCCTGCTCCCTCCACAGAAGATCCATGTCCCCTGCCATTTCAGTGGGGCCTGGTGTGTGATTCCCAGGACTCGAAGCAGTTGCCACAGGCCCTGCTCACAGGTGGGCAGCTGGTGGGAGGACTTGCAAGCAGCCTGCCACCTGGCAGTTGAGCTTCCCTTGGCCCCATGTCAAGCTGTGGGCTCTGTTCTCTGCTCCTGGTCTTGCAGCAAATGCCATTTCTGTGGCCAGGTCAGCTGTTGGTGCTGAAGGGGGAGCTCCCTGCTGGCTGCTGTCATGGGCAGCACCTTCTGCAGTCACTGCTGGCTGTGCTTCCTGGTGGAAGTGGCTGAGACTAGCATGATAATGAACTTAGGGCCCTTCCATGAGGCTGCAGGAGGGAATCCCCCAGGGCCCGACATCGGGGCTGCCAGCCTTTTTTCTTTGCTCACTGTCTTAATCTATTTTCTGCTACTATAACAGAGTACCTGAGAGTGGGTGATTTATAAAAAACAGAAATTCATTTCTCCCAGTTCTGGAGTTTAGGAAGTCCAGTATCAAGGTGTGGGCATCTGGCAAGGGCCTTCATGCTGCATCATCTCATGGCAGAAGGTGGAAGGGCAAGAGAGCTTGGGGGAAAGACAGGAGCACCAAGGGCTAGTCCTGCTTTATAATAACCCACTCTTGAGATAACAATCCCACTCTCATGATAACAGGATTAATCCATTCATGAGGGTGGGGTCCTATGACCCTTAGCTCTTAAAGGCTCTACCTCCCAATACCATCACAGTGGCAATTAAATTCCAACATGAATTTTGGAGGGAACATTCAGACCCTAGCACCCACCAATCCCAGTGTGGCCCTCTTCTGCAGCTTCCCTGCTGCGGTGGAGTGGATTGCAAACTAGGCCAGGCCGTCACAGTGACCATCACCACCTGTCACTTCCCATTGGCCTGATACTGCTGGAGTCCTGAGCTACTGTACCCCGGACTGGCACCTCTTGTACCTCACCATCCCTACTCTCCATGGCTGCCCTCTTCCTGTACTCTTGGCAAGTGTGGTCTGGGTTCCCACGGTGGCTCAGAAGTGCCTGGTGTTGGACTTTGGGGAGACAGCCCAACATTTCCCAACAAACCCCACAGGCCAAGCCAATTCATATCAAGGCTATGCCGAAGTTCACAGGAAACCAGATGTGTCCGTGTGACTGCCTCCAATTCAGGAGTCTCTAAGCAGGTGGTGCCAAACAATTTGCTGGGATATGGGAAGAAATATCAGAACTTCCATTTACATTTATTTTTACCTCATTCTTTTATATTGCCATTTTTCAAATATTATACTTAATATATTAGAACAGGGTTATAAGTATATAATTATAAAGAAATAAACATAAAATGGTAGCATAATGCTTCAAAATCTTTAGATATGAAGACAACGAATAAAGAAAGTTTTCCCACCACTAATCTAATTGATGAGCGTTTATTGATCATCTACCATGTGCAAAGAACCGTGCTAATTGCTGTGGGAATATTTTACAAAGAGAGAAAGCACAGGGTGTAGTCTTTAGCAGAGAGCAGAGAAGTGCTGAGTCTGAATGACAAACTGGGAGAATATTTGTAACTCATATCTCAGACAGGACCATAAGGAACATCCACAAATCGACAAGACAATGGCCAACAGCCTAATGTGGGGAGGGTAGAATGGGCAGACTCTTCAGCAAAGCGAGCTGTTACACAGCCAAAAAGATGCCCACTCATCAGAGGAGAGCTGCATAAGGCAAGGATGCTGAGAGGCCAGTTTGCAGAATCACACGCCCCCGCAACACAATCTGGCCATTCATCTTCTGGGAATTTACCGATAAATATCCTCACCTGTAAAAAATGAATTACATGCATCCATAGGGTGGAGTATTACTCAGGCTTAAAGGAGAGTCAGGACGCCTTGTATGTGCTGATATGAAATGAGTTCCAAGAAATATTATTAGTGGACATGGCCAGGGGCTATGATTTTTAAACAAAAGGAAGAAAAAAGAATACACACACACACAGAGAGAGACATATCCTTGGAAGGCAGGTGCAGAAGGAGAGCGGGGACCAGAACCTTGGCCAGGTTGGGGGGCGAGCTGGGACAGGCCTGGCTGAGACCGGGACAGCCCAGCCTCAGGTCTTCATGGAGCCATGCCAGCCTCAGTTTTCTTCTTGGACATGAACACCACCCACCCCTTAAGCCCCTAGGGTGGCTGATGTCATGTTGACAAACCCAATAGCTCTTTTGTCACTCTTGGGGGGTCCTCCCGGAGCCAGGCTCTCTGCTCCAAACCTCGCCTATGTTATCTCCAGGAAGCCTCAAAACAGCTACTTCTTGCATCTCAATTTCCAGGCGCTGAAAGTGAGGCTTCTAGAGGTGAAATAATTGACCCAGGTCATACAGTGACAATGCGAGATGCCCCCCCCAGGCTGTGTCCTTCCAAAGCCAAGCTGCATGTTCCTTTCTTGTCACTGTGAAACAACAAACCCAGCTGGTGCCGTGCATGGTGCATGTCGTAAGGGCCCTGCTCACACAGCCCCTGTGCTCACCCGGGAGCGCTGGTTCCTGAGAGCTGCCACCTCACGTGCTGTCCTTGTCCCCATGGGTCGGTGTTGGCTGCCCTCCCTCCATCCTTCCCGTCCTGGGGAACAAAGTGCCCCACTGATGGGGGCCCAGAGGCAACGTGCTAGATAGCAACAGGGAGGAGGTTCCTGGAACCGAGAGGAGAGGTGAAGGCTGACACAGCCACAGAGGAGAAAAGCCCCCTGGTGCCCCCAAATCACCCTCATGAAAGAAGAAGAAATTCGCAGCCACCCCAGGCGGGCCATCAGGCTCTAACACCGCCTGCTTCCACTTAGCCTGACGCCCTGACTCTACAACACAGGGACTCCAACACGTGGAGGCACGTCCGCCAATAATCCAGGAGCCCACTCTAGCTAACACCTCCTACCTTCCCCTTAATTTCTTCTCTCCTTAGTGCTGCAGGCAGGCGGCAAGACTGGAATTCAAGCATTCCTCTCTCTAAGGGAGGCAGGGATGCTGAGAGGCTTTAAATTGCCCTTTGGGGACAGCAGGCAGAAGGAGGAAGATTTACAAATGGATCACTCAGGAGACTGAGCCCCAGCCACGTTCTGGAGTCACCGTCTCCACCCCCTTGGAGGGAAGACTTTGGAAACTCAGCAGCCAGTCTGGGAACTGTCATCCCCAGGGAACATTCCCCAGGGAGAGGGAGGACCGTCAAAGATCCTGGAGAAGGGGGCGAGGTTTGTAACTCTCCTGCTGTCTGCAGGCCTCTTAGCCATCTGAGGGGCAGTGGCGAGGCCTGCTAGCTTCATATCACAGGCAAAGCAGAGGGTGGTGGCAGGAACCTAGAGAGGTGGCTGGAGCACAGGAGAGCAAAGGGACTGCAGAGACATTGACCACAGACTGAGGAAGAAGAGCTGGGCTGCTATGACTGGGAGGGATGTCCTGGTATATTCACTAACTCACCTGTTCCGTGATTTCATTAATTCATTCATTCAACAAACATGTATTGAGTCCTTACAAACGATACGTCTGATTCAAAGACTAACACCCCCCACCACCTCATGTATTTGCACACTCCATACAGGTCCATGGATGATTAGATAAAATTATTTAGGCAGGCTCTTGAGCCGTTTACTCAAGCCTGCGCCCACTTTGTGGTGTGTACTTTCGTTTCAATAAATCTGTGCTTTTGTTGCTTCAAAAATATTATTTTGTCTAAAACTAAAAAAAAAAAATCAAGTTAACTTTGAAACTTAGAAAGCTAAAGAAAAAGAAGACACTATAATGAACAGGGATCACAGCCACTCAAGGCAAACAGATTTTACGATTTTCTGCAAACATGACCTTTTAAAACTTTCACTTTTTTTCCAGCTGTTTCAGGAGCTCAGATGAGCAGAGCCAAGAAAGCTCCATGTGCCATCTTAGGCTGGAATTCCTAGGAAAGGAAGCAGATTTTGGGGCAGGAGCCGGGACACCGGGGAGGAAAGAAGGGACTTGGATGGGAAGGGGAGCCGCTGAACTGAGATGGTTGCAAGAGAGGCCCCAGCCCATCCTAAGGGAGCTCTGAGCTGGGATGACCCTTCAGAGGTCCCTTCATGCCAGCTCTGAGCTGGACTGGCTTTGGTCCTGAAGGAGGCGGTGGGGAGGAACAGCAGCACAGACTATAAATGGTAAAGTGAGCCAAATGGCTCACCCCACTATTTCATTCCAGTCTCTGCTCAAATGCCGCCTTTTCAGAGACTTCCCTTCACCGCCTGCATTACAGAAATCCCCTAGCCCCTCTTATTTTTTATTTTTTAATTTAATTTTATTTTTTTGAGAGGAAGTCTCGCTCTGTCACCCAGGCTGGAGTGCAGTGGCACAATCTCGGCTCACTGCAACCTCTGCCTCCTGGGTTCAAGCGATTCTCCTGCCTCAGCCTCCTGAGTAGCTGAGACTACAAGTGTGCACCACCATGCCCAGCTAATTTTTGTATTTTAGTAGAGATGGGGTTTCACCATGTTGGTCAGGCACCGCCAGCCCCTCTTGATCCCTTCTGCTCTGTCGTCCCCACCCTCGATTCCATCTTTGAGTATTCATTCCTTGTTGCCTCTTTTCTGCTGCAGGAATGACGGCTCCATGAGGCAGGGCTTTGTGTCGTATCCCGGGGCCTGCCACACAGCATGCACTCGGGAAATGTCTGCTGCATGAATGAATGAATCAATGAATGAGAGTGTAGGGTTAGCCCCCGGCATTCTGCCTGCTCCCAGGGATGAGGATTGTGTGGGGAGACCTGAAGGACCATGATGAGTGTGACTCATCAACTGTCTCTATTTTTATCCAAAATGATTGTTTCTGTAGAAAATCCCAAGAACTTACAAAACAAACAAATAAAAACCTTCCCGGAACTTAAGGGTTTAGCAAGATCATAGATACAAGGTCAACACACAAAAGTCAATTGCATTTCTATACTAGCAATAAACAATTGAAAACTAAAAATTTAAAGGGCTATTAATTCCAAAAACTGAAATACTTGGGCATAAATCTAACAAAATATGTGCAGGTTCTATATGGTGAAACTATAAAATACAGATGAAAGAAATCCAAGAAGATCTCAAGAAATGGGCAGAAGTACTGTGTGCATGGAATGAGTGGTTTAGATGTCAGTTCTCCCAAGCCCTGGTCCCTTTCCTTTGATCGTGGCCAACCTAGCACCTCCCTGGAGGCCATGCACCTTCCTGGCTGCATCAGGTGGCCATGGAACAGAAGCTCAGGGACAGAGGTTTTGCAACGACAATTGGATGTGCTTTTTGGGAAAAAACAATTCAAATCACAGGTAAGTGCATAAAGCCAAAATTCAAGTTCTTTCTGAAAACTTCTCTCAGCTTATACTCACCATAGGACAGTTAGCAAGGAGGTCGCATAACAAGGCCTTAAGACAAGGACCCTGGAATCCAACTGTCTGGGTTCAAGTCCTGGCTCCATCATTCATTGGCTATGTGACCTTGGCAAATTTCTTTTCTTTTCTTTTTGAGACAGGGTCTCACTGCGTTGCCCAGGCTGGAGTGCAGTGGTGTGATCATAGCTCACTGCAGCCGCAGACTCCTGGGGTCCAAGCCATCCTCCCACCTCAAGCTAGGACTACAGGCATGTGCCACCATGCCTAGCTATGCTTTTTTTTTTTTAATTATTTTTAGTAGAGGTGAAGTCATGCTATGTTGCCCAGGCTGGTCTCCTGGGCTTCAAGCAATCCTCCCTCCTCGGCCTCCCAGAGTGCTAGGATTACAGGCATGAGTTACTGTGCCTGGACACCTCGGTGAATTTCTTAACCTCTATGAGCCTTAGTTTTCTCATGTGTAAATAAGGATTAAGTTTGGTATCAATCATAAAGTTTGCATCATGTAAAAGCCCCGGTAGAAGTTAACTTTATTTATGAGGCTCTCACTATACACAAGAAGTTTGTTGTTATTTTTACTATCATGAAAATAAGAAAAGACCAACCAAATGAGAACAAGCAAGGCTGTTTGTTCAGAATTTGCTAGATCCAGGGAGTTAATCACTGTCACTTGTTTGGCAGTGACTCAAAGGTGGCCAGGGAGTGAGGACGCCAGATAGTGGGAAAGGTGGCGGGCTTGGCTGTGCCCTGATTGGGGCTGGCACATGGGGAAGCTGTAGGGCCTCTTGGGAGTCTGGTTAGGGAGCAGGTTGGCTTGATTGCTTGCTTGCTTGCTTTTCTTTTCTTTTTCTTTCTTTTTTTTTTTTTTTCTGAAACAGAGTCCTGTTCTGTCACCCAGGCTGGAGTGCGGTGGCACAATCTCGGCTCACTGCAATGTCTGCCTCCCAGGTTCAAGCGATTCTTCTACTTCAGCCTCCTGAGTAACTGGGACTACAGGCACACACCACCACGCCCAGCTAATTTTTGTATTTTTAGTAGAGACGGGGTTTCACTATGTTAGCCAGGATGGTCTCGATCTCCTGACCTTGTGATCTGCTGGCCTCAGCTTCCCAAAGTGCTGGGATTATAGGTGTGAGCCACCGCGCCTGGCCGGCTTTCTTTAGTTGATCCTAAATTAAAAACTGTGACCAAAATTAAGGAAACTGGCAGTTGCTGGCCAAGTCCTGGCCATCTGGGACGTTGCTGTGGAGGCTGTGGCTTCCTGTGCTGGTTATGGCAGGCAGTGAGGGGTTCCGTTTTCTTGTGTGATCTGCCCTTTGTCCCTTCACTGTCACTATCCTCACTGCCCTGGGCTTGCCTTGGGACACAGTCCTGGGGCACCCGGCCGTCCTCAGCATGCCCCCAGCACAGGGTCACCCTCGCTGGGCCCTGCAGGCTGTGTGGCGAAATGGCCACCTGCTGCGGGTGAAGCGGGACCTGGCATGCCTGCCCTATGTCACTGCGGCAGCCTCTACCTGCACCTGGTGGAGCTGGTGTGCTTGTCACCACCTGGCACCCACGTAAGGTGTGCAGGGAGGGCGGGGCGGCCAGTGCCCCAGGGGTCCTCAGTCTCACCCACCTTTTCGAGTTGCTTTCCAGATCACTGGACCCTGGATTCCTACTATCTGGGTTCAAGTCCTGGCTCCATTATTTATTCTGCACCTGTTGGTTTTCTTAGATTCCACAAAACCATCCACACAGCCCCTTCTGCTTGGTGGGTGGGTGGATCGTGAAGCCACGCTGGCGGAGCCAGAGGGGGGCGGGGGGCTATGCAGAGGTGGAGAGAAGCCTCAGGATGTCGTGGGGGTCTGGGCGTCTGGGGGTCTGCCCTATCCTGACAGAGGACCTGAGGCGACAGGAGGAGCAGGGTGGGGCAGAGCCTGGCACTGCCCTTCGCCCTGGGAGACATCATACCCTTCAGTGCCCAGAACTACAGGGCAGGGACCCAGCTCTATTTTACCAAGTCCAGAGCCCAGATGTCCCCTCCCCCAACCAGAGGCAGCAGGAGGCTGGGCCTGTAGCCAGAGGCCCCCAGGAAGCCCCCATCTGCCCCGGCCTCTCCTCTGGGTAAAAGCCCTGCCCTCATCAGGTGAGGTGTGGCCTGACCCAGGGCCTGGCTGCAGTGGGCTCAGCAAACGTTCTTTACTGACAGACTGGGTTCCCCACATAGCCCTGTGGGGCAGGGATCCTCTGAGCAGCGGTAGAAGAGGAGTTCAATGTGCCTTCACACAGCAGGATGCTTAGTCTCTTTTCAATTTTCTTTCTTTCTTTTTTTCTTTTTTTTTGAGATGAGGTCTTGCTATGTCGCCCAGGCTGGTCTTGAACTCCTCGGCTCAAGCAATCCTGCCACCTCGGCCTCCCAAAGTGGGGGGATTACAGGTGTGAGCCATCATGCCTGGCCCCCTTTGCAATTTTCTTTCAGCCCCCTTAAGTCACTCGAGCAGGAGAATCTGCCTCCTGGGACTAGCAATGCCTTATTCTTAAAAACAAAGAATGCTGGCCTCAGCTCAGCTCCCTTGGCAGGCGAAGGTACCCAGCCAGAACTGTCACATTTGTTTCATTTGCACAGGATATTTTTACAGTTTTCTTCTATTTGTGGCGAGTGATCCTGGTTTTCCAGTTGTGGTCGTTGCTGTAGACATTCTGGGGCACATAAATGATTTAGAAGTCAGTTCGCCGAGAGAAAACCATGAATTAGATAATAGTACATGTGATCTGAAGATATGGCAGGAGTCACAAAGGTATGTAAATGACACAGGTTTGGAAAATGCTGCTCTGAGGCAAGACAAGGATCACCTGCTGGGTCAGGGATGCATTATTTTGTGACTGTGTCTTGTTCTCAGGCTATGGTGGCCTGGAGGATTTGGGAACCCCAGAACAGATGTGAGTTGATTAAGCATACACATGGCACTTCCTTTGTGGCCGGGTACTCCCCTAAGTGCTTTTCTGATGTGGCCTCACTTCATCCTCACAACTATGCCATCAGTCCAATGTTCCCATCTTACAGATTAGGAAACTGAGGCACAGTAAGCTTAGCAAGCTGCTCTGAGTCTGCCCAGCCGGTGAGTGGCAGAGCCAGGGTTTGAACGTGGCTGCCTGGCCCAGGGTCTGTGCTATGAGCTCCCACCGGGGTCCCAGCGTCTCAGCCCTTACGCCCTGCAGGGCAATTGTCGGTGCTGCGGTTGTGTCCCTGGGTCACCTTTTCAACGTGTGCCCTGCAGGAAACACAGGCCTGGCCCTGCCTGGTGCTGGTGCCTTGGAGCCTCTTAGAGTTGTTTTGTCATTTGCTGCCATGGGGGCCGCAGCCTCCACCAGGGCCCCTGCTGTGTGGGCACCGAGGGAGACTCAACATCCTTGGGGGTGGAAATCCTCTCCTGAGACTAGGGTGGCCGCTGCTGTGACTGGTGTCCCCAGGCCAGGGAAGCTGAAGCACGAAGTGTGACTGTTATTGTCCTTCCAGGGCAGAGTTAGGGGAGTGTTGGTCACTAAATGTGATAACAGGCGCCACCAGGCTTCCCTCCAGGACCGGGCATTTGGAGAAGGCACCCACCCTCCTTTCAGGACAGTGGCAGAGGAGGGGTCAGATATAAACTCACCCCCGGTTCTGAAGATCTGAGGACCCCTAAAGAACATTTCACCCCACTCCCTCCCATCACTGACCCCATCCTCCTGGGCATGGCCAGCCTGGGGGATTTTCTCCTTCTGCCTGGAACTGACACTACCCAGGACTCAGAGGACGGTGAGCAAGGTCCTAGGGAAAGGGTCGATGATGAAGAAACGAGAAGACAAGGTCCTAGGGACAAAGTTCCAAGGGAGAGGGCTCCCTGGTGGCGACAGAGAGAGCCCAGAGGTGCCCGGGTCCTGCTGGGCTGGGACGTCCTGTCCTCAGTCTCCCAAAAGGCTCTGGGGTCAAGCTGTCCCCTCGGCTCCAGGTTCTGTTCTGCCCGCGTTGTGAACAGCTGGAGGCCCCTACTCTGCAGGGTGCCCTGCCTAGGGGCCAAAGTCACTGACCCAAGGCCTCAGTGGCCAGAGGTGTCAGGTCATCCTATGCACGATGGGACCCGTCTGGCACTTGGGTTCATTGGCTGCCAGTCCCTATGCCGCCCTGGCTGCAGGTCTCCCGACCACATGTCCAACCCCTCAAGAGGAGCATCTGCCTTCCATATTCATCGTTCTAGAAGCAGGAGGAAGTCAGGAAGTGGAACTGTGACTATAATAGAAAAGGGGTCTTGATCAAGACCCTAAGCAAGGGTTCTTGGATCTCACACAGGAAGGAATTCAAGGCAAGTCACAGAGTGCAGTGAAAGAAGCAAGTTTATTAAAACTCCTCCATTCCCAGCCTGGCGTGGTGGCTCACACCTGTAATCGCAGAACTTTGGGAGGCCGAGGCGGGTGGATCACTTGAGTTCAGGAGTTCAAGACCAGCCTGGCCAACATGGTGAGACCCCATTTCTACTAAAAATACAAAAATTAGCTGGGCTAGTGGCTCGCGTGCTTGTAATCCCAACTACTCAGGAAGCTGAGGCAGGAGAATCACTTGAACCTTGGAGGCAGAGGTTGCAGTGGGCAGAGGTCGTGCCACTGCACTCCAGCCTGGGCGACAGAGTGAGACTCTGTCTCAAAAAAACACAAAAAACAAAAAACAAAAACAAAAACAAACAAAAAAACCCCTCCTCCATTCCAGAGTAGAGCACCCTCAGAAAGCAAGCAGAGGACCGCCCCGTCCTTAAGTTTCTCTTATACAGGGGTCTTATCTGTGTAAAGACTAAACTAAGCTGTGCCTACGTGTGGCTGGGCTGACAGCATGACAACAATAATTATTCTATTTATTTAAGAAAGCTATCCTTGACATCTTCGTGTGTGAGTACATCAAAGCATAACTATAATTTTTTGAAAGCATATATTGTTATGGGCATTGGGACATCTGGACTTTCTGCTGTTGTAGGAGCATGTCCTTGCAGGTATCTTCAGGCTGTGTCCCTAGATGTAATTATCTTATGACTGAGTCACGACCGGCAAAGAATGTCCCTGTTTGTGTCGAAATGGAGCCGAATTTAAAATGGCATCACTGTGGCTCTCCCCGCTCCTGCTTCCGTAAAAGAATCCTTCAAGGGAAGAAGAGAATCATTGAGTGAACATTGTGTCTGTCCTCCTAGGGCCTCATAGAAACCTAGATTCAAATCTCCCTGCCTCCAGGACCCCCATGCAGAGGTGGCACTTCTGCTCCCCACCCCCCGTGTCCCTGAGGGCAGACCCCAAGAAGGGAGCATGGCCCGAACCCCCTTGTCCCAGCCCACCTCACGGCCACCTCCCCTGCCGCCCTTCCAGAAGGACACAGCAGCCCCCACACCCCGTCATTTTCATCTGTCAGGGCCCTCCCCGCCCACCAATTGGCCCTGGCCTGAGGCGTTGGGGGCTGAGAAAGGGTGATATGCTAAGAAGAAATCAGGGTGTGGATGAGCAGAAATACCTAATCGCTTGTGAAATCCCTGGCGTGCTGGGACAGCTTCCTCCGGGCCCTGGTGACACCGCAGTCCTTGTCAGCATTACCCGGACAGGAATCGACAAGCCGAGGGCCCGGGGCAGCAGCCTGATGTCCTTCACATGCACCGGGCGGACAGCGGAGGCCCCGGGCCCGGGGAGGCGGCAGCGGCCGCTCAAGTGAACCCGGGTCTGGAAGCTCCTTACAGCACGATGATGCCCAAGCCCGGCCGGGCAGCTCTCTGGACCCCTCGAGGAGGGTCAGGCACTGCTGTTACACTCCCACATCCCTGGTGGTTAACATTTACCACGGTCTTTCCATATTTATCCAATTCTTATTTAGTGCTTCCTTTTACTGTGTGTAGTCACTGTCCTAAGTGCTCTACTTACACCTTCAAAACGACCTACGAGACAGGAACTACTATTATACATTTTACATGGAAGGAAAGTGAGGCACAGAGAGGGTCAGTCACTTGCCCGAAGTTACTGAGCTGGTAACAGGCAGAGCTGGACTCTGTGCCAGTGTTTCGGCCACTGTACAGTTGCCTGTTTTCTCATCTGTTCCCCGGTTAGATGGGGCTTTTGAAGTCAGGGTCTATGTCTATTTTATTCTCCTTTACCTGCATAGGAATTGGCAGAGCTCTCAGGCTGTCAATAAAGATCTGCTGATTGAAATAATGAATGAGACTGGGCACAGTGGCTCACACCTGCAATCCTAGCACTTTGGGAGGCCAAGGAGAGAGGATTACTTGAGCCCAGGAGTTGCAGACCAGCGTGGGAAACATAGTAAGACCCAATCTCTATTATTTTTTTTTTTTAATTAGCTGGGCATGGTGGCTGCATCTGTAGTCCCAGCTACTAGGGAGGCTGAGGCAGGAGGATTGCTTGAACCCAGGAGTTTGAGGCTGCAGTGAGCCATGATGGCACCACTGCACTCCAGCCTGGGCAACAGAGTAAGACCCTGTCAGAAAGAAAGAAAGGAAGAAAGAAGAAAGAAAGAAAGAAAGAAAGAGAGAGAAAGGAAGGGAGGGGAAAGAAAGAAAGAAAGGAAAGAAAGAAAGAAAGAAAAGGAAAGGAGGGGAAAGAAAGAGAGAGAAAGGAAGGGAGGGGAAAGAAAGAAAAAAGAAAAGAAAGAGAAAAAAGAGAGAAAGAAAGAAAAAGAAAGAAAGAGAGAGAAAGGAAGGGAGGGGAAAGAAAGAAAAAAGAAAAGAAAAAGAAAGAAAAAAGAGAAAAAGAAAGAGAGAAAGAAAGGAAGGAAGGAAGAAAGAGAGAGAGAGAGGAAAGGGAAGGGAAGGGAAGGAAAAAGATGAATGAAGGCCAAGGTAACCTATAAATTGCAAGAGTTATGGTGGACATTTAATGTACAAACCTACCTCCATTCTTGGAGTTTAGACATTTCACCAGGCATGTGCCAATTTTTCATCCTTGCTACCCAAAGCTACTGGGATGTTGCAGTCTAAACGTTTCCATCTTCTTCAGCTCAGAGGTCCTTTCTTTTCTTCCTTTTCAACTCTTTGTGCTTTTGCACTGGGTTCCAGGAAACTCCTTTGTCATGAACTTCCAGGTCACTGTATTCCCCTCATTATTCAATCTATTAATTAGTGGTTTCAGAATTTGCCCATCAAGTTGACAATTTCCAAAACTGAAAAGATTTCCTTTTCTCGGGAACCTATTTCTTTTAAAAAATTGATGTCCTCTCAAATTTCCCTGGAAATAGAAACTACAGCGGTTTTACCTTTTTCTTCTGTTTACTGCATTACTTCATCGTCCTCCTGTGTTGGTTCTTTTGTTTGTTGAGTTTGGTGTCTCTCTTTTGGTGCATTGGATTCTTGCATTTTTAGTGTTTCTTTGTTGCCTCTTCATATTTGAAGATGGTGGGGGGAGGGATATGGACAAAATTGTTTCCTAGAATGTCCTTCCTCAGGCTAAGTGGGAATTCCTGTTGGCTTAGCCATGCATGAAAGCTTTGTGCTGGAGAACCCTGTCTACAGTGATTGTGACGTGTGGGCAAGTGAAAGAGGCCTGTGGCCAGGAGGCACTGGTGGATCTGATTTTCTGAGTAAAGGGTTCTGCTTCCCCATGGGATCCTTAAGTTGCCTGGGGTGCTGCCCTTTTTCTCTGGCCTACCATGCAGTTTCAGAACTCCATTTAGCTGTTCTTGCACCTTGACCTCCAGGCAAACATGGAATTCAATGCCAAGTGGTGTTTGGTGGAGGGAGGGTGGGGCACAGTCAATCTGCTCACCCTGATGCTGTTAATTACCCAGATGTTCTTGGCCTGTGCCCACACTGCAGCCTCTCACCTAGTGCTGTCCTCCTAGGAAGGCTCAGGTGTTTGGGCCTCCTTTCCCTCCTGCATGTGGTGCAGGTCCCTTGGTCTGAGGTTTCATTGTCCATCTGTCCCATGATCTTTATGTCTTATGCAGATTCTTTCCCTAGTTTTCCATTTCTCACCTTTCCCATGCTGCTCTGGGACTGCCAAACTATTTCCTTTCTGGATCCACTTGGATTTGGTTGGAGGAGGTAAATGAGTGCCCCACTAGCCATCCTGAACCGTGAGCCCCTCCATGTCCCTGGGAAAACAGAGAGCTGTTTGACCCAGGAGACCTGTGTGACCCAGAGCTTCGGGTTCTTGCACCTCTTGGGCGATGTCACCCAGTAGGTTCCTTAAGGGCAGGATCCTTAGTTGGCAAAGAAGTGGCTGAGTGAACTCAGTCTGTAGCTAGGTTGAGACCAATGAAGAGAAGGGTCTGAAGTCTACCTGCCGCCAGGGCAAGGGCGCATATGTCAGGAAGAGTGGGAAGGGGGGCTGGGGAGAACGTATGCCCCCAGGCTTCTGCCTCTCCAGTTGTCTGCGCAAAGAACAAATCCTAGTGCGCTGTGGCAGGGGCGGCACGTCTGTTTGCTCTCACGTGCCACTCCGTTCCTTGCTCCATTGCCTGATGATGCAGAGGATAGGAATGGACTTGGCCATGGCGCGCTGCCAGCCTGCATGGTGACACACATCCCCTCGCTTATTCAGCAAGCACTGAGTAGGCACCTCCAGTGTGCAGGCAGGGCTCAGGCACCAAGGGGTTTAGTGATATGCGTTCCCATCTGCAAGGAGCTTATATTTCGACGGAGAGGCTGCCATGGAAATAAACATAAAGTCCCTCTTGGAAACCCCTTCCGAGGAGATAGAAGGTGTGGAATAGTCGTGGCTGTGGAGAATGGTCAAGGCCAGGGCGTCTTAAACTTCAGTGGGCACACAGATCACTTGGGGCTCTTAGTAAATGCAGATTCTGATTCTGGAGGTCTGGGTTGGGATCTGAGATTCTGCCTTTCTAAAGAACTCACAAGTGACATTGATGCTGCTGGTCCATGGACCACACTTTGAGTAGCAAGGGTAGAGGGAAGCCCCAGCTTCCTGCCATGTCCTGATGCTGTCCTGTGGGTGCTGGGGGCACCTGTGGGAACCCACCAGGAACTGCTGCTCCGGAGGCCTCTGAAAGAGGCCCTGTCCCAACCCCAGGCCCAGGGGCAGGCTGGAGGCCGGTTTGCAGGTCAGCCTGGGCTGCAGGTCCCCCACTGCCCTTCATGCTGCTCCAGAGGAAAAGTGCTGGGAGGTGGCTTTGCCTGGACAGGACACAACCCAGCAGCTGTGGACTTGGTCAGGGAAGACCTCTCTTCAGAATTTTGGGGATTGGCTCTGTTCTTGGGGGAGGCCTGGGTCAGATGATGTTCTGTAGCCGTCCACACAGCCCTGGGGCTTCAGAGCTTGTAGTAGGGTCCTCGTGAGCACTGAGTGAGACCTCCGCAGGAAGCTAACACAGGGTGGGTGCCCAGGGACCCTTGGGTGTCTTGGGGGCCAGATGACTCAGCAGCAGTCACTGCTGCCATCGGGCTTGGCTCTCTCAGGTCACTCAGGGTCAAGGTAAAGTCTCCAGGCAACTGGAGAGTCATGCCCTGCTGCCCATGACAGTGGCTCAGGGCCAGGTCAGATGTGGCCATCCTCGGGACCATGCTGGGAACTGTCTCCCTAACCAGGGAGCTCTGGGGCTCCTTTCAAGGTAGCGAAGGATGCTGAGCCATAGTTAATAGGCTTACAGGTTAATCCAGCATGTGACCAGGACAGGCGTGTGCTTCGGCGGGTGGAGGTCAGGATGCTGCCCCCTTACCAAAAAGAGATGCTCTGAAGTTCTGGAACTCTGTGCATGCCATTGAGATCGCCACAAGAGCCGGTGAGACTTTGCTAGGACCATGAGGCACTCTAGGCAGTCCCTGCCCATCCACCTCTGGGCTGGAGTGCAGTGGCACGATCAGGGCTCACTGCAACCTCCACTTCCCAGATTCAAGCAATTCTCCTGCCACAGCCTCCCAAGTAGCTGGGACAGGCGAGTGCTACCATGCCCAGCTAATTTTTGTATTTTTAGTAGAGATGGGGTTTCACCATGTTGGCCAGGCTGGTCTTGAACTCCTGGCCTCAAGAGATCTGCCTGCCTTGGCCTCCCAAAGTGCTGGGATTACAGGCGTGAGCCACTGTGCCTGTTCCCCACCTCTTTAAAATGTATTGAATTCACATTCTCCTCACCATCTCCACAGTCTGTGCCCCGTTCAGGCCAGGAAAAGCCTCTTCCTGGTTCTCCTCTCTGTAGCCCTGTCTCATCTGAGCCCACCTTACATTTTCATCCACCTGAGACATTCTCCTAGTAATCAGACCCTCCTCCCCCATCTTTCCTGGTCTGGCCTTGGGGCCTTTGCATGTGCTGTTCTTGCTCCCGGAACACCCATCCTCACCTCCCCACACCCTTTCAAACCGGTGCTTTCTCTCAGCTCTTTCTTCTCTGTACTTCCTAGTTATGTTTCTGGCCTTTGTCTTGTGGTGTGTTGGGTTGGCTGATATTGCATGATCAGCCCTGATGCAGTGGTTTTTACATCCGTCTCCCCACTGGACGAACCTCCTTGCTGGTTCACCTTGGGTCTCCAGGGCCCAGCATGGGGCCTGGAACCTTGTACACCTTTAATACATGTTTGTGGAGCTGACACGATGATGAATTCTTTCACAACTTTCAGATGTGTATCTGTTAGGTGGAAGGAAATTGCTGGGAAACAATTTTCAGAACTAAGTGCATTTGCCGTTGCGCTTGGAGAAGCCATTTAACTTCTCTGAGCCTCACTACCCCACCAGACACCCACCCGTGCAATTGTCCTGAGCATGACCGGGGCGGGGGGTGGTGCCAGTGATCAGCAGGGGGCAGGCTTGTCATTGCAGGGCTGCCACTAACCAGCTGTCGCACCCCACCAAAGAGGGTTGGGAACCCTGCGTTAAGTTGGGTCCCCTCCAAAGCCAATATGAAATAAAGATTTGAATGTAAGTCATTTATTTGGGAGGCGATCCCAGGAGGCACTGGTAGGGGAAATGAGATGGGGAATGGAAGAAAGTCAACAACGGGTGTGGCATCAAGCAAGTTACTGTTGTGAGCAACTTGGGCCAGGGAGCTGGGGTATTGACCCACCAGGTCCCGACAGTCACTGAGTGGAGGCTACTCTGTGGGTGCTAAGTCCCCAACACTAATTCTGTCTTGCTCCCAGTAGACCCTTTGAGTTCCTGAAGCCAGAGAAGTCCTGGAGTACTTGCAGTATGAGGTGTCAGAAGGCACCAGAAAAGAAGGCTTGGGGATCTCTTCCTCGTAAAATGAAAGGAAATAAGCAGAAGCCAAATAGCAAGGAATGAACCCCCATCACTGGAGCTCGGGGCAAGTCCAGCCTCAGCTCACCTGCATTGAGCAGGACCTGCAGGACAGTTCTGCGGGTGGCTGTGTAACTCCACCAATTTTCAGACACTCTGATTCTTGCAGCCAGTCAAAGTCCAAACGGGCATATGATGATGGAGACACACGAAAGAATGAGAACAAACCCCTGCCCATGATCACATGACAATTGGACCCATCTGAGGAAATGAAGCTCAGAGGTGAGACTCTGGTTAAAACCTGACTTCCCAGAAACTACCAAAAAAAAAAAAGAAAAAATTAATAAACAAAAATTAATAATGTACCTAGCAGTACAATAAAGAAATAATACAATCTGTCCAGCTCTGTGTGTGGCTGTGTAACTCTACTTAAATCTATGAATATGATGAATTATATTAATGGATTTCCTAATATTGAACCATCCTTTCATTCTAGGAGTGAGTAGAGATTTTGCCAGAAAAGAAAGGAAACTACAGCCCAATCTCACATGTAAAGATTAATGAAAACCTCTACATAAAAGACTAATAAATAGGCCAGGCACGGTGGTTCATGCCTATAATCCCAGCACTTTGGGAGGCTGAGGCGGGCAGATCACCTGGCCTCGGCCACCCCGCCTCGGCCTCCCTTTCATCCAATGAAAGGGTGGTTCAGCATTAGGAAATCCATTAATATAATTCGTCATATTCATAGATTTAAGAAGAAAAGTCATAGTGTCAGCTCTACAGGTGTTGGAGAGGAAAGTGACAAATCCAACAAGCATTCTGGATTTAAAAATCCAACCATGAAACAATTCCTTTATCACCATGGAGTAGAGAGGGCTGTTCTAATTATGACTCAAACCCAAAAATCAAAAAAGAAAATGATAAATTCAATTACAAAAAGAATTCTGCATGCAGAAAAGTATCAATAACAACATGAGTTGTTAAAAGACAAAGTGGGCTGGACGCAGTGGCTCACGCCTGTAATCCCAGTACACTGGGAGGCCAAGGTGGGAGGACTGCTTGAGCTCAGAAGTTCGAGACCAACCTAGGCAACATGGCGAAACCCCGTCTCTACTAAAAATACAAAAATTAGCTGGGTGTGGTGGTGTGTACCTGTAGTCCCAGCTACTTGGGGGGCTGAGGATTGCTTCCCAAGTAGCTGGGACTACAGGTACACACCACCCACTCCCTCTCCCACAGTAGTGGGAGGATCGCTTGAGCCTGGTAATTTGAGTCTGCAGTGAGTACTGAATGCACCACTGCACTCCAGCCTGGGTGACAGAGTGAGACTCTGTCAAAAAAAAAAAAAAAAAAAAAAAGATCCAATCTCCCTCATTTATAAAGGTTTGTAGATATTGGTAAGGAAATAACAACCTACAGTTGAAATAGGTAAGGGATATGAAGAAACAACAGAAAAAGAGAAATACAAATGCATCTCAAATATATTAAAAGGTGCTCAGCCTCACTCATAAGAAAAGAAATGCAAAGTAAAGCTACACTGATAGCACTTTTTATCCATGATATTGGGCAAACCCCACAAGTGTGACACTGGCTTTCTGAGTTAAGGAGCTGGGGACAGGATACATGAATATGTCCTTGGGGAGGGCAGTGGGCTGCTTCTCAAAGCCACGGCTCACTCACCCTTCAAGGAAGCAATCCCACTTCCGGAATTTTACTCTACCCACATACTAACAAACATTTGAAATAGTATGTATGTGAAGTTATTCATCCGAGCATTTTAAATTTAAAAAAATTTTTAATTTTTTAACTTTTATTTTAGGTTCGGGGGGTATATGTGAAGATTTGTTACGTCGGTGAACTCATGTCATGGGGTTTGTTGGTACAGATTATTTCATCACCCAGGTACTAAGCCCAGCGCCCAATAGTTATCTTTCCTGCTCCTCTCCCTCCACTCACCCTCCACCCTCAAGTGGGCCCCAGTGTTGTCTGTTGTTCCCTTCTTTGTGTTCATGAGTTCTCATCATTTAGCTCCCACTTACATGTGAGAACATGTGGCGTTTGGTTTTCTGTTCCTGCGTTAGTTTGCTGAGGATAATGGCCTCTAGCTCCATCCATGTTCCCACAAGATACACCATCTTGTTCTTTTTTATGCCATGTGTATATGTAGCACATTTTCTTTTTTTTTTCTTTTTTTTGAGACGGAGTCTCGCTCTGTTGCCCAGGCTGGAGTGCAGTGGCGTGATCTCGGCTCACTGCAAGCTCTGCCTCCTGGGTTCATGCCATTCTCCTGCCTCAGCCTCCCGAGTAGCAGGGACTACAGGCGCCCGCCACCATGCCCGGCTAATTTTTTGTATTTTTTAGTACAGACAGGGTTTCACCGTGTTAGCCAGGATGGTCTCGATCTCCTGACCTCGTGATCCACCCGCCTCGGCCTCCCAAAGTGCTGGTATTACAGGCGTGAGCCACTGCCCCCGGCCATATGTAGCACATTTGCTTTATCCAATCTACCACAGATGGGCATTTAGGTTGATTTCATGTCTTTGTTATTGTGACTAGTGCTGCAATGAATACACATGTGTATGTGTCTCTATGGTAGAATGATTTATATTCTTCTAGGTACATGCCAAGTAACGGAATTGCTGGGTTGAATAGTAGTTCTGTTGGTAGCTCTTTGAGGAATCACCACACTACTTTGCACAATGGGTTGAACTAATTTACACTCCCACTAGCGGTTTATAAGCATTCTCTTTTCTTCACAACCTTGCCAGTGCCTGTTGTTTTTTGATGTTTTAATCAATAGCCATTCTGACTGGTATGAGATGGTATCTCATTGTGGTTTTGATTTGCATTTCTCTAGTGATCAGTGATATAGAGCTTTTTTCATAGTTTTAAAAATATTTTTTGAAATATCAAAATTTTAGGGCCAGGCAAGGTGGCTCACACCCGTAATCCCAGCACTTTGGGAGGCCGAGGCAGGTGGATTACCTGAGGTCTGGAGTTCGAGACCAGCCTGGCCAACATGATGAAACCCCATCTCTACAAAAAATACAAAAATTAGCTGGGCGTGCTGGCAGGCGCCTGTAATCCCCACACTTTGGGAGGCTAAGGCAGAAGAATCACTTGAACCTGGAGGTTGCAGTGAGCCGAGATCATGCCACTGCACTCCAGCCAGGGGCACAAAGTGAGATTCTGTCTCAAAAAAACAAACAAACAAAAAAATCAAAATGTTAGACACAGTCCAAGTGGCCACGAACGGGAGGGCGGTTAAATGCGTGATGGTAAATCCATGCAGTGGGTTACCAGGCTACCGTGAAATGGGAACGAGTAGAGCCGTCCGAGGTACACTGTTGTGGGAAGTCAGCGCAAAGGGGAAGAGTACCTTTGTGTAAAAGGAGTAAAATCAGAATGTGCGTCTCCCCTCGCTTATATTTTCAGAAAGAAAATCTGGAAGGATGCGCAAGAAACTAAAAATGGTTCCCCGAGGGTGGGTGGAGGTGGGATGGGAGAGAGCCTCTTCATTCTACACATGTTCGTAAGTTTTCTATTTTTGAATGATGTGAATTTACTACCTATTGAACAATTTTAAAACTTTATGCATGTGTTTGAAGGTACATTATGATTTTTCTGGAAGAATATACCTTGTTGGTGGCAGTTGCCCCGGGCAGTTGGGAGTGAGAGGAGAAAAGGACTTTTACTTGCCATTTCACACACTTTGAGATCATTTGCATTGTAACCATGTACATTAGGACTTCTCAAGTACAAATGACTAATTATAATGACTTATGTTTATAATGACTTATGTTGACATATTTCTAAATATGTAAGAAACACGTAGGTATGTATTTCCTACGTATTATCTGGGTTCCTTTGAGCAGTGGGATTGTTGGAGTCAGGGTTGAAGAAGGGGGCTTTCCTTTCATTCCTTACATGATTCTGTGATTTTTGCAACATGCACACTGTAAGAAAAGACAAGAAAACTGAGTTAAGGAGGTTCCTATCATCCTCCCTCCCTGCAAAAATGCACGTGGGTGAATTTAGGAAGATTTGCAAAAATGAGTTCTTGCAAGGCATAAGATCTAGGAGCTCTAAGCTGCTGCTGGGCAGTGAATTGAAGAGGAATTCAAAAGGGAAGAAAAGTGATTTAAGTTTGTGGTGTTATTGGTGGGGGGCGGGTAGTCCCCAAATTTATGTCCCTCAAAGAGGAATTAAAGAACTGAAGAGGTGAGATCTGCTTTTGGCCTTATGTGGCTCATCAATACCTCCTGCTCAATGAGGTGAGGCCTGTTCTCTGGAGCAGGAGGATAATTTGATATTTTATGGTTAATGTTTCTTTGACTTTCTGATGGATCACTGGGCATCTTCACAAGGGTACAGTGGAAAAAGCAATCAAACTGGAGTTGGGATCTGAGACCCTGGAGAGCCCTGTCCCTACAGCAGTATGAAACTGAGAAAGAGCATCACCTTCTGCTGACTCCAGATTCTTCCAGGGTTTCAGGGAGGGGCCAAACAAGAAACCCCTGTGATTCCAGCTGGATCTGAAATACTGTGGCTTCAACTGGAAAAGAAGAAAAGGAAGAATGATGGGTCTAGTGTGATGGTAGTGGTGATGGTGTGATGGTGGTGATGGTGATGATGGTGATGGTGGTGATGATGGTGGTGATAGTGATGGTGGTGATGGTGATGATGGTGGTGATGGTAGTGATTGTGGTGATGGTGATGGTGGTGGCTAGTATTTATTGTCAGGCCCGTTCATTATCTCGTTTAATCTTACTACCTTAAGTGGAAGGCCCTATCTTAGAGATGGAGATACTGAAGTTCACAGCAGGGAAGGCAACCGCCTAAGGCCATTTGGCGGCCATGCTGGCCTTTCGTTTAATTGATGGGAACCCTTGGCTAGGAAGGTCAACTCCACAGCAATTCTAATTCGATGAATAACAGGGGTTTACTTTACACAAATTAATTTAAAGAGACACCCCGGAGGGCTTGGGGACTATAATCTGGGGCTACCTGCCTTCCTCCCAAGCCCTTCTCTCCCCACCCCTGCCTGAGGACCCTTGAGGCACCTGGGAAAGATGTGCCTAGTTTGGGAAAGGCTACAGTTCCAGGTGTGACCGCCAGGTGGCAGAGCAGCTGCACTAAGCCCTGCCCCAAGCAGCCCCAGAAAAACAGAAAATACAAATGAAAAATTCCTTGGCCTGGAAGTGGAAAGTCAGTTGGAGATTCCGGGTGCCTTCTGGCAGGTCCAGGAGGTTTGACCTTCTGCTGTAAGCAAAGCCTAGGGGTGTCCATGACAGGCAAAGGGCAGGGAAGAAGAAAAAATGTGAAAGCATATGGACGGAGGAAGGAGAAAGAATTGAAGTGCTTCCTGGACACCTTGGATTCCGGCAGCCACCTCCAGCCCAGAGATTTTCAAAGCAAGGCCCGGGCCCGGTGTGGTGCAGTCAGCTGGGGACTTACTTTAAAACGTGCACTCCTGGGCTCAGCGCACCCTGCAGCAGACGCTCAAGAAACTGCGTTCTAGCCAGCACACCCGTGACTTCTGGCACTTGCTGAGGTTTGCAGACACCAACACAGCAACACACTTCACTCCACAGGCCAGAAGCCAGGAGCCAGAGAGAGGAGGCCACCACGGAAGGCCATGTCTCAGGGCCAGGCCTACCCCCGACAGCACGGTGCTTGCTCAAAACAGGAATAGGGTGCAATTCTTTGCACGTTAGATTAGGCCTTTGGGCTGTTTTGGACTGGGGCTCTATCCAAGGAGCCCCTCTCCTGCGGCCTCCTGGGCTTTAATTTGGGTTGGTTCTCCACCTCCCCCAGTCCCTCTCTTTTTGCTATTTTATCCTAATGATTTCCTGCCTGGAGAGGCCGAGGAAGGAAGGAGCCCCAGCTTTGAAGCCCAGGCCTGGAATCCGACTCCCCAGCTTGCTGGCCGGCCTCCATCCTGGCTGAGTTCCCCAAGCCCTCCAGGGAGGTTCTCGGAGGTTCAGGGTCCAGACACCCACCCACACCTCACCCACACTTCCAGCACTTCTCGGACTTCTCTCCGGAACTGACTCAGCCGCTTCCCTCTCGCACTCTGGGAGGTGACTTCAGGCTGGCCCTCATTCTGACCCAAATCCTGAATTCTAGCTTTTGGCCGGGATTTGGTCCATGACAGGCTGGAGACCACACAGCAGCTGCCCAGGGGCATCAGAGAAAGCTCAGGCTGTGGCGTCTGGCTCTGATCTGGACTGCGGCGAGTGACCTTGGGCAAGTTGCCTGCCCTCTCTGAGCCTCAGTTTCCTTGTTTAAGGGAATTTGCCTTGTTTCTCTCCTGGGCTGCCATAAGGAGTGAAGGAAGGGGTGCAGGCAGTGAGGTCAGCCCAGAGCTGAGCACACTAAGAGGCACCACCCAGATGGCCATGGGGGAGGGCTGGCTTCACTCTACCTCGCCCGGAGCCTGGAAGCGGGGCTGGCCTCAGATGCTGGGTCACAGCGTCGTGATTTTGCTCACTTCCCCAACCGCCCGCCTGCTCAGCTGCGGGCCCACGAGGGGCTTCAAAGAGAAGCCAGGAAATGGTAGCCATGGTTTCCACTGGGGGAGCTTACTGTCTAATAAAGGCAACCTAAAACCTCGGAATAGAAGCTTCCCGAAATAGTGAGTCTGCAAGCTGGTCTCCCCGGCACTGCCTGGTAGGAGGTTCACATCAGGAAAGAAAAGAGCACAGACTTGGGCCTTCCTGCCAGCTCGTGCCCACCCCACGTCCTCTCCCACGCCCACCAGCACCATCTCCCCAGCTAGGGAAGGCCCTTCCCAGGCCCCACATCTGGCTTCAGAGCCTTGAACAGTTGTCAGGAGGGATGAAGTTTAGGCTGACCGTTTTCTGATTTAAAGGGCCTCGCGTAGAAGGTTCTAAAGATTTAAGAATGAGATCAGCTGGCCAGCAGGGAGTGGCTGAGGCCTCAGGTCCTGAGACATGAACTGCCTTCCTCACTCAGAAGCCCACGCTGAGATTAAACTTTAACCAACTCAGTGAGGCAACAGCCCAGTTGATATTTCTTCCAAACTGTAATTCAGTAACATCAAAGCACCCTGTCTTTTTAAATAGAATCTGCCTGACTTTCACTTTTGGTGCTGGAGAACTCAGAAGGTGGCTCAGCCCTCTGGTCCACACTTGGTGGGCAGCTCGGATGCCCCAGGCAGCCCGGGCACAGTGAGCTTAGTCCCCTTCACCCCCTCCGCAGAGCTCTGGGGCATCCGCACAGTCACTCCTGGACACAAGATAAGGAGGAGTTTCCCCGAGGCATCACAGGGCTTCCCGGGACTGAGGGACTGACTCAACTGGTTATTGGACAGTGCCCCACCCCCAATCCGGCTGAGGGGCAGGAAGGCAGAAGGTCTTGGTGGCCCTGGATCTTGTGGCTGCAATCGGTTCCAAACAGCAGTTAGGTCAGCAGTCCGCTCAGCCGAGGCAGCTCTGTTCATGGCGTTCTCGAAGCTCTTGGAGCAAGCCGGAGGCGTGGGCCTCTTCCAGACCCTGCAGGTGCTCACCTTCATCCTCCCCTGCCTCATGATACCTTCCCAGATGCTCCTGGAGAACTTCTCAGCCGCCATCCCAGGCCACCGATGCTGGACACACATGCTGGACAATGGCTCTGCGGTTTCCACAAACATGACCCCCAAGGCCCTTCTGACCATCTCCATCCCGCCAGGCCCCAACCAGGGGCCCCACCAGTGCCGCCGCTTCCGCCAGCCACAGTGGCAGCTCTTGGACCCCAATGCCACGGCCACCAGCTGGAGCGAAGCTGACACGGAGCCGTGTGTGGACGGCTGGGTCTATGACCGCAGCGTCTTCACCTCCACCATCGTGGCCAAGGTAGGGCCTCCCCCAGAGCCACTCGAGTCCCGTCACCTTGGAGGTCAGAGTCATGGATCAGGTTGGTTGGACTCCAAGGTCCAGTCCTGGGAGGGACCCGCCTCCTCTCGAGCCTCTCAGCCCCTCGTCAGCCACACACAGGGGAGTGGGCGGCAGGGATCAGTCTACAGATGGGGCCAGCCCAGGCTCCTGGTAGTGCGGGGGGCACCTGGGTGGGCACCTCTGAATGCTGGCATCTGGACATTCGCCAGCCTCGCCTGGTCCCGGCCCTACTGACCCATTAGCCGTGACTCCAGACAACTCAGCTGCAGGGGGAAATCAGGGGTAAGGGGGGTCTGGCTGAACTGACCCAACAGGCTTCTTGCTGAGACAGGCCAGGGTGACACACGTCACCCTAGAGATGGTGGAGGATGAGGAACCTGATCAATGTTGAGGCTGGGGGCAGAGGGGGGTTCTTGCTAAACTGATTCAGCAGGGTTCTTTGCTAAAACTGGATTTTATGAGGAAGCGCCAGATGGGCCCAGGAGAAGGCTCAGGAACCTGACTAAAGTTTGGCCAAGCAAAGCATTCTGGTCACCCCACGCCCATTTCCTGATCGGTGATGATGGCCCAGATTCGGATCGGGGCTCCGGTTCCAACATGAGCAGGGAGACTTCAAGAAGCATCCATTCCACCGGTGAATTCACTCAGTTGACATTTAAACCCCTTCTAGCAGCAAAGCCACCCCTCGCCCTGCACCGGCAAAGTGGCAGACACATTTCCAAATGTGTCCCTGCTGCCACAACCTCGCCACAATCTTGTGGGATGGGTCCTATGACAGTCCTCATTTAATAACGGAGAAAAGGAAAACACAGAGAGGTTAAGGGGCTGTCCCAGCGCACACAGCTAGAGTGTCCCAGAGCCTGATTCAATCCCGGCAGTCAGGGTCTGGAGCCTGAGTCAATCCTCGCAGTCTGCATGAGGGACAAAAGCAAGGTTGCGAGGGGTGAGGAGCGGCAGCCTCCTTCAGGCAGATGGTTGGGGATGGCCTCTCCAAAGAGGATACATTGACATCGAGGCTGGGATGGTGAAAGGAGGAATCTGTGAAGGTCAGGAGCCCCACAGAGCAAAGGTCATGCATAGAAGTATGTCTGGGATTTGAAGGAGCAGAATAAGGCCCAGTGTGTCTGCGCACAGGTGCTGAGGGGCCAGAAGCAGGTGCGGGGACATGCTCTGGAGCTGGGATTTTCTTTCTCTTTTTTTTTTTTTTTTTTTTTTGAGACAGAGTCTCACTCTGTCACCCAGGCTGGAGCACAGTGGCACAAACATGACTGCCTGCAGCCTCTAACTCCCGGCCTCCAATGATCCTCGTGGCTTGGCCTCCCCAGTAGCTAGGACTATAGGCACATACCACCATGCCCAGCTAATTTTTTTTTTTTTTTTTGAGACTGAGTCTCGCTCTGTTGCCTAGCCTGGAGTGCAATAACGCAATCTCGGCTCACTGCAACCTCCACCTTCTGGGTCCAAGCGATTCTCCAGCCTCAGCCTCCCGAGTAGCTGGAATTACAGGCATGCACAACCACTCCCGGCTAATTTTTGTATTTTTAGTAGAGAAGGGGTTTCACCACGTTGGTCAGGCTGGTCTCGAACTCCTGACCTCTGGTGATCCACCCGCCTCGGCCTCCCAAAGTGCTGGGATTACAGGCATGAACCACCACGCTTGGTCTAATTTTTTAAATTTTTAGTAGATATGAGGTCTGACTACATGGCCCAGGCTGGTCTTGAATTCCTGAGCCGAAAGGATCCTCCAGCCCCAGCATTCCAAAGTGTTGGGATTACAGGCATGAGCCACTGTGCCCGGGATTTTCTTTTAAATGCAAAAGAACCTCATCCTCGTCATCCTCATTGGAGGGTTTGGAGCATGGAAGTGATTTGGTCTGACTTGCATTTTCAAGAAGTCACTTTGCAGAGTAGAGAAGCTCTGTGGGGGGATGGGGAGCCCACTGGAGGCTACTGCAGCTGCCCGGGTGGGAAGGGGAAAGAGAGAGGTGGAGGGAGCTGCCGGGCCTCAGTGGAGGACGGACTTGGGGATGGGTGTGGGGTGTTCAGGCAATGGATGACTGGTCCTGGGCTGAAGCCACTGTAAAAATCCCAGTGAACCGTGCCAAGCTCTCTCTAGTCACCCTCACCGCTGATGACAGCACCAGATCACGACTCCGTGACTCCGTCTCTAGAGGAAAGGATAGCCCAGCCGAGGCAGTGGCTCTGCCACGTCCACCTGGCCAGCACTCAGTAGAGGTGGAAGCCAAGCCTATGGTTTCACCCCTGCCAGCCACTCCCTGCCCCTGCCTCCCACTGCCCACCTTGCCTGCCACCTCACAGCCCACCACTGCCAGGTACTGCCAGACACAGCCACACATTGCCTGCCAAAGTTCTTTTTACCAAGAAATTGTTCATTTTTCTACCACTTCTGCCCCTTCAAGGCCCTGCTGCCTGTCAGAGTCTGTCCTCTGCATGAGGGGGGCCACTGGACCCCGTGGAGTGGCCTCCACACAGCTGGCAGACGCAGAGCCAGGTCACATTCTGTCCTGCAGCTGAGCTTCCCATGGGGAGTTGCAGCCCCATGGCCAGCAGGTCCTCTCTACCTCTGTGACCTGGCACTGGGAGTCCAGGGACCCCAGTGTGGGTCAGGCGTTCCTCGGCCGTGCCCAGCCCTGTGATTTCATACCCCCCGAGCTGAGCCACTGCACCCTCCTCTTGCAGTGGGACCTGGTGTGCAGCTCCCAGGGCTTGAAGCCCCTAAGCCAGTCCATCTTCATGTCCGGGATCCTGGTGGGCTCCTTTATCTGGGGCCTCCTCTCCTACCGGTGAGTGCCTCCGCTCCTCCCAGCCCCCAGCTCCCTCAAAACATTGTTGAAGACTATGGGGCAGAAGGTTCAGAAATGTCAGGCAAACACCCCATCCCTGCTTCCGTCTCCCTCCTGCCTCCTCTGTTTCTTCCCTCCCCTGGCCATCCGAACCAACCCACAGGCTGTTCCGGGTCCCCATCTCAGCAAGGCCCCCCAGACCCTGGCCTGGTTCCCCTCACAGGGAGGCCACCCCAGGCCATCCCCCACCGCCCCCATTTCCTCTCCCATACTCCTGCCAGATGGTCATAGGCCTCCTCCATGCGGCCGTGCTTGGACCCTGTGCCTCAAAGTTGTCCTGGCTCCCCATCCTCCTCTCCTCTGTCCTTTGTCCCCCAGTCTCAAGGCCTTTCCAGAAGCCTCACGTGGGCCAAACACTAGCCAGGTGCAAGGGATGCCTCAGCAGAAATGGGGGAAGGGGCGGTGGGGAGGGTGGGAGACAAGTGTCTGCTCTTCCCCAGCTTGGAGCCAAGCAGGGCTCAGGACACAGGTAAGTAAGTCAGGCCACCTTGGAACGTGAGGCCGGTTAGGGGAACAGGGCACAGGTGATGGGCACGCCAGGGCCAGCCGGCAGGACTGGAAACGTCTCGTACCAGGTGACACTGAAGCCTAGGCCTGCTGGCGGGGAGAAGCGTTCTCTGTGACACACTTTCTTCTCTTGGCTTCCAGAACATCCTCACTCCTGGTTTTCCTTCCACCTCCCAGGAAGCTGTTCTTGCTCCCCCTCCTCCCGCTCCCCCTCCTGCCTCTCTTCCTGTTCTGGGAGCTGAGCTGCTGATTCCTTGCCACGCCCCCTCACTCCCCCAGCAGCCTCCATCGGAGGACACAGACCCCCAACCTGTGGGACCCTTCTGCGCCTGCGCTGTCCCCTGGCCTCCCTTCCTCACCCCCACACTCACCTGGCTCTTCCTCCAGGACACACTCAGCCCAAGCCCCTCTCTGCCACAGCATCCCCTTGCCTGAGCCACCATCTCCTCTCACCAGGCAGGCTGCAACCCCTCGCAGGTGTCCTCTGCAGTGGCCGTCCACGCTGCCACAGCACTGAGTGACTTTGCAAAATCTCGGAGGTTGATCTGGTCAATAAAAGCTGGCCCAAAGTCCTCCGAGGGCCCCACTGCACTGAGGACAGTCCCTTCCTGCCTACCCCCTGCCCTGCGCTGGGCTTCCATCCACCCCCAGCTCCACCAGCCTCCTCCTGGGGCCCCCTGCACGCCTGCAGAGCGCCTCAGTGACTGTGCTTCACCCAGAAGCTCTTGCCTATGCTGCTTTGTGCCCACACGCAGGCCGCAACTCAATGCTCTTCCTTGAGGAGGCCCTCCGAGGCCACGGAGCCAGAGACTCCTGCCCGGCCCCAGGCATGACTGTCCCAGCCCCTCCTTGCTTCCCTCATCACAGTGCCTGGCTCTGACGATGCCTGGCTGGCTCAAGGCTTGTTTGTTGTCCACGTCCCCACAAGCACACAGGGACCCAGGGACTGTGCTCCAGAGCCCAGCTCAGCACGGTGGCAGACACGCAGTCATTATTTCATGAATGGAGGACTGCCTTCCCACTCCCTCCTGCCACCACCCTACTGGCTCTGGGGTCTGACTACCTGGGTCTGAATCCCAGCCTTATCCCACCCAGCCTTGTCCTACAAGGTAGATCTCTTCCCTTCTCTGGAGATCTCTTCCCTTCTCTGGGCCTCAGTTTCCCCCCAGCAGTGGGGTCTCGCACCTGCCCACGCAGTTGTCGTGAGGATGAAGCGAGTGTCCTTGCTCCTGGGTGCTGCTCAGACAGGTGCGGCCAAGGTCTGCCTCGCATCTCCGTTCTGAGCAGAACGGGCTTGAGTGGCACTAAATGCAATCTCCGGTTCAGACTCAGCCGGCCTGGAGGCCACCGCAGCCCAGGGCACTCGGGCAGGGGCCGAGGGCTCTGCATCCGCCCCATGAGCACCCCCTTCACAGCGCACAGGTGAGAGCAGTGGATTGCAAAGTCTCGGCCTCCTTACTCCCTGGCCCCTTGCCCAGTGTCTTGATTCTCATAGCAGCCCTGTGAGGCATGTCCTTATGGATGCCCTTGTGTTACAGATGGGGAAACTGAGGCTCAGAGATGTCGAATCACATGCCCAGGGTCACCCAGGAAGGACAGAGCTGGGGCTCAAACCCAGGCATCTGATGCCCAAACCTGTGTTCTTTTTTATTTATTTATTAGAGACAGAGGCTCATTCTGTTGAACAGCCTGCAGTGCAGAGGCGTGATCATACCTCACTGCAGCCTTGAACTCCTGGGCTCAAGCCATCCTCCCACCTCAGCCTCCCAAGTAGCTGGGACCGCAGACACCTGGCTAATTTATTTATTTATTTATTTATTTATTTATTTATTTATTTATTTATTTAGTAGAGACTGAGGTCTCACTATGTTGCCCAGGCTGGTCTTGAACTCCTGGCCTAAAGTGATCCTCCAGCCTCAGTCTCCCAAAGTGCTGGGATTACAGGCATGAACCACCGTGCCTGGCCCCAAACCCCATGTTCTTAAACACTGAAACTGAACTGCACCCTCCCATGGCAAGGTACCTGCCACTTTTATAACAGAAGCACTCTGAGTGTACCCCTAAAAGTTCCAAGAAGGAGGAGCTGGCTGCAAGAGATCCCCTGGCGTTGTTGAACTCCCAGAAGGCAAGTACCTGCCCACATATCCACGTCCTCAGGGGCCCCTCTCCAGGCCCCGTGTGCTTCTCTCCTGTGACAGGTTTGGGAGGAAGCCGATGCTGAGCTGGTGCTGCCTGCAGTTGGCCGTGGCGGGCACCAGCACCATCTTCGCCCCAACATTCGTCATCTACTGCGGCCTGCGGTTCGTGGCCGCTTTTGGGATGGCCGGCATCTTTCTGAGTTCACTGACACTGAGTGAGTCCCCGGCTCAGCGCGCTCCTGCCATGGGGGCGGGGGTGGCAGGAGAGAATGGGGCTCAGGCCGCCGCATGAGGCCTCACCTGCACGTGTCTGCATCCTTCAGTGGTGGAGTGGACCACGACCAGCAGGAGGGCGGTCACCATGACGGTGGTGGGATGTGCCTTCAGCGCAGGCCAGGCGGCGCTGGGCGGCCTGGCCTTTGCCCTGCGGGACTGGAGGACTCTCCAGCTGGCAGCATCAGTGCCCTTCTTTGCCATCTCCCTGATATCCTGGTCAGTATGATGTGGGACCTTTTCCTTAGGAGACCCAGGGTGGGAGGGGGACTCTTCACTTTCACCTCTCTGGCTGGCAGTAGGTCCAGAGACCTGGAGTGCCACAGAAGGGCCATGGCATGAGCGGCACCCTCGCTAGGGAGGGACATTGGTGATTGGCAGTCCTGGGCTAAGTGTTGCAGCCCGAGGTCCGTGGCTCCCATCCAGCCCAGACAGGCCAAGATGGGCTGGCACAGCATTGGCTCAAATGGTGATTTAAAAAATACATTTGTAACTAGTTGCTAACATTTAAAAATCAGAAGATTTTCAAAAACAAACAAAAACAGTATTTTTTACCTTCTTTGGAAAAACTGGAAGATCCAGGGGCACTGGGCTGAACTTCGGCCACAGTGGAAGCGGCCGCTCTCCCGGTCCCCAAGGCCCCACTGCCGCTGTCCCCTGGGCTGAGGCTGTGAGCATCGTCCTTCCTCAATACTTGCACCAGCCCCCACCCACCAGCTTCACTCCTTCACATACAGTGCGGACCAACATTGGATATGAAAATAGATTGTTGTCACTACAATTTTAGGGGCCGCAAAAATCCCTAAGGTCTGGAAATCCCTCCTTGGGTTGGCACTGAGGAAGGAGACACAGACAGGTGCAGAGGGTCTTAGGTGCTGGGGACACACAAGTGAACAAAACAGGCAAAAACCAGTGGCCCCGTGGAGCTTACGTTTCATACACAGATCAATAAGTGAAGAGGAAGGCCATCCCATAATTACAATAATTAGGCCATCCCCGCCACGCTGATCAGGTGTGTACCAGGTGCAGTTTATAACACTAGGTGCGTATTAACACACCTTCTAATAAGTAAGATGATGCGATTACCACCATTTTCAAATGAAGGACCGAGACCTAGAAAGGTTAGGTCACTCACCCAAGGTCACACACAGCCGGTGAATGCCAGAGGCAGGATTTGAACCTAGGCAGGCTAACTCTTCACCACTACGTCAGACTGCCTCCAGAAGTCCTTCTTAGCTTCCCTGCAAACAGGGCTGAGAGCCGGTGGGTTGGGCAGATCCTGTGCCTTCCACCAGGAAAGTGTTTCTCCTGGCCCACCTGCCCCTGAGGTTGGGGAGAAATAGACTGGTTTTATAAAATCACCTGGTTCTGCCTGGGGATATTTTAAATGTGCTAAAAAAAAAAAAAAAAAAAAAAAAAAAAGGCCGGGCACAGTGGCTCAAGCCTGTAATCCCAGCACTTTGGAGGCTGAGGCAGGTGGATCACAAGGTCAGAAGATCAAGACCATCCTGGCTAACATGGTGAAACCCCATCTCTACTAAAAATACAAAAAAATTAGCCATGGTGGTGCACACCTGTAGACCCTGCTACTCAGGAGGCTGAGGCAGGAGAATCACTTGAACCTGGGAGGTGGAGGTTGCAGTGAGCCAAGATCGCACCACTACACTCCAGCCTGGGTGACAGAGTGAGACTCCATCTCAAAAAAAAAACAAAAAAACCCAGCACCAAGTGACCTTTCTATCCTAGAAATAGCCCCAGAATCACTGGTGAAGCAGCCAACTCTAGGGACACCCATGCCCAGGCCACCTGTGCCCTGGCTGTGTGCAGGGCTCAGGTGGGCAGGCCCCGGGCAGCCAGGCGAGCCAGATGGAGGTGGCTCGCTTGGGAAGGTGGGCGGCCAGGCATTGGGACTCAGCTTTATTCTGAAACCGCTGGGGACTGCCAGGCTCCTGGCTGGGCAGCAGCGGCACAGAAGCATGTGCTTCCTCATCACTCATCTCAGCTGGAGGGTCCGTGCCCACTGCCCCTTTCCACCCCGCCCCGGGGGAGAGCCCAGCGTGCACTCCCAGCTACACACCTGCCTCCTTACAGGTGGCTGCCAGAATCCGCCCGGTGGCTGATTATTAAGGGCAAACCAGACCAAGCACTTCAGGAGCTCAGAAAGGTGGCCAGGATAAATGGCCACAAGGAGGCCAAGAACCTGACCATAGAGGTGAGATGCTGCTGTCTGCGAGACTTGACCTGGGACAGGACGTGCACTGAGGGATCATCCGTGTGGCCTCCAACAGCACCACCCACTCCAGCACCACCTCCACCAGCACCACCACCAGCATCTCCACAGACACCACCAACACCTCCATCACCACCTCCACACAGACACCACCACCACCACCACCAATCCCGATACCATCACCAACAGCACCACCACTGTCCACACCCACCATCACCTTCACTGCCATCACTCCATCACCACCAGCACCACCAATACCATCACTAACCCCACAGCCACCATCTCTGCAAAACATCTCCACCACCTTCACCACCATCGTCACCATCGGTAACAGCACCATCATTATCAACAGCACCCACACCGTCACCTCCATCACCCACCACCTCCACCTGCATGTAGCACGCACCCACCTCATGGGGGTTCTCGATGTGTCTGGGGAAACAGAATGTGTTTATTTGAAGGTAGCTGCTTTCAGGAAACAGGCGCTGCCAGAGATTAGAGTGAAGATGGGGTCGGAGGATAAGGGAAGGCTTCCAGAAGGAGGCAAGCTAGAGCTGAGAGGACCAGGGCTGAGTCAAACCTGCAGAAGAGCCAGGGCCTGGAGAGAACCTTTTCTGCCCCATCCCCTCCCCTTCCCCTAGGGATCCAGCTTCCAGAGGCCGAGGCCCAGGACAGGCTCCCCGTCACTCTGGCCACTTGGACACTGTTCTCTGGCACAGGGGGTGGGGCAGGGCCATTGCCCTACCATTCACGGTGCCCCCATTCTCCCCGGAAGGTGCTGATGTCCAGCGTGAAGGAGGAGGTGGCCTCTGCAAAGGAGCCGCGGTCGGTGCTGGACCTGTTCTGCGTGCCCGTGCTCCGCTGGAGGAGCTGCGCCATGCTGGTGGTGAAGTACGCCGTCCTGGTGTCCCTCCCCAAGGCAGGGCTGGGACAGGCAGGAGGCAGAGCTGGGACAGGCAGGAGGCAGAGCGTCCAGGGGAAACAGCACCCGCAGGCCTCAAGGGGGTGCATTTCTGTCTGGGACAGGACGCAGACAGCCCCAGCAGGCAGGAGTCCTGGCAGGCAGCAGAGAGGGACTATGCACAGGTGGGATCTGGAGGCTGCCATCTGCAGGAAGCCAGAGGAAAAGGCAGCTCTAGGCTGGGGGTCCCAGGGTCCCAGGGAGGTCCCAAGACAGAGGCAGAGCCAGGGTCCCTAGAGCCAGGGGACCAGCCACGGCCGAGGAGTACCACTGTGTGTCATCGTTAGAGACTTACCACTTTCCTAGAGACCATGGCCATGCTCCTAGAGGGTGAACCTGCATTCGCTGACCCCTCCATGCAACCCCACTTCACTGATGGGGAAAGAGGATCCCAGAGGGGTAAGGAACAAGCCCAAAATAATAGAGCCTGCATTGGAACCGGGCTGAGCTAACACTTGGCTTACCGGCACTGTCACTGCCAGGGCCCGCGCGACCAGACCCTGGCCCTCCCCGGGACCCAAGGTCATCTGGGCCCAGGAAAAGGCCCTTAAAACAAATTCAGTTCCGGTGACATCCAAAAGAGCATATTAAAAAGCAAGGACCAGTCAGGCGCGGTGGCTCAAGCCTGTAATCCCTCACTTTGGGAGGCTGAGGCAGGAGGATCGCTTGAGCCCAGGAGTTCAAGACCAGCCTGGGTAACATAGTAAGACCCTCTCATCGCTACTAAAAATCAAAAAATGAGGCAGGAGGATCACTGGAGCCCAGGAGATAGAGGCTGCACTGAGCTGAGATTGTGCTACTGCACTCCAGCCTGGGCGACAGGGCAAGATTCCGTCAAAGGAAAAAAAAAAAAACCTAAGGACCTGGTTTGATTGGGACTTTTATCTTGAAATAAAACTGAAGTTTAGGAAAACGTTTCTTTTATGCTATATTTAACCACATATGGGTTATGATGGCAAATACTTGCTACATCTTAGAACAAAGATAGATCAAATGCCTTTTTTAAAAAACTTCAATTTTTTTCTGATAAATCAGAAGGAGTGCTCTCACTGCAAACACCCGGGACCAGTTTTTTTTTTTAAAAAAAAAAAAAACCTTCCAGGATTCCTCAGTTCTCCCAGGGGCCGGCTCTGCAACCTTTGTTATTCAAATCAGAGGCTTTGAAGCTGGTGACCTTGTGGGTTTTCCTGTCTTGTTAACCCAGTTGTTATCTGTCCAAGGCTCCAGTGTCGGCCGCTTTGAGCACCAGCCCAGTGACTCTCACGTCACTCACATAAACTTCATGAAACACCGCGGCTTGTGCGATTTTACTCTGATGTTGTTGGGCTGGTGTTGTCCGATGTTTATTGGGTGATGCAATCAGGTGACGCCTAAGGGGAGGGCTGGGAGGAGCATCTGGGTTAAGCAGGGAGAGCACAGATTTTAAACGTGGCCGAGAAGAATTTTACCTTGCAGCCAGTTGTGGATCCAAATCCCATCTCCAAACCATGAGAATTTAAATACCGTAAATTCAGCTACTCGTGAGCCAGTGGGGTGGGGGAGTGGGCAGAAAGCAGACCCTGAGATGGAGAAGGGAAGGCAAGGGGAGATGCAGCCACAGCCTGGGCCCAGCCCAGCCCCTGGGAGCGTGGGAGCTGGGGCCTTTCTGGGTGGTCCCTCTGCCCCATGAACCAGTCACAGGCTGCTCTCCCCAGAGAAGGGGCAGCACTCCCAGGGGCTGGGGGACAGGCTCTCCATCCTGAATGTGGTCTGGGCAATGCAGCCCAGGGTCTCCCGAGAGGCCCTGTCCTGCCATGATTCCCATCTTCCAAGAGAAAGGCACAGTGTGACTGGTTATCAGAATCAAAGCCAGAGAGGGCTAGTCCGGAAGTGAGGGGCAGCTCAGAGGCCCCCGAGGGCAGACTTGGTCCCAGCCAGAGAGGCAACGCCCCAGCGCATCGCTGCCCCTGACACAAAGCCTGTGTGTGAAGGGATGGTGGAGCCACCCTGCCTGCCCTTTCCTGGAAGAGCCTGACGCTGGGGTTGTGTCCTGAGTTTGGCAGGCTTCTGGGATCGCTGGCCGAGACAAGCCCAGGATTGTCCTCCGGGGTTGGCCATGTCCTCCCAGGCAGCTCCTGGTGGGAGGTGCTGTTGCTGTTGGGGTGCCCTCTCCCCGGCAGGGCAGGGACCTGACTTCCAGCCTTGCCCGCAGTTTCTCTCTATTGATCTCCTACTATGGGCTGGTCTTCGACCTGCAGAGCCTGGGCCGTGACATCTTCCTCCTCCAGGCCCTCTTCGGGGCCGTGGACTTCCTGGGCCGGGCCACCACTGCCCTCTTGCTCAGTTTCCTTGGCCGCCGCACCATCCAGGCGGGTTCCCAGGCCATGGCCGGCCTCGCCATTCTAGCCAACATGCTGGTGCCGCAAGGTGAGGCAGGCGGACTGGGCGGTGGGACCGGGCCCTGCTTCCCCGCCCACCCCACTGCTCTGAGCGTGGGGCCACATCCCCTCCCTGGCCCCAGGAGCTGCCTCCCTGTTTTCTTTCTGAATGAGGGAGGCTATGAGGACCTGGAATCCCTCTCTGTGTCTCCTTTTATTGCTGAGGGTGGGAGACTGGGGGAAAGGGACAGGGCGGCACGTCGTGCGGTGGCGGCAGAGCCGGGAGGAAGGCAGGAGGCTGCCTTGCGGCTGGCAGAAGGCCTGAGCGGGGACGGAGGCGGCCGGGGCCCTGCAGGCTGCAGCGAGAGCCCAAGCTCTGAGCGCGAGCAGCTGCGAGGAAACTGACAACGGCGAGCACCTCCCAGCAGTTCAGGCACCTCCACGGAGCAACGCGTTGGGGAGGCCAGGCCTGCGGCCAAAAGGGGGCCCGGACCTCCGCCTCCAGGCCAGGGCTTCTGCCATCCCCACACAGGCAGGCTGGCGGGCAGCAGGAAGGCTGCTGTGGACCGGGCCCGGCGCTCTCTCCGTCATAGCAAGAGGCATCTCGGGACCCTAGGAGCCGCGGTGGGGGGCATTCTTTCAGTGCAGCCTCCACGGCCGGCCAGGCTCAGCTACCCTAGACCTGGCTGGGTTTCTGCCTGTGCCCCTCGGGCCCCTGCCGCGATATCGCATCCTATGCTCTGTCCCCCAACCCCAGCCCTGGGCAGCCCCGCACCAAGCCAGCAGGGCCGGGGACTTGTAGGGAGCCCAGGGTCCCCTCTGCTCCAGGCTGGCTGGCCGCACACTGACTAGCCCCTGGGTACCCTCCAGGGCAAACCCCACTCTCACCCCCTTCCTGTACCCAGATTTGCAGACCCTGCGTGTGGTCTTTGCTGTGCTGGGAAAGGGATGTTTTGGGATAAGCCTAACCTGCCTCACCATCTACAAGGCTGAACTCTTTCCAACGCCAGTGCGGTAAGCTGGGCTGCAGGCCATGCCCCAGGGCCAGCAGGGCCGTCCTGAGAGGGCGGTGGGAAGGGAAAGAAGGGTCTGGCAGCCAGGGAAATGCAGCCAGGGCCGCTCAGGGTCCCCCCCAGGACAGCTCTTCCCCTTGAGAGTCTCGACCCAGACAGAAGCAGTACAGTAGAGCCCTGGGGACATCTGGGCCTGTGTTTTCACACCATTTTGAGCCACAGAGTCATCTGTCCAGATGGAATCTTATAAGAATCCTGATTAGGAGACCAAGAGCTGCCCTGGTAGCAGTGGGGACCCTCAACTCACTTCCCACCACTCCTTCCCTGCCCCAAGAGAGCCCCAAGTCACCTCCTTGGAGCCCAAGGGCATCATAAAACACAAATGGAAAACCAGTGGTCTAGAGTCTAGGCCACCCCCACATTTGATATTTGGGTAAACTGAGGCTCGGGGTGAAGGACTGGCTCAGCAGAAGGGTAGGACTGGACTCCAGCTCTCCAGACTTTTAGCCCAATGTTCTTTCCACCACTCACTCATTTCTCCATATTTTAATTTGTTGTTTGGACAAGCATTTATTGATTTTGTTGATATCGTATGGAAAGCCTGAGTTGGGAGCTCAGTGGCCTAGCAGGAGTATGGAGAAGCCCTTAAGTTGCCCAAGAGTGGGGAAAATGAGGTGGGCCCTAGAGATTTCCCCTGAAACACTAGATGCAAAAATCTGGGTGGGCTCCGTGGAGGAGGTGGCATTAGAGGAGGCCTTGAGGAGGGCAATTCCCTCAGCCCAGCTTTCCTTCCCCTGGCATCTGTGAGCCCAGGATGTCTTCCTGCCACAGGGCCAGCTGTTACAGGGATCTGGGCCCTCCCCTTCACCCACAGGATGACAGCAGATGGCATTCTGCATACAGTGGGCCGGCTGGGGGCTATGATGGGTCCCCTGATCCTGATGAGCCGCCAAGCCCTGCCCCTGCTGCCTCCTCTCCTCTATGGCGTTATCTCCATTGCTTCCAGCCTGGTTGTGCTGTTCTTCCTCCCGGAGACCCAGGGACTTCCGCTCCCTGACACTATCCAGGACCTGGAGAGCCAGTGAGTGACCTGTGATCCCTGGGCATCGGGCTGGGCTTCCTCCTGGGCCAAGATGGAGACAGGCCTGGGCTGCCCAGGGCAAAGGCTCAAGAGTACCAAGGCCTGTGTTTCTGAAACCATTTAATCTTTCCAACAATCCTGCCAGAAATGTATTATTACTATCCCCATACTATTACTAGGGTCAGAGAAAGAAAGTGACTTATCCAAAGTCTCATGGGTAGAAAGTGATCATACCTCATGCAGGAAAATGTAATGGTTGAAAGCCCAGGCTTGGCAGCCAGGTTGCCTGGGCCCACGTTCCCCACCTGCCTGGGCAAGTGACTTAACCTCTCTCACCAAAACTGACAAAGGGAGATACAGATAGTCTCAACTGTCCTAGTGCAATTTTCCCACAAAGAATTTCAGGCCCAGACAGATCAACAGGTGAGTTCTTTCAAACCCTCAGAGAACAGATGGTGCCATCTCACACCCATTCTTTGACAGGGAGAAATGAGGGAGCACTCCCTGGCTGCATTTTATAGCCAGAACCACTTCTGTGGGCTTTAGCCTCCTCCTTTGTAAGATGGTGTTTAGAAAAAACAAACAAAACCCAGCCTGGCTCACAGAGTTGTTTTCAAGTTTAAGGGAAGTATTATTTTAAAGCACCTGGGAAAATGCCAGGCCTGCAGCAAGCACTCTGGACATGTGGTTATTGTGTCCTGGGTGACTGTTCACAGGGCCGCCTCAATTCTGATGGTGACCGAGGTCACAATGATAGTAATAATACTGAGTTCTTATTGTTTTATGTCACCTTATTTAATCGATACAACAACCACATGAGGTGCTATTACAGTCCAATTCCTTTGCCAAGGAAACTGAGATGCAGCAGGGTTATATAACTTGCCTAAGGACACCTGCAGAGACCCGGAGAAGCTGGGACTTCATTTTTTCTTTAATTTAATTGATTTTTGTTGTGTACCTACTATGTTTCAGGCACTGTCCCGCTTGGGTACACAGAAGGGAGTAAAAGCCTAATGCCATAGAGTTTACCCCCCAATAAGACTTGACCGCCATTTTGCCCCAAGCTCCGAGTACATACCCACTTCACCACATGGCACTGCTTTTCTTTGGATTATTCTAGGAAATCAACAGCAGCCCAGGGCAACCGGCAAGAGGCCGTCACTGTGGAAAGTACCTCGCTCTAGAAATTGTGCCTGCATGGAGCCCCTTTAGTCAAAGACTCCTGGAAAGGAGTTGCCTCTTCTCCAATCAGAGCGTGGAGGCGAGTTGGGCGACTTCAAGGGCCTGGCATGGCAGAGGCCAGGCAGCCGTGGCCGAGTGGACAGCGTGGCCGTCTGCTGTGGCTGAAGGCAGCTTCCACAGCTCACTCCTCTTCTCCCTGCCCTGATCAGATTCCCCACCTTACCCGGGCCCTACAGGAGCCTGTGCAGATGGCCATGCCCAACCAATAACGAGACGGTTCCCCTCCCTTTCCCTGCCAGGCTCATGTCTTTACACCTTCACTCAGCCACGCCAACCAGAGACTGGGTTCCAATCTCACCCCACCACATACAGAGCCCTCATCTGTGAAATGAGAATGATCACGTGACCCACCCCCCAGGGCAGGTATCAGGGTGAACTGATCTTAGCACCGGCCAAATAAATGGAACCTGCTGAGAGAGCTGCCAGATACAGGTGTCCAGGTTGTGCACTGGCCCGAGGCACGCAGCCAAGGAGGCGTGTGGGGTCTGAAACTCAGCCCCGGCTACACTGGCCCCACCACCCACCCTAGCAAAGGCTGTGTCCTCTCCAAAAAAAGGAGCTGTTTTAATCACTTTTCATTTACTCATCAGTGAGGGAGGGCTTCCAGCCCTATGGTTACGAAGACGGCCAAACACACCACCAAACACCAGACAGAGGAGGCTGGCAGCAGGTTACCACACACGTGCGCAGAGCCCACGAAGATGACGCTGCACTGAGGCATGGGGCGGGGTGCACTGAGGATCCGAGCGAGCAGCCAGGGCTGCAGGAAGGCAGCTTTGGAGCACAAAGGGGGTGGGGCAACTCCTGGCTTCTGCGGGAAGGTGTAATCAGCTTGTTTCATCATGCTGCAGGCTGGCGAGAAACGGAGCCTTACAAGCGTAGGGATAAGAGGAACCCCTCTTGGTCCCCTCGATGAGGGTTGTTGGGCCGGGGAGCCTCATCCACAGGGCGGAGTGAAAGGGGAGAAGGGGAGCTCACAGGCAGGCCTGCCAAGGCCTTCTGGCTTTGCCAGATGTCAAGGGCAGCACCTAATACTGAACCTTAACTTTCGGCTTTCAACCAAACGGCACCCTTTTGCTGTTTGTTTTCTGGAGGGGACACCTTTTCTTGATTCATGCCCAGACCTCCCTTGTCCAGGCCATGAAAACTCTGGGATGGTCGAGGCCGGCTGCCCATCTCAGATGGGCAAGGAAGCAAAAGTGCAGAGTGGTGGAGGGGCCAGCTTGCAGAAACACGGCCGAACCCGGCCCTGATCCTAGCCCAGGGCTCTTTCCAGCACAGGAGGCTCCTAGCCCTCGTCTCCAACCCTCCATGCCACTGATATCTGTGGCCCTGCCACAAAGTTACCCTCATGCCCTTCCCTGGAGACCCCACTCTGGGCCACCTCAATCTCAGGCCCCTCAACTCACCTCTTTCACCCTGTGTACACTGGGTCAATCACTCCTGCCTCCTCACAGCTCCCAAATCCACCTACTTCCCTTCACTCTGGCTACACCCTGGTTCACACCACGGTTGTAGCTCCAAACTGGTCCCTGATGTCTACATTGCACTCTGCACAACAGCCACCATGCTTATTAAGAAACGCAATCCAAACCAAATCCCTCCCTGCTGAAAGCCCTCCAGTGGCTCACAATAAGGATCACACTTCTCCCCCTGCCTGGTCAGGCAGCCATGGGACCCCAGCCTTTCCTCCCACTTCGGTAAATTTTAAAGGATTCGGATCATACAAAGAATGTTCTTGAACCAGCATGGAATTAAATTAGAAATCAATTATGGAAAGAGATATAGAAAACCTCTTCAAACTATACAACACACTTCTAAGTAACCCACGGGTCAAAGAGGGAATCTCAAAGGAAATGAGAAAAGATTTTGAACTGAGTGAAAATGAAAAAATGGCATATCAAAATTTGTGAGATGAAGCTAAAGTAATGATTATGGGGAAATTGATATCATTAAACACTAACATTAGAAGAGAAGAACGTTCCAAATCAAATACCTCAGCTTTCACCTGGAAAGTAGCAAAAGAAGAGTTTATTAAACTTATAGTAAGCAGAAGAAATAATACACAAGAGAAATCAGAGAATTGAAAAAACAATAAAGAAAATTAGCGAAACCTACAGGTGGTTCTTTAAGATCAATACAATTTACAAACCTCTAGACTTACTGATCAAGAAAAAAAGAGGCCGGGTGCGGTGGCTCACGCCTATAATCCCAACACTGTGGGAGGCTGAGGTGGGCGGGTCACTTGAGGTCAGAAGTTCAAGACCAGTCTGGCCAACGTGGTGAAGCCCCATCTCCACTAAAAATACAAAAATTAGCCCGGTGTGGTGGTGCGTGCCTGTAATTCCAACTACTCAGGAGGCTGAGGCAGGAGAATCACTGGAACCTAGGAGGCGGAGGTTGCAATGAGCCGAGATCACACCACTGCACTCTAGCCTGGGTGACAGAACAAGACTCCGAATCAAAAAAAAAAAAAAAAAAAAAAGGAAAAAAGAAAAAAAGAGAAAAGACACCCACTACAAATCTAGGACTACGAATCCGAACATTAAAACGATAATAAGGGAATATTCTGAGCAATATTTTACCAAAAACTTTGAACACTTTAACAATTTTTTTGAGGAACACAAACTACCAAAGCTCACTCAAGAAGATGTAGGTAACTTTATTAGCCCTAAATCTATTTTAAAATTGAACTTATGTTTTAAAACTTTCCCACAGAGAAAATTCCAGGCCCAAATGGCTTCACTGGTGAATTCTGACAAATATTTAAGCAGGAAATAATAGCAATTCTATGCAAAACCTTCCAGAAAATTGAAAATGAGGTAACACTTCCCAATTCGTTCTGTTTCCCTGAAACCAGAAAAAGACATTACAAGAAAATAAAGCTATAAACAAATATCCCTTATGGATATAAACATAAAAATTCTTAAGGAACATTTAGCAAGTTGAATCCAACTATGCATGTATATATATTTACATATGTGTGTGTAGTTTTATATTTTATATATAGGTGTGTGTGTGCATATATATATATATATATAGAGAGAGAGAGAGAGAGAGAGTGCAATACATCATGACCAAGTGGACTTTATCCCATGAATACAAAGTTAGTTTTACATTTAAAATCAAGGTTAACAAACCAAATTATGAACAAGCCAAAACAGAAAAGCCATATGTCATCCAAATAAACAAAGAAAGATCGTTTGACAAAATTCAACAGCCATTCCTGATCATTAATATTCAGCAAACCAAGAATTCAAGGCACCTTTTCCAGCCCGATCAAGGCCATCCATGCCCTAGATGGGCACCCTGTTATCCCAGAGGTGCCATCATGCTTATGGTAAAGGCTGCTTTCCCCTTCCGATCAGGAATGAGGCTAGGACATCCACTCTCACAGTTTGTATTCAACATTGCTCCTAGTCAGTGAGATAAGGTGAGCAAAATAAGTAAAAGGCATACACATTGGAAAGGAAGACACGAAACTCTCTTTATTTGCAGATGACATAATTGTCTATGTAGAAAATCCTAAGGAATCAACAAAAATACTACTGGAACTAATAAATGAGTTTAGTAAGGTCAATATACAAACACCTATTGTATTTCTGTATACAAGTGACTACCAGAAATTGAACATTTTAACACGATACCGTTTAATAACAGCATGGAAAAAATGTGACACCCAGGGAAAAATTCAATAAAAGAAAGACAAGACCCATGAACTGGAAATTACAGAACTGAGAGGAATTAAAGGGCTAAATACATAGACACATCTTGTTCATGGATTGAAAGACTGGATATTATCAAGATGTCAATTCTCCACAACGTAGTGTTTAGATTCAATGCAATCCCAGTCAAAATGCCAGCAGATTTGCTTTAGATAAATTGACAAGCTCACCCTAACATTTATATGAAAATGCAAAGGGCCTAAATTATCCAACACAATTTTGGAAAAGGACTAAGTTGGAGAACTTTTTTTTAATATAATACAATCAAAAGTTCAGAATAGAGCCATGCATTTATGGTTTAAATTTAATAGATTTTCAATCAAGGTGCCAAATCAATTAAAATGAGGAAAGGATAATCTTTTCTGCAGATGATTCTGGAACAATTGGATAACCATATATAAACAAAGAAAGAAAGAGGGAAAATGAGGCAAGGAGGGAGGGAAAGAAGAAAGGAAGAAAGGAAAGACGGCAGCGGGGAAGGGAGAAACTCAACCCTAACTCACACCATTTCCAAAAATTAACTTTAACTGGATCATAGACCTAAATATAAGAGCTAAAATTATAAAATTTTTTGAAGAAAACAGGAGAAAATCTTGGCAACTTTGGGTTTGGCAAAGATTTCTTAACTAGTACTCAAAAATATGAACTATAAAAAAACATATTGGACTTCATAAACACTAAAAACTTTTGCTTTCCAAAAGACACTGTTACAAAATGAAAAGGCAAGCCACGAACTTGGAGAAAATATTGGAAAAATCTGTATCTAACAAAGGACTTCTACCTAGAAAATGTAAAGAACATTTACAACGCACAAATCAAATGACAGTCCAATTGTAAAAGGCAAAAGGTTTGAACAGATGCATCGCCAGAGAGGATACATAGGTAGCCAATAAGCCCAAGAAAAGATGATCGACATCACTAGGAAAATGCAAATTAAAACCACAACAAGGCCGGGTGCGCTGGCTCACGCCTGTAAGTAATCCCAGCACTTTGGGAGGCCCAGGATGGTGGATCACCTGAGGTCAGGAGTTCGAGACCAGCCTGGCCAACATGGTGAAACCCTGTCTCTACTAAAACTACAAAAAATTAGCTGGGTGTGGTGGTGGATGCCTGTAATCCCAACCACTCCGAGTTGGGAGGCCAAGGCAGGAGAATTGCTTGAACATGGAAGAAGGAGATTGCGGTGAGCTGAGATCATGCCAAGCAGTCCAACCTGGGAGACAGAGCGAGACTCTGCCAAAAAAACAAAAAAAAAAAAAAAAAAACTTATACATTCAAATGTATAATCAAATTTACAAATTATCATCAAACAAATCCCAAGTTCCCATGACCTAGCTGGAGAAGCACAGCCTCACGGGTGCTTGATGGCCCCTGAGTGGCCCTCCCCAGTCAAATCCTCCCACCCGAGGTAACTGCTATCCCGAATTATCTTGTTTTCCTCATAAGCGTGCCACCTACTTATATATCCTCCAGCAACATTCTGTTTGGTGACACCAGCGTGGGATTCCGTGGTCTTCTGTGACTTGCTTCTTCCAAACCAATATTATGTGTTTGAGACACATCCCCATTAGTGGTTGAGCTGTGCAGGACATGGAACAGGCCATGCAGTGGAGCAGATGGGGAAACAGAGTCAGGCTGCCAGGCACACGGAGGGCCCACCCAAGTCTGGCCATGAACTTAGAGTGGCCTGTCAGCTGGGCTGTGTGTGTATTTTTTCCATCCACATTTGGCTGCTCAGGGGCAGGTATGGGTTGTCAGAGAACCAGAAGCCCACAATAAAAGTGATGACATTTGTGATAGTCCCCAAGAAACCTGGCAACACCACCCTTTCCAATATCACTGGTGATACTGGTTAGATGTTCGTGCACCTGCGCATGCACTCCCCAAAATGATGTGATGAGTGGGCCCTGCCAGCTCGCTGATCTTCTTGAAAACCTGTAACCCCAGTCTAATCATGGGTTCAACCCTCAGTCCTTCTGAGATGCCCTGGGGCCCTGTGTGACCAGCCTTATCTCACACCTGCTTGCCTCCCCCAACCCAGCCCCATCCTCATTCCCCTCATGGTTCCATGAACCTGACCGGTCCTTGCCCATCATGGGGACCTTGCACGTGCTGCTCCCCAACTGTATACACCTCCATTCCCAGCCTCAGGTGGGAGCAACTGTTCCCTCCTGATCACTGGCTGGGTGGCCCTCCACATCTCTTCCTGTTATTCTATGACCTCTTGATTTTGTTCATGATCCTTATAGAGTCTGTCTTCCCAATGGCAGTGGCCAGTCAGCCTGTCCTCCTGCCAGCACCATACGACCCAGGCAGGAAAATTTCACCATCTTCTCCACAGTGTCCCCAAAGCTCTGCTCCAGGGCCTGAATCTGGTATCTTTTTAATAACTGTTTACTGGATAGATGGATAGATAGATGGATGGGCGGGTGGACGGATGGATGGATGGATGGATGGATGGATAGATGGATGGATGGTTTGGTGGTTGGATGGATGAACGAATGGATGGATGGGTGGGTAGATGGCTGGGTTGATGAATGGATGGGTAGATGGATGAATGGATGGGTGGGTGGATGAATGAACGGATGGATGGATGGATGGATGGATGGACAGATGGATGGATGAATCGATGGGTAGATGGATGAATGGAGGGGTGGCTGGATGAATGAATGGATGGATAGGTGGGTGGATGGATGGACAGACGGATGGATGGATGGACTAATGGACAGGTGGATGGATGGGATGGATGGGTAGATGGGTGGGTTGATGAATGAATGGGTAGCTGGATGAATGGGTGGGTGGGTGAATGAATAAATGGGACAGAAGAGAGTGAAGAGGTCAAAGACAGCATTTTAAAATATTCCCACAGAGAACATTCCAGGCCTTGATGGCTTTGCTGATAAATTCTGACAAATATTTAAGCAAGAAATAATAGAAATTTTATCCAAAATCTTCAAGAAAGTTGTAAATGAGTGTGCGACTATTCATTCAGTTATGTTTTCATTGCCTTGCCTGTGTCTGCTAAAAGCTCTACCCCTTCCTCAGGGCCATGAGGGACAGGCTTGAGTCCCACCTCCCAGGTTAGAGTGTGGCCAAGAGCTTCCAGGAATCCACACTCATCCACAAATAACCCTCCCCCAGGCACAGACATCATAAAGCAGGAGATAGAAAAGGGGATGCTGGACAGGGGTCCCAGGGACCTCAGGTGACCTTCCCTGCCCAGGCCCTTCCCTTCCCAGGTCATCACGGGTGTCGCTGTGTTCTTTGGGTCCAGGAGGCTGCATGTGCCCTCACTGGGCCACCAGAGCCCTCTCTGGGCCACTTGTAGCCAAAATGAAGAAAGAATATCAGTCCCTCTCTCAGGGTAGAGCAGCAGGAATTGGCATTTGGGCTGTCGGCCATGCTCTCTGCTTTGTGGAGAAACAGACCTGTAGCAAAAATGAAAGCAACAGGGAGAAACAAGCAAGAGCTAGAGGAAGGACAGGGCGGAAGAGCCACAGGTCCCCAGGAGACCCCACAGACCAGAGGCCCTGAGCTTCCAGGGAGCCCCTCCCACTAACTTTGTATGACCTGGGGCCCTGTCAGTCACAACCCAAACATTCTACCACTGCAGCGTGGGGGACTGGGCCTGGCACAGGGCAGGGGCACCCACTGGAGCCACCTATGTATATCCTCCCGGGAGTCAGCCTGTGGCAAGCTGTGCTGCTTGAGTAGTGGTGGCCCTGGTGGAGCCTAGTGGGGCCACCTCCCCATCTGGGTCCCCAGGAAGGTGCCTAAAGGAGAATCGCTGCTTTTCCAGTCAGTTATAGAGAGTATATGTGATCTTAACAGCTAAGAACTGAATTTTCTCAGGGATAAAACTGTGTTGGCTTAGGAAAATCCCTTGGCTAGGCTACTGGAAGGAAGGTGAGACCCTAAGGACACCTGTTTTTTGTTTTTTTTTTTTTTCAGGAGAAATAGCCCCAAGAGGCAGAACAGGATGATCCTGGGTTGGAACTAACAGACCACCAGAGAAAGCAGAGAAGAGGCCGAGTGCGGTGGCTCACGCCTGTAATCCCAGCACTTTGGGAGGCCAAGGCGGGCAGATCCCAAGGTCAGGAGATCGAGACCATCCTGGCTAACACGGTGAAACCCCATACTAAAAATACAAAATAATTAGCCGGGCATGGTGGTGGGCACCTACAGTCCCAGCTACTCAGGAGAATGGTGTGAACCCAGGAGGTGGAGCTTGCAGTGGGCTGAGATCACGCCACTGCACTCCAGCCTGGGTGACAGAGCAAAACTCCGTCTCAAAAAAAAAAAAGAAAACAGAGAAGAAAGGGGTAGAGAGGAGCTGCGTGGTAAACAGAGGCCCAGGGCATCCATCAGGAAGGATGGTCCAGTCCATTATCTGTCTAGCCACAAGCAGTTTTCATGGCTGCAAGGCGAACTCGCCCTCCATCTCCTCAAACCCCGAGAACTCAGGTGGACGGTGCATGCGTGTGTGTGCTCGTGTGTGTGCCTGCCTGCTGTGTGTGTGCATGAGCCCACACATGTGCCCACCTGCCTGTGTGTCTCTATGTGTACATGTGTGTGTCTGTGTGTAAAAGCTGGGGACTGCCATTCATGTTTCAAGGATACGAATCCCTCCAGGATAGAGACATAGGAAGGGCCACAAGCCCCCATGGCAGAGGACGACTCTAGCAGGGGCACAAAGTAACCAGGAACACAGAGCTTCCTCAGCCCCAAACCCTCCTGAACTTTGCTCAAAAGCATAAATGGAGAGTGAGCCGATTGTATTTAGTTCCCGAAGGTCCAGTGCTCCTGACATCTGTGATACGGGTGTTCTTTTTAGAAAAAAATGAGAGGTCTTTGTTAAAACTCCAAGCACACATTAGCCATAGGTGAAAAGATGAACATCTCACCCCGGGTTTTCAGCAGCCTCATGATACTGTGTACAGTTTGGTGCCTTGTCTTTTTTTTTCTTTTTCTTTTTCTTTTCCTTTTTTTGAGACAAGAGTTTCGCTCTTGTTGCCCAGGCTGGAGTGCAATGGTGCGATCTCGGCTCACCGCAACCTGTGCCTCCTGGATTCAAGCGATTCTCCTGCCTCTCGGCCTCTCGAGTAGCTGGGGTTACAGGCATGCGCCACCATGCCCGGCTAATTTTGTATTTTTAGTAGAGACGGGGTTTCTCCATGTTGGTCAGGCTGGTCTCGAACTCCCGACCTCAGGTGATCCACCTGTCTCAGCCTCCCTAAGTGCTGGGATTACAGGCGCCTGGCCCTGGTGCCTTGTCTTTCAAATGATATCTCTGCCTGCCTGATCTAACCCTGGGGTGACCTGGCTCTCCATGGGTCCTTCTCGAAGTTCAGTCTCTGGCAGCTTCCACGTGTTTCCCACAGTCCTCTTTGTCAAAAATCATTCATAATAACAACAGCAATACGAATAAAACATTCACTGCACTCCGGGGACTATTCTAGGTGATTTGTAGAAACTCGTTTAGTCTTCTCAAGAGCCTGATGAAATCAGAACTATCAGCACCACCATTTTACAGAGGAGGAAACGGAGGCACAAAGGGGTTAAGAACTTTCCCAAGGCCACACAGCTTGGGTAGAGCAGAGATTCAAATCCACGCAGCCTGAGCCCAGAGTCTGTGCATGTAACCATTGGACCACACTGCCTCTCGTTTAGGGGGTCTGCGGGGTCTGTTGAAGCCCTGGCCAGCACTGGCTGCTCTGAGCTCACTCTGTGAGGCTCCTGCATCCACAGAAGCAGGAAAGAAGGCTCCTGCTAGCACAGTGTGTTTGCACACGGCCGGCCAAATCCCACACTGTTTTCCGATGAGATGAGAGGAATGTTGCCAAAATCCACATCATGCCTTCCCCTGCCCTCCCCACAGCTAGACTTGTCCTTGTATCCACTTAAAATCACTCCTCTGAACAATAGGCTGCAACTCACAAAGTCAAAAAGAGACAGCTCTCTACTAGAAGACGGGTATTCTTGAGAATGCAGCTCAACCAGCATGAAACTTCTCCAATAAAGATGCTGCAATCATAAGGTAGAAGCCGAGAATCGTGGGAGCCCACAGGAAGGGGGGCCCTGGGCACAGGCTCCAGAGGAATGGCTCAGAGGGAAGCATTTGTACCCAGCCTTGTTAAAATGTGCCAGCCAGAAAATGCTGGCTATGGGCAAGACCCTCCAAAAACACAGAACAGTGCAAAGTTCAACCTGTTTGAGCAGCTCCCATTTTGACGAGCCTGGTTCCGACGTCTGGTTAACATCTCTTTGTTGAATTTTAACATAAAACATCTTTTTGACACAACAAGAAGAGCAAAGTCCCTTTGGAGCAGGAAGGCCAGGCTCACAGGTGCCGCCAGGCACATGAAAGGGCAGGGCAGCTGAGCCATGCTGCCCTGCGCCCTCCTTGGCCTACTTAGGCAGATTTGCTCAATGAGCCAGAGGAACCCCCCAGGCGGAGGCTCCAGTAGGGGCTGGAGAGAAGGGGTCTGCGCAGTGTGGGGCCTGCGGTTAGGGCTGTGGCAGCTCGCATCAGGGACAAATTAAAGCCACGAGTGTGCTCCCCTGGCCCTGGCCACCTTCTTGAGCTGGTGCCGAGCCAGCAGCCCGTGGCTGCCTCCCCACATTGCAGCCTCCGTGTGGGCGGCGGGACACACAGGTGGCCGGCCATCGCCTGCTCCCAGGGATCAGCAGCCTTCAGGCCAGAGGAAAATGTATTTTTATTCAAGTGATGTCTGTGAATGCTCTAGAAGGGTGCAGGGAGGCAGGGAGAGGCTGTTGAGCGAGTGCTGTTGGGGACGGGGCTAGGGCCACACATGTGAAGCAGAGGTGGAAATGGCTGTTCCTGGGGTGACAGCCCATGGGGAGGCTGACCTTCTGGGAAAAGCTTTTGCTGGGCTTTGGGGTACACAAGCGCAAAGCTAGAAGCTGGTCCAGCGGGAGAGGAGGCCAAGCTGGAGGGTGGAAAGTGTGGGAGCTCTTCCTGGGCTCTGAGGGCACTAGGACAGGATTGATTTGAGTCTCCCTCTAGGACCCCCTCACCACCACTCCCCCTTACCGCTCCGTCACCAGCAGCATCACCATCTCAATCACCACCATCATCATCTCAATCATCACCACCACCACCACCACCACCATCTCAGTCACCACCACCACCATTTCAATCAGCACCTTCTTAATCATCATCATCACCATCTCAATTATCATCACCTCAGTCATCACCATCACCATCTCAATCACCACCAGTACCATCATCCCAATCACCACCACCACCATCACCACCATCTCAATCATCACCACCATCTCAATCATCACCACCATCTCAATCACCACCATCACCACCATCATCTCAATCACCACCATCTCAATCACCACCATCACCACCATCATCTCAATCACCACCATCTCAATCACCACCACCACCACCATCTCAATCATCCCACAACCATCTCAATCACCACCATCACCATCTCAGTCACCACCATCACCACCATCTCAGTCACCACCAGCACCACCATCTCAGTCACCACCAGCACCATCTCAGTCACCACCACCACCATCAGCAGCAGCGCCACCATCATTGTCATTCCTATCATCACCATCATCATCACAGTCATAAGCACTGGGGCATTTCCCAGTTGTTCTGTGGGGAATTTCAAGTTGAGCCTGTGGCCGCGTTTGGGGCACATTTGGTAGTGACGAGTAGCAAAGCCACTGCCATTTTTCAGAAAGGCAGTGGCCCAGGCTATTCCAAACAGCAGTTTGGAGCAAGCAATGCCCAGGAGAGCAGACCTTCAGAGGCTTTGGAGGAGCTGGCAGTCCCAAGCCTAACATGGGTTGGGGGCCCTCATTATCCTGGGGGCCCTCATTATCCTCACGTAAACACTCCGAGAGCTGGAGGAGGACCCTCAGAGAACCAGGACATCTTGCCCTAAAGACCACCTCGTAGAGTGGAGAGCATGATGCCCTTTCCACAGATGAGGAAATCAAGGCCCAGAAGACCTGGATTTAAACTGAAACTGTGAAGATGGCCACGCCTCTCTGCAGCCCTGGCTGGGCCCTACCCTGTGTGCCAGTCCTGTGCTGGGCACGGTTAGAGGCACGATGACTCGGACCTGGCCCTTAGAAAACCTGCAGCCCATCACCTCACGCAAAGCACCTCCAGGTGGTGGGCACCGTTCTGGAGGGCTTCAGGGATTGGGAAACGAGGAGACAGGGATGGGCCTGGACGGGCGGAGACGGTGGCCACAGCATTCAGGTGGAAGAAACAGCAAAGGAGCGAAGACAGGAGTGCAGGACCTCTTCAGAAGAGAGTCAGTGCCTGTGTGGGCAGGGCCGAGGCCACGTGATGGAAGCAGCCGAAGGGAGAAAAGAGGGTTCCCATGGCCTCGGCCTCCTCTCCAAGGCACTAGGGAGTGATCTCAGACTCTAAGCAAGGGGTGACAAGCTAGAGGCTCGCAGATCCTTCAAAGGGTCCACACAGAGCTTCTCCCAGGAGCGCACTTCTACCTCCGAGAACCCAGCCCACAGAGACAAAGGCTGGGAGGAGAGCAGAGGCTCTGATCCTGCAGTAATAGTTTCCAAGCCCCAGGCAACCTCGAGGGGCACAGAGCCCTGTCAGGCCCTGAGCAAGCCCAGCCAGCTTTGGCTGCTGCCTCCTTCAGCCGCCCGCCTGGATTCGGCCAGCCCTGCTGAGTCACGGACAGTAAGCTCTCCTGCCTGCCCTTTCTCCTGCCTGGCCTGGGACCAGAGGCAGCTGCTGTCACCACAGGACATTGGGGGCTGGGAGGAATCACAAAAAACCTGCTGCACGAACCAGCCAGAAGGATGCCCACCGCGCAACCCCAGGTCCAAAAAAAAAAGAATACGTTGACAAACCACGTGCCTGTGCCATTTCTCCTGTAACAAGGCAGGCCCAGGACAGGGTTGAGGCCTCACGACCATGGGGTCTCCCTTCATTGAATTCGCTGTCATTGCCTCCACTCTCCTTGACCCTTCCCCCTCCCAAAATCTTATCCTCCACCCGCCACTCACCCCTGTGGTCTAGTGCTCATCGCTAGACCAGTAGCTGCCCGTGTCCCAGCTCTCCACCTGGATTCCCCTCCAGACCTAGACTGTAACAGTACTTCCATCCTGTGGGCTGTAAGACTCAGCGCCCCTCCTCCTGCACTGTCCCAGTGGCCTCGCGTCCCTTTAGCCACTAGCTCAGGACTCCTCCGGGGAACATCTTGTAGCCATGCCCTTGCACATGCGCACCATGCAGCGGCCCCATCTCTCTCCCCCTTTGCTGCCTGGCCAGGCTCCTCCATGCCCAAACCTAACTCTGTCCACACCACGCCTGCCCCCCGCAGAGGAGGCAAAATCTCATCACAGACCCCACCGAGGGGCACCAGCAGCAACCATCCCACTCTGGTCCATCGGCTCTCCCGCCTCTCTGTCTTCAAACTTGCCACACCTCCCTAAGCTCAACTGTCTACCTTGCTTCGTATTTCACTGGCCCCTCTTGTCCTCCCAACACAGAGCTTCGTTTGTGTCTGCACGATCACCCTCATCTCCTGCAGCTGGCAATGAACTCCTGGGGCCACTGTGCTCTGGGTTCCGTCCCCTCTCACAGTCTCAAGGACTCTGCTCAAATATCCCTCCTGCCAACAACATCAAGGTTTCCCTTTCTAACATGCGATCCATCAGCATACAAGTGAGTTGTAATAACCCCTCTGCTTGAAAACAAGGCTTCATAACACAATTGTGTGAGCTCCCACAGCAGAGATGACCAACTGCCCCCCAGCACCCACGCTTCCCCATTCCAGTGTTGAGATGTGGCCTGATAGCAGCAGCCTAGCCAGGAACTGCGTCCCTCCCCACCTTCTGCCTTGTCACCAGTTCTCAGCAGTGGGATGTGAATGGAATAAATGTGGGTCACTTCTGGGCTAAGATGGTCAAAATGCAGGTGAATGCAGGCTGGGCGCAGTGGCTCACACCTGTAATCCCAGCACTTTGGGAGGCTGAAGCAGGTGGATCACTTGAGGTCAGGAGTCTGGGATCAGCCTGGCCAACATGGCAAAAACCCGTCTCTACTAAAAATACAAAAATTAGCCGGGCGTGGTGATGCGCACCTGTAATCCCAGCTACTCCAGAGGCTGAGGCAGGAAAATCACTTGAACCTGGGAGGCGGAAGTTGCAGTGAGCTGAGATTGCTCACTGGTGACAGGGCAAGACTCCATCTCAAAAAAATAATAATAAAAAAAATTTGTAAACGCAGGTGGATGCTTCATCCTCTCTTCCCCTCTGTGGCTGGATGCACACGAGCACAGCCAGCGTGGATGCCAAGGACAGAGCTGCGAGATGGGGAGAGCCTGCGTTCCCAGACACCTCTTGGAGGAGAGCTGCCCACAGTCAGCAACAGCCATTTGGGACTTTACACAATCAATAAATAAACTTCTACTGTGTTTGAGCTGCTATACATTTCGAGGTTGGCTTGCCACAGCAGCCAGCGTTACTCTAATTAATGCGAACCACATCCCCATTTTCCTGCTTCTCCTTAGAGTGAAACTCCGTAGGTGAGCTGCCTGTCTTCACCGACTTCACTTCCCTGCCTCCAGCACTCTCACAGTCCTGTGCCTCTGTGCACTTCACCTCACCCCTCCACGGTAAACCCTCAAGCCAGGGCCCTCAGAGAAGTCCATGCTGCCAAATCCAGGGGCTAATTCTAGACCTTATCCCACCCCACCTCTCAGCAGGATGAGACTTTTTTGTTTCCTTGTTTTTGAGATGGAGTTTCACTCTTGTTGCCCAGGCTGGAGTGCAATGACGTGATCTCGGCTCACCACAACGTCTGCCTCCCAGGTCCAAGAAATTCTCCTGCCTCAGCCTCCTGAGTAGCTGGGATTACAGGCATGTGCCACCATGCCTGGCTAATTTTTTGTATTTTTAGTAGAGACAGGGTTTCACCATGTTGGCCAGGCTGGTCTCGAACTTCTGACCTCAGGTGATTCACCTGCCTCAGCCTCCCAAAGTGCTGGGATTACAGGCGTGAGCCACCGCGCCCGGCCAAGGATGTGACATTGCTGATTGACTCTGTCAGATACTTTTCACTCTGGCTTCCGGGGCATCCTGCTGTCCTGGTTTCCAGGCCTCACTGGTTTTGCCTTCACAGCTCTTTTGCTGGGTCATCCTCTTACTGACCTCTCAACATCAGAGACCAAAGGCTCCATCACAAACGTCATCTCTTTGCTATGAAAGCTTGCACCCTACGTGAGCTTATCCAGTCCTGTGACTTAAAATGCCTTTTATCCCCTAATTATTCCCAAGTCGCTCCATGATGCCACCACCTGGATGGCTAATAGACATGTCAATATCATCACACAAAAAAAGATTTATTTTCCCATCAAACTTGCTTCTCCCCGAGTGTTCTGCTTCTCTGTAAATGGCCCACCATCCACCCACCACCCACCTGATCATCAGTTTATCCTTTTTCTTCACCCTCGGCCCTGTATTTAGTCAAAGAAAAGCAATATGCCCCAAACCCAAGCATTTCTCTCCACCTGCCCTAATCCCCTAGCCCTGACCCTCATTGCTCACATGATCCACCCCAACAGCCTCCTGGGGGAACCCCTTCTTCTATATTTGTCCCATTTTCAGTCTGTTCTCCACACAGCAGCCAGGGAGATTTGTAAAAACATTAGTCAGATCATGCCACTTCTCTCCTCAAAACCCTATAAGGAAGTGTATGTTTTGGCCCCAAAACTGCTCTACTTTTCCCACTCACTTCTCCCCAACCATACTGGCCTCCTTCCTACTTCTTGAGCATAAAATCACATGCCCACCCCAGGGTCTTTGCATAATACTCTTCCCTCTGCCTGCAATATTCTTTCCCCAGTCAACTGTGTGTCTTGTCCCCTCATCTACTTGGGTCTCTTTCAATGCCACCTCCACAGAGAAGTCTTCCCTGACTGCCCCACCCAAAGTGGCAACATGATCCTTACTCTCTGCCCCTTATGCTATCTTGTTCTCTCCACAGCATGATTACTACTTGTCACTATATTCATTTATTTCTTGATGTGTTTCTCCTCTCTCATTGGCATGTCTTTCTACATATCAATGAGAACAGGGAATTATCTTGTTTGTTCACCGCTGCATCCCTGTGCCTAGAGCAGTGGCTGGTGCATTATCAACACTCAGCTCAACAAATGAATATTGATATTAAGAAGAAAGACACTCTTCTTTTTTTTTTTTTTTTTTTTTTGAGACAGAATCTTGCTCTGTCACCCAGGCTGGAGTGCAGTGGCGTGATCTTGGCTCCACTGCAACCTCCGCCTCATGGATTCAAGCAATTCTCCTGCCTCAGCAACCCTGGTAGCTGGGATTACAGGTGTGTGCCACCACCTCTGGCTAATTTTTGTATTTTTACTAGAGGCAGGGTTTCCCCATGTTGGCCAGGCTGGTCTCAAACTCCTGACCTCAAGTGATCCACTCGCCTCGGCCTCCCAAAGTGCTGGGATTCCGGCCGTGAGCCACCACGCCTGGCCCAAGAGAAACACTCGTAATATCCACTAAGAGATCAAGGAAATTATTCCACCTATGAAACAAGAAGTGGAAACTAGGAAACAAGAAGAAGCAGTTATAGGAAGAACCAAACACGGATTCTGAAATGGAAATTACACATTCTGAAATTAAAATGCTGGTGATTTGGGGCTGGGTGCAGTGGCTCATGCCTATAATCCCAGTACTTTGGGAGGCCGAGGTGGGCAGATCAGTTGAGGCCAGGAGTTCGAGACCAGCCTGGCCAACATGGTGAAACCCCATCGATATTAAAAATACAAAAATTAGCTGGGCATGGTGGCACATGCCTATAGACCCAGCTACTTAGGAGGCTGAGGCATGAGAATTGCTTGAACCTGGGCAGTGGAGACTGCAATGGGCCAAGATGGCGCCACTGCACTCCAGCCTGGGCAACAGAGCAAGACTCTGACTCAACTTAAAAAAAAAAAAGTGGAGAAAGCTGCATGAGAAGCATTTTTTTGGGAGAGCTCAGCTTTGGCCACACTAAGTGTGAGATGTTTATTAAGCACCTAAGATTAGGCAGTTGGATCAAAATCTAGCATTCCAAGAAGAGGTACAGGCTAAAGATGTGAATGGACCAGATGATAGAGAATATAGAGAAGACCAAGGAGTGAGCTCAGTGGCCTCCAATGTTAACAGTGTGTGGAGAAGAGGAAAACCCAACCAAGAAGATTGAGAACTAGTGAGTCCTGGAGGCCCAGGGAAGAAAGTATTCTCAGATGGAGATCAGAGACAGATGGCTCAAGTAAGATGAGGACTGAAAATGTCATTGAATCTAGCAGCATGGAGGTCATTGGTGACAGCAGAGTGATAGGGGCAAAACCTTGATGGGAATGAATCCAAAAACAAACAAAAAAATGGGAAGACAGAAACTGGAAATGAGTGTCAATAATACTTTCATAGAATTTTGTTGTAAATACAAGCAAAGGTGGGGCAGTCGCTTAAGAAGAAAGAGGGGCTCAAATGGAGGGGGAGTTTTTGGAAGGCTACAGAAAAAAATGGCATATTTGTACATTGGTGGAAATTATCCAGTAGCGAGGGAAAGACAAATGCCAAAGAGAGATGTGAGCAGGCAAAGGGGGGTGGGCTCTAGGCACACAGTGAGGGGTTGGCATGGATGAGAGAGAAACCAAACTGGGTGGAAGGAAGGCAGAATGTGGGGGCACCAAGGCAGGTGAGCTGGTGAGAGAATTAGACTGTTGGCTTCTGATGGCTTCTATTGTTTTAGTGAAATAAGAAAAAAGGTCATCTATTGAGAGAGAGGATAGAAGAGAAGGTGGTAGGTTTGAAGAGAGAAGATGGTATCAAATAACCCCTGGTTTGTGTGTTCAAATATAAGGGTAACAGAAATAAAACGTACAACTGACAGACCAAGACAGTAGAAGAATATAACAAGAAAACTTAATGGATTCAGTAGAAATTAGGAACAAGGAAACCAAGATTTAAAGGGAAAATGTGGTAAACAAGAAAACATACAGTAAGTCCAAACATGTCAATAATTACAATAAATGTGAACAGGTTAAAATCGCTAATTAAAAGGCAGAGGTATTTCTTTTGGATTTTACAAAAGGAAATGTAAAGCTTATTTGGCAGCTCAAGCTGATGAAGCTAAACATATCAGTTACTAAAACAAAGTCTGCACATATTTACACCAAACTGTAAACAGTAGTGTAACTCACTGGTTGATGAGTATATGAGGGATCTTTATTTTCATTTCAATATGTTCTGAATTTTTGAGGAAGTGTGTAAATTATTTCATAATTAGAAAATAAATGAAATTTTTAAAAAAATCATCCATGCACTTCAGCAAGTCTCCATGGAACCTTTATTTGTTGTCCAAATCAGTTCCAAAGAGCCTCTAAAGAAGGGTTCCAGACTACCAGGAGCTCACTGGAAATAAGACCAACTGGACCATAATAGAAGAATGCAGGTCATGGCTGGGTGCCGCAACTCACACCACTTTGGGAGGCCAAGGCAGGCAGATCACCTGAGGTCAGGAGTTTGAGAAGAATGCAGGACAGTGTAAAGATGAGATTCCACTGACAACTCTGAGCCCTAGTTGTAGGCAGGAATAAGTGAAGAGAGCCCGCTGGAGGAGGAGTATTTGGACTGTGCCCATTCCACACAGTATGTGGCCTAAGGGTGAGCCTGGAGACAGCATTCCAGGCTGGAGGTCCAACATAAGCAAGGGTGGGAACTGAGAAAGCATGTACAGGGCATGTGGTGGAAGCAGTGGATGACTCAAGGTGCAGAGCCCAGGGAGGCAAAGAAGTTGGCTTGGTAAGCCATGTGGAGGGGCAGCGGGAAGAGTCGGTGAAGCAAAAAGAAGCAGATGGGAGGGGCATTTATGCCTCAAATGGAGAGTTTTATGCCCAAAGCTCATAAGAGCAAACACCTGGGTTGCCATCACTGCTGCACTGCACATATACGCATGCACACATGTACACACATGCACTTGTGCAAACACATGTGCACACATACACAGACATGTGCACACACCCACATATACATACACTTCTTTTTTTTCTTTTCTTTTTTTTTTTTTTTTTGAGATAAGAGTCTTTCTCTGTCAACCAGGCTGGAGGGCAGTGGTGCAATCTCAGCTTGCTGCAACCTCTGCCTCCTGGGTTCAAGAGATTCTCCTGCCTCAGCCTCCCAAGTAGCTGGAATTACAGCTGTGCACCACGACCATGCTCAGCTAACTTTTGTATTTTTAGTAGAGATGGGTTTTTGCCATGTTGGCCAAGCTGGTCTTGAACTCTTGACCTCAAGTGATCCCCCCACCTCGGCCTCCCAAAGTGCTGGGATTACAGGCATGAGCCACCACGCCCGGCCATGCACACACACTTTTTAACTGCTTTGTGTTCTCTGGCCCTTTCGCCTACAGAATTAGCTATCGAGACCAAGGGGGTTCTCTTGGCCTCGGTCCAGCCTTTCCTGAACCCCACACCCTGCATCAGCACACACTGCTGTCCACTCACCTGCCCTAGTAAGTCACCACTAGCTGTTGTTGACTGGGAGCCCCTTGGCTTTTAAGCAGGATTTGACCCAAGGGCTCGCAGTGCGTGGTGGGTCCAGGGGCAGGAGTTGAGGCAGAAAGACAAGGGCAGGGACAGCTGTGGAGTGGGGGAGGTGGGAGAGAGAAATCCTTAGGAGGCAAAACTAGCCAGGCTTGGCCCCTGGTGGATTTGGGAGGCAGGGAGCAGGAGGCGTGAACCAAGACGCTGGGTTCCAGGCCAGACACTGTGACATGAGAGGCCATAGCTGAGGTGGGGCTCTGCAGGAGGCATAGATTTGGGGAGGGGACAGAGATCTCAGGGTGGCATTGGGCACACCGAACCTGGGGAGTCTGTGGGGTGTCTGTTGATGCTGGGAAGCTCCACCGAGGACTCAGGACAGGGTAACAGCAAAGCGGGCACAGGACGCCAACCACAGCAGGTGAGTGGAGGCAGGAGCCACGGGTGGGGCCAGGCCACACAGCCTGGGAGGCGCAGGGGCTGGGCAGCTGCCAGTGACCCAAGCCCACACAGAGACTTGCACAGCTGCCCCAGCCCCAAATTAGGGGGATCCCCTGGCCCACCTTCTCTTGGCTCAGCCACTCTGGGAGGTGGGCACACAGGGGCACCGAAGGGAGCAGGCAGCCCTGGCATCCCACAGCCGCCAGGAGAAAAACTTAGGCCTCCCCAAGACCTGGCACAGAGCAGGCCGGCCCTGGCCCCCAAGCAGAGGAGGCTGCACCTCCCTCGCGTCTGTGCCTGCCTCAACGCGGGTTAAACTTTGACCAAGGAAATGATTGCTAAACTCGATTCCATAAGTGTCACCGGTCACACTTTAATTCCAGTCTAAAATTAAAGTCTTCAGTCTCCACATTCCCTACTTTCCAAATTCAGCTTTCCCGGGAGGTCTGGAGCAGCTGCCTCTCTGGGGAGATGCTGGAGGTCTCGGAATCACCTCACGCGGCCTCAGGGCCCAGTTGGAGCCACCCCAAGTGACACCAGCAGGCAGATGACCAGAGAGCCTGAGCCTCCGGCCCCGAGTCTGTGAAGCCTAGCCGCTGGGCTGGAGAAGCCACTGTGGGCACCACCGTGGGGGAAACAGGCCCGTTGCCCTGGCCTCTTTGCCCTGGGCCAGCCTTTGTGAAGTGGGCCCCTCTTCTGGGCCCCTTGAGTAGGTTCCATGGCATTTTCTGAACTCCTGGACCTCGTGGGTGGCCTGGGCAGGTTCCAGGTTCTCCAGACGATGGCTCTGATGGTCTCCATCATGTGGCTGTGTACCCAGAGCATGCTGGAGAACTTCTCGGCCGCCGTGCCCAGCCACCGCTGCTGGGCACCCCTCCTGGACAACAGCACGGCTCAGGCCAGCATCCTAGGGAGCTTGAGTCCTGAGGCCCTCCTGGCTATTTCCATCCCGCCGGGCCCCAACCAGAGGCCCCACCAGTGCCGCCGCTTCCGCCAGCCACAGTGGCAGCTCTTGGACCCCAATGCCACGGCCACCAGCTGGAGCGAGGCCGACACGGAGCCGTGTGTGGATGGCTGGGTCTATGACCGCAGCATCTTCACCTCCACAATCGTGGCCAAGGTAGGGCCTCCCCCAGAGCCACTCGAGTCCCACCACCTTGGAGGTCAGTCATGGATCACGGTGGGTCAGACTCAAAGGTCCAGTCCTGGGAGGGACCCACCTCCCCAGGCCCCACTCACTCTCGAGCCTCTCAGCCCCTCGTCAGCCACACACAGGGAAGTGGGCGGCAGGGATCAGTCTACAAATGGGGCCAGCCCAGGCTCTTGGAGGTGCGGGGGGCACCTGGGCGGGCACCTCTAAATGCTGGCACCTGGACACTCACCGGCCTCACCCTGTCCTGGCCCTGCTGACCTGTCAGCCGTGACTCCAGGCAACTCAGCAGCAGGGGGACTCAGTGACAATTCACTGGATTCCCCGAGACCAAAGCACACAGAGTAAGGGATTACCCCAGGCTGCCTCCCAGATGGGGCGCCAGGCAAAGCCAGGCAAGCAGAGAGGGGCAGCTCATCCCAACAAGTGGGAAGAACCTCTTTATAAAGAACAGGAGGGAAGCAACCTCTGGGAGAGGGGTGAGGGTGTCAGCTTGGGTGGCTGCTTCCAAGTGGAGAGACAGGAGAGAGGGGCAGATGTGGCTAGAGACCCATTGGGCAATAGGGAGCCATGGAAGAGTTCAGGCAGAGGGTGGCAGGATATACTCCTCAAAAGGCCAAACTATGCCTGTGGGTGCCCTCACTGTTCCACAGGGTCTTGCTCTAAAACCCTAGAGGTCACCAGACCACCCACCGCACCCAGCTCCCTGGGGGCCCTCCCATGCGGTTCCTCTGCCTCTCTGCTGGGGCTCTCCCAACCTCCTGAGCTCAGCCTCCTCCTCTCCCATCAGTGGAACCTCGTGTGTGACTCTCATGCTCTGAAGCCCATGGCCCAGTCCATCTACCTGGCTGGGATTCTGGTGGGAGCTGCTGCGTGCGGCCCTGCCTCAGACAGGTGAGTACCCCCAGTCCAGGCAGGTCCCAGTTCCCCTCACAACCCCTGCTCTCCTAGGACCCTGGCCGACTGGCCCCAAACCAGCCTCACAAAACCAAGTCTAGAAAGCGCCCTACTTGCTGGGTGTGGGTCTCGGACCAGCCACCCTGCAGCCGTGCCAGGTAGGGAGGTCTGGAACCTTCTCTGAACCTCGAGTTCACCAACTTTACTCTGGGGGTTGTAGAGGATTTCTGCTCCCCAGCAAACATTCACTGCTAAAACTGGCTTGGCCATGCGCCTTCCTTCAGCAGCAACCTGAGTGCTCCTGGTGACTGGAGCCCATTCCCTTTGGCTCTGGCCTCGGGACTCTCCTTGTGCTCCGGAGGGTTCCGTAGGTGGAGAATGTAGGTTTCACCCAGGTGCCGCTTCAGTGTCCGCCTCAGCTCAGCGGGCAAGCATAGGGTGGGCTCTAGGTGTTCCAGAGCCCCGTGGCCTGTGCCGTGGCAAGCCACAGACCCTGCCTCTTCCTGGTTTGTGCCGCAGGTTTGGGCGCAGGCTGGTGCTAACCTGGAGCTACCTTCAGATGGCTGTGATGGGTACGGCAGCTGCCTTCGCCCCTGCCTTCCCCGTGTACTGCCTGTTCCGCTTCCTGTTGGCCTTTGCCGTGGCAGGCGTCATGATGAACACGGGCACTCTCCGTAGGTCTCTGACCTGGCGCCATGCAGGGGGGCTCCATGCAGGCTCCAGGGCTGAACCACTCGGTCTCCTTGCAGTGATGGAGTGGACGGCGGCACGGGCCCGACCCTTGGTGATGACCTTGAACTCTCTGGGCTTCAGCTTCGGCCATGGCCTGACAGCTGCAGTGGCCTACGGTGTGCGGGACTGGACACTGCTGCAGCTGGTGGTCTCGGTCCCCTTCTTCCTCTGCTTTTTGTACTCCTGGTGGGTGCTGTGCCCCACTCCCCTCCTCAGAGGAGATCCTGCCCACTCTCCACCCGGGGGAATGGGAGACTCTCCTTTCCCTGGGGGCTGGGGAGTGCTAGAGGCCAGGGGTGCATGGGCTGGAGGAAAGCCAGGAGCGTGGCAGAGTGTACCACCCACAAACCCAAGACACCCACTTCAACCAGGGCTTGGGTCCCCAGGGCGCCTCCCCTGCTCCTCTCAAGTGCTCCTTCTCCTACTTATTCTTCTCTTTTCCTCCCTCCTCCTCATCTCTTGGCCTATTCTCCTCTCCTGTCCCTGCCTGCCTTGGCATCTATGCTGCCAGGCCCATCTTCTGAGCCCCTCCTCTGTGTGTGCCAGGCATGGCAGCACTGAGCTAGGCTAGGGGAGCGAGTGGAAAGATACAACACATGCCCGCACACACAGCGCACAGCCGCAGTCTGCTTCATGGGCTGACAGAATCAATGCTTGTGTCTGTCTGCTGGAAGACAGGGACCAGGATCCACTCATCAGAGGGGAGTCCACAGTCCCCACAGAGGGCCGGCATGTGTGGGAGGTTAGGAAATGTCAGCACTGCCCTGAAACAAATCAGGCGTGGCCCTTGCCGAGCACCTGGCACATAGTAGGTGCTAAATAAATATTTGTTGAATGGATGAATTGTTAGGTAAGTAGAAATAGATAGATAGGTAGGTAGGTAGGTAGGTAGGTAGGTAGGTAGGTAGATAGATAGAGACAGATAAATAAATGGGTTGACAGATGTGTGGATTGGATGAGTGGATGGGTGAGTTGGTGGATAGATGGATTGGATTGTATAGATGAATTGAATGGATGGTTGAATGGATGGATAGATGGATGGATGGTTGGAATAGATGGATGGACGGATGGATGGATGGATGGATGGATGGATGGATGGATGGATGGACGGACAGACGGACGGACGGTTGGATGGATGGATGGATGGATGGATGAATGGATAGTTGGAATAAATGGATGGATGGATGAATGGATGGATGGATGGGTGGATGGACGGACGGATGGATGGACAGATGGAATGGATGGATGGATGGTTGGAATGGATGGATGGATGGAATGGATGGATGGATGGAATGGATGGATGGATTGTTGAATGGATGGTTGGATGGATGGATGGATGGATGGTTGGAATAGATGGATGGATGGATGGGTGGATGGATGGATGGATGGATGGATGGATGGATGGTTGGAATAGATGGATGGATGGATGGGTGGATGGATGGATGGATGGATGGATGGATAGATGGATAGATGGAAAGGATGGATGGATGGATGGATGGATGGATGGATGGATGGATGGTTGAATGGATGGTTGAATGGATGGTTGGATGGATGGATGGATGGATGGATGGACGGATGGATGGATGTTTGGAATAGATGGATGGATGGATGGATGGATGGATGGATGGATGGATGGAATGGATGGATGGATGGATGGATGGTTGAATGGATGGTTGGATGGATGGATGGATGGATGGATGGATGGATGGATGGATGGTTGAATGGATGGTTGAATGGATGGATGGATGGATGGATGGATGGATGGATGGATGGATGGACGGACGGATGGATGGATGGATGTTTGGAATAGATGGATGGATGGATGATGGATGGATGGAATGGATGGATGTTTGGAATAGATGGATGGATGGATGGAATGGATGGATGGATGGTTGGAATGAATGGATGGATGGATGGTTGGAATGGATGGATGGATGGATGGTTGGAATGGATGGATGGATGGAATGGAAGGAGGGATGGATGGATGGATGGTTGAATGGATGGATAGATGGATGGATGGTTGAATGGGTGGAATGAAAGGATGGATGGTTGTAATAGATGGATGGATGGATGGTTGGAATAGATGGATGGATGGATGGATGGTTGGAATAGACGGATGGATGGATGGTTGGAATAGATGGATGGATGGATGGTTGGAATGGATGAATGGATGGATGGATAGATGATTGGAATAGATGGATGGATGGACGGTTGAATGGATGGATGGATGGATGGATGGATAGTTGAATGGATGGAATGGATGGATGGATGGTTGGAATAGATGAATGGATAGATGGTTGGAAAAGATGGATGGATGGATGGATGGATGGATGGATGGATGGATGGATGGAATGGATGGATGGTTGGAATAGATGGAATGGATGGATGGATGGATGGATGGATGGAATGGATGGATGGTTGGAATAGATGGAATGGATAGATGGATGGATGGATGGATGGTTTGATGGTTGAATGGATGGATGGATGGAATGGATGGATGAATGGAATTGATGGATGGATGGGATGGATGGATGGATTGATGGATAGTTGGAATAGATGGAATGGATGGATGGATGGATGGTCGAATGGATAGTTGAATGGATGGATGCATGGATGGATGGATGGATGGAATGGATGGATGGATGGATGGATGGATGGATGGATGGATGGATGGCTGAATGGATGGTTGAATGGATGGTTGAATGGATGGATGGATGGATGGGTGGATGGATGGATGAATGGATGGATGGATGGATGGAATGGATGGATGGATGGTTGGATGGATGGTTGAATGGATGGATAGGTGGATTAATTGGATGAACTGGATGGATGAATGGATAGATGGATGGACGGAGGCCATTTGAGGGCAGGGCTGAGCCTGGATCATTCATACACAGGCCCTGCACTTAGTAGTTGTTTGGTCATTGGGACCACTGTAGAAAGGAGCACAGCAGAGGCCCAGTGGTGAGCAGGTGCCCGCACCCACACTAAGAAGAAGGCTGAGTCCACAAATCTCTCCCACCCAACAGCTTGGAGTGGAGTAACAATTTGCAGCCACTCCTCAGAGCAGGAGAAAATTACATCTCATACAGTGGCTCCACAAGGAGGCAATCGTGTCCGACAAGAGCCTTCTGGGATGGCAGCTTGACTCCCAACACCAAGAGGGTAGAGAGTGGAAGGTAAAGGTCAGTGATAAAAATTCCAAGGCACCCCTCCTGGTTCTCATGCTGATGCAGGGCCACAGAGCTGCACCCCCCTTTCCTTGGTAGACGTGCTCCCACAGGGCTGAAGAAGTGCCCATTCATTCATTCATTACTTCATTCATTCAACAAATAACTACTGAGCACCTACCATGTGCCAGGCGCTGGCTGACACCAGCTATGAGCAGATATGTGGTCTCTGCCCACGTGGAGCTCATAGGGAATCCCACACATCGTGGCCTCACAAACTGTGCTTAGGGCTTGACGAACAACCTGGGGTATTGACATCTGAGAATGGGACCCCGCTTTCTCCCTCCCAGTCACTTACAACACATTCCAGTCAGCTTTCTCCCTCTTCTCCGCCCAAACTGCCCTTCCCAGGGTCACCCACAATGATCTGGCCACCATCACTTGTGGTACCTGCTATGTGGCGGGCACAGTCCACACTCTCTCCCTCAGGCAGCCTCACCCCTGCCTGCAGCCCCAGCTCCCTCCAAATACTGCAGACCCCAAATCTCCACTTGGTCCTGCCTCCCCCACTGACCTCCAGCCTTACACCTCCAACTGCCCACGTGACGGTTCCATTATAGGTGTCTCATCCCCACACACATCTCCTTAGACCTCTCCTCCCCAAGTCTTCCCCAGCGTGGGGAGCAGCCCCTGAACTCACCAGAGTCACAGTGGCCATGACGCCTCTCTCTCCCTCACCATCCCCCCACCAAGTCCACTGGGTCACCAGGCTTCATCAGCTCTATCTCTAATATGCACCTGGAATCTCCACTTCTCCCCTCTGTTCTGCAAATCCCTAAGGAGCTCAGGGCCCCGGTGGGTGTAGGGCAGGTGGCCCCACCCTGGCTGCTCATAGGGGACAACACGTCTGGCTGAAGGACCTGCAGGAGCCAAGGCCTAGAGGCAGGCCCCGTGTAGAGTGGTGGGCATGGCAGGCGCTCAGCAGGCGGGGCGGGACGGTGTGGCATAAGCTCGGTTTGACACTGAGGGTAGTGGGAGACAGGTCAGTGTGAGGGGCTGGGTCCTGCCACAAGGAGGGGAGGTGCTGGGCTCATGAGGCCGAGATAGCAGAGACTCAGGTGCGAGGGGTCCTGGAGGTGTGGGAATCAGCTGACAGGGTGCGGCCAGAGGGCGCTGGTGCTGTTGGGGACCCTGGTCCCAGCCTGAGCCCCGGGGTGGCTGTGAAGCTGTTTGCAGGAGGAAGATGCAGCCATGGGGTGGACAGGAAGGCCATGTGGTATGGGAGGTGCCAGGACAGGGGTGGACCCCAGTCGCCTTGGAGATGGCCAAGGTCCTGGCAGTGGCCAGGATCCAGTGGTCCTGTAGCCCTAGGGGCCCTGACTGCAACCAGGCCGGGTTCCTAGCGAGGCAGGGGAAGGGCTGTGGGGTCTGGAGGGAGGCAGGAAGGGTTCCACAGAGTCATCCCTCCCTCCATCCCAGCAGCCAGCCCCAGGATGAGAACAGCATCCCAACCACAATCCCTAGGAGGGAGAAAGGCAGCAGAAGGGGTCTCCTGCTGGGGAAGGAGGGTGCCCAAGAGGGCTTGGCTGCCACAACGCCCTTCGGGGTCCTCAGCCGCCCTAAGCCTTGGGCCTGGAGCAGTGGGTACAGGGTAGCAGTCTGAGGCTGGCGCAGGCCAGGCACTGGGGGCCACAGGCAATGACCCCTCCCACGCCCCCTCCACTTAAGGTGGCTGGCAGAGTCGGCACGATGGCTCCTCACCACAGGCAGGCTGGATTGGGGCCTGCAGGAGCTGTGGAGGGTGGCTGCCATCAACGGAAAGGGGGCAGTGCAGGACACCCTGACCCCTGAGGTAAGGCTGGGTCCTCCTCAAACCCGGACCCTCAGACCCTCTCCCTGCCCCTGCATAGGGCACCCTGGGAGACCCACCAAGGACCTCAGCTCCCTGGGAAGAAGGTCTCAGAGAGGAGGAGGTGCCTGGCGCCCCCAGTGCCAACAGCACCCACCCCCGCCTCCACAGGTCTTGCTTTCAGCCATGCGGGAGGAGCTGAGCATGGGCCAGCCTCCTGCCAGCCTGGGCACCCTGCTCCGCATGCCCGGACTGCGCTTCCGGACCTGTATCTCCACGTTGTGCTGGTAGATGCCCTTCCCCCAACCCCACCTCCACAGGGGAACCTGGAATCGGGGCTCTCGCTGGCACACGGCCCCGGCCTCTGCTGGCTCCGCTTGGTCCCACTGGCCTGCAACACCGACACCTTCCCCTCTGTCAGTCACTCCCGACAGGAGACAACCCAGGCCGGGTGGGCTCACTGAGGGGGCCTTAATAAGGGGCAAGGCAGATAAAAGAGATGCAGTAGGTAGGATCCCTAACAAAGCTCCTGGGAGGGCTGGGAGCCAGGCATGACGAAGGGGTGATCCAGGCAACAGCATGGGCCGCAAGCACCCCTGCCTGGTGTGGGGCCAGGGAGGGCGGAGAGGGCTTATCAGAGCCCAGGACCCATGGCCATCCAGCAAAGACCAAAACCGCCAAGGCCAAGGAGGGAAGGACTGTTCAGTGGCAGCTGGAGCCACGGAAGGGACATAGTCACTCCCAGACAAAGCCCCCAAGCAGAGAGGGAGGCAGAAATCCCCTGCTTCTCCCCTCCTCCAACCTCTTGCCAGCACCTCCCATCAGCCAAACCCAAAGGGAAGCCATGCTGGCAAGGGGACCTGATAAACATAGTCTAGAGACTGGCCCCGCCCCACAGAGCTGGCAGCTGAAGGGCCAGAACACTGAGCTAAGAGCAGCACACCCCCACCCTGAGCCCCCACCGCCCATTGTTCCCACCCTGCCCACCACCCCCCCCCACCCCCCACCCCCACCCTGACTTCCCTGACCCCTGCCCCAGGTTCGCCTTTGGCTTCACCTTCTTCGGCCTGGCCCTGGACCTGCAGGCCCTGGGCAGCAACATCTTCCTGCTCCAAATGTTCATTGGTGTCGTGGACATCCCAGCCAAGATGGGCGCCCTGCTGCTGCTGAGCCACCTGGGCCGCCGCCCCACGCTGGCCGCATCCCTGTTGCTGGCAGGGCTCTGCATTCTGGCCAACACGCTGGTGCCCCACGGTGAGGGGGCAAAGCTGTACACCAGAGACTTCCCTACCTTGGGGGGGTCTCGGGCTGGGAACAGCACCCCTCCTTGGAGGTGCTGGACTAGAGCAGGTACCCTGGTAGGAAGGAGGCTGCCGGAGCCGTCTAGGGACAGACGGCAGTGTCTGCACTGAGCCAGCAAGAGCGGTGAAGGAGTGGCATGGGTGGCACCAGGGAAAAGTGTGGAGTTAAAATGAGAACTAAGTGATGGATTGCAGGAGGAGGGAAACGGGGTCAAGAAGGACTCCTCGGGGCTGGCTCTGGGTGTCTGAGCGTGGAGCAGATTGTGGGTGTGGCCATGAGGCCACTCAGGACAGGATACCCAGATGGAGATGACTCCCAAACATTTACAAAGAGGCCTGAAAGTCAGGGACAAGCCCCCTGGGCTGAAGGGAGCCCTCATCTGATCTTGGGCCCCCCACCAAGCTCACTAATCCCATCTCTACCCACAGAAATGGGGGCTCTGCGCTCAGCCTTGGCCGTGCTGGGGCTGGGCGGGGTGGGGGCTGCCTTCACCTGCATCACCATCTACAGCAGCGAGCTCTTCCCCACTGTGCTCAGGTGAGGCTGGGCCTGGGCTCCAGGAGAGGGGAGCCCTGGGCTGAGCTGCGGGGCACCCCCAGGCAGGACTGGCTTCTCCCAGACCTAGATGTTCATGTCATGCATCTCCCTCTTGTGTGGTCCCCGGGGCTGCTCAGGTGCATCCCAAGCCCAGCCTGACCCCCTGGGTCTCCCTGGGCCAAGCGGGCCTGGCCCGGCGTGCAGGATCAAGGCTGTGGGCACACAGACCAGGCGCTTATAGGTGCATCTGCATTGGCAGGATGACGGCAGTGGGCTTGGGCCAGATGGCAGCCCGTGGAGGAGCCATCCTGGGGCCTCTGGTCCGGCTGCTGGGTGTCCATGGCCCCTGGCTGCCCTTGCTGGTGTATGGGACGGTGCCAGTGCTGAGTGGCCTGGCCGCACTGCTTCTGCCCGAGACCCAGAGCTTGCCGCTGCCCGACACCATCCAAGATGTGCAGAACCAGTGAGTGGACCCAGCCTCGGGACCACCCCTCCCTCCCACCAGAGAACCCTAGCACAGGGCAGCCTGCTCACCCATCCCCATCACTTGACAGAGGCGGAAGCAGAGGCCCAGACAGATAGGATTGGCCCAGAGTCACACAGTACATCTCTGGGAGAGTGGCAACCCAGGGCTCAGTCTCCGGCTGGCAGTGCTTTGACCTAGGGCTTTGTCCTCTGCCTTTCACTCCACCATTCAAGGCACAAATGGACAAGCTCCCCCAGGTCCACCCTGAGAGAGGCCAAAGGGAGAAGAGTGGATAGTCCTTTGTGAGAGGGAGATCCAGCCATTGTTGGGGGCCCTCGCAGGCCCCAGATTCTACCTCTAAAGCCCTGATGGCTGGCAGGGCAGTCACTTCACACACACCCCCAACCCATCACATGCTCGGGAGCTCAGTTCTGGGCCCCCGAGAGCAGGGTGGTGGCATTCCCTGGAGTCCTTGGGATGGACACAGGTCAAGGGTCAGGGGCCACTCCGCACCCCAAGACACACCCCCGTGTGCTTCCTGAACAGGGCAGTAAAGAAGGCAACACATGGCACGCTGGGGAACTCTGTCCTAAAATCCACACAGTTTTAGCCTCCTGGGGAACCTGCGATGGGACGGTCAGAGGAAGAGACTTCTTCTGTTCTCTGGAGAAGGCAGGAGGAAAGCAAAGACCTCCATTTCCAGAGGCCCAGAGGCTGCCCTCTGAGGTCCCCACTCTCCCCCAGGGCTGCCCCTCCAGGTGAGCCCTGCCCCTCTCACAGTCCAAGGGGCCCCCTTCAATACTGAAGGGGAAAAGGACAGTTTGATTGGCAGGAGGTGACCCAGTGCACCATCACCCTGCCCTGCCCTCGTGGCTTCGGAGAGCAGAGGGGTCAGGCCCAGGGGAACGAGCTGGCCTTGCCAACCCTCTGCTTGACTCCGCACTGCCACTTGTCCCCCCACACCCGTCCACCTGCCCAGAGCTCAGAGCTAACCACCATCCATGGTCAAGACCTCTCCTAGCTCCACACAAGCAGTAGAGTCTCAGCTCCACAGCTTTACCCAGAAGCCCTGTAAGCCTGGCCCCTGGCCCCTCCCCATGTCCCTCCAGGCCTCAGCCACCTGCCCGCCACATCCTCTGCCTGCTGTCCCCTTCCCACCCTCATCCCTGACCGACTCCACTTAACCCCCAAACCCAGCCCCCCTTCCAGGGGTCCAGGGCCAGCCTGAGATGCCCGTGAAACTCCTACCCACAGTTACAGCCACAAGCCTGCCTCCTCCCACCCTGCCAGCCTATGAGTTCCCAGAGGGTTGGGGCAGTCCCATGACCCCATGTCCCAGCTCCCCACACAGCGCTGGGCCAGAGAGGCATTGGTGCGAGGGATTGAATAAAGAAACAAATGAATGGCTGCCCCTCACTGACTCAAGTGATGAGCCCCCAGGGTCCTCCCGGGTCGGGGGAAGGAGGAAAGTGCTGGGGGCTGCTTTCTGGGGTGGGTCTTTCCCAGGCCAGCTTGCCTGCCCCAGGTGCCAGGCCAGAGTGGCTGCTGTTTCCAGCGCCTGTTGTGGGCCCGGTGCTGTGCTGGACACCTCAAAGCATCATCTCACTTCACTTTTTCCTGAATCCTGTAGGGCAAACATTGCCCCATTTTACAGATGAAAAAACTGAGGCTTGAAGAACCTGATTGCCCATGACACTCAGCTAGGTGGGGGCAGTATCAGGATTCAAACCCATCAGTAGGCCTCCAGAGCCCCACTCTGGCCACAACAGCCCCAGCCTCTCCCAACCCAGCCTCACCATCTGGGTGTCCAGTAACTCTCCTGGCAGCGGCAAGGCCAGGGGCCCACAGTGTCCACAGGCATGGCTCGCGGGGAAACGCAGTGCAGCGCACACAGAGGTCTGGGTGCAGGTAGAAGCCATTTGCTGCCCAGCCGGGTCCCAGCCAGCCAGCCCAGTCACCTGAGCCACCCTGGGGCCATGCTCAGATGGTCTCTGGGTCCACCTGTGCCTGCCTTGCTGCTTCCAGGCACCTTGGCCGAGGGCAGTGCCCTACCACCCCTACACACACATTAGCCGTGTGTGCACACATGTGCCCACATGCACATGCACACATATGGGATGGGAAAACAGAAAGCAGCTCTTTGCCCCCACAGGAAGGGGGTCACTGCTTGGCCTGGTCTTGTCAGCTGCAGCCCCTGGGCCTCTGGGGGGCCATGTCCTCTGGCCATCTACCTAGGGCCACCCCTCAGTAAAGAACCCCGGGCAGGGATCCTGTTTGTGAAAATGCCTGAATACAAGGTCATCTCAGCCTGCCCTGGACCTTTTGTCTTTTGTCTATCTGCTGCCCAGCTGAGGCCCAGCGGCCTTTCTAACCCTTGAACAGCATTCTTGGGACCTCAGGGTATCCAGAAGTTTCTAGAAGGCAGAACCCAGGGCTGGTGGGAGATGGGCCCTCCTGTCTTCTGGGATATCCCTCCAGCTCACCAAGGGGGTCTGGACTACCCCTCTGCCCACATCCTGAGTGGCCTTGCCCCTGGTCCTTCCAGATAGTCACGACCCTCCAGGACCCAAGCCCTGTTTGCTTCCAACATAAGTCACTCCTGGATTAACTCAAGAGGCCCTGGAAGCTGGGAGGGCCCAGGACCCTGTCCCTCTGGCGAGTGAGCAGCCTTGCTGTGGCCAAGTGGGTGTCGGCAAAGGGAGAAGGGACCCCCCTCAGCAGCAGCCTCGAGCCCACCCGAATGGCAAGCCTATGCTTGGGACACACTCTGTTCTGATGCCCACCACGGAGGCTTCAACCTCAGAGCCTGTGGGGGCACCCCGCTATGGAGGAGCCAAGGGAAAGAAGAACCCATCACTACCCCATCAGTGTCATCCCCATGGCGGTGGAGGCCTCAGGCAGCAGGGATGAGGAAAGTGGCTCAGGACTCACTTTATCCATTCTCCTGCCTCCAGCCAAGCCCATAGCTCACCCAGGAGGATGTGTGGGAAGAGGCAGCACCAAGCCCCACGGGCTCCAAATCTGCCTTCAAGAGGGGGGTTCTATCCGGAAGAGCTGGGCACTGGCTGGGCTGGTGTTCCCTCTCCAGGGGGCTTGCTTGATGAGGGCAAGTCTGTGAACTTCTTCCCCAAATCCCTGTCCTTGAGAACCCTGAGGTGAAATATCCTGACAAATCCCTGTGAGGACCACCCGCCAAGGAGCCAGGATGCCTGGAACCTCAGCCACCATCAGGCCCTGGACACTGGGCCTGTCTGGGACACTGCTGGGGTCACTGCCAGGCCAGCCAGACCCTGAGGAGCTCAGCTCAGTCCCAGATGCTAAGTCCAACATCAGAGGCACAAGATGATAAACTGAGAATCAGGTGACCATCTCTTACAGATGGGTAAACTGAGTCAATGGCTGAGGGTAGGATCTGTCCTCTTATAACCAAGCCCTTGAATGACGGGAACCCTGAGCTGCCTTATGCAGAGAGAAAGACCAAGTCCCACAGTCATATGGCAACCAGCAGGACTGGGGTCCATCCTTCCAACTCCTGGACTGCCCCGCTTTCTGCCTCCCTACCCTGATATACTGTCCCCTATCCTGTTTAGGGTCATTCTAGAAATTTCTGGAGTAAGGATATTCCTTCCCTTCCTAACACCAAGGAGCCCCTGCCTGCCTGTCTTTGTTTCTTTGGCTAGTTGTGATGGGAGGAGGGGAATCCAAGCTGTCTCCGTCCCTTGGTCAGAGAGAGTAGCGGCAGGGGGCCCCAAAGGTTCCAATCACCAGCCCAGGAACGGGAGGACATCCTAGCAAGAATGCCCCAAACCAGGGCCTCTCCCAGACTTCCACAGGTGCTTAGAGCTGACCTCAATGATGCTGACCGTGGCTCCAAGACTGAGCAGTTGGGGGACAAGCAGGGCCGGAGCCTCACCCCTCAGGAGCTGGATCAGAAGGGCAAGGAGAGGCTGAGTCCATAGAAATCCACACCTGGAGCTCTGCTCTCTCACCCTTGTTAGGATTTTGCAGGAGGAATCTCAAGAGGTCCTGAGAGGCACCATGGTGGGGAGGGTCCCAAGACAAAAGCCTCCTTCAGGGATGGAGAGAAGGAAGAGAAGGAGATGAGGCTGACCTTGGCCTCTGGAGATAGCTGGAGGCTGCTCAGGTCAGGACCTGCCACTCCCACTAAGGGATGTTCCCCAGCTGAAGGGTGGGGCTCCTGCAGGCATGGAGGCAGCCAGGCCTAAAGATGGACCAGGCTTTTGAACAGCAAAATGCCTCGAGGATGAGCTGGCCAACAGCCAGAGCCCCCTGCAGACAGAAAATCAAGATGCAGAATCGGGCAGTGGAGGGGATGGCAAGCCAAGGGTGTGAGGAAGCCTGGCGGAGGGGAGGGCTGAGAAGCCGATCGAGGGGGGGACCCTGAGTGACACAGCATGGCTGAGTCATGTCTCATGAGCCAGGTGGTGCAACGCCCCACCACTGCCATCCTTGAGGTCCGCAACCCTCCTCGCTCTCCTCTCCTGACAATGCTGTACACGTGGTTATCTGTCCCTTGCGACTGAGAGGCTTAACAAATACAGATCCATCTCTTAGCATCTCCGGACCATGGACCTGTTAGGGTCTCCACAGAGGAGTAAACAACGGTGGACGAGGTGGCTGGCCCTGGTTCCACCTTCAGTCCCAGCAGCTGCCCAGTCAAGCAGAGTGGACTTGGGGGAAGGTAGGGTACCAGGGTCCAAATCCCTAGAGAGGAAGGGGAAGGAGCACAGACTCTAGAGTCAGGCAGAGCAGGAGACCACTGGGACTCAGTCACTCATTCACCTCGAGACCTGGGAGCAGCCACTGAAGGTCTCCAAGCCCAGGAATGACCTCCTCCCTCCAAGGGCTGCTGAAGGATGAGGCAGCATCTGTCCCGCACCCAGGTCTGTGCCCGGGCACACATGCCCCGAGGTGTGGATCCAGTAGCCATCAGGGGGCAACACAAGGTCTCCAGGGATCTGTCTGCCTTTCTGAGAAGCTAAGGTCTGTGAACCGGCCAGAGACCAGCCATGTTTCCCGCCCGTTCCTCAGCCCAGCAGGGATACAGGACACTGTGAGACAAAGACAAGTTATCCCAGGAACCCAAAGCCACACTCAACCCAAAAGTTCGGGAGCAACTTACCAGCTCTTGTGGGCCCCCATGTGGGCCCAGACCCCAGCCAAAAGCCAGGATCTAACAGCACCCACCCCCAAAAAAACTGCACAGGACCGTTGGAATTTGGAAAGTTTTTGTTTTCTTTTTCCCACACATTTCCGGGGTTGGGGTGTTTTCCAAGACTCAGACACATTTGTTAACAAAGAGAGAAAAAAAACTGGGGGAGCAGGGAGCCCGTGGGCAAAGAAGTGACCCCAGCAGTCTGTGGACAATGCCTTGCTCCCTCTTCCCTGCTGCCCGCGCCCAGCGGGTGCCACAGGCTGCTGCTCGTGGAATCTAGAGTATTTGTCTGTAATATATATCTGCATTTGCCTTTCCCCTCCCTCCCACCCCCCACCCCTGCTCCTCCAGCAGCTTCCCCATCAATGCACGTCGCCCGGCGGCACACACAGAACAGGCCTTCCGTCAGGCCTGAGCCCCTTCCCTGGGCGGCACCAAGCAGGTGCCTCTCCTGGTGAGGGGAGTTGGGGCACTTGCCCCACCCCACCCCACCCACCCACTGGGCCACTCGGGCCCACCCTCCCGCCCTTCTCCCACCGACTCTGGAAACCCAAAGGGAGGAAAGGAAGGGAGAAACCAGACACACAAAAAAAGAAGTAGGGAAGGAGGGTGGGGACAGTGAGACACAGCAAGCCTGGGATGGGGATTGGAGGGCTTGGGAAGAGAAGGAAGGCAGGAGGGACAGAAGGAAGAAGAAGAAAAATTGAGGAAAATTAACAGGACGAGCAGTGGACACTTTACAAAACCCCCAGCCTTCCTTCCCACCCAACCCCACCAAAATAAAACTACCCCCTTAAAAAAATAAATCAACCCAGGGCTGTGAGCACGTGCCCTGCCTGGCAGGCGCAGAGCTGAGAGGGACAGTCAGCCCCGGGACTGACGAGGCCGCGCAGTGGACGGCAGGAGGAAGGGGGCGAGCACGGGGTTTTTCCTTTTCTTTTTTTGCGTTTCCTCTTCGTAAGAGAAGCCTGAGGCAGCCAGGGAGAGGGTCCCCAGGCCCCTGGCAGGGAGAGGGTGGCACCCTCCTCCCGGGCCCTCCCAGGAGGGGCAGCTGGCAGTGGGGCGCAGTGCCGGGGGCTCAGACATAATACTCCTTGTCTTTGTTCTTCTTGGCCTTGCTGGGCGTCTTGGGGGCAGCCGGGGCCTTCTCTTTCACCACCGCCCCATTGCTCTGGGCCGAGTTACTGATGTAGTTTCGGCTCTGGTCCACCTGGTAGGAGCCCTCATCACGATTGCGGTACTTATACATGGCGTAGAGGAGGATGAGGATGCAGAGCGCCGCCGCCGCCACAATGCCCACCACCATGCCCGTGGTGCTGCTGGACTCCCGGATCACCTCCACTGCGCCCGGCGGGCCCCGCTCCCCAGGCCCTGTGGGGTTGGCTGTGGGCAGATGGGGGAAGCCGGGGGCTGAGGTCACGCCGGGGCGCAGGGGAGGGGGCCTCCGCGGCTCAAAGGACGTGGGGGCCCCGGGCCCCAAGGGCGGGTTCTCCAGCAAGGGCTGAAGCGGGTCTCGGTGGTTCATTTTGCCCGCCGGCAGGTTGGGGGCCGGGGCGGAGGGGGCAAACAGCACCCCAGGGGCGCCCGTGGCCCCATCTGTCCTGAGGTTGGGCCGGGGAGCGGGTTTGCGGGGTGACAGGAGGGTGGTGCGGTCCGTGACCAGGGGAAAGGTGGTGTAAAAGTCCTCGTCGTCCGTGGGGGGGAGGCTGGAGTCAAAGACCTCCCCGGAGGCGAAGCCCGAGGCCTCGATGGGCTCCTCGCAGTCGCTGTCGTCCCGCTCGGCCTGGCACGGGCCCCCAGAGGGCGGGCGGCGCGCGGCGGGCGGGGGCAGCGTGTCTTGGGTGGCGCCCACTCCCGTGAGGAAGGGGTAGAAGGTAGGGGGCGGGGGCACGAAGGGGGATCGGGTGGCCACGGGAGGGGGGTCTAAGGAGTCCTCCGTGATAATGGGCAATATTAACTCTCCTCCTAGAACAAGAGAGAGAAGAGAAAAGAGAGGGCGTCAGCGAGGGCCAGGGCGCAGGCGGCCGGCACAGAGAGAGAAACAACAGCCTCACACACCCAAATCGGTTCCAATTGGCTTTGGCGGAGACTAGAGCGGGCTGGGCCCGCCCGCCAGCCGGCCGAGCACTGCGCTTTAAGCGGGCAGCGGCTCAGATGCCCTGGGCACCCCACGCACGGGCTCTGTGACTCTCTGGGTTTTGGTCTTTTGTTTGTCTTAAGAAATCAAAAGGAACAGAAAGGAAAGGAAATTGAAAAGAAACAGAAAAAAAAACTCTACTGGTTTAAGGCTTTAAAAACAGATACAACAGCAGCATTTAAACAAACCTAACAACAATATCTTTTAGGGTTTTTTTTCTAGATTTTTCTCTTTTTTTGCTTTTTTTTTTTTTTTTTGCTTTTGTTTTTAAAAAAGAAGATAGCATACCACGGAATTCAGGCAACTTACATCAACAAATAGGCCGTGTGATTTTAGCATGAAGAAAAAAATTACAAACAGAGCTGTGTAAGCGGGTTCTCCCGGAAAAAAAATAAGAAAAAACAACTTTTCCGTACAACGTTTTCTGTCTATCTGTTCGGTATCTCCCTCCCTCACTCTCTGCTCCCTGCGCATCCTGCCTCCTCCTGAACTCTCTCTCCGCCCTCACTTGTCCCTCTCCCCCTCATTCAACACAAAGCTGAACTCTGCACAGGGCAGGCTGGGGCTGAGGGGTGGTTTCCACCACTTGGTGTCAGCATGTCGGGGAGGGAGGAACAGTGGGCAGGAGGGCTTAGAGAGTAGGGACATGACAGGCAGCCATGTAGGGATTGCTACATGGGTGAGAGGTCTTGGGAGGGGACGGCCACGGGAGGGGGCTTGGAAAGCTAATTGCAGGGTGGCCACGGGAGGCGAGACATCGAAAGTGGGAGGTGAGGTGGCCCATGAGGAAGAGTGGGCAGGGAGGAGTTGGATACCACTGGAGCAGGGTCCTGTCCCGTAGGACTCTGGGAGGGGTGGAGAGAAGCCATGTAGAGGCAGGGAGGTAGGGAGGGGCAAGGAAGGAGGGGAGTGGGCAGGGACACATGGTTCCTGAGCTAAGCCTAACTCCCCAACTTTCTCATTCTTCACCCTCCACCTCTGACCCCCACTGACTTCCCCCCTCCCCCTCCCCAGAACCCCCATGGGCCGCCAGGACCTGGCCAGGGCTTGACTGCCTCTGGCCCTCTTATTATAGTTAAAACAATAACAAAACAACGGAAAGAAGAAGAAAGCAAAAAAAGAAAAGAAAATACATACACAGCCATCTGGGAGGGAAGCACCTGCTAAATAGGGCCCATGGGAATGAGAGGGGAGGGCTTTGTGAGGGGAGAATGGGTCTCCCCATCTCTAGGTCTGATAACTGGAGTCCCTTGGGCAGAAACTGCAATTCCCATCAGCCCCCAAAAGGTGAGAACTATAACTCCCATCAGTCCTTGGAGGAGTGTAGAACACAATTCCCATCAGCCACTGAGTCAACAACTGTGACTCCCATCAGCCTCCTGGTCCTCCTCTCAAACCAAAATTGTGCAACCTCCTGGTTTGGGGTAGAAGGGAGCTGGGGCTCAGCTCTAGGTGGCTGGTGGGAGGACTTGCTCCTCTTGCAGGGGCACCTCTGGGCCTGACGAGGGTTGGAGGTTTCCTCTCTGGCTCTCTCTTCAGCACAGCCTAAGCCCTGCCCACATCTGAGTGCCTCTCGCTGGTCTCTGCAGGGTGTGGTCTTCATAGATCACGCCCAGAAGCCCCTCAGCCTCTTGGTGGTAAAGCACCCCAGGGCCTCCACTGCCAGGTCCCGCCTGCCCCACTGCAGCCCCACTGCAGCCAGGCCAGCCACATTCCACCTTCACATCTTGGCGCTCTTCTCCTGCTCCCCACCCACCCACAGCCCTCTGCCTCTGCCCTGAGTTCAAACACTGTTGCCAACCTTCAGATCACAAGCTCCAGCAATGTTACAGAGCTGTCCTTGGCCACGCCAGCCAGCCTGTGGCCAAGACCTTTCCATTGAACTTGAAGGCTTGCTGAGCTCCCCAGGCTGCTCTTCCCACCCGACTCCAATCTCCCCTGGCCAGGGGCTCACCTACACCCTAGATTTTGAAACCCCAGGGCTCCTGGCCCTCCAAAGGCTCAGTCACAGTGAAAAACTTTGAGCTACGAGCAAAGTAGCATGTTTTGTGGAGCTGGGACTATCTGATCCCAGCTCGTTATGGATAAGAATGCTGAGGCCTGGGTGGGCAGGACTTCCCAAGATCACCAGGTGTAGGTGCCCAGCAAGGTGAGTGAGGCCGGGGAAGGGCTAGATCTCATGAGGAGCCCAAGAAAACCTAAGTCATCCTCCCAATGCCTCCAGGAATCTGTTGGGGCTGCTTGACTCTTGGCTTGGATGCTAACTTGGATGACAGAACACCTGTTCTGTCACTGAGTTCCTGTGTGACTGTGGGCAAGTTTCTTCCAGTCTCTAGGCCTCAGTTTCCTCATCTATAAAACTGGGGTATTAGGCTCCAGGCCCAGGATGAGGCCAAGGCTTGGCTCTTGTGGGACCTCTAGCCTTTGGATGAACAAATATGTCTTCCTGTACCCACCTGGGATCCAGACAAGGAAAGCCAGCACCCTGGTCTCCAGGTAAGGGGCAAACTCAGCTGTCAGCTCTCAGGAGGGTTGGCAGCCTCTCGAGCGGTCGTAACCTGGGCCCAATCATGGCAGGGTTCCCCTCCCTGCATGAACCCTGAGTGCCTCTGGGGTCCTTCCTGCTGGTCCATACCACCAGCCCTCTACCTGACCTTTGCCTTCTATTCAGAACACCCTTCCCTGCTGACATCTCAGAGTCTGGCCAAACACCTCCTCTTCCAGGCAGAGGATGCTCCCTGCCTTGAGTGTCTCTGACACCATATCCCAATTCTGTCCTGGAGGCATGGCTTTGTACTCACTGCCAGGGAAGGGCCAACGGCCCGGGTCCTATCTGTCTCCCTAACCTCCAGCAGTGGGCCTGGCACAGAATTGGGGCTCGTTATGCTTTTCCAGGGGAAGGGGAGTAATATTCCTCAGGCATTTCCTCTGAGCCAGGCCAGGCTAGGTATCTAGGGAAGGGAGTGGGCGTCTCTCTCACAGGCCAGAGCAGCTGAGTTCTAAACACCCCACCCCCTCCACCCTCTTAGGCAGCAGGCACTATGGAGAGCTTACCTTGGCAGCAGCCTTTCTCTACAAACCAGCTCCCACCCCAGCTCACCACCTTCCATCTTAGACTGGGCCACCAGCTGCTGCTGGAAACCCCAGCGTCAAGGCTTGGCCTAAGCTGGCTGGTCATAGCTGGGGCCCCAGCAAAGTGCCAGGCCCAGGGCACAGGACCAGACCAGGAGGCCCTTGCTGAGGCCACATCCTGCCCTAGAGGGGCTGACAGGCTGATCAGGGCACAGAGCTTGGCTCTCTACCAACCTGCTGTCCCCAGCCAGGCTAGGGCATGGGGGCTTCAGGCCTTGGACCACAAACAAGTCTTACCCAGCCTAAGCCCCCTACAACCATTTTCCCTAGCTAAGCCCTTGGGACACACAGGCTCCTCGGGTCACCCTTCTGCAGCCTTCCTCTGCCCCCAGACTCCTCCCAGGCCTGCTCACATTGACCTCTTGCCCCTCCAACCCCAGCTGCTTCCTGGTCTCCATATCTGGGTCCCAGCCCTGTCCCCTGCATCTGCAGCTCCTCTGGGGCTTCCCTGGGCCCTTCTCTGCCCAAGGCTTTGACTGTACGATCTCCTGAGGTGTCCTCCCCTCACCCACACCCCCCCACACTGCCATGACTCCCCCTCGGTGCCCCCTTCTCATGGTAGCCTCTGTCTCCCACATGGCTTCCTCTCCGTTTCCTCCCAGTGTCCCACACCCCACTTCCTCTCCACAAGATAAAAGGCTCTGGAGAACCCATGAGAACGCATGAGGACTTCCTTCCCTGGGCTCACTCAACCCGGCCTAGGCTCTGGGGCAATCAAGTCACCTAACGTAGGGTGCTGGGCTTTCCCGGATCACACACCAGTTCAGGAAGGATCAGAAGAGGCTGTCCTGGTGAGGAGTTGGCAGGACCTGGAGGAGGGGAGGACCGGGCTCCTCAAAGACTCCTCCCTGCCAAAAGCCCAACCGCTGCCCGTGCTGCTGGGTTTTGTGGGTGCAGACTCACAATGACTCATGGTCCAGCTCTACACTAAGGATGCATCCTGGAATGGGGTGCTCCTAGGAGCCAGAGGAGTCTGATAGGACCCCAGGCAGCCTCCCGCCTCTCCCCAACTTCAGGCAGCTGCAGCATTTGGAAAATACTCACAGGTGCACACTTAGCACAGATGCCACCCGCCCACCCAACACTCCTCTGCATCCTAAGAAAAACTGAATTTCAGTGCATGTGGGCCCCACTTACTAGAGAATGCCATCCCTGACCAGGGGGACCACCAGCCATTCCTGATCTCCCCTTCCTCCCCAACTCTCCTTCCTCTGGGGACTGCTGGCCCAACAAAGTTAGCCCCCTTCTGCCCTTAGGGCACAGAAGGCCCCTGACTGGAACTACCCAAGAACCCCATTCTCACCCAAGCAAGGTGTGCCCACCCCCAAAGGGGAGTCTAGAATTGAGGTTGAGCATATTCAAGACTAAGCAGTGAGCTGGAGGCCCTGCCCAGGCTGTGAGGGGCAAGAAAGCCACCAGCCTACAGGGCATTTCATGGGGGTTAGAAAACACAGTTCTATGCGGACGTGACCCTGTGGTGCATGATTTCACAAACAGTACCTTCATGCAATATTGGAAAAACCATTCTCTCCTCTCAGTGGACACGGTCCTGTTCTGGTGCTCAGGACACATGGCTGGGCAAGCAGAGCCCTGGGCAGATATCAGCCCCTACTCACCTGTGCGAGCAGAGAGCAACCTGTGCCACTGTGTATGGTGCCCTGAAGGACAGTGCCCCTCGCCACCCACAAGCACCAGTACTGCAAGGGCAGAGGCCAGGGTATTTCAAGGTAAGAAAAAAACGGTACATTGTGGCATATGCACATGCACACACACACACTGAGGATCTGTGTTTCTGTGCCCCAAGCACATGTGTGCATGCATGTATGTGAACCTAGATGGATCTGAGCATGAGCGTGTGCATGTCAGTGAGTGGACCTCTGGCTCTGGCATGTGCCTGCCGGCCACTGAGCCTGGGTCTGAGTTCCGTGTGCACATGTCCATATGTGAACATGCCCCAGAACATGTGAGTGCACCACAGGCATCTGAGCACCAGCGGTGCACCCCAGGGAACGCGTCCTTCACCAAACTCATTTTCCCCTTCTCCTGGGAAGCAAGACTACATTTCCTGACATCCCCTGTGAGTAGGCCTGGTGTATGACTGAGTAGTGGGCACTGCCCGTACCAGTGCCCCAGCAGCCTCCTGGTGCCACTTTCCATGCTCCTTCTCCTGCAGTGACCTTGGAAACCACAAGTTGAAAATGGAGGCACCACAGATGGAAGGAGTGTGGATTCCTAAAGCACCCTTGGCAGCAGAGCCACCTGCTGATCAGGCATACCCAGGTAGGGTGCACCTGAGTGAGAAACTTCTCTTGAATTAACTACGGAGATCCGGGGCTTATCTGTTACAGAAACAAATGTTACTTTAACTAATATAGACACTGGCACCAGAAATGGATGTCACGATAACACAAACCTGAGAAGGCACTCGTGACAATCCAAGGCGTGGAGGCTGGGAAGATAAAACCCACATAATGCAGTGGCAAAGCATGTGGTGCACACCGTTGCTCATGAGAACCTGGAGGGTAGGCACTGCCTGTGGAGTCTGGGCACTGAGGGAAAGGGCTGGGAAAGGCCACTGACCATGAGGCTTCTACTTTCTACTTTTAGTAACATAGTACAAGGAAGAGACCAAGGAGGCAAGGAGTATGAGGAGGCAAGAACTGGCTGGTTTGCAAGCAGAAGTGAAAAGAATACAGAGAGCCCAGAAATCTGCATCCCACAAGAGTCAGAAGAGGCCACTGCTTCCAAACAGTAAGAGAGAAAAGTGAAAAAGGCTTTGAGGACAATGGCGCAGTAAAACTTCTCACCTGAATAAGAGCACTCAGCCTTGCTCAAGGATCAGATTTAGGGGTTGCCCCCCGCCCCCGCAACCTCCCACCTATTGTTTCAAATGTCCTCAAGACAATCACCACTGTATTAAGAGAAAGAGGCATGGGGGCAGAGCAACAAGGAAATAAATGAGGCTTGAGAACTGTGTCTAGGTGGGGTTACTTTGAACCTTAAACCACCCTTGGGCCCCAAATCTGCATGAGCAGGGGTGGGCTATCATGCTACAGCACCCCCAAGGAGGACATTGTTCCCAACACCCACTTCAGACATGGCCATGGAGAAGGAGGACTGGGAGGAACTTCCCAGAGGGGACAGCCAGGGACCCCAGACAAAGGAGAGGGGAGTCTCCCCCAGAGAGCAGAATCTCTCCCAGGGTTTAATGAAGAAATTTCCCCCACTGCAGGGGCAGAGAGCCTGGCCTGCCTGCCTGCTGGATTTCCTCAGCGCTAGCAGCACACATTGGCCTGTGTGAATCTAGGCTGCTGTGTGTCTTCCATTTTTCCCTCTGCCCCACACCACAGTATGCTGGGTGTGTATCGGGCTGTGGGAGCAGTGAGATAAATGATCCATTTAGTTCCTGGGTATCCAGATCACATATGGGTCCCCATTCCAGAGGAGCCAGGTCTTGACTGGATGCGGTGGGCCACCATCTCCCAGACATCATGAGCTTTGAGATGAATGCCCTAGCTGGTTGGGACTTTGGGTGGTCTCCCTTGGGGAGGGGTGGGTGTGTCCTGGAGGTGAGAAAGAGTGAAACGGATCCTTGATGACCACAGGCAAGCCGGTGACAAATAATTCACTAGCTGGGCCCCAGACCTGTTTCTGCTTCCTCCTCAGGGCACAGCAAGGCCATACCTCACAGCCTTCCTTAAAGCTAGGCTGGGCCCCATGACTGAGCTCCAGGCAACAGAATGTGGGCAGGAGCCTGCACGCCTCTCCCACGGCTGGCCCATAAAATCTTCCACTTCACAACTCCATGCCGGGTCCCCTTCCACCACAACTCAGGAAGTCACCTGTTGAAGATGGTGCAGCCACAAGATGGAGAGGGTCCAAGCCTTGAGTCATCACTTGGAGAAGAGTGGCCCACCAATCAGGAACACTTGTTTATAACTTACATGAATGAGAAATACATTTCTATGTGTTAAACCAATAGATGTTGTCTATTATAGCAACTAGTGCTACCTTGAGACCCTCTTGGAATCTGAACACACTGTGGTTCTACGGGTCTCGGCAAATGTGTCTGTGACTCTGTGGAGTTAAGCCTGCATGTGCCTCTGAGGGTCTCATTCATGTGTGCATGAGGGCAATGCTTCAGGAGGGATGCTTGCATGGAGTAAGTGCAGGAGGCTGCTTCTGTGGGTCTGAGCATACATGGGCCTGGGTGAATCTGAATACACATGTGTGTATGTGTGTGCTCCTGTGGGTCTAAACAACTGTGTGTACTTACCTGAGTGGGAGCACACAGGCATACAGGCATGCCTTGTACTGTGTCTGAACATGTGTGCATGCCCTACAAGTCTGAGGATATGTGTGTGCCCTTCTGTGTGCCACTGCATGGGTACCTTGGAGCACAGAAGTGCACTTGCACCTGTGTGGGCTAATGTAGGCCCAAGCGTGTGTGTGTGTGTGTGTGTGTGTGTGTGTGTGTGTGTGTATGTGTATACCTCTGTACAGGTCTAAGCACATGAACTTGCATGTCTATGCATATGTGTGTACATATGTATTCTTCTGTGAGTGTGAACCAGTATGCATGTTTCAGCAGGTAAGCGTGTGTGTGTGTGTGTACACTGCTGTGGCACTCAGCACATTGACTGTGCATGGAAGTATGAGCTTCTATAGGGGCGGGCTTGGTGGGAGAGGTGCAGGTCTGTGAAGCTGAACAAATTGTGTGTGTATGAGGCCCCTGGGGTTGAGCACACAGCCTGCCTCTGAGAATGTGCACATCTGAACCCCTGTGAGTCTTACCCAGGTGCACATTTGTGTACATGTGGGCATGCCTCTGGGGGTTGGACACACATGTTGGTGCATGAGTACACCTCTCTGCAGATATGTATGTGTGCATTGTGGTGAGTATACTTATACACACATGTACCTCTGTGAGCCTGGTCATAGATGTGCATTTCTGTAAGTACATGTGGGCACACATGTGCACTGTGGTGGGTCTAAGCACACTGCTTACTTGCCTGATCTGAACATGCATACAGGTCTCTGCGGTTCTGAAACACATGTGAGCATCTGCCTGTCTGAACATGCATGTAGGACTCTGTGGTCTGAGCACCTGTGTGTGTTACACAGGTGGATCTGTGCACATATGTGTGCCTCTGAGCTGAGCACAGATGTATAATCTGTGAGTCCGAGGGCGTGTCACAAGGTATATGTCTCACTGAGCCTAAGCACATATTCACACACACTCAGGTCTGAACACAGATGTGTGTGTCCTGTCCTGAGTGCCTGCAATATGCAAGTCTGTCTCTGGGTCTGAGCATGTGTGTGTGATTCTGAACATTCAGCATGGGTGTCAGTAGATATGAGTGTGTGGGTGTGCCTCAGTGGGTCTGAACATGCATGCACACATAGCTCAGAACACAGCCAAGTGCCTTGGTGTGAGACACACAATATGTGTGCCTTGGTGCAACTGAACACACACACAAGTGTGAACCTCTGGGAGCTGAGTAGGTGCACACGTGTGCATCTGAGTGCCTCTGCGGCTATTTCTGGAGCTCTAAGCACACACATGCAAGAGTTGGTAGCTCTGAGTGCATGCATGTGCTTTCATTAGGCTATGCATGTGTGCATGAGTTTATGCTTCTGTGAGTCTCAACAGGTGTGTATCTGTGTTTATGGACTTCAGGGGGGTATAAGCACACACATGTCTCTTGGAGTCTAAGCATGTGTGTGCCTCTGTTGGTCTAGGTACAAATAGTGTGTGCTCCTCTAGGTTTGAACGTGTGTGTGTGTGTATGTGTGTGTGTGGAAGTGGGCCCATGTGAGCTTGCTGGTGGGTATGTAAATGTATGTATGTGTAGGGCTGTATGTGTGCATGCCTCTGGTCATACATGTGCATACAGACCCTGCCTCTGTGGGTCTGAGCCTGTGTGTGCTCTTCTCTTCCTGCACGTCTCGGGTTGTGCAAAGTCAGATCCCCTCAGGGGCCAGGCCCAGGACACAATATGTGGGTTGGGCCAGCTGAGACAACTATGAGTGGGTACATTACCGATGGTGCATGCCCTGCTAAAGGCACTCCCATTCAAAAGCCAACCTCAGCTAAAATAACCGTGTAGATGATGGTCTCACTAAACAAGGGAGAAAGTATGGGCCAGGGTCTGTGGAGGAGCCCAGGTTAGGGAAAAGGGTGAAAAGGTGAGCAGAAATGATCCCAGACCCAGGGATGAGGATCTGCAAGGTGGGAGAGGTAAAACCCCATGGGGTCTCCAGCGAGGCTGCCCCCACCTCTGACACTGGAGCCAAGGGAGTCCTGGCCGTCTGCTGGAGAAAAGCCTCCTTGCATTTGGGCCTGGGAGAGGCTCTGGGCGGCATGGCATGGTCTACACGAGACTGGGAGACCCTGGAGTCATTTTGGTCCTTGCCTGGCCTCCCATTGGGATGATGAGGATCCATCGTTAAACCTTTCACAGTGGTGCAAATGTGGACGTGTAAGCATGTGCGATGCAGGCTTAGGGGAGAGGCTGTGGCTTCTGGCAGTTTCCTCTGGGGGCTCCAGAGTGTACTCTGCCCTCCCTCCTGGCCTTACTTTTAAAGCTGGGTGCTGGAATGGCTATCAGCCCCTCTCTATCCCAGGCTTCTAGACCTCCTCCACCCTTCATCCTCTACTTGGCCCTTTTCCCAAGAGGGTGGCTCAGTGGTCAGTGACCTCACAGATCCCTGACTGGGAACCAGCTGACCCGCCTGCTTCAGCGCCTCCTCACCCTCTGCCCTAATGCAGCCTAAAAGGGCTCAGACCACCAATGCACCCATTCAGCATCAGACCCAGGCCCCTGACTAGACTCCAAGACAGGGCTGGGAGGCTAGAACTTCGGTGGGCAGAGTATGGCCCAGGTGGGATCCAGTGTGCACTGCATGCCCCTACGTGGTGACCATCTGGCCCCAGATACCCCTCTGCAGGGTGCAGGGAAAGCAGAGACTCCTCCTGTTACCCAGGAATTCCTGTCCCAGAGTGTGTGAACATGGGCACCTGTGTGTAAACACATGTGGTGCCACTCAGTGCCCTTTCTTCAGGACCCTCAAAGACCGTTGTCCCCAGAGCCCCGTCCCAGAGCTTTTATGGGGCCGCTCATCACAGCCACTTCCAGCAGGCCTGGGCTAGCAGTGCTGTGTTGGCCACAGGAGCCACCAATAAACGCCTAGAGCTCAGAGCAGTAAAGCAGGGCAGGGGGTACTGTGTGTTGAAGTCACCAGATGCCCAGAGCCCCCCAAAGCAATGGAGGCATTGGAGTGTACATCCTTGAGCCAAGATCGCCCCAGGGGAAGAAGTAACAGCACTCAGCAGAGGGGCCTCCTAGAGAGGAAGGCATCTGACCCAGAAAGCACAGGCCCTGGGCTATGGAAAGGAAGGCCTTTCTGGCCCAGCAGCTGGCAGCTCCCCTGAAGGTCCCTGGGCCCAGGCCCATGGGAATGACCCCTCTCAGCTCTAGCCTACTTGGGGGACATGGAGGGCAACTGGGCTTTAGCCTCTGGGTCTGGGCGCCTGTGCCCCAGAAACCCCTCTGCCCTTGGTTTTTGAAGCTGAGCCTCTGCCCCAAGGCTCCACAGGCCATGCTATGGTCCTGCTCTATCCACACCCCTTCCAAGGTCGTGGCCCACCCTCAGCCTGAATGTCTTTTCTGGAGCTGGGAGGCCCCCAGGCCAGATTCACAGGATGTATCCAGGGCTCACTGCCCACCTCCTGACCACATAATCTCCCCCAACCCCGCAAGCACCGGCCCCAACCTCCAGCCTTCTGGTACCAACAACCCAGGTGCCACCCATTGCAAGGTAATGGGGAGAAGTCTCCAGCAGCCCAAGCGAGAAACGTGGGTGGCCCTCCACTCCCACAGACTCATCTGGCAGCCACCGAGGCCCACACTCCTCCACTGGGAAATCTGGCCACATCCAGTCCTTTCTCTGCTCCCTCTGCCAGCCTCAAGTATCCCACCCTCCCCCAGCTGCTCTTGGCCACCCCCAACCTGCTCAAATGAGCAGCCTTGGCACTCACTGCACCACTCCACATCCCACACTTCTCAAGCAGCACTCAAGGCCACCCCCGCTTTGCCAGCCTGGTCTCTCTCTGTGGCTGCACCCTTGGCTCCAGCAAGAAGTATCAAGCAGAGGCCTAGAAAGCACTCCCTGGCCCCATTGCCCCAGGCCCTGGAGAGCCTTCCCTCCCAGCCCTGCTCTCCTCCTACAGCAGCTCCCCCACTAGAATCTGGGCCAGACCTCAGGCCCTAATATTCCCCAGGAGACCACAAGTCTGGTCTAGGGGGAACCTCCCACCCAGCACACTATCGGATTCAGAGCAGTCACTGTGTTGTAACTGCCTCACCTTGGCCTGGCAGTCCTGGCAGTGTCCACTCTGGGAACACTTCAGACAGAGCACAGGACACCTCCCAACACCCAGGAGAAGAGGAGGGCCCAGGATCCAGCAGAGATCTCCTCTACTAGTGGCCTAGAGAGCACCAGGCCTCAGGGGCAGGTGGGAGTTGTGGTTCTGGACCCAAGAACTGATGGGAGTTGTAGTTCCTAAGCCATGTTCACCCTCCCCCACCCCAGGGACTCATGGGAGCTGCAGTTACTCATCCTCCTAGGGAAACGCCTCCCTCCTTCTCTCCCAGCACCTCTTGGCTCTCAACCCCAGGACCCCAGGCTAAGGACCTCACTACCTCTGAGGGGCTGGGAACCAAAAGGCATCTTGCCAGAGAGCAGCTGAGGGACTGGGAGGATGTTAGGCAAGGGGGAACTATCAGGGAAAGCTAAGGCCTGGCAGCAGGCCCTGGGGCTTGGGCCAGGTGGCAGGGACAGTCGCCCCCCTCCCAGCAGCATCGCAGAGGGACCCGGGGCAGGGGAGGGGGGAAAGGCACTCACCAGTACTGGGCTCACACTCCTCCAGGTCCTCATCATCGCTTGGACACTCAGCAGAGGCCACCAGCAGGTCATCTGTGTTCTGAGGGGCGAGAGAAGGGGTGGGGAAAGAGAGGTTCCAGGCAGGTCAGCAGATCCCACAGCTGCCACTTGAGGTGCACGGTGGCACGGGGGATGCCCCTGGGCTGAGACGGACCAGACTGGTCTGAGTCCCAGCCCTCCCATCTCTTGCTGGCTGACCTCGGGCCTCCATTTCCTGCTATGCACAGGGAACTCCCCAGCAACAGCCCTGCAGGTTTTCATGGCTTCCGAAGGTCAGTGAAACAGCACACATGGTGCTTTTTATTTCTCGGAAGTGAGGAGAGTGGACGCCAGACTTTGACCTGCAGCGCCAGGGCAAGAGGATCTAGGATGCCTCAGGGAAGGTGCCAGGGAGGCAAGGCCCTATGGGGCGGAGCCTGCAGAGGCCAGCGCAGGCAGAATAGGGCCAGGCCCTGGAGGGTTTCCTGGCTCCAGCTTCACCACCCATCACCCCTCATCTCTCTCCCAACCCCCTTTCCTGGAGCCTGAGAGAGCCGGGCTGCACACAGTAATTAGGGCTGTGGTTGCCATGACGACAAGAGAAGACTTTGTCAGCATTTTCTCTCTTACTTATTGCAAAGAAAGAGAATCCCCAAGATGAGTGAGTGTAAGGAGGAGGGGGGCGCTCAGGGGCATGAAGGAGGAGACCCAAGGAGGGAAATCAAAAGTCCAGGCAAGAAGGGAGCGCGAGAAACTGCGGGAAGGTGAGGAGAGAGCTAGGCTGAAGGACAAGGACGAGCAGGGTTGAAAGGGTCATAACCTGCCTCTTCCCAGCCCATGATCTTCAGACTCAACAGCCCTCACTCACCCAAGGGCAAGGCAGTGCCTGGAGGACCCAGCTCCCTTCTGCATTCTTGCCCCCTCGGCACCAGCCTCCATCTTGGGCTTCCCCACCACAGCAGTGACTCCTGGGACTCCCACCTCTCTCTTCCACCAGGATGATCTGCCCATCACCCTCCCACTGAGACCAGACAGCCCCTCGTCCCCTATGATTTGGAGGGTATTGGGCATGGTGGGTACCCAGCCTTGGGTAGAGCCCAGACCTTTTCCCCAAGGGCTCCCTGCTCCCTCGGGGCAAAGTCTTCAGGTCTCCTCAGCTTTCTTTGCAGAGAGGAAGTGGGTACAGGCTTGTCTCTCTGATCTGGATGGCCCCAGCTAGCCTAGTCCCAGGCTTCCTGCAGCACAGACTGGCAGGGAGGAGGGGTCTTAAAGCACATGGAGCCCACCCCTCAGAGGGAGAAGCTGAAGACAGACTGGTGACAGAGGGAGGAGCACATCCTCATGGCCACCCCCAGATCCTGCCCTCACCCTAGAAGGACAGAGGGTGCCTAACAGCCATAGGCTGCCAGACAGGGCGATGGGAAGAGAAGGGGTGGCCAAAAAAGGCCTTCATGCCAGGTGTGAGCCCTCCCTGTGCTAACGGTCAGAGCAAGCACAGGAGGCAACAACTAGAAAACAGCCCAGCCTGGGCTGCCTCAGGAAGTCACACAGGCCTGTCCTGCTCCAGCAGAGCCCCATTCCCCAGGTGCAGGCCCCTCCAGTCCTGCCCTATCGCTAGGGCTTGACCTGACCCAGGAAACACCTGAGCAGGTGGGGTGGGCTCCATGTGCTTCAAGGCCCCTCCTCCCTACCAGTCTGTGCTGCAGGAAGCCTGGGACTAGGCTAGCTGGGGCCATCCAGATCAGCAGGTGGGGTGAGCACCAGGGAACTGTCTGCACTGAGACCCCCTCAGACGCACAGACGGAGAGGACACTGAAGCTGCCTGAGTTGTGGTGCCTGCTCATAGTCACATGGAGAGGGCTTGTGAAGGCAATGGACTTGCAGCCAGGGCTTTCCCACTGCAGGGACCCCAGCAAACAAGGAGAGGCTCCTCCTAGCTTCCACCAGCCTCTGGAGAGGGGCTGCCCATGCCAGGTGACTGCATCCAGCCCTCCCATGCTGTCACCCCTGCCCACAGCAGGGCCAGCCTGGTACCATCCATCTCCCACTCTCTGCCCACACAGAACGCTAGGCATGGCCTTCACTGGGGAAGCAGAAGGAGCCATCCTACTCTCACCCCAAGTCCAGACTTCATCTCTCTTAGGTAGGGTGGTCTTCTCTCATATAACTGGGCCATCAAACTCCTCCCCAATTCTGGGAATGGTCCCTCTAGAAATAGTGGTCACCCCCACATCACAAGATCCCTGGTCATTAGGGTGAAGGCCACTTCCTGAAAGGTGACCTTGCCCATCGCCATGGCAACAAAGTCAGCGACAGCAGCCTTCAGGATCCCAACAGACCCCTTGGACCCTCACTCTAGGCACCACTACTGTGGCTATGCAGATATCAACCCCATCCCCACCTATCCCTGCCCTAATCCACCAGCCAGAGTGGGGCCTCACCTGGGTGGTGCTGTCCCTCAGTGTGGGGGAGCGGCCCCGGCGCGTGGTGGTAGTGGCCATGGTGGTGGTAGTCTCCATGATGGTGGTGGCCATGTCAGCCAGCAGGGTGGTGGCCGTGGTCTCCGCACTGAGCAGCACGGACGGCCCCTCCCCCACCAGGCGCAGGTGACCCTCAGTCCGCACATTGGGGTCGCTCTCGGCGGCCAGCGCCAGCACCTTGAGCCCATTGTAGTAGAGGCCGGACACCTGGCCCTGGAAGGGGCGGCCCTGATCCCGGCCCCCGATCTTGATGGCAGCCTGGCTGTTGAAGATGGTCAGCTGGCGGCCTTGCAGGAGTGGAAGGGGGTGACAGAGAAGGGGCAGGCAGTGAGGGGAGACCAGGAAGGGAAGGAAGAAAAGAAGGAAGCCAAGGAGAGGAAAGAGGAATGGAGGAGAAAGCCAGTAAGGGAGGAGGGGACGGGGAGAAATGAGGAAGGGGCAGAAAGCCAAAGGGAAAGTCCTTGTCAGCCACAGCCCCTAGCCCAGCCAGGTGGGGACCCCAGAAGGGGAGGGCACCCAGGGTACACATGGGCTGGGGAAGGGGAGCCCAGTCCCTCCTCCCCACCATGTGCAAGCCTTCCCACCTTCCCCATTCCCTCTCCTCTCCAGCTCCAAGGTCATCTCCCCTCTTCATCCTCTTCCCTCAGTCCATCCCCATCTTCTCCCTCTGCTTCCCCAAACATCCTGCCCCAGTGTCCAGCCCCAAGCCCTGAAGCCATGGAGCCCCTGGAAGAGGCAGATAGAGGAGACAAAGAGGCAGAGACAGAGGAGGTAGCTGCCAGGCCAAGGTGGAGTCGGTGCGTGTGAGAGCAGAGAAGGAGGTGAGACAGAGTGATGGTGTGTGGAAGCAGCAACCTGCCCAGGCTGACCTCCCACCTACAACCAGGCCTTCTGACCCCTGGCCAGGATCCCCTCTCTTCTCCCGGACTGCCAAGGCCCAGCACTGCCTGGGACCAGGCCCTGTTAAGCCGAGCCCTTCCTCCCCACCTGGACATGCAAGCACAGAAGTGGAAAATGTTAAAGGGACCTTGCTTCGCTCACTGACAGCCAATAAAACCCGCTCCAGCTCCAATCTCACCCCACACTCCAGTATGACACCTCAGAATTCCCAGCTGGGTGGGGTTGGGCTGTTCTGTTTGTTTTTAGTGGATCTGGGGGTCGGTTTAACCCTCTGAGTTTGTTGTTTTGGTTTGGTTTTTAGAAAAGATGTTTATTATGTTTAAGTTTAGATTTAACTTTGGTTTTGGTGCTGCTTATTTTGTGGGAGGGAGGGGGTGGGCAGAGGGCCTACCACATTGCCCCATCTCCCCCGGAACCTTCAGCTGCTGGCACTGGGGGTTTTAGACCTGGCTTAGCCCTTGTTAGCCTCTGGTTAGTGCCTCGTTAAAGATCTGGTTTAGAGTTCGGTGCCTGTAAGCCTTGCCCCCAAAACCCGGGCTGAGGACAGTCCAACTTGTGAAGCCCACAACCTCTTTGGAAACAGGTTCTCTGGGACACCCAGGCCTCTGGGACATCCAAACATCCATCCAGCCTCTAGCCAATGATGGCCACTGGGGTGTCTCCCCAGCCCCCCACTCAGCCTTCCTTCTTCCTCCAGCACCCTCCCACTGCCCACTCAGGCAAGGATAGCCCCTGGACCAGCAACGCCCATTACTAATGGCCAAGAGGCCAAGAGGCAGAGGGCCAGTGGTAGCAGCTCTGGTACAAGTCCTGGAATACCAGACCCAGAGAGGCCCAGGAAGACCTCTGCATCAAAGTTTTTTCCCAGACATAAGAATCATGAGGAAAACAAAGGAGAGAAGGATCACAGTGGTCAAATGAGTTGGGGAAGGAAACATTTCACAATCGAACAGGTTTCTTTCTCCAAGGGCTTCTCAGAGCCTTTATTAAACTAATGCACATATGCATCTCCAAGAGGAAGAAACAGGATTCAGCACTTCCCAAACTCATTCTACCACAAATCTCTCTATTGTGAAGCATCTCATGGGACTGTTTCACAGGACATGCTTTGGAACTGGAAAATGGATTCATCCAATAAATATTTATTGAGCACCTACCATAGTCAGGCGCTAACAATAAAATATTCCCTCCAAGCATCCCCAGAACTTGTTCTGGGATACTTTCCTGCTGTTTCTTTCCTCTCACCCTCACAACATGCCTGTGAGGTGGGCTGAGTAACCATCACTGCCCCATCAGGAGAGAGCTGAGCCTCAGAAAGGGGAAGTACTTGGCTAAGGCCACAGAAAAGTGAGTTCCTTCTTTCACACTTCGGGCACTACCTCTCTAATCCAATTGGTTATTTTCTAGAAGAGGAAAGTCAGATCTAAGGCAAAAAGGAAGGAGGGCCCTGGCTCTCCTTCATCTAAACCACAATTCCTCCCCCACCCCCCAACAGGGCCTGTCCAGCTCTCCCTGCTCTTGGGGTCACAAGTTGTCCCAGCCTCAGCCCAGGCTGCTCCCTTGGCCTCTCTGATTCTGGAAGAGGGAGGTGGGTAATGAAGAGGAAGCCACAGTGTTAGCAAACTTGGTCCCTGTGGCCCCTGGCCCCATCCGCCATGAACTCCTCAAAGGGTTAAAGTTCACCCCGCTGGAGAGAGCAGCCCAGTGTGGCTGGGGGCTGTAGGTTTTAGCGATGTCTGTTACAGTCCCTTTAACTTTTTGTCCTGTTATGGGTTTATCACATCTGGTTATCAGCAGGTTTAGGCCCCACAGGCATGGGGGGCTAGAAGTTACATTTGGGGGTTTTAGTTGGGGAAGGCCCCAGTGGACATTTAAAAGCACAGTTATCAGCTGGTTAAGTGGAGATTTAACAGTTCTACTTCCCCCCTAGAGTTTAGCCTTAGAGGTACAGAGCTCGCCCCGCCTCCCCAAAGGGAATGGGATGGATATGTCCTTAGTCCCCAGCTTCCCTTGGTAACAAGAAGCCTTCTCTCTCACACCCAGCGACACCTCACCACACTGGGGCCTCACAAGGGGCTTGCTTGGTCTTCCTCATCAGCCAAGCAGGAGCAGAAATCCCTATGGGCCCACCACCTCCTGCCCCACTTCCCTTAGTCTCTCCTCAACTTCTCAGAGGCCTTCTGGACTAACCTGGGCTTGTTCCAGAGATAGCAGCCCCACAGCACTCTCTTTGGGGGTCTTTCCAGTAAGATCTGAGGTCCCCACTCTTCTCTCTTCTCCTCACATGGCTCTGGTGAAGCCTTCCTAAACCTCCTCAGGTCAGCCTTCCTGCTTCCCAAAGGCTTCCTGCCTCTGCATGCTCTGTGGCCCTCAGCTAGCCCTTTACCAAGCCTCCGAGATGATTCTGGGCAGAGGGAACCTACCTCCAAGCTGCATTCCCAGCCTGCTTGTGATTTACTGCCGGGCTCACAGTGGGGAGCTCCCATGGTAGGGATCTTGTGGATTACCCTAGTTGATCCCAGGTTTAAAAAGAGAACAAGACTCTCCCTACTTCTAAGAAAAAACCCCACTCCTACCCCAAAAACCACCACTCTGAAATGCACAGACAGACCCTTGACTCCAAAGGGGAAGGGAGCATTCTGGCTGGCCAATTGTCCCTTCACTTGGGGGTGGGCATTGGTGAAGGCACGGAGGGGGAAAGAGAGAGCTCTGCACCTTTAAGATAGTGTTTTTAAAGTTAATTAATTAATTAATTAATTCTGGTTAATTACCTTTGTCGAGCAGCCACTCATCTACTACTCGACCAAGCCGGTAGGGGATTCTCTGTCTAGCAATCGCCAGGCGCTCGTTATCAAAGTTTCCTTGGAAAAGTTTAGAAAGACAGTAGGTTTCTCAGGCAGCGAAGTCCAAAGGAGTTAGAAAAGTAATTATGCAATCCTCAGGAGACTCAGAGTAAGCAGCAACATCCACGGAAAGAGGGGAAGGGAGGAAAAGAAACGCTGGGCCCCTCTTTTCCCTTGACCCCCTCCCTAGGCTCCGGTTCAGAGCCAGCCCCACCCTGGGGGCAGGAGCAACCCAAAGCAAAAGAGATGAGAAAAGAAGAAAAGGAAAGGGACACAAAAGAAAGGGAGCTGGAAGGTCAAAGGTCAGAGGTTAAACAGGTTTATCTGTGGTTAAGCTGCTGTGGCCCCCTTCCTTCCCCATCCCAAAGTGGGGGGCGGGCAGGGGAGGGGCATTTAGCAGGTTTAAGTTGGGGGCGGGAGGCATCAGTGGCCCAACTGGTTTCTGCGTTTAGAGGGCGGTTTAGAAGTGGGAAGGATGGGTTAAGCGGGGTTTATGCGGCATTTAGGGGGCCACCCAGCACGCACATTGAACAGTGAGATTTAAACCACTTCTCCAGGCCACCTCAACTCCCTTTGCCTTCGTGCTCCACTCCCAGCTTCCCCTCAATTTCCACCTCATACCACACCTATGACCCCGCCACCTCATACCACACCCATGACCCCCCTTAAGCCCCTCCCGTTCCCAACCCCACCACTGCACTCCCTTTGCAAGGCCTCCTCACCCTGGTCAGGGCTCTCTTTCTACTGGGCAGCCACTACAGGTGTGGCGCCTGGTGTGGGAGCTGGATCATCATCCAGCAGCCCCCTTCCCCTTCTCACCTCCTCTTCGGCCCCTTTCTCCTCCCCTGCAGACACCCCCCGCCTTCCTCTGCACCCTCCTCTGCCCCGAATGCACCTTGACCATTTTCTACTCAGAGCCCAGTTTCTTCTCCTTGCTGTCTCAGGACCTCATCTTGCTCACCCTGCCAGGCCCTCAGCCTTTCTTTTCCAGGCTCCTCCCCCCAGTTCCAGCCCCCATCTCTTCTGCAAGCTTGGCTGCCCATCTGGATACCCACCTGTTCCTCTCTGCGCTCACCAATCTCCAGCCCCTGGAGACTGGGAAAGGGAATGTGTGTGAATGTGTGTGTGTGCACAGACGCCTATGTGGAAAGAGGTTTGTCAGTGCACCTGAGAGGATCTGTACACCTCTGTGAGCTGTGGGTGATCCTGGTCTGCAGCAGTGGAAAGAGAACTGATTTCCTTTGAGAATCTGGCCACTCCTCCCATTTAAGCCACTGACATACTATTCAGTGCACGCTGGTGGGGCCAGGAGGCTTTTCCTCTCATCTCTCACTGCACAGCTGTGCTCACCTGCCCAGAGACCCGGGCCTGGGCCTGCCTATGTACACCTCCCATGAAGGTACACACGATGTGTTCATGTGGGTATGGATGGTGCCTCCTTGGGTGCTTATGAGGCAAGGAGATTCTGCTTTCCCTATAGATTCAGGATATTTGTGTTTAAATTAAAAACAGATCATTCAATCCTGTGTGTGTGTCTCCAAGAGGAAGAGAAAAATGTACATCTGCCTGGAGGGAGGCTGAGTATACAAAAATTCTAATAAAAGTCCTATTTATTGAGCACCTTTGCTATGCCATGCCATTCTAGTGTTTAATGACATTCTCACAGTATTGCTATGAGGTAGGTATCATCACCTTTCCGAAGTGGAAACTGAGATTCAGAGAGGCTAGATGACTTGTCCAAGGTTACACGCTTGTCAGTGGGAGATCCAGGATTAAAACCCAGGTTCTTCTGACTCAGAATCCATGGGCTGTGTCTCTGTGCTCCCAAAGAATCAGAGGGTCCCCCCCCACTCTGGGCCCATGCATACTGATGGTCTGACCTGCTGGTATTGCTCAGGATCTGCCCTCAGTATATACAGGCAACCACCAGACCCTCATGTTACTCCCCTTTACAGGCGGGGGCACCCAGCAGCCTTTCCTCACCCCTAGTCAGGGGTCCCTGAGGAGAGGAGAGCAGGAATAATTCTTCCACCCTGACTGCTGGCCTCCTGGGCCCCAAGGGGAGAAGCTCTAGATCCAAGTCCTGGCTTGACATGGTGAGGCCTTCATGCTTCCAAGCCCAGCCCTGTCCAGCACAGGCCAATGTCATCACTGCTACAAAGGTTGCCCTAGTATGTGTGCATCGGAGAATGAGAGAAGTCTGCTGCCCACAGGAATCATGCCTACACAGCCAGAGCTGTCAGTGTTGGCTTGTTGGGGGGCGTGGGGGATAGGTGGAATTTAGTGTAGGAGGGTTGGTGTGTGTTGAGTGTCCCTACATGTACCCAGGGACTTGATGTAGGCTGGCATCCCTCTGCAGAGCTGTTTTTTCATGTGTCTGTCTGACCATACAAATGTCTGCAGTTGTCCATATGTCTAAGGTTGACCTGTGTGTACATGAACCTCTGTATGTATTAGGGGGCCACGCAGGCCTCTTTATCTCCAGGGACTTTCCAGAAATGTCTGGGTACAAGCCTGCGTAATTGGTGTCATAAGCCTGTACTGGCATCTTTACTCCAGCATAGGTGAGCCCATGAAAGTTTACACATTGGCCTTTTGCCCCTGCCCCTCGCAGTCAGCATGGGGCAGCTTCTCTGCCTCAGCCTGGCTATCTCTCCGCCTGGGAGAGTGATGGAGGTCGCAGATGCTCACTCTGCTTCTCAGTCAGGCCCTGTGTGTGACTGCAATGTCGCTCAGACTGTATCTCACCATCTCTGTGTTTCTGCAGTTCTCCCTGCAGCGTTCCTGTTTCCCCTCCCTCTTTATCTCCCATGCTGGGGCTCTCCTCCGTTCCCTCCCAAGGCTCTGTCCACCTCTTCTCTCCCTGGGCCTGCATGTCAGCATCTCCATCTACCTCTCCACATCTCTCCTCATCTTTGCATATAGTTCAGTGCTATTTCCATATCTTTCCATTGCTTCCCCTCTGGTTTCCTCTCATTCTAAGGCTCTGTCTCTGCCTCCCTCAATATCTTTCAGAGTCTCTGCCTCCTCATTTCTTCCATGTCCTCATCTCCATCCCTCTCCTGTGCTCCTCAGACCTTGGTTTGTCCTTGGCCGCCACAGCTGTCACCCTGTTGAACTTGGTCTGTCTGCATTCTCAAGGCTCCCTGCAAGCAGGGACTGAGTGCCCCGGACCTAGCACAAGCCCTGATATCTAAGTAGGTTGTCAACAAAGGTTATTGAACGCACATGACCCTGTGTTTCATTTTTGTTGTCACTTGTCTCTTCCTCCCTTTCACCATGTCCCTCACCGCCTTGGACACTGGGGGTCCTTTTCTCTGAGTCTCCGTGGCTACTCCTCTTCCTTCGTTAGATCTCCTAATATGGATCTCTGACTTGCTCTTTATAAGGACCTCGGTTCTTTCCTTGGCTCTGCCCGTGGTAACAGCCCTGTCTCCTTGCCAAGACACGTTTTATATTACTTCTGGATTTTCTCTCCTGTTTCTGCATCTGTCTCCCTCATTTCTGAACTCAACCTTTCCGCAATCGCATCAGATTCTCCTCACCTCTACCCTCCCTCCACTTCTCCCCCCACCCCCAAACTGGACCCTGGCCTTGCAACCTTCCCAGCTCAGCCCTGCACCCTCCCCCATAGGGGGCGCATTCGCACCACCACGGTCTCGCCCCGCCGCCACAAATCCCGACTTTTCCTAGCCACGCCCCTGCCCTAGTCCCGCCTCGCAAGCTTCGTCTCTCCAGTAGCCCCGCCCCAGAGCCGCTTAGCCCCGCCCCAGAGCCGCTTAGCCCCGCCCCGGTGCGGCCGCACTCCTATCAGAGGCCGCCACCCGCCCCGCCACCGCGCCTCCTCCGCGGGCCCGCGCCGCCTACCTGCCGGGTACCGCTCGTTGACCGGCCAGCTGTCCACCTGCAGGGTGGCGTTGCCGCCGCTTCGAGTGAAGCGCACCACGTGGTATTTGCCGTCGCTTACTATGGCGTTGGGCTCGTCGATGGTAATGTCGTCCGTGCCCACGTTAAAGATCACCCCCACGGTGCCCTGGTCCTGGGGACATGGAGGTGGAGGTCAGCGACCAGAGGGAGCAACCATTCATCCCTTCTAGTGGCTACTCCTGTGACCACCACTAGCCCAGCTCCGCAGCACTTAAGGCACCTTTCCCAGGTCTCAACCGCTGGAGGAGGTGGGCAGGCTCGCTCCCCTTCCCCACATGCAAGGGAGTAACTTGAGGCCGGAGGTGCGTGCAGAGCCTGGGCCCAGAGCGCCTTCCACTAACCACACCTGTCTCTTGCCTTTTGGTTTGTCCTGGATATTCACAAGTATTCACAGAGCACCTACTCTGTGCAAGGGCCACTGGGCCCAGACAGGGGTGATCGGGCCAAGCTGGGGACCAGCTCGGGGCATGGAGGGCAGAGGCCTCTCTAAGGCAAGATCAGCAGAGAAGTCCACAGAAGCCGGCCTCTGCCAGAGGAAGGTCTGACCCCCAGCCCCTCCCCAGTCCCCAGTCTCCAGCCTCTCCTCCCTGGTATGCTCTGTACCAAGCAGGCCCCCAGGGGGCTTCCACCCACACCAGGGCATTAGCATGCCTCTCCTGGCAGCCTCTCAGGCCCAAAGTAGGTCAGGCTCTGAGTGTGGGGGTGGACCCTCTGCAGCCATGGGGGTGGAGGTGGGGGGTGTGGACTGTGTGTATGGTGGGATGGACACCAGAAGAGCTGAGGGTCAAACTATGCTAGACTGACCAAGAAAGGGGATCGTGGGGGTTTCGGGGTAGGGGGTGGAGCTAGGGGCTGGGGAAGGACAGGCAGAGGACAGACAGGGACGGAGGCCTGGAGAAGGGGAGCAAAGAGCCTAAGCAATCTCTGGGACCCAGGCCCACGGGACACTCTGCAGAGGCAACCCAGGATCAGCCCAGGAAGAGTTCTGCTTGTGGTGCTAGAGTGGGAGGGAGGGCTTCACCAAACCCTAAATCATGCCAGGCCCTGAGTGGGTACTGTACACGCATGCTCTCTTCCCTACACCAACCCGCTGAAGAAGCTCATAGCTCCCCATTTCATCAAGAAAGAGACTGAGGCTCAGCATAGTTAAATAACATCTCAAAATCTTGCAGCTCATGAGAAGGAAGCCCCAGATTTGAACCCCAGCTAGTCTGACTTCAAAGCCAGTGTTCTCTCCCTTTGCCCACCAGTCTAGGAAGACCCTGACTCAAGGAGGTGGGGGTGTGGGATGATCCAAGAGGCTGCTGAGGCCTACCTTCAACACCAAAGGCATCTAACCAAGCCAACGAAGGCCCATTAGGTACTAAGCCTGAGCCCCTGTTTCACTTCCCTGCACCTCCCAGCAGCACTCCTGAACGCGGTCTCAGCCCTCCTCCCACACGGAACAGACACTCACACAGGTTCACTCAAACCCCCTGGCTCACACACTCTCAGGCACCCAACCCATCATAGAAACACACTACACTCCTGGGGTCTTCTTGAAAGACTGCCCCAGTCTGGCCTGGACATGTGGAACATTCAGCTGCCACCTCCTTCCTGCATCTAGCAGAGCCGAGAGGCTTGGTGGCACTGGGGGTGTTGGCAGGGGTGGCTCACAGATGGGGCAAGGGTTGGGGTTTGGCAGAGAGAGTTGGGGGACAAGGTTTGCAGCTGTGGCTCAGGAGACCCATGTCCTATCCCTTCCCACTTGTGGGGTCCAGTTGTCTCCTTCTCAGAACCTGGGAAAACCACATACATATATGCATGCATGCACGCTAACACACAGATGCATGCACACAGTCATACATGCATGCAGCCTCTCTCCTCAGATGCAGTAAAGCAGGGAAACTGAGGCTGGGCTTGCCTAACAAAGAGTATTAGCAAGCCCCACCCATTCACCACCCACAGACTGACAACATCCCCAGGGAGACGGGCTGATCATCTGCTCCCCACACACGGGAAGGAACAGTCGATCCTCCTCGGTACTATTGTTAGTAATAATACCACCCAGAATAGTATCAGCTCCCTGGATTCCTCTGAGGATTTCTCCCCACAGGCTCAGCCCAGGCAGTGATGGTGGTCAAGGAGCACATGCAGTCTGAGAGCCAGGCTGGCAGAGTGCCGGCCAGGGAGCTGGGAGGCAGGACACCTGGGTTTCCTAGGAGGCAGTCAAGCTCAGGGCCCTGCACTCCGGGGGAGAGGCAGCTCCCCAGAGCCTCTCCCAGTGTGAAGTCAGTTGTCACTTCTGTTAAAGTCATTAATTCCTAATTCCCCAATTACCTCATTAGGCGGCGGTGGGGAGAACGAAGCCGCTCCTACAGCAAATAATTATGGGAGTCAAAATTAATTTGGCAAAGTGGAGCGACGCTTTATTAGAAACGTCAAATTGCTTTTCTCTTATTTTGCTGCCGCCTCCCCACTCTCTGAGAGCTGCTACTGACGCTGTGGTGGGAGCTGATGTGTCACCAGGGGAGGAAGGGGTTTGGGGGCTGCCCCCAGGGGGCCTCAGCCCATCTGGTGCCCACCTCCCACCTCATGGCTGGCTCCTCTCATGGACCCCCACCCTTGCCAGGCCTCTCCACCCTCAGGCAGACCCCCGTCTTCCCTGCCCTCTGCCGTACCCGGCACCAGTACTTGTTCCTCCATAGCCTTGCACCTTTAAGGCCTGTTCACAACTGTTGGGAGAGAAAAGGAGGAAATCCCTTCTCCTCGCATCCTGATCCCCCTACCCTTTCTCCTCAGTACTAGGGGAGCCCTACGCCCTAACCTAACAGGCACAGAGGCCCACAGTCCTGCCTAGGTAGCTGATCAGAGATGGTCGGGATACTAGCTAACACAGCATGCTCCCTACGTTCTTCACATAAGTGATCTCCTTCAACCTCCAAACATCCCTCTGTCCTCTTCCTATGCCACTCCATAGATGGGCTAACTGAGGCTCAGACAGCTGCGGTGACTTGCACAAAGACAGCAAGGAAGTGGCAAAGTTGGGATTCAAACCCAGACCATCTACTGCAAGCCATGCAGAGCTTCGCATGAGGGAGAAGAGAGAGAAGGAGCAGCCCTCACTCACAGAGGACACAGGGAAACCCAGTCACACCCCGCCACCCAGAAAGGCAATTGAAACAACTGCAAACACCACTACATGGGGAAATACACATCTATAGATACACTCCATCAGAAATCATGAGATCCAGTCTCTGTCTTCATCCCCCACTGTCACAGCCGTCACTCCTGACACACATCACCATGCATCCAGTCCCACACTGTCGTCTACAGCCACACTGTCTTTCGCTTGCCAGCTGCCTCTCACCATTCTAGATAACTGCCTGTCCCGCTGACACAGGTACAGAACTTCCAGGCCTCTTCTTGGGCCTGACTACTGTTCTGCTTGCTAGTCCTCCTTCTGCACCCCTTCCTCATCCGCTGCCACTTCCACCCCAGCTCTGCTCTGCCCACAGGAAGTCTCCCCTCATGCTCCTTCCTTCACACCCTGGTGTTGGGGTGGGGTGCAGACCTGGGATGCTTAAAAGCTACTGTGTAATGAAGGCCAGTGGCTGCGTTCCCAAGCAGATGGGGAGAGATCAGAGCCCAAACAAGCCTCTCCCCTGGCTTCCTCTCTCCCCTTCCAACTAACTATGCCCTCCTGAAAGCCAGGGGCCCCTCACCCAGAGCTTTCCAGCCCACAAAGCCTGGCCAGCCTGCCTGATCCCCACAGCACAGGGGTCCTGGCCAGGGTGAGCATGTGAAATACAGGCAGGGAAACAAGGTGGCTGTTAGGGGCCAGAAATGTACAGATGAAGACTGAGGGCAAAGGCTCGGGATTGAGGACTGTGGGGAGGGGTCAGGGGAGAGGTTGAGACCAGAAATGAAATGGAGCAATACCAGAGGTCGTAGGGAAGGGTGTAGGGCAGAGCCAGAGATGGGGGAAAGGGCAGGGAAAGAAAAGGGGCCACTTGCAGACTAGAGTTCAACAGGACTCAAAACGGTGAGTCAAGGAGCTGCAGATATGGTAGGAGGCCCAGAGGGAGACCCTGGGAAGGAACCAAGGTCAAGGTGGGTAGCAGGCACAGGGAGGGGCTAGGGCTTCTCCCTGTGGAGCTGAGCAGAGAAAGGCAGAGCCAGGTGGGAGCTGAGGTCAGGGTGAGGATGTGGGGCTGGGCCAAGAGGTCAGTGAGGAGTGAACCTGGCTAGAGAGGCAGTAAAGGAGACAGGGTAAGGGGGCTGCTGGGAGGGCAAAGGTCACGGAAGCAGAAGTCAAGGGCAGCATAGAGGCAGGGGCAGAATCCAGAGGCAAGATGAAGCTGCAAGGGTGGGCTGCCCTGGGGCAGGTAGGTATGAAGGAGGGGCAGGAATAGGTGCAGGACACAGTAGGCTGGCCTAGCTGGTCTAGGAGTGAGCAGGCAGCAGCCCAGGGGAAGTCACAAATGTGGGACACCTCCGAAGGCTACAGGAGAATGGCCTGGAAGTCCCAAAGAGGCCCTTGACTACTTTTAGGAAGGTCAGAAAACACAGGTGGTCTCAGGGAGTGGGGAGCTGGAGAAATTCGAATCAGATGGGAGGGTGGATCTGGGAGTCTTGGTGAATAACTGAGAGAGGGAAGGGTCTCAGAAGCAGAACTTCTTAGCAGGAAGCTCCAGCAATGAGGGAACAGAGGTTCTGAGGGTTCCCCATGAGGGAAGACTTGAGGTGCTGATCCCATGGCAATGAGGGGCTGAACTGATTTGGGAGCAGGAAGCTTGAGGTTGAAGGGTTGGGGCCCAGGGTCCTTACGATGTGCAGCTGCAGGTAGTCTCCAAGGCCGGAGGCGCTGTCCACCCGCACCAGCACAGCGCTCCGCTGGTGGGTGCTGAAGCCCACGGCCAGGCGATCCATCCTCGTGCTGGGCCTGTCATTGGGGGGCCACGTGTAGGTGATGAGCGCTCCCCCCTTCCCAAAGATGTATGTGGTCCCGGCTGCAGAGAGAAGGAAAGGGAGACAAGAAGAAATGACATCAGGAGGACGAGGTCAGCAGGTCCTCAGGGTTGTGACCAGAGGGATGGAACCCCAGGTCTAGATGTGGGACTTCAGCTGTGATACCCACAGCAGCCACCAGCCCTGCCACCCCAGGGAGAAGTTGGCAGGCGGGTGCCTGGGTGAGAGCCTGTGCACGCGCACAGACAGATGTAGCTGCCTCATCAAGAATGCTAGCTTTAATTACAGCAAAATAGAGAGGTAATAGAGTGACACAGAGAGAGAGCCCAGAGAGAAGCTGTAAGGAGACTGAGAAGACAAGAGTGCTGTGGGCAGGAAAGACCCAGGGGGCCCAGTCCTGACTAGCTCCACTTCTCCCAGGCCTGGCAGAGGTGACAGATCCAAGGTGTGTGCTTCTTTGGGGCCAGAGCTAAGCAGGCACCAAGGAACCCCAGGTGATGGCAGGAAGATGAGCAGAGCTGTGTGCAGCTCTGACTCACGGCCAGAGCTGGCGCCCTCCAACATCTCCCATCCCAACCCCTCTCCTGGCTTGCCCAGGACTCCCTGCTTCCGCCCTCACCCAGGGGGCTGCCTGGGTCCCAAAGCAGGAAGGTCCTGGAGCCCTGCCCAGAAAGGAAGAGACAGCCATGAGGTGGGGGTGGGGGAGGGGGGAGAGGGGAGATTGACAGCCAGAGGAGGAAGGAGGCAGAGAGACAGATGGACAGAGAAGGACAGAGAGGGGTGTAAGTGAGAGAAACAGGAGAGTGGGAGCCGGAGATGAAGGCTCCCTCTCCCAGCCCTCCCCTACCCCACCCTCTCTCCCCTTCTCCTTCTCTTCTTCGCCAGCCGGCTGCTGGGGGCGGGTGTGAGGTCCCTAACGATCTCAGCCCCAAAATAAACCCCATTAGTCGCCATGTTCCCTCCTGCGGCTGACTGAGCTCTCTGGGGGTGGGGGTGGGGGTGGGGGGCTGGTCACCCAGTTTCCCGGAAAGGAGCCTTGTCTGGGAGGCCTGGAGGACTAGTACTCCATGGCCTGCAGAGAAGGGAAGGGTAGAGAACAATCTTGCATTCTTTAGAACATAAATGGAGCAGATGAGATTCATAAAATGCTTAATTAAATAATTAGCCACTAATGACTCCTCACAAAGCACTTCTTGTGAGGAGAGGGGTTCAAGGGAGGACTTAAAGAAGGAGAGAAACAGATGAGGCCTAAGGGCAAAAGCCTAGACAGGGAGAAAATGTCAGTCTGGGGGTGGGAGAACTCTGGAGTCAGGAACTAGGAGCCTGCAGTGGGGGGCAGGAGGGCCTGCAGCACTTCTAAGGAGCAGGCCTTGCCAGCAGCCAAGGAGGTGGCCCAGTTGGTAACACTAGGCCGGGTTCCCTCAGGTACCTCGGGGTCTCTCGCCTCAGGGACTTGAACCCCCTTGTAGTTGGGGCAATCAGGGGTGAGGAGGCTCCATCCCAGGGAGCTCCTAGGACCCCAAAGGGGAGGGGCTGCCTGAGTGCTTTGGGGGGAGCCACCATCTGCAGGCCCAGGGAGGTGCTGAGGAGAGAAGGGAAGATTGTTGCCTGGTTCCCAAAGAGGTAGTGAGGCCAGCAGGGGGTTGGGGGAAGCAGGAGCCATGGGTCCCCTTGCTGTTCCCCAGAGCACCCACCATCAACACCTTCCATCCCCCCAGAGTGAGAGGTGACCCTGGGAGGAAGGGCAGGAGGGAAAGAACCACCTGGATGGCTAATAACTGACATCTCACCTCTGCCTGTGGCCAAGAAACCACCCCCAGCAGACAGAGGGGGCTTGGCTCTGCCCTCCCCAGACCCAGGTGTCCTTTCTACCTGAGGGCCCTGGAGCACAGTGGTGAGCACTGAACCCTCAGGATGGGGCCCCAAGTCGAGGGCGGAGAGTTGGCTGACAGTGGGGTATGCAGTGACCCCCACCCCCACCCCATGTGGTCACCTGCCTGGAAGGGCAGCGCCTGGAGGTGGGGAGCCCAGTAGGCCTCAGCCGGTAACGGTCTCTCCACTCCCAGCACTGCAGCACTCTGGAAAATCGGCTGTTTCCATGACAACTGTAATACCCAGGGTCCTCCTCCCCACTCCACACAAGATGCACATCTGAATTTGGGGGGTGGGGCGGGCCAGGGGAGCAGAGATGCTGACCTTCCTCCACACACATTCCTACCCTCACCTTCCTGATCAGAGGCTGCAGCCTCTTCACCCCTGGGCTCCAGGGCCTCCCATTCAGAGAAGGCTTTATTGGGTTTCTTGATCCCTCAGACCAGGGAAGGAAACCAAGTCTACCTGCAGGCTGCCTCCAAATCCCCCAGGTCTAGGAGAAAAGAGGCCCTTTCTCTTCACTTCCCACCCCAGATTCCAGACAGCAAGCACATCACCATGGACAGAGCCCTGTCTGTGCCCAGAGAGGGCGGGAGGAAAAAGCCGGCCAAATGCCCCACTGGGCAGGCAGTGAGGCAGGAGGGATCAGAGGCGGTGCCCAGCGCCCAAGCCCCAGGCCCCACACCCACACACAGGCGGCGACGCACCCAGCTGCACACAAAGACCCAGCGTAGAGAGGCAGACCCCCGACAGGAGGCGAAGCAGCCAGGAAACATGGCGGTGAAGGCACAAAGACAGACCAGGGAAGGCGGCCCCAGGACAGGGACTGGCCAAGCGTGGGACAGGGCGCACGCGTCCCCGCCCCCGAGGCCCGCGGCGCACAGGCTGCCCAAGCCCAGACCTCCCCTGGGATTTATCACCCAGCCGTTCTCACACTGCTGCCAGTTTATTACGCTGGGCGGGTCTGTTAAAGCCTAAGGGCGTTTATTACACTGTGGGGGGACTGGGCGGAGAGACACTTCTTGGGCAGAAGAGGTGAAGGATGAATGGTTTATTGGACTGGGGCGGCAGTAATTACCCTGGGGAGACATTTCTCTCCCCAGCACCGCGGCTGCCTCCGGAGCGCAGAAGGCTGGGGTTCGGGAGACCGCGGGGCTGGGAGGCGTGGCTTCCGCCAGGCCCCTCCCCAGCCGCGCTCCGGAGGCGCCTTCAGCCTCTCACCCCGGCAAGCTGTCCTCGGCCCTGCCCACGGACTCCCCCAGGGAAGGCACAGCTGTCTTCTAGGAGACACGGAGCGCAAAATAGGGCACCACATCTAGAACCTGACAGGCTCCAGAAAGGGTCTGAAAGGCAAGAGGGGCCTAAGCCAAGGCCCAAAAATGTTGCCCAAGGGTGGTGTAGACCAATTGTTTTTGACCTCTCTAGGAAACCACCAGTGAGCTGAATTGTGCATAACATTTCAGAGAGAACTACACACCTGAAGCCTAAGGCAAGAAAGCCTCTGGCCAAACACAAGATGCCATAGGCCCAGGTTCGGCACCTTCTGCCCATGTCCAATATAGTCTCCTCAATACCTCCTAGACCCAGAAATTCACTCATCCAGTGAAATACTCTAAATGTTCAAGAATATTCCATGCAGTCCCACACACACCTGCATTCTAGAAAAAAACCAACCAACCATTAATAATGGTTAGCTAACCCAGACCCAAACAACATAATCATCCATGTAGAAAACCACCCATGCAGTGATGCCCCTGTGGTTAAAACTACATGTGCAGAACCTCTGCCTGCCTGTGTGCCTGCAGCATCTGAAGCCATGAAAGAAAACCTTCTGGAATATCTAGACTTGTGAGAGGATAAAACATCCTGCACAACCCAGAAAAGCCATGGCCCTAGTGCTCGCAGCCCACACCAGCGCTTTGTACATGAACCTTTACATCCCAGATAGAGAGATCTCTAATGGTCTAGATCCCTGTGCTCAGCTGTCTCTTGATCTAGGATCCCAGAACACAGCCTTTCAATTCCTAACCCCCTGCTTGGCCATAAACCATCCAGTCAGAAATCCAAGTTAACACACCCTGTTCAGAAACAAAATAAATGCTAGCCCCCTTTATAAGCTGGAGTGATAAACCTGGAACCCATGGAAGCTACTGACTCAGAAATTAGCAGGGATTGACCACTCCATTCCTGGCCCGACAGTACCAGAAATGAACACGGTGGGGTGGGAGGAACCTCAAGGACTCTGAAACCAGAATTGGGGATCCAGGACCAGGAGAGTGTCACCCCTGGGCTCAGCTCATTTTTAGGACCCAGGTGTGCCAGTCCTCCCATGCCCCAGACAGACATCAGGTACAGGAGTGGCAATGGGTGTCTGGCAGGTAAGGACATTATGTAACAGGAAGAGTTGGGGGGGATGGCAGGGTAAATGGGGGATGGTGTGAAGAGAAGAGAGGAGAGAAGGCAAGTAGAAACACAGTGAGACCCCAAAAGAAGGCAAGTGGAGAAGCTGGTGCAGAAAGGAGAGAGGCTGCCTCCCACTGGGGATGCTAGGGAGACACTGGGCAGAGAGGAAGCCTGGCCTGGAAAGGCCTCCTGAGCTGGCCTGGTCCTCCAGCCAAGTGTAGGGTCCCAAGAAGAGCCTGTCTTTTCACCTCTCCCACCATGGTTAATGGTTAACGGGAGCAAAGGTGGGGTTCAGCCAGGACAGGTGGCCTCATCCCTTCTCCTCCTTTCCTTGGGCCCTCGTCCTTCCTCTCAGCTGCCCCACCCTTCACAGGCTCCTCCCCCACACCTCCCACCCCCTTCTATCGCCATCCTGGAGCACCCTCCAGATGGCTCTTCCTGTTTCCACCAGGCACTGGTCCTCTTTCTCCTCTGCACAGCAAAGGGGTGGCCATCTCTGAGGTGATCCTAAGGCCAACATTCCATACCCTGTCCTCCATACTCTTCTGGCCACTTTCAATCCCTCTGTCCAGCTTTTGCTCCTTCACGGAATCTTCCTTGGGCACTCTGGCTCCCAGGCCCTCCTTCCTACCTGCTCAGGGTCCCTCAGCCAGTTCCTCTCTCCTACACCTTCCTCTTCCACACTCTCTTCATCCTGCAAAGCTCCCCAGTATCCCTGACTTCCTTTATCTATCTGACTCCTTCATGCTTTGCCTCACTGCCCAGAAAGACCATGGCCTATCTGGGCACCTTTGGGGGCAACACTGGGCCTCAAGGGAGCCAGAAGGAGACAATGAAAGGGGGAGGAAGGTAACAAAGAGCCAGAGAGTTCCTGGGGAGGGGGAGGGAGTTAAGGTCCAGGAGCAAGGGGTTGGGTGGGGTCATGGAAGAAGAGAAGGAAACTGAAGAGTGTTGCCTGAGAGGAGCCAGGTGGGACAGAGATAAGATGAGGCAAACTGTATTCGGGATGAGAGAATAAAAGAATGGAGGAAAGAGTTTGAAGGAAGTGCTCCAGGGAAACTGGATGAAGAGAAAACGGAAGCATGAAAAGGGAGATAAAGATAAAGTAGGAGAAAAGGAAGAAGACCAGCAAATGAGCAGAAAGATTGGAGGTGATACAGGGGCAGGATTGGGAAGCAAAGAGGGACTGGCATGGAGCAAGAATGGGGAGGCACCCAGGGGCACAGATGGGAAGGGTGAAAATACAGGAATGGAAGATGATGGAGGAGCAAAAATGGAGTAAAGAATAAGAGGGGATGGAGAGACAGAAACAGGAAGTGATGAGGGTACAAGGATAGGAAGGGAGAGAAGTGCAGACATGGGAGGCCACCTGGGTACAAAGCGAGAACTGATGAAGGCACAGCGATGAGAGGGAATGGGAGCATGGAGGTGTCAGAGAACCCTGATGGGAGGCGACGGACATGGAAGGTGAAGAGAGAGGGGCACAGAGAGGAGAGGACATGAATAGGAGGACAGGTATGTGAGGTGTTGAGAGCACAGGGATGGGATGAGATGGGACAGGATGGGATGGGATGGAGGCACAGAAATGGGAGGTGAGAGAGGTACAGAGATAGAGGTAATGGGGCTACCCTCTGAAAGGTAATGACAAGGTGCAGAGATGGGAAGTGATGAATAGACTAAAATGGGAGGTGAGGAGGTCCCTGGGATGCAAGTGACAGAAGTCCTGAGATGGAACGTGGAGGGACTGAGGTGGAAAGTGATGGGGCTGACATGAGATGAAATAAAATGTGAAGAGGGCCAGATGTAGAAGGTAATGGGGAGGACAGAGCTTGGGAGTGATGGGGGCACAGAGTATGGAGGACAGAGATGGAAGGTGACAGGTACAGGGGTGAGAAGAGATGGCATGCAGAGAATCTTAGGGGTCTAAGATATGAAGTGATGGGGGGCCTGAGATGGGGCTGAGGAAGGACGGAAATGAGAAGGTGATGGGGTCTGAGAAGGAAGGTTAAGTTTTTCCATAGATGGTTATGAGGGGCAGAGATAGGAGGTGATTGTAAGTGGACAGCGATAGAGGACTGACACAGGAGGGGAAGCCTGGAAACGGGAAGTGCTGGACCTACAGAGGTGAGATGCTGGGGGTCAGAGGTAGAGACAGAGCAGAGATGAGGGGACATGGAAGGGAGACACTAGAGATTAGGGGAACAAGGATGGGAGAATGGCGGGACAGTGGAGTGAGTTGGGAGGTGATGGAAGGCCAGTCATGGGAAAAGAAAGGAAGGTTGCTAGAGGGATGGAGGTAAAACAGAGACATACATGAAGAGGTCAAGGAGGAAGAGACATGTCAGAGGCAGAAATGACAGATGTGACAGAGGTGGGAGAGAGGTGAAGGGGGAGAGATGACAGACCAGCGATGGAAGGGTGAGGGTGAGGCAGAGGTGGAGGCAAGACAGATGGAGAGATGATAAGGGGCCGAGATGGAGAAGGTGATGCGCAAGAGAAATGGAAGGCAGAGCTGCACGGAGAGGATGAAAGGACAGACAGGGCGGGGAGGGTAAGGAAGTAGAAGGAGATAATGAACCAGACCTAGGGGTAAGCAGGTTTAGGTGAGGCCAGGAAGCAAAGTGCTGAAGACAGAGATGAGGGTGATGGGGGAGAGGAGAGATGGAGGCAAGGGTGGGGCTGAGATGATGGGAGCTGGAGATTGGAGGTGAAGGGGCTCCGGGACGCAAAGCAGAGGGGCCAGGCTCGGCGTGCACAGCTGGGGTGGGGCCCGCGGGGGCCCAGCTGCGCACACGGGAAGCGCCCCCCGCCCCCGGGCCAACCGGGTGGCCGGCATCTACAGTGCCACTTACCGTGGCCGCCGCGGGTGAGGAAGGGCATGCGGTTGATGGCGATGGGCACGGTGCCGTGCTTGCTGTGGAAGTGGTGGACGTGGTGGGTGGTGCTGAGGCTGGAGGAGACCCGGGCCCCCTCGGCCGCCCCCAGCAGCAACAGCAGCAACAGCGGCAACAGCGGCAGCAGAGGTGGCGGCGGCGGCGGTGGAGGCGGCGGCAGGGGCCCAGCCAGGGCCGGGGGGCGGCGCGGGCACCCCCCCGGCCCGCTCCCCCCGGGGGGCATTTCGGCCCGGGGGCGACCGCCTCACAGCCCCATGGCCGGGGGCGGGGACGCGGGGCTGCGCAGCCCCGCGAAGCCCCCCTCCGGCTCCGAGCTCCGGGAGCGGGGTAGGGATGAAGCGGAGGTAAACCAGGGCCCAAGCCTCGGTCCGGAGCCAACAAAATCAACTGGATCCCGCCGGGAAATCGGGGGTCCGCGGAGCGGCAACGCCAAGGTCCAGGATGCCTGGGTCCATCGCGAGGAGCTAGGGGTCTCTCTGCATCCCGGCGGGGTCGGAGCGGCGCAGAGGGCCGTCAGAAACCCGGGGGAGCGCCCGGGGGAGGGGGCATGGTGCCGAGTGGAGAGGGAGGGGAGCGCGGGGGCCAAGCAGGGAGGGGAGAGCGAGGGAAATCCTGCGGAAAAACCGAGCTGGGGAGCGGGGCGGTGCGGGCTGGAGGAGAGAAGAGGGACGGAGACCTGGTTCCCCCGAAGGCGGGAGACCGACGGCGACTGGGGCCGGCCGCGCCGCTGCTGCCGCTGCCGCCCGACGGAGGCCGGGGGAAAGGAGGGAGCGGCCGGGGGAGGGGGGGGCGGGAGAAGGGGGAAGGGAAGCAAATCCGGGTGAGGGGGGAATGAAGGGATAGGAGAGGAGGGGATAGGAGAGGAGGGGAGCGGGGCTGAGCCGAGGAAAGGCGCGAGCCTGCGAGATTCCGGCGGAGAGATGGAGGCAGCGAAGTGTTGCTGCAGAGGCTGAGAGGGCTGGAAGGGAGAGGGAGGGAGGGAGAGAGGGAGAGAGGGAGAGAGGGAGGGAGGGAGGGAAGGAGGAGAGCGGAGAGGGGAGGGGAAGCGCGGGAGGAGGAGGGGGCAGGGCGGAGGGACCAGAGCGGCTCCCGATCTGCGGGCGGCGCTGGGCAGCTCAGCCGCGCGGCACCTGGCTAGCCCGCTCGGCGCTCTCCTCTCCTCTGCGCGCGCCCGCCCCTCCCCCGCGCCTGGACGCGCGCGCTCCTCCTGCACCCCCCTCCTGGAGAAGGGACCCTGCTGAATAATGGAACGGGATTGAGGCTAGCAAGAGAGGCCACTTTCTTCCTCCCCGCCCACCCCACCCGGATGAACCCCAATAATGCTCTCTGGCACAGCCTGCTGAGATGCCGCGGCGGCCACCTCTGCACCACCCCTCGCAACGCACGTGCACACTGAGATGTGTATCGGCTTGGGTATGGAAACATCCACGTGCCCATATGGGCACAGTGTGCGGGTAGGCACACAGGCTCAGACACATACATGCATGCATGTGCTCACAGACACTGGCACACCAACTTACTCTCAGGGGAGCATATACACATGCTCACAGGGCATACATCCGTGCACACACACGTTTGATCACAGGACATGAATGGCCAACATACACACAGACACCCCTGCTCCCCAAGCTCACCCTCCAAAATAGGGTCCACAGCATACAGTGCACCCAGAGCCTTCGAGGTACTCAGGAATAAGACATGCCACACACGTACAACTCCCCACCACCTCCCCAAAAAGCTGCTCCCCCAGCCCCCTGCACAAGCCTCTCCTGGACTCCTCCAATCCTTCCTCTCCACTACCACTGCCCCTCCCCCAGCCCCAACCTCTCCCTCCATGGGGGGTCTAGAGGACACCTGCCCACTGAGTGTCCCATTTAGGACAAAACCCTTCCTGGGCCACGTATGTCAAGCTGAGGAAACCACTTCTCCTTCAGGATGCCCTCCAATTGGGTTCTGTCCCCCAAACTTTTGGACGCTCTGGAAAGCACCTGTGGCCCCAGAGGTAAGCACAGAGAGACTCCTTTCCCGTCACCGGGTCGTATGCACCAACCTGCTCGGACAGGGGAGAGGGTGGGAAGGCAGAGGGTAGAGGAGGAGGGAAAGGAGGAGAGAGGTGGAGAGGGCACCTGGGGGAGCTGAAGAAACAGTGCAGCGGAGTGAGGAGGAGGGCTGGGTAAGGAAAGGACAGGAGGCAGGGGCGGGTGAAGTGAGAAAGGGGAGGGCTGGGAGAGAGGAGGCTGGGAGGGGCTGGAGAGAGCTGGCTCCTATTTATTGATTCTAAACTCCATTTGGGAGCAAAAACTGTCACCACGAGCCCCATGTGCCACCCCCAGCTCCAGGATGCAGTCAGGACCCAGGACATCTCCCCAATGCTGCTGCCAGTCCTCCATCCCTACTACATGCCAGAGCTGGATTTGGCCCCCAGGTCTTTAGAAGTGAAGAAAGCGGTCCTCAGAGGCACCCAGAGGAGGCTTCCGGTGGTGCAGGGCCCCGAGCCATGCAGTGCTGGAGGAGAGACTGCATGCCAGGAGCAGGGCTGGGGCCCCCAGAGGCCACGTCCTCCTGCCCTCTCTATCACGTTCTTGGGCCCCTGGATCTGGAATATAGACTGACACAGCTCTGAGCAGGCAGAAAATTTATGGTTCCACAGGGAGGGAGGGAGGAGCCGGTGGCGAGAGGAAAGGAAGGGAAACCGCCTAGAGGCCAATCAATACCAGTGAGTGGGAACTGGAGAGAGATGGGGGGGCCAAGGCTGAGAAGGGAGGGGGAGATATAGAGGGTAAAAAAGAAGGGAAAGACAGAGGTATGTAAGAGATCAATAGAGACTGCAGAGATGAACGGAGACAGGGAGGCAGAGATGGTAAGGAATTGACCGCCTGGGAGAGGCAGGAGACAGGCTCTGAAAGACAGAGGAGTAAGCAGGCCTGATGGGAACACCTCGGTCCCAAATCTCAGCCCTGGGAAGTGTCTCTTTTAGCTACCCTTTCTCATTTCATATTCTCTTTTTCATTTGCTGTCCACTTTCCTCCATCTCATCTTTTCTCTCCTGTCTTCCCAGAGCAGACACTCATAAGCCTTAAAGGAACACAAAGTCCCCTCCACCCCCAGGAGTAGTCCCCATGTCACAGATGGAGAAATTGAGGTGGTAAGTGGGGAAAAGTTGTTCTGAAGGTGTGACCTCTCCTCACCCTAGTCTCTCCCCCACCAGACAGCTCCAACCCCCAGCCCCACCCTTCAGAGGACAGGCCCTGCTCCTTCCACCTTTGCCATTTCTACCCTCTTTCCTCTCTTGAAACCAGGGCCTGCCTGCGCCCCCAGGGCCTCCCACGGGTGAAGGCAGAGCTAACTGAACGGGTCTCTCTGCTGGGTTCCTGCCTGACCTTGTACATCACAGGGCCCCAAGAAGACGTGCCATAGAAACAGAGCATGAAAAACCAGAGACAAGCTAGGAAGGAGGAGTAGCCCTGGGAGAAGAGAGGATTGGGTCCCACTCCCAAGATTCCTGCCCTGCCCTCCAGGGGCGGAGATCTCAGCATTACCCCAGAGCCAGAGCTCAGAGCAGCAGCACACTGAGCCCTGTGTGGCCCCCAGGTTGCACCCACCTTGTCTTAGCTCCACAGCTTTGCAGAGACCAGTGCTTGGGGATGGTGACGCCTCCCAAGATGCACCCTGCTCCCCAGCCCCAACTCTCCCTCCCTCCCACCAGCCTGGTACCCAAAGAAGTTGCTCTTCCTATCCCTGCTGAAAGGTAGCACAACCCTCACTTCCCATCCATCTCATGCCCCCTTTCCAGAAGGCTCCACTGTGTGGGAGTGAAGCAGTGGCGACGGGCAGCAGCGCTTCGTGATCCTGATTTCTTCCACCCCAGGCAAGAAGTGCCCACCATGGGTACCACCACCACCCCTCCCCCGAGGACTAAATGAGCAGCAGGGAGTGACAAACAGTCAGGTGCACCTAAGTTCCAGCCAAGCTCTACCATCGACACTCTATGACTTGGGGTGAGTAACTGCCTCTTACTGAGGCCTGGGTTTCCGTATCAGTTAAACACAAAGGCCACTGCCTTCTCTGAGGATCAAATTAAAAGGGCCTTGTAGCAGCAAAACATGAAACTATTAGTGGGGAGTGTTACTATTAAGCAACGAAGTTACCATCATCTCCAGATCTGTGCAAAACTGAGTTAGCTGGAGGGGAAGAGGTCCAGCCACAGCCAGGTCTCCATGCCTTGGCAGTCAGGCTGGAACACCCTCAGCTGGCCATTGTCTGGAGGCTTTGGAAGGCACAGACAGCAGCAGGTCAAGTAAGGAAAATCTTGGGAGACAGAGTGGAGATGTGGTGGTACCCAAGGGCTGGACATGCCTAAGAACACGAGGAAAGCACTGAGGGAGATGGGGTAGACATTTTTTTCAAAGGGGAAAGAAAAACTAACACCACCCAAGAGCTCCTGGACCCAGTAGGTTTCTCCTGTAAGAAACTCAGGACTCATGCCCAGGTGATGAAGGTCCCGCAGTGTGGTATGGAGGCAAAGGCACTGACTGGAGTCTCACCCCAAATCTGCTATGAACTACCTCCAGAAATCGACTGTCCCTCTCCAGCCGTATTCCATGTCTGTAAAATGGAGACGCTTCGTTGTGTGTGTGTGTGTGTGTGTGTGTGTGTGCATGTGTGTGTGCGTGCCTGTGTGTGTTTCTTCCCAGGCAGTTGACTTTTCTGCTTGGTCTCTCAGCAGGACCCCAGGGAAGATGATTCAAGCAATGCTGAGGAGGCTGCACTCTGCCCACCCACTCCAGCCCCATCATCCAAGGGAAATGCCAAAGCTACCCCACAGAGTAGAAGGTTGCCTCCCCGCCATTCCTGCCTCAGCTGCCCTCCCTCTGCAGGGCTCTAACCAGCTGCAGGCCACCAACCACTAGGGACTGGGAGCTGCTGCTGACCCTGCCCTCTCTGGGGAGGGGCCTCAAACAGAATGCAAGTTGGCAATCAGATGTCCAGCCTAGGAGGAAAAGAACCAAGCGAAGACAGTAGGGAGTGACCTTGTGGCTCAAGGGGACAAACTGCAGCCGGGATTATTGGGGAAGAAAGAGGAGCCCATTCCAGGGAAACCAGCTGTCCAGCAGCCTGGCCTCCTGGAAGCCTCCAGAGCCTGTCCTCTGGGGTGTGGTCCTGCTCTCAGCAGGAAATAACAGATTCCCACTTCATGCCCTGAGGGCACCAAAGGGGGTGCAGATTGTTAACAGCCCCCCTCCCTGTGCAATAGTGTGTCTGTGTGAGGTACAAGTACATGTAAGGCCATCACCAAAACTACACAGGACAGCAGCAAGTTCACCCCACTAAGGCCAACACCTTTGGTTTTGGGTGAAGGGAGCAGGGTCCCACCAGCTGAGAACAAGGAGGAGAGGCCATCTATCAGTGGGTCCCCCCAGAGCTTCAGGCAGCAGCAATCCTGCACAGCCCCAGGAGAAAGACCCTATGAGGGGACAGCAGGCCACAGCTCCCCTGGGACTCTGCAGACAAGGGATGAGAAGGAAGAAGCAGCACAGCTCCTGAATGCTCAGAGGCCCTGTTTCCTCCCTGGCAGCCCCTATGGCTGGGAATGGACCCTGGTCTCCCCAAACTGCCCCCAGCCCTCCCAGGCACTCACGATCATTGCAGACAGGGCCTCCATAGGAAGTCATGGTGCAGTCGCAGGTGAAGCCATCCCACTGCTGCAAGCAGACGCCCTGGTTGGCACAGGACTCTTCAGTGCAGGTGGTGCTGGGGCCTGGAAGGGGCAGGAGAAAGGAACACCCCTGGCTCAGCCAAGCCCCCTCTTTCCCCAGGAGGTGTGGAAGCTTCAGAGCCAGGCAGAGAGGTCCTACTCTGAGCTCTGCCTGGCTGAAAGGGCCAAGTACTGATGACAGGGATTGGGGCAGGAGGGTCAGGTCTGCTAGGCTTGGCCTTGGACTGTGACAAGGGGCCAGGGTGTGAGACAACAGGGAGGGCAAGTGACCCTTCACACACCTGTATCCCTGCCCCAGAACTGTGGGGGCAAGCTCCCATAAGGCCTGAGAAGGAAGGCCCCTTGGCAGAGCAAAGGCTACCTGCCCCGGTCTGCCTCTGCAGCTGGCCATCCTGTAGCCAGTAGGGCCACACCTCACTCCTCCACCCTCCACTCACCATCACAGCCCCTCTCCACCTGCCCAATGCGGTGCAGGGCGTCGGCGATGAGGTCTGGGAGACGTCCGTTGAGGTCCACTGAGGCCAGGCAGCCCTGAAAGCCATCCCGGGAGGCCACCAGCTTGGGCAGGTTGCTGAACATATTCTTGCTCAGACCGCCAATGTACAACTCCCCTGCAAAGGGAGTGGGTCAACCAAGGCATCCAGGTCCCCATTCCCATCCCAAGACAATGGCATCTGGCTGTCAGGTCCTCCCAGCCTTCTCAGGTTCTCTGCGTTCCATCCCAGATTCCAGGTCCCTAACAGAGATCCAGAGACCTGCACAACCCGCACCCCCCCAACACACTTCTTCCTTCTCCACTTTGCCATCTGCCTGCTCCCCTCCCAGAGAAGCCCAGATGCCTGGGAGAGTGGGGGCTGGGGGACAGCTGGAGGAACCTGCTCTGTGCTCTCTCCCACACATTTGATTCCAGTTCCGGCCCGTAATCAGGGCCTTTCATAGATGCGCAGCCCAATCCCGTCCACCCCCATTCCCTCCCTCCCAAAGTTTCCCATTCCCAGAACTCCTTCAAGCCTTTCCCAACTCTTGGGCTCTCTCCTAGGGAGTTCAAAGCCCAGCTCCCTTCCCCCAACAACTAGGGCTTGGCCTTGGGACTCTGGGAAGTTCTCCTCCGCAACACCTGATCCCCTGCCACAGAGCCTAACTCCCTGGAATCCCTGGAAGCCCTAGCCAGCCCACAGCCGAGCTTCAGTCAAGACACTGGTCAGTCTGCTGCCCTGGCCACGGGCTCAGTACAACACAAGACCCGCCAAGATAACCCCCGGGGTTTGGGGCCACTTTGGATTCTCTGTGACACATCGCCCCCTTCTGAGAACAAGGGGAATTCACAGCACTATGTCAAGAGATCTGACAGATCTCAGATCTGAGGGAGTGGGGCAGTTAATTCCATGGTCTCTGAGGACCCTCCCCAAGCTCTGACAGTATGAGGCAGGCTGATGCCCAGGGGTTCCTATGGGGCTGAGGGCTGCTTTGGGCATGTGCAAGAAAGTAGATCACATTGCCCTCAGTAGGCTCTGGAGAAGCTGCATCTTTCCTGTCCCAATGCTCAGGCCTTAGCTCACCCTCCTCCTCCCTGATCTCTCAGTCACCCATTCTGGGGGCAGGCAATGACTGCTTCAATGACCACTGAAGAGGCCCTGGGGAATGTGGCACCCTGATGTGACCCTGAGCACACCAGGGAAGCCTAGGTCCAAAATGTCCCCAAGCTAGCCCAGCCGATGCCCAAGACAGGTGACTCGGGGACTCTAGCTCCTGCTACGTCCTCTGCCCCATAGCGTCTACCTCACCCAGGAGGATGCTAAGCTCCCTATTCTCACTCCAGCCCTCAACCAACATAGGCTTCTCAACCTTGGAGGCCCAGGAGGTCCTTGGAGGGCCTGGGTTACCTACTCCTAGCTCTGGAATGAGGCCACCAAGCACCCTGTGAGACGCATCCTGCAACCAGGCTTTCAGTGGTGACATGCAGACTCACAAGAGAGCCAAGCAGAACTTGGACAGGAAGATGTCAGGCTGGACATAGTGGAGACAGGGAAAGAGAGGTGGAAACTGGGGGCAGGGAACCGAGGGAAGCAGCGTCGCAGGAATGGGGTGATCTCGCTGGGGTGAGGGGTATCTGGGCTAGGGCCAGGCCTTCTCCAGAGGCCCCAGCCCCACCTTTGAGATCGAGGTTTCGGGCGCCATTGGAGTGCTGCGTGACAGTGCGGGAGTCAATCTTGAGCGTGTGCACGTTGCCTGGGTCCCTGGACACCACCACGTTGTGCCACTGGTTGTCATTGACTGGTTTGTCTGAGTTCCCCTTCATCAAGGACGGGCCATTCCCCAGGTCAAACACGTAGTGGATGTACCTGCCCCACAGTAGGGAGGAGACACTGGGTCAGGGCGGGGGTGATGCTGGGAAGGTGGGGTGAGGAGGAGCTATGGCTGGCAGGGGTCCTAGGTGCCATGGGAAGAGGGATTGAAAGGGAGACCCCAGAGGAGAGCGACCAAAACCAATGGCAAGAGGGCTATGGTGTGAGGTCCTGTCACGGGGAGAATGTAAGGAAGGAGGGCCACCAAGGAGCCGGCTCTTGTGACACAACCTCAGAAGAGGAGCTAGAGGGGAGAGGTTTGTGGGTCAGCAGGGTCCTCTGGAGGCAGGGACTGGGCTGCTCTGGAGTGGGGTCCCCTAAGGCAACGGAGGGGCAAGACTGACTTCTGCCTGTAGAGAAGGTGACAGTGGACAGAGAACAGATATAACAGGGAACTCTGGCAAGGAAGCAGCTGGGGAGTCAGCAGTGGAAGAGGGTGTGCTTCTCCATCTTGGCTGAAGAGGGAGCCTCTCGACTTACGGTCGGGGACCTGAATCTTGACTTGTGATCTGGGGGGATTGGACACCTCGGCCAGTAGCCAGGAGAGCTGTATGTGGTTCAGCAGGGGGAGGGGGCCACCTCCTTGACAGCAGTGCAATCCCCAGCCCCTCACCCCTTGACCAGCTCGATGACAATGAAGTCATTGCCGTTGCCCGAGTTGAACAGAAGAAGCCCATCAGGGGCCGTGGTCTTGAACTGGAAGAAGAGGTGCATGGAAGCATAGGCTTGGAGCGTGGCGAGTGCCAGGTAGCTGCTGCGACTCTTGAAGGTGACGGGATCGGCCACGATGGCACGCAGGCCAAAGCGAGCATTGAGCTCACAGTAGGTGATGTCACCATCCTTGCACTGGTCCATGTAGGGCTGGCCATTGAACACGAGCCCACTCAGATGCCCGATGAAGTTGGAGGGCACCACGGAGATAAACCGCCGCTCCGTCATGATGCCCGTCTCAATGTTGTGGAACTCCAGCCGCATATGGGCTCCTGCCATCTGTCCTGCTCAGGACAGGAGACCAAGATGAGGGGGATGGCTTTGGGGCAGGGCTGGGGCTTGGGTTCCCAGGAGCCTCCCCTCCACAGGAGGGCCACCCATGAGTGACATCTTTAGAGATGTCCTCGGCTAGGCACTAGCAGCCAGCACAGCTCCAAGAGGAGTGGCAGGACTCGCCAGTCAAGAGCCAACAGGCTGCCAGGGGAATGCTGCCTACAGGGAGTTGAAATCGTTCCTGGGGTCCAGATGCCCATAACATTCCACCCCTGAAGGAGAAATGGCAGAGGCAGCTTGCCAGAACACTGCCCTAGGAATGGCAGCCCAGGCAGTAGTCACCAAGTAGAACAGGGCCAAGCATAGGTCACTGGAGATGTGTCCACCTCCCTGGGCCCAGACCACCTACCCTCCACAGTCACGTTGTCCACAGACAGCTGCAGGCTCTTGCCACGCCGGACCACCCTCACCGTGTGCCACTCATTGTCATTGAGCTTGTGCCCCGCAAACAGCGTTTCGGGGCCTTTACCTGCGGCACCAAGGGGGGAATGAGGAGGGCACCTATACATGCTCATAGGTGACTTCCTATATCACCTTGGATACACAGACAGCCTCCCCATCCCCGCACATGCCACACATGAACACATACATGACCAGTGGCTCATATTTGGCCACGCAACACACCCATGAATACAAGTACACACACTTATAGCCTCCCATCACACCTGGAGTCCATGCACACGCAGAGCTTTTATACCCCAGTCATACATCCACTCTCAGGACTGCCCTTTGTGTGACTTTAGGAGGTGCCATGCACATAGAATATTAAGTGAATGGTGCCTCTGGAGTTGTACCCTGAGGCCCTGCACACAGACACCCACACCTATGACCAACATACTCTTCCCCCAGATTCCTAAGGGCCTTCAGTGAGTGTGGCCAGAAGCTATATTCCCAGGGTGTAAACACAGACCTAAAACTTTCAAAACTTCACACAGTACCCAAATGTAAATGCGAGCCCACAGCTTCGGCCTCTGTTACACAGACACCAGCTCCTCCATCTACAATGGGACCCGATGGGACCTTTCTACATACACATGCCTGGTTAACGTCACACACCAAGTCACGCCACCACACGTACTGCCCATAAATATGCAGGATGGCCAGAGAGGGGAAGGTTCTGTTTCTTAGGAACTATGGCCATTTACTCAAGACCAGGATTATCAGCTTCCAGAGTCTAAAACAAAACATACTTATCTTTCAAATGCTGCTGGACTTTGCAGCACTCTCTGGTCATCCCTGCCCCCCCACCCCGAGGGCTCCAGCACGCACACAGCATGCCACACACACATGAAGAGCAGGGCGCCCAGCACACACAGTCTCTCTGCCTGGGCCTACCACGTGCATGTGCTCCCCCATGTGACCCCAAGCCACACCATGCAGAAACACCCTGAGACACAGCATTGAGCCCAGGCGCACTGGGATGTCTGGAGATGTCCACCTGCTCACTCTCCATCTCACCCCTGCTGAGAGCCCTCACTGTCACCATAGAAGGAGCCCCCATTTGGCAGAAACTCACCCCAGCTAACACAGGAGCTGAAGAGGGCTCCCTTCCCACCCTCATCCTCTTTCCTGCATCCCTCGCCTTCCCCCTTGTGGCCAATTCTGGAGATGCAGCAGCGTATTCCAGCCCCTCTCAGGCTCCTCCCTGCCAGTCCATAGGACCACAGGTGCTACCCAAGACTCTGCCCCAGCCCTTGATTTCTACCTCCTCCCCACCCTCCTGCTGACTTGGGTAAAGGGTGTCCTTGTCTCTCCCTTCCTAGACCCAGTGAACATCCTGACTGCAGGCCCTCCCCCAGCTCTCCTTGGCTCTGCTTCATTTGGTCCCTCCTGCCTTCCACAACCACCCAACCTCACCCTCCTGCCTGCACCCCTCCCCACACTCAAGGCCCAACCCCCATTCGAGCCAGCAATCACGGCTTCTCTTCCTCCCAGCCTCCCTCCCTAAATCCCAGCGTCCAGCATCCCAGTCCCCTTGGGTCTCTGCAGAAGAAGAGGGAAGCCACTTACTGGGTGCGCAGCCGACGCGCAGGCAGTCTGGGGGGGCCATGGGGCGGGCAGAGGGGAAGGGGAGACAAAAAGGTAAAACAAGTTTTTTTTTTTTTTACATCCTTCACAGGGAGGGGTGTCTGCGGGCGGGGTTCCCCCCAGGGCCACTTTCCGGGGACCACGCGTGCCCAGGTGCCCTCTTCCCTTCCTCAGTTGGACCCCTGTCCCTCCTGCCCCCAAGAGGGCTCCAACCCTCCCCAGAGCTGGAAGGCAGGGCAGTCAGATGATGGGAAGAGGGCTTGTGGCCCCCTTCTTAGAGGGTACCAGGCCTCTAGTGTCTGAGGGAGACGGGCACCTTGGGAATCCCAGTCGTACAGGGGATCAATGGGGGCCGAGGGCTTGACCAACCCCACATCTCCCCTGTCTCTGGGAGGGAGATGGGTGGGGAGAGCCAGAATCCCTGCATCCCCTGCTCTGGGACGACTCCCTCCTCAGAGCCCAGGTGTGACTTGTCACTCCCTGTTCCCCTCTGGGCTCTGAGCTAAATGGAGGGGTCTGCCCCAGGGCCCCCTTCCCGAGGCCATACACCTCCCAAAGCCCCAGTGGCTAGTACCACCCCTACAGGAACCTTCCTTCCACCCTTTCCAATCCTGGGAAATGCCAGGCTGCTACTGGGGATAGATCATGGGAGTCCTTCACCCTGAAGAGGACCTAGTATTAACCTGCTTTCCTAGTCAGAGGAGCCAAGGCCTCACAGATAGAGACAGTGCAGCCCCCAAAATATGATTTCTCTGAGAACACAAAGCAGTTGGGGACAAGCAGCCACCATAAGCAAAGTTTCCTGCCCCTGCCCCAGTCCGGTCCTGGCATTGCTATCCTCTGATTTCAGGACTGGGAAGGCCCCGTGTGGCTACACAGAGCCAGCAGCCCAGGGCCCTGAAGCCTCTGGCCATCCCTCTGGTTAGACACACCACCCAAAGGTGGGAGCCAGTCAGGTCTTGCAGAGGGAACAGTGGACCAGGGTCCTATGAAGTCCAGATTTAAGGCCTTTAGGATGTCTGCACCACTCCATCAAACGCCAAGCCTGACGCAGCCCAAGGGAGGGGACTGGCTGGAGCTGCAGAAATCCTTTACTGGGAAGCAAGGGAGCTGGGTCCTCATCTCCACCCTAACACTCACTAACTCACTGTGTGACCCTGGGCAAAGCACTTCTCTCCATGCCTCAGCTTCCCTCCATGTGAGCTGAGGGAATGGATAACAGTAGGATCCTGAGCAGGAAGTAGGCAGCAGGTAGACACTGGGTTGGCTTTGCCTTTCAGAGAGGGGCAGTCTCCCGGCCCTCGATTGACAGGCCCAATACCCTGGCCTCCTGTCGCTCCACCCCAAATAGGCTCTGCCTACCCCACAGCCCAGGAAGCAAAGGGGGTGGGCAGCTGCATCCCCTGGGCCCCTGAAGGTTCCTGCAGTGGAGGTAAACTGATGCCCCTGTGGCTTTGAGGGCCACGGCCCTTCGGCAGTACAGCTGAGCTCCACACGCGTTGTCAACCGCAGCAGAAGAGTGGAGGCGAGCAGCCAGGACCCTGGGCCACAGCCTGGCACCAAGGGAGGAGCAGAGGAGCAGAAAAAGGTCAAAAGGCAGACACAGAGGGAAGTGAGAAGTCTCAGTGAGAGGAATGAGGTAGAGAGAGTGCAGAGAGAAAAGAGGAAGAAAACGGAGCAGAGGAAGGAGCGGCTGCACAGAGGGGACAGGGGAGGCTGGACAGAAGAGGAAGGGGAGGACTGTTAGGGTGAGGGTAGAAGGGTGCCAGGCCCTGGAGTCAGGTCACGGGGGCTCTCTCGGGGCCAGCAGAGTCTTCACCAATGAAGGGTCCAAAAAAAGAAAAAAGGGGAGGCTGGATGGGCAAGCAGGTCCCCTACTGGGGAAAAGACCCAAAGAAGGAGCTTGATTCTTCTCCTTCCCCAGCAAGGGAGCACCAGGAATGGGGGGTCCATCTGTCCAGAGAAGAGGTGTCAGCTCCAGGCCCACCCCTGCAGAGACTCCACCCTCAGAAACACAGGCTCCAGTAGGGTTTGCAAGAGCAAACGACTTGAAGATGGGCACCCAGAGGGAAGCCAGCCCCATCCAGAAGAAAGCCAGAGACTGAGAGTGAGCAGGAGAAACCCAGCCTCTTCAACATACACATTCACCAAAGTTCAGGGGGCACTAACTAGTAACCTGTTAACTAGTGACCTGTGCCTCAAGTGCAGGGAATAGGCAGAAGTGAGTGGTCTTCGTGGCACAGACCCACGAAGGCCCTGGCTGGACAGAGAGAGCAGGGTCGTAGTATGAACACGTGTTGGGGAGGTAAGACAAAGCAGTCTGCATGGAAAGGAACTCAGGGGAAAGAACACTGGCTTCCCAGCCCTGCCTCACCTGGGTTCCTTCCCCGCCCAGGCCCTGTGGGTTGGAGACAGTGGGCCCAAGGCTCCCAGGCATCTGTCTCAGAAGTGACATCACAGAGTGGCAGCATGCACTCTGTCATAGCCCTCCTTCAGAGCTGGCTCCCAGCAGCCCCCCTGATAATTACTGATCAGCCTCAGGTGGAAAGGCAATGTACCCTCCCATGGCCCCAGGGATTAAAGGGCTTTGGGATACAATGTGTATTTAGCCTGATTTAAAACACAAACGGGAGTTAGATTTCTCCGTTTGATTCCAAGGGGCAGAACTAACGGGAATTTCACAATAAGTGGGAATTTCACAATAAGTGGGAATTTCAGAAGGGCAGGGTGACACTAAGAAAGAACCACTCAATGATCAGAATGGATCTTGGAGGTGGGAGGTAGAAGGCCTCCCACTGGTAGGGAGTGTATGGGTGATTCATGGGGTGGGGAGGGATGCTGAAGGAGGTAACCCCCTTGCAGCTCAGAGATTCTTTAATTACACCACACCCTTCAGGTCAGCTGCACTGACAGCTGGGACCCCAGGGGCACACCTAGTAGAGGACAGTGCCCAGCCTGGCCTGTCCTCTCCTCCCCTCCAGGGAGGGGCCCAGGCCATGCTGGGATAGGGCAAAGAATCCAGGGGACTCTACCATCCTCTAGGGACAGAGATCAACTCCCCAACTCAGGGGCTGCAGACAGCAGAGCTCAAGGAACTTGCTCAGTGTTTGCAAACATAGTGGGGGCTGGGAAGCTGCAGCAGGAGGCACGATAAGTTCCTTAGGATCCTCTGCCTGGAAAGAGGCAGCAGTGCCTTTTTGTCCCTCTCTTATCTAGCAAATATCCCATCTCTTGAGGCTAGCACTAAGCGATCCCACCTAGTGGTCACCCGCAGCCTCCGCTCCCTCTTCAGGCCCAGCCTGGGGCCTGTTTCAATCCACTGAGTGCCTGTGGAGCTGCAGAGCTGCCTCCTGGAGCAATAGCTTCCCTCTACAGGATAAGATCATGAGGCCAGAGACCAAGCCTCACCAGGCTTCTCTCTCTTCCCCAGTAGTGAGTCCAGCCCAGGCCTGGGGCCTTGGTGTTGCTGCCGGTCTGTGAGGCCCTGCAAGTCCTGGGGAGCAAGCAATGGGGGACAGGAATGGGGCTCTTGAAGTGATTCACGTGGGCCAGGAGGCTGAAGGAGGTGACGCCTTGTGGTTCAGAGATTCTTTACACTGCACTTTTCCCATCAGCTGCACTGACAGCTGGGACCCCATGGGCACACCTAGTAGAGGACAACTCCAGTCTGTCCATGCTATGTGGAAGTGGCCCCCAGGCCTGGCTCCAAACTCAAGTCTCTATTCCAATATGGTTTTGTTTTCCTTCAAGAAGGCTGGGTGGGTCTCTACTATGGGTCTTGCATCTACACAATGGTTTCAATGGTTTCATTCCCATTCTTCCATCTGAGCCTCAAAACCACCACAGACGTAGGCAGAGTGAAGATTCTTATCTCCATTTTAAAGATTAAAAAAAAGAGAGAGAGACTCAGAGATGGGAAATGACTTACCCAACAGTAAAAGATACCAAAGTTAGGCCCCAGGTCTTCTGGCCCGGAGCCCAGAACTCTTCCCATCCCAACCCAAGGCTTGGTGGCTGGGTAGGGGCCACCTGCGTGTCCACAGTGCCTACAGAGGAGGAATCTGTAGACGGATGCATTTGCACCAAGCCTTTGGTCACAGATTGTCAGGAGTCATGCTAGAGATGGCATCTCAGCACACACATGTCTACAGATGGGGGCAGGGGCACAGCCAGGAGTAAGAAATGGGTGGGAGGAGAGTCCTGTTATCTGTCAGTCTGGGAAGCCTATTCTTAACATGATGTGTCTTCCAAGAGGCCACCTTGTTATCTGACTTCTGAGCACTTATGTGGCACAGACAGAAAAGTGTGCCCATGGAGAGGAGAGGGTGGGTCCCAAGGGCCCACAGGATAGGTTTTCCTGACCAAGGACATTGTTTCCTGTCTAATCTTAAGAGACACAATCTTCTTCCCAGGGGCCTAGGACAGTCCAAATAAGCAAAATGCATCTGCCTTCCCTGCAGATCCAAGGCCCCAGATTTTTCCTGCTGTGTCCCCAGCAAGCACAGAGACATGTGTTTAGATGCAGACAACACACATATGCCCAGGCAAAGTAGGGGGGAACTCACACTGGATACACAAATCTGGGCAGACTTGGAAGTACAGAGCCACTTATGGGGTCCTTGGCTGGGGCTATCCTCTTGTGACAGTTTCAGGGATGCAAGGGAGCATTGTGCAGACTTGTGGAGCATTGACTAGAGTGTCTCCCAGCCTGCTTTCCCCTGCAGAGCTGCTGCACACCACCCGCTCTACAGGCTGTGATCGTGGTTAGAAACAGAGCTGAGGGGAACCCTTCAAACAACTCTGAGGCCCTGGCCACCTGCATATCTCCCCACCTCCAGTCCCCACCTCTCTCAGCAAATCTTTGTCCTAGGAATACAAAGGCCAGGTGGCCAAAAGGGGAAAAGGAAAGAACATAGTATAAATACATTTACAAGGCAATGGGTTCCCCAAAGGCCACAGTCTGTCCCACAAATGCCCCGGAGACCAATGTTAGGATGAGACTCCAGATGAGTATTTAAAAGTTCAAAGTTCAGCCAGGCACAGTGGCTCATGCCTGTAATCCCAGCACTTTGGGAGGCCGAGGCGGGTGGATCACGAGGCCAGGAGATCAAGACCAGCGTGGCCAAGATGGTGAAACCCCATCTCTACTAAAAATACAAAAATTAGCCAGGCGTGGTGGCGGGTGCCTGTAATCCCAGCTACTCGGGAGGCTGAGGCAGAGAATCACATGAACCCGGGAGGCAGAGGTTGCAGTGAGCCCAGATCACGCCACTGCACTCCCACCTGGGTGAAAGAGCGAGACTCCATCTCAAAAAACAAAAAAAATGGTCAAAGCTCTGTATTCTCTCCAGTCGAGGATTCTAACCTGCTCAGAAGAGCCCTGCTTCCCCTCTAGGTCCAGGATACAACAAGTGACCCTGATGACCTGCAAGCTTCCTATACGGCTGGTGCTACACCTTTATAAGCTTCTAGAGGCCAGTCTGAAATGGACAGATTTGACCTCAGCCTGAACAGCTTAGGACCTCTCATTCCCAGGGTTCCCCTGCTCTGAAAGCTCCAAAGGGGTGGGGACTGCTTATTCACTGCTGTAGCCCCTGGCTTGAACATACCTAGCATTTATATGGTGTCCCATAAATAGCTGAATGAGTGAACCTGCTGTTTTCTTTTTGCCCTGACTAGGAGAGCTGAAGCCCGTGAGAAGAACCTAACAGGCTCATGGTCTGGCCCTCATGGACACCCCGGGGACCACCAGGTGAAGTGGAGTCAAGGCCTGCTCTCAACCCTGGGCATGGGTGGAGACATGAGTCAGCATGAGTGGCCTGAGGGGGAGGGTCAGCAGCCCTGTCCGAGGCAATGGGAAAAGCACTGAATTTTAAGGCAAATGGCCCAGGTTGAGTCCTGGCTCCTCCCTCTGCCTTCACTAGTTTTGTAATGTTGAACAAGTCAATACATGAATTTCATAATCTATAAAACAGGGACAGTAATGCTTGTTTGGTGATCTAGTGTCTTCACAGGACAGCCATGAGGCTCAAATGTGAAAGCTCATGGCACTAGAAACGGGAAGATGGCACGTCTGTGTGTCCAGTGTACACACATGCACCTCCACACACCAACACACAGACTGCTGTTTAGACTGAGCAGAGCAGTGGGGGGCAGCTGCGTGCATGGACCAGGCCTTCCTCATCTCTGTATCTGCCACCACACTGAGCTCAGGCTTAGCACCCACTAGGCGTCAGCAAGTGCTTCTCAAATGAATGAACCAATGAATGAGCAAGTGGATGAGCCATTGACCAAAAATGAGCTGTGTCATCTGTGTGTGTGCAGGACAGATGCTACCAAGATCCACATGAGTCACCAGGGAGGACAGTTAGCATACCCCAGATACTCTGGGTCTTGCCCCTCACAGTGTCGTCGAGCATGGAATGTCGCCCTACACTGTGCGTCCTCACCAGGGACAGAGCTCTCAGGGTCTCTGACCCAGGCTGGCGCCTCCCCACCTCCAAACTCTGCTGAGGGCACCTCTTGCTGGTGCCACCACCAGCTTCTCCAGACAGAGGCAGGTGTGGGTCAGAGACAAGGCCAGGTGAGGGGTCAGGAAGCACAGGGCAGGGTGGTTACCGAGGTTGACAGTGAGCTTCATCTGCCCCCCATCCAGCTCCAGGCGTAGGGTGTCGGCAGACTCCCTGGAAGTGGTGGCCATCATGAGTCCGTAGGCCCGCTGGGACATGAAACGCAGGGACACATCCTCTGCCTCCGTGTGCATGGCGTTAGGCAGCATGATCTTCATGTACATGGAGCCATCGTAGCTCAGGACCGTGGCCTCTGCCCACAGGAGTTGGGGAAGAGGGAAGGAGAAGACAGGCAGAGGCCAGGGGAGGGAGAAGACCAGAGAATCATTACAAGGGCGAAAAGCCTAGGGCAGGTCTATGAGGGGTTCCCCTAGGAGGAGGTGGCACAGGGATGGAAAGTAGGAGTCACCCTGAGAAGGAGGAGCACAGGGATAGGGAGCAGGGACACCTAGGATGAAGACCAGCCTCACCTCTCTCACAGACCCGCCCAAGAAAGCCGGTCCCGATGCAGTCACAGATGAAGCGGTTCCAGCCTTCTCGACAGACGCCCCCATTGCGACAGGGGGCAGATGCACACTGCTTCAGCGTCTCCCGGGAGCAAAAGGGGGCAACGCCCACAGCCCCCTGAGCCTCAGCCAGGCCCCGGAGGTCTCGGCTACGCCCATCTATGAAGAGGTCCCGCACACAGCCCACGTAGCCTGCCCGGAGTGCTGCTGTCCACACCTCTGGGGGCAGGGGCAGGTCCACCCGGCCCCCCTCAGGGAGACCGCCCAGGTACAGCTCACTCTCCAGGTCCAGAATCTCGCTGTCTCCAGTGGCCAAGAACGGCGTGCTGCGACTATTCACTGAGATGGAGCCTGGGAATCAAGGGAAGGCAGGATGGAGAAAAGCCACAGGCCAGAAAGGGACATCCTGACTCTGCCAAGAAGGCCCCCCACCTTGTGTGGGCCCCTCCACCTTGTGCCCTGCAGCAGGCTCAGGAGGACGAGCAGCAGTCCTGGGCTGGAAGCTCGGCCTCACTCACTGCAAAAACTGCTTGACAAAGGCCCCCAGGCTCAGAGGCTTCTGTGACGCAGCCCCAGCCCAGCTGCAGAATGCTGTGGGCCTCTGTCCATACCCCTCCTCCCCACCTCAGCAAGTCCTCAGAGGATAGGCAGGAAGTGGGCATGCCGAAATCTTGAGCTCGGAAAGGGTTGGATCATTCACTGGGTCATTCCTGCCAGCCAGTTCCTTAGACTGGGAACCGGAAGCAGAGAACCTCAAGGAACAGAAGGGGCTGAAAGATCTTTAATCCAAAGGAGTTTTTTCCCCCCACAAACATTTATTGAGCTTTTATGACTAGATGCCAGGCACCTAGCACTTTAAATATATTATATCACTTAAGTCTCATAATAACTCTACGAAATCAGTCCTTTATGATCCCATTTTGAAATGGTAGACGAGGCTTGCAGAGACTGGGGAACAGTGCCAAAGCGCCACAGTGGGGAAGGAACACAGCCAAAGTATGGTCCCAGCAGCAAGAACTCAGAGCCTGCACTCTCCACCCCTCAGCCAAGAGCCCACTCTGCGGCCAGCAAGGTGCACAAGCAGATTGGCTCCAGGGCCTGCGGGGCAGGACAGCAGTGAGGAGAAAGGAGGTAGGCACAGAATTTTTAGGTAGAAGAGTTCTTCAGAAGTAGAGGGTGCTTGGCCGGGCATGGTGGTTCACGCCTGTAATCCCAGCACTTTGGGAGGCCGAGGCGGATGGATCACTTGAGGTCAGGAGTTCAAGACCAGTCTGGCCAACATGGTGAAACTCCATCTCTACTAAAAAAAAAAAAAAAAAATTAGCCGGGTGTGTTGGCACAAACCTGTAGTCCCAGCTACTCGGGAGACTAAGGCAGGAGAATCACTTGAACCCGGGAGGCAGAGGCTGCAGTGAGCCAAGATCATGCCACTGCACTCCAGCCTGGGAGACACAGCGAGACTCCATCTCAAAAAAGAAGAAGAGAAGAAGGGAGAAGAAGGAGAAGAAGAAAAGGAAGAGGAGGAGGAGGAGGAAGGAGGAGGAGGTGATTATCTTAGAAAAAAGACTTGGGATCTGGTAGGAGTTCCATAGCCTTTACTGAGACCTTAAGCTGCAGAAACCTATACCTTAGAAATTTTATTCTACTTGTATTTTTAAATTCCTTCCTCTGTCCTTTTTCAAGTTTGGAAGAACTGTTTAAAAGGGGTCGGGGCCGGGCACAGTGGCCCACGCCTGTAATCCCAGCACTTTGGGAGGCCGAGGCGGGTGGATCACAAGGTCAGGAGATCGAGACCATCCTGGCTAACACGGTGAAACCCTGTCTCTACTAACAAAGACAAAAAATTAGCTGGGCGTGGTGGCGGGCGCCTGTAGTCCCAGATACTCAGGAGGCTAAGGCAGGAGAATGGTGTGAACCCGGGAGGCAGAGCTTGCAGTGAGCCAAGATCGTGCCACTGCACTCCAGTCTGGGCGACAGAGCGAGATTCTGTCTCAAAAAAAAAAATAAATAAATAAATAAAAGGGGTCAGGGTGGGAGTTGAGTTCAATCTCTCTCCTCACGCAAGACCCCATTGCAGACATCCTAGTTAGAAAAAAAAAAGACTCTGCCTAACTTCATGGGGTTAAAGAGAGGTTAAGGAGGGTTTGGGTCTGCATGAGGCCTGAATTTGGCAGGGAGCTTTGGGAGGAGAATCAATGTGAGCACAGGGTGGGAACCCAAGAGGGAAGAACTGGGACCTCCTCTACAGACACATCCCCTCATTCAGGACGTGTTCCTCTCTGCTCAAAACCTCACCTGAGGCCGGGCGCAATGGCTCACACGTGTAATCCCAGCACTTTGGGAGGCTGAGGCAGGAGGATCGCCTGAGGTCAGGAGTTTGAGACCAGCCTGGCCAACATGGTGAAACCCCATCTCTACTAAAAATACAAAAATTAGCCGGGCATGGTGGGCATCTGCAATCCCAGCTACTCAAGAGGCTGAGGCAAAAGAATCGCTTAAACCTGGGAGGCAGAGGTTGCAGTGAGCTGAGATCATGCCACTACACTCCAGCCTGGCAGCCTGGGCGACAAGAGCAAAACTCTGACTCAAAAAAAAAAAAAAAACCTCACCTGAACCAGAGCTGTGCCCTCTTTTAGTAACATGGTCCCTAGCTTTTCTCTCCATACAAGGTGTCAGATGACCCATGGTCCTGACTCTAAACCCACTTCCCAGGGCTGGGGGCCCACTCCCCTAACAGGCCACCAAACATGGCCTGCCTGATTACCCACACCTCTATTTATAGCCAGATTCCCCCATGCCTGCTCTGCCCACCCACTGCAGGACCTCCTGGGCTTTACACGACTCAACCAGACTCTCTACAAATGAACCAAATGTTGGAGAAGGAAGAGAGAGAGAAGGAAAGAGATGGGGAAGGGGTGTATAATGGAGGGTCAACAAGAGGAAGCCATAGTGAGTACAGGCCTCTACACCAAGATCACTCAACACATGGAAAAGAACAACCCAAGCATCCACCAACAGATAGATGGATAAATGCAACGTGTATATCCAGGCAATGGAATATTATTCAGCCCTAAAAAGGAAGGACATCCTGACACATGCTACAACATGAACGAACCTAGAAGACATTATGCAAAATGAAATAAAGCCAGATACAAAGGGACAAATATTATATGATTCCACTTAACGGAGGTACCGAGAGTAGCCAGATTCTTACACAGAAAGTAGAATGGTGAGTGCCAAGGGCTAAGAGGAGAGGGAATAGGGAGTTAGTGTTTAATGGGCCAGAGTTTCATTTTGGGAAGATGAGAAAAGTTCTGGAGATAAACAATAGTTACCAGTGATATTTACACAACAATATAAGTGTACTTAACATCACTGAACTGCATACTTAAAAATGGTTATGATGGGCTGGGCATGGTGGCTCACGCCTGTAATCCCAGCACTTTGGGAGGCCAAGGCAAATGGATCACTTGAGGTCAGGAGTTCAAGACCAGCCTGATCAACATGGTGAAACCCTGTCTCTAGTTAAAAAAAAAAAAAATTAGCTGGGCATGGTGGCACATGCCTATAATCCCAGAACTTGGAAGGCTGAGGCAGGAAAATCACTTGAACCCAGGAGGCAGAGGTTGCAGTGAGCCGAGATTGCGCCACTGCGCTCCAGCCTAGGCAACGAGAGCGAAACTCCGTGTCAAAAAAAAAAAAAAAAAGGTTACTATGGTAAATTTTTTTTGCTGTTTTATTTTTCATTTCTTTCTCTGTCCCATGTGATCTGCAGGAAAGGGTAGTAAATTTTATTATGTATCATTTACCACAATTGCAAAAACAAAAATAGAAAAAAAAATGGAAAAGATCTAAGAGAGTTTTCTCGGAATAGCTGCCCCAAGTCTGTGTTTGTGTGCACATAGGAAATGGGTCATCAGAGGCCGGGCGCCGTGGCTCACGCCTGTAATCCCATCACTTTGGGAGGCCGAGGCGGGTGAATCACAAGGTCAGGAGTTCGAGACCAGCCTGGTCAACACAGTGAAACCCCGTCTCCACTAAAAATACAAAAATTAGCCAGGTGTGGTGGCATGCCCCTATAATCCCAGCTACTCGGGAGGCTGAGGCAGGAGAATCGCTTGAACCCAGGAGGCGGAGGTTGCAGTGAGCTGAGATCACGCCACTGCACTCCAGCCTGGGCGACAGAGAGAGACTTCGTCTCAAAAAAAAAAAGGCCGGGCGCGGTGGCTCACGCCTGTAATCCCAACACTTTGGGAGGCCAAGGCGGGCGGATCATGAGGTCAAGAGTTCGAGACCATTCTGGCCAACATGGTAAACCCCCATCTCTACTAAAAGTACAAAACTTAGCTGGGCGTGGTGGCACTCGCCTGTAGTCCCAGCTACTCGGGAGGCTGAGGCAGGAGAATTGCTTGAACCCGGGAGGCAAAGGTTGCAGTGAGCCGAGATCGCGCCACTGCACTCCAGCCTGGCGACAGAGCAAGACTCCATCTCAAAAAAAAAAAAAGAAAGAAAGAAATGGGCCGTCAGAAATGTCCAGAATTGGTCAAGACAGGAATCCAAAGACTGGCCACACCTGGTCCAGACTCTGGCTCCAGAGATCGGTGTTGAGCTAACAGGAGCACTTCCTGAAAGCACAGAGAAGTGGAAGCCCTGCAGTGCCCTGCAAGGCTTGGGCAGACGTCCAACCTAGAGTGTTACTGACCACCTGGTAGAAACCCTGTGGGGCAGAGGGCTCTGGGAAGAATTCCTGGTGCTGTCCTGAGACACACCCCGGGGATGAAACCATTTAATGTAAAGCCCGGGGGAGGCAACACTTCGAGGATGGAAGCTAAAGAAATAGCAAGCCCATTAGAAACTGTCACTCTCCCAGAGCCACAGGGGCCCCTCCTTCCTGCATGGGGAGGAGCGGTCACTCCACCCAAACTCACAGGCCCAGCTCAGTGACAGGCGGAGGAGCACAAAAATTTAGCTGACGTTGATAAGTGCTTAAATTGGATAATGTGTCAGTTCTCATTTATATCAATTTCCCTTTCTTGGATAATTCTCTCATGTTCAACAAGATGGAGAAGAGTAAAGGAGAGAGAATTAGCAGACAGAAAACAAGAAGAGAATGCAAAAGACTGAAATGAAGGGTAAAGAAGAGAGTGGCTAGAAGCAACAGAAGATTCAAGAACAGGCATCTGTCTGACCCCAGAACCCTCTGCCCTGACACTTTATTGTTCTAGAGCCCTCACTGCTAGGTAGGGGTGTGGGGCTGTTTACTGTCTTTTTCACTCCATGGTCTCCCACCCCACACCAGAACAGGGGTTCTGTGACAGCCAAGATCGTCTCTTTAGTTTCCCTGCTGTCCATATCTACAGAACCTTGGACACCATCTGGCACACAGTGGGTGCTCAGTAACTGCTGAGTGAGTTAATTTTTTTTTTTTTTTTTTTGACAGTCTTCCTCTGTCGCCCAGGCTGGAGTGCAATGGCAGGATCTCAGCTCACTGCAACCTCTGCCTCCTGGGTTCAAGCGATTCTCCTGCCTCAGCCTCCCAAGTAGCTGGGACTACAGGAGTGCACCACCATGCCCAGCTAATTTTTGTATTTTTAGTAGAGACTGGGTTTCACCATGTTGGCCAGTCTGGTCTCAAACTCCTGACCTCAAATGATCCACCCACTTCGGCCTCCCAAAGTGCTGGAATTACAGGCGTGAGCCACAGCGCCCGGCCTAGTGAGTTAATTTTTTTTTAAGTTGAATGGCTCTAGACAGAAGGGAGGCATGGCTGGGAAGATATATTCTTTTTTCTCTGAGACAGAGTCTCGCTCTGTCGCTCAAGCTGGAGTGAAGTGGCACAATCTAGGCTCACTGCAAGCTCCGCCTCCCAGGTTCACGCCATTCTCCTGCCTCAGCCTTCCAAGTAGCTGGGACTACAGGTGCCCGCCACCACACCCAGCTAATTTTTTGTATTTTTAGTAGAGATGGGGTTTCGCCGTGTTAGCCAGGATGGTCTCGATCTCCTGACCTCCTGATCTGCCCACCTCCGCCTCCCAAAGTGCTGGGATTACAGGCATGAGGCATCGCACCCGGCCGGAAGATATATTCTTAAAGGTGAATGGGGTATCTACTCTATGTTGGCCACTGTGCTAATGCTTCCACAGATGTGCTCTTATTTTCTCCTCTCGATGGCCCTTGTGGGGTTATTCCTTCTACAGATAAGGAAACAGAGTCTCACATGCAGCAAGTAGGGGAGCTGAGGTGTAATCCAGGTCTGACTGATGCCAAATGCTGTGCTCTTTCTGCCAATGTCCGATGACAGAAAGGACAATTGGGAAGACGTGAGGGGGGTGGAGGAGAAGCGGCAGGGAAGAATATAGGAAATGGTGTAGAAGAGACCCGCTGAAGAGAGACGGAGAGGATGTCAGGGCAGATGGAAAGGGGTGGCCCATGGAAGGGGAAGGGTCCAGAGGCCTCCTGACCTTTTCGCCCATCCCTCTGGAAGTCCACGTGACACCACTCGCCATCATTGACCTTGCGGCTGGATGCCCGCAGCTTGATGCCCCCAGATCCCATGTCCAGCAGAAGATAGAGGTGGCCGTCCAATAGCTCCATGGCAAAGTAGTCGGCCCGCTGAGCAGAGCTGTGGCTGCCAGCTCCACCCCCAGCCCGCCGGCCCTGGCTGAAGAGCAGCAGCCCATTGGGCTCGGTGGTGCGGAAGTCTAGGGAGATGGAGCCAGTGCGCTTAGCGCTCCAGCGGGGCAGCGCCACAAAGGCCTCGGGACTCTCAAAGGTCACAGGGTCCAGGGCAGCCACATCCTCACAGCGGAATGACAAGTCCCCCTGCAGCTTCATCTTGGGGTCCCCTTCCTTTGCCAGGCGGGATAGTTCCAATTTGAAGTCATTGTTCTTATAGACCACCTGCAGGGAGGGGTGGGGTCAGGGATAAAGAATCCGAAAGCAGCTTAGGGCCTGGCCACTCCCACCCAGCAGCGAGCACCAGGGGACCCAGCCACCCACCCCTGTAGCCCCTGCTCAGTTCCACCAGACCACCCGCTTAGGCCTCTGTTCTACAGCTTCAGACACAGAGGCTGTGAACAAGCACCTCCCTTGCCCGTCCTCTGTCCTGTCTTCTGGCCCAGCAGGAGCATGGTGGCTTGCCTGTGGGTTCTCAGTGCCCACTAAATTGCAGTTCATAATAATGACAAGGCCACTGACGTGTGGTAGCTGTTTTCCACTCAATGAAGTATGTTCACTTACACTCTCATGTGCCCCTCACAACCTTATGAAGTAGGCACTGACTACCCATCCACAGAGGAGGAAACTCAGCATCAGACAGTCAAGTGACTTGACCACAGTCACAGAACCAATGAGTGGAAGAGTTGGGACTCAAGCAAGGTCTTTAGTCTTCATACCCAGCATTCTTTCCTCTGTACCACAGCTGCCTTTGAGGGTCCTCTATGAGGATAGGGGTTTCCAAGGCTCAAGGAAATCAAAGGGGAGAAGCCTCTTGATGGAGTCAGTGGGCCTTAGGTTTTAAAGAGGGGGTGTCTCCCACCATGGACTTGGAAGGAACAGATGACCCAGACAACTAGCCAGGTCAGACTAAGTCACGCTGAAGACAGGAGACAAAGGGCTCCTGAACAGCCTGCAGCCCCTCCCTAGCCCTACTCACGTCCTTGAGGCAGCCCATGAAGTTGTTGCTGACGGGCGAGCCCGGCAGGTCAGCTGTGTTGGGGCTGCCCCCAATGTAGAAGAAGTCATCAGAGCCCAGCATGGTGTAATCCTCCTGCGTGTAGCCTGTGGTGGTCAGGATCCCGTCCACCGAGATGGTCACCTGTCCAGCCCAGGAGGGAGGGAGAAAGACAGGAGACAACCAACATCAAATCCCTAGGAAGAGCTACGGCTAGGCAAAGGAGGGGCCAGAGGGCAGCAGGGGAGGGGGACCCCCATTTTTATGTCTGCTTGTCTTGGAGGAGGAACAGTGGGGGAAGAGAGGAAATGAGGAAAAGGAGGCAGCACAAGATTTGATGGTTTCAGGGTGGGCTAAGACCTGCCCTCTGGCCCCCAACTCAGCAGGCAGGAGCCTGAAGGGTACTTGGAGAGCTCCCCATGAGGTCCCCCAAGAAGTAGTTCCTGGAGGGCACTCTGAACAGGAATGGGGGCTCCAGGACGGATCCCCCATTCTGGGGCACAGGATGGGTGCAAATGGCATCCTCACTTTTCTTCTCCTGAAGGTACTCTCTGGACACACACGTAACTCCAGAACTTCTTTCAAAAGTGTGCCAGAGAATGGTGTTCCCCAGACCTTGGTGGCTTAGACTCACCTGCAGCCCTCTCTGCTGGGTGCTGGAAAGTCTTTCAGTCTGGACCCAGTAGGGAGATGGAAGATAGCAGTGTGAGGAGCAGGAACTCAAATATTCCTGGGAAGTCTTGAAACTTTCTGGGGTTGCCTATTGGGGTTGATTTCCACCCCTGCAGCCCAATCTCCAGGTTTGCACTTCTAGCCCTTTCCTGAGTCTGTCTCTTCACTCCTCAGGTCTCCTTATATTCAGGTCACTCTCTTGCCTCCAAAGGAGAGGGGAGCCCTTTAGCTACATCAACCCACTCTTCCTTCTTCCTGTCTAATTGCCTTGTCTACTGACACCACTAGAGTTACTCCAGGGAGTCAGGGCCAGCTTAGGGAACAGACGGGGACAGGGCTAACTTAATGAATACCTTGCCCCTGGGCTGAAAGTTCAGTAAGAAAGCAGGATGAGCAGGAATGGGGGAGTACTTGGTATTCCAGGAGGCAGGGGGGCTCAGCGGTGGCCTGGAGAATGCAGAAGTAATCTTAGATGGGGCGGGGCATGACAAGGACAGGAAACTCTCCAACTCTCCCAGTCTCCCCAGGCAAATGCCCACCTTCTCCAAAAAATCTAACTCTACAAGCAGCCCACAAGGTTCAAGACACCCAGAAAGGTTGTGGGAGAAGGGCCAAGGGCTATGAGACCACGAGCCCCTACTCTAGGAAGGCAGTGGTTTGGAAGGGTCAGCTGGGAAAGAAGGCAGAGCTCTGCAGGGTCAACAGGAAGCTGGCTCAGGGTTAGCCCAACACTGTGCTTCTGCAGGCCACAGCTCACCCCATTTCTCTTTCGGGAACAGTCTAGAGATTGGGGCCTTCCAGTCACATCCTATGCCCTCCTCACCCACACCAGTCTATATGCACATGCCACCAGCCATCTTCCAGCGACTGGTCTCCAGGGGTCCATGGTCTCGGTGGGTGAGGTGGAGGAACTCCAAAGGGACATGAGCAGAACTGGGGTAAGGGAGCTTCCTGCCCTCCCAGGACCCCAAGTCCCCCTTGTGCTTGGCTGGAGCCTCGCAGTGAATAGGGTAGAGCTAAGCCCCACTCTCCACCTCCTGGGAACCATCAAACCTTGTGCTGGGGTAACTAGGTTCAAGAGCAGAAGGTAAGGGGGTGTCTTTGTGGAAAGGGGCAGTCTGAAAGCTTTTGAGTCTTATTTGAGGGGAGGGCTGGTCATTATCGTTTATTTCTTCTTCCCTCCACCCCACCCTAAGGCTGGGAAGTAGGGGTCTGGGTAGAAGAGGGAAGGGTCAAAGTATTAGTCACAAAAACATGCAAACGAGATTAGACCTGGCAGAGAAGGGCTGGAGAAAGGGAAGAAGGAACTGGGATGAAAGGTCAGGGATAAGACAGGGAGTGGGTAATAGGCTGAATGGGCCTCCCTGGGGCAAATTCAGCTCCATCCAGCCCTCCACCTCCACTCTGCCTGATGCTGCACTGAGGGACCAGGAACTGGGCTGCTGATTACTTCCTGTGCCTAAGTCTGGTCACCCCAACTGGTCAGCTCCTGAGGGGCAGGCACCAGCCTGACATGTCCCTGTAACCCCACTAATCTGAACATAATCCAGGGGATACAGCACACAGTCATTAAAGATCGCCTTATGACCCAGGGCCACACTGCCTGCATCCCCATCTATGAACCTAATACCTAAGGAGCCTGTGACTTTGGTGACAGAAACTCAAGTGCACTCCTGCTTCAGCGCAGGGAAAGGGCTCTTCTGGTCCCAAAGCTCCCCAGGAAGAGAATCTCCTCTTTTGGCCTTCAGCCCACCTGAGCCCCTCAGCTGTGTCCTCCCTCACTGGCCTCAGAAGCCAGGGCACCAGCCACTGGCCATCTCCCTCACCCTATGGGCTCTCTCTATCCCACTCCCTTTGCCAAAGTCACCCTCCCTTTGCACTCTCAGACTTAGAAGAGGTGACAGTGTGGGGTAGAGAAGAGGAAACACCCTCCTCAGTTTCCCTCCTGACTGGGCACAATCTCACCTTACCCCCTTGGGCTTTTTGCAGATCACTCCCATGTGCTCCCTACCCGGAAAGGGCTGCCTTAATCACCCTCTTATGACCCAGGGGTGGAGTAGCAGGAGGAAGGACAACATAAGGAAGTGCCCTGAGGAAAGGGATCAGCCAGAGGTGGGGAGTAGAGGGAGATAGTGGGGACGGGTTCTGGGTGGAAAGGAAGCCAAGGGTAGAGGGAATGGAGGAAGGTCTCTGGGGAAGGCAAGGAGGGAGATGACTTAGATTAGTAAAACCCGACTGTTCCCTCAGACGAATCAAAGTCCAGACACAAAAATGGCAGGTTCGTTAGTAAAAGCAGGAAACAGGGGAATAATTCCCCCGGTCCCCCTCCACCCCAGGGGTTCATGATGCCCCTGCCCCCCAACCTCCCCCCCACGCATCTTCTGGAAGGGGTGGGGCCGGTGGGGGAGGAGGGAAGGGAGGGGGCCGTGCGACACAGAACAGCCACTGCAGCTGGACACATGCAGGTTAGAGGAGCAGAGTGAGGGCTAGACCCAGCAGGACAGGCCAGAGAAAGGCAGCCAGGTAAGAAGGCGTGCGGGGCAGGGGCACTGGGAGGAGCAGAGATGGAGGCAACAGAGCTGTGGGGTGCAGGTAGGGAGAGCTTCCTTCCGATGATGGGGGGAAAGAGAGAGGAGTGACCACTAGGACAGAGACACTTATGGGTTGAAAAATAAAGAGAAAAGACATTTGACTCTACCTTCCTCAACAGCAGGCGACCCAACACTCATTCCACCACCCATTCGCCACCGATCACCAACCCCGAGACACACCTGCGTACATACCACATCCTACCCAGGGCAGTGGGACCTTCCAGCTCTCTCCTTCCAAACAGCATCACTGAGACACAGCAGAGTGTCTGCACCCAACCCATGCCAACCCACTCAACACAGACAAGCAGGCCGAGTGGGTACTGAGCTGGCCAAGGGGAATGAGCCAGAGCTTCTGCCCTGGAAGAGTTGTGTCCAGCCAGAGAAGGGAGAGGGTGCAGAGGCAGCAGGAGCCCACTGCCCAGCCCCCACTGTACTCCCCAGGAGCAGAGAGGCTGGCTGGAGGTGGACACAAGGGGCAGCCTGTGACTTGGGTGGGCTCTCAGCCCTCCCTGCTGACCCCACCTCTCTTTCTGCTCCATGCACCTCCCCTGTGGCAGGCTGTGCAGGATATGAAACTAAGTCCTGGCCATAAATAACTCCACATTGGTGGGCACTCCATGTCCACATGCCTTAGGAAGAAAGGCTGAGGAAGAGGGGAAGTATCCTTCTGCCATCTTCTGGAGCCTTTATCAGTTGCCTGTGATGATCACAGGGTCACTAACCTCCTTGGGAGGGGGACTTAATCTGGGGAGAACAAGACGGAGGGCGGGTATTTTTAACTTGTGGGCAAGCTGGCTGAGCTTGGGAGATTCCAAGCCCCTTGATATTGTGTGCAAAACTGCCTCCGTGGGTTTTTTTCCTGTGAGAGTCCATTGCTGTCATCAAATTCTCAAAGGTATCCATGAGCCAAAGGTGGTTAAGAGCAACTAGTCTAGGGGAAAGGTCCTGGCATCCCCTTAGGATTGAGTGGGTGGAAATAAGGGACAAAGACAAAGAGGAAGAAAGGGTCTCCAGGCTGAGTAAGGTACTGCAAGTCCTGCTAAGGGTTTGGGTTAGCTACCTGTTCAATGAGAGGGCAGAAGCTAACCAGAGACTCGGGTTGGAAAGACACACCATGAAGATGGACTGAACCAGCAGGCACAGCCCTGTCATGAATCCTGAGGTCTGGATTTGATAGTTTGGGAATAGAGAGGAAAGAGGTCAGAAATCCTGGGCTCTCATTCAGCCTTTATCCTTTTCCAGAACAATCCCATTTTACCTCTGACTCTCATCTGTGACAGGAGTTTAACAACTGTCGCTCCCATTTCTTCCAGGCTTACTCTGAGCACCAAATGAGAAAACTGAAGTGAAACTCCTCGATATCTGGCTATCTGACCCTAGGCAAGGTGCTTTCTCTGGGCTTCAGCTTTCCCCATCTGTTAACTGGAAACAATCTCTGCCTGCTACTTGCAGTCCAGGCATTCAAGTTTAAATGATATTCAAAAGGGGAAAGCTATTCAAAGAGTCCCAGTGTGTGTACAAAGAACTATCATTATTTGTACAAGCAAACTCCATCAGCCTGATCACACCTAATCCGAACTTCTCAACCTTCTCAAGGTTGGCCTTTTTGCTTTATATCCACCCTCTCCCCCAAGAAGAAGTGCTCAAACAACATGAAAATAGTCCATATAAATGAGTTAGTAAAAATAAATTGGAAACTAACCAAAACCTGTCTGGGGGATGCCTTGGGAATCAGAACACATTGAACCCTGTTACAAGGCCTCTGACTCTGGTCTTGGCTGAAAGAGCTGATTCCTAGTACAGATTTATGAAGGTCTATGAGGCCACCAAAAGGCAACCAGGTCTGTTTATCAGTCAGTATTGCTCATGCAGGAAAGTGCAGACTTTAGAGACTCAGAATTTAGCAGATACTTTCCTTTCCAGGACTGAAACAAGACAGTATTGTTTACTTTTTTTTGTTTTGTTTGTGTGTGTGTGTGTTTGTTTTAGAGATAGGGTGTTTGTTTGTTTGTTTGTTTTAGAGATGGTGCCTTGCTGGGGCACGATGGCTCATGCCTGTAATCCTAACACTTTGGGAAGCCAAGGTGGGTGGAATGCCTGAGCTCAGCAGTTCGAGACCAGCCTGGCAACACGGTGAAACCCTGTCTCTACTAAAATACAAAAAATTAGCCAGGAGTGGTGGCATGCACCTGTAGTCTAAGCTACTCAGGAGGCTGAGGCATAAGAATTGCTTTAACCCTGGAGGCAGAGGTTGCAGTGAGCCGAGATCGCGCCACTTCACTCCAGCCTAGGCAACACAGCAAGACTCTGTCTCCAAAAAAAAAAAAAAAAAGCAGGCGGTGGGGAGGTCTTGCCATGTCACCCAGGCTAGTCTTGAACTCCTGGGCTCATGCACTCTTCCCATCTCAGCCTTGAGTAGCTGAAATTACTGGTGCATAGCTGGTTGTTGGCTTCTTCCTTTTTTTGTTTGTTTTGTTTTGTTTGGAGATGGAGTTTCACTCTTGTTGCCCAGGCTGGAGTGCAGAGGCGTAATCTCAGCTCACTGCAACCTCCGCTTCCCAGGTTCAAGCAATCCTCCTGCCTTAGCCTCCCGAGTAGCTGGGATTACAGATGGCCACCACCACACCCAGCTATTTTTTTGTATTTTTAGTAGAGACAGGTTTTCACCATGTTGGCCAGGCTGGCCTTGAACTCCTGGACTCAGGTGATCCACCCACTTCAGCCTCCCAAAGTGCTGGGATTACAGGCATGAGCCCAGCAGGTTGTTTGCTTCTTAACCAGCTTAACCACCTCAGCCTCAAGTAGCTGGGATTACAGGTGCCTAGCTGGTTGTTGCTTCTTAACCAATTTAATCAAGTCATTCATTTTTCTTCCTCTTCTCCAGCCCAATTCCTGAAGCATTCTAGGGTTTCATACAGTTATTTTGGGACTGATTCTTAAGAAGAGATGGTAATAGGATCTCCAGTGGGCCAGAGATGCTGTGTTCTCCAGGGTTTGCTAGGGAAGAGAATCATTTCTTTACAAAACATCCCTGCCCTGGAAACACTGAGATAACCAGTTAACATTTTATAAAGCTTAGTAACATTACAATTTCCTTTACAGAGTACAAATGTTTTCACTTCTATTACTCTACCTGATCTTCACACTGACCCCATGTAGTAGGCAATGCAGGTATACTACCACTATTAGCCCATTTGGTAGATAAGGGAACTGAGCTTTAGTAGACTCAGCCCATGTGGTCAATTTTTAACCAAATTGAGGCTAGATGGAAAGTCTGCTGGGTCCTAATTCTAGGATGGTATTCCCCAGAGGCTTGGGGTGTACCACATGGCTTGATCTTGCCTCCCTTCTGTCCCTAAAGTCACAGGTTGGTTATCTAGTGAAGCACCGTAAAGAAAGTTCCAATTGGCCAGCTCCTGACAGGTACTCAATGGCTTGGCCTGAGCCGGGCAGGTAGCAGCTAACTCCTAGAAGCAGCAGCTGGAGGAACAAGAAACCTGGCACTGTATGCCCCATTGGAACACCAAGACCACTGGGAGTGGCCACCTGAGGTCTTAAATTGGGGAGGGCTGGAATGGCTTTGGCCATGGGCACTAGTCTATATGGGTGCAGGAAAACATGGATCTGCAAAAGTATCAGGAAAAGCCAGATGTAGCCTCAGAGGTAGAGCCTCCTAGGGAAGTGGGAGAGACACTCAGATTGGGAGCCCCAACTGTCACGCTTCCCTCCTCACCAGCCAGCCATACAAACCTGGGAGGCTGGGCAGGCCAGGCAGCTGCCCCACGGGAGCAGACACGTCCATCTGCAGGGTCCCCAGCCTGGTGTTCAGTCACTCTGCATTATTAATAGGCGATGACTAACCGGCTGCTGCTGCAGAGCCAGGACTGGGCAGGCACGAGGGAATCCCAGGGGATCACACGCAGCAGGGCCTGCGCACACACACTCTGAGGCAAGGCAAGGAGCAAAGGGCTAGCCCCAGCTCCTTCCCTGTTCCTGACTGCCATGGCACTGCAACTGAAGGGCCAGTCTCCACAGTCCACCTCCACACAGAGTCCTCACCAGGCTCAAAAACCCACATAGTCACGCAGCCCCCAGCTCACACCAGCTCACACGTGGAGAGTCACCAGCAGAGCCTCGCACACACAGTACAGCTTCCCACTAACACCCCGAAATGTCACGCCAACATTTACACACAGTCACACCCACACACCAACACACACCAGCTGCATTTACACAGACACCCACACCAACACTCACCAGGACTGAGCCTAACCCAAACAGAGGAGCTCGGTGACAAGGACAACCAATGCTGCCCCTTCCCACCCCTGCAGGCCTCCTCCTCTCGCTCCCCTCAACAGGGAAGGAAACCAGCCCCTGTCAGAGGCCATGCGGGGCAGGCAGCGGGCAGAGAGGGCAGGGGGTGACGGGAAGGAAGACAGTGTGAAACACAGTGTTAGTCAGAGCAGCGGAGCAGTTGGGGGAACTGGACGCTATCCCTGGTCAGGGGAAAAGACCATTCATGCCATGCAAAATGTGGGGGACATGGAACCAGGAACCCTCAAGGCTGAGAAGTGAGGGAGGGGATGGCACCTTTCCCAGAGCAGCCAGCATGGGGCAGCCCCCAAACTGCTATGAACTGATGATTTGCATGAGGTCTGGACTGATCTCAGGCAGCTCCGCATCTCCCAAGGCCATGCCCTCCACCCCTGGGAACCCACCCCACTGGCTGCCACTGGAGGTCTCACCCCCAGACCCCTCCTCAAACTTGAGCGGCCCTGTCCAGGGAGCTGACAGTGAGCAGAGCATAGCATGTCATGGGATGGTGTTTTCCATGGATTTTCAGGAGACCAAGAAACTAAATCAAAGAGAAAAAACAAGGGAGGGGAGGGAAAAGAACAAAATAAAGCAATAGAAATAAGCAGCCTGGCATCGGGGCTGGTCTAACCAGAGCCGATGAACATGGGGCCTGCCCCCAGGTCTCTCTGGCCAGGAATCTGAATTCAGGAGTTAGGGATTACAGCAGGGACAAGCCAAATTCCTCGATTTCCATTTGTCTTTTGTATTTCAGTTTGGACCAAAAAAGAAAGAAAAGGGAAAGAGGGAAACTAAAAGAGAAGCAAAATCTAAAGATTGTCCAGGACGCAAAAAACAATTGGAAGAGCAAAACAACCAAAAAACCAAACAGGGAGAGGAAACAAAAGAGGGAGAATCGAACAGTTAAAAAAACCCACGGCAAACCAAACGGTAAGACAATTAGAGTGATATCTACCAGATAATGCAGTTTGTTTACCATAGCGTGTCCAATCCCTGCGTGCTTCACCGGAGATATGGGGGGATGGGGAGGAGGGGGGTGTCAAAAAACAACAACAAACACAACAACAAAAGAACAGAATGAAAAGAAAAGAAAAATAAAATGACCAACTGTGAAACTCAAGGAACGAGGAAAAAATATATATCCATATATATTTGGTTGTTTGTTCCAACCCTCCCACCTTAGGTTCAGCAAAAGTATTTGTTTAAAGAAAATTAAATTATAATGGGGGGAGGAGAAATAAAACACACAGAAAAATTAAGTCCTTTCTTCTCCCCATCCCTACCCCGCCCCTCCTCTGGATTCCTCTTCCCCACCATCCCCTCCCCGAAGAAGAGCCGTCTGCAGAGAAGGGGAACAGTTAGAGACCTTGGTTAGTAGAGAAGAAAACAACAAAAGAACTGGACCAAGAAACCAAAGACTTAAAGATGGCTGACATTCCGCAGATGAGACAGAAAGGTTAGTTCGGTTTTTCACTCATACCTTGCCCCACCTGTCCCTGCCCATCCCTTGGTCCCCTGGGTTATAAGCGTGTTAGTAACACACACAGAGTCGGCAACGGGGTTTTCCAACAGAGGGTGAGAGAGGGAAGGCAGGGGATTAAGAAGCAGACCCAATTATGCAGTATTAGTAAGTCCTATCAGCTGAAATGTTAGAGAGTGGAGGGGAAGGAAGGGAGGGAACAAGGGCTGTGAGGAGGGATGGGCTATTGGTTGGAGCCATGGACTTATGGGTTTGTTGGCTAACTGATCAACCAGATGGCTTTCCAGAGAACTGGCTAAAGAGCAAGTTGGTGCTGGCCAACTGGCTGACCAGTGGCCATGCCGGGTTAATGGATTAACCAGTTGGTGATGGGCCAGCTGGCTATCAGGCTGGGAGAAGAGTGGGCATAACCCCTAGAGAATCAAAGGACTGGCAAGAATGAGAGCCAATTTCATTTGGAGGCAAAAGGAAGGGGTTCCCAAGGAGCATAGGAGGGGTCATGGATGCCTGCTTTTCCTGGGGATGGAGAACACGCAAATCGATCCAGGGAGTCACTGAGGAGAGGGGCAGCTCCTCTGTTTTTGTTTTTGTTTTTGTTTTCTTCTCATCCTTAAGAAAGGAAGAGAGAGTGAGTCGCCACCAGAACAGGGAAAAGGAAATGTTGCCCTCCACGGACTGGCAGATGGCTCACACATTATATCAAATTATTCCAGACCCTCTTCCCTCTCCTCCCCATCTCCCACCCATAGCTGACTCCTCCCACGTGTCCACCTTGAATTTTCAGAACTTTCCCCAAAAGTTCTCCAGGCTCTTCAATCACCCCAACCCCATTCTCTCACTCTCTGGGCTGCTGTCCCTCCCAGAATCAAGTGCCCACCACCACCACCCCTACCAGTCTCTAGAATTGGTAAGGCCATCCCAGCAGCACAGCCTCCTTTCATGTACACCCATAAACCCCTGAGTCTCCACTTCCCACAGCCAGCACCAGAAATTCACTCCCCTACACCCATAAAAAGGAACCTCTAAAATCCCTGACTTTTCCCTAAGCTATAAGCCCAATCTTTCTACTCCAATCTCTAGTGTCCCCACTCTCATGTGGTTCTAAGTTCATTTTCTCTTCTCATTGCCACAGACAGCAGCAACAACCACCTTCCAAATTACCCCTGTCTTTGGGGAGGACATGTCAGAGGCACTGAGGCAGCTTTAATTAAGAGTATTAGAGATGGAGGGACATTATTGCTTGATGCCTGTTAAATACTAAACTGCACCCCCGAGAGTGTGATTGTGAGAAGGAGAGGTATTCTAGGGACAGATCCATTAGTTAGAGAGCTGTTATAACCAGTGGGCACAGGACTAATTCAGTAAGATGATGAATAAGGGCCTCATATAATTAAAAATAACAGAATTCAATATTTAGCAGCCGGAAGAAGTGCTGAATAACCAATATTAATTATTAGTGATGCAGAAGCAGTTTACATAGCAAGAGAAGAGTCTAATTGCAGGTGCAGTGATGGGAGTCAGGGGATAGCGTGTGGTAAGAGGATTAGTACTGGTGGCTGGTAGGACTGTCATGAAATGAAGAGGCCAACTAGTCAGAACAAGGAACAATTAGCTTCAGGCCAGCTAAACAACCAGGCCCAGAACGGTAAGTGTTGTCTGGTATCACTGCACTAGTCGAACAAGGCAGGAAGAAAAAGGCATTGGAGGTAAAAATCCAATTACTACTCTTTGAGTTAGAACTGGTTATGGAGAATAAAATAAGATTCAAAAGTTTTCAACTTTATGAACAAGATTCCATTTTTAAGAAGTAGAACAGCAAATTAAGAATCAGGATTGAGGGCCAGGCGTGGTGGGTCACACCTGTAATCCCAGCACTTTGGGAGGCCGAGGCAGGCGGATCATGAGGTCAGGAGATTGAGACCATCCTGGCTAACACGGTGAAACCCCATCTCTACTAAAAATACAAAAAATTAGCCAGGCGTGGTGGCGGGCGCCCGTAGTCCCAGCTACTTGGGAGGCTGAGGCAGGAGAATGGCGTGAACCCAGGAGGCGGAGCTTGCAGTGAGCCAAGATCACACCACTGCACTCCAGCCTGGGTGACAGAGCGAGACTCTGTCTCAAAAAAAAAAAGAATCAGGATTGAGAAGAAACAGATGTGAGTTCTAACCCTTGGGCCTTCCACTAATTTGACAAGAGATCCAGGCTACCTCTTAAAAATAGCAGGGTTGGAGTAGATGAGATGGGGCCCCTCTAGACCTAGGGATTAAGGATCCAGACCCAGTCCAATGGAGATCATGTTTATGGGGGCAATTGTTGTGAAATACTAGAATGCAGCTTCCACTGGAACCCATTCCTGGTGGCCTCGGACACAGCACAGGGAAGGGGTACACAGCAGCCCAGGCCTTCCCTATGGCCAGGATCTGGAGAACTGAGGCTTCAGACTAACAGATGAGCAACAAAGGCTTTATCCCACTCATAGAAAGAGCTAGAGAGCTCCTGGAGCCTGGGAGCACAAGCATGACAACACATGATGAATGAGAAGGGCATCAGAGTCACAGAGGGGAGAAGTCACACATCATATCATGTGGTCATTTTTACCAAGTCTTTCTGACTCAAACACCAACTGTAGGAATTCACCAGGCAGAAAGGAGAGCCTCGGGACAAAACTATACCCCATCTCCACCTTGAAATATGAGTGTAGCTCCAGCCCTGCTCAAGAAAGCCAAGAGAGGGAATATTTACACAAATCATAAAAATCTGGGGTGAAGACAATCTGTGGACCTTGAGTAAGAGAAGCTCAGGACAAAGAGAAGAGGAACCCACTCCACTTGCACATAAGAGGGACCCATTTTTCAGACATACAAGCAGAACATTGAAATGGCTTCAAAATTTGAGAACATCCAAGAACGACAGAAGCACAGGACAAACCCCAGCCTCCTTTGCATTTTGCACCAATGACAACAACCAGGCCCTCACTTGGAGGCAGAGGAACAGAGTGGTTTCAAAATCAGACTTTCAACTCTACCACTTCCTAACTGGATAACCTTGAGCAAGTTCTTTAACCTTCTGCATCTTGTTTTTCTCATCAGTAAAATGGGAATAATATCTCCACCTCACAGAGTTGTCATAAAAATTAGGTGAGATAGTAAAGAGAAATGAGATCCTTGAGGCCAGGGGCTAGTGGGGAGAGACGTTACAGTGCAATCTGAGAAACGCTGTGACAGAAAGATAAAGTCCTGAGGAAATTTAGAGGAAGGACCAGGAGAGGTGTTCTTCTGGTCTTGTAAAGTGAATTAGGCTCAGGCACAGTGGCTCACGCCTGTAATCCCAGCACTTTGGGAGGCTGAGGTAGGTGGATCACTTGAGGTCAACAGTTCAAGACCAGCCTGGCCAACATGGTGAAACCCCGTCTCTACTAAAAATACAAAAATTAGCCGGGCATGGTGGCAGGAACCTGTAATCCCAGCTACTCAGGAGGCTGAGGCAGGAGAATCACTTGAACCTGGGAGGCAGAGATTGCAGTGAGCTGAGACTGCGCCACTGCACTCCAACCTGAGAGACAAAGTGAGACTCTATCTCCAAAAAAAAAAAAAAAAAGTAAAAAAAAAAAAAGTGAATTGTGAATTGGAGGGTTTTTTTTCCAAGAGGACAAGAAGTAGTTCAGTGCTCACATGAAGTAGTTAGATCTGCTACTTTTGGACATGGGTCCTCGTGTCCAAAACCTTACCAGCTGCCTTCAGGAAAGAGACCAAATGGATCAGAAAAAAACTACTAGGAAAACAACTACAAACACTCAATAGTTGCAGGTATTAAGCAACCAATTTGCTTACCACCTAGAAGTACAGATAAGGAATGAATACAAATATTGACAACACAGGCAGAATGTGATGAGACGGCTCAAATACACGTTTCCAAGGGCTCAAAGAACATAGCAAAGAAGGAAGGCTGGCTGGAGGAAGGGATCAAGGAAGGCTTTTTGAAGAAGGTGGCATTTAAGCTGGGCCTGAAGGATTGAAAAAAATACAACTAATTCGTGCCAGGCACTGTGTTGAGTGTTTTAAGGCAATACCCCAGTTAGTCATCAAAAGACTCATTCTCACTTTACTGATGAGGAGCTGAAGCTCACAGAGGTTGTATAACTTGCCTAAAAGCACTCAAACTATTGGCAGAGCTGGGATTTGAACCTGGTCTTTCTGACTCAAACCTCAGATCTAGGATATCACCAGAAAGAAAGGAGGGCAACTAAGTGGTATCTGTAGGAGAACTGTGAAAACAAAGGGAAAAACTAAGAAAATTGGATGAGTATGGAGAACAGCACAGCAGACCCTGAGACAGGGTGTACACCATGCCAGAGAGGGAGAGAGGCCTGGGCAGGAAGGAGAGGAAAGGAATCTAATTGCCTGATGGACTCCACCCCTGGGGACTCCATCCTTAGGGGAATGCGTTCCTAAGGAATGCATCCCAAGACTCCCAGGGGTCTCCCCATCCTTAATGACTCCATCCTTGGGGACTGCATGCTTGGGAACTCCATCTTTGGGGGGCTACACTCTTGCTGGACTCCATCCTTGAGGACTGCATCCTTGGTGGACTCCAACCTTGGGGACTCCATTCTTGGGGATTCCATCTTTGGGTATTCCATCCTTGGGGACTCCATCCTTGGCAGATTCCATCCTTGAGGACTGCATCTTTAGAGGACTCTGCCCCTGGGGCAGTCCCCCATTATTGGGGACTCCATCTCTGGGGACTCCATCATTGGGGGACTCCATTCTTGGGGACTCCATCCTTGGCAGACTCTATTCTTGGGGACTGCATCTTTAGGGGACTCCATCCTTGGCAGACTCTATTCTTGGGGACTGCATCTTTAGGGGACTCCATCCTTGGGGACTCCATCCCTAGGAGAATGCATCCTTAGGAGACTCCATCCTTGGGGACTCCATCCTCGGGGACCACATCTTTGAGGGACTCCATCCTTGCGGACCGCATCTTTGAGGGACTCCATCCTTGAGGACTGCATCCTTGGGGACTCCATTTTTGGGACCTGGAGGAGCTCCTGAAAGCCTCTGCACCAATGAGAGCAGTTATCCAAGCTGGGCAGGAGGAAGCACCATGTGATATTTCGATAGCCAGCTTGTCTTCCAAATTTGGTGCTGGCTAATGAGGAAATGGGTTTGCACACTGCTTGCATGGTGGTGGGAGGCAGTTGGGAAGCATACTGGGTATGGGAGGAGAGTGGGCCCAGGATTTAAAATAGACCTCGGGGAATCCTCAGAGGTAATAATTCCTGCCAAGATCCTCCAAGAGACACCTCTGGTCACAGTGACCTCAAGGGCTGGATTTGAAAGGAGAGAGAGGAGAGAAGGAGACACTGTCTCATCAGGTGCCCCTGGTCCTAACTGCTATGTTCTGAGAGCCTCTAGATGATTCCAGGGATAATTACCAAGTCCAAGGGAAAAAGGGAAATTCTGCCTCCTTCCAGTCTTTGGAGCTGGCCTTTGACCCACTCCCATGGCTGCAGAAGCAAAGGGAATGGAGACCCCTCAGTGCTGGTTCTCAGAGAGGTCCTCCCCAGAAGGCCATCTCCCTGGCCATTCTAATCAAATGAGAAAAATAACCTGGAAGCCACAGTGTTCTCAGATCCTGGCACTCTATCCTGTAAAGCTGAAGACAGATGTCATTTCTCCCTGTCCTTGCTCCTGGCCCACAAAACCTGGGGAAGACAGAATATTGATTCAAACCACTCCACCCATCATCACCCTTTTTATCATGTAAGTGTTGTTCCAATCCCAGGATGTCACCCAGACACTACAGAAACTTGATTGAGGCCAGGTGTGGTGGCTAACACCTGTAATCCCAGCATTTTGGGAGGCCAAGGCAGGAGGATCATTTGAGGTCAGGAGTTCAAGACCAGCCTGGCCAATATGGTGAAACCCCATCTCTACTAAAAATACAGAAATTAGCTGGGTGTGGTAGCGGGCACCTGTAATCCCAGCTACGCGGGAGGCTGAGGTAGGAGAATCACTATAACCTGGGAGACAGAGGTTGGAGTGAGCCGAGATCACGCCGCTGCACTCCAGCTTGGGCAACAGAGTGAGACTCCATCTCAAAAAAAAAAAAAAAAAGAAAAGAAAAGAAATTCCCCCAGAATCCCTTTTTAAAGAGAGCACTCAACCAAAGTCTTTAAGCAGACACCCTCTGTGGACCTCAGGACCTGCTTTAGGGTCAATATGACCTGCCTCTCTGCTCTGAGACTTCTGGTAGAACAATCCAGGGGAAGAAGTTTCCATCAGTTACCAGCTTGGACTCTCGACTCCGGGAACCCCAGGAAGAAGCAGCCGAGGGTCACTGTCTACACTCAGCACTGCTGAGGCCGAGTGTCTCCTCCTCTGTGTGGCTTTCCCACCTCCCCTAGCCACAGACCTCTCCCTCGTCTTGGGTATCACTTGAGTCCTAGGGTGTTTAAGGTTTCTGCTGCTCACTTGGCACTGGCATGGCTTTGCTCTATTCACTTTTAACAGACTCATCCTGTCTCCTCAAGAGCTGAAGTCCTGGAAGGGCAGGGACCATGTCTTTTTTTCCCCCTCTGTTCCCAGTATGGATGTGCCATGTATTTTTTGGTCATATGATGCATGGATAGGAACTCTGAACTTGGAGCATCTTGCCGAAGTCGGTACCAGGTGACAGCGCTGGTCCTAGAGAGAGCAAAGTGAGCAGGAAGCACTAGAGGCAACTCCTCTATACCCCCCAATAAAATGTGTGTGGCATCTGAAACTGTCACAAATGCACATGACACACTCAGATGTGCTCGGTAATGACAACGCGGGACAGCCCTCTGATTGGGTAAAGGGATGATTTGACAAGAAGAGGAGCCCCGCATTAAGGAGTGACTCCACCAAGCACGTCACTCTGTGAAACGCAGGGGTCCCTAAGAATAGGCACATTAGTAGGAGCCCGGCTGCAACAGGTAGTGGCAGGCCTGAGGAAAAGCAGCAGGATTAGTCACTGCGTTCTCCTGGCAAGGAGGAGTGGCATTAATGAGAGGTATCCCCACTAGATCATCATCGATGGTGTGAAATGAGAACAGGTAGGAAGAGTGGGAGGCCAGCCAAGATCCTGAGCCTGCTGACGAGGCTTTCAGTGGGAGGAAGGGGAGGAGAAGGAGGATGACAGGAGGAGAGACAAGGAAAGTTAGCCACCACACCGCTAGAACCAGGAAGTTCAGAGAAGATAACTAGGAAGAGACTGGTCAGAGACAGCTTCACCTGCACTAGCCATCCTGGGCCTTGGGAAAGGTGAAGAGGACCACTTCTAAGAGGACCTGTCCAGTGGGAGCATCTGGGAACAGGAGCTCCTGTCTGCAGGAGCCAATGCAGGAAGGACTCTGAGCACCTGCGTGGGCTTGCCCAGGAGCCAAGGGGAGGCAGAAAGCAAGCCATGGATGCTGGGAGGGCCTGGCTCCTTTGAAAGAAAGAGAAGGAAAAGAAGGGCATGTCCTGCCCAGAGGAGATGAAGGGCCAAGCCCCCTCTCTGCTCCTGCTCTCTGTCACCTACCTACTATGCCACCACCTCACTGGCTCCATCTCTGCCTCTGCCCTAAAAAAGCCTCGGCTGGGGGCAGAACACATCCTGCCCGCACACATTAACTCAGGCTTGCCTTCGTGCCTTGCTGCCCTAGTGTTGGGACACCCTCATCTGCTCCACCAGGCCAAAGCCTGCCCACTCCACAGGAACCCCTCCCCACCCCCTGGCACCCAGGAGCACCCATTCAGGCACTGGCTCACTCCTCCCATCTCCTGAATTGCCCTCCTGCTAAATCACCTGATTTCTTAGCCCCATCCCTCGAGAGCCCAGCTGCTCCCAACAATCTGAGCCCAGTCCTTCCCCTGCCCTCAGGTTCCTGCCCAGGGACAGTTCTGGAGCCTCCTCAGCTCAGCTCCCTGGTCTCTGAAGCCTGCCAGCCACTGCAGCCTTATGTCGGGACCCTCACAGCCCCAACTCCTGTTCTTCTCCAGAACCACACCTCACTGCCCAGCCCTGATCCCTCCACCACAAGCTCCCGGCAGCCCCCTCTCCCAACCCCCATTCTACCCCAGGTATAGCTAATCCCTGGCCTTCTTCTCACTCCTCCTACCTGGCGCAGGTTTCGGGTGACCCGGACGTCGTGCCAGGCGTTGTCGTTGAACTTGCCATTGACGGGTTCCACAAGGGCCTCGAAGGCACCTGAGCCTAGGTTGATGACCAGCCAGACAGCCCCAGACTTGAGGGACAGGTTGACGTAGTCGGCCGACTTGCCTGTATGCAGCATCAGGCCGTTGCGTTGCAGGGTGCGGAAGGCCAGTGTGATCTCATCAGTGCTGCTCTGGATGGGGTTGTGTGACAGGTCGTAGCAGAAGAACTCATTGCCTTTGAAGGTCGCCACAAACTCCTCCTTGCCTGGATGCCGTGGTGTGGGGAAACGGGAGAAGGCTGAATGGGGCAGGGTACACCAGTGCTTCCCTCTCCCCTCCAGCAACGCAGGCACTGGTCCTGGGCACCAGGAGCCCAGAGGTCCCAACCTGTAGCTTTAGGCCCCTTTCCCTCCCTCGGCCTGTCAACCATCCTCTCAGGACCCTGCCGTCTCTGCTGTCAAAAGTCAATGTCCCCTGTGTCCATTTCCAAACCAGGAGGCTGCTAAGTGGCTCCCACACTGACAGCTGACAATTACTCTGCCACAGGACCCAGCAGAGCGGAGGGTGCTCACTGTCTCCTCCCCACCAACCTTCCCATCGGCCACTCCCCTTAACAAAGGGACATAGAAGGGAAATAAGAGGCTCTGCCTTACTTCTCCCTGGGTGCTCCTCCCGTATGGCAGGGTCCTCAAGGGTCTCCTACGCACAGCCCACCTCCCTTCCTGCCCCTCCTCCAGCGATGGCCAATCTCAGTGCCTGGAGACAGTTTCAGCCTCACCATATGGGATGGGACCAATAGGCCTGTTGTGCAGCAAGGAGCAGATGAGGAGAATGGGAGGTGGGGGAATGTGGGGAGGGCCAGGAAGACACACACGAAGGCGATGCAGGTGACAGGGATATGCACCGGATAGCAACAGGCCACCAGGCAGAGCTCACATGGGTGGCCACAGCCCCAGCTATCATCTCCACCCCCAGCTCCCTACTCCAAGCCAAGGACGGCGCAGACAGGCCCAAGATGGAGGGCAAAGAGTGCCTGGATGTGACCTGTGTGTGCCCAGAGAGTAACAGGGCAAGAGCAGGCCTGGGCCTTGTGTGTGTGCATGTCTGTGTGTGTGCATGTATGTCCATAGGCACCCGGCACAGGGCCCTTCCACTGGCACTTTTTAAGCAGAAGCAAAAACTACTGGGAGAGGCTGAGGGATTGTCAGCATTCTGTAAGTTGGTAACAAGTGAGAAGACAATGACTCAGTAGTACCAAGAAGTTGAGGTTTCTGTCCAACACCAGCACAAGCCAGAGTGCAAGCAGAGAGAAGAGAACCGGATATGAAGTCAGGACAAACCAGAGGACCTGGGCTCTACCAGTGGCTCACTTCTGGCCATTAAGCAGTGGCACACAGCTGGCCCTGCCTACCTCACTGGACAGGTGCAGGGCAAACAACACTGGCCGTGAGGGTCTTTATGAAGAGGCCGAGCTAACCAAATGCAGGAATTCTCAATAGATGCTCCCAATGCCCAAGCAAGAACAGGCACAATGCCAGGGTGCATCCAGGGCCACCAGGAAGCACTTGCCTTCCCCTGGTGGAGGCAGGGCTCAGCAGCAGTGCTATGTGTTGAGGCAGTGGGGTGGTGGCGGGGGGGGAGTTTCGGAGTGCAGATTCTGCAGATCCCCTCCCCTCCACACACAGCCTGCTTCTCTCTCTCTAGGCAGGCTGCCCACAGCCTCTGTCCTCACTGCCTCCGGATGCCAAGGCACCAGCTGCTGCCCCAGAGCCTGGCACAGCACTCACTGCAGCTGGCAAGGCCCGGTTTCCTGAGGCCACAGGGCAGCAAGGCTGGTGGGGGCCTGGGCAACATCGGGACAGTCTGAATCCCTTCCTCTGTCTACTTATGGTACCAGCGGGGAGGGCCAGAAAGCAAAAGTGAGGACCCCAGCAGAGACAAGAGGGTAAGGCGGGGAAGAGTGGCAAGGAGGAGGGAAGGAGGGAGGTGGGGCAGAGCCAGGAAAAGGAGAACCATCGCAGAGACAGACAAGAAATGAAGACGGCTCAGGGCTGTGAGGGAGCAAGAAGGGATGAGCGCGGCTATCTGGATAAAGAAAAGGAGCAAGCCCTGCGGGAACAGGTACAGGAGATGGGAAGAGAGCCAGCAACGAAAGTGGACAGGGACCTCTAGGGAACAGAAGCCAAGGCTTTCTGGGGCCTTGCTGTTTCCATAGCAACGAAGCCTGCTGCCCAGGCACTAGGAGAACCAGGGGGCTCAAGGACCAGAAAAAGGAATGTTTGACCTTGGTTTTGCCACATGTACTAGTCCCACCCAGAAGCCATTCCTCCCACTCCCTCACCTTCACTGCAGTCAAAGAAAGTATCATTAAAGAGAGTCAAACAGAAAGAAAGAAAAGAATAAGGCAACCATGTGAGTAAGTGATTGGGACAGAACAAGAGGCCAGCAAAAAGGAAAGAGGCGGGTCTGGGGCTGGACAGTGGCTGCCAAGGCCAAGTGGAGAAACGAGGCCATTTCTCGACTCCTCAGCCCTGCCTCCAGTCTCCTGGGGTGGGTGGCAAAGCTAGCTACTCTGGAGCCTGCGCCTCCACGGGCTCCAGTCCCTTTACCACCGGAGACCTGGGTCAGCCCAGAGACGCCAAGAGGCCTGAGGAGCAGCCAAAGAGAACCTGAAAGCCTTCGAGAAGAGGGACAGAAAAAGAGATGAGCAAGTGTGGAAAGAAAACCCGAAGATGGTGAGGAGAGAGAGAGAGAACCTGAGTAGGGGAGGTCGGAGCATGACTTCAAGGGACTGGTGGAGGGATTCTACTGGGGTGAGCCTGTAGGGGCGGCGGAGGGGCTCAGCAGAGCACAAACAAGATCTGGGCTGAACAAGCCCTGAAGCACCAGGGGGCGCTCTCCCCTATCTCGCCGGTCTGGCGCGACTGGGAACTACAACTCCCAGCAGCGCTTGCACAATTACCGCCCCTAATTGCTCCGGACCGAGAAAGGAAGATAATAGCTGATGCTCGTTTATCTCCCACAGTTGGGGAGTCTGTAGCCCTACAAGTGTCCCCAGTGAATGTGGCTAGAGACTAGTTGTTGTGGTCCTGCATTTCTGAGAACCATGCATGAGGGACAAAGCAGCTGCCTTCTTTCCAGGCCCAGCTCCCAGACCTCCTCTGGGAAGGTCTCCAGCGCCCCCCTCCGCCCTCCCTACTCTCGAGCTCTACAGCTGTCTGTTCTGCTCACTTGGCACTTACTGCCTAATAACATCTTGTACTGCTCCCTGGAGAGGAAATGTGATGTGAGAAAGAAGACCTGGGCGCTAGTGCTGGCTCCACCACCAGCTTTGTGACCTTCGCTGGTCACAAAGCTGGGCTCTAAGTCCCAGCTTCCCCGTCTGGAAAATGGAGCTGATCATCAGGAACTGCACAGGCTGCTGTGGGCACCTCAGAAAGAGAAAGGGTGGGGTCCAGCTTCCTCAACCATAAAGCATCCCACAAATAAACGACTCATGCCAGTTGGTAACTTTCTGCTAGTGTCCTGCCTCTCTCTGTGTCTCCCTCTCTTTCTCAATGATTTTTTTTTTTTTAATGGAGTCTCACCATGTTGCCAGGCTGGTTTTGAACTCCTGGCCTCAAGTGATCCTCCCACCTCGGCCTCTCATAGTGCTGGGATTACAGGCATGAGCCACCGTGCCTGGCCTCAATGAATAAATTAACTCCTCTGAAAAGAGTCTGCACTTTTCATGTACTTTGCATGGACCACACTTTATTGTAGGTGTTAGAACATCAATCAGCCCCTTAGTAACAGAGCCCATTGGCTCATATAAAATAAATTTGCTGAGCACACAGCTACTTATGTGCCAAGAGCTGTGTGAAGCACCGGGGGCATAGGAACAAAAATATCCAATCCCTGGCCTCAAGGAGCTTGGTCTAGTTGGGGAAGCAAACAGGTAAAGTGACAGTTATGATACAGTGTGATGAGCCTTCTAGTGGAAGTGTGGACAAAGTGTGGAAGTGACCAGGTTCACCTGGGGTGTTCAAGGAGACTTCCAGTGTGCATGGCCTGGCTGCTTTTTCAAGAGTCAGACGAAAGAGACACACCAAGTCATTGGGGAGAGGACAAGGATGGCGGAAATCCAGGCAAACAGAAGAGCAGACTAAAGAATGGAAATGGGACTCCATAGCCCCAGTGCTTGGCACCCACTGGAGTTCCTTGAGGACTTGTTATAGTGGCTTGTAAACTTCTTAGGAAAGAGATTGTCTTAAGAAAGGCAGCCTCAGTACAGAAAAAGGAGCTAGAGCCCCCAAGCAGGCTTAAAGGCCCTGTGCTGGCCACAGCTCCCAATCAGAATTTCCCTGGACTGGGCACCTAGCAGGCTTCCAGAATTTGATGGTTAAATTGGGGTTGCCGTGCTGCCTGGTTGCCTTAACAAAGAAACAGATACTTCCTAGGGATCAGCCTGAACAACTGCCACATAAAAAGATACCTGTGTTCTAGAAAGAAGTCATCAGAACAACTGGGCTTTGCGAAAGAAATGGAGGTTTGTGGCCCTTCACATCAGGGCAGCTAATGGGGCCTTTGGAATGGCACTCGGGGAGCAGACCCATCACTTCCCACAGGCCTCAGAGAGGACAAGGGGATGTGCCTGCGTTGACTTGGCTTCCCCCCAGGAAGCACAGTTAGCCTGCAGCAGGATGAGGGCTGGGCTCTCTGGGGACCATGGGGGTCACTGACCTTTTGTTGGCTGGTGCACATCGCCGGCTCCTCCTCTCCCGGCCCCCCCCTCGGAGAACAGTAAGGACCCTACTGGAGAAGCAGAATTGGGGAGTCAGGCACAGGGGGTACCGAGCCAGTCCCTCCCCAGCCTTGAGGGGATGAAGGGCCCTCTCCAGGGTGGAGGTGCTGCTTGCACGGACAGGGGAGGAGAGGCTTTTCTGGGGACTCCCTTGCCTTCAAGACCTCTAAGGAAGGAGCCGCTTGACAAACCGAGGGCGATCAGCCCCACAGACCCCATCAGATTCATGATCACCGACTTCCACTCTTTGCCTGGGGTGGGGAGACTGGGCAGAGGAACAGAGGCCTCACCATGAGTGCAGGATCCCTCCTTCCCCACAGCAGGCAAACAGGCCAGCCCTCAGCACTGGAGGCCCCCAGTTCCCCCTTTCAACTGCTCGCTCATTCTCCTTGCCTCCTCCATGAGGCACATTCTCCCCACCACTCTGCACCTTTGCTCACACCCTTTATGCTGGGTTAAGTTCACACTTCCCAACTCGTTCAAAAGCCTGACGCAGACACCCCCTCCTCCAGAAACTTCTCCAGATTTATATCCCAAGCTCCTCTTCTGTTCTTTCCTGTCCTTGAGGCTCTCACTACACCTTGAGGCCATCCACACCTGCTTCATTCACCACAGTGAGTGCTCGGAAGCTCACCCTTGCCCACTTCTTTGCCAGTTAGACCCTGGAGCTTCCCAGAGATTTCCAGGGGCTTCCTGTAATTCCTGTCTGTTCTTCATCCCACCATTGTGCCTACAAAAGGGCTGTGCAAGTCAAAGGAGATCCTCCCTGGAGCTCAGCCTGGATGTGGGCAAGCCCTTTCTCAGGAGTTATTTCTCACTCCCTACCACCCCACTCATCAGCAGCACTTAGGCCTCAGTCCAAATGCCCCGGTGGGCACATGTTACCATGTCTGGGTTCCAGGCCAGCTCGAATCTTCACCCCACCTCTCCCCGCTCCAGTGAACCTATATACTCAGCACCTGGCTTCCAGGTACCCAGCCCTACTGCCAGATCCACAGGATGGCTTCAGGATGAGAAAACTCAGTGATGAAGGGGAAAAGTCTCTAAATGGGCTCTTACTTCAACCCCAGTTGCAAATCCCCAAACTTGAACTAGAATAATACTTGAGCTGTGGAACTTTCCAGGGGGGCTTTCTGAGATCCTTTGGGAGGGCCTTCACTTATGACAAAGGGGAGCCACAGCCAGCACCCATAGAACCAGGCACTGAGAGGCAAGAAGGATGTGAGTGAACCAACCAGGGTTCCTACTCCTAGCTCTCCATTTGGGACTTCCTCTTTCCCCACACTTCTTGCCATAATTCCACATCCCTGCAAGACTCCAAGGCCTCTACCTCCCCAGACCTAAATCCATCCCAAATTTCATATCTATATGAGTTTCTCCCTGCAGCCCAATCTTGGTCCTGCCTACCGGCTAAGGACCCCACTCTGTTCCTCTGTAAGATGACCCCCCCACAGAGGGCTGAATTGGGCAGGTCCAACAGTGCCAAAGGGTCTGAAAGGCCAAAACCCTGAGCTCAGAGAGAATCAGTGACAGCAGAGGGCTAGAGGAGGCCAGAGCTGGAGGAGCTCAGACAGGACTCCTGAGTTCTGTCTCCAGGTTTGCTTAACACCAGGGCTCTCAAAGATGGTAGGCACTTAGTCAAAGGAGTGCTAAAATTAAATGGCTAGTCCCAACCATACCACCAATAAGGGTTGTGGAATCACTAACAAGTCATTTCATCTCTCTGGTCCTCAACGTCGTCATCTGTCAAACAGGGTTAAGAGACATTCAAAAGATACAAGGGTGAAGGCGTGCGGGTGGGCAGGGGGTTGGGAGCGCACACTGTGGAAACGGAGAGACCCTACACCTCTACTCCCATTTCCCTTCTCGTCATGGATGGGGGCCTCCCACAGTAGCAAGGTGAGGGTGATGAGACTGCCTAAGACCCTCTTTCTCCAGCCCATGCTTTTCTCTTGTTACTTAGGTCCATAGAAAAGAAAGAATGATCAGAATGAGTGGAAGGAAATCAAACACCACCATGAGAAAGAAAAAAAAGCAAGATACACTACCAGGAAAACGCAAAAAAAGGGTGACTGGAGACAACGGCAGGAGTTCAAACATCTCTTGATGTCAGAAACCAAGGTGAGATGTGGGTGGATGGAGTGCTTCAGGGTGGGTGAGGGAGAGGGGAGCACACAGACAAGGGCAAGCCCCCACCCCCACCCCAGCACCCCCCAAATAAAATTAAGAAATGGCAAAGGAAGCGGGTAGGAAAGGAAGGAAGGTGTCAGGACAGGTGGAGGAGGGGAAGGGGACAGGGGAAGGACAGGGAGAAGAACAGAAAATCCAGGCGCAGGTTGGGGGCAATCCAATCCAAACCAAACCAAAACTTCAAACCATACCTTCGCTGTTTAACGTCAGGTGAGCCGGACCTTGGAAAGGGGAAGGAGAGAAAGAAAGAAAGAAAAAAAGAAGAAGAAAAAAGAAAGAAAAGGGGAAAGAAACAAAGAAAACACGAGTCATCAAAATCAGCCAGAGAGAAGGGAGAAAAAAGCTTTTGCTGCCACAATTTAAAAACCTTTTTTAACTTGTGACAGACATCGGGGGGAGCCCCAGCCCAGGAGCTGAGGAGAGGGGCCCGATGCCGAAACAGCGGGTGGAGGGCACAACAGGGGAAGAGAGAAAGAGAGATTAGGGGCGTCAGAGAGGGTGAGAGGGGTACAGGCAGAACTGGAGGAAGGAGGGGGCGGGGGGCACTGCAGCGGGGAGAGGAGATTTTGGTTTCTTTTTTTCTTCTTGCCGGAAAAAAAAAAAGGAAAAGGAGGAGAAGCATTAGGCTAGGAGGGTTGCTTTTTCCTTTTTCTTTTTTTCTTTTTTTTTTTCTTCCGGGAGGCGGAGAGAAAAAAAAACAGTCAACGAGAAAAACGATTCAGATGGAGGAGAAAATAAAACACGACACAAAAATCAAAGCCACCTGGAGAGAGAGAGAGTGTCCTGTTAGCATGGGATTAAGCGGGCAAGGGGGCCTCCAACCCCCCAACACCCCTAATCCCAGTTACCCCTAGGATGCTGGTAGAAAAGGGGGAAAGATGGGGGGATATAAAGAACCTGGGCCTAAAAGCATCCCCCACTAAAGCGGGGTTTGGAAGGACACCTGTTGGGTTCTAATCCTCCCAGCTACCCTTCCCAATAACCTCTGTAGGGGTAGTAGGGACCCTGCACACCTGGGTTCTAAGAGGAAACTGGGGTTCAAGAGGACAAAATTAGAGAGGAAGCAGGTAGGAGAAGGTAGAATCTACAGAGACACTGAGAGACTGGGGTCAGAGCTCTCAGACAGCAAGGTCCAAAGAGGACAGCCGAGCCCTATGGGAGGAAGCCCAGCTCTCTGAAAGGTCCAAGTACATCATTCATAAATTACAGACCCCCTTTCTCTGACCAGGACCTCTCTCAAATGACCCAAAAGCTGGATTTTGAAAATAGAAAATGGACTGATAGGAAGACCAGCTAGGATTTCCATCCAGGATTACACTGGCCCCTTGAGACAGCCTTGTCAGCCCTAACCCAAAGTACCCCTCCCCAGCCTTAGTGGGAAGGAATCTGGCCCACTGGATCAGTACCCTTGTCCCCAACAGGCACCAGCCAAGGAAAGCTCTCTCCTAGAGAGGCTGGCAGCACCAGGCCCCACAGCTGGGCTGAGACCCCAGGGCTTCCTGAGATGGCCAGCCAGCTCCACCAAACCTCAGAGCCCCCCCAGCCCCACTCACTCCCCTGTGGTGTCTGGCCAAGAGGGTAGGAAGGGGAACAGCCCTGCAGTGCCACTGTCACCCTTGGAAACCAGCCCCACTGCTGTGGCAATGAGATGTGAACCCTAGGGATAGAAAGCTGGGGCCAGGATGGAAGTAGCAAGGTTAAAGAGTTACAAGTATTTCTGAGACGAAGCTGGGGGCCAGGATGCCTGGATTCTAAGAGGAAAGGCAGTGAGGAGGACAGGAAGGACATGGCCAGGGGCCAAAGGCCTGGACCCCGTGGCAGATGGTTCACATTGCCCTCTTTGCCCCATGTCTCTAGGGTGGCACTGGTTTCTCCCCACCTCTGAGTCTGAGGCCACTTGGAGGAGGAGGCCACAGCCGCTGAGGGCAGCCTCAGGACTGAACAGCTCTTGGGAGGATGTAGGTTTTTATCCATCACACAGGTAAGGACCCAAGCATTTGAACCGAGTCTCCTCATTCCTTACTCTGAATACCCTCCTACTCTGCCACCAACCCTTTCCCCAAAAACTACCAGCATCTCCTTCCAAACCCCCTAAACCCAGGACCCAGACCCAGAGCCCTCAACCCACATCCGACTCTCCCGGTCAGAAGCAGCCTTGCTCTCAGGATCCCACCCTTGAGAATCCAGGTCTCTGCCCACCCCCAGCCCAGGAGCCAGGTGCCCTGTGAACCCACCCTCTGTCTCCCACAGGCCTGACTGCTGCTGGAGGAAGCCACATCTCCCTCTCCCAGACCCTTCCACTGCCCAGCTCCTCGCCAGCCTCGTTAGCATTCGGCAGTCTCCCTCTGTCACCACGGCAACCAGCTGCTCAGCTCCCTCAGGCGTGACAGCACCAGCCATCTTGGTGAAGGGGAGGCTGGTTCCCTTCCTGTCTACCCCTGGCTCAGTCCCAGCTGGCCCCAGGGTTTTCTCCCTAAAGTCTGTCTCCCCACTAATCTGAAATCTCTGCTCCCTCCTCCTGGCCCCCAGCCCCACTGGGGTATTCACTTCCCCACATCCACCTGTGGCATCAGCCCCTCCTCCCACTGCTGGAAAAGAGACTGGCAATGATGGATGGCATTGCCATGGGTCCCTTCCTAGGGCACTTTATCTGGCTACTTCTGGGTCTCTTTGCCCTGCCACTAGAGGCTGGGAGGAAAAAGGAGGTGTTCGGCAGGGGTGCAGAGCAGGATCTTGGGGTTCCTGGAGAAAGCTAGGCCTCAGGCACAGTGTCAAGTGGGAAGAAGGCGAAGGTACAGAGGACTCCTTAGAGATATAAGGAGGGCTGCAGGGTCCAGAGCACAGTGCCACAGAGGAGGCCGCCAGCCCAGCCACGTGGAACCACCACCTGCTAAACCCACCTCCCCATCTTCAGTCTCATCCCCTAACTCTCCTACTGAAACCCCAGAGAGAACCACCATCGAAATAAAGATGGTGATAGGTGACCAAATTAAGAGACACACAAGCAGGCACACAGACATGTCTCAGAGTGACACAGAGATGTGTCAGACTCCTAGGTGTGTATACACACACGCGCACACACACACACACAGCCTCCAATACACAGCCCTGCACAGCCACTGACATGCAGGCATCCACAGTGCCACATCTAAACCAGCAGACCACCATGCCACCCAAAGAAATGGCGAGGTGGCGTCCACAGGCCTCCTTCCCCATGGGTCCCCAAAGCCCAGCTTCCCTTCTTGTTCCTGTCTATCAGCCCCTTTCCTCTTCCCTACTCCCACCAGACTCCTTCTTCCCAAGTGCCCCCCTGCCTTTCTTCTTTTGGCCAAGCTGTTCCCCGTTCCTGCCCCACCCCCTACAGCTTGAGGCTTGAGTCTTTCTCTTCCCACCCTTCACTTACCCCCTCTCCTTCCTCCATCTCTCTGCTCCCTCCTTTTTTCTCTCCTCCACCCTTTTTTCCCTTTCTCTCTTCCTCCCTCCATCTCACCCTTTGTTCCGGAGGAGACATGACATCAAGAGCAAGTAAAAGTCACATCAACACTAAATCTTATCTCCAGCCCTCAGAAGGCTGCGTCCACCCAGACACGCAGACTCTCTCTGTGACACACACGCAGAGGTAAACACTGACACACGGAGATGCAAACACAGATGCAGACACACAAAGATGCTGATGCTCTACATAGGCATACAGAAATGTGGGCCACACCACATATGCATCGATGGAGGCGCACAGCACACCCATGCACTCAGACACAAAACCATGTTACGTGTACACAGCATATATCCTCAGGCGTGCACACAGACACACAGACCAGCAGAGTTGTATAAATGTATGTGTATGCAGACATACATACCCACACATACATACATACACACACACACACACACACACACACACACACACACCTGCCTGCTGGGCCCTGGGGACCTGAGGACCCCCAGGGAAAAGAGACATCCAAGAGAGACAAGTCAGACCATGGACATCACGAGGAAAAATGGGTTCCAGCCCCACACTCAGGCCAAGAGCCTCTTGCTGCCTTTCTTTCCCAGGACTACTGCATCCCTGGCACTTTCCTCTCCTCCTCCCCAGGGACGCCCTTGCCCTCCCACTCCACCTTCCCAGGAGAAGGGACTGGGATGCCACCTCATGCCTGCTCTGCTGCCTTCTTCATGGTAGCTATGTGAGCTCATCTTCAACACAGCCTTCAAGCCAGGACTACCTTCTTCCTGCTCTCAGTCCATCCCAGAGGAGGAGAAGAAACAGGGAAAGCCAAATTGCAAGAGAAAGATTCAGAGAATGACAGAAACCCAGAGAGAGCCTGGGGAAGGAGAGACACATGGTCCAGGGACAGAGTCTTGGAGAAAAGGAGGTAAAGACAGAAACTGGAGAGGGAGAAGAGGCCAACAAAACAGGAGATAAAGAAAGAACATACAGAGAGACCTGAGAGAGAGGCACACACCCCACCCTTGCCCTCCGACCTGGATGAAGGAAGAAGCAGCCCACCCCTACCTAGCAACCTGTGGGGCAGCAGCTAGGGGCCTGCCGCAAGTGGCAAGTGCTGGTCACAGTGGGGCAGAGAAGCTGCTCCCACTATACACCTCCAACCCCCTACTCTGCCAGTGCACTCCACCACCCTCCAGTCCCCTGAGCCCTGCACAGTGGCACCAGATTCCAGGGCAGATTTTCCCCAAGCACAGGTTTCTGGGGCAACAGCCCACCCCAGCCTGCCCCAGCATCTGGAAAATTGCCTTTCTAAGCTTCCTAACTTAGGCTGGGCTAAACGTTGTCTACCCACTCACTTCTGGGCACTTCGGAATCCTGTCAGCCCCATCCCTCCACCCCCACCGCTCATCTCTTCCCTAAGTTTCCCTTTCCCTCTCCAGCGTGGAGAGGGAAAGGAAGAAGAAAGGCCAGTCAGCAGCTCCCCCGAAACTCATGAAGAGGGGACGCAAGAGAGTGGGGCAAGGCAGCCAAGGGAGGACCCCAGACATCCTTCTCCGGAGAGGCCCTAAACATGGCAGGAAAGGGAGTCCTTGGGTAGCCAACGACAGTCCCTCATGTAGGATCCCCATGGCAACAGATCCACTACCCCAGTGACAGAGAGGCTTCACTCACCTTCCATGGGGTGCTCCTCTGCAGCCAGCGAGGTTCGGAGAAGACGGAGGCAGAGAGAGAAGAAAAAGGAGGGCTGTTAGCAAAGGTACCACGGACAGGGGCTCCAAGGGGAGAGAGGAGTCCAAGCCCACCCAGGCCCTGACATGAGTCACCCAATGTGGAAGGCCCAAATCTCAAGAAACAGCTATGTTGGGGATGAGGCAGACACAGAGCTGCTCCCTGAGTCAGAACCTCACACACAGTCAGCCAGTACCCATCACACCCAACCCTCAAGTAACATTTCAGGAAACCGAGGCCCAGGACAGGGAAGTAACCACTCAAGGTCACACAGAGAATCTGAGGCAGGGCCAGGAGTGGCAGTCAGGCTTCTCAACTTCCCCAGAGAGGCTCCTACCCTGCATTCCATTGCATCTCACAGACAGATGGGGACACACTCACACCACTAATTGTCTCACAGGGTTCACTAGAGACACACTCATGCTCAGTGACACACTGACACACATAGGCACTTAGCAATCCAGTGACACACACTGTCTCACACAATTCACATATAAAGCCCCTGCACACAGGACCCAACCACCTACGGCCCCTGACCCTCCCAGGGGTGAAAAGACATCAAGACACAGAGAGAACAAACATGATTCTGCCACACAGCACTGTGTGACTTTCATCCTATTCACTTAACCTCTCTGAGTCCCTACTGCCTCTTCTGCAAAATGAGAGGGGTGGACTGGATAGTTTCTGAGGCCTCTTCTGACTCTGATTCTGATTCTAGGACAAATGTCTTCTTAACATCTGGATGAGGCCAAGGGCCCCCAGGCTGGATGGCCATGCCAGTGGGGGAAGAGAGTCCAAATTCAGTGGGCCACACTGGGCCCAGACCTAGACCATGCCACATCCTTTGGATAGGCAGACCTCACCTATTAGGGCCCTGCCTGGATCTGGCCTTGGAGCTCACCAAATGGGTCAAGGGAGAAGATGGAACAACGAGAAGATGGAGACAATTCCTTCAACTAAGCTACAACTCCTCAAGCAGGTTGGGCTCTGATCTTCTTTGTAAGAGGATGGAGGTGCCCCCAGCTCCAAACATTTGCCATGTGCCCACCTCCTGGGAGCCTTTAGATGAAGCAATAGGCAGGAGGGGGAAAACAGCACAATCTACAAACACACAAACCCAGTGGGGAAACACATACTTGCATATGCAGGCCCCAGGATACACACTTATGTACACACAGCTATCCAGTTCACACTCACGCATGCACACATTATCTCCTCCTACCTCCAACCCCATTTGGTGATATCTGTTCATTCGCTCATAGAGAGGTAGCTATACTCTGAAAACAAACATAGTCATTTGTCATACCTTATACCACTCCCATAATCCACGCACATACACAGGCTGAATGCAAGCACCAATACCTACACAGTAATCTACTACATAACACTAGACACACACACCACCACCCCACAGTGACTCCAGTGGCTAAAGCCATACAGCCAGCGATGAACACAGCTCTTTATCTCCCATTTCCTAAACCTACATACACAGTCTTTCCATGTCAACATGTGTTACAAACACACTCCTCTACAACACAGAGCTGCTTCTACCTGACAGCTGCATCACCTAAAAGATACATGTCTAATAGTTTTCTTTTTTTTTTTTTTTTTTTTTTGAGATGGAGTCTTGCTCTTGTTGCCCAGGCTGGAGTGAAATGGTGCGATCTCAGCTCACCGCAACCTCCACCTCCCGGGTTCAAGTGATTCTCCTGCCTCAGCCTCCGGCATGCGCTACCACACCCGGCTACTTTTTGTATTTTCAGTAGAGATGGGGTTTCTCCATGTTAGTCAGGCTAGTCTCGAACTCCCAACCTCAGGTGATCTGCCCGCCTCGGCCTCCCAAAGTGCTGGGATTACAGGCATGAGCCACAGTGCCCAGCAATAGTTTTCTTAAGTAAACTGAATCACATTTCATTTATGGGGGGAGCTGGCTAATAAAGGGGCCCTCAGGAAACCCTTTGGCTCTCGTGAAGACTGCTGTGCCAGGATTTCTTTGGTCCCAGTATGCTAAGACCCTGGTCAGTCAGCACAATTGTCTCACCAGCACCTGTGCAAATAAGGAGGCATGGTGATTTCTAGATAATCCAACATGGTAGGTATTTCAAAAAGTATTTCCACCTGCCAGAAATGTACGTCATGCTATGCTCAGGAAGGTGAAACAACCAGGCTTGGTTTGTTTCTGGCTTTTGAGAGACAGCACCTAGAAACTCACATATCTCTCTTCCTCTGCTGCTCTTTGCTTTCTGCTGATTCACCTATGCCCCTCACCTGCCACCTCAGTCCCCTTCAGGGTTGGCCCCTGCCCTCCACATTCCTCTTACTTCTCCTCGCTCTCCTCAGTGATGGCTCATTTTCGTGCTCAGAGACTCCCAAACCATGGGTAGTCCCGGCCTCCTCCCTGAGTACCAGTCCTGTATCACCATGTGTCCACCCAGCAGTGCAATTGCTCGTCCAACTCTCTGACATCTAAACTCCACCACTGAAGCCATTCTCGACACCTCCACTCCTACAACCAAGTGCTTATTCCCCTGTGCTTAGCAAAGCCCCTGCTTTCAACCAGTGCTGCCTGAGCTCCCACTACATGCCCCACACTGCCCTCATAGGTTCCAGAGATTCCATTAGTTAGCCATGTGCTGGGCACCGTACTGACCCTCACATGCAATATCACACATCAGCCTCACTGCAACACAGAGCTCGGTGTTATCTATCGACTCTGTACAGAGAAGAAAACACACCCAGGAGCACAGAATCACTTTTGCCCTTCTCCACTGCAATCCTAGGTCATCGTAGCCTCTGGCCTCACTCCTTGTGCCTGGTTTCCTGCAATAGCTTCCTCTTGGTCAGTCTCCCTACCCATCCCCAGCCTGACCCTCTTGGCAGAGGTAACAGATACGCCTTACTAAATACCGCTGTGATGAGAACCTTTCAGTGTTTCTGATACAAACCTCTCTCCTGTGCTCTTGACCTATGTACCCATCTGTCTTTAGAGCCGCTGTCTCTGAGTGTCTCATGGGCTTCTCACATTCAATATGTCTAGGGTGGGCCTCATAACCCTCTCCTCACCCCACCAAATTCCCTGATCAAGTTAGGCACCCAGAAAGCACCTGCTCCTTTTGTCAGGCCAATCACCGGGTCCTACTGGTTCCACCTTCTAAAACCCTAAAAACAAAACTAAACTCCTAGAAATCCTTATCATCCCTCCATTTCCACCGGCACCGCCCAGGCCAGGCCCTGGTGAGGCCAGGCCCTGATCAGTCCCTCTCCTTGGAACATTAATAAGCCTAGGAGATGATGCCCTCTACCGCCACTCTTTTCACCCTGAAATTCATACACCGCAGCACAACAAAGTGGTCCACTCCAACCATGTTACGACCCTGCTGAAAACTCTTCAAAGCTTTTCAGTGCCTGTAGGTTAAAGTCGAATCTTCTCAGAAAATCCCATCCGAAATTTGACTGTTTCTTCCTCTAACCTCTTTTCCTGCGACAATCCAGGCTGCAGCCACCCCAACTTCTTCCTGTTTCTATAATATGCTATGTTTCTGCACATAATATTTCTTGTGCTTGAAATACTCTTCACCTACAGCTGGCTAAGAAAATCTACTCTTTCTTTAAGACCCAAGTCAAGGGCTAGCTACAATGGTTCGCGCCTATAATCCCAGCACTTTGGGAAGCCACGGTGGGAGGATCACTTGAGCCCAGGAGTTTGAGACCAGCCTGGGCAACATAGGGAGACCCGTCTCTACAAACAAACGCAAAAATTAGCCAGATGTAATGGCTCGTGTCAGTACTCCCAGCTACTTGGGAGACTGAGGTGGGAGAATCACTTGAGCCTGGGTGGTCAAGGCTGCAGTGAGCCATGATGACACCACTGCACTCCAGCCTGGACGACGGAGAAGACTTTGCCTAAAAAAAAGAAATAAATAAGCCCCGTCCGGGGGGGAAGTGGGGGGATCAGCCCCCCGTCCGGCCAGCCGCCCCGTCCGGCAGGTGAGGGGCGCCTCTGCCCGGCCGCCCCTACTGGGAAGTGAGGAGCCCCTCTGCCCGGCCAGCCGCTCTGTCCGGGAGGGAGGTGGGGGGGGTCAGCCCCCCGCCCGGCCAGCCGCCCCGTCCAGGAGGGAGGTGGGGGGGTCAGCCCCCCGCCCGGCCAGCTGCCCCGTCCGGGAGGGAGGTGGGGGGGGTCAGCCCCCCGCCTGGCCAGCCGCCCCGTCCGGGAGGTGAGGGGTGCCTCTGCCCTGCCGCCCCTACTGGGAAGTGAGGAGCCCCTCTGCCCGGCCAGCCGCCCGTCCGGGAGGTAGGTGGGGGGGTCAGCCCCCCACCCGGCCAGCCGCCCCGTCCGGGAGGGAGGTGGAGGGGTCAGCCCCCCGCCGGGCCAGCCGCCCCGTCCGGGAGGTGAGGGGCGCCTCTGCCCGGCCGCCCCTACTGGGAAGTGAGGAGCCCCTCTGCCCGGCCACCACCCGTCTGGGAGGTGTACCCAACAGCTCATTGAGAACGGGCCATGATGACAATGGCGGTTTTGTAGAATAGAAAGGGGGGAAAGGTGGGGAAAAGATTGAGAAATCGGATGGTTGCCGTGTCTGTGTAGAAAGAGGTAGACATGGGAGACTTTTCATTTTGTTCTGTACTAAGAAAAATTCTTCTGCCTTGGGATCCTGTTGATCGGTGACCTTACCCCCAACCCTGTGCTCTCTGAAACATGTGCTGTATCCACTCAGGGTTGAATGGATTAAGGGCGGTGCAAGATGTGCTTTGTTAAACAGATGCCTGAAGGCAGCATGCTCCTTGGGAGTCATCACCACTCCCTAATCTCAAGTACCCAGGGACACAAACACTGCGGAAGGCCGCAGGGTCCTCTGCCTAGGAAAACCAGAGACCTTTGTTCACTTGTTTATCTGCTGACCTTCCCTCCACTATTGTCCTGTGACCCTGCCAAATCCCCCTCTGCGAGAAACACCCAAGAATGATCAATAAAAAAAAAAAATTAGAAAAAAAAAAAAAGAAAAATAAATAAATTAGCCAGACATGGTGGTGTGCGCCTGTAGTCCCAGCTACTCAGGAGGTTGAAATAGAGGATCATTTGAGCCCAGGAGTTTGAGGTTACAGTGAGCTATGATCACACCACTGCACTTCAGCCCAGGTCTCTAAAAAAAAAAAAAAAAAAAAAAAGAAAGAAAGAATTAAAAAAAAAAGATCCAGGTCAATACACATTTGTCTCTGTTCTAAACAAAGGAGAGCTAGCCTTCCTCTTTTGTGCCAACTCTAGAAATGTACATTCTATTATTAATTATCTTATTGAATCTCTATTGCATCTGTGTTAACATGTCTGTTTCCTGACTTGACTGTGAAATATCCAAAAGTGAGGACAATGCCTCATTCATCTCTCTATATCCAGCTGCTTACATGGCTCCTGGCTCAGAAAAAAAGGCATTCTCCTGTTTGTTGAGTGAATAATAAAAATAACACTTTGCATATACTGAGCACTTAGGGTGTGCCTGGCTCTTTACGCCCATTGTTCCTTTACCCGCCACTGCTACATTGTGAATGGATATTACTATCACTCCCTTTTAGAGCTGAAGAAACCAAGACTCAGAAAGTAGGAGTAACTTGGCCAAGGTCACACTGCTAGTTAGTGACAGTCAAAATTTGAACCCAAATCTGTCTGGTGAAAACTTCCAGTGGGCTACGTGCTTAGCCTGGAAGTCAAGACTTCTAGAAACTGATTCTAATCTAAGGTTCTGATCTTATCTACCATAAAACACAACCAACTTTGTCTCTTCATCATGTCCTGACCCACTCAATTCACATCCCCTGTATTCCTCATGTAGGCTACTCTCCTGGTGGGAAAGCCCTGCCCTTTCCTTTCCACCTCTATAACTCACACTCAGTCATCCTTCTTCAAGGTCTGGCCAAGTCCCACCTCCTCCTTGAAGCCTTCCCTGACCACTAGAGCTAATAACCATAGTACCATTTATTGATCACTCAGAATAGTGCCTGGATTGTAAAGGATTTTCGTATATTAATTCACTTAGTTCTTACAACGATATTACTTCCATCTTACAGAGTAGGACGTTGAAGAACAATGTGGATAAGTTAACTGCCCAAGTTCACACGGCTAACAAGTAGCAAAGCTAGGTTCAAACCATGGCAGCCTATGCTCTTACCCATTTTGCCATCTTTACGTAGGGGCATCTAGCTTGTCTCTGGGTCTGAGAGCAACTGCTGTCTATACCACCCTCTAGAGAAGCCTGTCCCATTCTACCTGGAGCCACTTCTACTCACAGAAACTGTCAGGACCACAGGTACTGGATGTTAGAGCTGACAGAATAACCCAACATAGGTGATTTCATTTGCTTAACTTTCAGACACAAGACTTCACTCCCCCAGCAGAAGACAGAGATGGTGTCATAGATGGTATGTCTTGCCTAACATGTCAGGATTCCAGCAGATTGATGATCAAGGACAGTGATGAAGACCAGAACAAAAGGGAAAAGAAAAGACTCTAAACAGCCAAAACATGCATCTAACACCCGGGCAATTAAGAATTGTTATTTTCTGGCTACTCTACACACACTGCCTAGAAGGTAGCCTTGCTCTATAGGAGTCATGGAGCTGTAAAACTGCATCCTTAATAAAGCTACTTCTACAAAAACGAAAAAAAAGAACTGTCATTTTCTCATAGGACCTCTCAGGCCCTAGCCAGAGTCCACCTACTGTTAGTGACACACAATTCTAACAGCAATTCCTAACTTAGGAATGCTGATTTCCAGGTTCACACACACACACACACACACACACAGAGAGAGAGAGAGAGAGAGAGAGAGAGAGAGAGAGAGAGAGAGAGAGATGTCAGTTGCTACCTGACAGCTCCTCCTACGGGTGGAGACAGAAAAACTAGAAAAAGCTAATATAAGAATTCAGAAGTACAGCAGTCAGGCATCATCTCAGGCAGGGACAAACCTCAGTGAAAGAACCACTGCATGACAGTTTGGCATAATACCTGAGGGGAATCACGACCACCTTGAGTCATCTGAAAAAAGTTAAATCAAGTTCCAGCTATTATGCTTAGGGAGGCAGAGAGGTGTGTAACACATTGTGAAGAGATTTCCATCTAAAATGTGTTAAATGTGGGTTAGTTGTGTGTTTTAATAGGATAATGCCCTGCTCTCTGGGATGGGTTCCTCTCCAAGGACTTGGAAAACTGAGATTTTCCTGATCTATCTCCATCGACCTTTCTCTGTGCTGGGACAGCTGACCCACAAACACAGGAACACCCTCAGCACACACTAGCTTAAGGGAGAAGGTGTGGCCCAAGGAATTTAGGGTAGTTACTGGTTTCTGATAAAACCTTGTCCCTAAATAGCCCAAATAAACCAAATGCAGGTAATCAATAGACCAACTGACCAGCTCTCCTTTCAGGAGGCAGCATGGAGACAGGTAGGGAGCAACAGGCTCTTGAGTCAGCTCAGGGCTCAGATCCCAGCTCTTACATCTCTGAGCCTCTCTTTGACCCTCTGTAAAATGGAGAAAGTTATTCTCATGTGGTGATCATGAGGACTAAATGGGATAAAACATCGAAGACACCCAGCAAATGCTCAATAGCTGCGAGTCCCCCCTCTCTCCTCCCCCGACCTTGTGATCCAATTCTCTGTGTTCCAATTGCTCCTTTGCTGGGTCTGCGGCCACTACTGCTCTTCCTCCTCCTCCCAGCTGTCTGCCCCTCTGAAGTCTTGTGCTCAATTTTTCTCACCTTCTCCTTGGCCACTTCATCTGATCTCAGAGCTTCAAATACTATCTCTACACACACACAGCTCCATCTGCAGCCCCAGCTTCAACTCAAAGCTCTGGTCTCACATTCCCAATCACCTGGAATGTCAAGAGGCACCACCACTTAACACAAGCATGATCTATTGTGCCAAGCCTGCTCCCCTTCCTGGCATTCCCCTCTCCTCTCACCCCTCCACCAAACTTCCAACCGTGCAGACCTGAAACTTCATCATCTCTGACCCCTCTCCTCCCACTCCACATCCAAGAGGAAGAATCCTACAGTTTCAGGCTCAGCAATGGCCTTCAATCACTGCCACCACAACTGCCACTACCCTTCCTTGCCACTCCCCAAGACAACCAAGGCTCAGGGCCTCAATATCTCTTGTGTGACCTATCTCCCAATTGATTTCTTCACTACATAACTCTATAATCCCTCTGCACTTCACTCCCAGCTCCCTAAGTACAGCACTTTTATATATATATATAATATATATAATATATATTATATATATAAAGTATATATATATAATATATATAATATATATTATATATATAAAGTATATATATATAATATATATAATATATATATAAAATTATACTTTAAGTTTTAGGGTACATGTGCACAATGTGCAGGTTAGTTACATATGTATACATGTGCCATGCTGGTGTGCTGCACCCAAATAACTCGTCACTTACATTAGGTATATCTCCTAATGCTATCCCTCCCCACTCCCCCCACCCCACAACAGGCCCCGGTGTGTGATGTTCCCCTTCCTGTGTCCAAGTGTTCTCATTGTTCAATTCCCACCTATGAGTGAGAACATGCGGTGTTTGGTTTTTTGTCCTTGCGATAGTTTGCTGAGAATGATGGTTTCCAGCTTCATCCATGTCCCTACAAAGGACATGAACTCATCTTATCCATTTCCCTCCCCAAAATTCTTTTGTGGCTCCATTTGCCAATACACTGTACCCAGTTAGCATTCAATGTGAGTTAAATAATTTAAGCCAGATCATCAAGACCTGGCCTCAACCTGCTTCTCCTGCTTTAGGTTCTACTATTCTCCCTATACCCCTTGGTGCCCTCTACAGATATGATGTACATTTCCCTGTGTCCATGCCTTTGCTCATATCAGCTCCTTTGCTTCAAACGACTTCCCCCAACCAAGTTTATTAATCAATGTTCGAGGCCAATTGTAAACAGCATGCCTTTCATAAACCTATTACTGATCCCCTCAACTTGGAAACTCTCCCCTGCACTTTGCTTGTAAGAGTAACTACCATTTACTCATCACTAATTTTATACAGCAGATGCTAATTTAATTCTTACAACAAACCTATGAGATAAGCATGTGTATCCCCATTTTTTTTTTTTTTTTTGAGACAGAGTCTTGCTGTGTCAGCCAGGTTGGAGTGCAGTGGCGCGATCTCAGCTCACTGCGACCTCCACCTCCTGGGTTCAAGTGCCCAGCCATGTATCACCATTTTATACATAAAGAAAAATGGGTCAGGTGCGGTGGCTCACACCTGTAATCCCAGCACTTTGGGAGGCCAAGGTGGGCGGATCATGAGGTGGGTGGATCACGAGGTCAGGAGATCGAGACCATCCTGGCTAACATGGTGAAACCCCGTCTCTACTAAAAATACATTAGCCAGGTGTGGTGGCGGGCGCCTGTAGTCCCAGCTACTCAGGAGGACGAGGCAGGAGAATGGCGTGAACCCGGGAGGCAGAGCTTGCAGTGAGGCAAGATCACGCCACTGTACTCCAGCCTTGGAGACAGCGAGACTCCGTCTCAAAAAAAAAAAAAAAGAAAAATGAGTCTAAAGGTTAGGTACTCACCTAATGTCATGGGCCTAGGGAGTAGAGAAGACAGATTTAAACCCAGACCAGAGCCACAGAAGTCTGTGGTTTAATCACTAAGCCACACTGCTTTACTGCATCTCTGGGCCACACACTATTGTGCTGTTTTTTTGCTACTATGTATTGAGCATTTTCTATGTACCAGGCACTGTTCTAAGCACTTTACATGAACTAGCTAATTTAATTTTCACAACAACTCTATAAAGTAGGTACCATTATTATCTTCATTTATAGATAAGGAAATGGGGGCAAAGAGAGTTTAAGTATAAAGTCACTGCCTGGGCAGTCTGGAGGCAGAATCTCTTAACAACACACTGGACAGCTTTTTTATCTGCTTCCTCAATTTAATAGTCAACTCCCAGACTGGGTGTGGTGGCTTACACCTGTAATCCCAACACTTTGGGAGGCCAAGGCAGGCGGATCACCTGAGGTCAGGAGTTCAAGACCAGCCTGACCAACATGGAGAAACCCCATCTCTACTAAAAATACAAAATTAGCCAGGCGTGGTGGTGCATGCCTATAATCCCAGCTACTATGGAGGCTGAGGCAGGAGAATCACTTTGCTTGAACCCGGAAGGCAGAGGTTGTGGTGAGCCAAGATTGTGCCATTGCACTCCAGCCTGGGCAACAGGAGCGAAACTCCGTCTCAAAAAAAAAAAAAAAGTCAACTCCCAGAGCACAGAGTCATCTTATTCATCTCTGACCACACTGTAGCCCCCAACACACAGCCTAGCACAAAAGAGGCCTTGGCAACTACCTGTTGAATTAAATCACTATCACAAAACACATGAGACACGTGTGTCTACCTCCCTGCAAGCACACACATTACGACTAGTTTCCTATTTTTCTCCTGAGCAAATAGTATACACCTGACACTCTGTCCTGAACACCTGCATCATCACTCCACCTGAGGTCTCACACACATGCCTGCACATCCCTTCTTCTTTAATCCCTTTTTAGCCCCTTCTCCACACACACAGGTGACATGAGGAAGCACTGTCATGCAAACCACTGCAAGATCCCAGTCTACTCTATCCCAGCTTTGGCAGATAATCAGCAACGGTAGACAGACTCAGCCACTCCCACTGAGCTCTGTCTTCAATTACGTGTGGCCAGATCTCTGAGAGAGAGAGAGAAAATGCAAATTTCCTAGCATGGAGGTTCTCCGTCAATGAGTAAGCCCAGACCCTGGGAGAGCAGGAGGGATTCCAAAGGATACACAAATTCGTATGCACACCAAACATCTGAAGGCAGATTGAAACATCTTGCATATAAAGCTAAAACCATTTTTCTAATGTATATTTTATTAACCACAATGGCAAATATAATATCAAAGTCATCTAAAAGCTTTTCCAAATTCACAGTGGCTTTGAGTCATTTATACTCACACTAAACAGATATAAAAATAATAACTGGAAGGGGTACTGTGAATTACTGACTTTTAAAAATGTCCTCAGTTGGCCAGGCGCAGTGGCTCACACCTGTAATCCCAGCACTTTGAGAGGCCAATGCGGGCGGATCACTTGAGGCCGGGAGTTCGAGACCAGCCTGACCAACATGGTGAAAACCCGTCTCTACTAAAAATACAAAAATTAGCTGGACATAGTGGCGGGCGCCTGTAATCCCAGCTACTCAGGAGGCTGAGGCAGGAGAATCGCTTGAGCCCAGGAGGTGGAGATTGCAGTGAGCTGAGATCGTGCCATCGCACTCCAGCCTAGGCACAGAGCGAGACTCCATCTCAAAAAAAAAAAAAAAAAAAAAAAGTCCTCAGTCTCAGAAAGAGTTGGGAACCATTCACAACAGATGATAAAGTGATTATAACTCCAAGGAAGCCTGGGGATTCTGACCCCTAGAGTTGTGTCAGAGAGCAGGAGCCAGGCCTGCTCCCCTTAAAGTCTTCCTTCCTCACCCCAATACCCAACCATGGGAGCCCATGCCTTTCCTCCTTGACTGGATGAGAAAGTACTCGAAGTATAATGAGCACAAGATATTATAAAAGCTACCTAGGAAATAAGGAACAAATAGAAGAAGAAATGAGGTTGCAGAGTGGGGAGAGAAAAGAAGGGAATCAGTAGGGTTATTGCTGTGCCTGTCATCTCCAGATGCAATCAGTGCCTACAACCCCCATGCCCACCCACAACATATATCTGAAAATATATACATACATGTTTTCATATGTACATACAGCTTTGCCTCAAGCCTTTATTCTCTCAATTACTTATTAATATCTCTCCATTCATTCCACAAATCTTTATCAAACACCCACTAAGTGCCTGGTACCAGATTAGGTGCTGGGAATACAGAAATGAATAAAGACACAACCCTCCCCCTTTACCACAAAGCACTGCTCTCTCAACAGATACCACACACACATCACACACACTCCACATATACACAAGCAACCCTGCCCCTACCAGCTGGCGCCCGCCTTATATCTCACTTTCCCTTTTCTTCTTCCTTTTTTTTTTTTTTTTTGAGATGGAGTCTCACTTTGTCACCCAGGCTGGAGTGCAGTGGTGCCATCTCAGCTCACTGCAACCTACACCTCCCAGGTTCAAGCAATTCTCCTGCCTCAGCTTCCCAAGCAGTGGGGATTACAAGTGCCCGCCACCATGCCTGGCTGATTTTTGTATTTTTAGTAGAGACGGGGTTTTACCATGTTGGCCAGGCTGGTCTCGAACTCCCGACCTCAAGTAATCTGCCCGCTTCAGCCTCCCAAAGTGCTGGGATTACAGGCGTGAGCCACTGCACCTGGCTCACGTTTCTTTTTCTTACATGACTCTCTCTCACACACACACAGACACACACACACACAATGGGTCAGATACATATATTCAACCATCTCTCACAGCTTCACCACAGCTGACACAAACATTCATCTGATACCAAGCCATATTATACACACAGCCATCCCTCTCACACAGTTACTCAAACACATCTTAGACACACAACCACACAACCCGTATTCAGAAGCATGCACTTGTTTGCCTCACTGGAAGCCTCTGGCCAATGAATCCTCTCAGGGAATGGATACAAAGGCTCTGGTTGACCAAGGTGCCTCTGGCTGCATTTTTCACACACCCAAGCCCAATTCAGCCACAGTGAGGCCAGGGACCGGTTACCCTAACCTCCCGTAGCTCGAGCTTTCCCTCCATCAAATCAGAGGATGATTCATCCTGTTTTCTTAGGCAGGCTTTGGGGGAAGGGTAGAGGAACCAGAGGATCAAATTAAGGTTCTGGAAAGAAAGAGTCCTCATGCAATCCGGCTGTCTTACTGAGGCCTCACGTTAAAACACAAGCACATGAGCAGACACCCTCACACTTGGGAACTACTCACTCTACTAGGCACTAGACTCCTCTATCTGCAAACACTGGTATTCAAACAGACCCATTCACACGTCAAATACACACTGCCAGACTCGCGGGCCTCTACACGCAGGCAAACACACACCGACACAGAATTTCACAGTTTAGGAAACAGCTGAACTCCTTGGAGAAAGGGTGAGAAGGTGTCAGCTTAACTTAATACACAGTTCCTGATGACGTAACCCACAACCTTGTACCAATAACCCCAAGAAAACAATCCCCAGAACTTTTGGATGTATTCATCGACCACAACTACAGATACACAGGCAAACGACTCTCCCAAGTGCAGACTTCCCACACCCAGGGCCACACCTGCAGGCTGGGCCCTCCCATGGCTGTCCACAGGCACACAGCCACAGGACACCTATCCCCAAAGCAGTGCCGGGCCACATTCATGTTGCCAGCGCACACGTGCACATGCACACGCTCCCTCAAAAGCCTCTGACTCTGGGGGGACGGACACACACACACAACCGCTGAGTGGCCCACAGCTTCTAGAGGGACCAGGGGAGAGAACGTCAGGCCTGAGGCACACACGAGCTGGAAGAACAGGGACGAGGGGCGGGGAGAGACGCGCATGCGCCGCCCCCAGACCGATGGGGGAGCCCCTCCCCACGCCCAGCCAGACCCTAATGGAAGAGGCTCCTCCCAGTGCTTCCTCTCCTCAGCGCCCCCTGCCCCCCGACACCACAGCCCCGCCCCGGGCCGCTCAGCCCAGGACCCGCCCGCACTTCACCACTTCACGGTCTTGGCCAGACTCTCGGCCTCCGGGCAGCGCGGGTGCTGGCCGGACCCCTCCCTCCGGTGAGCCTCTCTCCCAAGCGCCATTCCATAGTCAGCCCCACGGCCCAGGGTCCCACCTCGCCCTGTCCAGCCCAGCAATCTCCCATCAAACCCCACGCTCTCAGGGGTTCCACGCCCCGTCTGTCATCAAGAGAGACTATTGGCCATCTCTGACCCTCACCCAAACTGTCCACTCCTCGTCAAGAGCCTGAGAAGCCTCAGCCACCCTCTCCCTCGTTTTCCCTTTACTCTTCGGAGGCGCTCTGAGGATTTTGTGGTGAAAAAGAAACACTCGCTTCCTGGCCACAGCCTCGCAATCCCCATTCTCCCTCGCCTGCGCTGGAATCGCCATCGTGCCCTTCTCACACTCAGCGTCCTCACGCCTAGGCCCTCATCCCTTAGTGCTTGTCCAGGCCGCACAGGCCGCACTTCCCGCCCTTGGCTCGCGGACCTTCAAAGACTGCGACCCACTGTCGACTACGCTCCCTGCCCCAAAGCCCCGCCACACGGCCTCGCCCCCTGTCTCGTAGGCCCTGCCCACACTGGCCTTTCCACACAGGCCCCACTCAGCCCCTCACCGTTTCACATGGGGCCCCGCCCCCTGTCTCACAGGCCCCGCCCACACTGGCCTTCCACACAGACCCCACTCACCCCCTCACAGCCTCACACAAGGTCTGCCCTGTCTTGTAGGCCCTGACCACACTGGCCTTCCACACAGGCCCTACTCATAGGCCCTCACGGTCTCACACGAGGTCCTGCTCCCTGTTTCATAGGCCCAGCCCACACTGGCCTTCCACACAGGCCCCACTCACAGCCCCTCACGGCCTCACACGAGGTCCCGCCCCCTGTCTCATAAGCCCCACCCACACTGGCCTTTCCACGCCAGCCCCACTCACCACCCCTCACGGCCTCATACGAGGCCCCGCCCTATGCACAAGCCCCACCCACTGTCCTTCAGGGGCCCCATGGTCCCCGCCCACTGCCTTTAATGGGCCCTGTCCACGCAGACCCCCACCCACAAGCCTTCACGAACGCCTCACAGACCCTCACCCACCAAGCCCACGGGGCTTCATGCACCCCACCCTCAGCAGCCCCTTCAGAACCTGACCACACAGGCTGCCCACAGGTCGCCGCAGGACTCACGCTGACCACGCCCAAGCCGGCCCCGCCCACTCGCCCCGCCCACCGCCAACCCCACGCGCCCTCGCCCGGACACGCGTCCCCGCAGCCCTGGAGCGCTCGCACCCACTCACAAGCCCTCGTGCCCAGCCCCCGTGCCTCAGGAGCCCACACACACTCCGACCCCCACGAAGCGCCCCAGGCCCTCACCCCCGCGCCCAGGCACCGGGCGGCCGCTCCCCGGGGCTCACCTTCGCTGCAGAACTTGCCGCCGAAGCCCGTGTGGCTGCAGTCGCAGCCCACCTCGCCGGGGGCCAGCACGGTGCAGAGGCCGCCGTTGGCGCAGGGGTTGCGCGCGGGCGCGCACAGCGGGTCGGCGGTGGCGCCGCGCAGGCCCTGGCTGCCCAGCAGCGCGGGGGGCCGCTCGCCCAGCTTCAGGTTGGCCAAGAGGCCGCGGAAGGGCGGCTCGTACTTGACGGTGCTCAGCGTAAGCGCCGAGAGGCGCACGTCGGGCGGGATGCCGCCCACGAACAGGTCGCTGGCCACCTGCATCTCGCGCCGCTTGGAGCGCACCTCGGCGGCGCGGGCCTCGCCGTCCACCGCCAGCGCCGTGCGGCGCGCGTCGCGGGTCAGCAGCACCATGTGCCAGCGGTCGTCGGCCACCGGCGTGTCCAGCTGCAGCGTGGCCGGCTCGGCGCACGAAAGCGTGAAGCGCAGCCGCAGGCGGCCGTCCACCAGCAGCAGCTCCAGGAAGTCGCAGTCGCCGCCGTCGTCCAGGTAGAGCAGCAGCGCGCGCGTGGCGTTGGTGCGCAGGCTGAAGCTGAGCTCGCCGCTGCTCGCCGCGCCCGCCCAGCGCGCGTAGCGAGCCCACTGCCCGGGGCCGCCGCCGAACTCCAGGCCGTCCGCGCGCGCCGCCAGCGCCAGCAGCAGCAGCAACAGCAGCGGCGGCGGTGTCGGCCGCCACCGGCTCCCGGACGCCATGCCTACGGCGGCCCCGGCCCCGCCCGGCCCCCGGCCCCCGCTCAGGCTTCAGAGCCGCGGGCGCATGGGGCGGGAGGGGGCCGGGCGCTCCCCGCGCTGAGCGGGGCTCCCTTGCAGGCTCACAGTGCCATGGGCCCGGCCGCGGGGCGAGGCGCGCAGAGGCCCAGATGCCGGCTTCCCTCAGGCGGCGGCGGCGGCGCCCCTCCCCCGCCGCGGGCTCCGACAGAAGAGCAGGGAGGGATGCCTGCGGGAGAACAGAGAGGAAAGGGTTAATGAGAACAGAGAGGAAAGGTCCAACGAGAGGGGCCGTCGGTGCCGGGCTCCCCACGCATATCAGCAGGCACCAGACTGTTTCCCTGCAGAACTTAGAGAGGCCCTGACCTGCAGAGGGTCCCGAGGCAAGAGACGCGGATTCCGGGGGCCAGCACTTAGGAGAGATGGCACGCACTAGGGGCAGCATTGGTTTGAGATGTGGACAGGGAGAGGTGACACGTTCGAGCCCGGCAGGAGCCCAACCTCAGCCCGCTCCCTCACCCTCTCAAAGGACCCCAGTGTCAGGAAGGACCAAGGCCAGCTCCTTGAGCGAGGCCTGGGAACTCTCCTCCGCCTGGTGACCCCAGCCCCTTCTCTGAACCGCCCAGCCTCTGCCTGGCTCCCACCTCCAGCCACTGTTCCTCTCATCAGCTCTTGATACTGGATAATGAAGTTGCTAAATAATTCATTGGGATTAATTAAATGCCAATTCGTCGATGGTATCACAGGGTAACCAGACTGGGAAGGGGGCAAGGGAGAGAAGCCAGCCAGGACCCAGATATCCAGGCCCCAAGCCCTCTCCATCCAAGCAGGGACTCAGGCATCCAATTCTGTGTCTCCAGTTCCCCCGAAACCACGCTCACCCCTTCCCAGGCCCCAGCCTCACTGCTTACCAACCCAGGTCCTTTCTGAAGCTAAATGTCTGTCATCCTCAACTTCCAGCTCTCAGTGCTCAGCCTCAGGACTGGCCCCACTACCTGGGCTCTCTTTACCCCTCAGTTCCCTCTGCCCACCCCCCACCCAAGATTGGGGGAGCCACCAGGAGGCAGGCAGGCTCATTTGCATAAAATTGCCTTTCTGAAATGATTACCCTTGTAACGGGCTGTCAGAGAGCAATTTATACCCCACGCCGGGGAGGGGAATTTGCATCTCGTTAAACTCCAAGTCGTAATTATTTATATCCAACAACCCTCCTGAATATTGCATTGATTTTATTTTGGGGAGGGAGGGAGAGAAGGAGGTGGGGAGAAGCCTGGGAGAGAAGCAGGGAGGGGCTAGAGTTTAGGAAGAGACAGGGAAAGACTGAAGGAAGAGGGGAGAGAAAGAGGAAGGAGAGGAAGCGCCTGGAAAGTAACAGAGATGGAAGAGTAATGGAGGAGAAAGGTGGCCTAGTGGGGAGAAATGAAAGAAAAGACAGAGAAAATTAAATTCCAAATCCAAACAGCATTTGTCAGAGCCCTGGGTGCTGGGCATTTTTACAAATGTCATTTTACTTAATCACTCTGAGAAGTCCCATTATTCTCATTAACCACTGGGGAAACCCAGGTAAAGGGATCTGGGGACTTGCCCAAGGTCACACGGCCAGTCAGCGGGGAACTGAGACTCAGATCCAAGTCTGCTCGACTGCAGCATCCCCAGGAAATAGACAAGCACAGGATAGCCACAGGTGTAGCTCAGTGAGGTGAGAACCAGAAGATAAGGAGAGGGCTGACTTCGGGAGGGGAAGGCTGCAGAGGTGCAGTGAGGAGCTGAAGAGCTATGTGGAAGGAAACGAGGGACCCCCTAAAAAACCATAGTGAGGGGGCGTCTGGAGAGTGACACGTGTGCAGAGGAAGATGGGGCAGAAAAGGCCTCAGAAGGTAGTCGGGAGCGTTGGGGGAGCCATCTCCAAGAGGCCGGTAAAGCTCAGCCCTCGGGTCCTGCCATCCAGCTCCTGACTGCTGCCCTCCCAATCCTACAAGGCTCCAATGGGGACCTGAATGTCCTGCCCCAACACCCCTCCAAGGACTGCCTCTGCCCGGGCAGTGGGGAGGAGATCCAGGCAAGCAACCCCCACTCCTTACAAACACTGTCGGGTTATATATAGCCTTGCCACTGCCTCTCCTCATTGGGTAATGGAGATAATTAACATGTGCGGGCTAATTAGCCAATCAAATTAAATGCAGCACCTGCTCCCAGCCTGATTGACGCCCTCACCCCCCCACACACAAGCATCCCCAGCCCAGGGCAGGGAAGGGGGCTCCTCAGGCATGGGGGGAGGGAAAGGTCTAAGCTTTCCCTCTTTTCCAGAAGCGGTAGCCAAAGACCCTCAGCAAAGGGACAACCCTGTGGCCAGAAGAGTGACCAGCCTCCCTTCCTCCTTCCCTGCTAGGGTCTCCATCTCAGTCTGGCCTGGCCTAGCCTCTGTCTGCTGCTCTCCCAGCATCCACCCCCACCTCCGGACACTATTTTGGGGAGGGAATTAATTAGCTATCGATTTCCGCTGGCGGAGGGAAAAGGATTTCGTGCTGCTGTCCAGTCATCCCCAAGCTCAGAACAGGAGGGACTGTTTCCCCCGCCCCACCCCCATCCCAGTCCCCCTGCCATGGCCACATCCACCACCCTTTAGGGAGATGGCAGACGGGTTCTGTGGGAAAGGCGAGGGGCAGGAAGTTGGGGGAGGACAGATAGAGTGAAAGATGGTAGGGAGGCTGCCAGAGGCTGGAAGGCAGACGCCTGGGTCCTGAGAGCCAAAGGGAATGTTATCTGGGTGGAGGGGCAGGGGGGCGAAGCGGCTGAGAGTCCAGGAGGTGGAGGTTCTACTGGTCCGTGTGGAGGGAGAGTGGGAGGGGTGCCGTGCAGGCAGGCTTCTGTGAGCCGGTTCAGGGGCAGAGGCTGGGCTTATGTGGTGCCTCCAGGGAGGGTCGGAAGCAGGGTCTGGGCCTGCGGCCCCTCAAGGCTCATTACTCATTCTTCCCGCAGCCCACAGCTCTGCAGCAGAGGCCAGCCAGGCCTCTGGGGGCACAGGGACTGCGGAGCTAACCAGGAGGAAGCCCCAGCACTCCCTGAGTCCTCTCTCCCCCGGGATCCACAGACCCTTGGGGCAGCTTCACGCTTGCCAGGTAGAGATGGTCCCAGGAGGAGTGAGCCAGCGGACACCTGGGTCCTTTCCATTCCCCCGCCCAGTGTCCAGGAAACTTGCTGCTCTTCCCCTCGCCTTTCCCCTCCCTGCGCCTCTCCCACCCAGGCCAAGGCTGCTGCCGACCCAGCCTCCAACCCACCCTTCTCCCAGAATACAGGGGGCTCCTGCTACCCTGGGATGCTCCATCCTTCCTGAGCTCCTGGAACTTAGCAGCAACCCTTTCTCCAGAGGTCTCCCCACAGGCCAGGGTAATTGCCTCACACGACCACATCAAGTAAACGGTGTCCCCTGGAGTTGTACAAGGCAACAGCTCCTCCCCAGGTTTATGCAGTGCAGAGGAAGCCGCCTTGCACCCACAGCGTCCAAGTACTGCCCCCGCAAGGCCCACTTTTCTTCTTCCATTGCCCACTGCCAGTGCAGGGACACTGCCAGGGTGACCCTGGGGTACCTGTCTGCTCACTGACGTCAGTGCAGTGCACACTGCCACCCACTGCTGGCCCAGAGCCGCCACACCTCTGGGGAGCCGACCTCCTGAGTAATCCTGGGGTTCTGTACCCAGTCAGCTCCCTAGTGCCTCCCACCCTGCCCCTACCCACAGATAGACTCAGCAGCCTTGGGCCAGTGGTGCCCAGAGCTGGAGTGGGTGGGGCAGGGGGTGGCTAGGCTGCCCTCAGGACTTCTGCTGACTCTCCCCAACATTACCCTCTCCCGATAACTCAACATTACCCTCTCCCGATAACTCTTCCTGGGTCCTCCTAGGCCAAAGCCTCCTCCTCATTTTCCCACGGCGAGGCCAGTGCCACTGAAGCCTCTGGGCTGCAAGCTTTGGGCTCCGTCTGCATCAGACACCAGGCTGGACCCCATGTGCGCTGTCTTAGTCAATCCTTCGGCTTCTAGGAGGTCATTTTGTCACTCAGGCTTACAGACCAGGAAGCTGAGCTTAGAACGATGAATTCACTTGCCCAAGGCCACAGTCCAGGTAAAGGGTGTGAGGGCTCCAAGGCATTTCTTTTCCCCTGTGTCTGGGGCTCAGAGCCCACCCTCCTCTGATCTGGCCTTCACAGGGGACATAGCTCTCTCAGGTGCCCCACTCTAAAGCCCACTCCTGGGACTGGGAGACAGAGATCTCAGAGCTCATGGGGTTCATCTTCTCTTTTTTTTCCTGATGTGGAAACTGAGTCCCAGGGAGGGGCAGTGAGCTGGCCTGGGATCACACAGAAAAGCAAGACTAGAACCAAAGTCGCTGGCCTTCCCTTCCAGACATTTCCCCTTGCACTTGCTGACCTAGACCTGGGCCCTCCAACCTGACCAAAGGCCTCAGCCCTACGCCATCAGGGGCAAGTATGCAAATGGTGATCCATGCCCACACAAGCAGAGCCCCTGGCCAGGGGCCCTCTCCCCGCATCCACACAGCCCCCTCTCTGTCAATGCCCACACACACAAACACACGCCCATACACACACCTCCAGCCATGGGGATGCCGGCCTCCCTCTGGCTCTCCTCTCCTCACGCCAGCATCCTCTCATGCCAGCTGGGAGTGAGACAGCAGGGGCCTCCTCCAGGCGCCAGGGAGGAAGAGCTGGGTTTACACACATTCTGGTGGCCCCAGAAGGCAGCCCGTGGACAGGTGGGAGAAGTGCGTGCTATGGGGGGAGATTCTGGCTCAGGCTAAAGAGAAACTTGCTGGCTGGCAATCTAAAGCATCCAACAGTGGAGTAGGCTGCCTCGGGGGGTGGTGAGTTCCCCGTCTGTGGGGGTGTTCGAGGTGAGACCGGATGACTGCTGCTCAGAGAGGCTCGGTGTGGGGGAGGCTCTTGAATCATATGGAAGAGGACAGCAGACTGCTTGACCCCTGAGGTCCTTTTCAGGTGCAGAATGTTTTTTGGAGGGTCCCCTTTCCCCCGTGAAATTCCAGGCAAGATTGGCAGACGGTGAACAGTTCCTACCTCCCCCTTCCTTCCAGCCGTGATGATCTGGCAGAAAAAAGGGAAGACCCCATGCCTTTCCACACCCAGCCACAACCTCAGCAGCAGCAAAAACAAGACAGCACAGTGGTTAGAGGCACTGGCTCTGAAGCCTGGGTTCAAATGCCAGCTCTACCCCTATCCAGCTGTGTGACCTTTGGTAAGTTACTCAGCCTCTCTGTGCTTCACTTTCTTTATGTATAAAATAGAGATAATAATAGTGTTGTCAAAATTAGAATTAACATACATAAAGCTCCTAGTACACTGCCTGGCATAGACTAACGTGTGAAAAAAAAGTGTGTCGTATTAATGATTTTTTTAAAACTTCTCATCTCGGCCTTTTACAGTTTGCAGTACCGAGTGCCTAGTGTTTCCTCTGATCCTCACCAGGGCTTGGTGAGAAAAGTAAGCAAGACAAGTATTATCACTGCCCCTTTTACAGATGAGGAAATAGATACTCAAAGGGGAGAAGGGACCCACCCAAGGTCCCACAAATCATAAATGGCAGAGCTGGGATTCAGATTTGGTTCTGTCTAATCCCTATCCCTCGTGTCCTCCTCAACTCTGCTGGTCAATTGTCCTGACTCAGAGGGCAGTAGAAGGAACAAACAGGTCTAAAGATAAGTCGGAGTCCCATGCCAGGGTGGGCTGGGCATGAGCGGCCATGTCTGCAGGTCGCCAAGCAGCTCTCTGTGTCATGGAGAGAAGCATGGAGCGGGCTGGGCCCAGGAGCTGGTAGCTCGGGGTGCACAGGATGAGGCTGCTGCCGCCTCATGGAGCTGGGGAAGCGGGTGGGCTGGGGACAGAGGTGCAATGGAATGACTTGGTGGAGTGGGGGCCGGAGGACAGGTGCATGGGAGCATGGAGGTAGGTGGTGGGAGGGATGAGCACCAAGCTTACCTATGCTGTGCACAGCTGGGGCACAGCAGCCTGGGCGGGTGCACCCCAGTGATGCAGAGGGGGACAGATGGCTTCCAGGGGCGGCCTTGTGAGTAAGCATGAGGTGCCTGGGAATGTTCCTAAAGGTATCTATGACAGGTGTGTGCGCGTGTGTGTGCGTGCAGGGAAGGTTATGATAATGACAATAAAAATAGCTACCATTTACGGGGACCTTCTATGTGTCTTACAAATACCTCAAAGTAAGGTTTACAGAGTGCTTCGCACAAGGCCAGGCACACAGTAGGTACACAATAAACATGCTTGTTACTACTATCATTGCCATCATTGTCCTCTCAGTGAGTCCTCATAACATCCCACTAGGTAGGGATGAGGATCCCATTTCACACGTGAGGAAACTGAGGCTCACTGAGGAGCACAGCGGAGTCCCACCTTCACCCTCACCCCACCATGCCAAACAGTGGTGGTGGCAGTGGGGAAGCAGCTTCGTAAATAACAAGGTGCCACACACATCCTTGAAAGTGTGCACCAGACTATTTGTTGAATGAGTCTCCGAGAGCCCACAGGCCCATCAGTGTGGAAGGGGCAGGGGCGAGGGAGCTGCACCAACAGATGGAGCAGCAAGGTGGGTGGCGTGTGAGGACACACAATCGGGGCATCCCCGTGGGGGCTGGGCTTGGGAGCTGCGAATGAAAGGACAGTGTCTCCAGTGCACAGGCAGGTGTAGGGGCCCTTGTGCCTGAGGATTAATGCGGGGGGTGGGGCCACTTAGAAATGGGAAGGCTCCCAGGGAAACCAGGTGTAGGTGGGGGCTGGACTCCACTGGGAAGGGTCGTGGTTGTGGCCAGGAGGGGTAGGAGGCCCTGCGCCGAAGGTACAAAGATAAGTGAGTGAGAGAGAGAGAAAGTAGAAGAGAGGTTTAGGGGGTGAGCCACAGCATTAAGTGTGTTAGCAAACATGTGCTGGTGTGCACACACACGTGCACACACACAAAGGCCTGGGGCAAGGTGTTCAGCACCCAGACAGACATGCACATGGTACTTCAGGATGAGCTTGCTGGGGGGCAGGGACTGGTGTGTCTGGGAGGGTGTGCCCACATGCTGTGTAGACCTGGGAGGGATGGGGTGTCTGGAAGGAGAGGGTGTGTTGCAAGGACTGAAGGTGTATGAGGAAGAAGCACAGGTGTGCCTGCGATGGCTGTGAGCCTGGGGAGGTGAGTGGTTGGATGGGGGCTGTGTGCATCCAAGGGTGAGGGCTGGCAGTGCTGCGCTGGGGGCTCTGGGGGCACGTAGTGGCCGTGTGTGTGTTGTGTACATGGCAGCAAGGCACCTGGGGGAGGTCTCAAGGAGGCAGGCATGAGGTGGCAGCCTCTCTGGGTGGGGAGTGTGGGCTGTATGCTGCCAGGAGGTGTATTGTGTACGCAGGTGTGTGTGCCTGTGTAGGTGTGTGTCTGGGTGGGTGCCACCGAGCGCGTGTATCATTGTCAGAGTGTCTGTGTCACTGGCAAGGGTAAGCGGGAGGGAGCAGCTGGACCTGGGTAGTGACTGAGCCTGGAAGGAAAGAGGGGTCCCCACCAGCCACTCGCGCACCCAGCCCCTCCTCTCAGAACTCCAATGTCATATGGATTCAGCCCAGGCCTGGGCTGGAAAGAACTGCCCGGCAGCCGTGGCTGGTTGGTCCATCCCGCCCACCCCTGTGGATCTGAGGATAGGATGGGTCTGAGAACACTTCCTCTAGCATGAATGAAGAGCCCCCAGCCAGACCCTTCTCCCCTGTCTCCCAAAAGATCCAGCCACACCTCAGATGCCAGCATCCCTAGAGCCATCCCTGGAAGCAAGAGGAGGTAGGGACTGAGGGGCTGAAGCACCCACAAAACAGAAGGCCTCACAGTTAGCAGACTGCAGACCTCCCTCCCCTTCTCCTTCCCTCTCCCTTCTTTCTTTCTCCTTCTCTGGCAGAAGACAGAGAAAGTAAGACCCTAATGTCCACCCTCCTCCAAAAGGAACACCCAGACACTGGGAAGGTAGACAACAGGGAAGGATAAGAATGAATGGAAGAGGAGAGACGCCCACCCGCCAACACATGAAAAAACAGGGCTATCTGGAAGCCCCCAGGGCAGCCAAGGGACTGGGGACCCAAGACCCACCCCCTAAAAATCTATTTCATTATTCCAGGTGGACAGCCTCCTCCTTCACCTCCAGACACCAAGAAAAAGCCCCTCCCAGCCCTTGCTAGCTCAATGAGGCATCGAATGCCCTCTCCCAAGATTCAGGAGGGGGGTGAGAGTAAAGGAGACAACAGCACCCCAAAGCCAATTGTGCCCCAAAAGCCCATCAAGGGTTCAAGGGCTCATACCCCAACCCAAAGACCCCAGGGAAGATTGCTGCTTCAGCTGGGGGAGGAGGCTGGGACATGAGAAATGGTCCCTTCCTCTTTAGGGGTGGGGGAGCAAGCCAAGGGCCCTGCAGCTTCCTCTCCCCCTGCAGCACTCTCTGACCAGAACCCTGTCACCGCCCCCAGCGCATTCCCACCCCAGCAAAGCCCCCTCCTACTGATTTCCCAGTCTCCCTGTCTCATCACCCCCAGCCTTCCCCCGCAAGCTTCCGCTCCTCTCCCTCAGACCCCATCTTTCCCAGCTCTCCACCAGCACAGACCCATCTCTGCCTGGAGCACCTTGGCACATTCCCCTCTGCTCTCTCCCAATAACCTCTTCTCCCCTTGGCTCCCATCCCCCAGGAAAGCCTGGTCCTCAGTGGGTCCCCTCAGGACGAAGCCCTTGGCCTGGCCCCTTTCCTTCCCTCTCCACTTCTCTCTCTTCTCCAGCCCCCTCTCCTCTCCTCCCACGAAGCCCAGTTTCTCGCTGGTTAGACCCTCCAGAACACAACAGCTCCTCTGGCCCGGCGCTGCTTCAAGCCTCTGGGGCTAGCACAGACTGGGGACCCCCCTTTAAGAACCCCCTCTAAGTCCTCTGGATGCCCCTCCTCTCTCCATCCCTTCCCCCAAAGACCCTTCCTCCCACCCCTCCCCATTCTCCTCAGCTCTCAGGGCCAGTGCCCCTTCCACAGGAGCCTCCGACCCCCAAGCCCCCAGCGGCTTTGCCTCCTCGCTGTCACCGGGCCAGCCCTCTCAGCGCGGCGCCCCCGCCCCCCAATTCATCCGTCCTGCCTCCCTCGCCCCCTCCGATCCGCTCCCCTCCCCCGATCGGCTCCCGCCCCCCGCCCGTCTCCGCCGCAGCGCCCCCCCCCCCCCATTTTACCTGGTTCTCGGGGCGCCAGAAGCTGGAGGGTGGGTAGCAGAGCTACAGGGCCGCCCCGTCTCCGACGGGTGGCAGAGCCAGGGCTAGCGGTGTCTGCCGCCTCGCGCCTCTCTCCCTCCCCGCCGCGTCCCCGCCCGCCCGCCCGCCCCGCCGCGGTGCCTCTCCGAGGAGGATGCTCCGCGAGTCAGGGCGGCTGCTCCCGCCGCCGCATCCCTGCAACACCGACTGACGGCAGCATCAGCACCAGTGCCCGCCCCCGAGACGCGCGCATTGGACCACGCTGCGCTGACGGGCGAGCAGCGCAGCCAATGCAAGGGCTCAGAAGCCGCCAGTCCAGCGGCTCCACAGGCCCACTCCCTCCCTCGCGCGGGACCCAGGCGTCCCGGCCCCAGCACCCGCGCTCCTCCCAGCCTCTCGAGGTTCTCGGGCGCCCGGGCCCCCAACCAGGCGGGCCCCAAACCCGGCCTCAGTGTCTTTTCCGGGAACCCAAGCACTCTCGCCCCTCGCCCCTCGCCCCTTAGTTCGGGGCCTTGGGTCCCGCACCCTCCCCCCACGGCCAGCAGGTCTTCGCGCAGCGCGGGGCTGGGACAAGCCGAAGGAGAGGCTGTGGACCCCGACTTGGGACGCCGCGAGAGCAGGGCTGATGCGGGGCCTGGGCCGCAGCGCCCTCTGCTGGCTACCCCCAGGGGCGGGCCCGGGCTTCGAGGAGCCTAGAGAAGGGGGACTCGGTGGGTCCATGGCTGCTGGGGGCTTTTTCCAGTCGGTAGCCTGGCCCCCACCTCCCACCGTCCGGAGGGCCCCTGGCTTGGAGCCCCCAGAACTGAAGAGGAAGGGGCTTTGCTGGGATAAAGACGGAGGCGGTGGGGGAAGGAAAGGCAGAGATGGGGGCGGGGTAGACCTAGGAACTTGGGGGTTTCCCAGTCCTGCCTCATGGGAATCCCAGAGTTTGAGGCCAAACTCTCAGTTCTGCCTGGAACCCTGGACCGAGGTACGAGTAGGTGTGGGGGCAGGGTTGCGCCTGCACATGCCTGGTGACTGAGGGCACCTGGCAGCAGCCCCCTTCTCTGTTCTCCTCCTCCCATCCATGAGTTTCAGTTAGAGTGGTGCTGGGGGGCGCAGGTCTCTCCTGTAAGGGTACATGCATCACTGTGCATGTGTATGAGTGTGGGGGACTGGGGGACACCCTTCACTCACTCCGCCAATAAAAGTGTACACACACTGGCACTTAGTGTGTATACCCCGAGGTTGGTCACTGGGCTGCTGAATGAGACAGTGAGAGACAGAGTGTGTGTGTGTATGTGTGCCAGACCATTCTGCCAGCTCACTCCAGGACCCTGGTTTCTGTTGCAGGGTCTGTGATCTGCACAGCTGGTGGTAGTTGGCACTTCCTTAGCCAGAGGCAACATGCAAGAACACTTACATTCAACCACCAATGCATGGACATTGGGGCACTCACAGCCATGCACACATATCTGTGAACACTGGGCATTCCCAGAGACACATAAGAACACCTGCAGAAATGCCCCACCATGGTAACACACCCACAGGAAGCATATACTGCCCAAGAACACACACACTTGTGCACACAGGTACCTACACCAGGCAATTAATGCATGCCCAGAACAGCTGCACCCAGGGGACCTGCCCACAGTCATCCTGGACCCCTGCCCAGGCACTTCAAAGAGAGTGGTCAATTACTGAGTGGCTTAATGCGGACACCAACCCCCCGGGTGGGAAACTCCTTCCCCAGCCTGTGAAGGGGTAAGAGGGGGACCCAGGCTGCAAGGAGTTTTTCCTAGGAGTCGAGAAGGGTGATCCCTAAGCCAGGTCCCAGACTTAGGGCCCACTCTGACCTTGGAGAGACCCCCAGGGCATCCCCACCAAAGCCAATGAAGGAGCCAGAGAATGGAACTGCTGCGTCAGGGCCTATGAATGCGAAATCGCCTCCCTGACCCCACAGCCCACTTTCCTGCCCATCCCCCACTGTTCCTCTTCCTGCAGCCTCCTCACACTCACACACACACACACACACACACACACCCCTTGTCCATCCAGGCATCAGGGCATAGACAGACAGATGCAATGGCTCACAGAGACAGACTCAGACCCTTACAGAGGAGCCTGGGCAGGGAGGGAGGTAAGTATGAGCACTTGTCTCCTTTCCCTACCCCCAGCTTTGCCCATCAAGGGCAGAAAAGGTCACCGGGCAGCTGCTGCATCTCCCTGTCCCTCCCACCTACAGGGACATCTCTCCTCTCTGCAAGGTCCAAGGTTCAGATTGCCTAAGCATTTGGGACCTGCCACTTCAAGACACACCCCACACACACACACACCACACACAGGTACCCACCCAATGTGGACAGTTGAGTGATATGCTGAGCACATGCCCTTCTCCCATGTGCAAAGGCCAGTGGGGACACATGGGGGAGGGGAAACACAGCAGATACAGCATGCATGTCCATGCACACACATGCACACAGGCGCATACAATGTGAAGCTCAGACACCAAATTCAGACACATGCAACCATGAAGACCGCTACTTGTCACATCCCGGGCAGGCAGACCTGGACACACATATGCATGCATGCATACACACACACACACACACACACACACACACACACACACACACCAGGAAGAGGCCAGACTGGAACTGGAGGGTAGTGACGAGAGGAGCCAAGAGGAACCGACTGGGCTGCAGGGATGGAGGCAGCACAGGAGGCAGGCGGCACAGGAGCGAGCTGCTCTTCACAACACAATCGCCGTCTGTTGTTATAGCAACTCAGCCCCCAAATCGTGAAACGGATATTACAGCCTCAAGAGGGGGAAGGGCGGAGGGGGCTGAGGACAGAAGGAGGGGCAGGGGGGCACCCGATGCAGAGACAGGGCTGGGGGGCCCAACACAGGGTAGGCCTGCAGGAGAGATATGACCAGGAAAGAGAAGGGAGTGACCCAAAATAAAGAACAGGCCAGGGGGAGTGGGGTCTCAAAGCAGGGATGGATGTGATGTGGGGAAACCCTGGGGTGGGGGACCGGGGCACTCATGGGGGAACTGAGGCCACTGCCAGGCCCACAGATACTGTGCTTTGGAGTGGAAGGTGCTCAGGTCTCCACCCCTAGGACAATCCTACAGCTGCTGTGGGACACCTCCCAGTTTGGGGGACTGAGGAGGTAGTTCCCATTGTCAGGACTGCTGTCTGGAGTCTCCTGATCCCAGGGGCAGCCCGGCCCAGCTTCAGAACCTTTAGTAAACTCCCAGACCAGCCTCAGAAGTGGCCTTAGCCTTCTTTAGGTAGCAGTGACCCCCAAAACCTCCGTGCTGCAGGCTCAGGAGGGAAGAGCTGGGTTGGGAGAAGCCACCACCGGAGGCTGAAAGCAGGATCAATATGCATTTCCTCTGGAAGTCACTGTCCTTCCGGCTGGCAGCAGCACCAGGCCAGGAGGCTGCAAGGCGGAGGAGTGCAGCCCCCACCCTGAGGCACAAGCCCAGCAGGGCCCTCGGACTGCCCAGGGCCCTCCCTCCCTTCCCCGACAGCCAGCAACTCTGTGCTGCCCCTCTCCCTCCCACGATTCCTGCAGTGAGGGCCCTGTTACTGGAAGCGTCCAAGCAGGGGCTGAAAGGCCCCCTGTCCAGCAAGGGAATTTCGGCCATGGGCTGAAGGCTTTGGGTATGCATGACTGGCCCTGCAATTCTCGGGTGCAGACCTACTAGTTTCAAGTTTTAGATGTCCAAGGATCTGGTCTCCTCAAGATCCTAGACCCTCCCCAAGATTCTTATGTTCCAAGGTTTTCTGCTTCTAAGATTCTCTTCCCCAAGACTCCAGACACATGAGATTCCAGACCTCCCAAGTTTCTCTGGCTACAAAGTTCTAGCTCCCAAGATTGTCATCCTGTAAAGTATACCATCCCCCTACCCCCCGGGATTCTAGGCGCTGATGGTGAAGGTTAATTACACGGGCCTTTTTATTCCATCTGGAAAATACAAATATTCACAAGAGTCTGTACAACCTTAGGGACACCAGCCCTGGCCCTGCCCTCAGCTGCATGCCACCCTCATATCCCACCCCCATCCCCAGCCTCCTGCCCCGACACCCCCAGGCTCCCTGCTCTGGTTGAAGTATTTTCTCCAAGGCAGGAATGAGTCCTTGATCCAACCACAGCTGGGAAGAGAAAAACAGGTTGTGAGGAAGACACCCCCCTAACAACAAGGTAGTAGCCCACCTGGCTTGGAGCCATTTGGATAAAGCACCCATTTCCCTGATACTCCCCAGCTCCCCCCCAGCCCTCAGTGGGGAGCTCTGGTGCCAGCTGTGGGAGGACTCACCATCTATTACAAGTGGATGTCAAACACCCCATCCTCCACCGTCTGTACCTCCTCCTCACGGATCTCTGCTGGGAGGGGGATTGCTGCAGAACACACTTCCAGGTCCCTGGGACTTCATCAACCCTTCCCCTCTCCACGGGAGGCATCCACATCATCCCAGAAGCAGACCCACCCACCAAAAATCAATTCCCTGCATGACCTCACAGCCCAATTTTTTTTTTTTTTTTTTTTTTTTGAGACAGAGTCTCTCTCTGTCGCCCAGGCTGGAGTGCAATGGCGCAATCTCGGCTCTCTGCAACCTCCACCTCCCAGGTTCAAGCGATTCTCGTGCCTCAGCCTCCCAAGTAGCTGGGATTACAGGCGCCTGCCACCACGCCCAGCTAATTTTTGTATTTTTGTATTGTAGAGATGATGTTTTGCCACGTTGGCCAGTCTGGTCTCCAACTCCTGACCTCGGGTGATCCACCCACCTTGGCTTCCCAAAGTGCTAGGATTACAGGCGTGAGCCACCATGCCCGGCCTCAGCCCAATTTTTGAGGCTCTTTTTCTATGTTTTTGTTTTGCCACAGCTTTTTCAGCCACAGATTTGTCAGCGCAGTTTGCTTAAATGTCAATTTTGTGTGTATTTCACATTTTAGACCCCAGCACTTCTGGAAGGCTCAATGCAAATGGATTTATCTTTTCTATTTTTGAGGATGTATGCCCTGTGCCTGCCTCTGTTTTTTGAGGACTTATGCCAACCCAAACAGTTGTGATCAACTACCTTAGACCCCAGTTTAACATAGTTGTTCGGACTGTTCTCAGCAAAATAATCATTTGGCCAGTTGTCATTCAGCAAACTGACCTAAAACCATCAAATACCCCAAGAGAGCTGCCAGGACATTATCAGGGCAAGGGACTTTCCCCAGAAGAGCCTCCAGAGCAGCCAGAAAGGGAAAGGCAAGCCAATGGCTCATATAACACCTTCTCCAATCCTTTGTTAACCCCTCCAACAAAATAAGACTGTAACTGGAATCTTGAAGCCTCTTTCACTTTTATACCTCTTTATAAATTAGGGTCTCTCTCCTCAGCCTCAGAAGGTCCAGGGCTTCCTGGCCACTTTCTGGCACCCTTACCTGTCCCTTCTTTATTTTTTATTTTTTTTTTTTCTGAGACGGAGTCTTGCTCTATCGCCCAGGCTGGAGTGCAGTGGCGCGATCTCGGCTCACTGCAAGCCCCGCCTCCCGGGTTCATGCCATTCTCCTGCCTCAGCCTCCCAAGTAGCTGGGACTACAGGCGTCCGCCACCACGCCTGGCTAATTTTTTTTTTTTGTATTTTTAGTAAAGATGGGGTTTCACCGTGTTAGCCAGGATGGTCTCGATCTCCTGACCTCGTGATCCGCCCGCCTCGGCCTCCCAAAGTGCTGGGATTACAGGCGTGAGCCACCGCGCCCGGCCTGTCCCTTCTTTATTATCCCACCACAAAAAGAGAATTATGCACTTTGGAATGGCTTCCATCCTGCGTTCTTTGCCCCAGTAGCCCTGCATCCTTCCCTCCACAGGCCAGTACAGAATGACTCCCTCTTACCTGGAGGCCTGGAGCCTCGCCTGCCAGGGCGGGGCAGAGAGAAGCTGAAGGCGCGGTGATGGTGGCTGTGCATGGGTGAGGGTGAGGGTGCAGACCCCTCCAGGCTCACACTCTGGGCCCTGCGCCGACACTCAACTGACAGGCGATCCTTGCACTGCTTGTGGCAGTTCACTCCACAGGCTGGGGGAGAGCAAATGGAGAGCCAGCCAGGGACATTGGTCAGAATACCCTCCATCCCATCCCGCAGGCTTGTGCCCCCCTACCAGGAACCTTTGTTCCTGAGCAGCTGCCCCACCAAAATAAGAGTCTCCTTCCAAAGTGTTCTCCTCCTCCTAATTGTCAGTCTATGCCTTCTCCCATGTTCTCTGTTCCTGGGCAGCTGCGTCATCAAAATAAATGGCCTCTTAAACGCCACTCCCTTCACATCAGTCATCTTGAGCCTCTGATTTTGTGGGGTTTTGGTTTTGGGGGTTTTTTTGTTGTTTTTTTTTTTGAGACAGAGCCCTCTCTGTTGCCCAGGCTGGAGTGCAGTGGCGTGATCTCGGCTCACTGCAAACCCCGCCTCCCAGGTTCAAGCGATTCTCATGCCTCAGCCTCCCAAGTAGCTGGGATTACAGGTGGGTGCCACCACGCCCAGCTACTTTTTGTATTTTTAGTAGAGGCGGGGTTGCGCTATGTTGGTCAGGCTGGTCTTGAACTCCTGACCTCAGGTGATCTGCGCGCCTCGGCCTCCCAAAGTGCTGGGATTACAGGCTTGAGCCACCATGCCCGGCCATGCGCCTCTGATTTTAAGGTACTTCACTCCTTGGCAATTGCCCCACCAAAACAGTAACTCTCCCAAACAAACAAACAAAAAAAAAAAACACTGCCCAGCAGCCCTTCCAGTCATTCCATCTCACCTCGGCATTTGAGGCCCTGCTTGTAGATGCCCAGGATCTGCAATAGAGGAGGGGCCGTGGTGGGAGGAGGGATTTAGAGGTGATGACTCTACTTCTTCCTTCTTGAGGGTGAGACTAGGGCTTTAGAGCCCGCCTCAGGGCCCCGGGCAGAACCACAGGAGGAGAGGCAAATAGAATTACCAGGTTTTCCTGGCTTGAGAAGGGCTCTGGCAGAGGCGGGGCCAGAAGGGAGGGCGGGGCCGGGGCTGGAGGGGCGTGGCTTGGGCCGTGAGCCGGGAAAGGGACTCTCACCAGGGCTTTGCAGTGGCGGCAGGCGACGGGGCGCAAGGAGTTGCTCTCCTGGAAGTTGTGTACGAAGCCCATGCGCCCCCCCAACACAGAGCTGGAGCGCAGGAAATAGGAAACCATCTCCTCCCTGCTGATGCAGCCATCCCTGTGGGGAGTTGCGGGGGCGCTTCAGCTCGGGCCCTCCCCAGAACCATCCACCGCTGGCCTAACCCATCCCACTGTTCCCAGTGTCCTCATGGAACTCCTGATTTTGGACTCCTGTTGCAGAGTAAAGAAAAGGCGGCACTGGACTAGGGGTCAGGCAGATGTGGGAAGTGCCGCTAACCAGTGTGTGGTCTTGGGCCAGTCCCTTTCCCTGGGTTCCTTCTCAGAACAGTGGCCTGTCCTGCCCACTTCACACTTGGTGTGCAAACTAAAATGACTGTGTACTTTCCATGGAACCATCAGCCTCGGGCTCCCGAAGTGTACTGTGTGCAACACCAGTCGGGAGCCCTCAGCAGGGAGAACTCTCTAATGAGTTCTGGGACCAGGAGAGATTGGGAGAAATCGCATCCCTCTCTCTCCTGCATCATCCTGCTGGAAAGACAGCTGTAAATCCAGGGTTTCCCACATAACCCAGGGCTTTCCGCAGAAGCCCTTTTTCACCTATGAATACATTTTAGGGAAAGAATGAGCACGTGTTCTAGACACAGACCTCAGTTCAAATCGCAGCTCTACTTCCCTGCCTCTTGACCTGTAGCGGAGTAATCTCCCTGTCCCTCCGTTTCCTTATCTATAAATGGGTGTAATGATCATTCCTACATTTCATAGGATTTTGGTGAGGATTAAATTAGATGATGCATGTGAAGTTTTACAACAGTGTCTGCACAGATAGGAGGGTCCTCAGCCACCAAGTGCTATTCCCATCGGGACTGGCCCTCGCTTGAGACTCCCACCTGCTTATGAGGGGGCTCATAATGTGTGATCCAGGTGGTCCATCAAATCAAGGGAGCATTAGGATAACTGGCTATCTGAAAAAAATATAGGGCCGAGCACAGTGGCTTACGCCTGTAGTCCCAGCACTTTGGGAGGCCAAGGCGGGTGGATCACGAGGTCAGGAGTTCGAGACCAGCCTGGCCAACATGGCAAAGCCCCGTCTCTACTAAAAATACAAAAAATTAGCCAGGCATAGTGGCAGGCACCTATAATCCCAGCTACTCGGGAGGCTAAGGCACGAGAATCACTTGAACCTGGGAGGTGGAGGTTGCAGCGAGCCAAGATCATGCCACTGCACTCCAGCCTGGGTGACATGGCAAGACACCCTGTCTCAGAAAAAAAAAAAAAAAAGAAAAGATATAATAATTTTATAATCTTGAGGGGCTGAGGGCCTTTCTACACAGAACACAAATCCAAGAAGCCAGAAAGGAAAAGACTGACATATTGAGCACACAAAAGTTTTTAAATTTTATATGGAAAAAGACAACATAAATGACAGACAGGGAGAAAATATTTGCAAACACATTCAACAGCAAAGGGTTAATATCCATTAACAGAGATTCTAAAAATCAATGAGAAAAAGACCAACAAACCCAGTAGAATAATGGACAAGGAATCAGAACAGGCAATTGACAGAAGAAATAAATGGCCAATAAACATATGAAAAGATACCCTACCCCCATTAGTATTAAAGAAATGCAAATTTAACCAAGATACCATTTGCCAATGAGACTGGCAAAATTGTGAAGCTTTTTATAGCATCCACTGTTGGCGAGGAAGTTGGGAAGCAGGCACTTGTACGCTGCTGATGGGGGTGCAAACTGGTACAACCTTGTCTGAGGTCAGTTTGGCAGTCTCTCTCCTAATTTAGAATGTGCATATCTTTTGATCCAATTATCCCACTTCTAGGAATTTCTCCTACAGAAATACTGGCCTGAGTGGATCAGTAAAAGGACGTTCATGGCAGCCTGGCATAGAATCATACTGAAAAACTGGAACAGTCTAACTGTCCATCAGCAGGAGGATGGTTAGGGAAATGATGGACTAACCGCACAGTGGAATACTCTGCAGCTGTTCTAACGAATGAGGTAGTTCTACATGAATCCACATGGAAAGATGTCTGTGATCAAGGGTTAAGTGGAAAACAAGCACAAAGATGAAAAAAAACAAAAAGCAAGGCGTGAAGTTCTGTCAAGATGGTGATTTTTAGGCCGGGTGCACAGTGGCTCATGCCTGTAATCCCAGCACTTTGGGAGGCCGAGGTGGGCAGATCACCTGAGGTGAGGTCAGGAGTTCAAGACCAGCCTGGCCAACAAGGTAAAACTCCATCTCTACTAAAAATACAAAAATTAGGCCAGGTGCGGTGGCTCACGCCTATAATCCCAGAACTTCGGGAGGCCGAGGCGGGCGGATCACCTGAGGTCAGAAGTTCAATACCAGCCTGCGCAACATGGTGAAACCCCATCTCTACTAAAAATACAAAATTAGGCTGGGTGAGGTGGCTCACGCCTGTAATCCCAGCACTTTGGGAGGCTGAGGCTAGTGGATCACGAGGTCTGGAGGTCGAGACCACGGTGAAACCCCGTCTCTACTAAAAATACAAAAAATTAGCCGGGCACGGTGGTGGGTGCTTGTAGTCCCAGCTACTCCGGAGGCTGAGGCAGGAGAATGGCATGAACCCGGGAAGCAGAGCTTGCAGTGAGCCGAGATCGCGCCACCGCACTCCAGTCTGGGTGACAGAGTGAGACTCTGTCTCAAAAAAAAAAAAATACAAAATTAGCCAGGCATGGTGGCGCGCGCCTGTAATCCCAGCTACTCGGGAGGCTGAGACAGGAGAATCACTTGAACCCGGGAGGCGGAGGTTGCAGTGAGCCGAGATCACACCACTGTACTCCAGCCTGGGCAACAAAGAGCAAAACTCCGTCTCAAAAAAAAGGAAAAGAAAAAAAAATTAGCCGGGTCTGGTGGCCAGTGCCTGTAATCTCAGCTACTTGGGAGGCTGAGGCATGAGAATTACTTGAACCTGGGAGGCAGAGGTTGCAGTGAGCCAAGATCGCGCTATTGCACTCCAGCCTGAGCGACAGAGTGAGACTCTGTCTCAAAAAAAAGAGAGGGTGATTAAAAAAAAGAAAAAAGAAAAAAGAGAACCCACTACAAGTACCTAGATGCTGCCTAAAGATATATCAACAATTGCTGTAAATGCATAGATAATTTTGTAAGAAAGAAATGGAAACACCCAAGTTCCAGAAACAAAGAGGGAGCTTTACAATGAAGTGGTGAGCTGGGCCTGGTCCTGGGAGCCGGTGCTGGTCTCCCTCCTGCCGAACCAGGTGCTAGGTTTTGATACCCAACCAGGGCTTCCCCCTCACCAACACACACACACACACACACACACACACACACACACACACACACACACAGCCTGGGGCCTGCAGGAGGTGGAGGGTTAAGGCTGAGACCGCTGCATGAAGCTGAGGCCTCCATCGTCTCAAAGGGTCATTCTCACTGAAAAGGTGGTCTAGATAAAAATCCACCCACCAACCCAGGGAGAAAACATGGAACTCAACTACCTCTGCCTAAAATCTGGGAGAAGAAATAAAGCAGCTATGATAAAAGCCACAAGCAGAACTAGATTTATGCTCTAATCCTGTTTGTCCATGAAACAGACACCAAACAAACAAAATCTCTATCAATGTGCACCTGCCTGGGAAAAGAAGACTGGAAGAATCCACATACTGCCAAGCTTAATATTGTTAACAGTGCTTAATCATGGCAACTTCTACCAGTGGAAAAGGAAAGAGGGGACTTTCATTTCTTCCTTTTTTTTTCTTTTTTTTTTTTTTGATGGGGGTGATCTCGCGCAGTCACCCAGGCTGAAGTGCAGTGGTGTGATGACAGCTCACTGCAGTCTCAACCTCCTGGGCTCAAGGGTTCCTCCTGCCTCAGCCTCCTGAGTAGCTGGGACTACAGGCACGTGCCACCCATGCCCAAAAAAAATTTTTTTAGGCTAGGAGCAGTAGCTCATGCCTGTAATCCTAGCACTTTGGGGGGCCAAGGCAGGTAGATCACTTGAGGTCAAGAGTTTGAGACCAGCCTGGCCAACATGGTAAAACCCCATCTCTGCTAAAAATACAAAAATTAGCCAGGCACGGTGATGCATGCCTGTAATCCCAGCTACTCAGGAAGCTGAAGCAGGAGAATCACTTGAACCCAGGAAGTGGAGGTTGCAGCGAGCCGAGATTGTACCACTGCACTCCAGCCTGGGCAACAGAGTGAGACTCTGTCTCAAAAATAATAATAATAATTTTTGTAGAGACAGGGTCTTACTCTGTTGCCCAGGCTGGGCTCAAACTCCTGGCCTGAATTGATCCTGCCAACTCAGTCTCCCAAAGTGCTAGGATTACAGGCGTGAGGCACCGCACCTGGCCTCTCACTTCTTACTTTAAACATTTTGTTCACTATAAATTTATTTTACCACCTAGATTTTATTTTACCGTGGATTTTTGTAATGTGGAAATAAAAAACAACAGATTTTTGAAATACAGGTAACATTAAAAAATAAATCGACCTGAGATGGACTTTAAATTTTGAATGGAGTTTTTTCTGCTCAGCAAAAATAGGGCATGAATCTGGCTTCAGGGGGCATGTTTAACCTACTTCAGAGAACCAGCTGTTTTTCCAAATTGTCAGCATATGAACTGTTGATAAACAACTGGGTACTGCTAATTACAAACCTTTCTTATCTATTCATTAGAACAGACTATCCAGGAGCTCAAGTTGCCCACACTTCTTGACAGCTGTGAGCTCCACAAATAAAACAGCACTTTTGTAGCCACAGTCCCCAGGTCACAGTCTTTGCAAGACTCAGGTGGAGCCCCCCATCTGTCTGAATTTGTGAGATACCACTGCGCCTCCACAGCTGGCAGCCTCTCCTCCCCACAAAAGCAAGTGCCCTTTCCCACACTGGCAGCTTCCCAGGCCAAGATCATCTGGCTCAGTGACCTCATCTTGCACACAAGAAACTGAAGCCCAGGCAGAAGTGGGCTGAGTTGCCTTCCCTCTCCCCCAGGTCCCCAGCCCTCCTCACTGGTTCTGGTCGAGGTCCCCAAAGGCGCTGAGGTAAGGGAAGTTCCCACGGATGATCTGGAATTCTTCCTGTGAGATGTGGCCATCCCCATCGACGTCAAAGTTCCGGAACACAGACTGGGGCACGCAGAGGGACACGCAGAGCCAGAAGAGGGGAGAGTAAAGGGGACATCAGGTCCTGTCCCTTCCCACGTTCCCAGTCCATTTGATGAGGTGTGTCTCAGAGAGGTCTCTGACACCACCCCCGTTCCATACCTCCACCCCCACCCTACCCAGGGGCACTTCAGCCCCGTGCAGCTGGCCTGCCAGGCCCTGTGACTCCTAGGGGCTGAGTGCTGGGTCTTGAACAGGACACTCGTGCTGGCTTCCAGGGCAGTGCTCCGGCAAACTGGCCTCTCCCCACACACTGCTCAGGCTCCGCAGGAGCTCACCTCCACCATCTTCTCGATGTGCTCCACCACGAGGGCCTGATCCAGCTTGGGTTTGGCAGCCGAGGTCCACTCCTCCAGTACCGGGGGCCGGGGTGGTGGGGTGCAACTCGTGGGGCTGGTTGGCTATGGAAATGGTCGGGCCTGAGCTAGGGCCAGAGGCAGGGGAAGCCCAGAGCCCCGGGGAACAGAGAGGGGAATCCCTGGGAGAGGGAAGTCTGCCCAACACTACTGCCCTACCCCCAGGATGCCTCTGTCCTACAAGATGGATGGGTGAGGTGGCTGCTAAGAGCTCTTCCCATCCTCACATCCTGGGATTCTCAGGAGGGAAGGGCAGAGTGGAGAGGAGGGAGTACCCCCTCACCGAGGACTTGGAGCGCGGCTCCCGCTGCAGGGACAGCTGGTACAGCTCATCCTCCGTCTGATACTGATCCAGAGACACCTGGGACACACAGATCTGATCACCCCCACTGGCCCCTGCCCACAGCCACAGAGCCCAGGGCCAAAGGTCGACCTAGAGGCCACAGCTCAGCTCAGAGCTCGGGTCAGAAGCTAGACTCAGGACAAAGCCTGGCTTAGAACACAGCACAGCAACCCCCATGTCATCCCAGCGCACAGATCAAACCACAGCATGGCCCCAAACCTTGAACACAACATATTGCCAAGATGTCAGGGAAGAAGCCAGGTCGGAACCCAGCCAGAAGCTCTGATTTCAACCCTGATCCCCTCCAGAGCCCAGAAGCAGCTAAGAATCCACTCCAAACCTTAACACTTAAGCCCCAGCCCAATGTCTAGAACCTTGTCTGGATCTAAACCAGAACCCAACTCCCACCCTAGACCCCAAGACCAAGTGTAAAGCCAAGCCCAGAACTTCACTCCGAGCCCAGGGCCATGCTTAGAAACCACCCCTGCCCACAGAATGCAGAGCTTGGCCCAGCCCTAGAACACAGCCCATTGCCAGAACTCAACCCGGGACCCAGGCCCAGTTCAAACTGCCCACAGTCCACATACCAGCCTGGAGATCAGACCTCAGTCCACAGCCCCAACCAGAGCCTGGACCCCTTCTCAGCATCCACTCCAAACCCCAGAGCCCACGCTAGATCTCAGTTTCTTGGCCAGAACCCAGAGCCCCAGGCCACGCCCACAGCCAGGACCTGGGGAAACTGTCAACCCCTGGTGCCCAGCTCCCCACCTCCCTGCCCCCTGCTCCTCACCGTGAGCAGGCTCAGCAGGTCGGGGTTGGCCTGTACTGGTGGCCGCAGGCTGGTCACCATGGCCAGCTCCTCCAGGATGCTAAAGAGCTGCTTCATCTTGGCCCCGTTGAGCCGGGTCCGGGCTGGGTCCAGCCAGTCAGGCAGTGCCAGCTGCAGGGCCACCAGGTCCTTGAGGTGCACACCCAGGATCGGGAAGCGGAAGCCCACACAGGCTGCCAGCCGACGCCGGTAGTTGCCATAGTTGCCTGTCGCCGTCACTAGTTCCGTGAGACCCTCCCAGAGCTGGGGACAAAGGACAGAGGAGTCATACCCCCACAACTATCCTCCCTACCTCAGCCCTGGAAATGTAGGAGGGGGTGAGGAGGAGTCAGGGTCAGGGACAGGTGAAAGAGTAAAAACCTCCCTTACTGTCCCCCACGACTGGCTCTCTCAGCCCCTGGGGATTGAATTCATTGCCATGAATTCAAGGCAATACTCACTGCCAAAAGCACCACACCTCTAAACCAGGCCTGGATGCAGGGAATCATCAACATTTAACAGGAGAAACAGAGGCTCAGGGAGGCAAGGCAGCACAGGACAATGACCTGGAAGAACATACTCAGCCACCCCGTCCAAACAGCAAAAACTGGAAAAACCAGCTGGGCGTGGTGGCTCACACTTGTAATCTCAGCACTTTGGGAGGCCATGGCAGATGGATCATGAGGTCAAGAGATGGAGACCATCTTGGCCAACATGGTGGAAACCTCATCTCTACTAAAAAAATACAAAAATTAGCCGGGTGTGGTGGTGCATGCCTGTAGTCCCAGCTACTCAGGAGGCTGAGGCAGGAGAATCGCTTGAACCCGGGAGGCAGAGGGTGCAGTGATGCAGTGAGCCAAATTAGCGTCACTGCACTCCAGCCTGGCGACAGAGCAAGACTCCATCTCAAAAAAAAAAAAAAAAAGAAAGAAAAAGAAAGAAAGAAAAGAAAAGGAAAAACCCCAACATTCAACAATAGAATCAATACATAAATTGGGGTAGGCTGGGGGCAGTGGCTCACACCTGTAATCCCAGCACTTTGGGAGGCTAAAGCGGGTGGATTGCCTGAGCTCAGGAGTTCAAGACCAGCCTCGGCAACATGGTGAAAGCCTGTCTCTACAAAAAATTAGCCAGACGTGGTGGTACGAGCCCATAATCCCAGCTACTCAGGAGGCTGAGGCACGAGAATCACGTAAACCCAGGAGACGGAAGTTGCAGTGATGAGATCTCGCCACCGCACTCCAGCCTGGATGACAGAGACAGACTCCATCTCAAAAAAATAAATAAATAAATGAATTGGGGTAGACGTACAATAAAATATTATATGGCAATGAAAATGAAAAAACAATTGCTCCACATGACAGAATGAAAAGACTCTCAGAACCATGTGGAATGAAAAAAGCAAGACATAAAATAACACAAACAACATTCCATTCATAGAAAGTTCAAAACAGACAACAAAAAGCCCCACATTGTTTTGGACCGCATACCTACATGGTGAAGCTATAAAGAAAAGCAAGATCATCATTGCAAAAGTCGTGGGGAGGGAGTTATGCTCTAAAGTGCTGGGCGCTTGGGGGCCTGGCAAGGTTCTATTTCCCAACCCGGGCAGTAGTTACACAGTGTTTTCTTTACAATTTTTCTTTAAACTATTCATATGTTTTTATATACTTTTCTTTTTTTTTAGATGGAGTCTCACTCTGTCGCCCAGGCTGGAGTGAAGTGGCACAATCTTGGCTCACTGCAACCTCCGCCTCCTGAGTTCAAGTAATTCTCCTCCTGCCTCAGCCTCCCAAGTAGCTTGGATTCCAGGTGCGTGCCACCATGCCTGGCTAATTTTTGTATTTTAGTAGAGATGGGTTTCCACCTTGTTGGCCAGGCTGGTCTCAAACTCCTGATGTCACGTGATCTGCCCACCTCAGCCTCCCAAAGTGCTGGGATTACAGGTGTGAGCTACTACGCCCAGTCTCATATGTTTTTATATACTTTTCTATATGTATGTTACTCAATACTTCAAAATACTTCAAAAATAATAAAAAATGAAGGAGAAAGAAAAGAAGAAACTACAAGTGGCAAGGCACAATGGCTCAAGCCATAATCTCAGCACTTTGGGAGGCCAAGGCAGGCGGATCACTTGAGCCCAGGAGTTCAAGACCAGTCTGGGCAACATGGCAAAACCCCATCTCTAAAAAAAAAAAAAAAAATTAATAACAATACAAAAATTAGGCATGGTGGCGTACACCTGTAGTCCCAGCTACTCAGGAGGCTGAGGTGGGAGGATCGATTGAGCTCAGGAGTTCAAGGCTGCAGTGAGCTTGTGACTGCACCACTGAACTCCAGTCTGGACAACAGAGAGAGAGACCCTGTCTTAAAAAAAAAAAAAAAAGTACTAGCTTTGGGGTCCCTGACGACCTGTGAGCCCCCACTCTGCTGTTGCCATTGTGCAAACTGAGAAAAGCACTTAACCCCTCTGAGCCTCCATTTCCATATCTATCAAATGAGGACAGCTGTGCCCAGCCCCCAGTGCTGCTGGGAGGACCCAGTGAAGACAGACCTGGGAAGCACCGGCCCCTCCCCAGTCCCAGGCACCTTGATGGTCTCAGGGCTAACGTGGCTGTGGGTCTCCTTGAGGCGGGAGATGGAGCTGTGGCTCAGGCCCCCGACCACTGCCATCAGCGTGTTGAAGTTCTGCAGCTGTAGCAGCTTCTGGAAGGCAAATGGGGACGGAGAGGCAGGGAGTCACTGAGTGGGCCCAGAATTTGGCCCAGCTTATCTAGAGAGAAGGCAGTGGGTTAGGGGAAGGGAAGGGTTGGCCTGACTGGCATGTGGGGTGGTTGGGAGACACCGGGAGGGAGGGGCAGGCACCTCCGCCACGTGGACAAAGTGTGTGATGACCAGGGCCCGCTGCGGGGCTGTGGGTTTGCTGAGGATCATGAGCTGCACCCACTGTGAGACGCTGTTGAAGAGGGAGATGAACCGCTCCAGGACGGGGTTGTCCACAGTGCAGCCATGAGTCACGAAACTGTGATAGTCCTGAAACTGGGGGCATGAGGAGTGGCCTCAGCACCTTGCTGGCCTCTCCCCTCACTGATAGCCACTCCTCACCCTCCAGCTGACCTTCAGTGGTTACACTGAAACCCCTGATGCACCCTGTGACCCAGCCTACGCCAGGGACCCTGCCCCTCCTAGAACTCTCTTCCAGCCCACATTGGACCCCTGACCCCCCAGCCCTCGGGCCGCACCAGGATCTTGCAGAAGGAGCGATACTCCAAGTAGGTGAGATGCTCCGCCAGCTCCATGGGCTCCAGGTGGTCAAACAACAGGGACATCTTGCGCTTTTTCTGTCCCACAGGGTTCCGCTGAGTCACCTGCCGCTTCCACTTGTAGGTAGGGCTGGGGGGGCAGGGGTAGTGAGCCCTTTGCTGGACATGCGCATGACTCGTGGCCCCCCACTCACACAGACACACCATTCACGCTTACTGAGAACCTACATAATGCGAGGCACTGTCCTAGGCACGAATGTTCCCAGTCCCAGCAACTCCTCCTCATCTCCCCCGACCCCGTCATGCACTCAACACACATTTATGAACAACGTACTCTGTGCCAGGCACTGTGCTAGGCGCTGGGAATACAGAGATGAGTAAGACACGGTTCCTGCCCTCGAGGAGCTCACAGTCTACTGAGGGAGACAGACACAGAAACACATGATCACAAAACAGCGTGACACATGTACAGAGGTCTTTGTACAGGAGTCTGTACAAAGTGCCATGGAAAACAGAGGTGGGAACGACAAATTCTACCCCGGAAGAGCCCCGAACCCTCAGAGCCCACGGAGACTTCATGCCTGAACTGAGTCTTGGTAACACGGAGGAGGCAGCAAGGGGGATGATATGAGCAGAGCACCATGATGAGAAAGGACTCGAGAGCTCAGCCGACGGGGAGCCGACCCAGCGCAGCTACAGGAGGAGGTGTGTGGGATGGGTGGTGGCAGTGGAAGATGAGGCAGGAACGCCAAGCTGCCCAGAGGAGGCATGTTGAAGGCAATAGGGAGCCATGGAAGGTTTTTAAGCGAGAGAGCAACATGACCCTCACTCATTCAGTTCAACAGACATTTATTAAGCACAGATGGTATAGGATACTGAGTGCCCCCCCAGCCCTCTGTGCTCCCCCCACGCACACGCTGTCTATGTCGATTAGGCTGCTGTGCCGTCGGTTCCCTTCTTGGTCTAGCAGAGCCTTCAGCTCCTTGATCTGCTCAGCCAACTCCGGGTTCAAGTCAAACTCCGCTGGGAAGGCGGAGATCCAGTACCTGGAGGAGCGGGGAGTCACCCAAGATAGCCCTTCCCCCACCATCACCCAGCAGGCTGCAAGGAGCTATTTGAGATTATAGTCACCTAAGCAAAAAGACCCTCAAACTATGGTTCCAGCTCTTTCCTTCGCCACTCCAAGTGTACATTAGACCCTTGAGACAACCACCCGCACTGCGCAGAAAAGAAAATTAAGGCCCAGACCCAGGAAGGGGTGAGCCTGTGGCAGCACTGCCCACCCGGACAAGCCAGGGTTCAAACCCACTCCCAGAAACAGCGCCCTGCCCCCTCCTCCAGGCCAGCCTGAAGCCAGAGAGAAGGGAGAAAGGGGAGGGGCTAGAGCCCCAGGGGAAAGACTCACCTGACCAGGTGGCACGTTTTCACCTGCAGGGAATTGGAGTTGTCCTTCCGGGATTGTTGGTAGGTGAAGGAGAGGGTTAAGGAGGCCGCTTAACTCTAGAAAGGGAGGCCTGCGTGGAGGGAGGCTGGGGGCGGGGCCTGGTTCTAGGAGACACGTTCTAGGGATGGGGCTTGCGCTCTGCGGAGATGCTGGGGGTGAGGCTTGAGCTCTGGGAGGGGTTGGAGGTGGGGGTGGAGGACTAGGTGCTGAGGGAGGCTGAAAGCAAAGCCTGGGCTCTGGGAGAGAGAGATGCACGGGGCGCACCCAAGCCTGAAGCAGGGGCAGGCCCCAGACTCTAGGGAGAAGGAGGGCAAGGCCTCGGCTGGGGACAGAGCCTGGGGACAGGACCGAGTCGCTAGGAGCAAGGAGGGGGCAGAGCCTAGGCCCTAGTTGGAGGCTGGGACGACGCCTGAGCTCTGGGATAAGGAGTGGCCTATACTTAGGAGCGAGGCTCATTCTGCACCTGGGCTGGGCAGAGGGGCTGCGCATGGGCTCCGACGGCGGGGGCCTTGGCAAGGCCGGCGAAGGATATATGTGGAGCAGCTTGGCCGCCAGCTGAGAGGAGGGGATGTACCAGGGGTGCATCATGAGGAACATGCGCACCAGCTGCGGGTCCCGCACCTTCCCGGAGTCATCTGACTCCGAAGGGTCAAAGACAGGTGGCTGAGCTGGGTCCGCAGCTACCATGCCTCATCCTCACCCCGCAACCCGCCAGGTATCGGTCCTTCGGGTGCACGCTCGACCCCGCCCACCTCCTGCTTGCCCAGGACTCCGAGAGCAGGAGGCAAATTAGAGAGGAAAGGTGTGGTGGGCGAGAGATAGGCACGCCCTGAGGACTGGAGGAGGGGAGCGCCCGAGCCGCCCATCGTCCGGAGGGGAACCAGCTGGGGCGGAAGGAGCCTGGGTTCCCCGGGGTCAAGAATCCAGAGGTCATTTCCTGAGCGCTTGGGGGGAAGGGGCACCCCTTCACCAGATAAGCCGCCCCCCATTAGCCGGAAACAGCTCCCAGGCCGGAGATAGCGAGTTCCTCCGGATTCCCCGGGAGACAGATAATGCCCCTCAAGTGTCAGAGTCCGGGACCCGGCCCTCCCTTCGCCGCCGCTGGGGAAGGCTAGAGAAGGGAAACCTCATCTGTCTGAAGGGCGTGCATCTCTCTGCCCTGCGTTGCGGAGGAGGCTTTCGTTAAAGAGACTGCACGCTGCGGAGCAGGGTGGGTCCGGGTCAGGGCTGTGCCCTGGACTGTGCCTGGGAGGCAGGGACCCGGGCTCAGACTCGGGGCTAGGCTCAGGCTCCGTGTGCCCTCCCGAGCCACTCACCGAAGGCTTCGATGCACCCGCGGAGCAGCTCCTCCACCGTGCAGCCCTTGTCCAGGTCCAGGGTGCCTGCCATGGCCGCCGGCGCGGGGTGGGCTGGGCCCAGGCTGCGCTCCGGGAGCCTCCCACCGGGCTCGGACCGAACCCCTGTCCCGGGAGAGGCAGAGCGGGAGTCTGCGGAGTCGCGGGCGGGGGAGCGGCCCCGCGGGCAGAAACGGGGCGGGGCGGGCACGCCCCCTGCTGGACAGGGGCGGAGTTGTCCCCCGCGGCCACTCCCGGGGTTAAACGGTCTGGCCCGGGATGGTGCAACCCGCCAGTTGGGAAACGGACCCGCAGAGAGGCTTCCGGCCCACCCTCGGAGTCGCGGGAAGGCCGAGGGGCTTCACGAGGATGGGGACGAACCAAGATCCCAGGACTGGCTGGCGCCCAGCCCCCCGCAGGGCGCCTTCTCCTCGCGCCCTCTCCCCAGAGGCACCTGCAGCACCCCGCAGCTCGGCTCTGCGCCCCTCCCGCTTCCCTCCCTCCACAGCCTCCCTTCCCCCGCAGGGTTATTTTGGGAACCCAGAGCCTGAGGGGACCTCGGAGGAATTTCTCCCTGGTATGGGAGGTGGGGGGAGAGAACCCAGGCGTCCTGCCCGCCTCGCCCCCTCCCGGGAGCCCAGGAAGGCGAGGCGGGGCTGCGGCAGCCCCCAGGGGGCCTGCCCTAGGGGAGGCGGACTGGATGGGAGAGGAACATTCCTGGGGCGGGGGGAGCCCGCTGCGGCCAGGAGGCGTCAGCGGGAAGCCTGAGCCTGGGAACTGAGCGCTCCCAGGCCACCTCCGCAAAGGTCCCAGGGGTCCCGGCTCAGCTTGTCCACAGGCCCTCTTCCTCCCTATCCCCGGCTCCTGACCCTGGCCCCGGCCCCGCACAGGCGAACTGTGAGCGCGCACGGAGCAGGGTGTCCAGAGGGGGGCGCTCGCGCCAAGGGTGGCCGGTGGGTGCATGACACCATTAGCAACTCCGGTCACTGGCGGGGTCATACGCACCCTGGCAGGGGCAAACACTCCACACCCAAGTTATTCGTCGGAGGCCGGGGACCTAAGTGGAGGTGCAGGCGTCCGCACTTACACGCACCGGGCCACAGGCACCGGCCTCCCATCCTCCGTCTCTCACACACAATGGCACCCACACCCTGTGCACACCTGCACGAAGAAACCCTCAGGCACACATACCCAGCTCGTCCACCCCAGAATGCAAACCCGCGGACGAGGTCGCCTCCTGGACGTGCTGTTCACTTGAGCCAGGCCAGCCTTGAGTCCCGCGGCCACACAGGCGCTGACATCCTCACACGTGTGCACACACGCAAGGCAGTGCCTCTCCACGCATGTACACTCCCACACACATGCACACACCCCCATGGGTGCGCACGCCCATTCCGTCGCCCCCCTCCCATTTGCGGTGCAGGGCCCGCCCTGCGGCCCCAGCTCCCTGACTCCCCTCACTCCCAGATTTTGGCAGAGCCTTGCCCCACGGAAAGGTACCCCGGCCCTACACATACTCACTCCCCCAGGCTGGAGGACAGGGGAGCTCCTGTACGGAGTTCTCAGGCGGACTTTTCCTAAGAGCCACCCAGAGCCGTCCCCGCCTGGCTCTACCGCTTCCTCGTGTGACCTTGAGAATCACTTGGCCTCTGGGAGCCTCAATTTTCTCATCTGCCAAATGGGGGTACGCGGGGGAGGGCCCCGCTGGAAGGTGGCTGGGAAAAGCTGGGTGCACCGTGGAGGTCCTCCGCCCTCCGGGGATCCAGCGCGCCTTAGCTCTCGTGGCCGCTGCCCCCTCTCCCAGACCCGGGCCGCAGACTCCCCACCCGCTCGCCGCCCCCAGCCCGCCCGCGCCGCCCTGGGCGGGGGGGGAGTCGCTGGGGGCCGCGCCCTCCTTCGCCTGGCGCCCCGCCCGCGCTCGCCCACTCACTCTTGGGACCTGCCGCAAGGAGCCCGCACCGGCCTGGCCGACCCCACCTCCGTGCGCTCCCGCCCGCCGGCCTCGCTGCGGCTGCGGCTCCCGCCCGCTCTCCACGCCGCGGCCCCGCTCCCCGCCGCCCCGCCCCCGCCCCCGCGCCAGGCTGCCCCCTCCCCCCTCCGCCCCTGCGCGGAGCTCCGCACCGCCGGCTGCGCCACCCCCACCGGGGGCTCCCTCTCGCCCCGCACGCGGCGGTCCCTGCGGCAGCTTAACCCCTCCCCTGCCGCGCCGCCCGGGAGGCCAGGGCCGCGGGCGGGGGGCTGCGCCACTAGCTGCCCCGAGGGCGGGCGACCGGAGGCCCCGCCGCCCGGGACGCGGAGGGGGGACCGAAACGAAGAGCCCCTCCCCCAACCGCGGACGCCCCAGTGCCCCCCGCCCTGCCTGGGTGTCGGGCGGAGGAAGCCGGGAGGGGCAGGAAGCGGACTGCGGTGGGGAAGGGGCGCCCCGCCCAGCCCCCAGCTCGGGTTCCTGTTTTCGAGACAAACCGTTCCCATGGGGCTAACCCGGCCCGGGACCGGGCGTCTTCCTGCAGGCAGCGGGTGGCACAGGCCTAGTGGAGGTCGGGGGCGTGGGGACAGCTGGTCCTTGAGATAGTCTGGGGGATGGGCTAGGACAAGATGGGAATATTTTGGGGAGAGGGACCTGTGGGGAGCGAGGAATGAAATCGTGGCTATCTGGAGACGCGGCCTTGATGTCTGGGAATGGGGGCGGGGGGCCCAGTTCACACAGGAGGAACGGGGCCCCGGAAGCCTGGCTCCCCACAGGGTCGAATGGAAAGGGGCAGCCGCATGTGGCGGTGGGTTCTCCGCAGCTCGGAGACTGGAGACCTGGATGCCTGGCCAACAGGGAGGAACTTGGGAGGGGCAGCCGCAGGCGGTTGGGGTCCCCACTAGCCGGGCCTAGGAGAGCGGGTAACGGTTTCCGACCATTTGGCTTCAGACACACTCACTGTGAAACCACCGACCCCAAACCTCCCTTCCGAGGCGTGCCCCTCCCAGCCTTGGGGCGGGGGATCCAGGACCGCCCCCGCACCTCAGTCTTGGTAATGTAAGACTTAGAAACAGGACCTTTCTGTTCCTCAGTTTCCCCATAATGAGGGCCTAGACTAGGCGGTCTGCGAGTGTTCCCTGCCGTAACACTCCCCCGACTTTGGATCCAGTGTAGCCACCTGCTAAGAGACCCTTAAACGCCGCAGTAGGGCGGGGCTAAGGGCGGAGCCAAGAAGGCGCCGAGCATCCTCTGCTTCCTCCCCCTCCTGGGTCCTGCCCTCGACAGCGCGGATCCTCCGTGGTCCGGGAAGCCTCAGCCCAAGTCCCGGCTCCCAGCCCCGGTGGGCCCCACCCAGGCAGACGCCCCGCCCCCGGCCAGCGAGGCTGGCCGCTGACCTAGTATGGACACGGCACTGGGAAGAGAGGCGTGGAGGGTGACGCCAGGAAAGGGGCTGGAGAGGCCTAGGCCCCGCCCCCACGGGTCGCCCCCTCCACCTCCCATCACCGTCCCGCCGTGGGACGCACCTGCCGAGGGTGGAGGATAAGGGGGTGACTGCGCGGCTGCTGTTGAGCCCGCCAAGAGCTAAAAATATTTCCCAACAAAGAGGAGTAAGGAGGCTCCCAAGGAGAATGAATTTATTAGGGAGTGGGTGCAGTTGGTCAGACCCCATAAATAGGAGGGGACCGGGAGCCCGAGGACGGAAGGGGGCCCGTGTCCTTAGTCACGCTGGACACTGGGACATTGAGAGTGGGGAAAATGAGGGTTCCAGGAGGGGCTTAGAGATCTAACTCCAGTACCCCACCCTCTGCATGAGGTGCTGGGGCTGGCCCAAGAGAGTGTGACAGACTCAAGGGCTGGTTTGGGGTCTGGTCTGGAGGCTCAGATGGCCTCATCCGGGGCTGGCAGGCGCTGGCGGGAAGGCTCCACACCCCAGATCTCCCGGGCATACTGGGCAATGGTGCGGTCACTGGAGAACTTGCCAGAGGTGGCTATGTTCCGGATCACCATCCGCGTCCACTCTCTTGGGTTCTGCAGGTCAAAGGGAAGCTCTGGTTCACTCTGCTGGCAGGATCTCCACCTTCTGCCTCATCCCAACCAGGGCCACCAAAGCCCTGCCAACCCCTGGCCCAGGACCCCTCACCTTGTACAAGGCGCTGACTTTCTCCTGGCATTTAATGTAGTCTTCATAATCTGCGAAGACTTTAAACCTGGAGGGGAAAGGATAGGCATGTGCTATTCCTTTAGGGGGCTAGGATAAGTTCTATGAGGTCAAGGGCCAAGCCTGCCCTGTCCCAGTGGACAGCCGGGGACCTAGAGGGTCATGCTGCTTCCAAAGGCGCCTGGCTCCAACTACCAGGACCCGCGTCCGGCTTCCCCACCACACACCTGAGCCTCGATCTGCCCTGCGGCCCCACCTGAGTGATTCCCGGGCCAACCAGCTCACCGGTCATGGTGCATGAGCATATTGACAATGTCCTTGAACAGGTCGGGCTGTTTGGGGGAGAAGAAGCCACTGCTCAGCTGCTCAATGACCTGCCGAAGCTCAGGAATGCGATCGTAGTACTCCTGGGCATTGTACCTGCCAGGACAGAGCTGTGGTCAGCTCCCCGGAAAGGGGTTCCTGGCTCCTCTTCCAGAGAAAAGCTGAGAAGTCCCATGCCCCAGGGTCAAAACCCAGGTCCAGCCTGCTGCTCCCCAGGGCTGCCACATCGCCCCTGCAGGGCCTCCCTGCAACTCCCCTTCTCTGCTCAGCTTTTCATCCCTCCTTTGTGAATGAAGAAACTGAGGCCCGGAGGATACAGAAAGCTAAGTGTTAGAGCCAAGGCCCCCAAACAAGCTCTTTTCTCCCACACGCCACTGCTGTCTCTTAACCAGTTTGTTTGCTCCAAAATGGCTTTTCTCCTCCAGTAGCCCAAGTCCATATCCGGCCTTGCCCTGGGGCAGCAAGAGCAGCTAACAGGTACAACCCTTCAACTGGGCCAGGCATGGTGGCTCACGCCTGTAATCCCAGCACTTTGGGAGGCCGAGGTGGGCGGATCATCTGAGGAGGTCAGGAGTTCAAGACCAACCTGGCCAACATGGTGAAACCCAGTCTCTACAAAAATACAAAAAGTAGCCGGGCATGGTGTCGTGTGCCTGTAATCCCAGCTCCTCGGGAGGCTGAGGTGGAAGAATCACTTGAACCCGGGAGGCGGAGGTTGCAGTGAACCGAGATCATGCCATTGCACTCCAGCCTGGGCAACAGAGCAAGACTCCATCTCAAAAAAAAAAAAAAAGATAACCCTTCAGCTGACCCTCAGCGCCCCCACCACGGCTCAAAGCGCTCCACAGGCCAGTCTCAAAACCTAACCGTTCCAACCAGAAACCAGCGCTCCCCACAAAATCTCTAATCCCTCGTGCGACTCTCTAGTCCCTTGTGCGACTCTCAGGCAACTCTCCCTGCATTATGGTGTCAGCCCCCACAGTGGTCCCCCACCTGCCCCCTCCAGCACTGTCTCCATCCTGCAGCCAGAGGGTTCTTCCAGGCCTCGTTCTGAGCATGCGGGACCATGCTCACAACATCTCACAGCTCCCTCCTGCCCATGGGACAGCCAGCTTTCTAGTGAAGCCTCACAGGAGACACTTCTTTCAGTGTTTAATGCCAACTCTGGGAAGCTGTTGTGGGAGTGTAAACTGGGAGAAACTTTCTGGAAAGCAGTTTGGCAATCTGTATCAAGAGCCTTAAGAACTCATACTTTTTAACTCAGAAATATCACCCTTCTGATAATTATCTTAAGGAAATCATCAGATGTGGACGTAGACATTAAAAGGTTGCTCATCACAGTAATATTTAACAAACCGGAAATTAACCTTAGTGTCCAGCCACATGGAATTGATTAAATAAGTTGTGACATGCTCATAGGATGGAATGTTATACAAACATTTAAAATATTTTTGAAGACTAATAACATGGAAAATCTCTCTCCAATGCTAAGATATCAGGATTCAAGCAGGGCGCGGTGGCTCACGCCTGTAAACCCAGCACTTTGGGAGGCCGAGGCGGGTGGATTACTTGAGGTCAGGAGTTCAAGACCAGCCTGGCCAACATGATGAAACCCCATCTCTACAAAAATACAAAAATTACCTGGGCGTGATGGTGGGTGCCTGTAATCCCAGCTACTCGGGAGGCTGAGGTGAGAGAATCACTTGAACCTGGGAGGCGGAGGTTGCAGTGAGCCAAAATCATGCCATTGCACTCCAGCCTAGGTGACAGAGTGACTCTGTCTCAAAAACATAAAAATAAATAGGCCAGGCGCAGTGGCTCACCCCTGTAAGCCCAGCACTTGGGAGGCCGAGGAGGGTGGATCACCTGAGGTCAGGAGATAGAGACCATCCTGGCCAAAATGATGAAACCCCGTCTCTACTAAAAATACAAAAATTAGCTGGGCGTGGTGGTGGGTATCTGTAATCCCAGCTACTCAGGAGGCTGAGGCAGGAGAATCGCTTGTACCCGGGCGGTGGAGGTTGCGGTGAGCCAAGATCGTGCCATTGCACTGCGGCCTGGGTGACAGAGCAAGACTCCATCTCAAAACAAAACAAAAGGCCGGGCGCAGTGGCTCACGCCTGTAATCCCAGCACTTTGGGAGGCCGAGGCAGGCAGATCACGAGGTCAGCAGATCGAGACCATCCTGGCTAACATGGTGAAACCCCGTCTCTACTAAAAATGCAAAAAATTAGCCAGGCGTGGCAGCAGGTGCCTGTAGTCCCAGCTACTCGGGAGGTAGAGGCAGGAGAATGGTGTGAACCCAGGAGGCGGAGCTTGCAGTGAGCCAAGATCGCGCCACTGCACTCCAGCCTGGGTGACAGAGCGAGACTCCGTCTCAAAAAAAAAAATACATTAAAATAAAATAAAATAAAATTTTTTAATGTAATGCCAGGATAATGTCTTCTCTGAAGAACTGTTTCTGACCATAGGCCCCTTGTAACTACTGTGCCCATATTTCCCTTTTGCCCATGGCTTTCAGGGAGCAAGGATTTTTTTTTTTTTTTTTGAGGCAGAGTCTCACTCTGTTACCCAGGCTGGAGCGCAGTGGCGCGATCTCGGCTCACTGCAAGCTCCGCCTCCTGGATTCACACCATTCTCCTGCCTCAGCCTCCCGATCAGCTGGGACTACAGGCGCCTGCCAACACGCCCGGCTAATTTTTTGTATTTTTAGTAGAGATGGGGTTTCACCGTGTTAGCCAGGATGGTCTGGATCTCTTGACCTTGTGATCCGCCCGCCTTGGCCTCCCAAAGTGCTGGGATTACAGGTGTGAGCCACCGCACCCGGCGTAGAGCAAGGATTTTTTTACTTCCATTTCCCAAACAATATTATCTCTTAGGGTTGATATAATATTCTCTTCCTTTTCCTTCAGTTCTATATTACTTCTTTCTTTTCCAATTTCATTAACCTTATTTGCTGTAAGCGCCCTCTAAAGTTTCCCAGAATCCTGCTGGCCATGACCAAGACCTTGCTGGGCCTGGACCAGTCTTTCCAGACGTGCCGCTTGCTCCCAGCACCACTCTCCAGCAGCCACACCTGGGTGTCTTTTGCCCGTGAACCCTGACCCCCATACCCTCTTTGGTCAAGCTTATCCACATCCTCCACCCGCATGCCAAAGATGAAGAAGTTTTCCTCTCCCGCCTCTTCTGCCATCTCCACATTGGCCCCGTCCATGGTGCCAATGGTCAGAGCCCCGTTGAGCATGAACTTCATGTTGCCGGTGCCTGAGGCTTCAGTGCCCGCAGTGGAGATCTGCTCAGAGAGGTCTGCAGCTGGGATCACTGTGGGGTGGCAGCAGGGGGACAAGTCAACTCAGGGAAGACCCTCACACCAGCTGGGGACTCTCAGATTAGGCTGGCCCCAGGCATAGCTGGACTCAGAGTCGCCCCACCCCAAACTCCCAGTCTTCACCAGCCAAGCCTCCCTCTCACACCGCACCCCCACTGCCCTCTACCTCTTGTTGATTCTTGACCATCTAGGTCCAACCTGGATTTCCCCACCTCTGTTGCAGATTTGAAGGTAATTTCACCCTGTACTGCCTGAAATTCCACCATTAGAGGGCATCCTCATGGGGTTTTTGCTTTGTTTTGTTTCCTCTTGTTTTTTGAGACGGAGTTTTGCTTTTGTTGCCCAGGCTGAAGTGCAATGGCGTGATCTCGGCTCACTGCAACCTCCGCCTCCCAGGTTCAAGTGATTCTCCTGCTTCAGCCTCCCAAGTAGCTGGGATTATAGGCACCTGCCATCACGCCCAGCTAATTTTTGTATTTTTAGTAGAGACGGGGTTTCACCATGTTGGCCAGGCTGGTCTCGAACTCCTGACCTCAGGTGATCCACCCACCTTGGCCTCCCAAAGTGCTGGGATTACAGGCATGGGCCACTGCGCCTGGCCTCCTCATGGTTTAAGCATTGCCCTCTCCAGATTCTTCTTTCAAGTACAAGTATCCCAGGAAGAGACGACTGATACCTCTTCCTGAGACTGAACTAGTCAGAGCCTCCCTAGGGTCCCTGTTGGCAGCACCCACCTTTCTCGGCCAGTGAGACTCGGTAGTTCTCCAGGAAGATGACACGGAGGCGGTCACCCACTGCCGGGTCATGGTTGACCACATCCCCGATGGCTGTGACGAGTCTGATGATCATCTTGGCCATGTGGTACCCAGGTGCAGCCTGAGGGGACAAAGTCTGGGGTCAGCTCTACTGCCTGGCCCCCCACCCCCTATCCTGCAACTCAGCTGGGCTGACCTCAACCTGGATATATCAAAGGACGGGAGCCCAGGGCTGGAGCCTGGCTTCTCACCTTCCCTCCAATCATCACAGTCCGAGGCACAAAAAACTTATTGGGCTCCCTCTTGATGCCTGTGGAGAAACGAGAGGGATCCAGTGGGCCTACCTTTCCCTCTGGGTAGTAGCTCCTGACAGAGGCTGGGCTGGGACACCGTAGGCCTGACTCGAACAATCACTTGCTATGCTCTCTTAGCCTCAGTTTGCCCATCTGTGAAATGGGGATAATTCCATGTCCCAAGAGTAGTCCCAAGTCCAAAGGAGATGTTGGTTGGGCAATATGTACTATGCCGCAGGAACACGGGGGAGCACTGAGAGACAGGGTAGAGTGGCTGCCACTCACGGTTGTACAGGGTGATGACATGGAGGCAGTTGAGGAGCTGTCGTTTATATTCGTGAATCCGCTTCACCTGGATGTCGAAGAGTGAGTTGGGGTTGATGTGGACTTTGTATTCCCTCTCTAGGTAGGCAGCAAACTTCAACTTGTTTTCCTGGAGGCAGAGACGGGGAAGGGCTCACCAACAGGCCACAGCCTCAGGAAATCCTACAGTCCACACTCCAGTCAGCCCCAGGAGGATGGCTACCAGGAGGCTCACTGGCTACTTCTGTCCACTCCTGTACCAGGGCAGACATTGCTAATCAATGTCAGCACTGTTCATGTGAGGTCAGATGATGCCTTCCCACCACAGACTCCAGGCAACTTCCACCAACGGCCTGGGCTGGCAGGAGAGATGAGCTCTATTTGCCACGCCTGACCCAGACATCTGGCCCCTCCAGCGCTCTCCACACAGCACAGCTGTCCCACATTGCATCTCTCCCCACCTGCTTCACTTTGGCCACATCCCGAATGAAAGCTTCATCATCCACAAAGGAGAGCAGTTTGCGCAGCTGGTCCAGGTCAGAGATGAAGTCCTCCCCGATGCGCTATGGGAAGACGGCTCTCAGCCAAGCCCATCCCCATGTCCTCCCTCCTCCCAACACAGAAGGGGCCATTTCCAGGTCAGCCAAGCCCCCTTCACCCAGCAGGCTGCTCTGGGGGCCCTCCCAGCCCCTCCTCCTCCAGCCGCCCAGATGGGGCACGGGGCATCCATGCACCTTCCTCCCCTCCCGTCCTTGAGCTCTGATGGCTGACCCCACCTGACCCCAGCAGGCCTTCCTGGCTTCCTGGCCTTTTCCTAACGCCAGCATGACCTTGCGCCTTCCCTACCAGATATCTGCCCCCTTCCAGGCTCACTTCAGATGTGACCCATGGATGACTCCCTCTGCTGTGTTCACCTCCACAGCCAGGGCCTCCATTAGCACACAGAGCACCCTCATGCAATTAAGATGGTGTCCCTCCTCCAGGTGGATGCGAGGCTTGGGGAACACAGTGCAGGAGGGATTTCAGCCTTCAGCTGGGAGCCCTGATGCAGTGAACCACCTACACGACCATACCCAGCTGATCCCTGCAGGGACCCATGTTGACTCTACTGGCCCTACGGTGGCCTCTCACCTCAGCAATGACCTCTGCCAGCCCGGGGTTACACAGAACCAGCCAGCGCCGAGGGGTGATGCCGTTGGTCTTATTCTGGAACTTATGAGGCTCCAGCTCATAGAAGTCTTTGAAGCTGCAGGATGAGGTTGGACGAGGGTCACCACTCACCCCTGTACAATGAAGGCCTCTGCCCTGGGGCCCCTACCCTGGTGTCTTGCTGAAAGGGGCCTGGGGCAGGGAATGCAGACCTGGGGAAGGTTGGGGGTGCTGTGTGTAAGAGGAGGTCATCTCAGGACAGGGCGGCACTGGAAGGGGCTGCTGTGCTTGTAAGAATGACGCCACCTGTGAAAGGCGCCAGGGCCCAGAGACCAGAGAGTGGTCGGTGAAGGGCGGGGCTTCTGTGTGACAGAGGCGTGGAGTGGGTGGGGCCTAGAGAGGGGCGGGATCTGGAAAGCGGGGCTCACATGGTCTTCTTGAGGATCTCGGAGTGGATGCGCGCCACGCCGTTGACGGCGTGCGACCCCGCGATGCACAGGTGTGCCATGTTGATGCGCTTCACTGCGCCCTCCTCCACCAGCGACATGCGCCGCAGCCGGTCTACGTCCCCTGGGAATGCGGCCGCCACCCGCTGTGCCCAGAGAGCCCAGAGCTAGAACCAGACCCAGGAACCCCCATCCCCAGTCCCCAGCCCCACACCCCCAGAGCTCTGCCCAGTGCCCCCACTGCCCCAGAGTCTCAGGGCCCTGGCTGGACGCCCCGACTCCCAGGCCCAGACTGGGTGTCCCCCCTCACCCCCACACCATCCCCCAAGCCTCCGGACTCACGTTGAGGAAGCGCTGGTTGATCTCGTAGATGATCTGGAGGTGCCGCGGCAGCAGCGTCTCCAAGAGGTGCACCGGCCAGCGCTCCAGGGCCTCGGGCAGCACCGTGTGGTTGGTGTAGGCACAGGTCCTCACTGTCACATCCCACGCCTGGCACACGGGGTGGGCAGTCAGGATGCTGACCTCAGCCCAGTGGGTCTCCTCACACACTACGCATCCCAGTGGGCCCCCCCACTGCAGTGCCAGGTTCCAGGACGGTCCCTCTGGCCTCAGGCTCTGATCCCTTCACTCCATTCATATCCTCCCACGCTCCCAAACTGGGAAGGGAACCCCGAGGCAGAGAGCATCAGATGGGGCAGAGGGGCCCTGAAGCCCACCTTGTCCCAGTCCATCCGTTCCAGGTCCACCAGGATCCTCATCAGCTCGGGGATGGCCAGGGAGGGGTGGGTGTCATTGAGCTGGATGGCCACCTGGGGTAGGGGGAGGGGTCAGTCTGGGCTCCAAACCACATTCCATGCTATGGTCACTGCCCTATGCCATTTGGAGGCCCCCAGAGAGCCCAGCACGGTTCTGTGACTGGGCTGTGGGCAGAGGCAGGCCGGTGCTCATGGGGGTGGGAGGAATGGGGGGAGTGGGGCGGGAGGAGGAGGGAAGCCCAGGTTCTGAGCCTGTGGATTGTGAATCCTGAACAACTGACCCTCCCACACTCCCAGTCTCCACTCCCTTATCTATTACATGGGGCAGGCAGGCCGAGGCTGGAGGGAGAGGCCTAGCACACACTGTCCGGTCACAGAGTCGCCCTCCACACGCATGGTACCTTATCTGGGAAGGCATCGAAGTTCGTGCGCACGGGATCACGGCAGCCGAACTTGGAAGACTTGAAGCGACGGATGATGTCCTGGAGGGTGGCAGCCACCACGAAATACTCCTGCTTCAGCCGCAGCTCCTTCCCTTCGAAGAACTGGGGACAGCATGAGGCAGCGTGAGTCAGGGCGGTGGGGGCATGGCCTAAAGCTGCGGTGGGTGTGGCCAGGAGGGACTCCCACCCATACCGGGACCCCTGAGCCCTGAGCCGGCCCCCTCTCTGGGACCCAGGGGCCTTTCCTCCACCAAGAACTAGTGGCGAGAGACAGTGTCAGGAAGAGGGGTACAAGAACCGAGTGTGTTGTGGGTGTCGCCAGGGAACAGCCCCTCCAAAGTGCCCTTCGCTAACCCAGTTTCCTCAGGACTCAGGTGTCCTTGCACTCAAAAGACTTGAGGTGGGGGCACAGGATGCACAAGGCCAGCAATATGCCCTGGGTGTGACTAGGGCACCAGCAAGTGTCCTTCCCCAGCTCTCCCTGACCCCTGCTGCCAAGGACTCAGGCTTCCAGCCCCCAGCCCAGGGGGTGACGCACATTATCATTGGGGTACAGGACACGAGAGATGTTCTCCGCCAGGTTTCGGTCCAACACAGCCTGGATGTAGCCACCGACATTGACTGAGGGACAAAAGTGGGGACAGGGTAAGGCCTGCGCTGGGCGTGGCCGGCGGGCAAGCTGGGGTTGCTGGCTACCAGTGGATGAACTCACAGTCCTTGAGGTTGAAGTCATTGGGAGCCTTGGCAGACCAGAGGCGCATGGTGTTGACAACATTGTTGCGATAGCCAGGCACGGGCGTATCGTAGGGCATGGCCAGTACCACCTGCGGGGGGCAATCCTGTCAGGAGCTGGCCAGCCCTGGCAATTGCCTCCCTCCCCTCAGGGCTGGGACTCAAGGCTTTATCCCTGCACTCTGCAGACCCAGGCTCTTGTCCTTGTCTAGCATCGATGAGCTGGGTAACCATGAGCAAACCCCATAGTCTCTCTGGACCGCATCTAGAGCAAAGACACCCTCAACACCTCCCCGACACCCATAAGCCCTGCCTGGGCAGACGGTGGTGAGGAAAATGGAAGGAGGCAGGTGATAAGCCCGGAACCCAGGAGGGGCTCTGTTGGCGACCACTCTGCAGCAATGGGGGCTGGGCTGGCCAGCCTGGCCTGAGCAAAAGCTAGAGGACACTGTGGACTCATGAGAGGGCTGGGGGAACCCAGGGCCAGGCTGAAGGGGTCACAGAGGTCAAGTCCATCCAAAGGTCTCATCTCTGGTTGACCACAGGGCTAATTCACGGTGACTAATTCTGCCCCGCCTTCCATAACTAGCAAACATCAATAATTGTCTGCTACCACGGTGCCAGGGGTACATTCACTCCTCTAAGCGAGCCCTTTTAAGGGGCATCGCCCTCCCTCCCCACATTCAGTCACCCTGATTGGTGCAGGGTGGGAGTTGACACAGAGAGAGGGAAGGGACCCATCCCCGAGCACACAGCCAGGCTGGCAGCACCAGAGGGAGCCAGGTCTCCTGCCTTCCAGCCACAGCCACTTGTGCCAGTTGCCACGTGCACCTGGCATGGACTGCCAGCAGCCCCCACTGCATCTTAACCTGGAGGACAACAAACAAATGCTCAGTTCTGAAAGCCTAGTGGTTTATCTGCAGCCCATCTGGGGGCTGATGACCTGAAGCTTCAGCAGGAAGATTGCCTGAACTGGGATTTGTTTTTTGTTTGTTTGTTTTTGAGATGGGACCTCACTCTGTTACCCAGGCTGGAGTGCAGTGGCACTATCTTGGCTCACTGTAACCTCCACCTCCTGGATTCAAGCGATTCTCTGGCTTCAGCCTCCTGAGTGGCTGGGATTACAGGCACGTGCCACCATGCCCGGCTAATGTTTTTGTGTTTTTAGTAGAGACTGGGTTTCACCATATTGGTCAGGCTAGTCTTGAACTCCTGACCTCAGGTGATCCACCTGCCTTGGCCTCCCAAAGTGCTGAGATTACAGGTGTAAGTCACCACGCCCGGCCTAAACTGGGATTTGTACACCTGGTTTGGTTTTAAGGTTTTCAGTTTTTGGTCTTTTTGCTTTTTGAAACAGTCTCACTCTGTCACACAGGCTGGCTGGAGTGCAGTTGTACAATCATAGCTCACTGCAGCCTTTAAATCCTGGACTCAAGTGATCCTCCCACTGAAGCCTCAGAGTAGCTGGGACTACAGGCATGCACCAGCACCCTGGCTAATTTTTTAAATTTTTTTTTTGAGACGAGGTCTGGCTCTGTCACCCAGGCTCCTGGGCTCAAGCAGTTCTCCCACTTCAGCCACCCGAGTAGCTGGGACTACAGGCGCACACCATCACGCCTGGCTAATTTTTGTATTTTTTGTAGACGGGGTTTCGCCCTCTTGTCCAGGCTGGTCTCGAACTCCTGAGCTCAAGCAATCTGCTCACCTTGGCCTCCCAAAGTGCTGGGATTACAGGTATGACCCACTGCCCCAGTCTATTTTTTTTATTTTTTGTAGAGACAGGGTCTCTCTATGTTGCCCAGGCTGGTCTTGAAATCCTGAACTCAAGCCATACTGTCACCTCGGCCTTCTAAAGTGCTGGGATTACGGGCATGAGCCACTGTGTCTAGATTTGGTTTGGTTTTAGGATCCCTCTAACTTGCTGTGTGATGAGTGAATTCCTTTCGGAAGGCTCCAGTTTTCTCCTGTCCCCCTTTCTGGGCTGCTGCTGTCGAGATGTTCAGGGCAGACTCAAGTCGCCAAGATGGTCCTTTGATAAATCTCATGGTGTGGAGTGGAGCCAGGTCATGGGGAGACACTGGGGGAGCAGGGCAGCCTCTCTCCCCTTCCAGACTCTGCACTTAGGCTGGCTCCCCTGTGTCCCTGTCTCCAGTCTCTCCTGGCTTCAGCTGTGTGACTTTGAGTAAGTCACTTAACCTCTCTGAGCCTCAGCATCCTCAGGTGTAAAATACACTGGGTCCTGCTTCCTCTCTGGGCTTCCTTCTCTTCCCTCCCCTTCTCTGGGCTCCCCTGACCCCCAGCTTCATCCTCACCTGTGTGTCCACCCACTTGGCACCCTGGCTGGTGTGCTCCACATGGCCGTAGAAGTGCACAGGTAGCGTGAACTCGGGCCGGGCCTTCTCCCAGGGGTTGCCGTAGCGAAGCCAGTCATCGGCCTCCTCCATCTGCACCCAAGGCAGGTCAGGGAGAAAGGCCAGCAGTATCAGTACAGGCACTCACAGTGCACGGTGGGGCAGGGTGGGGGCCGTGGGCCGGTGTACCCTACACCAAGTATAAGTCAGGAGCTCTGAGGTGGGCCCCTGGTCTGCTGGGCTATCGAGTGGGACACGGACCACCTGTTTCAGGGGCACCAGCTGGCTTTGGGTCGGGGGGTGGGGAGCAGCAAGGATGCTTTCCACAGAGCTTGCGGGGCTGTTTCGGACCTTGCCAGAGATGATAAACAAGTGGGGGTCTTCCCCATCCTGACTAGACCCCACAAGTTAGAGCCAAGGCTGCTCACCTGCCAGCCCCCGGAGATCTTCTGGTTAAAAATCCCAAACTCATAGCGAATCCCGTAGCCATAGGCGGCCAGGCCCAGTGTTGCCATGGAGTCAAGAAAGCAGGCTGGGGGTGTGCAGGGAGGTGGCTGTCAGGGACCCAGCAAGGAGGACCCCATCGGCCCACTCCACCCTCACGGCCCTGTCTTCTTACCTGCCAGCCGGCCCAGGCCCCCGTTGCCCAGCCCCGCATCCTCCTCAATTTCCTCCAGCTCCTCCATGTCCAGGCCCAGCTGGAGGAGTGAGGGTGACAGTGGTCAGGGTCAAGTGTCAGCAGTGGAATCCCCCAGTCCCCACGGCTTGCCCCACCCCACACACACCTGGTAGGTGGCCTCGTCACAGGCATTCTCTAAGGCCAGGTTCACCATGGTGTTCTGTAGCGTCCGTCCCATATAGAACTCTAAAGACAGGTAGTAGATCCTCTGCCCAGAGAGACGGATGGGCAGGGAATGGGGTCAGGGCCACACACCAACACTCAGCCAGGCCCAGCCACGCCTGGACCTCTGGCCCGCCTGCCCTGCTCAGCAGTCCCATCCCTGTCCCCAATTTGTTTCTCCCTGTCTCAGGCTTTGGGGCCCAGCGGTTAAGGTTCTGGTCCCAGCATTCCTCTGACTTTGGACAAATCACTCTCTTTGGCCTCAGTCTCCTCATCTGGGAAATAGCGCTGGCCATACCCACTTCAGGGACTGAGGTACTCGGGAGAATGGGCACCCCTTCCCCCTGCACACACCCCCAGAGAAAAAAGTCATTTGCTCAAGGTCACACAGTGGCTAGAGACTGGGCTAGAGACTGTCACCTCCCATCCTTGCACTGTCCAGTTCCCCTTGGCCCTCAAGCCTCAATCCCAAGGAGACCCAGAGGCACCAGAAACTAGGATGCTGCCAGTGCCTGGTCTCCCAGTTTCCTGGGTCCCCTCCTGGGCCGTCTGCCCGCCCCTCCCCCACTCCCCACCGAGGCGTGTCAGGTTGCTGACATTTACCAGTGACCCCACCGGACACTTGATCTCTGCCGCCCCAGCTGCCCCAGCCCCGCCTGCTGCACAGGCACACCGCGCATACATGCAGCAACTGATGTGTCCTTCCACCTGGGCCCAGCCAGGCCACAGGCGCCGTCCTGCCCACCAGCACCCACTCCAACCTTCTCCGAGTGGGCACTGACCCTTTGCAGCCAGCCCACCTGCTCTGAGCTCCCTGACCCCCACTCCTGCCCCAGGTTTCTCCCTCAGATTGTCCCAGCACCCCTTGTGCCTGGCACCCCTGGATTCTCCACCCCCAAGAACCTAGAGTGACGAGGGGCAGCCACTTAAGTCAAGATCGCCAGCTCCCTGGCAGCGCCTTCAGCCCATACCCCCACCCCAGGCTCCCCAGCAGCACCTTGGGGTCCTTCTCATAGTAGTGCTGCTGCGTGCGGATCCAGCGCCCCACGAGGTGGTCGCGCACGGTATGGGCCAGAGCAAAGTAGTAGTCTCGTGGGGTGGCCACATTGCGGTCCTTTACGAGTGTGAAATGCAGGTGCCGGTTGAAGTTCTTTTTCAGCTCAGTCACGTTCTCCACGCCGGCCAGGCCACGCACACTGATTTGCTTTCTTTTCTCTTGGTCTGACAGGGGCCGGGACATGGCTGCAGGAGGGCGGGCCGGACTGGACTGATGGTAGAGGGGACGGCGGCCTCAGCACTGCCTCCAGCCAAGGAGTGGAGCTCCCCAGCCTCAAGGGGATTTAAAGCCTGGCTCTGGGCAGCACGCCCCGCCTCCCCTGCAATGGGAGGGTCTTGGCCTGGCAGCTCAGGGAGCTATTTTGAGGGCAAGGGGAGGAGAGGAGAGGGGAGGGAGAGGTGAGCTCCACTTGGGCCGCCAAGACTGGCCTGGCTTGTTCACAGGCCTGTGCTGACCCACTTCCTCCAGGCCTTGCACATGGTCTTCTGTCCCTTGTCCCTGCCTTTTGGAGGGTTGGATACAAGAAGGAGCAGGCAGAGTGCTGGATTGGGGAGCTGTCTGTCAGTGGCTGAACCAGGATGGGAGGCCATGTGTTGTGGCAAAAGGAACCAGGACCCCCTGCAGGCTGTGGTGCAGGAGCCAAGTCAGTGTCCCCTGACGGAAGAGGTGCAACTAGCAGAGGCCACTGGATGTCTTTGAGAAAGGGGCCCACGACCCTGCATTGCAGGGGTGGTGTGAGGGAGGTTGTGTGAGGCAGGGCCACAGCCCTCACTCCACCCCCACCGAAGCTGAGCAGCTCTAGGCTCCCCCTGTTGCTGTCCCTCAAGGAGCCCTGAAGTGACCTTTTGGAGAGGGATGCTCAGGTTACTGGCCAGCATTGGCGGGAGGCCGCTAGCCTGCAGCACGGGGCCCTGGGAACTGTAGTCCTATAGGCCCTCGGCGGTGGGAGAAACTGAGGCATTCCCCACTCCATCATCATACTGGTTTAATGACAGTAAGTTCTCCCTGTGATTCCACTGCTTAGGAAGTGATTAGAGGCCTTCTTTCACTTCTTCCTGCCACCTGGGGCCACACTCTGAGCAGGATTTTGTAAACCAGCTCTGTGACCTGGCCTATAAAATGGGTGCCTAATCTGTACCTCGAGGACCTCACCCCATTTGTGTGCATAGCCCCACAGCTTTGAGCCCTTCCCTGGAGGCTTTGGCTATCCTCCCATTCACTGCTGTGTTCTGGCCCCAGCACTGACTTGCTGTGTGACCTCAAGCTGGTTGCTTTACCTTTCTGAGCTTTGGATTCCTTCACCAAATTTAGACTCTCCAATGAGAAAAAAAAAAATCCCTGCCTCTCAGCTGCTGCCTCCTCATCTTGTGAGGGCAGGCTTCGGATCCTGCTGTTCTTTAAGAGAAAGGAACCAGGACCTTGTGCTAGTTCAAAGGCTGTTTGGGCCTCCCGGGTGGTGGGCCGGTGGAGGGGAAGAGCTGGGTGTTCTGTTCTGAAGGCCAAGGAAGCAGGTCAAAAGCCTGGACAGCTGCAGGATACTATTGAGAGCCTGGTTCGGAGAAAGCCAAGCTGTTTCTGAGAACTTTTTTTTTTTTTTTTTTGAGGTAGAGTTTCATTCTTGTCGCCCAGGCTAGAGTGCAATGGCATGATCTCAGCTCACTGCAACCTCCGCCTCCTGGGCTCAAGCAATTCTGCCTCAGCCTCCTGAGTAGCTGGGATTACAGGCACCCACCACCATGCCCAGCTAAGTTTTGTATTTTTAGTAGAGACGGGGTTTCACCATGTTGGACCAGGCTGGTCTGGAACTCCTGACCTGAGGTGATCCGCCCACCTTGGCCTCCCAAAATGCTGGGATTACAGGCATGAGCCACAGCGCCCGGCCTCCGATCACTTTCTGAGCCATGGCAGACCCAGCCCTGGAATCACCGGCTTAGTATGTGGGCCAAACTTCAAGTCCTACAGAGGTCTCCAGGCTCCCAAGCCCTGCTCTACCCCTGCCCCCAAAAGGCACGGGCACACTGTCTTCTGTGGTGCCTGCCACATTTCCAAGTAGAGAAAAAAGATCGGGAAAAAAACACCAAAATACACCTCCACAGACACGGGGATGCAAACAACTTTTCCTTACATTTTTCTGTTAATTTCCAATTTCTCTTAAGAAGTGTTTCATAAACCATTAAAAAACAATGCTGGCCGGGCGCGGTGGCTCACGCCTGTAATCCTAGCACTTTGAGGCCGAGGTGGGTGGATCACCTGAGGTCAGGAGTTCGAGACCAGCCTGATCAACATGGCGAAACCCCGTCTCTACTAAAAATACAAATATTAGCCAAGCATGGTGGCACATGCCTGTAATCCTAGCTACTCGGGAGGCTGAGGCAGGAGAATCACTTGAGCCCGGGAGGCAGAGGTTGCAGTGAGCCGAGATCACGCCACTGCACACCAGCCTGGGCGACACAGCGAGACTCTGTCTCAAAAACAAACAAAAAAACAATGCTGGCAGCTGTCTGGTCTCTTCCCCTTTCACAGTTTGCACCCCAGCCTCAGCTCCTGGGCCTCATCCCCATCCTCCACTAAGCACAGCTTGGACTCCAGCTTGGCCTGGCATCCAAGGTTCTTCACAGCCCGCACTTGTCCCTTGGAGGGTTGCTGTGAGTAGAGCTGAGACTTCTTGGCAGTCCACTGCCAGGCAGGCAGTAGCTTGTTAACCATGCCGTCACCTCACAGCCCAATCGTGGCAGCCTGCTTTGGCCACACACACCTTCTTTGCATTGACCCCTATTTCCTGCAAGACTTTATGTTCCTGCCACTGAGGACCCGATCCCCATAGACCATCCACATCTTACAGGCAGGGAAGGCCAAGTTCATTCCATCCTTTCCCAGCTACTCTCCCCTCTTGCACCCAGGGCGCTTGCTCTCAGGAACATTTTTACTGGGAAATTTTTAACTTTCTCCAACTACCTTTTCTGTGGCTTCTTTCCGTCTTTGTCATGCCATCACTCCCCACTGTTTCCAGGCTTTGTCCCGGGGTGACACTGCATGCCCCAGCCCAGCATGATCACACCTGGGCAGCACGATCTCATCTGTTTCCCTGCTTCCTCCGCCCCTCCTTGGTGTTGTGTATGCAGGTTTAATGAACCCTGAAGCACTTTTACAACCTGAACTCACTCGAGGTTATTTATGTCTAAGTTTCTAACTAGAAACCCGGCCTCCTTCCTTGGACCAATCCTGGGTTTCTCCAGAGCCCTTGGCTGAACCTCAGTAACAGAGCCCTGAGGCTGACCTTTCCCCACTGGCATTCCTCTTGCCAGGCCTTGCCAGGCCTTGAGGGACGGGGACAGTGCTGCTACAGCAGCAGAAATGAACGTGAGGAGAGGGGGTGGGGCAAGCACAGCCCTGTCACAATGTGATGGAGTAAATGGCTTGCTTTCCCACCCCAGGTGTCTTAAGACAGGTGGGCAGGCCTTTCTCTCTCTGATTCTGCCAGAGGCAAGTGCTTGCCACGGTTCAGAGGGCCAAGCCTTCCTGCTGTCTCTTCCATTTCAGGGCCTCTAGCACCTTGGAGACTGATGCCTTAGTCAGCCACTTCCTCTCCAAAACCTTAACAAAAGCTGACGGCAGGGAGCAGAAAGGGAGGGAGCACAGGAATGGAGCTGGCCTGGGGGAGAGAAGCGGAGGAGATAGCTAAGCTGTGGTTAAGTCATTTATTGATTTTATTTCTAAAACCCACATAGCGCCACTTTGCCGCTTCCAGAGCTTCAAAGAGCTAATTAACCACCCAATGAGCCCACCAGGGAAACCAAGCTTGTGGGAGAAGCAATGAGGTGAAGCCAAGGTCAAAGAGGGTAGCCAGGCCCCAGGCCCTGCCCCCATTCTGCCACTTAAGGACAAAGGCAAAAAAGATGTCCTCCTTTTGGTGAGCCGAAGTTTAGGGCTTGGCTGGGGAAACGCACTGAGCCTGCCTTGCTTCTGAGGGCTCCTCAAGCCTGGCAGACCCATAGCAAAGCACAGGCCTCCTGGACGGGGGACCAGACACCCCAGTAAACAGCAGTAGCCAGCCCTAGCTCACAGCTGGAAAGCAGCCCAGGCCAGTTGCTGGCCCCAGCAGCCAGATGCTGGGGGAGCCTACTGTCCCTCAGCCGCCCTGAAGGAAGGAGAGGCAGGTGGAACCAGGGCAGCTCTAAGGCACCTCTGCCCAGGAGAGGACCTCACTACCTGGTGGAGACTCCACATGGATTTTTCTGGAACCCTAACAGTAACTACCCACTCGCCGCCCAAGACATGGAAAAAAAGCAGAAGACCCTTTGAAAAGTGCTTGCAAAGCACAAGATGGGGCACTTTATCCTGTCCCCCCGACCCCCGCCAAAGCCTACAGCGCTGGCAGGCTGCAAGTCACCAGCAGAGAAGGAAAAAAGCCACTTGGCGGTTTTAATTTTAGCTGCTCTGTGCCTGACAGGCAGGATTAGTTGGCTTGACCTTTAGTGTTGATGCCTCCCCAGGCCCAGGGCCTTAGGTGGCAGCTTCCAGGCACAAATCACCACTGGAGCTCATCAAACGTGGACGTCTGAGCCCCAGGAAAAAGCCTTCAAAGGACAGAGACTAGAAAAATGAGCAGTGAACAAGGAGGGGCAAAATTGGTTCTCAGCGATGTTAACTAGTCACCAAAGGGGAGACTGTGGAGCCACCCACACACTGAGCTCCCACCACCAAAGCCACACACAGGAGGCAGGTGGTGGGCTTCCCTAATTAACCACCCACAGTCTCACCCCCCCGGACCTGGTGCTGAACGAAAGTTAAGGCACCTTTGGTGCTGCTGCTGCTGCTGGTGGTAGAGGAAGTTTATGTGAAAAGAAAAACCGGGCGGGGCAGGCATTAAAAAGAAAATAAAGAAGCAGACCCAGAAAACCACACTGCTCTTTTATTCAATGGAACATCCCCGCTTTAGCGCAGTGTTGAATCTAACACCGAAAAAAGCCCAGAGAAATTTCTGCAGATAAACCAGTGAAGAGAACGCGCAGTATACATTATTGTCAACAGAATCACTTCATGGAGAGGGAAGCGGGAGGAAAAAGGAAGGAGAATGAACAAGGGGCTCAAACCCCTACACACTGCAAAACATTCAGACATTTGGGATTAAAACAAAACATAAAAGGAAGCCTTCCAGGAAGGAGAGGACCAAATGGAATCTGAGGCAGCTCAGGTGATCAAGGAGCACAGGAAGAACTCCAGGCTGGCAGGCGAGCCCGAGGGAGCTCAGGCTGCCCACCCACTGCTGGCAGGATCGCCAGGACGGATGGGAATCCCGAAACCTGGAGATGAACCTACCCTCGGCAACTTTACAAGACTCCCTTGACAAGGGTGGCAGAGATTAAAAAACCCCACGCTTTAAACAAACATCTTTGGGGGTGGCTATGGCACCTTGAAAAACCCACAACCAGCTTGACATGAATGGCCAAAGCCCTTGCCCAAAACCATTTGCTCCCCTCTCCTTGGTAAGGGAAGGAGAACTGGAGAGAAGGGAAAGGAATCTAAATTGCAGCAGAAGACCGGGGAGAGCATCTCCTTGGACGGAGTCTGAAGAAAGGAAAAGATAAAGAAGTAACAAAGGAAAAAGAAAAAAATTAATAAAAATTTCACGATATGGAGCCAGCGTGTTCCGATTCCGTCCACAAAAATAACTCAGGCTGCTTTGCCGAACCATCCTGTCCACCAGGGGCGTTGCTGAGGCTGTCTGCCTGGAAGGGTCACCAATGGGCGCGGAAAGTCCTCACTCTCATGGCTCGGGCCATCGCCGCCGCGGGGAGGGATCCTGGCGGCCCGGTTTGGGGAGAGGCAAAGGGAGTTGGGTGAGGAGAGAAAGAAGACAAAGAAGACACTCGATGCTACGGGGCGCCAGGAGAGCCCAAGCTGGCGCCCCTACTACCACCTGCCCGTTCCCAAGCGAATCCTCAGTCGCTTGGCCCAGCCCAGTGCGTGCACACACACACATGCGTGCACACACAATCACATGCGTGCGTCCCAATGTCTGGCTCCATATGGTGAGGTTCGGCGTGTTTAAACGAGACCAATTCTCTCTATATATAATATATATTTTCTTAAAAAACAAGTCTAGTTCTGTGGTGGAGGCGGTGGGGGAGCTGGAGGCATCCCGAAGGGCGGCATGCCCGCCACCCCCATGCCCATCATGGTGACAAAGTTAGAAGGGTCCATGGGAGGCGGAGGAGGAGGGGGCGGGGCATACATCATGCCGGCGGAACCAGGCGGTGGAGGCGGCGGAGGGGGAGGGGCCCCAGGCGGCAGAGGCGGCTGGACCCCGGGGGGCAGGGGCACCATAGTGGGGTTGCCTTGCATCTGAGGGGCTCCTGGAGAAGCTGCGGCAGCCGCCTGCTGCTGTTGCCATGGCGGGATGGACCCTGTGCCAGCGCTCGTGGTGGTAGTCGTCGTATCTGGGGTGGTAAAGAAGCCCAAGGTCACACGCGCGGGGGCACACCGCGGCTGTCTGCGGCTGCTGCCTTGGGATGGGGGCGAGGGGCGCCTGCTCCTTGCTTGGCATGCGGTACGGTGGTGGGGGGCGGGTGGGCGGGGCTGGTGATGGGGAGTGGAGGGGTGGGCAGGACTACCCTGGGGTCAGCCTCGAGGTCTCTGGGCTTAACAGAGTAAGCCCTTTGTCACCAATGCCCCTGGAAGGGCTGAGGGGAAGGTACCAGACACAAGAACAGCTCTGATGTCCCTCCGCCCAGCCGCCGCCACCACCGAACGGCACATTCAACCTCAAGGCCACAGCTGCTGTCTCCCCACTGCCCAGTCCCACCTCTGCAGTCTCTCACCCCAATCGCAGCCCTTGCCAGAGCAAGCATGCACCATCCCACTCGACCCATATGCACCAGGCTCAGTCCAGCCAGCCGCTCACTCAGCCTGCGAGGGTCTGGACTTCTGGCCCCCTACCTACAATAGCAGGCTCCCCTCCAGGCCCCCACGAACCTCTCCCCAGACACAACCACACCAAACATCAGCTCTCCTCTTCAAGATGCCCCTCCACCCCCTGGACCAGGAGGCCCTTTCTGTTTACAACCCCAGCAGAGCCCAGGGGCTCATCCCAAGACACCTGCCTGCTTGTGTGAGGCTCTATGGTTCCTGTCAGCCCCACCCCCATCCCACCCACCCCCACAAGCCCAAAATATTCTACTCACTTTGCTGCCATGGCAAGGGGGTACTGGAAGCCATACTGCTGCTGGGCGGAGGGGGTGGCGGAGGCTGCTGCTGCTGTTGTTGCCATGGGGGAAGAGGACCAGAGGGAGGGGGTGGGGGCTGCCCACTGGGAGGCGGCGGCGGCGGCGGCATCATGCCCATAGGTGGTGGCGGCATCATACCTGTGGACAGGTGGAGGCAAAGATGAGGCCTCAGGGAAAGGCGGGGACTTGGGCCAGAACCCCCACTCACCCAAGCCTAGGTGAAGACCCACAGCCAGCAGACAGCCATTACCTTTTCCTTGATGCAGGCGATAGACCCCAGAGCCCACAGGCGTACTTCCCAGGTACTGATCTTGATGGAAGGAAAGAGCAGGGACTTAGCAGGACATTGGAACTGGCCAGGGAAGCCACCCCTGTGATAACCTCAGTTGCTATCCTTACGCGAGTTCTGAAAACCATGCCTGTAAAAGGCAGGTCTGTGCTTACCCAACACAGAATCACTCCCTGAACCAGAATGGAGTCTTGCTCCTTCCAGAGCCACAACCCTGGCAAGCCAGGCAGACCCAGCACATTGCCCAGCCACTTGAGAGCTGCTTCTAGCCAACAGCGACCTGACGTAACCCCTTGCTTATCCCAAAGCCCCCAAGGTTTCTGGTCTGACACTTACTTACCCATTGGAGGAGGGCCATGGTGCCCAGGAGGGTGGGGGCCCTGGTTCATCGGTGGTGGTGGTGGCTGCATCCAAGGGGGTGGGGGTCCATTGGGGTTGTGCTGCATGGGATGTCCACCATGCCCACCTGTCAGGCTGGGTAATGGGTGTGGGAAGCTGTGGGGGCCACCTCCGGGCCCACCAGGACCACCTCCATGCATGCCGTGGTAGGGCCGACTCTCTGAAGGGCCAGAATTCATCCAGGGTGGGCGGCTCTGGGTGGTAGACATGAGAGACTACGTGAGAGCATTTCCTGCCAACGTCCCTGCCTGCGCCTCCTAGTGGCAACATTGTTCTTCGGGTTATGACACAGGACCAGAACACAAGAACAAGGTCTTCCCGAAGTGAGAAGTCCCCAAACTGGCCTGAGATCCCGGAAGAACAATGTTGCCATCCACATCCATTGTCTGCTCTACCCAAACCACGTGGCCATAGCTCCCAGTCTCTGCAGTAGAGAATGGGGAAGCCAGACCAAGAGAGCCAGCCCCCAGGCTCACCGGTGGAGGTGGGTTGTTGGCGGGAGCAGCAGGACGAGGTGCGCTGGCCAGGGGTGTGGTGGCAGGCCCAGAGGTGGAGCCCACAGATGCTGGGACAGGTGCTTCACCCAGTTCAGCCATGAGGGACAAATATTCTTTATCCATCCGTGCTTTATCCTGAGCTGACTGAGGATCACCAGGCCTGAAGTGGGGTGGGGGACACAAACAGAGAAAGGGGAAAAACTTGTTAAGAAGGAAGCTTTTATCCTGAGGAACCAACATATGGAAAGTTCTGAAGAATTCAATCACCAGATCATCACACATCTTTCTAACCCCTTACTGGGCATGGCTCTCAACAGTCTCATCAGATCTTCAGTTTCGTGCCCAGTTCTGCATCTGGGATCACCAGAGTAGAGGGGCCCCTGGGCGAAGAGCACAGGAGACCCTGAGCACCGATGAAGCACAGGTTCTCTCAAGTCAATTTCATCAAACTTCATTCCCAGTTTGAGGAAAGGAAAATCTATGCAAGACTGGCACAACTGCCAGAACGAACTTCCTAAACAAAACCTTACATATTCGCCAGCCAGTCAGAAAGTGTTGATATCGAGTGCTGACTTGCAACTGGTCAGAAATCTGTAGAGATTGCTTAGTCTTCTTGAACCAATTCTGAACAGCAAAAGCAGTGAATTTCCTATTGAGCCCCAGTAAAAACATACCCAAAATGGAAACTTCCAGTTTTCTTGGGCTCAAGACAAACAAACAGGGGTATCTGTACAGCCTATTTCTAATCATCCTGGGCTTTAAATCACACCATTACAGACCACACTAACAGAAAGGATGTTTCTCTTGGTAAGATTAACAGCAACCAATGAATGTGCCAGAAAAGTTGTCCTGCACATCGCAGGCTACCAGGAAACCGCAAGAGCCAGCCCCTCACCTTTGGAATTTACAGTCTGAAGCAATGTGGCCAGCCCCTCCACACTTGGTACACACTGTGGTGTTGGTAATGCTGCGGGTCTCTGAGCTCTGCCAGGGTCTTAAGATCCTATTAAAGGAAAAAGAGGTCAATGCAAGGGAACAATCTCTACTTCCATAGGTTCTTCAGGTCTCTACACTCTCCTTTAAACTGATCACATACCTGTTATCGTCTTCCCGAAGGGTCCCATTTAAGCGAGCCAACTCCCGAAGCTGCATCTTCCGTAGATCATTCTGGTCCTCTGGAGTCTCGATACCCTGCTTCAGGATGTTTCTTATCTAGTGAAAATGCAATGGACAGTTAAGTGCTTAGGGCCTCCACCTAGGTTTCTGCTAGGAGGCTTCCTTTCTGGGCTCACCGCTCACCTGTTCCACTGCCTTTTTGACGTTCTCCATTGTATTGGCAGTAACCAGGGCATGAAGTGGCTCATCTTCTCCTGGCAACATCTGGCCATCTTTGCGCCCAACCTTCCCTTCTTTCACAGACCCTTTCCCCCGGATCATAATCTTGGCATTGCACTCCTTCTCTATGTTCTTCAGGGTGTTCCCTCTAGAGAGGCAGAAATGACTAAGTTTATACCTGACAAATTCACACTCAAGAGGGAAGAGAGGCTGGACCAATTTGGCATTGGTGGGAAACCACAAGCGCAGAGAATTGGATTTTCCCACCAAGAGCTCCATGAACTCTATATTATGGTCAGCCACAGTAAACCTGAGGATTTGACTTCTCCGCACTAGTGGGGAAGTTAAGACACCTTCTCACAGAAAGGCATTAATTCAGCCAAAATGAAATGTCCTACCAAAAAGGGGAAAAGTAAGCCAACAGTCCCCAATTAGGCACAAAACGGACACATCTCACAGGCTCTAAAGGAATTCTATATCCTATAGACCAGCAGTTACTCACCTGGGCCCGATGAGCAGCCCCACAAAGTTGATTTCTGGGTACTCATCTTGTGGAATCATGACTTTATCACTCACACGTGTTGCTGGAGGTCTAAGAAAGAAAAGCCTGTGTCACCGCACATTTCTGGAGAATGACACAGCCAGCGGCTTTTCTAAAACCAAATATTGGTACCAAGTGCTAATTATGGGTGACTTGAGGCAAGAGGTGAGTAGTACCAATACTGTCCCATCCCAGCAGGTCACCCATGATCTGCATGTGTCTTCATCCCAGATGACCGAGCCCCTCCGCTTACTTGTAATCTGCAGGTGGCTTGAAATCCGGATTGAGTGCAACCATCTCTGTGATGAGGTTGTGCCGCTCCTCTTCCAGCTTTTTGCGGGTGCGGAACTCTCGGGTGTTAAGCCGCTTCCCCTCGCTATTGTAGATGGGCTCAGGGGAAGGGGACCTGTGGGAAACAGACTCCCGTTTACTATTCTGCACCGACTTCTCTCATTCCCACACGGACTATAACAAGTCTTTCCCAGCCCCTCTGCCTCTCAGACCCTAATACAACACTCTTCGGAGGAACCGACCATAACGTGTGCTACTCAAGATCGTGTGGAATGGGGAGATGGAAGCTGGCTTAACGTTAGGGGTCTGGGGTGTGTGTGAGAAAGGAAAAAAATAAAAGATTTTGCATCTAGAAGTGATGAGAGGAAAAAATGTCTATTCTTTGGGGAAAATCTTTGGACTGTAAGTGGCAAGGACAGTATCATCCCCTGGAGTCTTCTTGCCAAATACGGATTTTCTTCCATTTGAAAAAAAATACATATCCCAACTTTATGAACCACAGAAACCCCAAGTTTAGGCAAAAGGTTAACTCTTGGAGAGCTCATGCCCTATGAGGAAAAGCTTCTGTACCCCTAACACATAGTATGTATGAGCTCTTTAACCCAATGCAACTGGGACTGAAGGCTACTGCAGCTACTTGGCCCCCACAATGGAGAGAGATGGTTCGCTTCGTCTTTGCTTTTCCTTCAATGGCCTGGCTGGCTGTGTCCAAGGCCCAGGAGACAACCTGTTTTCTGGCTGTTCGAGGTTGGGGAGTCTGGGTAGAGAAAAACGTTAAAGTGCTAAAGCAGCTTCTGCGAGAGGCTGCAAATGCAGATTTGGTCATACTTGTCTAGGGTCTGAACCTGCAAACAGCAAGGGGAAAACCTATGATTCTCCACCAGAGTTTACAAGTCCAGAAAGCAGATTTTCTCTCTCTCATTTTTTTAAGGAGTAAAATGCTGTTGCTACAAGTAAAAAAATGTAATGATAAAATGGTCAGTTTACCACAGCTGGATTTTGCGGTAATAAAAAAGAGAGGTTACACTCCTAGAATTTTGAGTTAAGATTACAAAAAGGACCATAGCTTGATATTCTGAATGAAAATTTAGTAGCAGCTGCAAGAAGGGAAGAGACCATGTGGATCAGGTTATTAAAAAAACATACTGAAAGTAATCAAGACTCCTATACCCTTGGTTTAGTTGAGAGAACCTTGCCTAGTTGGAGAGCAAGGACTGAACTCGGCTGCTCCCACTGTCTTCAGCCTAAAGGGAACCATGTCACACCACGTTACACACACGATGGAATAAAAGGTCAGGTTTGTTCATGGCTAATGACGGCTAAATGACACCTCCGTTTCTAGCATTTGTATAAACTGTTAGCACAATCCATTAAGAGTGAACAAAAGCAAACATACCCCAGCTCATTAGACTACCATCTTATACATTTAAGTCTACAAGAAAAGTTTTAAACATGTTTTTACTGTGCAAGTTAAGCAGCATCAAAATAACAATAAAGTGGCTTAAGTGATATAACACCTTTTTAAGAAATTATCTTAATTAAGAAAACCCATGCATTTCCCTCCAACCTGGGCTCAAAAGCAAAACCAATCAGGCATTAGGGCCTCTTTCAAAACTGAATAGAAGGGAGGAAAAACCCTGCTCTGGTTTTATTTCTAACATGCTTGACATTTCTAATTCCCACCCCACAGCTGTCTAGAATTAAGCATTCTTAGCTAGTTACAAAAACAAGTCTTACCAGCACCCAATTGGCCATGTGAAGGCCTCACAACAGTTTAACCTCCTCCCAAATTGCAGAAGTGAAAGGCAAAAGCTAGTATTCTAGAGGTTAGACTGGCCCGACTTCTTCACCTCCAACAGGCATCGGCTAGATCAACTAAATTCTAATCCCAGTTATCCAGGAAGCAAAGAAGGTTTGTTAAAAATTCAACCTTTGGAGGAATTGACTGGTGACCTGTAGACATATTATTAAAGGGAAAAAGGCCAAAAAGGCACTAAACAGTTGTGGTCTATGACCTACAATGTAAATTTAAAAAAAAAAAAAATCTTCAAAAAGAAACGAAACACAACACAACCCTACAACCAAAATCTATCTATAGGTAAAATATAGCAAATGTAGTAAGTCAAATTAAAGAGTCAATATGGAGAAACAAGGAAGTTAATGTTTCCTGGCAAAGGGCGGAAGAAAGATGCATGAGTGAGTGACTTCTAAAGCCATTACATCATCTTCCTGATTTAATAAGCTATTAACTGGGTAACAAAAACCAAAAACACTACTTTTTAAAGCAAAGTCTTTTCAACTATTCTGTATGTACTAAGAGAAAATTCAGTGAGAGGGAGAGACTTACTGCCCTTCTAATTAAATGACCAATTTTAGCTGTTCAATCAGCTAATAAAATTCCAGTTTAAAAAAGTTCATCTCCCCCACACAATTTATTTTTCTGAGGTGAGAGAAACTGCAAACTGAAATGACATGACCACAGCTGTTTGAGGCCCACGCTCCCTTTAAGGAAAAAAAAAAAGTAATTTAGGGTTGGTTGCATGCCTTCCCAAAATAGGTGAGAATATTCTGGCCCCTCCCAACACCCCCAAGGCAATGGCCAAGGCTGAAAGTTAACTGGCAGTGAAAGAAGTTGGTTAGAAATCTCATCTGATTTTGAAACCATCTCAAAACCATGAGCAGGAAGACTGCAGCAATGAGCTGACCAGAGCTCCTGGCTTGCTCAAGTTCAGTGATGCTCAAAAATATTTTTAGTCCCTGCACTGTGTACCTGTGAGAAAAACTCTATGCCCTGGGCTTTTGGCCAAAGCAGGTACTGAAAAGGCAGGTTAACGGGCCACCTCACTGTCCCCTAAGGGTGGGTAAATCAGGTTAAGATCTACATGCTTACCAATTGGAAACCAGTTGTCCATTTTCCTGTAACTTTTTATTCTCCCAACATTTTTAAGTTTTATTCCAATTTTCTAACTGTTGACTGACCATACATATTTCTAATTAAACCTTAATCCCCAAAGTGGTCAGGGTACAGTCGTCATACTATGATTTTATTGAACTGACACAATATGTTGCCACCAGTAAAACGTATTGAGAAAAAGGTAAAAGCGTTACTGTCAGCTGGTTAAAACTGTTTCCCAACCTGTCCTCAGGGTTAGGGGGGATGCCCAGGTCTCCTGTGCGCAGTTTACGAGTCAGGTCTTCTATCTGCAGTTGCACTGGAAGAAACCAGGTTAGGAAAGAAAAAAAAGGATGGAAAAAAGACAATGTTACCAATAAACATCTCAAATCTCAACAACAAGCATGAAGAACTCGGAGACTTTGAAAGGGACGACTGATCAGTGAACACATTGAAGCAAAAACCCCCAACCACCTATCGGCAGGAGTCCTTTTACATCTATAGGTTTTTTTCACTTCAAAATGGTTATCACTTAAGGAAGCAAACAGTTTGTTGGAAGAGGGGTTAGCAATAAAGACTGTTCACTAAGGCTAACATCCAAGCAATTATTAGGAGGTGTTTCACCTCTTCCTCCCCACCAAGGCTTGCTTACCATTGGTACCCAGAACCATAAACCATGTTACGTCACCAATACCCGACTCCCATCAAATTACTTGAGGGCAAGAATTGAGTTTTTTCTTCATTAAATGTTAAACATAGCCCAAAATGAGACCCAATTAACATGGGACAAGGAAAAATACCAATTGAGCAAAGATCATTTTCATTAATACATTTAAAATTCCTTAAATAAGACATTTAATAACAAAATTCAACACCTTATAGAAATTTGTACATACTCTTTCTGTACAACCAGACCTGTACTAGTAAGGGTCTCCCAATACCTGCAGCTCTTATTCAATTATATGAAATATTTATTCAAATATTAAATGACAAACCACATATCTTAATAAACCAGTAACCATAAAGTGCTAAGAATTTGTTTTCAGGCTCACTGTTCATATGGGGAGCAGGCGTGTAGAAGAATGGAATGTGTGTTCAAGGACAATGTACTTGGCCCTCGGGCCTTGACCAATGAGGCTGTGCATGAAAAAGAGAGATGAGGGTTTCACAAAAGTTGCCAGTGACGCCAGGGAAATGTTACACAGCTGATTTTCCAAGATAATGGGAACTGCAGAGCCAGAGCAGCTTTCTTCAACATGCGGAATAACCACCTGTTCCTTACCTTCGCAGCATCTGAGAATTTTCAGCAGGCATCTCCAATAAGGGCAAATGTTACTAGGTTGGGTTAAAACTGAGCTGGCTCCAAGATAGGATTAATGCGTGTCTAACCAAAGATTCCTTCTAACTTTAAATACATCCACAGGGCTATACCACACCCACACACTAAAACCCTGAAGAAATGAAAACCCATTATTATCGAAAGAAAATACTGGCCGGGCACAGTGGCTCACACCTGTAATCCCAGTACTTTGGGAGGCCAAGGCAGGCAGATCATGAGGACAAGAGATCGAGACCATCCTGGCCAACATGGTGAAACCCCGTCTCTACTAAAACTACAAAAAAAATTAGCTGGGCATGGTGGCGTGCGCCTGTAGTCCCAGCTACTTGGGAGGCTGAGGTGGGAGAATCACTTGAACCCGGGAGACGCAGGTTGCAGTGAGCCGAGATCGCACCACTACACTCCAGCCTGGCGACACAGCAAGACTCAGTCTCTCAAAAAAAAAAAAAAAAAGATATTGAGGGCATCCTGGACAAAGCAGTATGTACCGTGGGAGACAGAAAAGTAGTAAGACACATGGTTCCCCAAGCTCCTTTATGCCTAAAAAGTTCTGACTTTGCAGTTGAGTATTAAGCTCAACAACTCGAGGTGAAAGTCACCTTCACTGAGGGGAGAAGGTGAGTCTTCCTAGCTGACTATGGAGATGTGGGGCCTGATCTAAATAAAAAGGGTCATTCTCTTCTGTGGAGAACTACACCTCTCCTTTGATTCTATTTTGATTATAGCTATAAATAGTCCTTAGGGCCCAGTGAACTAACTAGCCCTCCACAAAAACAGAAATGGAGATATAAAGAATTTGTGCTCTTCCCATCTTCTAAGTATGCTTGTGTTCTTGGGATATCACTCCACTAGGGGCATTTCACAAGGATGTAAAGACCCAGACTAGTCTAATATGAGACACAATGGAATGGGTGGGAGTAGACAGGAACAGTAGGGGAAAGAACAAGTATTAGTAGTACTGTGAAAGGAGACAGACAATTCCAACGCCTCAAAATTCTCAGCAGTCTAAAAAACAGGAAATTAAGACCCTCAAAAGTAGTAACATGCTGGCCTTGAAGCTTTTTGGTTGTGAAGGCCACAGCCTCGTAGGTTTAGGAGGTCTTTGCCCGAATTTCCTCCAAAGGGGATGTTTATTTGGTTAGTAGGAAATGTTTATAAAGTGAACTTTTTTGAGACAGCTGCACAGGTATATAAAGATAAAACTTGCATTAAAAACTTTTTTTTCCAAAAAAGCAATTTTGAGGTTAATTTCAATTCCACTGTGGATAGTCATTAATTCTCAAAACCTCCCAGCAAATAAAACCTTTTTATCCTAGCACTTCATTCCATATCCATGCAATATCCCTTTCCCAGCAGAGTTCTTTAAAAGTAAATACAAGAGCCTTCATTTTAAGACAGCTCTCCATAGACCAAACCAGAAAAGATGTTGAAGGGAAGGTTAAACTCTTAAATTCAAGAAAATAAAAAGGGGTAAATTGTAAACACACTTTCAGAACCACTTTTTGTCATTTTTTTTTTTTCAGAAAGTACCTATAAAAAGTAAAAGACCACATTTTAGGGGGAGAAATATAAAATTATGGTGAAAGGCCACGCTGTGAAAAGTACTTGGTTTACAGTACCTGCGGTGTTCTCCACTGGGGCCTGTCCAGAGAGGCAGATGACACTCACCTCATCAACTGGCAATGAACAGCAGCTGAAAAGGGTGGCTGCTGGACTGGGGACTGTTCTTACTCCTAAGTGAAACCCTACCTTCCTGATACTCATGGAGAACACTGCAGTTACGAACAGACCAAAACAAGGAGCTGCAAATGCAGAACTCACTGGGCAAAAACTGACAGATGATACCAAAGTCGTGAAAGTATCTCATCTCAAAAAAGATAACTACAATCTCAAACTTTCAAAAAATGCAGATCTTGCTCAGAATAAATCGTAACAATCTCAAAGTGCATTTGGATGCAGAACGTATATTTACCTATATAAGCTCTTTCTTGTTCTCGAGTAAGTCCAGGGGGAATAACTGTAGGCATTCCTGGAATCACTGTCTTCTGTTCCATTGTGTCTTGGTTCCAGCGGCTCCTCTTCCGCTTCTTACTTGGGAAGTCTAAAAGGCAGAGACAAAATCCATCCGATGTAAATACAAGTAGTTATCAACAGACAGCTAAGGGTATTTAAGGTACTACACAGAAACTCAGCAGACTGTGAAGCTGAGAGCTTAACCTAAAACTTAAACATTAAAAAAACAGAAAACAAACCTCAGAGATCAGAGATTTAAAGCTTATGGCCACTACAAGGGTATGTGGTCCTTGGTCAGGCAAGTTAACATTTCACCTTCTTTTGTCTAGAAAAACTGTCAGATATATAAACGTGGTAATCTTAATGCATATGGCTGCAGAGAGTGTTAGATAGATACTACATCAACCATGAGTGCTCTGAAATCCCCAGGGGAGACAAAAATACACTGAAGAATCATAGATTTGTAAAGCAGTCCTGATGGGACTGGGGGCTCCACCCACCTCCACTCCCCTCACCAGTCACTTTTGTACGAGAGGCCGGACCACAACTAAACCTAGTTACACCCTACCAAGTGGGAAAAGCCCAATTCTTCAACAAGATCACCTTTGTCTTCATAAGTTTAGCCAAGATCAGCATTCAGTTTTCCTGGCCAGTTGGACACTGAGGGTCTGAACTCTTAAAAGGATCTATCAAAAATTCAACAACCTATACAATAGCAGCCAAGTTCTCCTTTCCCCGTACATAGGCAGAAACTCCCTACATTTGCCACAAAAGAGTCCTTCTATTTCCCAAGGGGTACAGGATCAGAGGGAAAAGCTTTTTAAAACAAAGCGACAGGGCAGCCGATCAGACTGAGATCTAAACATACTGAACAGATTTAAAAAAAAAAACAAACTAAAATTCTCTCCCCAAAAGAGACCAAGAAAGATCAGACCCAACCATCATCTGAAGCATGCCAACCTCTCCCGGATGAAAACCCTGCCTTGCTGTAGAAGCAGAGGAGCTATCCTTGGTACGGTTCCCATTCTGGTTCCTCAAGACCAGAAGGGAGTCGCTGCACGTCATCAGGTGAGGCTTTCACGCCCTGCTGGCATTCACAGCTAGCACCCCGTCCAGCGCTGAACACCCGCCACCCCTGTTCCCGACACCAGCGGACTGGACAGCAATAGTGGGCCCCCAGTCTATACAGTTGCGCCGCACAGCCCGGCCACCTCACTGCGTCTGCGCACAGAGCGCCTCCCGCCCGCCCAGCCCTCCCCCCACAGCGCGCGTGCGCACTCGAGGCCCTAGAACCAGGCCGCGCGCGCCCAGGGGCGCCTCCGCCCGGGCCTCCCCGTGCGCGCACGCGCGCCCCTGCCGCGTGCAGCCGCCGTCGCCGCCGCCGCGCGCCCCTCAGGCGGCCGGGCCCGTCCGCGCGACGCCTCTCGCGCTCTCTCGGCCCGACTCACCTCCTCCGCCGCCGGCCGGGCCCGGCTGCTGGTCCTTACGCGGCGGCTGGGGTGGCGGCGGCTGCGGCGGCGACACGCGCTGGTAGAGCGGCGGCGGAGGGGGCGGCTGCGGCGGCGGGTACGAGGCGCCGGGGGACGGTGGCGGTGGAGGCGGCGGCGGCTGCTGGGGAGGCGGAGGGGGCGGCGGCGGAGGCGGCGGAGGCAGCGCCGCGAAGGGGAAGGCCGCGGTCAGGGCCCCCATCGAGCCCACGGGCGGGGGCGGCGGCGGCCCGGGAGCCAGCAGCCCCGCCCCAGGCCCGGGTGCAGGCGGAGGGCCCGGCTCGAAGCCTCCTTTGGGCCCGGGGAGCGGGGGCAGCCCGGGGGGGCCCAGCTTACCCAACGGCGTGGCGTTCGCTCCGGTCGCCATGGCGCCCCCGGGGACAGGCACCGGCACCTGCTTTTCCTCTGCGGCGGCTTCTCCTTCGCAAGCCTCCCGGGGGGAGGGGACCCGAATGCGCTGCCGGAGCGCGCGGAGCCCGTCCTCTCACGCGGCGGGCGGCGGCGGCGCGAGACGCACAAAGAGGGAGGAGAGAGGGCACCGCGGGGGCGGGCCGGGGGCGGCGGGGCCGGGGCCTGGATTGGGCCGGGCCGAGGCGAAGGGTCGAAATCGGCGGCCTCCGATTGGCGGAGCCTCAGTCCTTCTTGATGCGCGCTGGGATTGGCCGAACCGTTAGGCCAAGCGAGGAAATGGCGGCGGAGTTCGGTGGGCTGGGAGGTGTCGCAGCGCGCACTTCATTTGTTACTGCGTGAACTGAGCTCCGAGTCCAGAAAGGAGGGGATGGGGTGGGGCGAACTCTATGACGGAGCGACGGCGAGCTCTCTCATTGGCTGCGGTGGTGGACTCAATCAATCTCGCCTGCGTTGTAGTGTCGCGGGATTGGCTGTCGCTGGTTCCAGCCTTTTTCTACTCCCCTCCCCCAGGGGGCAGTTTCTCCGGGATTAAGCGAGAGTCGCGGCGGAAAAGGCCCAGCCGGAACGAGATTTACGGCGGGGGAGTCCTGGAGCAGGAAGTGCGCATGCGTAGATGGAGCAAAACCGCCTCTCCACCCGTCTCCCTTCACCATCGACCCTTGGGTCCAGCAAGGAAGCCCTAAGTGACGTCAACCTTTGTTCCCATGGTAACGCAGAACCTTGGGGCGGGAGCAGGGGAGGGGCTGGCGCGCGCCGGAAAACCGGCTCAGTTGACGCTGCAGGTAAAAAGACTTCCTGTTTTTTTGGAAAAAAAAAAAAAAAAAAAAAGTGACCCAAAAAGCTACGAATAGAGACGACTTATCGAAGGATTTAAAACAGTATTTGAACTGATGCAACAACATATTAGATGAAAGGTAACAGAAGGTTGTCAGTTCAAAAATTACAAATACACACTTCTATTGGAATCTCCACGGAGTTCAGAGGATTTAATTAAATGATCTTAAAATCGTATAAAACAATAACTACGGCCGGGCGCGGTGGCTCACGCCTGTAATCCCAGCACTTTGACAGGCCGAGGCGGGCGAATCACAAGGTCAGAAGGTCGAGACCAGCCTGACCAACATGGCGAAACCCCGTCTCTACGAAAAATACAAAAATTAGTTGGGTGTAGTGGTGCACTCCTGCAATCCCAGCTTCCCAGGAGGATGAGGCAAGAGAATCGCTTGAACCCGGGAGGCGGAGGTTGCAGTGAGCCGAGATGGGGCCACTGCACTTCAGCCTGGGTGACAGAGCGAGACTGTCAAAAATAAAAATAAAAATAACTACTACAGTACTGGGAAAACTTTACAAGACGGAGCAGGAGCTTGCCTTTCCAGATGACAAACATAGTATATAAAACACAATAGGCCAGTGCCAAGGCACTGGGAGGCCAAGGCGGGGGGATCACCTGAGGTCAGGAGTTCGAGACCAACCTGACCAACACGGTGAAACCCCCGTCTCTACTAAAAGTACAAAAATTAGCCGAGCGTGGTGGCAGACGCCTATAATCCCAGCTTCTCAGGAGGCTGAGGCAGGAGAATTGCTTGAACCCAGGAGGCGGAGGTGTAGTGAGCTGAGATCGCACCACTGTACTCCAGCCTGGGCAACAGCATGAGACTCCGTCTCAAAAACAAAAAACCACAATAATAAAACAATATGATATTGTTGGTAGGAAAGACACATTAGTGCAACAGAATCCGGAAATACCACAAATGTAGTATTTTATTTCAATCAGGAAAAGATGATTTCGTTGATAAATGGCGTAGAATCTTAAATTTAAACAACAAAACATTTAGAATATAATTTAGGAGACTATAAGGGTATTCTAGGGGTTGAGAGACTGCAAAGACAGGAACCTCAAACTGTAAAAAGATATACTTGATTACCCCGAAAATTAACACTGATAAAAGTCAAGAGACAATGATAGATGAGGAAAAAATATTTGCCATACATGATAAAGAGCCAATACCTGTAATATACAAATACATCTTAAAAACTAATTAGAAAAAAGGCAAAAACAATAGAAAATGAGCAAAAAATAGGAATGGACATGTCTCAGAAGAACAAATCCAAATAGCCAAGAAATATGAAAGGGTGCACAACCCCTCTGCTGTGGTTTTTTAAAATAAATAGAAAAGATGTTGGAACCCCCACAACACTTGAAACCTGGAGAGAGAGGTGACTGTGATCTCAGCCATGTATGGTTATAATTTTTTCTGAGATAATAAATTAGACCTGCTTGTTTTTCTTGTTCTGTACAATTATTGGAGAGAATTAAACATGGGACAAAAACCTGCTGCCTTCTTAATGACCCTTCTTATAGATAACTTCCCTTTTGTTGTCCTGCTTTACTTAGACCAGATGACAGCAAACCCATGACTATTACACCCTCTGTAAAAAATGTTAAATGTATGCCTCCCAAAAAGAAACACTGCTTACAACCAAATTATTTATTATTATTATTTCAATTTGAGACAGAGTCTGGCTCTGTCGCCCAGGCTGGAGTGCAATGGCACAATCTCGGCTCACTGCACCCTCTGCCTCCCAGATTCAAGCGATTCTCCCACCTCAGCCTCCTGAGTAGCCGGGATTACAGCCACCTGCCATCATGCCCAGCTAATTGTTACATTTTTGTAAAGATGGAATTTCACCATGTTGGCCAGGCTGGTCTTGAACTCCTGACCTCAGGTGATCTGCCCGCCTCGGCCTCCCAAAGTGCTGGGATTACAGGAGTGGACCACTGCACTCGGCCTATAACCAAATTACTGTAAGTACGCACTGACCATATATGAAGAATGTAATCCTAAAACTCCTCTGCCTTTGTGTGTGTAAATGAAACCTTAACTTCTCTACTTCGAAACACTGACTCCATTCATTTGGAGTCGGTGTTTCCAGGTAGTCCACCCTCATGTTTTGTGCTTGAATAAACTATTGAAATTAGATTCTGACCCTTTTGATTACTTTAGGTGGACAGGTTTGAATGTGTCCCCCAAAGCTCATGTGTTAGAAACTTAATCTCCATCCAGGCGCGGTGGCTCCAACACTTTGGGAGGCCGAGGTGGGTGGATCACCTGAGGTCAGGAGTTCGAGACCAGCCTGGCCAACATGAATCTCCTGCCTCAGCCTCCCAAGTAGTTGGGATTACAGGTGCCGCCACTATGCCTGGCTAATTTTTTGTATTTTTAATAGAGACAGGGTTTCACCATGTTGGCCAGGCTGGTCTCGAACTCCTTACCTCAGGTGATCCACCCACCTTGGCCTCCCAAACTGCTGGGATTATAGGCGTGAGCCACCGTGCCCAGCCAGAAATCTCTATTCTTTATAAATTACCCAGACTGGGTGTGGTGGCTAATGCCTGTAATCCCAGCACTTTGAGAGTCTGAGGTGGGAGGATCTCTTGAGCTCAGAAGTTTGTGACCAGCCTGGGCAACATCTACTAAAAAAATAAAAAATAAAAAAAAAATGCTGGTCATGGTGGTCCATGTCTATAGTCCCAGCTACACAAGAGGCTGAAGCAGGAGGATTACTTGAGCCCAGGAGATCAAGGCTGCAATGAGCTATGATCACGCCACTGCAATCCAGCCTGAGCAACAGAGCAAGACCCTGTCTCAAATAAATAAATTACCCAGTCTCAGGGATTCTGTTATAGCAGTACCACCTTAGACTGTGCTGAGTTTGTGCGACTGAGACTAGCTAATTTATTTACCAGTATTTAGACACTGCCTATAAGGGAAATACAAATTAAGGTGATAATGAGGAATCTCAAAATAAATGAAAATAGCAGAACATAAATGTGCTAACACCTACTATCGTTAATCTTTTAGAAAGCATTCTGTTGTCTATTAAAATTGTTCCCCCTTTCAAAAAATAAAAAAATATGCACCTGTACTCACAGCTACTTGTGAAGCTGAGGTGGGAGGATCCCTTGAGCCCAGGAGGTAAAGGCAGAAGTGAGCTGTGATTGGGCGACAGAGTGAGACTCTGTCTCAAAAGAAAGAAAACATAAACCCTTTCGATCCAATATCCCACTCCTGGGAATCTGCCCCCAAACAAGCCATGTGATTATATAATGTTTTCAAAGTCTTCTGCATTTACTGCAGCATTGTTTGTAGTGGTAAAAATGGGCAAACAGAGTGAATTTCCATCAATATATGAACGACTGAATTGGAAAACCCATAACCTAGAATATTAGGCAGCTTTGAAAAGCTGTTAATTCATACCAACCAACCTAAAGTAACTACTGTTCTGTGTTAACAAAGAAATACATATGACATGGCTTTGTTTTTGTAACACAAACCCCATACAGATGTGTGCATGTTTGCATATGATTATCTGAGCATAACAAAGGCTACAGAAGGATACACAGCACATGCTCTATTGCAGAGTGAAATGGGCGGCTGGAAGTTGCCCAACACATCTTAAACATCCAACTTTTTTTTTTTTTTTTCTTATGAGATGGAGTCTTGCTCTGTCACCCAGACCAGAGTGCAGTGGCATGATCTTGGCTCACTGCAACCTCCTCCTCCTGGGTTCAAGCGATTCTCGTGACTCAGCCTCCAGAGTAGCTCGGATTACAGGCATGCGCCACCATGCTTGGCTAATTTTTGTATTTTTAGTAGAGACGGGGTTTCACCATGTTGGCCAGGCTGGTCTCAAACTCCTGATCTCAAGTGATTCGCCCGCCTCAGCCTCCCAAAGTGCTGGGATTACAGGCGTGAGCCACCAAACCCAGCCTAAAAATCCAAAGTTAAAAAAAAAATGCTTCATACGCTTAACAAATGTATTACATGATTCCATTTTTGCAACATTATATAACTATAGGCATTGAGAAATGCACCAAGGGCTGGGTGCAGTGGCTCACACTTGTAATCTCAGCACTTTGGGAAGGCAAGGCAGGAGGATTGCTTGAGGCCAGGAGTTCGAAACCAGCCTGGGCAACATAGGGAGAATGTCTCTACAGAAACAAAAATAATAATAATCAGCTGAGCGTGATGTGTGCCTGTAGTTCCAGCTACTTGGGAGGCTGAGGCAGGAGGATTGTTTGACCCCAAAGAGTTTGAGGCTGCAATAAGCTGTGATCACACCACTGCACTGAAGCCTGAGTGACAGAGGGAGACCCTGTCTCAAAAAAAAAAAAAAAAAAAAAAAAAAAAGGCTGGGTGCGGTGGCTCACACCTGTAATCCCAGCACTTTGGGAGGCCGAGGCAGGCAGATCATGAGGTCAGGAGATTGAGACCATCCTGGCTAACACGGTGAAACCCCATCTCTACTAAAAATACAAAAAAAAAAATAGCTGAGTGTGGTGGCAGGTGCCTGTAGTCCCAGCTACTCAGGAGGCTGAGGCAGGAGAATGGCGTGAACCCGGGAGGCAGAGCTTGCAGTGAGCTGAGATCACGCCACTGTACTCCAGCCTGGGCAACAGAGCGAGACTCCGTCTCAAAAAATAAAAAATAAAAAATACATTGAGGTGGCTCACATCTATAATCCCAACTACTCAGAAGGCTGAAGTGGGATCACTCAAGGCCAGGAATTCAAGACCAGCCTGGGCAACATGGGTAGACCTCTGTCTCTACAAAAAATAAAAAATTAGTTGGGTATGGTAGTGTGAGCCTGTAGTCTCAGCTACTCATGAGGACTGAGGTGGGAGGATGGCTTGAGCCCCAGAGGCAGGGGTGGCAGTGAGTGGAGGTGACACCACTGCACTCCAGCCTGGGTGACAGAATGAGAACCCATCTCAAAAAACAAAAAAAGGCTGGGCACAGTATTTCACACCTGTAATCGCAACACTTTTGGAGGCCAAGGCAGGCAGATCACTTGAGACCAGGAGTTCAAAACCAGCCTGTCCAACATGGAGAAACCCCATCTCTACTAAAAAGACAAAAATTAGCCGGGTGTACTGGTGCACACCTGAAGTCCTAGCTACTCAGGAGGCTGAGGCAGGAGAATCACCTGAACCCGTGAGGCAGAGGTTGCAGTGAGCCGAGATCGCATCACTGCACTCCAGTCAGGGCAACAGAGCAAGACTCCAATCTCAAAAGAAAAAGAAAAACAGAAAAAGATGCGGCCGGGCGCAGTGGCTCACACCTGTAATCCCAGCACTTTGGGAGGCCGAGGCAGGCAGATCACCTGAGGTCAGGAGTTCAAGACCAGTCTGCCCAACATGGCAAAACCCCATCTCTACTCAAAATACAAAAATTAGCCAGGCATGCCTGTAATCCCAGCTACTCAGGCGGCTGAGGCAGGAAAATCACTTGAACCCAGGAAGGCGGAGGTTGTAGTGAGCCAAGATCAGGCCACTGCACTCCAGCCTAGGTGACAGAGTGAGACTCCGTCTCAAAAAAAAAAAAAAAAATTAAACGACACTTAACTGTGAGTCAGCCCTTCCACTCCAAACTATTTACCCACAAGAAATGATAGAATATATCCAACAAAGACAGGTACATGAATGTTTATAGCAGCTTTATTTGTAATAGTTCACAACGGAACATGGTCCAAATGTCCATCAACAGGTGAACAGCTAACCAAACTGGTGCATCCAAACAATGGAATACTACTTGGCAATAAAAAGGAATAAAATATTAATGCATGCAACAGGGATGACTCGCAAATCCTTATGCTCAGCTAAGCAAGAAGCCAGACAAAACACAAGTACATACTGTGTGATTCTATTTACATACATTCTAGAAAGTGCAGATTAACCTGTAGTGACAGAAAGCAGCACAGTTGTTACTTGGGGATGGGAGGCAAGAAGCAGGAGGGTGGGCTTACCAAGGGCATGGGAAACTTTCCAGAGTGAAGGGGATGGTGATTATCTTGATTGTGGAAATAGCTTCACGGGTGTACACGTATGTCAAAAGTCATCACGTACACATTTTTATATGCAGCTTATTGTATGCCAATTATGCCTCAATAAAACTGTCTTTCAACAATACACACTAGAAGGCAGCAACTGCAAAGTGGCAATTCCAGAGTTCTGTGCAGGACGCTGCAGTGATTCCGCCCCACTTGTTTTCACCATCTAGGGAAACGTCCTCTTCGTTTTTGGTCTTGTCTTTCAAGCGAGTTCTATTTTTTCGGTGATTACTTTTAAATATTTTTTAAAAATTTTTTTCCTTTTTTTTTTTTTCTTTTTGAGACAGGTTCTCACTCTGTCACCCAGGCTGGAGTGCAGTGGCAAGTTCATAGCTCACTGCAGCCTTGAACTCCTAGGCTCAAGCAATCCTCCCACCTTAGCCTCCAGAGTAGCTGGGACTGCAGGCGAGTGCCACCATGTCCAGCTAATTTGTGTATCTTTTGTAGAGACAGGGTTTTGTCATGTTGCCCAGGCTGGTCTAGAACTCCTGGGTTCAAGTGATCTGCCTGCCTCAGTTTCCCAAAGTGCTGGGATTACAGACATGAACCACCATGCCCAAACTAAAATTTTATGACATAATATTTGATACATACAAAAGGATGTGTGGCACCTTATGTGAGTTAGGAACTGAGTTATAACTTAAATACCCATGAACCTACCACCAAACCTGAGAGCTAAGATATTACCAATACCTTTAAAAATTCCTGGGCTCCTTCCTTATCCCATCCCACACTCCTCTCAGGGACGACCATCTCAGATTTTGTGCTTTTCCTTCCCATGATTTTTTAATAGGGTTGTATCTTGGGCATGTATTGCTAAACAATAGATGGTTTCATTTTGTTTTTGAGCTTTATAATATGCTATCGTACTGTGCATAAAGTGCTGTTTTAATTTACCTCTAAGAGTCATCTATGTTATTGCATTATGTCTGTTACAGTATTTCTGATCCTCCTGACAGCCCTGCAGTTGGCTTTGGATATGGTAAACCTAAGGAAAGTAAAGCTCAGCGAGCTGGGGTGGCTCACCCAGTCCAAGGGCAGATTGCAGGGACTCCTCTTCACCACATCTTGTCCATTCCCTTACTCGTGAGGGTCTCCTGAGCACTGGTAGTGAGCAGGTGCTGGACATGCCACAGGGAACACGGCAGATCCTCCGCCGTCCCGAAGCACACATCATGGTGCTCCCCTTGACTTTCACCAGGATGACTCCGGGTATGGGCCAGTTACCTGAACATCCTGGGGGGGCCCACGTCCCTTCTACTTGTCCTCAAGAATGACTTAAAGAGTCTGGTCTGACCCTCCCACAGGTTTCTGCCCATGGAGGGGCAACTGGACAGCAGCTATCACCACGGCATATGTAGCCACCGCTAACTCATTAATGCTGCTTCCAGGAACTTATCTTCTAGAAGTGCTTGAATATGTACAGAGGGGCACTAGCCTAATAATATTTATTGCAGCATTGTTTGTAATATAAAAGTAGTAAAAACAACTCAAATTTCCACCAATAGGGATCTCACTGCAGGTCATTAACATTTGTTATGGGAAACATACACAATGGAATACCACTAGCTGTAAAAAAAAAAAAATTTTTTTTTAAAGGGAGATCTTTAACGCAAAACTCTCCAGGATATATACATATCTTTTCAGGGTGCATGTGATAATTTAATACATTCATATTCTCCAGGATATATATATATTTTTTTCTCTTTTTTTTTTTTTTGAGACGGAGTCTTGCACTGTCGCCCAGGCTGGAGTGCAGTGGCATGTTCTAGGCTCACTGCAACCTCCGCCTCCCAGGTTCAAGCGATTCTCCTGCCTCAGCCTCCCGAGTAGCTGGGATTACAGGCACTCGCCACCATGCCCAGCTAATTTTTTGTATTTTTAGTAGAGACGGGGTTTCACCATGTTGGCCAGGCTGGTCTCGAACCCCTGACCTCGTGATTCGCCCGCCTCGGCCTCCCAAAGTGCTTGGATTACAGGTGTGAGCCACCACACCTGGCCCCCCAGGATATATTTTTAAAGGGCAAGGTCAGTACAGTATGTGGAATATGTTAATACGTATATAAAAAATCGCCAAGAATAAAATATACCAAATTGCTTAAATACGCAAAATACTTCTAGAAGGGTTCATAAGTAACTGAGACCAGGGTGGCTGGGGACGGGGTAAGAGGGAGACTTCATTATATCTCTGCTGTATTTAAAAAAATATGTACCATGGGCAAAGGTTACGCATTTAAAAATACATAAATAAAATTTAAAGTGTTAGTCTCTCAGTGCATATTCCCTGGTTTCTCGGCCTTTCTTTGCTCTTGGCCTGCCTTTGCTGGCAGCAAGCGTTTTATGGGAGGCCCCCACTTTGGCAGTTTACACTCTGCAGTCCAAACCCCGTTTCCAGACTGAATCTGAGGTCCGGGAAGATCCGCCACAAGGAGGCACTGTCTGCTGCTGGCCGGTTGGTGAACGGAAAGCCAGTCCTCCCCAGGGCGCCTTTGGTCAGGGCCTTTGCTGAGCAGGAGCTCACCTCCCTGTCCCCACTTACCCCACCCTGGTCCCAACATTCCTCCGAGAAATCTGGAAAATTGGAAGTTAGGAATTCACTTTGTATCCCTGTTACCACCGACCCCAATTTGGAAGGTGCCCCTCACCCTCCTTGGGGCTCACGGGAACATGGGTGTGAATGCCTGGTGTGAAGAGATGTGTTCCCTCCCCTGGGCTGGCTCCCCATTCCAGCCAAGAAACCCTCCCAGTCACTGGACAGAGTCAGAACAGTTGAAACTCTGCTGGAGGGTGGCTGAGGGGACAGTGTGACACCCTGGGAACCACTGAGCCTACTCGCATGGCTGCCATCCACCTACCACGTCACTCCGCAAGTCTTTATTGCCACCCACCAGGTGCAAAGGTCTTCCTCCAACACCTGCCTTGAATGTAGGGGTGACCATGGGGCCTTTGCTCCAGCTGTTCCCCCCACCCTGCCCCCACCTTCCCAGCCCCCCAGCTGTGGGCCCTCAAGGCAGTTCCCATCCTGCCTCCTGGGCTGCAGCTGCCCAAAGGCTCCAGTCAAGAGCGGCTGATCAGTGCCTGGGGCAAAAGAGGATGCCCAGCCCTGGGGGCCCTGGCATTCAGAGCTGAGCAGACAGACCCTTGGAGAATGACAGCGTAAGCACAAGCTACAGGAGAATGGCCATGCCCTCAAGATGCAGGCTCCAGCAAGGAGGACGCCCTCCCTGGGGGCTGGTCTGTTTCTGGTAGTGACCCCAGGGCCTGGCACTGAGGCAGCCCTTGGGAGTCTGGTAGACGGACACAGGCTAGCCTTCCCATCCAATCTGATGATCGTGCTGTCATCTGATGTTCCTGGTCTAACACCTAGGCAGTAGGTGGAGGCAGGGGATACAGGTCACACAGGCTACCTCCATGGGCAGCAGCCTCCATGGGAATGGAGGGAACAGCCCTCTGGGGGCTCCTCCTGGGCCCTTCCAGGGGTCACCCAGTGAGATCCTACGTGGGGCAAGGGTGCCCTGGATGAGAGTCCCTTTGTTGAGGTCCCCCCATCTGCATGAGTCCTTGGGGTGCTAAACTACAGCAGAGCCCTCAAACTGCAAAGCTGAGGGTCAGTTCTGAGCAAGGATGCAGGGGAAGGCACAGTGCCCCTAGAAGGCTGCTGGGGGCCATGGCCTCCTGTCACCTCTACCTGGCTTCTCCAAAACCCTGGGGGCCCTGCCCTTCTGTGGTGCCCACAGAAACGTGTGTTGGAGGGAAGGAGGCGGGAGATGAGGTGGGTTCACTCCCCCTACCCAGAGGGACCAGAGGACTAAAACAAACCAGCTTTAATACCAATATAGTTCTCTCTTAAATACCGTGTTTCCCAGGACAAATGCAGGGGCAGGCTCTTGGCAGAAAGAGTAGAAAGGAAATGTGGAACAAAATGGAATGGATGGCCCAGGCCCAGGGTCCCTGCCTTGGGCACTAGGGACTGGGCTGCCTCGGGGATGGGGGAGTGACAGCAGCTCCCCCTGGTCCAGTTATTGCAGAGGCGTCGGGGGCTCCCCTCCCTCCCCAGGCCTGAAACATTTCTCAGGATTACTTCTGACCTTCAGCCCCAGCAGGGCCAGGGCCTGGGCTCCTCTGGTCTAGGATGGGCCCCTTTGCCCAAAAGGGCCTGCAGCTAAGGCGTGGGGTGGGGCGGGGAGCCCCTGGACAGGCCCGCTGCTCTTAGTAGGTGCTCTGGTGGCCCGTGAGGATGTAGAGGTTGCTGTGCGCCTCTGGGTTGTCAGTGGGAATGCTCTCCAGGATGATGTCTCTGGAGGAGAGAGGAGTAGGGGGCAGGGCGGGAGACACTTGGTACATCAGCCCCTTCTCTGGCCTCAGGGGCATCTGAAGGGGAGGCTAGGGTACCACCGCCTACCTGTGGGCCCCAAGCACTCGGAAGATCCTTGTTTCATCTGTGATCTCCTGGGTCACCTGGGAAGACAGGTGGGAAGCACTGAGGCCACTCCAGTAGGTCCTTTCCAAAGAGGTAGGGACCACAAGGCAGGGGACAGCAAGGTCCCTGGGCCCCACTCACCTCATTGGTATCCAGGCTTCGGCCTTGCATCCCATGGCTCCAGAAGGCCAGCACACTGTCCTGCAGGCACACTATGGGGGCCAGGCCACCATCAGCCCTGCACCCATCTTGGCACCCCCTCAGCCACGCCTGAGCCTGGGTCTGGGCCACAGGGGTCCTCACTGACCTCAGGTGACCAGGATGGCTCAGGAGAGGGGCTAGGGGATCTGCCTCCTCATCCTACCGCCAGCCCCAGGCCCCTGAGCAACAACGTGCTCCAGGCCAGGGAAAGGCCTGCACCCCACCTCTGGCTCACTCACCCACAGTCTCGATGGGGAAATCAAAGGTCAGCTCAGGTGCCAGTGTGGCCGTGGGCTCGCCCTGCATGTTGACAATCCTCACACAGCCTGCACAGGGAAGGAATTGGTGAGTGGGGACGGGGAGGCTCCCTTCTGGGAAGGCAGACCCACGTGGTCGCCTTACCTCCATAGTCCCCTGCCCTAAGCCCTGCCCCCAGGGCACTCACGTTCAAAGCTGACTAGGATTGTGTCCCTGTCCACCTGGATCACCTGCTGGGCCGAGCCTGGGATCCCCTCTGCAGGCAGAGAAGAGAGACATGGCCTGGCTGAGCCACCAGTCCCCCAACCCCAAGAGGATACGGGGGCCAGGCTACAGACAGCCCTTGGCCATGAGGGCACGTCAGCCTCACAACAGCCCTGTGGGGCTGGGAAACCTCATCTCCCTCCAGGGCTGGGAACTGAGGCTCTGAGAGGATGAGTGACCCGTCCTAGGGCTCATGGGGAGTGGAGGAGGAGTCACGGGGAGCCACGGGAGGGCTCCAGGTTTAAGGGGACCAGGCCTCGTGACCCAGTCACTGTGTGACCTGGTACAAATCACTTTACCTCTCGGAGCCTCTGTTTCCTCATAACACAGACAAGATGGCACTGCCTTGAGAGGCTATCATGAGGATCAGGAATAAAATCCTGGGCTGGGCGCAGTGGCTCACACCTGTAATCCCAGCACTGTGGGAGGCCGAAGCGGGTGGATCACCTGAGATCAGGTGTTGGAGACCAGCCTGGCCAACATGGCGAAACCCCATTTCTACTAATAATACAAAACGTAGCCGGACGTGGTGGCACATGCTTGTAATCCCAGCTACTCGGGAGGCTGAGGCAAGAGAATAGCTTGAACCCACGAGGCAGAGGTTGCAGTGAGCCGAGATCGTGCCATTGCACTCCAGCCTGGGCAACAGAGCAAGACTCTGTCTCAAAAAATAAAAAAATAAATAAAGAATAAAATCCTGTGTGTGAGACCCCTGGCTCAGGGCCTGGCACCAGGTGCCTTAACTACGTGCGCCCTCCTTTCTCCCTTACCCATCACTGCTCATTATCACCCCAAGCTGCCACAACACCTGGAGTCCTGCTTCCTGGCTGAGAATGGGGCCTCTAGGCCCTGCCTTGCCAGATCTGCCTCTTCCCTGCAGCCCGGAGCAATGTTGACCAGTTTTTGTTTTTGTTTTTGTTTTTTGTTTTGAGATAGGGTCTCACTCTGTCACCCAGGCTGGAGTGCAGTGGCGCGAACATGGCTCACAACTGCCTCTGTCTCCCAGGCTCAAGTGATCCTCCCACCTCAGCCCAAGTAGCTGGGACTACACACGTGCATCAACATGCCCAGCTAATTTTTTGTAGAGTCAGGGTCTCGCCATGTTGTCCAGGCTGGTCTCAAACTCATGAGCTCAAGCCCCTCTCTCTCCTTGGCCTCCCAAAATGCTGGGATTACAGGCGTGAGCCACTGTGCCCGGCCTGGCCAGGATTTTCTTAGCTGCCAAGCCCTTCCGTCTAATGAACCCTTTTATGGAAGCCCAGGTGAAGCTTGTTGAAGGGAGGCTGTGGGCCCCAGACCCCACATGGCAGCCCTCAAGGTCTCTGTGGAGCCACTGGCTGTGGGGAGCCTAGTTTGGGAGCCTTGGCCCTCCCTGCCTCCCTCCCTCGGTCTCTCATGCACACACACCCACCCCCAGCAGCCTGGCCCTTCTGCTCACCAGGTGGGATGAGGATGTCGGGCGTCAGGCCAGCCTCCAGGGGCAGGACATGGAACAGGACGCGGCAGCCGGGCCCCTCAGGCCCCTCGGCCCCAACACACACCTGCGGCAGCTCCTTCCCATCCAGCACCAGCGGCTCCAGCATCCCAGCTGGGCTGGGCAGAGGGCTGGAGAAGTTCTAGGGGGCAGCAGGGATGCTCAGGTCTCCATTTCTCCCCCCAGAGCTCTGAGGGTGCCCTGGGCCTCCCCCCACCGCCCCTCACCTTCAGCAGCAGAAACTTCTGCAGCGGCTCATACCACTGCAGCAGGAGCAGGCTGGTGGGCAGGGCGGCCAGCAGGAAGGTGGCACCCGTGTAGGGGTTCCGCACTGGCAGGGGAGCAGGCAGTGGGCACCGGGCTGGGCCTGCGCTGCCCCCCACCAGGCCCCGCCCCACCCCGCCCAGCCCATTTCTTACCCACACGACACTGCAAGCAGCCTTTGGTGTCAGGAATCTTGGTGGACAGAGCAAAGCGCCTGTAGGGGTGATAACCAGGGCCTGTGTCTGGGATGCCATCCATGGGCAAGGCCCCTGCAGAGCCCTATGAGGTGGGCACTATCAGCTTCCCTCTTTACAAGTAAGGGACTGAGACTCAGAGACACAGAGTAACTTGCCCCAAGAACAGCTGGGAAAGGTGGAGGATCTGAAGCCAGTCTCCCAGCCCTGAAGCCAGGAGGGAGTGTCTCCATCCAGGCCAGGGGTTTGGGTCTCAGGATTGCTTCTAGCTCTGTGTGACTCCAGGCAAGCCACTTAATCTCTCCATGCCTCAGTTTCGTCATCTGTAGATTGGGGATAATGGCGGGCCCCACCCCAGAGAGTCACAGTGAAGGCTTCATGAGTTAATACAGGGGAGGTGCTCTCGGCAGTGCTGGGAATCGTGTGTGCTCACAGAGGGCCAGCTCCTATCATCCCATATTAGGACTTTCCACCTATTTTGAGTCACTGAAAGTCCTTGTCAGGTAAAGGCAGGGTATAAAGAAAGAAATGATGCCAGGTGCAACGGCTCACGCCTGTAATCCCAGCACTCTGGGAGGTCGAGGTAGGCAGATCACCCGAGGTCGGGAGTTCGAGACCAGCCTGACCAACATAGAGAAACCCTGTCTCTACTAAAAATACAAAATTAGCCAGGCGTGGTGGCGCGTGCCTGTAATCCCAGCTACTTGGGAGGCTGAGGCAGGAGAATTGCTTGAACCCAGGAGGCGGAGGTTGCAGTGAGCCGAGATTGTGCCATCGGACTCCAGCCCGGGCAATGAGAGTGAAACTCGGTCTCAAAAAAAAAGAAAAAGAAAAAAGGAATGAAGAAATGAGAGCATGGAGGGGCTGGGGAGGATGCAGGCTCCAGCCCCACCAGGTTGCACAGACTGCACACGGCCCATTTCACAGATGGGAAAACAGGCCCGGGGCAGTGAATGAACTTCAAAAGGCAAATGGCCTGCCCTCTGCTTCTCCAGCAGAGGCAACAGCCCTGTGGGGCCAGGGGGTGGCTTGCCTTGCTGTCGGGGTAGAAGTAGTGAGGAAAAGTTATCAGAGGGGCCGTTGCCTTGGCCACTGAGTGTCCCCTAACCCTCCAGGGGACCCTCTCAGCCTGTTTCTTCCTCTGGGGAATGGGGCTTCCTGTCAGCAGCCCTGCCACCTCCACCCAGTGGCCCATGTCCTGTTTGTACCTTCTGCCAGGACATGGAGGAAGCCAATGTCTGTCTCTCACTGTCCCTGGTCCTCGTCCCTCCCTCTCCCCACATTCCTCCCACTCTCCTCCCCATCTGGTCTTTGGATGGGACAAAAGCATATATTTTGTATTTGTTTTTTCTCCAAACAACTCCAGTTCTCTGTTCTTTGCATTCAAAGTGCTCACTGTGCCTCTGCCATTTCCCGAACACAAGCTCAAAGCTGCCTGTGACCTGTTGGGGCTCTGATGGGCCTGTTTCCTGTAGGTCCTGCGCCAAAGCAGACTCACTTGGGGACTGAGCTCAGGAAGCCCCAAGGCCACCGGGCTCCAGATGTGGTCCTGGAGTGAGCACGTTGCAGGAAGGGGGCTCCTGAGCTCCCCAGCTGTTGCAGCCACTGGCCTGGCCTCCCCTACCCTCTGCACTCAGTCCACTGCTTCCCACACCACCCACCTGGTCATGACAATGTCGGGGGCCCATAGCCCAGGGCCCCTCCCTTCAGAGCCCAGCCCCACCAAGCCATGGACTGACGCAGGTCCCACTTGCACATCTAATAAGCATGTTCATGCAACAAAATTGAATTCAGCTCCCCCTGAAACTGCTCCACCTTCAGCTGATGACAGCTGCATTCTTCCTGACACCCAGGCCAAAAACCTTGGAGCCATCCTTGACTCCTCTTTCTCTTTCATCAGGAAATCCTACTGGCTCAACTTGCAAAAGAGAATCAGAATCTGACTGTTTTTCTCTTCTGTTTTTCTTTTTTTTTTGAGACGGAGTCTTGCTCTGTTGCCCAGGCTGGAGTGCAATGGTGCGATCTCGGCTCATTGCAACCTCCGCCTCCCAGGTTCAAGCTATTCTCCTGCCTCAGCCTCCCGAGTAGCTGGGATTACAGGCGCCCGCCACCATGCCCGGCTAATTTTTGTATTTTTACTAGGGACGGGGTTTCGCCATGTTGACCAGGCTGGTCTCGAACTCCTGACTCAGTTGATCCACTCGCCAAAGCCTCCCAAAGTGCGGGATTACAGGCGTGAGCCACTGTGCCTGGCCCCCAGGCAAACTCTTAACAGCTCCCCAGCTCACCAGGCTGCTCCGCCCCAACACATACTAACATATACTTGCTCTTCCCCCTGCCTGGAGTGCCATTCCCTACCTCACCTGCCTAGAAACCCTGACACACTTTCGAACCTCCCAAGCTTGCCCGGTCTCTGAGGCCTCTCCACACCTCCCAGCTCTCCCTCTAACTGGACCTCAGTACCGGCTGCTAACTGTCCACATTTCCCTTTTTCTTTTTTTTGAGACAAGGTCTTGCTCTGTTGCCCAGGCTTCAATGCAGTGGTACGATCGCGATCACAGTTCACTTCAACCTCAACCTCCTGGGTTCAAGCAATCCTCCCACCTCAGCCTCCTGAGTGGCTGGGACCACCAACACACAACGCCATGCCTACATCACCATGCTCAGCTAAGTTTTCGATTTTTTTTTTTTTTTTTTTTGAGATGCAGTCTCACTCTGTCGCCCTGGCTGGAGTGCAGTGGTGCAATCTCCACTCACTGCAACCTCTGCCTCTAGGGTTCAAGTGATTCTTCTGCCTCAGCCTCCCGAGTAGCTGGGACTACAGGTGCGCACCACTACACCCAGCTAATTTTTGTATTTTCAGTAGAGACGGGGTTTCACCATATTAGCCAGGCTGGTCGTAAACTCCTGACCTCATGATCCGCCCACCTCGGCCTCTCAAAGTGCTAGGATTATAGGCCTGAGCCACTGCGCCTGGCCCCATTTTTTGATTTTTTGGGCTTTTTTTCTTTCTTTTTTGAGACAGACTCTTGCTGTCGGCCAGGCTGGAGTGCAGTGGCGTGATCCCGGCTCACTGCAACCTCTGCCTCTCAGGTTCAAGCGATTCTCCTGTCTCAGCCTCCCGAGTAGCTGGGACTACAGGCATGTGCCACCACGCCCGGCTAATTTTTTTTGTATTTTTAGTACAGACGGGGTTTCACTATGTTAGCCAGGATAGTCTCCATCTCCTGACCTCGTGATCCATCCGCCTTGGCCTCCCAAAGTGCTGGGATTACAGGCGTGAGCCCCCCCGCCCAGACTTTTTTGATTTTTTGTAGAGACAAGGTCTCCCTGTGTTTTCAGGCTGATTTCAAACACATGGCCTCACACAATCCTTCTGCCTCGGATTACAGGATTGGGATTACAGGCATGAACCACCACACCCAGCCCCGCTGTTTCTTGAAAGCAAGGACTCATGGGAATCCTTGAAAGCAAGGACTCATGGGAATCCTTGAAAGCAAGGACTTGCCCATCTCCCCCATTTCTTGAAAGCGAGGACTCATGGGATTCTCCATGTCCCGAAGCCCAGCATAGGGGCCAACATAGCATAAGTGCTCAGTAAACGTTTGCTTAACTGTCAAGCCCCACATCCGAACAACCACAGCTCCTACAACTTGGAAAGCACTTTCACATCCACTGTCTCCTTCTTGCCTCCCAACAAGCCGGCGGGAGGGGGTGGGAAGGCCATCAATTGTATTGACAGAGGAGGAAACGGGCGCTCAGAGAGACAACACGTCTAAGATTGCTGCAATCCCAGGAACTGGCAAGGCCATGTTCCAGCCCCTCCCTGCCCCTCTGCCTCCCGCTCCCTGCACGCCCAAGATCCCTGACCTGGGGATGATGCGCTGGGTGAGGCGGTTGGTGGGGATGGAGAGGGGAACCTGTTGCTGTAGCCTCCGCTGCTCAAACAGGCCTGGGAGGTCATGGGCCCAGATGTGCGTGGATTTCCCTGCAGAAACAGGAAGAGGCCAGGCCTGGGGTGTTGGTGGGCAGGATGCTGAGGCGCTGGAGCCCCTGCGGACCCTGCCTCCCTGCCCATCCCACCTTGTACCTGAGAGTGACAGCAGCACGTTGTTCACGCAGTAGAGCCAGGAGCAGCGATGTGAAATCAGCTGGAGGCCACAGAGGGACAGATGGTCAGCACCCCAGGCCCCCACAAGGCCTCTGCCCCCCACAGCCAGCCGGGCCTCACCTTCTCCAGCGTATCCTCATGCAGTTCATGCAGGTTGAGTGTGTAGATGCCTTCCTCGGCCCCTACCACCAGGAACTGGTCTGCCAGTTTGGGCATGGGGTCAGAGGTCAGACATGGCCCCTGGCCCAAGCTGAGGGATTCCTTGGGCTCCCGCTTCCTCCCTGCCCCCACCTACCCCGAGTAACAGGGTGAATCCAGGTGACAGCAGCGTGGATCCGCAGGGGGCAGCCATTGAAGACCTTGGAGAAGCAGGCGCCCATCTGCAGAGGAGGCAAGAGGCTGGCGAGGGAGTGCAGGGGTGGTGGGTGGCAGGGCTGTGGGACTGCAGGGCTTGGGGCAAACACTTACATGCACCTTGGGAGTTGGGGGGAGCCCGTGGCAGGATGACCTCTGGGAGGGAGGAAAGGAGTCAGGGCTGATATGACAGCTGTAGCCGCCCGTCTCCCCACCCCACTGTAGCACCCTCTTACCTCAGGATCCTCCCGCTGCTTCATGGTGGCCCAGGCCGTGGGCAGCAGTGGGGAGCTGTTGGGGCCTGAAGGAGGTGGGGGCAGGGTTCCTGCAGGCACAGGCGTGCTGTAATTTCCTGCTGTAGCCCCCACCCTGGGGCTGCCTCCTGGCCTCCCAAGCCTGAGACTCACCTGGGGGACTGGACAGAGGCTCCTCTGCTGGAGGGTCAGTGGGGAGTGGCCCTAGGAACGGGGCCCGCTTGATGGTTCCCATGGTATCGTCTGGGGAGTCCAGCTCCTGGTAGGAGGGGCAGGGCCCAGCCCGGCCGTTACCAGGTTGCCCTGTAACCACATCCCACTCCAATCGTACCCTCTGCAGTGGCCTGGATCCCAGCTCCAGCCTCCCTCTGTGTGGCACCTGGAATTCTGAGGCTGACCGAATAGTCAGACTCCTGTGGGAGGGAGATGAGGCGTGAGGCATGAGGTGTGACTGGCACCAAGGCCACCTGCCCCTTGCCCCTCCCCCAGGCCCACATCCCTCACCTTTCCTCCAGGGCCTCCTGGACCGACTGCAGCAGGCTCCTGGGCAGTGGGGAAAAGGGGTCAGAGGTCAACCTTTCCTTTTTTTTTTTTTTTTTTTTGAGACGGAGTCTCGCTCTGTCACCCAGGCCGGAGTGCAGTGGCGCAATCGCGGCTCACTGCAAGCTCCGCCCCCCAAGTTCACGCCATTCTCCTGCCTCAGCCTCCCAAGTAGCTGGGACTACAGGCGCCCGCCACCGCACCCGGCTAATTTTTTGTATTTTTAGTACAGAGGGGGTTTCACCGTGTTAGCCAGGATGGTTTCGATCTCCTGCCCTTGTGATCCGCCCACCTCGGCCTCCCAAAGTGCTCAGATTACAGGCATGAGCCACACCCGGGCTTTTTTTTTTTTTTTTAAGACAGAGTTTCATTCTTGTCACCCAGGCTGGCGTGCAATGGCAAGATATCGGCTCACTGCAACCTCTGCCTCCCAGATTCTCCTACCTCAGCCACCCTAGTAGCTGGGATTACAGGCGTGGGCCACCATGCCCAGCTAACTTTTGTTTGTTTATTTATTTATCTGAGATGGAGTCTCGCTCTGTTGCCCAGGCTGGAGTGCAGTGGTGCAGTCTCAGCTCACCGCAACCTCCGCCTCCCGGGTTCAAGCGATTCTCCTGTCTTAGCCTCCTGAGTAGCTGGGATTACAGGCGCCTGCCACCACACCGGCTAATTTTTTCTATTTTTACTAGAGACGGGCTTTCACCATGTTGGCCAGGCTGGTCTCAAACTCCTGACCTTGGGATCCGCCCACCTCGGCCTCCCAAAGTGCTGGGATTACAGGCGTAAGCCACCACAGCCAGCCTAATTTTTGTATTTTAAGTAGAGATGGGGTTTCACCATGTTGGCAAAGCTGGTTTCGAACTCCTGACCTCAGGTGATCCACCCACCTTAGCCTCCCAAAGTGCTGGGATTACAGGCATGAGCCACCCGCCCAGCCTAATTTTTGTATTTTAAGTAGAGGTGGAGTTTCACCATGTTGGCAAAGCTGGTCTTGAACTCCTGACCTCAGGTGATCCACCCACCTCAGCCTCCTAAAGTGCTGGGATTACAGGCATGAGCCACCACGCCCGGTCAGAGGTCAGCCTTTCTGCCGCCCCTGCCACCCCCTGCAGCTTCCCCATACCTCACTTACCCACTCAACTCTTCCTTTCCCAGTAGTGTCCACTCTTCCTCCCACTGGGGGAAACCAAGGTAGAGACCGGGGAAGAAGCAGAGACAGATGCAACGTGAGAGGGCGCTCAAGAGATTCAGGAAAGGAAAGACAGACAGACAGACAGACGGGAAAGGTGAGATGGAAACACACAGAAGATGAGAGAGACAGACAGTGGGAGGCAGAGCTGAAGACTGTGAAAGAAAGGGCAACAGACAGCGAGGGAGGAAGAGACAGGCTGGGGGGTGAGGAGAGACCAGTGACAGAGCCGATGAGGGCAGAGACAGAAAGTCAGACCACTGGGGACACACAGGTGGGAAAACGAGGCTGAGCAGGGTAGGGTGAGGGCTCAGGCACATGACGGCCTCCTTTTGGGAAAGGCATGGTCTCTGTGCTACCTTCCAGACACCCACCTAAAAGAACTTGGCCCAGGAAGGAGCCCCTAACCCTCCAGGTCCCTGGGTAGGACAGGCTTGCTTGGACAGTCTAAGGCCCAAGGCCCGAGGCCACCCAGCTTCAAATCTCCCTTGATTTGAGCTGCTCGGCCTCCATCCGACCTCCCTGCCCCACCTCTGGGCACCACCTTCCCCTCAAGGCCTGCCCACTCACCGGCTCATTCAGTGGGTCAGTTTCCTTCCTGCGTGGGGCGCCAAATTTCACCTGGTGAACTGGGGGGCCCAGAGTACAAGAGTGAAGGAGCTGGAGTCTCAGGATGGACCTCTACTCACACCAAATCCATGTGCACACAGGCCCCCCAAAATCTGCACACACACAGCCCCTGCTGCAGACTCACACTGGATCTCCGAGGGGGTCCTCTCGGCTGGGCCGTGCTGCCCCCGGGAGTGAATGGTGTCTGGAAACATGTCATAGGTCTAAGGAAAAACAGAAACAGTGTGGACACACCTGGCACGCGCCTCATGCCGGGGCTGCTCTAGGAGCTTCACACGCACCAGTGCGTTTTGCTTTCATGACAGCCCTCTGGGACTACTGTAAAATAAAATGGAACCCCACTTCACAGATGAGAGAACCCACACAGAGCAGTGCCAAAGATCACACAGAAAGCAAGAAAATGGCACAGTCGTGGTCATGGTCAGCTTGGACTCAAGGGCAGGGACCTATCAAGGGGGTGGTACAGGAAACAAAAGTCAGCATGACAGAGACTCCTAATGGGAGGGCTCAGCTGAGGCCAGCTCCCTGAGCTGGAATGGTGCCAGTTAAAGGACCTCCACCAACATCACCCTCGGGCTCTTTCTAAGCAGACCAGCCCAAGACTCACTTTCCAGCCCCCCTCACCTACCTCCAGCTCACAGTCCTCAGGGGAGGGGGTCCCCAGATGAGGGTCACTGGCTTTGTCCAGCAGCTGTGTGAGGAGGGCCCGAGGGAGCTGCTGAGTCGTGAACGGGTGCTGGAAAGTGGGGGAGGGGGGTGATCAGGTTGGCCCCTGATCCAGGGCCCTGCTTTTGAGTACTGGGCCTCTCTCCCGGCCCCCTGCCTCCCACCTGCAGGAGCTTCTCTGCTGTCGGCCTCTTCTTAGGATTCTTGGTCAGGGCCAGTTTGAGAAAGTGGTGGAAATTCTGGGTCCTAGAAGGCACAAGAGCCCCCCAGCGCCAGATCCAGGTTAGCCCTCGTGCAGGGTGTCCTGCCAGCTGCCCTACCACCCCTCCAGAGGCGTCTGCTGGGCCCACCCAGGAAGGAGCCAGCCGAGGCCAAGGGCCACTGGCCGAGCAACGCTGCCTTGCGACACAGCGGCTCCTCCACCAACCCTCTGCCCTTCTTTCCTGACCACGCTGGGTCTTCAACCCACAGAAGGACCAGGCCCCTGACTCAGATGGTCTGTAGTAGCCCAGAAAGGACAGGGCTCTTGGGGTTGCCCCCCGGGAGTTGGCAGAGGCTGTTTGTCCACTATGGGGCTGACAGAAAAGGGGGTCCCGGCAGCAGGGTGTGGCCCTTACCAGCGAGTCTTATCTCTCAGTTTGGGCGGCTGGAAGCTGCTCTTCGACATGAGCATCAGGGCCCTGTGGAGGGCGCGAGGTCAGGGGCCACAGGCCGCAGATCAAGGGTCAGGTGAGGGGCAAGTGTTGGGCTGACCTCATGGGGTGCAGGTGGAACAGAGGGGGCTGCAGCTCGCCCAGCTCAATGGCAGTGATGCCCAGGGCCCAGACGTCACATAGCTCATTGTAGCCACCTTTGCGCTCCACAGCAGCCACCTCGGGAGCCATCCTAGAGGTGGGGTCACAGATGGGATGGCCGGGTGCCCTGCTCTGTGGCCCCTACCCCTCCGCCCCAGGCGCAGCCTCACCAGTAGGGAGTCCCAATGAAAGACCTCCTCTTGGCCACAGACGCTGTCAGCTCGCCTGACACCCCAAAGTCAGCTGTGGGGAGAAACAGCCACTCTCACCAGCCCTCTGGCTGCCACTCACCCTCCCACGCCCAGGGCTCTGGCTCGGCTGCACCTGGCAGGGCTCAGACGGGCAGGTGGCCCCGCTTGGTCACAGCTGCCGCAGGCCCTAGGCAAGGCCAGGTCCCTCTCCTGAGAGGGGTCAACCACCCTCTATCCCTGACGGAGTGCCTGGTCCCATGTCAACTCCGTGCAGACCCAACCTCCTCTATTTTCCAGCAGGGAGGGAGTACCGTTCCATCTTCTAAGCAGGGAAACTGAGACTCAAGTGGCAAAGTGACTTGCCCAGTGACACCCAACCCTTGAGTCCAGGGTAGCCGGGGAGGGTCCACAGAGCCCTCACCCTGATGGTGTCCCCAGGGTACTGACCCAGTTTGACATCTCCCTGGAGAGTGAGGAGAAGGTTGGCTCCCTGTGGGAATGGAGGAGAGACAATCCCATCTGGTGCCCCCGAGGGCCTCCTCCTCCCTCCCCAGGAGTGCCCCCAGCTAGGTGCCTACCTTGATGTCTCTGTGGATCTTCCCCTGAGAATGCAGGTGGTGGAGCCCCTGGCGACAAAGAGGAGTCCCTGAGAGCAGCCACCCAGCACTGTCCCACCTCCCCAAACCCCCTCTCAGGACTGGGGCCCCCCACTCAGGCTGCTTCTTCCTCCCCTCTCCCCAAACAGGAAGTGACTGAGCCAAGAGGGAAATGGACTGCTTCCGGCAACAGGGCTGGGGCCCCTTTTCCCCAGGACCTACAGCCCCTCGGGCCAGCCCCACCCGAGGCACTCCACCCGCCTCCCTGCTGGTCATCTGGGCTCCTGGCCCACAGCTTCTGGAGACCAGAGGTGTGGGCACCTCACAGGCCCAGCTACCTTCAGTGCCTCTCGGCAGACGTAGGCAATCTGCCGCTCCTCCAGGGGCCCAGTGGCTGAAAGGAAAAGGGAGAGGCTGGCTTGGGGGCCCGGGGGTCATGCCCACCCTCCCAGGCTACCGTGTGTGGGAAAAGCAGCAGGCACTGTTAAATGAAAGCGGTGTTGGCCACGTCCCCTCCCAGTTTAGTCTAGGATACTGAACCCAGAGATGGACAGTATTTCTCTCAAGGTCACACAGCCAGGCAGGAGTGGAGAGGAGCCCAAGTCCAGGGCCCAGAGTCCCCTCTGGTACCCCAGTGGGGTAGGGGTGGGGGAAGGCTGGGGCCTGCTGGGGCCTGGAGCCCTGGCCTCACCATGGTAAATCTCCTGCAGGGAGCCCCCTCCGCAGAACTCCATGCAGATCCACAAGCGGTCATTCCTAGGGACAAAGAGCTGGGGTGGGCACAAAGCAGGTCACATGGGGGCTGCCTGGGGCCAGGAGGATAAGGCAGCCTCACCTGAGGTAGCTGCCAATGTAGGCCACCACATTGGGGTGGCGGCACTCACGCAGGATGGTGATTTCCTGCTGGAGGGAGCTGATGTCGTCCCCTGGGAAGCACAAAGCATCATGGGGAAGGCGCGCTGGGGTTGCCCTGACTCAGTGCCCCCATCTGCAAAATGGGCACAGAGTGCCTCCCTCCGGGCCAGGCAGGTGCAGGTGACAGCACCTCCCGGGGCACGCCTCTCAGGGGTCTCGGAAACGTCAACCCTCCGCCCGCACCCCGCGCCCGCGGGCGCTCTGCCCTTCCTCTGGCGCAGAGGCCCGACCCGGGCCCTCACCTGGGTCTAGCTTGACTATCTTCACGGCGGCCAGTTCGGACGTGACCGTGTCGCGGGCCTGCAGGGGCGGAGGGTGAAGCGGGATGGGGGGCGGGGCCGGGGGCTAGATCCTGCCGCGGGGTGCGGGGCTGGCACCCTCCTCCCGGCTCTCCCGCCCGTCCCGTCGCACCTTGTAGACGTCGCCATAGGTCCCGGCCCCCACGCGCTGCAGCAGCTCGAAGCGGTCCCGCGGGTCCTGCAGCGACACATCCCGCAGCAGCGCCATGGCCCGGCGCCGGGCGGGCCGGCAGGCGGGCGGGCGCGAGCTGCGGAGCCGGCGCGGGGCGGCGCGGGGCGGGGCGGGCGCCCGTGGCTCTGAGGCCGCGGGGGCGGGGCTGAGGCCCGGGGGCGGGGCCGCGCCGGGGATGCCCCACCGCCAGTCCGGGAGGAGGCGCCCGCGGGACGGGCCCTCGGCGGCGCGGGGAAGCCCCAAGGCCGGGGCGGAGCCTACGTCCTTCCGCCGCCACTGTCGCTCGCGCTCCACAGGTAGGGAGCGCAAAGTCCCGGGAGCCAGAAGACAGAGGGAAGAGGGGGCGCTCCACTCCCCGCCCCATCCCCAATTTCCCAGATAAACATGGACTTGCGCTTTATATTTTTTTTAACAAAATGTATTCATCTTTCTTGGAACTGAAAAATAAATCTATGTACAAAACAGGAAGAGATCAGGCTCTTGTCACCCACTCCTAACCCTCTGCAGATTTCCTCCGGGATGCTCCGAGATGGGCTGGACCTCTGGGAGGTTCCCAGAGGGTCGGAAGGGAGGTCCTGCTCTGATCCGGGGCCAGTTTCGTCAGGAAGAGGGCGGGGCTCAGGATGCTCATAGGCTGGGGGCGGAGTTTTGTGTCCCAGACTCGGGATACGAAGGAGAGGAAACTAGGATTTCCAAATTCTGGAGCAGGACTGAAGTTATTTGGGGCAGGGAGCTTGGATTCGCAAGATATGGAATTCTGAAGTGCGGAAATATACTCCTAGGGGCTGAGTGGTCCTAGGCTCCCGGGCTGGAGGTGGGACCTGTGCTCCTTGGGTTAAGGGTGAAACCTCAGCTCCTACAAGCTGGGAGGAGCCCTGAGTAACGTTGGTCTGGCTCTAGGTGAGCGGTTCCGAGGAGGAGCTTGGGTTTCTAGGGGCTGGGCCTTTAAAGACTGGTAATTAGGACCCAGCGTGAGGTTTCCATTGGCCGGCTGGGATTCTGGGAGAAGAGACCTATATTCTAACGACTGGGGCAGAGCCCTGGGTTCTGAGCTGGAGAAAATCGTGGGTTTGATACAGACTGTACTCGGGACCGGGAACCTAGGGTTTGGGTAGAGGTGAGGCCTGTCCCCTTTGGGCTGGGGGCAGAACATGGGCTCAGAGTTGGGGGACTAAGGGCGGAGCCTGGGTCCCCACAAGCGGTCCGAAGTCCCCAGTAGTTCAGAGGCCTTTGCGCTGCCGCTTGAGGAAAGACAGAGTGTAGTCACTAGGGGTGGACACTTTCTGCTTCTTCATCTGCACTTGCGACTGTGCCGTGAGTTGCAGCTTGATGGCGCTCGAGTTGATCTTGGTGGCCACCAGCAGCTCCTTCATGCCCTTCATCTTCTCACTCTGGAAAGTGAGCACTGGACCCTCCGGCGGTGGTGATGCTGTGGGTGCTGGCACCTGAGCCGTGCTGCCACCTTCAGGGCCTCGGGCTGTGCCAGCGACAGTCCCAGGAGGCTTCCGGGGGGGTCCTGACACTGCACCCTGGCCGGTGCCCAGGCCCTTGTCCAGTGCTGGCTTCTTGGGCGGCGGGGGCTCCTCTGGCTTGGACTCCCGCCGTGGGCCCCGCCGCCGGCCTTCCCGGGCTTCCTCGCCCCACGGCTCCTCGGCCTCGGCCGCCTCGGCCTCTCGGCTCACTATGCGCACCTTCTGCCGCACCTGGGCCAGTGGGGAGAGCAAGGTGAGAGCAAGGTTGCCGGCCAGTGGCTGGAACTCCAGGACCCTGCTCTGGCCATCCCATCCCACCCAGGGGGTCTCAGTCCCATCGGCACCCAAGGGGATGGGCAGATGCTGCCCCTGGGCCAGAAAAGTCTGACAAGCCCGTGGCTGCTGTCACCACCTGTAGTGCCCAGACCTCTGTGCAGCTGTCCCTCACCTGTCCCTCAAAACGGCCTAGGGACTGCACAAGAAAGGTGGCCCAGCCCACATGCAGCACAGGCGTGGGACTGCCCTCCTCCCATTTGCAGATGCCGTCGTAGAATCGCAGCAGGTGGGCGAAGCACTCAGGGTCCTGGAGGGCGGAACCTTGGCTCTGGGTGCCCTGGACGAGGGGGAAGGGAGGGCACAGATCAGTCTCTTACTCACCCCTTAGCAGAGGGCACAGGCCAGGCCCCCCACCTAGGCAAAGACCCCTGGCTCCAGAAAAGGTAAGCATAGGTTGGGAACATTCTTAGAACCTCTTTCCTTTTATAAAGCCAATCCATAGCCAGGACGTACCATCCCTACCTCCACCCCTCAGCTGAGGGAGGGAGTCTGGCCATGAAACTGAAGGCACAGGGTAGAAACCTCTAAAATACCTTCAGTCCCGTCCAACGTGGGCCCAGGACCTCAGTTATAGCAAAAGGGAACATAGCTGTCTGCTCAGGGCCACCTTCCTCCTGCCATCCCTAATCCCGTACATGCAGCCCCCATGGCCTGTGGAAGGGAGCCCTGTCCAGGTGGGAGGCTGGACACAGGCTGGAGCTCCAGCCTTTCACCTGGCTTTGCTCCCCCGGCCGCTCCTCGCCCGCCTCCAGCAAGCTGGCTGCCTCCTTCAGCAGGTTGGGGATGACATCATTGGCTACTTCAAAGAACTCCTTGTAGATCTCCTCGTCTTCCCGGCAGTAGTTGTAGCTGTGAGAGCAGTGGGGTCTCTGTAGGGTCTGAAGGGGTCTCACCATCGGGGGTAGCCCCAGGGACCTGGCGGGGGATGGAGCCCCCAGGGGCTGGGGGAGTAGGTGGGGTCCTCACTGCAAAATGATGCTGTCTGGGTCAGCCCAGAGGAAGAAAGCAAGAATGAGGAGGGGGGCATGGGGCCGAGGGTGGAAGTCCCACTGCTGGATGATGGTGGTTAAACATTGGAGATTTGAGACTGTTCTGAGAAAAAAAAAATTAGGAGGAGAGGGGAGGGAGGGAAAGATGTGACACCTTAATCAGGGTCCCTACCTCCTGGGTAATGGTGGCCTTGCTGCCTAGGGACTGGATGGAAAGGGGATGGGGCGTGGGAGCCAGGCCTCAGTCCTGGACGAGGGTGGTTGGAAACTGATGGAGGGGAAGAAAGGACAGGCTGCAGGCCCTAGTAGGGGGATCCTCACTCCTGGATGACAGTGGCCGTGTCCGCCCAGGCCTGCAGGGCTTCCCGCACATTGCGGTTGCGACAGTGGTAGCCAGCCAGGTACATGTAGGGGTAGATGTGTTCATCCCGATAGTAGGTCTTGGCTGAGGCAATGCCCTGGATGGAGGTGAGGCAGAGGATCCTCAGGGAGGCAGCCCCAGCTGCCCTGCTGGCACAAATGCCCCACCAGGGCACACCCAGAAGGGGCCACAGGAAGATCCCAGGGAGTCCTCTCCATCTCCACTCCCACCTCCACTCGCTGCCAGCCCTTCTACCTGGTCTCCTCCCTGGGTCTACAGGACTGCTGGCTGAGGCCTGGGGCAGACTGCAGGGGTGGGGCCTGCCCTCCGAGCTCAGGGCCCTTCTCTTTCTCAGACACTCTTCTACACATCACCAAAGACTTTCAAGCCCAGCCCAATGGCCCTCCTCCCCACCTACACCCACCAAGTGAACACCCCCTCTTCATCAGTGCTCCTGCCACATTTGACCTCTGTTATACTCCAGGAAGGACAGTAAGCAGTGGCAGAAAAGGCAGGGCTGAGGGGACAAATGCAGCCCCTGCCACTCCCAGGCTGGGGAACCCTGGACACCCCTCAGACAGCCCTGACTGAACTGATTCTGCACACAGTTGACACAAAGTGAGACTGGATGGGCGATACCCCCCAACACACAAAGTTCTCTTCTCATCTGCCCAGATGAGGGCCCCTGCCTCAGCCACTGTTAGGGTCTCCCTTCTGCACCCTCCTTAGATGCCCCCACCTTGTGGTAGAGGGTGAGTGGGTCTGGCCGGCCAGGGGTGGGCTCCAGCTCCTCTAGATCTGCCAGGTTCCCTAAGGCCATGGGGTACCTAGGAAAGGATCATAATTCAGGCTGCCACCCAGCCCCCCGGCCTCACCAGGCGCAGCCTGGCCACTTCCCTCTACTGACCTTTCCAGATGTCCCAGGTCATAGAGCAGCCAGAGCAGCTTCTAGGAGCCGAAGGAGAGAGTTATGAGCCACGGAACAGGGAGGAGAACGGGTCCTTAGCCTATCGGGCAGAGGTGGGGGTCAGAACCAACAGGGACCACCCACCATGTGGAAGGGCCAAAATTCTGGGACCAGCCCTTTAATGGAGTCAAAGCAATTTCACATCTCAATTCTACTCTCCCAAGAGCCCTGGGAAAGGCCAGGCCAGGAATTACTAACCCATTTTTCCAGGAGGGGAAGCTGAAGCTCAGGAAGGGAAAGTGCCCCTGCCCAGGGTCCCACAGCAAGTCAAGTCTGGCCTAGCCCAGTCCTGCCCCATTGGCTCAGCCCTCACCTGCTGCAGCTGCAGAAGCTCCAGCGAGTCGGTGTGCAGGTCAATGGAAGGGTTGATGGCACACACCATGAACGCCACCTCCATCTTGCGGTCACAGCGCATGTATGATCCTTTCAGGTACAGCCAGCTCTTAGGGGGGGATGAGATCATTATGTCTCATGATGGCCCACCCTGTGCCTGCTTCAGGGAATGACAGCCAGGAAAAGGGGCTCTTCTGTCTTCCCTTCCTATGTGGGTGGTGATGGGAAGAAAGGGGTGTGGCCCAAGAAAATGGAGTCCCTTGGGTGGCTTGGGCTACTACAGTATGAAGGGGACAAGGCTGGGGGGAGGGAACAATACCCGCTCAGCCACACCGGCATTGACTGTCTGGCCCCTGCGGTCCTCGTTGCCCTTGCCGTGCCAGGTGACCTCAGCTGTCTGCTCCCCATTGGGCCCAAACACTACCCAGGCATGATCCTCAGACAGGGCGAGGTGGACATCCCGGAGACCCAGGGCCTGGCAGGCCCCAACCACAGCAAAGGCCACACCGGAGCTGTCCAATTTGGTGCCTGTGGAAGGGGGAGGTAATGAAAGAGGGTCCTCTGTGCTTTAACATGGGGAAAGGGGGCCAGGTAGTGATGGGCCACACTCCCTCCCACTCCCTTTCCAAGCCTGTGACCCAACCTCAGATTCTCCTGCCCACTATCCCTCCATCCCTTCCCTCCCACGTGTTCAAAGACTCTCTCCCTGTTTACACCCTCTATGTCCAACAAGATACCTTTCTGGATATCCTGTAGCTGACCCAGCCTTTGGCCCTACCTCGTCTTTCTCTGCAACTCTATTATATATTCTATGGATTTAGGGATTCCATTTTACTGCACTTACTAGGTTAAAACAGGAATGGCAAAAACAGGACGCTGGCCAACACTCTCTGGCTATACACCCACCAACAAATAACCCTCATTTATCTCTGCACTCTTTTCCTGCTAAGCTGAGAAGCAGCCTCTGATTCCTTCTCAATATGGCACACCAGGATGGGATTGCCAGTCAACCGGGCTTGGTGCAAAGCTCTTTGCAAGCCCTGACTCTTAAGCCTTTTGAGGTCAAGCCCCTTCTCTGTCTCAAACATTTTTGACCAGGTGCGGTGGCTCACGCCTGTAATCCCAGCACTTTGGGAGGCCAAGGCGGGCGGATCACGAGGTCAGGAGATCGAGACCATCCTGGCTAACATGGTGAAACCTCGTCTCTACTAAAAATCCAAAAAAAAATTAGCCAGGCATGGTGGCAGGCTCCTGTAGTCCCAGCTACTCAGGAGGCTGAGGCAGGAGGCAGGAGAATGGCATGAAAGCAGGAGGCAGAGCTTGCAGTGAGCCGAGATTGCACCACTGCACTCCAGCCTGGGCGACAGAGTGAGACGCCGTCTGAAAAAAAAAAAAAAATTTTCATAGGCCACCAGTTGCGGTGGCTCACACCTGTAATCCCAGCATTTGGGAGACTGAGGCGGGCAGATCACTTGAGCCCAAGAGTTCAAGACCAGTCTGGGCCACATAGTGAGACACCATCTCTACAAAAAAAATACAAAAAATTAACCAGCACCACGGTGCATGCCTGTACTCTCAGCTACTCAGGAGGCTGAGGTTGGAGGATCTCTGAGCCCAGGGAGACTGAGGCTGCAGTGAGCCATGATCACACCACTGCACTCCAGCCTGGGGGACAGAGTGAGACCCTGTCTCAAAAAAAAAAAAAAAAAAAATCTTCATAGCCATTATTTTGTTTAACTGCCTCAAATGCAGCCCAATTTCATCTTCTTGCCCCCTAAATCTGCTGCCGCCCTCTGTGTCTCATGCTTAGAACTCCTGTAGCTGTTCAGTGGCAAGGGTGGGGGTGCTGAGGGGGCAGAGGTGAGGTTGATGATTTGGAGCCAAGTGATCAGGCTTCACTTCCAGCCCTGCCATGCCGTGTGTGACTTTGGCATATCATTTCCCCTCTCTGGGCTTCAGTTTCCCAACTGCAAAGAGGAAAATAACACCTGCCGAACCTCACAAGGCTTACAGTTCTTAAAAGGGTTCTGTAAACCATGGAGGGTTTTGAAGAAGTGGGTCATGGATAAGATTCCCACCTACTGGGCTCCAACCTGTGATGAAGCTGAAGAGGGACTGGATGTGGGCCCGATCCTTGAAGTAGGAGCGGCTGAGGCTGTTCCATATGACATCGGAGACCTTCTTCACCAGCTCACGGCTGGAGACACCCCCTTCTCGAGGATAGAGGGACAGGTCGACGGCGCCTCGGATCTGGGCGGTGAAGCGGGCATAGAGGGCGGCGATGATAGACAGGTCGGCCACGGGAAAGTAGGTGAGGCCGCCAGGCGGGTCGGGGGCGGGGCTGGGCTGGAAGGTGAGCTCGGGAACGTTGGTAGGGATGACGCGGTTGACAGCCAGAAAATGCTCCACGAAGCCCAGCACCAAGGAAAGGAGCACCAGGTCCGGCTCCTCTCGGCCCAGCTCGGCAGCAAACAGGCGCACCACGTCGTCGATGGAGCGCAGCGGGAACAGCGTCTTCTGGGCGGCCTTCAGCCCCATGGCGGCGGGCGGTGGGCGGCGGCCTGCAAGGCAAGCCGGGGGAGGGAGGGTCGGGCAGGTTCGGCCGGGGAGCCTCCTCCCAGGGTCCGCTAAGGTTCCACCCGCCCCGACACACGCACAGCTCCCCTGCTTCCCCACCCTCTTCAGCCTCTGCTCACCGGCTTCCCCTCTTTTGTCGGTGAGACCCCTCAGCCGAGACTGCAGAGCCTTTTTGTCCCCCACAATTCCGGGACGCCCGGTACCCGATGGGGTGCGCCCCAAGCACCCCAATGAGGAGCCCCAATGGCCGCCCCGCCCCCTCTCTACGACTGTGCCCCCGGGGCTGTAAAGTCTGTCCAGAAAGCGCACCCAGGTCAAGCCCCCAAACCCCAAGGAGAGTCCTGGCCTCGGTCCCCCTCGCCCACCTCCGCGCTTACATCCCACACTAGGCACCGCGGCGCACGCCGCCCGGAGCCTGCTGGGACATGAAGTCCCGCCCCTAGGGTCGCACTACCCGCCGGGAAGTGGAGTCTGGGCCCACCCCTGCCCCGCTGAGCCTGGAAATAGTGGCGGGCCGGGCCGCTGCGCTGTGGCTTCTGGGATCTCTAGGTCCGCGGCTCCGGACACCTCCTTCCCGAGATACTCAGGGATTGGCCCTTCCCTTCAGGCCGACCAGGCAGGAAGCGTGCCCGCAGTGCCTTCTGGAAAATGTAGTCCGGGGGCACTACCTGCAGACTCGGGGTGGGAGGTCGCCGAGCTTCTGCCGGTTTTGCTGTCACGGGTCGGTCGGCAAGTTATGAGGAAAAAGATCAGGTTGCTTGATCCAGAAAAAATTAAAATAAAACAATATGAGAAAAACAGATACTTTTAAACACTGCCAGAGAGTAAATGTGTTCAGCCGCTTTAGCTGGGTATCAGTGTCTGTTAACATATAAAGATGCCTACTCTGTGTGCAGCACTCGTTTCCCACTTCCGCCCGCGAGATACTCTAACACGTGCTAAGAGTAGCTTTTGTTTGTTTGTTTTGAGACACGGTCTTTCTCTTTCGCCCAGGCTGGAATGCAGTGGCTCGATCTGGGCTCACTGCAGCCTCGACTTCACGGGCTCAAGCGATTCTCGTGCCTCAGCCTCCCGAGTAGCTGTGATCACAGGCGTGCGCCACCACTCCCGCCTAATTTTGTGTGTATGTGCATATACATAAATATATATACATATAACACACACACACACACACACACACACACATATATATATATATATATATATATTTTTTTTTTTTTTTTTTTTTTTTTTTTTTTTTGCAGAGACAGGGATTCCCAGCTACTTGGGAGGCTGAGGCGCGGGGAATCCCTTGAACCTGGGAGGCGGAGGCTTCAGTGAGCCAGAATCTTGCCACTGCACTCCAGCCTGGGCAACAGAGTGAGATTCCGTCTTAAAAAAAAGTCCCAAGTAGCTGGGATTATAGGCGTCCGCCACCACACCCAGAAAACTTTTTGTATTTTAAGTAGAGATGGGGTTTCACCATGTTGGCCAGACTGGTCTCGAACCCCTAACCTCAAGTGATCTGCCCGCCTCAGCCTCCCAAAGTGCTAAAATTACAGGCGTGAACCACCTTACCCGGCCAAAGAGTAGTTATTTGTTTATTTGTTTTGAGACAGAGTCTCGCTCTGTCACTCAGGCTGGAGTGCAGTGGGGTGATCTCGGCTCACTGCAACCTCTGCCTCCCAGGTTCAAGTGATTCTTCTGCCTCAGCTTCCCAAGTAGCCGGGATTACAGGTGCCTGCCACCACACTTGGCTAATTTTTGTATTTTACTTAGTAGAGACAGGGGTGTCACCATGTTGGTCAGGCTGGTCTCGAACTCCTGACCTCAAGTGATCCTCCTACCTCGGCCTCCAAAAGTGCTGGGATTACAGGTGTGAGCCACTGTGCCTGGCCTGTATCAACAACGCTTTGAAACTTTGAAATAATACTAAATTTCCACGGTCACTCATTTATTTGCTTATTCATTCAAAAAAAACAGATTTTTGGTACTTACCATGGGCCAAGTTCCAGACACTCGGTATATAGCAGTAAATAAAACAGATTAAATTTCTGCCCTACTTCACCTCTTCACCTCTCTGGATTTTCCTCAAAATTTATAACTCTCCTCTAATCATGAGAAAACATCTGGCAAAACAGAGTTGAGGGACATTCCACAAAATACCTGACCAGTATATCTCAATAGTGTCAAGTTCATGCCAGGCTCATGCCTGTAATTACAACACTTTGGGAAGCTGAAGCAGGAGGATTGCTTGAGGCCAGGAGTTCAAGACCAGCCCGGGCAACATAGGGAGACCCGGACTCTACAAAAACAAAAAATTGACCAGGTGTGGTGGTGCTCACCTGTAGTCCCAGCTACTCAGAAGGCTGAGGCAGGAGGATTATGTGAGCCCAGGAGGTCAAGACTGCAGTGAGCTGTCACGCCAGTGCACTCCAGCGTGGGCAACACAGTGAGACCCCGCCTCAGAAACAAAAAACAAAAGAAATCAAAAGAGCCAAGGTCATGAAAGATAAGGAAAGACCCACAAATCATTGCAGATGAGAGACCAAGGAGACAGAACAACTAAATGCAATGTGGTGTTCTGGATCAAATCCTGGAACAGAAAAAGGACATCAGTAGAAAAACTAGTAAACAGGGTAACCAGCCTTCCAAGCTGGCCCAGAACTGAGGCAACTCGGGAGTATGCGACTTTGAGTTTAATTTAATTTAATTAATTAATTAATTTATTTATTTATTTATTTATTTTTGAGACAGAGTCGCTCTGTCGCCCAGGCTGGAGAGCAATGGCACGATCTTGGCTCACTGCAACCTCTGCCTCCCAGGTTTAAGTGATTCTCTTGTCTCAGCCTCCCGAGTAGCTGGGATTACAGGCACCCGCCACCACACACGGCTAGTTTTTGTATTTTTAGTAGAGATGGGGTTTCACCATGTTGGCCAGGCTGGTCTTGAACACCTGGCCTTAGGTGATCTACCTACCTCAGCCTTCCAGAAGTGGTGGCATTACAGGCTTTAGCCACTTTGTGTTTCAAAAACAGTCAAAGCTAAGCTCAGTGGCTCACACCTGTAATCCCAGGGCTTTGACATGCCAAGGCAGGAAGACTGCTTGAGGCCAAAAGTTCCAGACCAGCCTGAGCAACAAAGCAAGACCCTGCCTCTACAAAAAAAAAAAAAAAAAAAAAAAAAAAAATTATTTTAAATTAGCCAGGCACAGTGGTGTGCACCATGTAGTCCCAGCTACTCAGGAAGCTCAGGCAGGAGTTCGAGGCTGCAGTGAGCTGTGATCGCACCACTGTATTCCAGCCTGAGTAACACAGTGAGATCCTGTCCCTAAAAACAACAACAACAAAAACAAAAGCCAGACTGGGCACGGTGGCTCACGCCTGTAATCCCAGCACTTTGGGAAGCCGAGGTGGGCGGATCACTTGAGGTCAGGAGTTTGAGACCAGCCTGGCCAACATGGCAAAACCCCGTCTCTACTAAAAATACAAAAATTAGCCAGGTGTGGTGGCACGTGCCTGTAATCCCAGCTATTCAGGAGGCTGAGGCAGGAGAATCGCTTGAACCCGGGAAGTGGAGGTTGGAGTGAGCCAAGATCGCGCCACTGCACTCCAGCCTGGGTGACAGAGCGAGACTCTGTCTCAAATAAAAAAAAAAAAATTAAAAAATAAAAGGCTCTTTGGGAGCAAAAGTCTTGTAGGCTTGGGCTCAGGACCAATGGGAGGAAAGAAATTGGAGACAGTGATAATACAGAAGTCTTTTGGGATCTTTGCAGCAAAGGGAAGGAGGAAAATGAGAGTGCATTAAATAGCTAGAGAAGAGGGGGGTCAAATAGATTATTGCTGGTTAATAAGAGAATTGCGGGAGCGATGGCCTTGGACAGAGAGTGGGAATGCATTCTTGAGTGGCAGGTTTGGCCTTGGCTAGGAGCACAGGCAGTTTATTCGCAAGGACTGGAAAGAAGGCCTACTACCTGGGCATATGTGGTGGGTAATTAGATTTTCTCAGTGAAATAGGAAGCCCAGTGGGTTACCATCTTCTCTCCAGATGTCTACCGGGTTCCCCACCTTCACAATATTGCTCAAACGTCACCTCAAAAAGGCTGACACAGACCTGACCATTCTACTTCAAATCACACCCTCCACTCGAAATTCCTCTATCCATCCCTCAACCCTGCTTTATATATTTTTTTTCTTTTTGTTTTGTTTTTCTGAAACGGAGTCTCACCCTGTCACACAGGCTGGAGTGCAGTGGCTCGACCTTGGCTCACCGCAACCTCTGCCTCCCAGGTTCAAGCAATTCTCCTGCCTCGGCCTCTTCAGGTGCACTTCAGGTGCACGCCACCACACCTGGCTAATTTTTGTGTTTTTTTGGAGAGATGGGGTTTTGCCATGTTGGCCAGGCTGGTCTCAAACTCCTGACCTCAGGTGATCCGCCCACTTCAGCCTCCCTAAGTGCTGGGATTACAGGCATGAGCCACCGCGGCCAGCCCGCTCTACGTTTTTTTTGTTGTTGTTGTTGTTGTTTGTTTGTTTGCTTTGTTAGCATTAACACCTTCTAGACAGGGGCTCTGGAAGGAGGCACTGTTGACGCTTGAGGTCGGGTAATTCTGTGACTGGGGCTGTCCTGTGCATTGTAGGATGACGAGCAGCATCTGTGGTTTCTACCCACTGGATGCCACCAGTTCAGCTCCCGCAGTGGGGACAACTAAAGATGTCTCCAGATGTTGCCAAATGTCCCCTGGGATGCCAAAATAGCCCCAGCTTGAGAACCACTATTCTAACATATGATATGACCACTTTGTTTCTCTGTTTTGAGACAGGTCTCGCTCTGTTGCCCAGGCTGGTGTGCAGTAGTGCAACCATGGCTCACTGCAGCTTTGACCTCCTGGGCTCAAGGTGGTCCTTCCACTTCAGCCTCCGAAGTGCTGGGATTACAGGAATGAGTCACCATGCCTGGCCTGATTTATTTATTGTTTGTCCCCTACCACCAGAAGATAAGCTCTACAGGACAGGAAATGTGTCTGCCGTGTTCACTGATGTGTCCCCTGGGCCTAGAATAGTGTCTGGCACATAATAGGTGTTCAACAAATATTTGCTAAAGAATACACGCATGCATGCAAAGCAGTAGGGTTTTTGTTTGTTTTTATTTTTCTATTGTTTTTTTATTTTTATTTTTATTTTTTTTGAGATGGAGTCTCCCTCTGTCTCCCAGGCTGCAGTGCAGTGGCACAATCTCAGCTCACTGCAACCTCCACCTCCCGGATTCATGTGATTCTCCTGCCTCAGCCTCCCGAGTATCTGGAATTACAGGTGCCCGCCACCATGCCCGGCTAATTTTTGTATTTTTAGTAGAGACAGGGCTTTGCCATGTTGGCCAGGGTGGTCTCAAACTCCTGACTTCAGGTGATCCATCTGCCTCGGCCTCCCAAAGTGTTGGGATTACAGGCATGAGCCATTGCACCTGGCCAAAGCAGTCATGATTAATGATTGACCTGGAATGTAGGCTGTGTGAGGAGGCATGTAAGGACAAGAGAAGGGTGACAGACAGCAAATGTGTAGTAATATCAATGGATTGCAGGTTTCTGTGGGGTCAACCGTCAATTCGAGTTGGGGTGCTAGAGTGGGCTGGAAAGAGAGTGGTGTTGGTTAGAGAGTAGGATGCTTGGCCAGGGGCAGTGGCTCACACCTGTAATCCCAGCACTTAACTGAGGCGGTTGAAAAATTAGCCGGGGGTGGTGGTGGGCGCCTGTAATCCCAGCTACTCGGGAAGCTGAGGCAGGAGAATCGCTTGAACCCGGGAGGCGGAGGTTGCAGTGAGCTGAGATCGTTCCACTGCACTCCAGCCTGGGTGACAGAACGAGACTCTGTCTCAAAAAAAAAAAAAAAAAAAGAGAGAGTAGGATGCTTGAGATTGAAATTATGGGGAGGGGGTTGTCATTATTGGCAAAGAAAAGATCTAGAGCAGAGCTTTCAACAGAAATATAACATGAGCCACAATACGATTTTGGCATTTCTAGCAGCTACTTTTTTTTTTTTTTGAGACACAGTCTCACTCTGTCGCCCAGGCTGGAGTGCATTGGCACGATCTTGGCTCACTACAACCTCCGCCTCCTGGGTTCAAGCAATTCTGCCTCAGCCTCCTGAGTAGCTGGGATTATAGGTGTGTGCCACCATGCCCAGCTAATTTAAGTAGCTACATTTTTAAAAGTAAGAAGCCGGGCACAGTGGCTCATGCCTGTAATCCCAGCACTTTGGGAAGCTGAGGCAAGAGGATCGTTTGAGTCCTGGAGTTCAAGACCAGGCTGGGCAATATAGTGAAACCCTGTCTCTAACAACCCCAAAAGTTAGCCAAGTGCTCACACCTGTGGTCCCGATTACTCAGGTCAGGAGGCTGAGACTGGAGGACCACTTGAGCCCAGGAGCTGGAGGCTGCAGTGATGCAGTGAGCCATGATCACGCCACTGCACTGAAGCCTGGGCAACAGAGTGAGACCCTGTCTTCAAAAAGATAAAAATAAAAATAAAAGAAGACAGAGGTGGAATTAATTTTAATCCTATATCTTGTTTAACCCAATATATCTGAAAATGCGATTTCAATTTGTAATAAATATAAAAATTATTGGGGCAGGCGCAGTGGCTCATGCCTGTAATCCCAGCACTTTGGGAGGCCGAGGTGGGCGGATCACGAGGTCAGGAGATCGAGACCATCCTGGCTAGCATGGTGAAACCCCATCTCTACTAAAAATATAAAAAATTAGCTGGGTGTGGTGGTGGGCTCCTGTAGTCCCAGCTACTCAGGAGGCTGAGGCAGAAGAATTGCTTAAACCCGGGAGGTGGAGCTTGCAGTGAGCCGAGATCACGCCACTACACTCCAGCCTGGGCTACAGAGCCAGACTCCATCTAAAAAAAAAAAATTATTGTCGGGCGCAGTGGCTCATGCCTGTAATCACAACACTTTGGGAGGGTGAGGCTGGTGGATCACCTGAGGTCAGGAGTTCAAGACCAGCCTCACCAACATGGTGAAACCCCATCTCTACTAAAAATACAAAAAAATTAGCCAGGTGTGGTGGCATGCGCCTGTAATCCCAGCTACTCGGGAGGCTGAGGCATGAGAATCGCTTGAACCCAGGAGGCGGAGGTTGCAGTGAGCCAAGATCATGCCACTGCACTCCAGCCTAGGTGACAGAGCCAGACCCCATCTCAAAATATATAAATAAATAAAATAATAAAAATTATTAATGATAATTTACAATTCTTTCACACAGACTGTTTGAAATCTAGTATGTGTTTTGCACTCACAGCATATCTCAATTCGGGAGAGATGCAGTGCTCCGTGGCCATGTGTGGCTGGGCTCCTGTATAGGACAGTGCGGCTCTCCAGGATGACTGTGGGAGTGAGTGGCTGAGGTAGGATAGACGACAAGATCCAGTGGGAAGAGGGCTTCAAGGAACTGGGAGGCCCAGCATAGATATCAACATGTCTAAGAATTAAGACAGAAGTAGGTTGGAGTGATGGCAAGCCAGGAACTAAAATGATCTAGAACTGGGCCGTCATGGGTTGGGAGATGTCAGAAACCAAGTGGGTGGCATCAGCTGATAACTGGAGTTCAAACCTGAGTGTTTGAAAGGAGGAGGTGAAGTACTATCTTGGGCAGAAAAAAAATAAAAAGGAAAGCAAAAGAGGAGGGAGCAGAATGTCTATAAGTGATGAGGGATTATGGAGGATGCCTACCCCAACTCTTCCAGGCCCATCGCAGGAGGGGTGCAGGAGAGCCTGCGGGGGGTTGCGGGGGAGACAGGAGTGGTGGTGACCTCAGGAGTCCAAGGTTTCTGCTAGAGCAGGAGGGATAGGAACTGTCTGGAGAAGGTAGTGAAGACCAGGAGATTTTGCTAACGATGGACCATCACCCCCAGAGGGAACAGAGGACATCTGCCAGGAGCTGGGGAGGGGTGGAGATGGAGTCAGAAAAGGGGATGGCCGGAGTTGTCCCTGGAACATCTGAGCCTCCTGTGGTGAAATGACACACAGCAATAAAGGGCAAGACCACTTCTGAGGGTCTCGAGGTTGGCTGGGGGTTGGGGGGCCCAGCTGTGAGTGTGAGGACAGGGGATGGAAGGGTCTGAAGCTCCAGTGGGATTTCTGCTGCTAAAGACAAGGAGGCCCTGGGAGGGTGGTCCCTCTGGACATCGCCAATATGGGTATGCATTGAACAAGCTAAGAGAAAGTCATCTCATGGGTGGAGGGGAGGGAGTCAAAGGGGAATTCGGCCCCTAATTTCTTTTCCAAAAAATTTTGTGTATTGTTGTAATTAAAATTAATTTAAAATAACACCAGCTAGGTATATTCTTTTTTTTTGTTTTGTTTTTTGTTTTTTTTTTGAGATAGAGTCTCACTCTGTTCGCCAGGCTGGAGTGAAATGGCACGATCTCGGCTCACTGCAAGCTCCGCCTCCTGGGTTCAAGCGATTCTCCTGACTCAGCCTCCCGAGTAGCTGGGACTACAGGCACGTGCCACCATGCCCAGCTAATTTTTGTATTTTTAGTAGAGATTGGGTTTCACCATGTTGGCCAGAATGGTCTCAATTTCCTGACCTTGTGATCTGCCCGCCTTAGCCTCCCAAAGTGCTGGGATTACAGGCGTGAGCCACCGTGCCCAGCTAGGTAATATTCTTGACTTAAAAAGTTTAATCTAGGGGGCAATGGAAAAATAAATAAATAAAAACAAAGTTTAATCTAGATCAGGTGCAATGGCCCACTCCTGTAGTCCCAGCACTTTTGGGAGGCCGAGGCTCTTGAGGAGAGTCACTTGAGGTCAGGAGTTCAAGACCAACCTGGGCAACATAATAAGACCTTGTCTCTACAAAAAAAAAAAAAAAAAGAAAAAAATCCACCAGGCATGGGCCTGTAATCCCAGCTAGTTGGGAGGCTGAGGCAGGAGGATCACTTGAGCCCAGTAATTCAAGACCACAATGAACTATGATTGCACCACTGCACTCCAGCCTGGGTGACAGGGCCATGTTAGGCAACAGGGTCGTGCCATGTTGTGCAGGCTGATCTCAAATTCCTGGCCTTAAGTGATCCTCCCACCTTGGCCTCCCAAAGCGCTGAGATTACAGGCGTGAGCTACGGTACCTTGCCAAATAACATTTTTGACACAACTGTACCACAAAGTAGGTGACTTAAACAACATAAATTAATTGTCATGGCCAATTTTTTACTTTTTGTAGAGACAGAGTCTCGCTATATTGCCTAGGCTGGTCTCGAACTCTGGGCTCAAGCAATCCTCCTGCCTCAGCCTCTCAAAGTGTTGTGATTACAGGTGTGAGTCACTGTACCAGGCCTGGCTTCTTATTCTTAAGACATAATTGCTGAAATATTTAGATGTGAGATTCAAGATGTCTGCAACTTACTTTCAATGGTTTAGCAAAATACATGCTATATAGATAGGAAGCAGAAGCAGCAAAATGTTTATTGGTGGATCTAGGGGAAGAGTATATGGAGTTTTTTTTTTTTTTTTTTTTTTTTTTTTTTTGAGATGGAGTCTCACTCTATCGCCCAGGCTGGAGTGCAGTCGCACGATCTCGGCTCACTGCAGGCTCCACCTCCCAGGTTCACGCCATTCCCCTGCCTCAGCCTCCCGAGTAGCTGGGACTACAGGTGCCCGCCACCACGCCCAGTTAATTTTTTGTATTTTTAGTAGAGATGGGGTTTCACTGTGTTAGCCAGGATGGTCTCCATCTCCTGACCTCGTGATTCACCCGCCTCGGCCTCCCAAAGTGCTGGGATTACAGGCGTGAGCCACCGCACCCGGCCTTTTTTTTTTTTTTTTTTAAGATGGAGTCTCACTCTGTTGCCCAGACTGGAGTGCAGTAGTGGGATTTCAGCTCACTGCAACTTCCGCCTCCCAGGTTCAAGTGATTCCCCTGTCTCAGCCTCCCAAGTAGCTGGGATTACAGGCGCCCGCCACCCGCCCTGGCTAATTTTTTTTTTATGTTTTTAGTAGAGACAGGGTTTCACCATGCTGGCTAGGCTAGTCTTGAACTCCTGACCTCAGGTGATCCACCCATCTCAGCCTCCCAAAGTGCTAGGATTACAGGCGTAAGCCACCACGTCAGGCCTTTTTAAATTTTTATTTATTTATTTATTTAGAGATGGATTCTTGCTCTGTCGCCCAGGCTGGAGTGCAGTGGCACGATCTCAGCTCACTGCAGCCTCCACCTCCCTGGTTCAAGTGATTATCCTGCCTCAGCTTCCTGAGTAGCTGGGATTACAGGTGCGCACCACCATGCTCAGCTAGTTTTTGTATTTTTAGCAGAGATGAGGTTTCACAATGTTGGCCAGGCCGATGTTGAACTCCCAGCCTCAGGTGATCTGCCTGCCTCAGCCTCCCGAAGTGCTGGGATTACAGGCGTGAGCCAGTGCCTGGCCGGAGTTCATATTCTTTCCATCTTTCTGCAGGTTTGAAATTTAACATAGGCCGGGTGCGGTGGCTCACGCCTGTAATCCCAGCACTTTGGGAGGCCGAGGCGGGCGGATCACGAGGTCAGGATATCCAGACCATTCGGGCTAACACGGTGAAACCCCGTCTCTACTAAAAATACAAAAAAATAGCCGGGCACGGTGGCAGGTGCCTGTAGTCCCAGCTACTTGGGAGGCTGAGGCAGTAGAATGGCATGAACCCAGGGGGCGGAGCTTGCAGTGAGCCGAGATCACGCCACTGCACTCCAGCCTGGGGAACAGAGTGAGACTCTGTCTCAAAAAAAAAAAAAGAAAGTTAACATAAAATATTGGGAGAAAATTAATTTTTTAGAAGTGTAAAAATTTGTACATCTGAAAGTCTTTTGGCTGAATTACTGCTGGGCACTGGGAAGCAGCCGTTTCTCCAGTTTAGTGAGGGACAGCTCCAGGTCTCAGCTTGCCACAGGCCTGAGTATCTCCATACAGGGCTCTCTCTTTGAGTCTCTGCACCTCAGTAGGCCGAAGAATATTTCCTGAGTGGGCCGAAGGCATTTTCCACCATGATCTTACTCGTCTCACCAGAACCTCCCATGAGATAGTTTTTTTGTTTTGTTTTGTTTTTGTTGTTTGTTTGTTTGAGGCAGGGTCTTTCTCTGTTGCCCAGGCTGGAGTGCAGTGGTGCAAACATAGCTCACTGCAGCCTCAAACTCCTGGTCTCCAGAGATCCTCCCACCTCAGCCTCCCAAAGTGCTAAGATTATAGGTGTGAGCCACTTCAGCCAGCCTGTGATAAGTTTTATTTTATTTTGAGACAGAGTCTTGCTCTACCACCCAGGCTGGAGTGCAGTGGCGCGATCTCAGCTCACCACAACCTCTGCCTCCTGGGTTTAAGCCATTCTCCTGCCTCAGCCTCCTGAGTAGCTGGGATTACAGGTGCACACCACCACACCCGGCTAATTTCTGTATTTTTAGTAGAGACGGGGTTTCACCATGTTGGCCAGGCTAGTTTTGAACTCATCCGCCCACCTCGGCCTCCCAAAGTGCTGGGATTATAGGCGTGAGCCACCGTGCCAGCCCTGAGATAGGTTTTACGATTCCCATTTACAGATGCGGAAACTAAGGCCAGGTAACTTGCCTGTGGCTGCATAGCTAGACCAGAATCCAGGCTGCCTGACTCTCATGCCTGGGCCCCTAACCAGGCCCTAGAATTCCAGACACCCTCCAATCCCCATTCCCAACCACGTAGTGGCCCCGTCTCTTTTCAGTACTTTCCCCTAGCTTTAGGGCCTGCCATAAGCCTCAGAGCATAGCCATTGGCTGCCCCAGGCGTGCCCTGAAGCTAGGGCACACTCCTTCCCCTCCTTCCCCATTCAGCCCAGCCTTGAGGCCTGGGTCCTGCTAAGTCTTGGACACCCCAGCCAAGAATAAGTGAAACCCCTCCCAGACCTTCCCCTGCTCCCTCTTCATCAGCCTCACCTGGGTGGGCAGCAGGGCACTGGATACCCATGGTGTGCCCTTCGGATCCACTTCCCCCTTCTCCACCCTGCTCTGTGCCAAGACTGCCCACTACAACCTACAGTTACTGAGTTTTTTTTTTTTCTTGAGACGGGAGTTTCACTCTTGTTGCCCAGGCTGGAGTGCAATGGCGCGATCTCGGCTCACTGCAACCTCCGCCTCCTGGGTTCAAGCGACTCTCCTGCCTCAGCCTTCCAAGTAGCTGGGATTACAGGTGCCCGCCACGATGCCCGGCTAATTTTTGTATTTTTAGTAGAGATGGAGTTTCACCATGTTGGCCAGGCTGATGTCAAACTCCCGACCTCAGGTGATCCACCTGCCTAGGCCTCCCAAAGTACTGGGATTACAGGTGTGAGCCACCAAGCCACGACTTTTTTTTCCTTTTTTTTTGAGACAGAGTCTTGCTCTGTCACTCAGGCTGGAGTGCGGTGGCACAGTCCGCCCGCTTTGGCCTTCCAAAGTGCTGGGATTACAGGCTTGAGCCACCGTGCCCAGCCAGTTCACTGAATTCTTGGAGCCTCTGGCTGCTGGTTGAATTTGGACAAAGGGAGGCAGAAAATGGGAGGGAGTGAGGCGGAGGAATTTATTTCCTAGGCTGCCTTTCAGCTCAGCCATGGTCAAGTTTTACCAAAAGCTAGAGCTCCTGTCGGGTAGCACCACTGCCTCTTCCTGCCTGGGTGGCCTGGGGGTCCTAAGAGCTCCTCTCTGCTGCCCGGGCCCTGAGGCACTGCCATTCATTGGTGTGTTCCCTTAGCACTGTGCATGCTTCTGTAAACTGCCCTTCGTTAGTTAAGTCCCTTCATTTACCCCATTTGAATGTCACCTGATTCCTGAAAAGGCAGGGAAGACAATCTGGCCTTTAACTGTCTGTGACACCCCCACTGTTCCCTCCATTCCTAATCTCCCACCTTCTGAACCCCAAGAGGACAGATCCAGGCAAGGAGGCCAGCAGCTTACAAAGCTGTCTTTATTGGTTTCCTTTTCTTTTCTTTTTTTTTTTTTTTGAGACGGAGTCTCACTCTGTCACCCAGGCTGGAGTGCAGTGGCGCGATCTCGGCTCACTGCAAGCTCCGCCTCCCGGGTTCACGCCATTCTCCTGCCTCAGCCTCCCGAGTAGCAGGGACTACAGGCACCCGTCACCACGCCCGGCTAATTTTTTGTATTTTTAGTAGAGATGGGGTTTCACCGTGTTAGCCAGGATGGTCTCAATCTCCTGACCTCGGGATCTGCCCGCCTCGGCCTCCCAAAGTGCTGGGATTACAGGCGTGAGCCACCGCGCCCGGCATCTTTATTGGTTTCTTGCGCCTCACAGAGCATCAGGGTCTGTCCCTCCTGGGAATGTGGCATTTGAGGAGATAAATACTTATTTTGCCCCCCACACTTCAGTGGGGGGAGGTTTAATAAAAATAGTAATATAATAACAATATAATGACTGTGATCAATAGTAAAATGCGCCCTAGTTTCCAATACACAACTGGTTGAAGATTCGAGAAAAACGACCCCCTTTCTGGGAAGGGCCAGAGTGTGCCCGGAGACCCTCCAGTGGCCCCCACTGGGTACCCATCTCCCACCAAAAAGCCCTTATAAATACCCTCCCCATCCTGTCCCTGTCCAGGATTCTCTTCCCCGATGGGAGGATTGGCTGACAGTGTCAGCCCCGCCCACTGCACCCCTCCCCAGAGAAAGGACCCTTTGTTCTCCAGACTCCCTCTCTCCTCCATCCCTCTTTTTGTCTCCCTCCTCTTCTTCATCGCTCCTCCTTCGTCCCTCTCCCCTCTTCCTCTGCACGGCTTCTACCTCCTTCCAATTCCTATCACCTCCTCCTCCACTTCCTTCCTCCTATCCTGTCTCTCACCTCCTTCGCCTACATCCTTTCCCTCCTTCTCTATCTTCCCTTCTTCTGGATCACAGCCTGTTTTTCTCACCCAGACGCTAAGCAGAGACGGGGACATGCCCCATCTTGGCCTCAGCTGGGAGTCAGACAGTCCACAGATAAGACCTCCAACCTGTTCCCAGAGACCCAGTCCCTCTCCATCCCTCATCCCAACTCTTACAAGCCTCTGGGGGCTTGGCACTGGAAATAAGAGCTTTGGCACAATCACCCCTGGACACCAGAACAAAAGGGGCCATTCTATTCCCAATGGCTTAGAAAGGCTGGGGCTGGGAACAGAGGGGTAAGGCAGGATGAGGGCTGGGAGTCAGGACCCCCAAGTCCTGGGAACCCAGGCAAGTCTCCCAGTCATTGCCCAGCCCGGGTCCTCCCTGAGTCCGAATTTCCATGTCCCGGACCAGCCGGAGTATGGCATTCCTCAAGCTCTTTGCTCCCTCATGTCCTTCTGCCCTGGGATTGGGGTGGGCCCTAACAGAGGGCATCAAGGAGAGCTCTCCAATTCAGGGGATAGGGGGAGGCTTCGGGGCCGTTCTGAGACCTGCAGGAGAAAGAAAAGGAAGTCAAGGGGTAGGATCAGGAAGAACTCTTTCCTCATAGGGCTGGTGGGTCCTGGAGGCCCCCTTAGGACCCATCACCCACTGTATCAGGGCCCCTGGAGGAAGCCAGATGTGAGGTGAGGAGTAGAGGTGGTAAATGGGTCACTGGAAGAACCTGGAGAGCTCCTACTTAACTTTGAATGGACTCAAAGTCCTTTTTTTTTTCTTTTTTTCTGAGACAGAGTCTTGCTCTGTCGCCTAGCCTGGAGTGCAATAATGGCATGATCTTGGCTCACTGCAACCTCTGCCTCCCAGGTTCTAGTGATTCTCCTGCCTCTGCCTCCCAGGTAGCTGGGATGACAGGCATGCACCACCATGCCTAGTTAATTTTTGTTTTTCGTTTTTTTTTTTGGAGACAGAGTCTCGCTCTGGAGGCTGGAATGCAGTGGCATGATCTTGGCTCACTGCAACCTCCGCCTCCCAGGTTCAAGTGATTCTCCTGCCTCGGCCCACCAGGTAGCTGGGATTACAAGCATGCACCACCAGGCCCAGCTAATTTTTGTATTTTTAGTAGAGACAGGGTTTCACCATGTTGGCCAGGCTGGTCTTGAACTCTTGACCTCAAGTGATCTGCCTGCCTCAGCCTCCCAAAGTGCTGCGATTACAGGGGTGAGCCACAGCGCCCAGCCTCAAAGTCCCTTTGTTCATTCACTCCATTCTTCCTTCAGTCGACCACATGCTTTACTCTGGGCAGAAGAATGAAGCCTGACCCCCACCACCAAGGAGCCCACAGTCAACAGAGGAGAACAGGCACCAGAAGAAACCCACAGCACAGCAGAAGCTGCAAGGAAGGTGTGGAGGGAGCGGGGTGGCAAAGGTGGCACCAGCCCCAGGGAGGCAATGACTACCTGACCAAGCGGCCAGGAAGGCTCCTTTGAAGATGATCCTGGTGGGTCACCTGGAGGGCAGTCTGATGTTGGTTAAGGTGAAGATAGAGAAAAGGCATTCAAAACAGAGGGGACTGCAGGGGCAAGAGCCTGCAGGTGTGGAAGAACATGGCAAGCCCCAGGGCTCCAAGTGGCCTGGTGTGACGGGAGTGGGTGGATGTGTGTGCTGTAGACGTGGCTGCAGGGGGAATGGGAACCTCCCTGGCTTCTCTTAGGTTTTCCCCTGCCCTCATTCAGAATGGACTGCTCCCTCCTCTGACCCCCCAACTCCCTGCTGTGGACTGGGCCTCTATTAAGAATCCCAAGAGTGGCCGGGCATGGTGGCTCACATCAGTAATCCCAACACTTTGGGAGGCCAAGGTGGGCGGATCACTTGAGGTCAGGAGTTCGAGACCAGCCTGGCCAACATAATGAAACCCCATCTCTACTTAAAATACAAGAATTAGCTGGGCATGGTGATGCATGCCTGTAATACCAGCGACTTGGGAGAGGCTGAGGTAGGAGACTTGCTCAAATGTGGGAGGTGGGGGTTGCACTGACCGAGATTGTGCCACTGCACTCCAGTCTGGGTGACAGAGTGAGACTCCATCTGGAAAAAAAAAAAAAAAAAAGAATCCCAAGAGCTCCCCTTCTGTGGCACCTTCCCCATGCCAGGTACTATGCTGAGCCCTTCGCAGGTATCATCAGCTCATGCAGGCCTCCCAGAAACCACATCATTTTACAGGTAAGACAAGATCAGGGAGGTTGGGCATTTTGCCCAGAGCCACACAGCTGGAACAGTCAGAGCCAAGATTCCCACCTAGGCTGGCCTGCATCCAGGATCCTGCTGGTGCCCACTGGTGGGGTGAGACAGGTAAGAATCTGCATCTCGTAGAATCGAGGGCAGGGATGGGCTCAGCTTGTTCCCTAGCCTAGGTCACTGTGCAAGGCCTAGCATAAAACGGAACTGCCTGACGTTTGAATAGGGGACGGACAAGCCTCCCGGACCCGCTCACCTGCATTAGGGAGGTTGCAGGGCTCAGCGATCCCTGGGGGCAGGACACAGACTCGCTGGACAGGGATGTCCAGGGTTTCCTCTTCACTGCTCCAGCAGCAGACGAGGAGACAAAAATACCAAGATCAGATTTCAGGGATCCAAAGGGGGTAGAAACTTGGGGTGGGGGGTGGCACACTGGAGGCTGAGGGGCTGCCCTTACTGGGGTCTGCGTCTCCACCGAGGCCTTCGCTGCCCATGGAGGCTGGGCGCCGCAACGCCTCGGAGAAGCTGTGGGGCCGCTGTGGGCCGGAGCCGCGGGCAACTCGGCCCTTCTCTTCGGGAGCCTGTTGGGTGACAGTGCGGAGGGGCTGGGACTAGCAGGCACAAGGAGGACAAGAGGCCCAAGGCACAACAGACCAGGACAAATGAACGCCACTGGGCCCCCAGCCTGGTTTTACTTAAGTCCCAGGTAGCAGAAGTGTGAGTCCCAGGCCTTAGGAGTAATTACAGCGGCCCGTGATTGGCTAGAGCTCACCACAGAGGCCGGTTATTGGCTCAGCCTCACCAAAGTGGCTTGTGATTGGCTCCAGAGGACTAACCGGGGACTTGTCCCTGGCGCCGGGCCGCCCGTTGGCAGGGCCCACGTGTACTAGGTGGTTGAAGTTGGTAGGCGGCGAGATGAGCTTGGAGCGCACAAAAGGGTCCTTCAGCATCTCCCTGTGGGCGGAGGTGTAAGTAGTGGGTGGCGAAGCTCCACCCTCCCTTCGACCCGTCCACAAGCGGAGGCGGCCCCACCCAGCCTCAGCCCCCGCGTCGTGCACGCGCACCTGCGCTGCTGCTTCTGCTGCTCCTCCGACACGCGGAAAAAGAAGCGGCGCTTGCTCTTGGTGCGGAACAGCTGGCGCCGGCTGTTGTCGGTGAGGTCCGGGATGTCGAACTCGTCCTTCTCTGTGGGAGAAGTGGAGAGCTGGGCTGTGCTCACACATTCCCGGGGCCCAGTCAGCTGGCATTCAGGGCCACACAGCCACACGTGCGCACTGGGGAACGCACACACCCGTACACACGCACTCCCTCACCTGCCAGCTGGTTCCTGAGGTAGGTCAGGCGGACCTTCTCGGTGCCGTAGAGGAACAGGGAGCCCTCTGGATTGAGGGGCCGCACCTGAGGCAGCAGGCACAGCGGTCAGGCCACGCCTCCACCCCCGGCGCTACCCCAGGGCTCTGGCGGACCCTCACCTTCTTGAGCGGCACGGTCTGCACCCATTCTGCCCTCCTCACGTCAAACACATCGATGGAGTTCTCGCTGAACACTGTCAGGTAGGGGGCCGCATACCCTGCGGGCACGCCAGGCACCTCTGAGCTGTTTCCCCCTCTGTTCCACAGGGAACACCTTGTCCCCTGCCACAGCACAGTAACTACCATGCCCCACGCTAAGGTCCTTCCTCTGAAGACTCCCTGTCGCCCGGCCCAGCCTCCACATCAAATCAGAGATAACCCTGGACCACTCACCACATGCCTGGCTCAGTTCTAAACACGACATGCTTTTCCTGCCTTAATTTTCTAACAACTCTGAGCAAGTACTACTGTTATAATCCCTAATTTCCAGATGAGGGAATGGAACCCCTGGAGCCATGTGATGGTCAAGGTCAGGTCACTCAGCTGGTCCTGAGAGCTGCGATTTGGCCCTGGGCAGCTTGGGTGATATGCGGCACCCAACCTGCAGGCCCCACCCCAAAGAGCCATTGCTCACGAAGGACACTCTGCCCCTCTCTTCCAGCCCTTACCCATCATGCTAGTTACTTGTGCATGCACCAGACTGCCCCACTGCCTCATTCATTCATTCATTCACTCTTCCACTCATTCCTCCAAGCCCATCGCCCCTGGAGTGTGCCACCCTGGGCTGGGGGCTTGATGTGGATGAGGAAACCAGCCCCGGCCCATTCTGTGGGACCCCAGTGCACCAAGCCAGTCATGAAGTGGAGGCGATGAGAGCCGTGACACAGGTCTGGACGGAGAGAGAGTGGGGCAAAGAGAAGGAAAGGACCAATGACGGGGAAGCAGGGCGGGGAGCACGAAGGCAATGGTGACCACAGCAATCGCAGCGGTTATCTTTGGAGCGCCTACCAGCTCCAGGCCCTGAGCTGACACTGGGGTGGTACCTAGTTAAGAGTTTGCCAGGTACAGGCCGGGGCCGGTGGCTCACACCTGTAATCCCAGCACTTTGGGAGGCCGCGCGGGAGGATTGCTTGAGTTCAGGAGTTTGAGACTCCCAGCCTGCGCAATATGGCGAAACCCCATCTCTGAAAAAATACAAAAATTAGGCTGGACGCGTTGGCTAACGCCTGTAATCCCAGCACTTTGGGAGGCCAAGGCAGGTGGATCACTTGGTCAGGAGTTTGAGACCAGCCTGGCCAACATGGTGAAACCCCGTCTCCACTAAAAATACAAAAATTAGCTGGGTGTGGTGGCGTGCACCTGTAGTCCCAGCTACTAGGGAGGCTGAGGCAGGAGAATCACCTGAACCCGGGAAGCAAAGGTTGCAGTGAGCCGAGATCACACCACTGCACTCCAGCCTGGCGACAGAGTGAGACTCCTCTGTCTCAAACAAAACAAAACAAAAATTAGCCAGGCGTGATGGCACACACCTGTGCCCCCAGTTACTCGAGAGGGTGAGGTGGGAGGATCACTTGACCCCAGGAGGCGGAGGTGGCAGTGAGTCGAGATTGTGCCACTGTACTCCAGCCTGGTGACAGACAGAGACCCTGTCTCAAAAGAAAAAAAAAGTTTGCTAGATAGAAACAAAAGGAGAGCGGCTCAGGCAGGAGAGGAGCATGAGCTCAGCCATGGAAAAGGAAGGTCCCCTGCAAGCCACAGAGGGTGGGACAGGGTGTTGTTGGGCTGGAGGATGCAAACTGGCACCAAAGGCCTCCAATGCCAGGCTCATGAGTTGAGGCGGGACCCTGTCTTCACCCACCCACTGAAGGTGCCTGGCCCCCCTGCCAAGCCCTCAGCAGGCCTTACCCCAGCCCATGGGCGCTGCTGGCCACAACAGCTCGTGGCCACGAGACTTGCGGCCTGCGCCATCCACGTAGATGCCAGCAGTGGTGAAGAGTAGCAGGAACTCGCTGAGGCTAAGCTCCACGGCACCCAGTGCCTCACCCAGGCCCCCGCGGGATGGTGGCAGCTCCTCAGGCACCAAACCGGCCCCCAGCGCCAACGGCGCAGCCTCGTTGAGCAGCGGGTAGAGTGCAAAGCCACCGGCGGCGCCCACACATAGCCGGTCGCCCAGCAGCCCCAGGCTCTGCACAGTGGCAGGTGCCTGCAGCTCACGGATGCGGCGCTGCCAGGGCCCAGGGCCCGGGCCCAGCTGGTAGCAGAGCACCTGGCGCTTGACGGCTACACAGAGCACCGGGGTGCGGGCCTGCAGGATGCTTCCAGCTGCCAGCACCTGGCAGCCTCGAGACTCGGGGATCTTGGCACCTGCTACCTCTATGTTCTCCAGCTCCGCCAGGGCAAAGAGACGCACGCTGGGGCCGCGGCCACACAGCACGACCAGCAGGCCTGCACTGGGGCTCAAGGTCAGCTGCTGCACGCGCCGGCACTCCCCCACCTGGAAGATGTCTGCAGGGTTGGCGAGGGGAGAGTGTCACTGGCAGGTGGTTGAAGAGTGACCCATCCCCATCCTCCTCTGCCCGCTGGGGCTGCCCCTGCCCACGCCCACCCTAGCCCAGCTTTGATAGGTACCGTTGCTGCGCAGATGGATGACAAAGAGCCCCTCCTCGGTGCCAAGCGCAAGTCGATCCTGGTCTGGTAGAGGGAGGCAGAGGGTCAGAGGTCAGCAGTCCCACTCAATGACACGGAGATTGGGCAGTCCACCTGCCCTGCTGTGCCTGTTTATCTTGAGGAAATGGGGGTGGCAATAATCCCGCTGTCCCTGCCTCACTGACCCTTCTCTCCCAGTCTGGACAGGCTTTTCCAGAGGGGTTGGGGTGAGGCCCATCATCTTGAGCTGTGGGATTTTGGGTAAGTCATGTCACCTCTCAGAGCCTTGGTTTCCTTATGTAAACTGGGGACAACGATGGTACTTCCTCACAGAGCAACTCTGAGGAAGCGAGGAAGTGATGCAGGGGAGGGTTCAGCAGAGCCCCTTGCTCAATAAATCCCCTCCCCTCTGGTTCCCGACTGCTCCAGGGACCCGCACAACCTCTCCTGTGTCTCCCGCCCTGAGAGCCGGGCCTGGCTCAGGGCCTCAGCTGCTGGGGAACGCCAAGGAGCTCTGTTTCATGCCTCTTTCCCAGCCTTAGTTACAGAAGAGCCCTGCTGAGCCCCAGGTTCAAGGCTGAGCACAAGTGAAGCTCTTCGCAGCTCCACCCAGGAGATGTTATGAGGCTCTGGGTGGTTCTACAGCAGCTCCCCCAGTCCCCCAGCTTGTAGTGAGACAGCCAGGACTGAACCTTCGTTTCTCTCTTTCTAAAGCCTTTGTTCCAGCTGGGCACGGTGGCCCATGCCTATAATTCCAGCACTTTGGGAGGCCAAGGTGGGTGGATCACCTGAGGTCAGGAGTTCGAGACCAGCCTGGCCAACATGCTGAAACCCCGTCTCTACTAAAAATACAAAAAATAGCCAGGCGAGGTGGTGCATGCCTGCAATCCCAGCTACTCTGGAGGCTGAGACAGGAGAATCGCTTGAATCTGGGAGGCGGAGGTTGCAGTGAGCTGAGATTGCACTGCTGAGCTCCAGCCTGGGCGACCGAGCGAGACTCTGTCTCAAAAAAAGAAAAAGAAAAAAAAAAAGCCTTTGTTCCTTCCACTTGCTTGAGATTCTTTTGGAAAAAGCAGAAACTGAGGCACAGCGAAATGGAGTGGGGATAAGCCAGGCCCCCTACCTGGGGGCCCAGCCATGCACACAGGAGGCTGGAGCACATACGTGGTGCAAGGCAGTCTGTGTCTCGTGGCTGCAGGGAATGGGCAGTAGCAGTGGCCCTTGGGACTATTCCTAGACACCAGCACTCCCGCAGGCCTGAACTGCTTCCTCCAGTCCCCTCCACCAGCTCACCGAGGATGGCAGCGCAGAGCGTGTGAGGCAGCAGCGGCAGCCCGTTGTCGTAAGCCTCCTTGAGTGTGTACACGGGCCGGGGTCTTGGCCGCGCGTCCAGCAGCAGCCGCTGCAGCTCACCCAGCACCTGCAGCCAGCGTTCCCGCTCCCCCTCGCTCTCTGCCAGCAGCAGCACAGTGCACGTGGTGGGCGGCACTGCCAGCTGGGAGGTTGTCACCTGTGGGCAAGGACCCCAGCTGGAGGGCCGTGGACCAGAGCCATCTGTCCTCCCTCCCTTCCTGCCTCCAGCAGCCGCTGTGCCCCGGGGGCCTAGCGTGCACTGTCAGCAGCAGGGAGTAGGCCAGACAGGCAAACAGACAACTCCAGAGCCATGCGACCAGCGCCATAATGGGGCAAGGACGGGCCTAGTGGGAACACAGAGGGACCCAAACCGGGGCCGGGAAGTGAAGGATGACTTCCCAGGAGACCAGACATTTCTGCTGAAGCCTGAGGGACGAGTAACTAACCAGGAGTAGTCAAGGTAGGTGAGGGGCTGGGCTCCAGTGCAGGGCCGGCAATTTCGTGCAAAGACAGATGTGAAGGACTGAGAATGTGGTGCACACAGGCACAGGGCGCCTTCAGAACTGGAGAGAGCAAGGTGTGACCAGAGCAGAGACAGGTGCCAAGGGAGAGGGCTGGGAGGCCTGCAGGGTCAGAGCCTTGGGGCCTCAAGGGCTAGGTCAGGAGCACCCCGAGCCCCGCAGACGATGGGAAGCCACAGCAGATCCTAAACGAGGTGAGACCGGGCCAGGTGCTCACGTGGAAAGCGTGCTGTGGTTGTGGGCTGGCCCAAGAGGGCAGTATGAAGTGGGGGGACAGTGGCCAGAGCTGGGACAGCATGGGGAGGTGGATGGTGGCTGCTCCATCTCATCCCAGGCACTCACCCTAAAGATGCGTGGCAGGTCCCTGGATTGGGCATGGATAACATCAGAGGCCAGGACAGGGGTAGCCGAGAACTGGGGGTCCCTGGGAGGTTCACAGAACAGGTCAGAAATCTCCCTGTCCCTGACTGCCCCCCTTACCACTAGTCCCTTGCCCCATGCCACTGCCCGGCACCTACCTCAGATCTAGGACCTGCAGGAGGGCCCCACTGGGCGGGCTGAGCCTCAGGTCAGGGGCGTCAAACAGCAGCAGGCGTGAGTCACTCAGGGCAGCAAACACGCGCTGCCAGCCCCGCCGGACACCTGAGGGCCGCGGCACCTGGCGGAAAGGCAAGCATGGGAGGGCTGCAGGGACCCTCAGCCCCCCATGCCCATCTTCCCCTCCCTCGGCCCCCACTCACCGACAGAAAGCCCTCATAGGCAGTGCCTGTGCCTGTTTCGGGGTGTACTCCCAGGGCTGTGCGGAGGAGGTCAGGGGGCACGGGGCAGGGTGGGGCCTGTGGGGCACAGGTTGTGTGACAAAAGTAGCCGCAGGCTGTGGGGAAAGTGGAGAAGGTGGATGAGGTGAGGCTGGGAGGGGACAGCCCCAAACCAGGACGGGGGCATGTCCAGAGCCAGCTTCCCTGAAGCCACGGTGGCACCCGAACTGTCCCCAATTCCTCATCAAGTGAGAAAAGGAACAAAGCTGAGCAGGAGGAAATTTGACCAGCAGGTGCCAGTGACCCTGGGATGGGAGAAACAGCCTGGGTATGCCAGGGCCACACACCTGGGACCGTGGCTGGAGCATAGTGGGTGGGGACTCTCACCATCACAACCCAGGCCCTGGCGGCCCAGGCCCAGCATCAGCGAGGTGCAGCGGAGACACTTGGTCGGGGATGGGAAGCTCCGGGGGCGCAGCGTGTGTGAGCCGGGCTGGGGAGGGGGACAGCCATTACCCAAGGCCTCCCAGGGCCCCATGCCCCATCCCTGAGGGGTCAGGAAAGACAAGGGGCTGAGCCAGGCAACAGTGACCTCCGAGTCCCAGCCAATCTATGGCGGCAGGCAAGCTCATCGCCACCACCTCCACCCCAATTGTGCCTGCTAGCCACGATGCACGTGGAGTGTCCCCACAGTGCCCATTCAGCCTGGCAGAACTGCTTGGTGCCCCCACCCTGCTTGCCCCTCTGGGCACTGACCTTAGCAGGAAGACCTTCTGTAGAGGCTGTGTTGGCAGTGGGTGCTCTGGGGAACACAGCCTGCAGGAGGGCGGGGGAGCAGGTGAGACGGGCAAGGGCGGGGCCCAGGCCCCCTACGATGGACCCACCTGTCCTCACCCCCATGCGCAGGCTGCGTCGGCCCTCCGGCCTCAGATCTGGCTCTCCTCCATGCCTTGTGGCCTCTCCTGAGATGCCAGGGTCCTTGGCAGAATCCTTCTGGGGGTGGGAGAGAGAGGAGCAAAGTCAAGGTCCCTGTGCCTCTCCCAGAACTTCTCCCCAACAAGCCCCTTGGCCTGGTCCTTACCTCTGAGCTCCGGAAGGACAGGAAGGGAATCAGGGAGTTTGAGGGCTTGGTGTCTGCAAAGAAAGGGTGGGTCACTGGCCTGGGGTCCCTGGCCTGAGGAACTAGGGTCCAGGAGGGGCCTCAGTTCCCACCTCAGTAAAATGGGAAATGACCACAGGGTGGGGCAGGGCTGGGCACAGCAGGCACTCCAGAAGTGCTGGTCACAGATGATGGAGTAAGCGGCAGAGTCCAGGAACAGACTCCTGTCTCCACCACCCTGCCAGGCCATCGTGGAGCCCCCTTGGCAAGTGGGAGGCCGCGGGGGAGCCTGGCTCCGGGGCAAGCAGTTGGCAGCCACTCACCCACTGGCCCTCGGGCCCGCAGCTCCTCCCGCAGCATGGCGAGCTCCTGTTGCAGGGCCTGGCTCTGCTTCTCGGCCTCCTGCAGACGGCTGGGGAGAATGGCAAGGGCTCGCCACTGGCCTCTGTGCGGGCCCTGGCCCCCAGTGCCTGCCCCTAGCCTCACCGCTCAGCCTGCAGCTGGGCCTCCTGCACCTGTGTCAGCCGCTCCTGCAGGCCCTGCTTGGCGCGGATCTCGGCCTCCAGCGCTGACTGCAGCTCCAGCCTGGCCGAGGCCTCCATCTTCTGCAGTCGCCGCGCCTTCCACTGGTGGTCCTGGTGGCCACGGAGCACCCGTATAAGATGCTTTCTAGGCCTGGCTGCCTCAGGGACCCCCTGCTACCAGAGCATCCTGCTACCCATGCCACCCAGCCAGGCTCAAAGCTCCAGCTCAGCCAATGACCCACTGTGAGCTCAGGGAAATCACTATCTCTCATGAGCTTGGTGTCCCCACCTCCAGTAGTGACCTTCAGTAGCAGGGATGCTGAGCTCACGGAAGGTCAGTGACTTGCCCAAGCCAGCCCCCAGGGGCATCTCTGGGGCTCACCAGTGGCCGGGCAGGGAGCGTCTGGGTGCCTACGTTCCTCAAGGACTCCAGCTCCTCTGCCATCTTGGTGGCCAGGGCCTGCAGGTAGCCTCTTGAGACCTTCTCATCATTCACCCTGAATGGGAAGGGGCTCAGGGTCATGGGCTGGGCCCTCAGTCTCGCCTGCGTTCCCCACCCCGACCCACCCCTGGCACCCACCAGCTGAGGATGTCGGCGAGCTGGGCCTCCCAGTTGCTCTCCGTCTCCCGCCGCTCACCCTCCAGCCGCTGCTTGCTCTCCTGCTCCTGGGCCAGCTCTGCTTCTAGCTGGGGCCGGCCAGAGGAAAGGTCAGCCCCAGGCCCCAGCAGTCCTGGGACTGCCGTCTCCCTGTAGGTACCCCAGCACCCCGAGCCCCGTCCATGTCCACCCTGCTCACTGGCTGCAGCTTGCCCACCCCTCAACTGGCTCCCCATTGCCTTGTCCGTCTGTTGTACCCTCCGTCTGTTGTACCCTGCTCACCCGCTCCTGCTCCCGGCTCAGCCTCCGGTTTTCCTCCTGCAGCTGGCACAGAGCCTCCTCCTTACCACTCGGCCTGGGGAGGAGAAGGCCAAGGCCGTGACTCACCGCCCAGGCCAGGCCCGGCCCCTCCCTGCCACCAGCTGCCTGGCTCACCTGTGGCTGTGGGCCTGCTCCAGCTGCTCTCGCAGGGCGGCCACCTCCTTCCTCAGTTGGGCCTCCTGAGGCCCACCCTCAGGGGGTCCCATCCCGTTGGTCTCAGAGGCTGTGTGGATGGTCTTGGGGACATGGAGGGGGTCAGGGCAGAGACCCAAGATGCCATGGCCCACCCACCTGGGACACAGGCCTGGCCCTGAGGCTCTGAGTGGGGTCAGGCTGGTGGGGAAGCACCTCTTGCCAAGGGGGAGGACTTGACTACCTTGGCCTGGGACGACTCCTCAAGGCGTTGCTCCCACTGTCCCTGCAGCTGCGTCACCTGCCGGCTCAGGGAGGACACCTGGGCCTCCAGCTGTGAGGGGTGCAGAGGCAGGCCACTGCCAACTCTGCCCTCGGCAGCCCCTCTGCCCACCTTACCATGGACTCCAGACCTGCCAGCCACAGTGGACATGAGGAGGCATGGACTCCCAGACTGCCCCGTCCCAGCCACCATCCCCTGGCCTAGCCTCTGCCAGCTACAACCGGGAGGCAGCATCTCCCACCAAGCTCCCCATGCTCCCTCCAGGCACACTGGGGGCAGGGCCCAGGTGCTGTCCCTACCCACCCTGGTCACTCACCTCCCTCTGGGCAGCCCGGGCTTCCTCCAGCTGGGAGCTCAGGGCCCGGGTCTGGCTAGCTGTGGCCGCCTCTCTCTCCTGGGCCTCCTGTAGCCTCTGAAGCAGCTCCTCCTGCTGCCCCTGGGCCCTGCAGAGCTCCTGCTCCTGAGCCTGCAGCCCTGCCCGACCCTCGGCCAGCTCCTGAGGAGGCAGGGGAGGGAGCGGGGAAGGACAAGGCCCAGAGTCAGGCACGAACCGTCCATGGAGCCCAGGGCCACTCACCCACCTCACCCACCTCACCCAGCCCTCACCCACCTCACCCAGCCCTCACCCGGTGAAGTCGGTCAAGCTCCTGCCGTAGGTCACTGTCCTGACCTGGGCTACCAGCTGGGGGCCCATCCGTCTGGGACAATGAGGCCTTGTCCCTCAGCATCTCTGCCAGGAAGAGTCACTGAGACCTCGAGTGCTGGCGGCCCCAGCCTCTCAGCCCAGGAGCAAGTCTCCTTGGCCTGTTTCCCACACGCGGGCTCAGAGAGTATAAAATGCTCTCCCAGGATCATACAGCTTGTCCAGGGCAGGGCAGGACCCGAGCCCAGGTGGGACTCAGCCCTGGGGGGGGGGGGGGGGTGGGCGGAAGGGATACCTGGCAGCCTGTCCCGCAGAGTCTGCACTTCCTTCCGTAGCTGCTCCAGCTCCCGATGGTCTGTGGGGGCGTGCAGGGCCTCTGGAGGGGAGGTGGTACCCACAGGTGAGTCCACTCCTCCATTCCCGCAGCAGCAGCCCCTAGGGCCAGCACACCCAGGCCCGGCCCAGCCGCTCCCAGTACCTTGGTGCTTCCTGCTCAGCTCCACCTTCTCCTGCTCCAGACACTGGAGCTTCCGCTCCAGGGCAGCCCAAGCCTCAGAGCTGCTCTCAGGACTGTGACTGTAGGGGGACAGGGGCCATGTTTGTTGGTAGAAACCTCACCCCACAGAGTCTCCTCCATCCTCCTGGACCGAATCACTCATTAATTGTGAAACAGCCAAAACAGACCCTGCCCTCGGGAGACCCCAGACTGGTGCCACGGGTGGCAGCCCGGGGTAGCAGCTGCAGGGCACAGGCTCCGGGTCCAGGCCCAGGTTTAAACCCTCATCCTGGCCCTTACAAGCTGTATCACCTCGAACCCAATGTATTTTACCCTCAGTTTCCCCAGGGGAAGATGGTGGTGACAAGGCCTCTCCCCAGGGCTGTCGAGGACAGGATGTGGTGACAGTGGCCCGGCTGGTCTAGAGGAGTGGGGATCTGACCCATTTCCTTCCACCTCAGAGCACACCGCACCAGGACCTCACTGCGGTCTCAGGCCAGCCCCTCGAATGGGAGTAGGTGGAGATAATCCCACCCATTTTGAGACAGAGTCGCTCTGTCACCCAGGCTGGAGTGCAGTGGCGCAATCTCAGCTCACTGCAACCTCCGCCTCCCGCGTTCAAGCGATTCTCGCTGCCTCAGCCTCCCAAGTAGCTGGGATTACAGGCGCCCGCCACCACGCCCGGCTAATTTTTGTATTTTTAGTAGAGATGGGGTTTCACTATGTTGGCCAGGCTGGTCTCGAACTCCTGACCTCAGGCGATCCACCCGCCTCGACCTCCCTAAGTGCTGGGATTACAACCATAAGCCACCACGCCTGGTCCATCCCACCCATTTTACAGAGCCACAAAGTGAGGCCTGGGAGCAGTAGGGGCCTTCGAACCCTGCACCTCTGGCTCTAGGTGCAGCGCACCCTCGACCTTCGTGGAAGGCGCCATGAGAGCCATGTGCTGGCATGTGGCCCAGCAGGACCTGGGTGTGGCTTCACCAGGACCCCGAGGATGAGGGCTAGAGCACCTGCCACATGCAGATACTGGGGAGCCCTTCTGCCCTCCTTCCCAGGGCCCCAGTGGGCTACGCGCCCAGTGTCCTCCAGGTCAGGCAACCCCGAGCCTCCCACCAGGTGTGTGAGGACTAGCCTCACCTGCCTGAGGTGTAGGTGAAGCCCACGAATGGCAGGTGATGGCCGGAGAAGGCCCCGTGGGAGGGCGGTGGCAGGGTCCCCTGCAGAGGGAGAGGGAAGGAGAGTCAGAGTCCACAGGCCAAGGCCCGAGGCCCAAGGCCCAGGAGCCCCCTGGGACCAGGTGCGACCACCTCCTGCACAGGTGGGAACTCAGGGGGGTAACACAGCCCAACCCAAACAAACCCCCAGCTCCCACAAGTCTCCTAGGAGCTGCTGGGAGTTTTCTTCCTTATACGGATTCTAGTTAATAGAATGATACCTGTGGTCAGAGGCCCTTCCCTTGACACAGCCCACCTCAGTGCAGGCAAGCATGGGGAGCCTGTGGGAGATGCTCCCCCACCCCAGTTTGGCTGGAAGAGGCTGGGCCAGCGGATGGTGGCTGGAACGGGTCAGTCTGGGAGTCCATAAATCATAAGCCCCGGTGTCTGAAGGCCTCACCCCCAGCCCACCCCAGGGGACTTCAGAGGGAGGGTTCCCCCAGCCAACAAGGGGGTAGGGCAGCTCCCCTCCTGCAGTGGCCTTTGCCACTCACTGGATGGTTGAGGGTGTCGTCATCCACATCAAAGTTGGAGGTGTCCATGGGCCCCCGCAGCTCAGGAATATAGGGGGCCGTGCTGCTCGCCAGCCGCTCCCAGTCCACGCCTTCGAAGAAAGGATGGTTCCGGAAGTCATCCAGCCCACCACGGCCTAGCCGCTCTTCCTGGCGACACAGCAGCTGGCGGATCAGGTCTTGGGCGCTGGCTGGCACGTCAGGCACGTCCGGGGGGAACTGCAGGTGGTCCTGTGGGTCGGGGGAGGGGGCAGGCTGGGTCAAGTGTCCAGGAACCCAGCCTCACCTGCCGGTACTTCCAACCACACAGACTCAGGGGTCCCACTGCCCCCTCTGGAAGCCCAGAGCCTGGTGTCCAGACCTCGTGGTTCATGATCTTGCCGTAGGTTTCCACCAAGGACTCAGCATAGAAGGGCGTCTCCCCAAAGAGCAGCTCATAGGCGCAGACTCCAAGCGACCACCAGTCACACTGTGGGCCGTAGTGGCCCTTGCCCTCCTCCATGGCCTGCAGGATCTCAGGGGAGATATAGTCCGGCGTCCCTACTGCCACTGATGAATCCACCTGTGGGTGGTGGTGGTGAAGCCATGAGGACAGCTTTGGGCTTGGCTGGGACTGCTGGCTCCTCGCGATGGCCCTGTCACCCCTACTCTGCCAGGCTGGCCTGCTGCTGCCCACCTGGGGCCTGGGTCTCACCCACCTTCCCCGGGGGGCCTGATGCCTCTGCACTAGGCCTGGGGCCTCCCATTTTCCTGAGAGCTTGGCCCGCCTTGTATCCCCTGCTCCCACTCTGGGGCGGGGTCCTTACCATGCCGTTGGTGTTGAGACGCAGGCAGGAGCCGAAGTCAGCCAGGCGAATGTGCCCGTTCACATCCAGCAGGACGTTGTCTGGCTTGACATCCCTGGGGGATGGCAGGCAGGGAGAGTGAGGCGTTTGACCTGTGTGTAAGTGGCCATTTAGGCACACGCCCAGGTGCACATGCACGGTGTGTGCCAGCACCAGCTCACACACATTCCTGTGTGTAGGTGCTCATGTGATGAGCAACGTGTGTGTGTGTAGATGATCCCACAGGCCAGAAGGAGGAAGATGGCTAGATTGTAGAAAGGATGTGTGGGGACAACCCTTGGAGGTGGCAGAGTGTGCTATGGGGGACGCAGGAGTCAGACTTCCCCAGTGCAGACCACAGCTTGCCACCCGAGAGCCGAGTCACCTTGAGACAGGTGTTTCCCTGTGCTAAGCTCTGACCCCCTCAGCTGCAGGCCGGACACAGCAGCAGCCCCTGCCACAGAGGGCTCTTTGGTATGATTCCAAGGAAGCACACGGATGAGGCACCCAGAGAAGTGCCTGGCACATGATGAGTGCTCAGCTGACATCAGCTGTCCCCAGCACAGCTGGCAGGGGTTGGGCAGGGCAGCGGGGTTGGGCAGGGCAGCGGGGTTGGGGCCCCACCTGTGGACATAACCCAGCTGGTGCAGCGAGTGGATGGCCAGCACCATCTCAGCCAGGTAGAACTGGGCCAGCTCGGGCGGGAGACGGTCCTCGAAGCGGCTCAGCAGCGTCAGGAGGTCCCCACCAGCATAGTAGTCCATCACAAGGTACTGGAGGTGGCGGACAAGAATCAGACCCGGGGGAAGGGTGCACCTGGCCACTTCACCGCGGTCCCGCAGGGCTCTGGGAAGGCAGGCCTGCATCTCCCAGCAGCTCTGGGCTGGCCAGTTCCCAGCCAGGGCTCAGGCAGGAGGCGCCAAGCCCAGGAACTGGTGGGAAGTGGGAGTCTCTTGGTCCCAAGAGGGGTCTCTCTTTGGGCCCAGTGCCCCTGGCCCCAAGGGCCCTCTCCTGTGTCCCTAGGATGTTCCCCTCCAGCCCCGCCACGTATCCTCACCAGGTACTCCTCGTCTTGGAAGGCATAGTGCAGAGTGGTCACCCAACGGCTGTCCCCTTTCACGAGCACATCCCGCTCCTCCCGGAAACAGGCTGTCTGCAGCAGGTTTGGGGAAGTAAGGGGTGGGGTGGGATCAGAGCCCAGGATGCCCCCCTTGCCAGCTCAGGGGATGGAGAAAGATTCTGTGAGTCTGGGAGCTCAGATGGAGGTCATAGCTCTACTGTCCCCTGTCTGGCTGCGACTGAGCCCAAGCCCACGCTCTACAGCTCTGGGCCTCAGTGTGACCATATGGAAAATGGGAACGACTCTGCTTGCTTTCAAAAGGGTTTATTAGGCCTGTAATCCCAGCACTTTGGGAGGCCAAGGCAGGCAGATCACTTGAGATCAAGAGTTGGAGACCAGCCTGGCCAATGTGGTGAAACTCCATCTCTACTAAAAATACAAGAAACTTAGCTGGGTGTCGTGGCACACGCCTGTAATCCCAGCTACTTGGGAGGCTGAGGCATGAGAATCCCTTGCACCCAGGAGGTGGAGGTTGCAGTGAGCCGAGATCACGCCACCGCACTCCAGCCTGGGTGACAGAGTGAGACTCTATCTTAAAAAAAAAAGTTTATTGTAGGCTGGGCACGGTGGTTCACGCCTGTAATCCCAGCACTTCGGGAGGCCAAGGCAGAAGGATCATCTGAGGTCAGGAGTTCGAGACCAGCCTGTCCAACATAGCAAAACCTCATCTCTACTAAAAATACAAAAATTAGCTGGGTGTGGTGGCAGGTGCCTGTAATCCCAGCTACTCGGGAGGCTGAGGCAGGAGAATTACTTGAACTGGGAGGCGGAGGTTGCAGTGAGCCAAGATAGCACCGTTGAACTCCAGCCTAGTTGACAGAGCAAGATTCCGTCTCAAAAAAAAAAAAAAAATTTAAAAAATTAAATAAAGGGTTTATTGTGAGAAAGATAACAAATCAGTGGCTGCTGAGGGTGGCACCCTTTGCCTGGTCTGCAGCCTTGCCCGCCCCCCCCGCGCCATAGGCCCTGGCAGCATACACCTCCCCCACACCCATTTGTAGGGTGCCCAAGGGCCCCCCAGACTCCACACTGACCTCAGCCCTCTTCAGCATCTCCCACTTGTGCAGCATTTTCATGGCAAAAATCTGCCCAGTGTCCCTCTGCCTCACCACGGTGACCTAAGGCCACAGGGAGGACCGGGGTGAGCCCAGCCCGGTGTGAACACCTCCCCCCACCTACCCCAGGCCCTTTGCTCACCTCCCCAAAGGCTCCTCGGCCGATCACCTTCAAGATCTCAAAGTCATCTCTCTGCAGACGCAGTTCTTTCACCTTTGATACGAAGGGGCTGGCTGAGGGGACACAGGGCGGGACTCAGAGTGCAGGGAGGGAGGGCTCCATTCCCCCTCTCACCTTGGGCAAGCCAGGAGCTGCCGCTCCTGTGAGCCCAGGCAGGGATGACCTCCCCAGGGACAGCCTCGGGCCAAGGGGTTGTGGCAGGAACTGGTGCTCCTTTGGCCATGATCAGGAAGTGCGGAAGGTCAGAGGCCGGGCTCAGCTGACCGCCTGGTCCCTGGACCTCCCTGGACCCCTGGCCCCAGACTCTAGGCAGCCTCCATCCCAGGGGCTGATGGGACTTGTAGTCCTGCCCAGTCTGCGGCCTGACTCTGCTTGGCCAGGTCACCCTGGGGACCATGGGGACACCATTCCTACCCCCACCTCACAGTTCTTGGCCCCCTCACAGGTTCAGGCCAGGGCCTGTCTTAGGAAACTGGACGGGTGACATTCCTTATCCCCAGAGAGGCTTCTCTCCCATTCAGGAGCTGTGGGCCTGGGTCCCGGGACCCTGTAGGCATAGAGGTGCCTGGTTGGGGGTGAGGCCTGCAGCCCCTAGGGCAGGGAGGACAGGCTCTATGCTTCCCACGTGGGGCCCCTCAGGCTGGAGGCATGGATGCCAGTCTGCCAAGGTGCTGAGACTCACAAACAGGACAAAGATGCCTTTCCCTGGTGCTAGCACTAGCCCCTGAAGGCGTGAGTGCTCAGGATGCCTCCAGGCCTGACCGGCTCTCTCACTCCCAGCCCTGCCTCCCTGTCTGGACGAAGCTTTTGTCTGGTCAAGAACGTCCTCTTTCCTCACATCCCAGATACCTCCAGGAAGGGCAACTCCAGCCACTCCCAGGCACTTTCCAGGCCTGGATTAGCCCCAGGTTTTGGGAAGGAATTGGGTCTTAGGGAGGCAGGAGTGATCAGTCAGGATGGGGGGCAGCTGTGGTCTGGCGCCCTGCCTCAGTTTCCCCCTGCCAGGAGGTAAACTCCCTGCCAGCTGGGCGGGTCTGTGGGTGGGACAGAGAGCTGTTCCACAGGTTTATCAGGCAGAAGCCCGCAGCGGGGGCGGGGTGGAAACCTCATTACAGAAATTCATTGTCTCTTTCCCAGGTCTGTGTGTGGAGCTGGGGAGGAGCAGCCCCGGGCCTCCCCGTGGGAGTTGAAGCCAGCACCATAGGGACCCACCCGCCAGAAGAGGGCCGAAGCCCAGGCCCACAGGCAGGAGGATCCAGGCCCCTGGACAGGCTGCCTAATCCTCTGGCCTCCCACAGGGCATGGGGGCTCCGGGCAGGAGCAGGGACAAGTAGAGACAAGCAGGAGAGGAATGAGTCACAGCCCTTTGAGTTACCTTGGGAGATTGTCAACAGAGGGCCCCCATGCCGGGGTCCCAGGCAGAGGTGCTGGAGGCAGTCAGGGAGGAGCACACATGTGTGTGCAAACACACACACGTGTGTGGGTGTCATGGGGGGGGTGACAACAACACAGGCAGACAGGCATAGCACGGAGGCATACCAGGGAGACAGGCACAGAGGCAGGGGCCTCTGACTGCCTCGCCCTGGATGGAAGGGTTGGGGCTAGGGGACAACTCCCTGGCACATCTAGGTGGCAGCCTCCCCCTCTACCCCAGGCCTTGTGCCTTCCCAGAGCTCAGGAGTGCCAGGAACGCTAGTTGCCCACTGGGCAAACACCTGCCTCACCCCGCCCTGGCCAGGCCCCCGTGCCTTTTCCCCATGGCCCGGCAGGGTGTGACCAGGGAACCCTCCAGCTGGCGCCAGTGCCCACAGTGGGTTCAGGGTCACCCCGGGCCAGCCACTCCCAATGACTCAGATGAGTCTACCAGGAAAGGTACAGACCCATCTCCAGCTAGGCCCCCCTCCCCGGCCCCGGCGCCACAGCCCCCAAGGAGCTTGGCCAGCAGCCTGCACAGGCCAAGGGTTGGAGATCGGTTCCTGAGTCCAGGCTGCAGTGGTCTTGTACCCAGGGAGCTGGGGGTGTGTGTGTTGGTGGGGGGAAGGTCTGCAAGTGTGCGATACCTACAGATCTGTGTGTTTTGCAGTGCCAATGCGGTCGGGGTGGTCTGCAGCGCTCCCTGGGTCTCTCCATGAGTTGTGTGTCTCAATGCATCCGAGAGGAAGGAGAAACAGAGCCCGTGTATCAGTGGGTGACATGCATGAGGGTCTGTGTGTGTCCTGCGTCAGGTGTGGCCTGTAAGCAAGGAAATCTGTAAGGGACTCTAGGCGGTGCACTGGGTACATGCGTCTGCGGTCGATACCTGAGCACAAGTTGGTATGTGTGTGCATGTGTCGGGGTCTGTGAGAGGGAGAGAGCGTGTGTGAGAATTGGAGTGAGGGTGAGGTGTGCAGGCGAGTGTGCGGGCCGCGGGGGTCCGGTGGTACGCGTCAGGGCCACTGCAGGGAGTCTGCGAGGGAAGCCCGTGGGGGTGCGGGTCCCTGCGGGAAAGTCTGCGGGTGCGGGGGTCTCGGCGCGATATCCCTAGGCCCGCCCCCGCTCCGTGCCGCCCCGCCACTCACCCCAGCTCAGGAACTGCGCCACGCTGCGCTCCCGCCGTAGGGGGCCGCTGCTGAGCTCGTGGTGCAGCGCCAGCAGCAGATCTAGGAGGCCGTCGAGCCCCGGGCAGCCGCCGGCCTCGCCCCGCGCCAGCTGCTCCAGCGCGCGCAGCCGCCGCTCCATGGCTGCGGCCGGAGCCTCGCTGCTCGGCTACAGTCTGGCCGCCCGCATGCCCGCCTGTCGGGCCGTCCGTCCGCCCAACCGTCTGAGGCTCTGTCCGCGCGTCCTCCCCCGCCCCTCTCCCGCCCTCCCCGCTGTCACCTTCCTCCGCCGCCGCCAGCGCGCCCTCACCTGGGCGCCGCGCCCCGCCCCCCGACGGACGGGCAGGTGCGCGCCGGCCAATGGGAGCCGCGGCTAGAGGTGAAGGTGGGGGCGGAGGCGCGCGGGGGCGGGCCCAACTCCCGGCCAGGAAGTGCGGGGGCGGGCCGGGGAGAACAACTGACTTCTGCGCGGGGCGCGGTGGGGTTCTGCGGGGTCGGAAAGACTCCCCAGATCCCCGCGCGGCCCCAGACCCAGACTTACCTGGGCCCTCCCTGGGCCCTGACCCAGGAGGCGCGGAGCACTGCAACTTCTCTCGCCCCCTGGGTCGCAGCCGCCTTGCCCTTGGCTAAGAGAGAGGGGCTAGGGACGCCCGCGGCCCCGGAGCCGGATGGGAATTGTAGTTCGCTCTCTCCATGGTTTGCCCGCGCTTGGCACCCATCGCCCCCCCGCCCCCGCCCAAAAAAAAGTTTCTGAATCTTACTTTGATTGTATCATTAGAGTTGATGTGGGAGACAGGAAGTTGGGGTAGGGATGGTCACGCCCATTTGGCAGATGGACACACTGAGGCTTGGGAAGGAGGAAGGCGAATTGAGGGGCTGAGGACAAGGTGGCTCTTAAGTTAGACCCTGGGGTGGAGGTGGAGCTGGGCTGGTACCAACACCACAGGCGTTTTAAGCTTCAGTAGGAGCAGGGCCTGAGGTCTGACCTGGAACGTGAAGGGCAAGGAGAGGTCTGAGATAGGCTGGAGGAGGTTGGGGAGGGGAGGGGCTGGCTCTGTCCAGTGGTATTTCTGATTTCTGTCCAGCTGGGATGGACCAGGCACCATGAGGAGAGATCAAAGGGTGGGACATATTGGTGGCTTCAGACAACACTTTTTTTTTTTTTTTTTTGAGACAGGGTCTCTCTGTCACCCATGCTGGAGTGCAGTGATGCAATCATAACTCACTGCAGCCTTGACCTCTTAGGCTCCTGCCTCAGCCTCTTGAGTAGCTGGGATTACAGGCAGATGCCACCACACCCAGCTGATTTTTTATTTTACTTTTTGGAGTCAAGGGTTATTGTTATGTTGACCAGGCTGGTCTCGAACTCCTGGGCTCAGGTAATCCTCCCACCTTGGCCTCCCGGAGTTCTGGGATTACAGACATGGGCAACTACACCCGGCCTAGACAACACTTCTTTCTCTTTTTTGAGACAGGGTCTCACTCTGTCCCCTAGGCTGGAGTGCAGTGGTGCAATCGTAGCTCACCACAGCCTCAACCTCCTGGGTTCAAGTGATCCTCCCACCTCAGCCTCCCGAATAGCTGAGACTACAGGCTCACACCACTAGGCCAGGCTGATGTTTTGTTTTTTGAGATGGTGTCTCACGCTGTCACCCAGGCCAGAGTGCAGTGGCACGATCTCGGCTCACTGCAACCTCTGCCTCCCAGGTTCAAGAGAGTCTCCTGCCTCAGCCTCCCAAGTAGCTGGGATTATAGGCATGTGCCACCACACCCAGCTAATTTTTGTATTTTTAGTAGAGATAGGGTTTTGCCATGTTGGCCAGGCTGATCTCAAACTCCTGACTTCAGGTGATCCTTCTGCCTCGGCCTCCCAAAGTGCTGGGATTACATGCGTGAGTCACTGGGCCCAGCCATGTTTGTATTTTTTATAGAGATGGGGTTTCGCCATGTTGCCTAGGCTGATCTCAAACTCCTGGACTCAAGTGATCTGCCTGCCTCAGCCTCCCAAAGCGCTGGGATTACAGGCTGTAGCCACTGGCCAACACATTATTTCATTAAAAGACCTGTTTAGGGGTTTGCCTCTCCTCTCGTACTGGGACCTCGCTGAGATGGGGGCAGGATCAGGTTGAGGGAGGAGGTGTTCCATGAATGTTTGAAGCAAACAGGGTGTTTCTCCCCACGAAGGGTTTTTCATGTGATTATTTGTTTATTTATTTATTTATTTTAAAGAGACAGGGTTGCACTATATTGCCACGTTGGCCAAGCTGGTCTGACCTCAGGTGATCCGCCCACCTCGGCCTCCCAAAGTGCTGGGATTACAGGCATGAGCCACCATACCCAGCCTTTTTTTGAGACAGGGTCTTGCTCTGTCACCCAGGCTGGAGTGCAGTGATGCAATCTCAGCTCACTGCAGCCTCAACATACTGGGCTCAAGTGATCCTCCCACCTCAGCCTCCTGAGTAGCTGGGACCGCAAGCCTGCACCACCACGCCTGGTTAATTTTTAATTTTTTTTTTAGAGCTGGGGTCTCTCTACATTGCCCGGGGCTGGTCTCAGACTCGCCCTGCCTCCCATGTGATCTCCCCAGAGGCCCGCCCTGTAGCTACGCAGGGCCCATGGGCTGAGAAATGTTTGGGGAAACAGAGTCTGGGTGTATTACCTAAATCAACCAGAATGGGATGGGGAGCCAGGATTCAAACCAAACTCTGGGGATCCCCTTCATTGCCTCTGGTCTCCTGGAAGGGGGAGGGGGCAGGAGTTCAGATCCCTCTCACCTGAGAGATTCTGAGCCCTCCTTATAGGGGCGGGGCAGGGGTGGAGCCCACAGGAGGTAGGAAGGGGCTTGCTCACTGAGGCCACACGGGGGCGCCAGAGACCAGAGGAGGGACAGGCGCTCCAGCCAGCATTAGGGAACCGGAGATAGGGAAGGGCTCCTGGGTGGGAAGATGGGCCTCTCCTCCGCTGCCCCTCGTGGACACCCCTGGTGAGGCCTCTGGGCCCTGCCTCACTCCCTGTGTGACCTCAGGCAAGTCCCTTAACCTCTCTGGTAAGTTCTCAGAAAGGTTCATCCCCAGCCATCTGTCCATCCCCACACAGTATAGCTGAGTGGACACTGAGTCCCAGGGCTGAGGCCAGGGCTGCACGGGGCAGGGCTGGGACTGGCATTCGGCACCTCCCGCCTCTCACACGTGATTCTTTCTGGTCCTTTATTAGTTTTTGTCACATCTGTCTTGTAAGCCTCAATTTCCTTGTCTGTAAAAGGGGGTTGGGTCCGGGCATGGTGGCTCATGCCTGTAAGCCCAGCATTTTGGGAGGCCGAGGTGGGAGGATCACTTGAGCCCAGAAGTTCAAGATCAGCCTGGGTGACATAGTGAGACCTCATCTCTACAAACGAACTTAAAAATTAGCTGAGTGTGGTGGTGAGAGCCTGTAGTTCCAGCTACTCGGGAGGCCAAGGTGGGCGGATCACTTGAGCCCAGGAATTCAAGACCAGCCTGGTCAACATGGCAAAACCCTGTCTCTACTAAAAATACAAAAATTAGCCTGGAATGGTGACACACACCTGCAGTCCCAGCTACTCGGGAGGCTGAGAAAGGAGAATCACTTGAACCTGGGAGGCAGAGCTTGCAGTGAGCTGAGATTGTGCCACTGCACTCCAGCCTAGGTGACAGAATGAGACCATGTCTCCAAAATAAATAAATAAATAAAAATAAAGGGGGAGGGTTGGGCCCCCTGCTCATTCCTTTGCAGCTCCAATGGAAGGAAGTCTGTAAAGGCTCAGTCTCTTTCTGAGCTTATTCCAGCCTTAGCAAGCAGCCAGGCCTCCAGCCCTGACTGCCCGAAGCAGCTCCAGGGCATGGCACCATGTTGGCTCAGCAGATCTGTTTTCTGATCCTGTGGGGCCAGACCACTAGGGCCACAGCAGCCTTGACACGCTCCCCACAGAGCCCTGAGCATGGCACAGCCCAAGGCCCAGCTCACAGGGATGGGTGAGTCTTGACAGGAGACACCCCCGAGAGCCTCAGTCACACCCTGTCCAGGCAGTCAGGCCACCCTCTTTCCTTTCCTTCTCACCAGGGTACCTTCATTCAAATGCCTCCTCCATGGTCGACTACTCCCCAGGTGCAGGAGGGCTCAGCTACCCCCCGCAGCCTCTCACTCATCCCGCAAGCCCCTTGGTACTGAGGGACATCACTAGCTCTCTCACCCAGCTCTGTGGGGAGCACTCATGCTGATAACAGCTTGCAAGTGTAAGGGGCCTCTTGGTAACTTAAAGTGACTTTAGATCTATTATCTTCACAAGGGCCACACTAGGAGAGAGTTATTACCCTCCTTTATAGACTAATGCATGGAAGCTGGGGAGGGAGGTGGTGCCAGCCTTGAGCTCCTTCCTTGAGTGCAGACTCGCCCTGCAGAGGGCAGGTGTGTTGGGGCAGGGAGAGGACCTGAGAACCCAGCATGAGGAAGTGGCAGGGAACCCTGTGTCTGCCCCCAAGGGCATAGCCCTCTGTGGCTGGGAGCCCAGACACAAGGCAGGTTGCCCAGGTCTGTGGCATCCTGGCCACATTGGAGGGCTGCTGAGCCCAGGGTTGGAGCGCCCCCTTCCTCAAAGTCCTGAGAATCAGCCTTCAGGGGAAGGCCTAGGATGAGAGTCTCCAGCCGTGGCCTCGGGAAGCAGCTCCCACCAGATGGTTCTTCAGGGCTGGCAGGAATGGCGGCCGCCCCCTGCCCTTAGCCACTCTGGAAACGTGCACATGGCATAGTGGCCCGCTCCTACCCAGGAGGTCAGGACATGAGAGGCTGGCCTTGGGTCCTGCAGCCCTGCCCGCTGCTGACCAGGCGTGGGGCCTTGGGTAGATCTCTTCCTCACTCTCTGGACGCTGTCTTTTTGTGTATAATGGAGAACTGCACCTGTTCAGGTGTGAGAGACAAATGAGCTTCCCAGTATGGCCACCAATGGCCGTCCCAACCTTTCTCTGAAGGAGCACGGGCGGCAATGTGATTGGAGCCGGGGAGCTCCCTAAGCCCACCCTTGAGCCTCAGATGCCTGGCTCTTATTTGAAGGTGCGTCTGTTGGGATGGCTTTGGGAAGGAGCTGATGCAAATGCTAGGGGTGTGGACCCCCCAGTCCCCCAGCTAGTCCTGGCAGCCCCCTCCCCAACCCCATCTGCCCAGCACCAGGGGCGTGTCCTATGAAAAGTCCAAAGCTCCAAATGGGTGGACATATGGTGGTTTCATCATCCTGGTTTTTCTTCCAAAAACCTTCCCTGCAGTGTTCCAACAAGCCATAGGGGCTCCCACGCTCTGCAGCGGCTGCAGCCCCATGTGGTTTTACAATTATCAGTCCCTCTGGGTGCACAGGAAGCCAGGCCCGAGCCCACTTGGCCACCACCTCACTAGCCTACAGGCGCCACTGAGTCTGGGAGCTGCTTCAGGGAAGGGAGGGGCTGGCCTGTTTTGTTCTGGGTATTGGGTGAGGTGCCCTGCTCCCTGCACCCCACCCGACTAACCTCCTTGGGGTGCTTGGCAAAGGCCGCTCAAGGTGGGTGTCCTCGGGCTCTGCCTCTGTGGGCCACATCTGTTCCTGAATTAAGGCTTGAGGAAATGGCCTCAGTGGGGGAAGAGATCTGGCTAGAGTGGCAGAGCTGGGAGTTGAACTCAGGGCGGTCTCCCCAAGGCTGCCCTCCACGTGCTGCCAGACCTGGTGCGCTTTTAACACAGGAGTGGTGGCCGGATGTTCTCACCTCCCAACTCTCACCACCTTGCTGGCCGTGGCCGGGCAAGTCCTATGACTAGCCCATTTGATTTATTTTATGTATTTATTTTTGAGACGTAGTCTTGCTCTGACGCCCAGGCTGCAGTGCGATGGTGCGATCTTGGCTCACTGCAAACTCTGCCTCCTGGGTTCAAGCGATTCTTGTGCCTTGGCCTCCCAAGTAGCTGGCATTATAGGCGAGAGCCAGCACATCTGGCTAATTTTTGTATTTTTAGTAGAGACAGGGTTTCACCGTATTGGCCAGGCTGGTCTCAAACTCCTGACCTTATGTGATCCACTCTCCTCGGCCTCTCAAATTGCTGAGATTACAGATGTGAGCCACCGTACCCGGCCATTATTTATTTTTTACTGGTCTATTCTTCTAGAACACCCATTTGAGATAAGAACAGGGCACTGACTGGATTTGTGGTTAACTTCTTTTCTAAGGAGAAGAAATGTTTATTTAAAAAAAATTTTTTTTAAATAGAGACAGTGTCTCACTGTGTTGCCCAGGCTGGAGTACAGTGATGCCATCATAGCTCACTGCAGCCTCAAACTCCCAGGCTCAAGTGAACCTTCCACCTCAGCCTCTCAAGTAGCTGGGACTACCCACAGACACCCATCACCACTCTTGGCTAATTTTTGTTTTGGTAGAGATGGTGTGGGGGCGGGGGGGGGGGCGGGTCTCACTATGTTGCCCAGGCTGGTCTTGAACTCCCGGCCTCACACGACCCCACCTCACCCCCAACCTTGGTCTCCCAAAGTGCTGGGATTATAGGTGTGAACCAAACCCAGCCAGAAATGTTTATTCTGAATGAGATCTTACAAGGAACTGCAACATAGAAAACAGCTGTGCATGGCCAGAGGCAGTGGGCGGGCCCTTTGCCTCTTGGGTCCTGGGCTGTGAGGTGCTGCGTGGGCGACAGATTGCCCTGAAGGCCTCAGTCCACGGGCTCTGGTAGCTGGGTGGCAATGCCCCTCCTTTGCCCCAGGCCAGCCTCTGAAGAGGAGGCTTCTTCCCCAGGGTCATGGCCAGCTATGGATCTAGGGAGGAGGCGAGGGCTGGGACTAGCCCTCTAGGTGGGCGGCCACATCTCTGACCACATCCTCTGGTCCTCCCTGAACCCCGGTCGGAGCCCAAAGATGATCCCCAACCTGTAGAACCGAAACCAGGGCTATGAACTCTGGGGCAGACACCTGCCCTCAGCCCCTTTCAAGCCTCAGATCAGCAGGCGCTTCCTGGGGCAGCCCCAGGGGGTTCACAGCCCCTCTGTGGCCACACAGAGCCCTGCAGGTGGAGTGCTCCGGGAAGGAGAGCGGGCGGCCAGGCAGCACTTCCCTTCCTCCTAGTTCAGGGGCACTGCTAAGTTCTGTGCCTTCTCTAATGTGCTCACAGCTTGAACAAAAATGCTCCACCTCCCTTGGGTGACCCCTGCCCCAAGCTTTCAGGACCCCAGGCTGGAGTGACAGCATTTAACCTTTAATGTGGGTCTCTCAGCCCTGAGTACAGCTGCAGTCTAAGGGTGGGGTTGGGGGGATCTACCGTTTTTTCCTCTTAGTGTGTGCTTTGGATTAGTAACCTGATGGAAAGCACGCTGGAGTTGGACGGCCTGGTTTGCATCTGCTTCTACCACCTTTGTTATTTCGGCAGTCCTCAGTCTCGGACTCTCCCTCTGTGAAATGGGGGAACATGAACTTCCTCAGATCGTGACAGCGCAGCTCCACCTGGCACAGGGTGAATGCCCACAGGTGGCAGCTGAGTGACGCAGGGAGGGCCGGCCAGCCCTGCAGCAACTGAAGCATCCACTGGCACCTCAAGTGCTGGTCATAGGACCAGACACCACCACACCAGCTAGGCTCGGAGCACACAACTGGGTCCCTGAAACCCTCAGGAACTTGTTTCTGTCCTGCCTTCTGCCAGAGGGGCTGGAGCAGCCTCTACCCATGGCACCTCAAGTCTGCACCCTTTTATGAAGGGTCACTAATCAGTCACCCTTCCCTCTGCTGGTATAAACAGTCCCCCATCTGTGACATCACCTGGGCCTGACTGGCCCCACCCTTAGTTGCATGTTTGTCACAGGCTATCTGCTTTGTCTTCAGAGGCCCGGCTTCCCTGTACTTAAACCGTCCTTGGGGCTAGCAAGGAGCCAGTCTGGCTCCAAAGCCCAGAAACCCTTGTTTACTTGATGCCACCCAGTGCCGAGGGCCTGCAGGTGCCCACTCATCCGTCTGTGGCTGAGGGGTGCCAGCCTAGGCCTCAGCTATCAACATCCTCCCAACTGTTTCCCCCCTCCCCACCCCAAGTGAACTGCTCAGCTCCCACCTTGCTCAGGGAAGGGGGCATCACCCCAGAAACCCTTTTCCCTACAGGCCTGGCCCTCTTAGTAGGAGGGGGCAGCTACTGCCCAGCAGAGCAGGACTGGGCAGGGTTGGTCACCTTGCCCCGGCTGCCTTGCCACTCTGTCCCTGCTGGCATCACCCCCTCAGACACCAGGGGAGGATGGCCCAGGACTGCTGCCCCTGGAAAAGACAAGGAAGCACCCGAAGCTTTCGCACAGTTCAGACTTTTTAATGCAAGGAGAAAGTCTTCACTTCTCTTCCCACAGGTGTGAACAAGCCACTGCAACTTCAACAGTGACTTCCCGGCAAGGACAGCGCCCGCATCCATCCTCACCTAATACTGTATGGAGTGACGGGCTAAGGAGAACAAGGCCAGTTCCTGCAGACTCCGAGCAGCGCTGGGGAGAAGCTCCCTGAGACCCCCGCGGGAAAGCCTGGTGGGAAGCCCAGCTGTGTGGTACCTGGTGCTCCACCTGCCTTGGTGCCATCACAGCCCGGACAGTGGCCACTGGCCTGCAAACGCGCCCGGGCCCTGGAGGCTGGGCTCAATGGCCCCAGGCAGAGGAGGGGGAGGCGGCCTGAACTGGCCCGGGCCACTGGGCCGCAAGGTTCTGGTTTCTTATTGCTCAACCTGGGGGCCAGGGGCGTTGTAAGGACATCCAAGTGAGCTGCCCTCCTTTGCTAAACAGAGGAGGAAGGAAGGTAGGAAATGAAGGGGGATTACAGAAGGGGCTGGGTTTTCCCCTGGTCCCCGCTGTCTGGACATGAGAGCCTAGCCAGAACCACGGGCTTCCTCTTACCAGCACCAAGCTGTCGTGAGGCCCCGCCACCGCCACCCACCACCACCTCCCACTGTGGAGGGTGCGTCCCAAAGCTCCAGTTAAGTGAGAGGGTAGGGCAGGAGCTGGGATGACCACCCTTCCTCAGCCAGGAAATGCAACACTGGGGTCCAGGAACGGGGTGCTCCCCGGGTACCCACACCTAATGCCCCCTGGGCAGGGCTGCTCCTTGGCTGGAGGGTGGGAAGGGGAGACAAAAATCACAGCTTTTGAACAGTGGTTGGGAAGTTATTGGGAACTTTGGTCAAGTATGAAAGATATCACTTTACAGAACAGAAACTAGCTTATGTATTTTTCTGGAAGACATTCTCCTACTCCCCTGAACTCCCAAAAAAAGACCAAGGTGGCTGGGCCCTGCTTCTGTGACTGCTGAGCGGGGTTGCGCGTCGGAGCCGGTGGGGCGCGGGAGGAAAGGGCAGGGCCCGCGCACGGGGAGCCTGGGCCCGGGAGGGGAAGGCACAAGAACCCACTTCGCCCGAGAGCACGGGGGAGGCAGAGCCAGGTGAGGAAGGAAGCCACGGTCCCGTGAAGCAACCTCAGCTCAGAAGCACACGGAGGGTGCCTGGTGTTCCTGTCCATGCAGCCTCAGCCTAGCAGCTGCCAAAAGGGCGACCTGGCTCCCCCACGGTCGCAGTCGCTGCACTGTCCAGCTCCAGCCACAGCAAAGGCCGGGGGGCAGAGGCCGTGCACACAGGGCTGGCACACAGGGGAGGCGGCGACAAAGAACGCAGCCTCTAACGTTATATATTAAAATAGCCACAGTTCTTGTGCACACAATTCCATCCTCTCACCCCTGCCTCCCCCGCCAGGCCCAGGAACAGCCTTAAAAGAAAGATGGTGGTTTTCCTTTTCGAGAGGCGAGGAAACATCCGCTCAGTCTTTATGGACCTTGAGAAATGGTGAGGCTTCCCCTCCCCCCGTCTCTGCCTCCCGGCCGGGCGTGCAAATGGCAGGTGCGGGGCCGGGCGCCATCACTCATGTCTGCGCTTGGAGGGCGGCACCAGGTGCGGGGGCAGGTCGGCGGGCAGCTCGTGGCCCTCCAGCTTGACCTTGATGAGGTGGTTGGCCAGCGCGAACTCCTCGTCGTCCAGCAGCCCGTCCTTGTCCACGTCGGCCAGCTTCCAGATCTTCCCTAGCACGGTGTTGGGGAGCTTGGACTTCACCATCTCCTTCTTGGCGTTGGCGCCCGTGATCTTGCCGTTGACAGGGGACAGCGTGTAGAAGATCTCGTCGTAGGTGGGCTTGTCCTTGCCCACCACCCACTCCACGTCGTCGATGCCCTCGCCGGCCCCCTCGCCGTAGCCGTGCCCGAACGGCCCGTTCATGGTGCCGTCAAAGGCGCCGCCCTTGACCACCTGGGAAGGCATCAGGGACTCCTCCTGCCGCACCATCACCATCAGCCGCGCGATGTCGTTGGCCAGCATGTCATCCACCGTGTCCAGCAGCTTGGGCTTCAGCGCCTGGAACTTGCTGAAGTCCTGGGTCTGCAGGAGTTCCTGTGGGCGGGGGAGGAAGGACAAGGGCTGGGAAGGGAGGCCCCTCCCAGACTCCAGGCCAAGTGGTTCCAGTCAGGGCTTCACAAGCATAAAGTGCTGCTCCCCCACACTAGCAGGGGCGACTCGGCAAAACCATCTGGCCCTTGGCTCTCTAACCTGTACACAGGAGGCACCTCCAGCTCTTTCCTTGCAGGGCTGCGGCAAGGATTCATGGACAGGGCACCAGAGCGCCTGGCATGGCCCTGCCCTCCCCCCACCACGCAGGGTGAGTCACCACATTCCCCTCTGCAGTGTCACCGCCTGGGTCAACTCTGAGTTGGGTGGGGTGCTGGTGATTAACCCAGCTGCTTCCGTTCAGGGAGGCCCTTCCCCATGGAGATGGGATTCCCTCCAAATCCAGTGCCCTGGGCCTTCCTTCTGCCCTGATGGCCACCAGCCTGCATGGGGCCTCGGGACAGCCGTACCTGCATCTTGCGGAGGCTCGGGAAGTCCCCAGGGGAGATCTGGTGCTCGCGCTCAATCTTCTGGTAGATCTCTCCGAGGTTGTTCACCAGCTCTTTCTTTTTGCTCTCTTTACCAAAGACATTGGGCATCTCTTTCTTGAGGGAGCTGATGATGTAGGCGTGAACCTGTGAGGACGGGGTGAGCATCAGGCGCTCTCTTGGCCCAGGCTGCCCCCGAGAGCAGAGCCTCCAAGGACACTCCAAGGATACTCCAAGGTGCTCGCTCAGGAACAGGGAAGCAGGAGGGATGGGTCAAGCTCAAGGCCGCTACCACCACCGGCTCCCACAGTCCTAGGAGCAGACACAATCTGGCAAGAGCCACAGCTGTCCACTGCCACAGGACAGAGGACAGGACAGGAAAACGCACTTGAAACAGAAGACAACAGCCTTGGCCTTGCACGGATCATTGTGATGATTCAGGAAGAGTAAAACCCAGTCTGTCAACCCAAAGAAGGCAATTTGTCGTGTACCACTGGGCACATCACACACCCTCTGTTCAACCCTCACCACGCATCACACACCCTCCGCTCAACCCTCACCACGCATCACACACCCTCCGCTCAACCCTCACCACGCATCACACACCCTCCGCTCAACCCTCACCACGCATCACACACCCTCCGCTCAACCCTCACCACGCATCACACACCCTCCGCTCAACCCTCACCACACACCCTCCGTTCAACCCTCACCACAGCCCTGCGGGGTGGGATTCTCCCAACCCGGCCCTAAGCAAGGCTGGGAAAGGCTGCCTGGGGTGCTTGGCTCCCACATGGAGGAGCTGGGATTGGAACCCCGGGCTGCTGAAGGTGCCCCACAGCCCATGTTCTTCTGTTTCTCTGCAAGCCCCCTTCCCCCGAGCTGCCCCCTCCCACGCAGCAGAGCAGGGAGCAGGCTTCCTGCAGGGCCCACCAGCCTGCACGTCCAAATCCCTGCTGAGTGCCGATGGAGCCCACAGAACTCCAATGGGCCCGTGCCACGCTCCACTCCATCATCACAGCTCGGATGACGAAGGATTTGAAAAATCCCAAAAAGGCTTCTCCTGGTGGTTGCCAGCTTTATCCAAGCATCAATACCTTGCTTAGGCATGTGCCTGTTCAGGGCGGCACCCCCTTCATTTCCCTGCAGCAAGCTGGGAACCTGGCAGCCCTCGAGAGTAGCCCAGCCCTCAGATCCCTCGGCCTTGCCAAGTCGTGTCCAGCCACAGAGGGCTGCGGCCAGCCAGCCTTGCTGCCCTTCTCCCCGGCTCCAGCCCATCCACCACCCCGCTCAGCCTGAGCCTGTGCCCTGGGTGGGGGCCTGGCTGAGAACTGCCTGAGGGAGGCAGCCCCGTGCCATGTGGGTCTGGATCTAGAGTCTCCCCAGGGACACTGTGGCAGGCAGATCCCAGGCCGGTGGGAGTCATCACAGAGAGCACCACTCACTCCAGGAAAAGGAAGTGGCAGGTGTGAGGCAACACTGGAGGCCACAGGGTTTTCCAGGCGCGGTGACTCAGTGTGCCTGGGGCCTGGCAGTCACACATGGTCTCACAGACGACCAGGCAGGGGCTCATGCCTGCCCCTTGTCCTGTCTGTCCTCAAAGGTGGCTGAGCAAGGGAGCTCTCTCTGCCCTGCAAGGAGAGAAACTCAGCTAGGGCCACACCCACACCCCTCAGCTCAGGACGTCCTTTGTCCTTTGAGGCCAGGGTCAGTCACCTGGGTTTTTGTATGGGTTCCTCTCTCAAAGCTGGCTCCACTCACAGGGAGGCTCCAGAAGGGAGAGATCTAGAAAAACATCCAGCCAGCCGGGCGCGGTGGCTCACGCCTGTAATCCCAGCATTTTGGGAGGCCGAGGCAGGCGGATCACCTAAAGTCAGGAGTTCGAGACCAGCCTGATCAACATGGTGAAACCCCGTCTCTACTAAAATATAAAAATTAGCTGGGTGTGGTGACGGGCGCCTGCAATCCCAGCTACTCAGGAGGCTGAGGCAGGAGAATGGCTTGAGCCTGGGAAGCGGAGGTTGCAGTGAGCCGAGATTGCGCCACTGCACTCCAGCCTAGGTAACAGAGTGAAACTCCATCTCCAAAAAAATCAAAAAATAAAATAATAAAATTAAAAATAAGAAAAACACGCAGCCCTCTGTCCTCCAGAGCCGGCATCTGACCCACGCCCGTGCACACAGCTCACGGAGGTTCAGGCCAGAATGAGAATTCCTCATCTACAGGGTGAGGTGGGGCCCAGGGTACTTGGGGCACAATGGGAGGACAGTGGTGGCAAAGGATGAAGGGTCAGTTCTCACTGCTCAGACCAGGTAGCACCCACATGCCCTCTGACTGGCCTCCAGACAGAGTGGGTACGAGGGCCACTGTGCTCAACGCCTGCAGTCTCCATGCCTCTGAGCAGGCAGGGACATGGGCTCCCCAGGAAGTGCCCATCCTCAGTCCTCAGTTATATTCTGGAGATCAGGGGACTGTGACCCTGGCCACAGGCACATCTGTCACTGAAGCCTTCATGCCCACATGATGTCTACCCTGGTACCCCCTGCATGCCATGAGGTGGGGGCAAGCACCCTGCTCTGTTGAAGAACTGGGGACGTATCACCAAAGGGCCTGGCTTGGCAGGCAGGACAGTTCCCCAGCCACGCTCCGGCCTGGCTGGCCTGGAGATAGGAGCTACGGCAAGGGCCTTTTTTTTTTTTTTTTTTTTTAAATTAAATAGAGACAGGGTCTCACTAGGTTGCTCAGGCTGGTCTCTAACTCCTGGCCTTAAGGGATCCTCCTGCTTTGGCCTCCCAAAGTGCTGGGATTACAGGCGTGAGCCACCATGCCTGGCCAGAGCCTATTTCTTTTCTTTTTTTTTGAGACAGAGTCTTGCTCTGCCACCTGGGATGGAGTGCAGTGGTGTGATCTCAGCTCACTGCAACCTCTCCCTCCTGGGTTCAAGTGATTCTCCTGTCTCAGCCTCCCAAGTAGCTGGGATTACAGGCACGCACCACCACGCCCGGCTAATTTTTGTATTTTTTTTAGTAGAGATGGGGTTTTGCCATGTTGGCCAGGCTGGTCTCGAACTCCTGACCTCAGGTGATGCGCCCACCCACCTTGGCCTCCCAAAGTGCTGGAATTACAGGATGAGCCACCATGCCTGGCTGGAGCCTATTTCTGAAACAACCGAGCCCTGTGCTAAGAGCCTGAAAGAATAGCTAGGTGCCCTGCTGATACAAATGTGGGCTTGGTCACTTCTCAGCTGTTCAGACAATCTGTGTCAAACACTCCTGTCCACGGGGTCAACCCCAACCACAGCCGGGACTGTCACTCATGGTGACTCGTCTAGGCTGGCTCACGATAGGGTGCTATCCAAAGTCAGACACGCCAAGGGCATGTGTTCTGTCATTCTGTGTTGGAAGGGCCCGCTGGTGGCATTAACCTTTGTTTCCTGGCCCCACCCACACCGGCTCTCACTCAAGTACTTGGTCAGCCACTGAGATTCCAAACCCTTTGGCCATTCAGAGGCTGCTGATAGGTGCCACCAGGCCTGGGCTGCCAGGAGACCTAAGGATGGTCTGCAAGGCCTGCTGAACTGACACTGCCTCAGCGTGACCTTGGCTTCCATGCACAGTGCTCCCCGGGCTGCAGGCTGGCACCCTGTCTCCTCACGAGCTGCTTCCTGTCACAGCTTAAGCTTCAGCTCCTGCCAGGCCCCCCCAGCCCTTCTACTCCACTGGGACAGCCCCTAGCGCCAGCTCCCGCAGCAGCCTGTGCTCGCTCCGAGACGACACAAATAACTGATGTTTATTTTTTGTTTGCGTGCTCTGCTTTCCCCATGAAGGCTGAGGAGTGGACAGGGGCTGTGTGTCACTCCCCGCCAGTACCCGGCATCCAGCACTGTGCTGAGTGCACTTCAGGCTCAGTAAACCCCAGAGGGGTAATCCCAGCACTCTGGGAGGCTGAGGTGGGCAGATCACCTGAGATCAGGAGTTTGAGACCAGCCTGGCCAACATGGTGAAACCCTGTCTCTAATAAAAATACAAAAATCAGCTGGGCATAGTGGTGCGTGCCTGTGATCCCAGCTACTCGGGAGGCTGAGGTAGGAGAATCATTTGAACCTGGGAGGTGGAGGTTGCTATGAGCCGAGATCATGCCACTGCACTCCAGCTTGGGCAACAGAGCGAGTCTCCGCTTCAAAAACAAAAACAAAAACAAAAAACCCTAGAGGGAAGCCAACAAGCCTTAGAGCTCTATCCCCCAACACTCCATTTCTGAGGCTGCCTCCTTTGCTTCAGCGGTAACTTCCTGTGTGCTGTTTCTGTGTTGTAAGCACAGTCAAACCCTTCCTGAAAGTAGATGGGGTATAAACCACAAACAGAACAGGTTTAGAGGGAGGCCGGGTAGAGAATCTTAGTTAAGAGCAGGCTGCACGCGGGTGCTGACCAAAGACTGGTTTCTATAGAGGGAAACAGCGCAGTGCAGGTCTGCCTGTGAAGTGAGCTGGGAAGGGTCTCGGGCAATCCTGGGGCCCTGAGTGCCAGTCTCAGAGCCCCATGGCCCTGCCTGGCAATAGGCTGCTCCCCTCACCCCAGGGTCTACCTTGGCCAGCCGTGCCCGCTTGATCAGGTCATTGAGCTTCCTGAGGGCGGCGTTTCGGGGCAGTGACTGGATGTCCTTGAAGAGGTCCTGCTCCTCGGCCTCAAAGAGCTTGCGGTTGTCGGGGATGAGGAGCGGGTGGGACCAGAAGGAGCCGATGTAGACCCTGACCACCTCGGGGGTGTTGATGATCTTGCCCAGGGACCACATGAGGGCCCCGTACACCCGCATCAGCTGCTGCGTCTCGATCTGGTCTGCCTTGTTCAGCACCACGCGGATCTTGTCCTCATGGTTCTTCAGAGCCTTGATCACTTCCGAGAACTCATCGGAGATGTCCAGCTTGTGGGCGTCGAAGAGCAGGATGATGCGGTCCACACGCTCCGCGAACCACTCCAGGACGGCTGCAAAGTCATAGCCTGGGGGGAAGAGAAGGGAGAGCTCAGGGGCGCCAAGGGACCTGCTGCTCTGATGGCTCTCATCTCCAACCTGGCCTGGTATTTCTCAGCCTGAGATAGTTTTTAAAATTCCTATAGGCCGGGCGTGGTGGCTCACGCCTGTAATCCCAACACTTTGGGAGGCCAAGGTGGGAGGATCACGAGGTCATGAGTTTGAGGCCAGCCTGGCCAACATAGTGAAACCCTGTCTCCACTAAAAATACACAAATTAGCCGGGCAGGGTGGCGCGAGCACTCAGGAGGCTGAAGCAGGAGAATCGCTTGAACCCAGCAGGTGGAGGTTGTGGTGAGCCAAGCCCATGCCACCGCACTCTAGCCTGGGTAAGAAGAGCAAAACTGTCGCGAAAAAAAAAAAAAAAAGAAAAGGCCAGGCACAGTGGCTCACACCTGTAATCCCGACACTTTGGGAGGCTGAGGTGGGTGGATCACAAGGTCAGGAGTTCAAGACCAGCCTGGCCAACATAGTGAAGCCCTGTCTCTACTGAAAATACAAAAATTAGCCCGGCATGGTGGTGGGCACCTGTAATCCCAGTTACTCGAGAGGCTGAGGCAGGAGAATTGCTTGAACCTGGGCGGCAGAGGTTGCAGTGAGCTGAGATTGCGCCACTGCACTCCAGCCTGGGCAACAGTGTGAGACTCCATCTCAAAAAAAAAAAAAAAAAATAGCCGGGTGTGGTGGCACATGCCTGTAGTCCTAGCTACTCAGGAGGCTGATGCAGGAGAACTGCTTGAAACCAGGAGGCAGAGGTTGCAGTGAGCCGAGATTGTGCCACTGCAGTCCAGCCTGCGTGACACAGCGAGACTCCGTCTCAAAAAAAAAAAAAAAATTCCTAGGTGTTCATCTAGACAGCACAGCACCCTGAGGGCAGGATTATCTCCCCTATTCCTGCCCCCACCATAACACTCCCCAACCCATGTAGCACTTGGCATAAACAGGTGCTAATGCAAAGGTCGTCCCACAGTGCAAGCTCTAAGGTGGGTCAGAGGAGGGCGAGAGTGAGGAGGAGACCCAGCACTGTGCTCAGCACAGCACAGAGGGTAGAACATAGACTCCAGTGTTGCCACCTGCCTGCTGTATGCCCTGGGACGGTAGTGACAAGAGGCGCCTGCAAAAGTAACTGCAGCTGCTACTTTTTCAGTGCTGATGTGCCAGGCTCCCCATTTTGCAGGAATCTCACTTATTTTCTGCAACAAGGGTTGGCAAACTACAGCTCAGGGATCAAACCTGGCCCACCACCTGTTTGTATAAATAAAGTTTTATTGAAACACAGCCATGCTCATTTGTATTATCCATGGCTTCTTTTGTCTAACACAGCAGAGTTCAGTCGTTGTGACAGAAACTATAAGGTCTGCAAAGCTGGAAGTATTAACTATCCCACCCTTACAGAAAAAGTTTGCTGACCTCTGCTCTACAAGAAGCCCAGGAAGTGCTACGAACCACTTCCCCTTCCTGGGTCTTAAACACTTCTCCAAAACAAAGTGGTTGGACTGGACAGACTCCAGCTTTAAGCTCCATATTCTTTTTAAAAAAATTTTATATTCATTTTTTTAGAGACAGGGTTTTGCTCTGTCACCCAGGCTGGAGTGCAGTGGCACAATCTTCGCTCACTGCAACCTTGAACTCCTGGGCTCAAGCCATCCCCCCCACCTTAGACTCCTGAGTAGCTGGGACTACAGGCGTGTGCCACCATGTCTGGCTAATTTTTAAATTTTTATTTTGTAGAGATGGGGGTCTCACTATGTTGTCTATGCTGAACTGCTGGGCTCAGAGATTCTCCCGCCTTGGCCTCCCAAAGTGCTGGGGTGACAGGCCTGAGCCACCGCGCCTGGATTCTAAACTCTATTCTATATTGCTTCCCACCAACCCATTATGACCCAATTAAGGCCCACCAATTAAAGTGAATTCTGTCGCCTGTGGCAGAGACTGCTAATTGAAATTCCTCCTAAAGGAAGGAACCAGATATAACTATCCAGTTTCAGCTGGATTCATGGCCTCCCAGCTTCAGATTGCATTTCCCAGCCTCCTTCAGCAGAATGAACAAGAAAAGGTGCATGAGCCCTCTGTTGTTTTCTCCCTCCTGAGGACGGGGATGCTGATGTGATGGGAGGAGCTGGAGGAAGCACCTCGGGTTCAGAGATGAAAGCTGCATGTTCAGAATGGCCTTAGACTGTTGTTTTTCACATAAACTATTGGCTATCTGACTTAAGCCAATGATTTTTGGGTCTCTGTAACAGCGGTTTTGAATCCTATATGACAACTAGGCCTCTTCAACAGCAGTTTTGAATCCTATATGACAACTAGGCCTCTTCTAAATATTTCCACTTCAGCCTGGGCAACATAGCAAAATCCCGACTCTACAAAGGTGGTGCAGGCCTGTAGTCCCAGCTACTTGGGAGACTAAGGCAGGAGGATAACCTGAGCCCAGGAGGTTGAGGCTGCAGTGAGCCGTGATCATGCCACTGCATTCCAGCCTGGGCGACAGAGCGACACCCTGTCTCAAAAACAAAACAAAAGAAATCCTCACCTCTTCCTCTGCCCCTAGAGTAAAACTTCTGTCCCTCCCGGTCTAGGAAGAGTAAGGAGTGACAGGCGGGCCATGTGGAAACAAAGGCCTAGAATCCTTGGGGAGCTTGGGCCCCACCCCCGAGGGGCCACATCCTCTCTGCCTGATTCTGGGCAAGCCTCCACGTCCCTGGCTCAGTCTTCCCACAGGTCCCAGGCCACCCAAATGTAGGCCGGCCCTCTTCAGAAGCACCAAGTACTTCCCAGAGAGCAGTCAGGCTCCGGAAAAGAGCAGGAGAAGCCACTCCTGCACACAACAGTCTGAGAGTCGCACAGCTTGGGCCCAAACGAGTCCTCAGCCCACCACCTGCTCCTGGCATCTCCATGAAAAACACCACCCTCTTGCCAAGCTGGGGATGGAGATGGGCGCTCTCTAGACTGAGGGGGCAGAAAAACAGCAGCGAGGTGGGAGGTCCAAGGACAAAGCGTTAAGGAAAAGCAGCAGCTGGACAGGGTCGCCCACGGTGATGGGAGGGCAGCCCTGCCGTCCCCCAGTGGGAGCTGCTGCTGACTCCTCCACTACACGGGTTCCCCCTTGGTGGCATCCGCTGCTCCCACCCTGCAAAGCCCTCCAGGACAAAGGCAGGTCCACAGCCCAGGCTCCTGAGAGGCTGCCTCTACGCACAAGCACGCCAAGATAAATGGCACCACAGGGTGTGCGGAGTCAAGCTCGCTCATGGGATAAACACTCCTGCCGCCTGCCCCGGCCCCAGGCCCAAGCGTGCTTGGCGCCATCTGTGAGCCCAAAGCCACAGGGGCGCGGAGCCCCTCCCCACACCTGGCGCTCCCAGAAGGAACTCGGGCCACTAACTAAGATGGCTCTGCACTCCACTCCCGCCCCCTGCCACTGACTCTGTGACCTGAAGTTCTTTTCCTAACTTCTCAGTTACTTTCTCCATCTGTGAAATTTAAATACCAATTCCTCAGCCGGGCTGCAGGGAGGAGGGCGTGTGGGAGCACTGGGCCTCCAGCCCAGGACCCGACAGGGACAGCCTCCTTGGCAGGCTGGGGCAGGGGAAGCCAGGGCTCTGTGGGAACAAGGGGCCAGCGGCCTGGACCCATCACCGGTCAAGGACTTTCATCCTTGAGCAAAGTCACCAAAATGTAAGGAAAATCCCAAATCCACAGCTTCAGCCACACAGCCTCGGCAGCCTCTCCACAGGTGATGTGCGGCCGTTCCCTGCCCCAGCTCAACAGGAAATAGGGCACTCTGACCAGAAGCAGCCCCGAGGGCCAAGCTTCTTAACAGGGTAGCAGTGCAGGGGAGCCGGGGTCCTGGCCTCCAGCCTGGACGGGGAGGCCCGATCAGCCTTCCAGAGGCTCAGGTGGATGGTCGGAGACAGCAGAGCTGCCAGGTTCCCTGTGCCCAGAAGGTGTGGAAGGGCATCGTGCCAGGGCACCTCATGCCACCACAGGCTCCTGCTTCCAAAGTACAAGGCCCCGGGCACCCGGACTCCCTGCAGCTGGCTCTGAGCTCCACAGGAGAGGATGCCCAAAGAGTGAAGTCTCGGCAGAAAACCAGAAAGAGAGGCCAAGGGCAACATGAGGGAAACAGGGGCAGGGAGAGGCCGCCTCTGCCCCCGGGGGATGAGGCCACACTAGCTAAGCCTGCAGCGCCTGCCTGGGGCCCGCAGCCCACAGCCTTTTATGGCCAGCTCTGGGAACGCAGGTCAGTACTGAAAAGGCGATGACTCAAGGACTGAGGTTCCTCGCTCAGCAAAAAGGGGGCCCAGCTTCTCCCCTTGTCAAATCATTTGTCTTCAGCCCGCCACAAGCTGAAACTAGAATTCACACAGCTGGGGAGGCTGTGATGCCAAAACCGAGTTCTTGGGAATGAGGGCGCCCTGATGGGCTGTGCTCAGCCCATGTTAGCTTTGGCCTGGGAGTCAGGACGGCGCCTGGGGAGCTGAGGTCACCCTCCCAAACTCCACCCAGCAAGGCCCCACTCCCCCCTCCCCCTGGATGGCTGGGGGGCCCTGGGGAAAGAGAGAAAAAGGAGGGGAAGGAAGAAAGAAGAGTGAGCACTCCAAAACTCCCTGCCCCAGGTCCAGAAGCCCTGCCCCACCTGCTCTGAAACCCAGTTACTGGCCGTCATCTCAAGCTGGAGTCAACAGAGGTAAGCCCATTTCTTTGCAGGTGACTAAAATTTCCTGTTTATTACAGAAAATGTGCTTTTGCTGTGAGGGAAACACAGTGACTGGCCAGCCACACCCACAGGTGACAAAAAGGGCCACAGCACTCAGGCCTGTGCCATGCAGGCAGTGACCACGTAACTGCACGCCCCACCAGGCCCACCGGCGCTCCTTAGCCCACCAGGCCCTCGCTGCCCTCAAAGGCACCTCACTCAGCCTAAAAGACGCCGGGTTTCAAGAGGTGCCAAAGGCTACACTGCACAGCGGTAACACTGAGCCACTCTCTAGATCAGAGCTGGACGGCCGGTATCAAGTACAGAACAGGGCTTGCCAGCACCCCCGGCACTGCCCAAGGCAACAAGACTTCAGGCTTTGGCACCCACCAAGGTAGGGGCCTTGCTGTTAGCTTGACTAGCTCAGGCCCCAGTGGGAGTGACAGAACTGATGCCGAGCAAAAGGACACAGAAAACATGGCCCAAGCGGGTGGGCTGGAGAGAAAGGCCCACCTGCAGAGGGAGTGGTTTTAGTGAGTAAAAGCCAGAGCCCCCTCTGATAAGGGATCATAAGCCACCAGGAAGCTCTAGCTCAGAAAATCCTGGGACCTAGAAGACATGATGCTAAGTGATGAAATAAGTCTGTGACCTTTTCCAAAGATGACACACACGCGGCCAACGAGCATATGAAAAAACTCTCAGCATCACTAATCATTAGAGAAATGCAAATCAAACCACAATGAGACAACATCTCATAACAGTCAGAATGGCTATTATTAAAAAGTCTAAAAATAACAGATGCTGGTGAGGTTGCAGAGAAAAGGGAACATTTATACGCTGCTGGTGGGAATGTAAACCAGTTCAGCCACTGTGAAAAGCAGCTTGGCAATTTCTCAAAGAATTTAAAACAGAACTACCATTCGACTCAGCAATCACATTACTGGGCATAAACCCTAAGGAAGAGAAATCATTCTGCCATAAGGACACATGCACACATACGTCCATTGCAGCACTATTCACGATAGCAAAGATGGAATCCACCTAAATACCCATCAACAGTAGACTGGATAAAGAAAACATGGTACATATACCACAGAGAATACTATCCACCCATAAAAAGGAACAAGATCATGACCTTTGCAGCAACATGGATGGAGCTGGAGACCATTATCCTCAGCAAACTAACACTAGAATAGAAAACCAAATACCGCATGTTCCACACCAAATACCGCATGTTCTCACTCATCCATGGGTGTGAAACATTGAGTACACATGGCAACAAAGAAGAGAACAACAGACACCAGGGCCTACTTGAGGGTGGAATGGGTGAGGACAGAAAAACTGCCTAGCAGGCTGGGCATGGTGGCTCACGCTTGTAATCGCAGCACTCTGGGAGGCTGAGGCAGGAGGACTGCTTGAGTCCAGCCTGGGTAACATAGCGAGACCCCCCTCTACAAAAATTTAAAAAAATTTGGGTGTGGTGGCATGCATCTGTATTCCCAGCTACTTGGGACACTGAGGTAAGAGGATTGTTTGGGCCCGGGAGGTGGAGGCTACAGTGAGCTGTGATTGTGCCACTGCACTCCCAGCCTGGGTGACAGAGTGAGACCCTGTCTCCAAAAAAAAAAAAAGAAAAGAAAAACTACCTATCAGATACTACGCTTATTACCTGGGTGATGAAATAATCTATACACCAAACCCCACCACACTCCATTTACCTGTATAACAAACCTGTACATGTACTCCTGAACCTAAAAGTTTTTTTAAAACATCCTGCCACAAAAGGACAGATACGGCACTGTAGGATTCCACTGACAGGAGATACCAGGAGTAATCAAGTGCACAGAAAAGGAATATAGAATGGGGAGTGCAGGGGCTGCGGGGTGCAGGGAGCCACGAGGGGAGCTGGTGTTGAACAGGAAGAGTGTCCATTTGGGAAGTGAAGAGCTCTGGAGCTGGATGGTGGTGACGGCTGAACAATGAAGAATGTGCTAAATGCCAGTGAAATGCACACCTACAAATAGTTAAAATCTACTTTTCTGGGGTCCATGACCAAAAAACGTGGTTAAAATGAGGCCGGGCGCAGTGGCTCACACCTGTAATCCCAGTGCTTTGGGAGGCCAAGGCGGGCTGATCACCTGAGGTCAGGAGTTCGAGACCAGCCTGACCAACATGGTGAAACCCCATCTCCACTAAAAATACAAAAATTAGCCAGGGATGGTGCCACACGCCTGTAATCCCAGCTACCCAAGAGGCCGAGGCAGGAGAACTGCTGGAATTTGGGAGGCAGAGGCTGCAGTGAGCTGAGATCGCACCACTGCATTTCGGCCTGGGCAACAGAGCAAGACTCTGTCTCAAAAGAAAAAAAAAAAAAGGCTAAGCGCGGCGGCTTATGCCAGCAATCCCAGCACTTTGGGAGGCCGAGGTGGGCGAATCACCTGAGGTCAAGAGTTCGAGACCAGCCTGGTCAACATGGTGAAACCCTGTCTCTACTAAAAATACAAAAATTAGCTGGGCGTGGTGGCAGGCGCCTGTAATCCCAGCTACTTGGGAGGCTGAGGCAGGAGAATTGCTTGAACCCAGAGGCGGAGGTTGCAGTGGGCCGAGATTGATCGTGCCACTGTACTCCAGCCTGGGCAATGAGAGTAAAACTCCATCTCCGTACCCCCACCTCCAAAAAAAAGATTAAAATGGTAAATATTATATGTTAGGTGTATTTTATCACAATTTTTAAAAAGTGAAAACGAAAAGTCCTGGGGCTGTGGGATGAAAGAACAGAGTGGCTCCGGGCAACCAGGCTGAGCCAGGCATGGCACCTCAGGGTAGCGTGCACGCAGGTGCCTCTCATGGCGACCCGCGTCCCACCCAGCCTCCTCCAGGCCACTGCGGCTCTGGGGCGCCCCTCTCCAGGCGCTGGCCTTACAGGGTCTGCCTTCCTGAGAACAGCTGGACCATGTTTCCCGCCAGCACAGAAGGGGAAGAGGGAGGTTCTCAGGCCTCCCCGCCCTACCCCAGCAGCCTCCAAAACACAGGTAGTTCCAGCCGCAGGGGGAAAAGCTGCTTTATACATTCCAAAGATTTCTAGAACATGAAACATAGAGGGTTTGTCTCCAATCGACTTTTGTTTCCTGTCATTCAAGCTGCGTGGGCTTCAGTATTTCTCGCCCTAGCTCTCCATCACACAGGTTTCCAACGCGTGCTGGGCCTCGTTCCTGGGCTTGCTCAGGCTGAAGCTCCTCCGGAAGGGTTTTCCAGTGGAGCACAGAGGCGCCTCCGTTCCTCAGCATTTACCTGAGAGCAGCAGCAGCACACGCCCACACGAACCACGTACTTGACTCAAAACTGCCCCGGGTGGAACAACCCAAGCGCCCCAACAGGTGAATGGATGACAACGGATGGTGCATCCCTATGATGGGACAAGGACCCCCAACAAAGAGGAGCGGGCCACAGGGGCTCTCAAACACACAGATGCAGCTCAGAAGCATCCTGCTAAGTGAAGGTGGAAGCAAAAGGCTTCATCCTGTATGATTCCATTTAGGTGACATTCCGGAAAAGGCAAAAGTTAGAGACAAAGGTCAGTGGGCTGCCTGGGACCAGGAGTGACTATGAGGGGCACGGGAACTTTCAGGCGATGGGAATACTCTCTGTCATGGTGGCGGCAGCCCAGGAATGCTTTGTACAGCAGGGCACCTGAGGAGGGTGGACTTCACTACACACAACGTAGACCCCAGCAAATCAGACAGAAGCAACAAAAGAGGGGCGGGAGGGGGCAGAGGAACTCTGGAATCAGGCCCACATTTCCATCCTGAACCTTCTACTCAACAACGAGCTGTGTGACCCAGCAGGTCTCTGACCTCTCAGAGCCTCGGTTCCCAGCTTCTCAGTCTGTAACACGAAGATAGTAGGTTTCCAGCTTGGAGGGCCGCGGGAGGATGGAGTGAGCCTGGCACACTGCGAGCAGGAGTAAATGTTTGCTCTTATTTACTCGCAGGATTTGTATTTTGGGCTTAAGAAGCTCAGATTCTGATGGGTGTGTAGGCAAGGACTTCAAATGCATGAAGAATGCCTCATCCCCCAAATATAAACGGAATGTTTGCAGGCGCTCGGCCAGCTGCTCCCCAGCCCACCGCCAGTGCGCAGCCTGGGGAACAGGTGCTGAGCGCGGGCAGCGCCTGGTACGCCTCCTCTGTGGCAGAGCCTGCACGCCCCCAGCAGAGGCTGAGGCCAAAAGCTGTCTTGGCATCCTGGCCTGCTGGGCCACAGAGGGAGACCACAGCCAGGTGGGGCGAGCAGAGGGTTTTGGGAGGCCTGGAGCTGGGAGCAAAGGAGGGCCTGGAACCCAACGGGAAACCCCGGCTGAGTCAGCACTTCCCCGAGGATACTCCCCAGGATGTTACTCAGATCACCGTCTGGAAAGCCCTGGGCTTTTCAATCTCTTGACTATGAACCAGCTGACACTTGAACACTTAACTGTGCACCAGGCACTAGGGCAAGAGCTTAACATGTAAATTCTGGTAATCTACAATAACTGGAGAGGCTATGGTGTTTCCTGATGGACTGATGCAGCTCCCAGGGACTACAGCAACTCCCTAGAGCCACCCAGCTCCCCAAGTACTAACGTGGGACTTGAACCTTCTGATCTACTTGTGCTATGGATGCTGAATCCAAGAGGGACACAGCACCTGGCCTGGCTCATGGCCTTTGGGCAGCCCCTGGGAGCATTTGATGGTCTTCGGAGCACCCTGGTGAAACCTCAGCCTGGGGGTGCTGCTGGCAGCGGCATCTCCATCTCAGGAGGTGTCGGCAGGAAGTGGGGGCGGCCCACGGCGCAGGCCTGCCTCTGGGCCGGAGGGCTCAGGACACACAGGTGGGAGTGTGGGCAGGGAGGCCCCATCCAACCACTAAGGATCAGGACAGCTCCCAGGCTTAGAGGGAGCCTGCAGACCACCAGAGGGCAAACGAGAGCCCAGGCCACCAGGCTCCCTGGAGACCCCAAGGGATCATTTATGGCTGGGAACAGGGAACACAATACCAGCACTGCTGTTCAAAGCCCCAGACCTCAGGTCCATTTCAGGACTGGAGTCTAACCTTGGGTGGGAGAGAAACAGAGGGTGGCCTCTGTGTGTCTCAGGAGGGACACACATTACTGTGTGTCCACAGTAATGACCCAACAGGGGCAAAGGTCTGTCTGACCCAAGCTCCCGGCACTCCTTCGCCCACAGCCTTCATGCCAAGGCACCCTTCTCAGCTCCGCCGCAGTAGGAGCACAGCCCCTACCTGGGTTCAAATCCTAGCGCCGACACTTGCTGGCCTGCCTGTCATCTTAGGCCAATTACTTAACTTTCCTAAGCCTCTGCTTCCTCCTCTGAAAGGCAGGAGCTTCCTCCTAGATGCAGCTGCTGTGATAACTCAATGGAACTCACTGATGTGGCAGTGGCCAGCAGAAAGTCAGACACAAAGCTGGCCAGGTCTCTGATCTGCTACTGCAAGTAGAAACACTACCCTGCTGATGCTGATACAGCTTTCATGGGGAGATTGAGACACAAAAACTCCCGCTTAGTTCACAGTTGCCTAGTGACCATGGTGGGGAACGAACGAACTGGCCGGGCTGCCCACAGAGGCCCCGCCGGGGGATGACTCGGCATGAGGCACTGCCGGGACCACGCAACTGGTCGGCAGCCCCTGGAGCCAAGGGCACCACCCCTGCCGGACCCAGCTGCCCTTTGGAATGCCCTTATCAGTCACACAGGCAGCACTCAAGAATGAACGCAGCCCCCAGAGGCCACCTTTCTCTGCTGACACAGGAGAACGGTATCTTTAAAGTCACTCAGATTAGCACACAGGCAAAGGCAGCCCAAGAGACCCCAACCCGGCCCCCTTCTCGTCCCTGAGGCAGTCCTCAGGGGTCCCTGACAGAGCCTGGCTGCATCCTGACTGCTTTGGGCCTGCACCAGCCCACCTTATCTTTTCAGACCGTGTTTCCTGCACACATTAGGACCATGGGGAAAGGGGAAAAAAAGTCAGGAGGGGCCAGGCGGGGCCAGACGGGGTGGGAAATGGAAGTAAATGCAATTAGCAACCCCAATGTCCATCCACGGCCTCCACAAGGACATGTTTCCAGGGAACGGGCTGGCAGGCCAGGGGAGGCGTGTTGTGCTGGGGCCCTGGTGCGTGCTCTGCCGGCCCCATCTTTCCGAGAGGGAAACACCTGCTTTCCACGCCACCAGCAAAGGCAGTAGCAGGTGGCCAGCCCTGCCGGGAACGCACTGCTCCACTCCGACCTCCTCCGCTGGACAGGCCACACGGGCCTTTCCATGACTGACGGGCGGGGCCTCCAGGAAACAGAAATCCACTCCTCCTGTGTACACCTAGCGGGGCTCATCCTGGAGTTTACACCCAGCACCTCCAAGAGGTACTGAGCGATGGTCTTTCTCCTGACAATAAAACACCATCATTCAAACCCTAACCAGGTAACTTTTAGTAAAACACATCTAAACCAAGGCCTCTAGGGCTATGGAGGAAAAGAAATGGTCTAGTAAAATCGGTTTGATCTTCTGCTACTTCACAGCAGGAAACCCCTCCTCCAATCAGCGTGATGTGCTTCTCTTTCAGCCACCGGCTCCTTCCTGCCCATAATGGGTAGAGATGACCTTCTGTGGATATAGGGGAGCCTGGCCTCTCAGGGATGCAGAGGGGCCACACTTTGCACCTGGAGGGGAGAGGGAGGCCACACAGGCAGAGCAGGGCAGCACACTGACAGCAGCCTCATGTCCTGCTGGCTTGTTCCTCCAACCTGTTGTCTGCACAGGCAACTCCAGGGCAGGGACCACAAGGCAACACCTACGTCCACCCCTTGCTCCCAATCAAAACGCCATGCTGTGTCTGCAGATCCACTGATATGGAGCATACACTTTGGTGCTTGTCCCAGAGACAGCCAGTGTAGACACCTCTGCCTGCCTCTTTCCTACCAGGGAAAGGAAGCAGAGGGAGTGGGAGGTGGGGAGGGAGCATCTCAGAGGGCAGGGGCCAAGGCAAGCAACACAAGACATACAACCCCAGCCGAGCATGATGGCCCGCGCCTGTGGGCCCAGCTACTCGGGAGACTAAGGTGGAAGGATCACTTGAGCCCAGGAGTTCAAGGCTGTGATGATGCTTTGAGAGGCCGAAGCGGGCAGATCACCTGAGGTCAGGAGTTCAAGACCAGCCTGGCCAACATGGCGAAACCCCATATCTACTAAAAATATAAAAATTAGCCAGGCGTGGTGGCATGCACCTGTAATCCCAGCTACTCAGGAGGCTAAGGTGGGAGGATCGCTTGAACCAGGGAGGAGGAGGTTGTAGTGAACCGAGATCATGCCACTGCACTCCAGCCTGGGCGATAGAGCGACACTCTGTCTCAAAAAAATAAAAGAGTAACTTAATCAGATTTTCTGACCTTGCTTTGGCAAATGACAGGGCTTTTGCTTATCCGGCATTTACTAAAACTAGGTTGGAACAACAATAGCAGTAAGAAATAAAAATACTAGCCCTCGCTTTTTTTTTTTTTTAAAGGGGTCTCCAAATCTACTCCCTTAACTCCTAGGTGCATCACTGTCACCAGGGGTGGGAGAATCTAACAGCTTAACTGGCAGCTCTGAAACCAGATGAGGGCCAGTGATTTCAGTACGCTCTGATGCAGTCCCACACGGGCAAGGCCCGCAAGGCTGGAAGGAAAGAGAAGCAAGGTTTCTCAGCTCCAAGAACAGAGTCCCCATGCCCTCACAGCCCTAGCAGAGAGACATGTGCACCCCAAATCCTAGCTGCCGGCTTTGACTGCAAGGCTCACCCAGCAAAGGCCAGTCCAGAGGGTAAGGGACACGGGAAGGATCTGCAAGTTAATCATCAACAAACTTGCTCACTTGTCCTCAACCCCTCTTTGAGTTTGATCTTATTTCATTTTCACATTTGGAGCTGTAGACTCCACTCCTCACCTGCCAGGTACCAGCCTACCCTCAAGCTCCTCCCAGAAAGCATCAGGCCCCAAAGCGCCCCACCCGTCTGTGAAAAAGGGGCAGTGACAGATGGAGGACCCAGTTCAGGCTCATCCTGAACCAGATCTTCAAAAGAGCTTGGCAGAATCTAGGCAGGAGTTTACACAATTGGAATGGGCACGGTGCACTACTGCATAGCAAGAAGGCCTCAGCCAGGGAGGCTGCTGTCAACCTCTAAGCAAATGTAAGCAAATTTCCACCAGCCCGTTTCATGAATTTCTACCAGCTTCTCCTTTTGCTTGGCTCTCTCTCAGTCCTGCTGGACGTGTGAGGAATGTATATGGCTTTGGGGGGCAAAGGCTGTTAAACACAGACTAAAGCTAATAAGCTCTGGGGACCAGGGGCTTGTTCAGAGTCAGCAATGCTTCCTGCACCCTCACAGCATGGCCCGATTCTGATCCTGTTGTTTCCAGCATGCCCCAGGGGTTCAAAAGCATGACAGCCACATAAGATTGGCTGTGGTCTCACCATGGCTGCTCCCATTGCCTAGGCCCAGGGAGCCAAGAAAGAAAGCAGCTCCCGCCCTCTCAGTGCACAGAGCACTGTGGAGATGGGAGGCTGATGTAAAATGGGTTCTTACTCGGACACTTTTTTTTTTTTTTCTGAGACGGAGTCTCGCTGTCGCCCAGCCTGCAGTGCAGTGGCGCGATCTCGGCTCACTGCAAGCTCTACCTCCTGGGTTCACGCTATTCTCCTGCCTCAGCCTCCCGAGTAGCTGGGACTACAGGCGCCCACCAACACGCCCAGCTAATTTTTTCTATTTTTTAGTAGAGATGGGGTTTCACTGTGTTAGCCAGGATGGTCTCAATCTCCTGACCTCGTGATCCGCCCACCTCGGCCTCCCAAAGTGCTGGGATTACAAGTGTGAGCCACCGTGCCCGGCCACATTTTTTTTTTTAGAAAGGCTGAGACTGGAAGAAATCTCGAGGGCAGCCAGGTGTGGCGGCTCACGCCTGTAATCCCAGCACTTTGGGAGGCCAAGGCGGGCAGATCATGAGGTCAGGAGTTCGAGACCAGCCTGGCCAATATAGTGAAACCCCATCTCTACGAAAAATACAAAAATTAGCCGGGCGTGGTGGCACATGCCCGTAGTCCCAGCTACTCAGGAGGCTGAGGCAGGAGAATCGCTTGAACCCAGGAGGCAGAGGTTGCAGTGAGCTGAGATCGCGCCACTGCACTCCAGCCTGGGTGACAGAGTAAGACTCCGTCAAAAAAAAAAAAAAAAAAAAGGAGAAATCTCAAGGGCAGCATCTGAACCAAGTTGCAGATCTTAGAGAGAAGGATGTGTGACAACACCAGCAGCCCGAGCTGTGGTCACAGCTGTTTACCTCTGCTGATCCGCTGCTTCTCTCCAGACAGGATCCCGGGGGTGTCGATGATGCTGATGCTGTCCAGGACGGGGTTGGGCAGCTGGGCACACATGAACCTACATGAGAGCAAGAGCCAGAAGAGAGGCGTCAAGACACAGTCATCACTGCTCCGGACACAACAAAGGGCTCTCTGTACTCCTTCGCTCCATCTCTGGCTTCCTCTCCAGCAGCGGGGAACTGACAGGTGGTTTTCTATCGTCTTAGTTTCCCGGGGTGGCCGGCAAATCGTATGGACTTTCTCAACTGGGAATGCAACCAGCAGGCTCAAACTGACCCAAATCAGCACTTCCTCACACACTTTTCCCCTAGAGTTTGAGAGGTCAACTTTCAAGCTGCTGACTTGTTAGTGAAAACTGTGCAAGCCTAGGTCACCATTCAGTTCGGAGGGGAAGCAGAAGGTCACGCTGGGGCGCTGAAATCCCATCTCAGAATCCTCCAGCACTTGGCTAAATCTCCACACTGAAGAGAGCTGGCCGCTTCCTACTGCTGCTAGGGCCAGCCCTGCCCTTTCAACCAGCCGCTTGGGTGAGGGAATTGAAATGGACGGCTGGCAAAAGCTGGGGACCACACAGGCTGGTAGACGGTGGGACGGAGAAGCACAGACGCGCCATTCTCTGAAAGTCCGAGCAGGCTGAGGAAGAACAAAGCCGTGGAGAGGCTGGCGACTTGCGGGCCAGGGCTCAGCCACGCATATCTGAGTTTCACACTAAGCTTAGAACAGCCCAGAAAGGCAAGGGGCAGTCTCAGTTGAGAGCAGGGATCCTTCACTGGACGCAGAAAAAGCTCCTTTGAAAAGTTCTCTGAAAGGCCAGGCGTGGTGGCTCACGCCTGTAATCCTAGTACTTTGGGAGGCCAAGGCAGGCAGATCACTTGAGGTCAGGAGTTCACGACCAGCCTGGCCAACATGGTGAAACTCCATCTCTACCCAAAATAGAAAAATTAGCTGGGCATGGTGGCACGCGCCTGTAGTCCCAGCTACTCGGCAGGCTGAGGCAGGAGAATTGCTCGAACCCAGGAGGTGGAGCTTGCAGTGAGCCGAAATTGTGCGCCACTGCACTCCAGCCTGTGCAACAGAGCGAGACTCTGTCTCAAAAAAACAAACAAAAAACTTCTCTGAAAAAGGTAGTGAGAGCAAAGAAAAGACTGACCCATTATCTGTAGGACACAGACTTGAAGCTGCCTTTCCAACAGACGGGAGGACTCTGAGCCGATCAGCTTCTCCCTTTGGCCCCATCCCCCAGTGACCAGGGGCCCACGGGCAGAGGGCAGCTGGCCAGGGCAAGGGGTGCTCTGCAAGGCAGTGGAGCAAGACCAGCTGACCTGCAGGGCGAGCAAAACGTGGGCCTCACTCTCGCCAGTGCCAGTAGCAATGCATGAAGGCCAGTCCTGGCCTTCCTGCTGGGGACAGGAGGCGCTGGAGAGATGATTACAGAATAGAAGGATGGGAAGCAGAATTGGCTCTGGGAAATCACATACATAAAAATGCCTCATAAATGAGCCCAGAAAGTGAGTTAATATCTATAGGACCCAGAAACCAGTTGCTCTGCAGAGCCCAGGGTATATGGCAGAAAACAAGAAAGGGGAAGCAGCAAAGATGCCTCCGATTCCATCTCACCAAGAACGCACAGGTTTCATCTCGCACAAGTGGCAGTCCCAGTTATGCAATAAGTTTTTGCAAGACACTCTTAAGACACCCTGACTGCACCTTGCCTTGGTCTGCTCCAGCTGATTTTATTCTTAGAGCAGCCACATAGGGGGAGAAGGCCGGCAAGTCAAGTTCACGACTCAATGAGTCTCTTCAAGACTCAGCTGGGAGAGGCTGTATCAGCCAGAGAAAAGCCTCCTTTGTTGCACCCTCCTCGCCGGGCTCACTCCCCACACTACACATCCTGGCACAGCTCTGGGCCTCAGCGTGGGCTGATAGGGCCCTTTCGGCAGGGCCATCAGTGATCAGGGATCCTCTGGAGATGAGGTGGCAGCAAGAAGGAAATAAACGTGTGCCACCTCTCAGATCCTGTGGCACCAATGTCATCAAAGCACCGGTCTCGGACAAAGCAATCTCGAATTGCTCTTTTTCGGGTAGAAGCAGCAGAAAGCAGTAACTGGCTGTGCAAAAGCCAGGCAGTCAGTGCTGGCTGACCTAATGGGTGACTTCCACACATCAGCCAGACCCTCTGAACCTCGGTTTCCTGAACCAGTCAGGTGGGGGCTGCCAAGATGATGTCTAAGATCCTTCCAGCTCTGAAACTCTAGGCTTCCAAATTCAGAAAACTGGTCCTGTGCCATGTCTCTCCTTTCAAAAAAGGTGTGCCCTCACAAGGAAAGTGAAGAGGACTCCGCCTCTTCAGGACCCTTAGCCCAAAGGGCTGCACTCAACCTGGCCTTGACAGACAAACATCAACAGCCGTAAAACAGGAGGGCGGGCTGAAATGCCTGGAAGTGAACAGACCCTGCTGAAGGTCAGCTCTGTGCCTGGAGTAGGCCTGGCCACCAGCTTGGCTCTAGGGCAAGCTGCCCTGCACAGCTGGATGGCGTCTGGAAAGGAATGTGACCGTGCAGGGCGGGGACCTGGAAGGCAGGATTCAAAGATTCCTTCAGAGGCTCTTCGCTGGTGCAGAATTATGAAAGGCATGTGGAGTCCGTGAACGTGGGGTGGCAGGGAGGACAGGGTCTGTGAAGTACTTTGGTATGTCGCCTGGGGGTTGGGACGGGCATGTCTCGAGTTTCTCTGGAGAAAAGTGAGCTTGGGCATTGCACTCCTTGAGGGGCGGGAGCACTGTGTTTCATTCACAGCACTGAGACAGGCAGAGTCCTGGAGCTCACTCTCCTCGCGTGCAGAGGCCACTTAACTGGAAAAGTGAGGTCCAAGTGGGTGAAGGAACCTCAGATTCTGTCCCTCAGTGCACAGAAGGGCTTAGGGCCAGAATCTCATTGCAGGGCTCCCACTGCCACCACCTCATCCTGCTTCCTGAAACCCCTCAGGGCAGCACTGACCTCTTGAGAGCTGCCATTGGGAGAAGTGTTCGAACCTCAACTGTCCCCTGCCTCCAAGGGGCTGCCCCAAAGTCAGCAAGCCACAGCCGATCCTCCTCCTCCCTCCTACACAAAACCACCGTCCCAGGGGAGGCAGAGCAGACCCACACCGCACCAGAGAAGGGAATGGCTAAAAGTTTCATTGTGTTTTGCTATTGACACTTAAGAAGACAGGGAGGGGAGGGTTGATTTCCGTGAATTAGGTGCATCCAGCCTGCGGGACGGAGGTGGAGACCAAGAAAAGGAGCGCAGGAATGGCTCAGCTTCCTACTGCGGCCCTGCTGCTGAGGGGAGTGGGGCTGGGATCTGCAGGAGGGCTTGGTGGTTACCCTGGAAGATTCTGGGGAGGACAGAAGCTGGGGGAGCCGACAACGCCCACTCTTAGACCCCCAGTGGGTTTACTCTGGGAAGGGGCAGGGCCCTTGGACCAGGGAGTGGTCACTGAGGGTCTCACTGGGGCCTCGGAGACAAAGGACGGCGGGGCGACAGCCACGGGAGGGTCAGGCTCCGAGTGAGGGGTGTGCCCCGGACGCGCCCCCCGCCCCCTGGAGTGATGGGTGGGTACCTGTTGAGGAAAGCGTTGCCAAACGCGTTGAGCTTGCGGAAGGGGCGCCGCGGGTCCACCACGAGCGCGTTGCCCGGCACCACGCCCTCAGTGGGGCCGTGCATGACGGCGATGAAGGAGTCGGTGGTGGGCTCGGGCCCGATGCGCATCCCCGGGAAGTCCTGCTCGATCAGGTGTCGGATGAAGGTGGTCTTGCCCGTGCTGTACTGCCCCACGAGGAGCACCATAGGCTTGTTGTCGAAGTCAGCGTCCTCCAGCGCGGGCGAGTGGAACTCGTGGAAGCGGTAGTGCTCCTCCAGGGGTAGCAGCTTCTGCGCGTACAGCTGCCGCAGCCCCTCAGCCACCGTCTGGAAGAGCTCCGGCTCCTTCTTGCGGCGGGCATCCTTGCTGACCCAGCTGAACATACTGCCGGACACGGGGCTGGCTGCTGCGGGGCAGAGCGGCGGCTGAGAGCGGGGCGAGGGTGCGGAGCCGAGGCGGGGCCGGCCGGGGCAGGGAATCGGGAGCGACCCACACTGCGCAGGCGCACAGCCCAGCCCGTCGAAGCGCCCTCTGCCGAATGCTGCGCACCCCTCGCGGAGCGGCCTTTATAGGGTCGGTCCCTCAGTGGCGGCTAGCGCCGCCGCGGCGGGGGCAGGGCGGAATTGGGGGCGGTAGGGAGGAGCCCCTCCCAGCCCCGCCCCTCCGACTGGTGCCACGTCTTCCCCTACCCCGCCCCCATTGGCTGATTCCAAATCTCGCGAGGCTGTGGTCCGGGTGCCGTGGCAACCGCACCTGTTTCGCCCCGCCCCTCGTAGGGAGGCTCGCGAAAGTGCTGCGGTTAGGAAGGCGAGGAGCGGGCGTTCGGCGGAGACGGCCTCTGGGCCGCGCGCCTTCCGGCACCGTGGCCCCCCCACACCCCCGCGGGATGGCTCCACGAGACACCCAGTCAGGCACCCTGGTTCCCTGACTACGCGCCGCGCCCGCCGTTCGCCACGTGCGGTCCTCCAGCTGGCTCGGAATCCCCGGAAGCATCGGAGTACCCCCAGGCGGCGGCACCTCCTCCTCTCAGCCCAGCTTCCCAGACACACACTGTCTTTGTCCCCTCATCTTTTATCTGCTTTGGGAGAGGGAGAGACAGGAAAGTGGTAGCAGAGCAAGCTGAGGGAGTAGAGAATCCGGGGCGGGCTGGTGACTGGGGAAAGAAAAATGGGCAGCGAGAGGCCTGACCTCCCCTCAGGCCGACGGGGTGGGAATGGGAGAGGGACGCAAGCGAGGGAGGACATGGGTGACACCGGACTCGCGCGGGAGAAGAGAAGGCTTCCCCACAAAGGCTATAGCTGGGGCAAGGCAGGGAGGGCATGAGGAGGAAGTTGAGGCTCTCTGGCCACTTGCGTATTGGGAAGTGAAATCGGAAATTCCCTATGTGGGGAAGAGGGGAAGTGTGGGGGCAACAATGAAATCTTGTGGGAATTTAGGGGGAAGTTTAAAAACCCAAATACTTCCACTTTCCTCTCGGGGTCACCACCATTTACCATCATTTACTGGGATCTGTGCCCTACCTCCCCTTACCAGTTCCTGGCTGTTCCATGGGGCTCACTCCCCCGCCATCCTCCCCGGCCACACACAGACCCCTTTGGCTGTCCAGGCTGGTGAGAATCTTCAGTGGGTGATGTCAGAGCTTTGGGGACTGATTGTTATGTAACCAGTATCAAGACACCAACCTGTGGTAGCAGGACCCTGGGGGCTCTTAAAGAGATCTGAATTGAACCTGCGACTTTGAAAGCCTCAGGTCCAACTTCCTCGCTTCTGGGAGATGTGGAAGCCTGGAGGGCTAGGGGCCTGTATCAGGGGATAACTTGGGCTGGTAGGCTAAGAGGAAGAGGCAGGAACTCAAATCTGAGAACGGGGGATATCTCAGGGGAACTGAGTGGTGGAATCTAGAGAGGACACGATGGGAGGTTTGTTCGCCTACCGCTTGTAAGATCCCTTCCGAGGGAATAGATAGTTCCCTTGCCCTCCCCTCTTGCTCCCTAACCATTGGAGAGCGGATAAGTAATTCCAACCCTGCCTGCAATCTTACGCCCCTTAGTGCTTTGATTTGATTCTTTTCATCATAGTAAAGCACACAAGCTACTGCCCCCCCCCTTTTTTTTTTTTTTTTTTTTTTTTGGTGTTATTCTCAAAAGAAGATACTGAGGCTCCTAGGCAGAGCTGTCACCAGAGGCTGCATGCCAATTGGTGACGAGGAGCCTCCGGCGGGCCTAGTCCAGACTTCCCGGGTCAGCCTTAGAAGCCACAGTGTTTGCCTCCTACTCAGCACTGTTAGGGATCCACCCCGGAGATGCAGTTTCTGGGTTGATCTAGGGAAGGGCCCAGGGCTGAGGATCCTGAATGAAGTAGTTGTTCAGTCGTCTCAATGAGGCTGCTCCAAACTGGCGCCCCGGCAGCATTCTCATTGACGCGCCATGGTTTTCAAATCTCCCCAGAGCCCTGTGTGCTGGGAAAACCCAGCCCTAGAAAACTGAAAACAACAAAATGTTCCTGGGTTATTTATAAACAAAACCCAGACCCTGTCGTTATGTATGGCCACTTGACTTTCTCCAAAGATCTTAAAGGACTGAAAGAAGGGATCTCTGTCACCCTGGTGAGGCCCACGTGACCAGCAATTAGTTTCCCCCAATTTCATGGAGTTGGCACCCAGCTTCCAGGCAGCTTCCTTATCTTGTCATGCCCCACACCGAAAATGTCCTAATTTTTTTTTCTTTTGTGTTTTCTGAGTAGGGCAGTTTGTTTGGTGGGAAAGTTGTATAAAATGTGAATGCACCCTTTCACTTTTGGTTTCTCCGCTGTTTCACTTTCTGCCTGTCTGCCTGAGCCCATGGCAGATTGATGGAGGGTTCAAGTATTTTTCTTTTATCTCAGAAACTGTGCCATCCCCCACTCCCAGTGTTTTATTCTTCAGTTAATAAATCCATTCCCTGCAAACCCAGGGCCTTGAGGTACCCCCTAGCTCTCCTCAGAAACGCCCTCATCCAGCAGAAAGGGGCCTCACCTCCCCTCTAAGTGGTCTGCTTGGTCCTGTCATGGCCTGATCTAGGAAAACATCTACAAGGTCCCTAGAGACAACTTAAAAAAAAAAGGCCAGGTGCAGTAGCTCATGTCTGTAATCCCAGCACTTTGGGAGGCCGATGCAAGCAGATCACCTGAGATCAAGACCACCCTGGCCAATATCACAAAACCCCGTCTCTACTAAAAATACAAAAATTAGCCAGGTATGGTGGCGTGTGCCTGTAATCCCAGCTACTGAGGAGGCTGAGGCAGGAGAATCGCTTGAACCCGTGAGGTGGAGGTTGCAGTGAGCCAAGATCGCACCACTGCATTCTAACCTGGGCAACAGAAGGAGACTCCATCTCAAAAAAAAAAAAAAAAAGAGAGGTGCCTTTTCCGCTTGCGGTGCCGTGCAGTGAGGAGCTCTTATCTGTGCTCTTGGCTATGCCATCCAAGGGCCAGCTGCAGTCCGTGCAATCCACTGCAAACATGGCAGTGGCCTCATCAAGGTGAATGGATGGCCCCTGGAGATGATGGAGCCGAGCGCTGCAATTCAAGCTGCTGGAACTAGTTCCTAGTTCTGCCTCTGGGCAAGGAGCAATTTGCTGACATGCACACGCATGTTTGTGTGAAGGGTGGTGGTCATGTGACCCAGATTTATGCTATCAACATCAGTCCATCTCCAAAGCCTTAGTGGCCTATTACCGGAAATAAATGGATGAGGCTTCCAAAAGGACCAGAGGCATCCTCATCCAGCATGACTGGACCCTGTCAGTAGCTGACCCCCGTTGCTGCAAATCCAAAAACGTTGGAGGCCCTGGTACCTATGCTTGCTACCAGAAATCGTACCAATAAGCCCATCACAGGGACCAGGATTCACCTATATAATAAACTATGTTTGAGAGTGTTTTTTTTTTTTTGAGACAGAGTCTCACTCTGTGTCACCCAAGCTGGAGTGCAATGGTGCGATCTCAGCTCACTGCAACCTCCACCTCCTGGGTTCAAGTGATTATCCTGCCTTAGCCTCCCAAGTAGGTGGGATTACAGGCGCCTGCCACCATGCCTGGCTAATTTTTTGTATTTTTAGTAGAGACTACTAAAAATACATGTTGGTCAGGCTGGTCTCGAACCCCTGACCTCAAGTAATACACCCACCTCAGCCTCCCAAAATGCTGGGATTACAGGCATGAGCCACCGCACCCAGTCGATATTTTTTTTTTAAGGAGTTTTTCTCCAAATATGGCAGAAAAATCGAGCTGAGAAAAACCAAAACATAGGTTTCTCCCTGGGATGAGGAGTGGTTCATTCTTTCCACTGACAGAGTTTGCATATCAGCACAGATTTTTGTTCTCACAGTCATGAGATTTGGGCAACAAATCAGTTTTCCCGACACAAGGTGAGGAACTGAGGAGGACTGTTCTTTTGAATGCCGGGTCTCCCACACTGGCAAGAAGAGTGTCCTCTCCACACCATGAGGCCTTTCTCTTGCAGCAGCTGTGGCCCTTGGGTGATGGCTCTGGGGAGATTGCTGGGCCCCAGAGGGCTCTGAAGGCATCTGGCAGCCAGAACATGGCCCAATTTGGAGGTGACCGTGTCAGAATCTTAGCTGCTTTCAAATTCCAGTGAGAAAGAGCCTGAGGCCCGGGATGTCCAGTGACTGCTCGAAGTAGCCCAGACTGAATGAGAATCTGGGCCTTCGGAGTCTTTTTTTTTTGAGAGGGAGTCTCCCTCTGTTGCCCAGGCTGGAGTGCAGTGGCGTGATCTTGGCTCACTGCAACCTCCACCTCCCGGGTTCAAGTGATTCTCCTGCCTCAGCCTCCCGAGTAGCTGGGACTACAGGCGTGTACCACCATGCCCGTCGGCTAATTTTTTCTATTTTTAGTAGAGATGGGGTTTCACCATGTTAGCCAGGATGGTCTTGATCTCCTGACCTTGTGATCTGCCTGCCTCGGCCTCCCAGAGTGCTGGAATTACAAGTGTGAGCCACCACGCCTGGCCAGGGCCTTCTGAATCTTAACACTGCCCTTTCCACACTCCAGCCACTTGAAGTTGCAAGGACGGGCAGGTGGAAAAGCAGAGAAAGAGGGTTTCAAGAGCCTCTTCCCCAGATGCAGGCTGAAGTGAATCTCTGCCCTGAAGCTCACCAGCCCTTCCTAGCCCCTTTGCTGCTCTGCAGCCTGGGGGACAGGCTTACACATTTATCAGGATGATGTACACATATAACTGCACAGTGCTTTGCAGAGCTGAGACTTATAGGTCTCTGAGCACTTTCAGTAAAAGCTCTAGTTCACCTGCCAGTTTTCTGTGTGTGTGTCTCAGTCCCTGCAGCTTCTGGCCCTGCCTTGCTGGGGCTGATGAGGCTGGGGCTGCCGCTGAGTGCAGGGTGCAGGGTTTGCCCTAAACTTATTGGAGGGCCCAGGCCTTTGCCTGACTCCACAGGAAATGGCTTATTATTTGGCACATAAGCAATCGCCTTCTGTGGTGACAACATTAGGGGGTCCCTTGTGGGGTGCTGGGGTCCCCCTTGCCCTACACTAATGAAATGGAGAGTGTAACCCCATTGTCCCCCAGCCTCAGCAGCCTGAGAGTACAAGTGAGGTGCATGGTCTTAGCCTCCCTTGTATGAGTGCAGACTGCTGCCGTGCACACGGCCCCTCTGCATTTCCGGGGGCTCTGAAGTGTGTCTCGTGTGTGCAAGAACGAGCCTGCCCAAGTTCTGCTCCAGCTGCCTCTCCCTTGCCTTGGCCTTGCCCTGCTGTGGCCCTGAGCCTCACCATGGGCTCACAGGCTGGGGGGCTGGAGGGTAATTCTGTCCCCAACTCTGTGTCACACTCAGCCACCAGGGCACAGAGCCCAGCCCATCTTCAACAAGCCCAGCTCCTCACTCCCACACCTCAGGAGTCAAACATCGTGCCCAAGGCCACCCTCCTGTCCCCTCTGCTGGGCGAACACCTCCCTCCTCCATCCCCCCAAATTAAAGTCTCTTTGTAGGTCACTTGGGGTGGTACATGGTGGTCCCCCAGCCCGCCTGTCTGCCGACACTCAGTCTCCCTCCCCGTCCTGTGGCCCAGCTGCCACATTCCTCTCACCTGCAGCTTCTTTACTGTGCCCTTAAGTACAGAACATGGTGACGCTCCATCTGCAAGGAGACTGGAGACCAGAACCCTCCCCTGAGGCCCACGTCTGCCCAGGCACCATGCTTGCTCCTAGAGGTACATGTTGGGGTGTCCCCGAGGGCAGGAATATAGTGGGACCCTCTCAGAGGTGGGGTCAGGCCTCCGTCTCCTGCTCACCCAACCTGGTCCCCTGCCCCTTGGCTCCATGTCCTGTCCCAGAAACACCTCTCTTGCCCTTTGGTCATCATTAAGCAGAATTTCAGGATGTCTGCAAGATCCCCCACCCCTGGTGTACATATCCAGTGTAATGCTGGGAATGCGGATCTGGTGACTTACTCCATGACATGCGGTGTTAGATGGTGCAGTCCACTGTACAAAGGGAGATAATCCCAGTGGGCCCCCCAGCTCACTGAGCCCTCTGAAAGCAGAGCTGGCTGGACAGTGGCTTACACCTGTGATCCCAGCACTTTAGGAGACTGAGGGGGTGGGTCACTTGAGCCCAGGAGTTCAAGACTAGCCTGGGTAACATGGCAAAATCCCATCTCTACCCAAAATACAAAATATTAGCTGGGTGTGGTGGCATGCACCTGTAGTCCCGGCTACTCAGGAGGCTGAGGTGGGAGGATCACCTGAGCCAGGGAGGTTGAGGCTGCTTCGAGCCATGATTGTGCTACTGCACTCCAGCCTGGGGGACACCATGTGGAAAGGAATGTGGGTGACCTCTAGGAGCTGAGAGGGGCCCCAGCAGACCACCAGCAAGGAAACGGGGACCTCAGTCCTATGGATGCAAGGAACCGGATTCTGCCAACAAGAATGAGCTTGGAGACAGATTCCTTCCCCTGCCTCCCGGTGATAGGGCAGCCTGGCTGCCACCTTCCTTCAGCATCTGACACTCTGAGAACAGAACTCAGTCATGCTGGGCCCAGACTTCCAACCTACAGAACCAGGAGCTCATAAATGGGGGCGGTTCTAAACCACAAAGTTTGTGGCACTTTGTTGTGTAGCAGTAGAAGGTAGCTACTGCAATAGATTTGTCTTTTTGTCGATCCACGAGTCCCTTCACAGGCAACACCTGGCAGCCACTAGACATGGGACCAGAGAAGAAAATGGAAGGACCCAAAAGTGACCATGGAGTACCAATCACTGGGATAGATTTCAGAAGGGAATACAGCATCACCTGGCTACACACACACACATACACACACACACCCCACACAGTGATTCTCAGCTGGGTGTGATTTTGCTCCCCCGGGGACATTCTTGGTATGATTATTTTGGGGATTGTTGCTGGCATCTACTAGGCAGAGGACAAGGCTGCTGCTGACCATCCTACAACACACAGGGCACTCCCACAGCAGAGAATTACCCTGCCCGAAATGCCAATAGGGCAGAAGCTGAGGCATCCTGATGAGCGCGCGCACGCCACACGCACGTGGCTGGCCATTATTGAGAAGCAGTATAGCATAAAGGCCAAGTGCATGGGCTTTGGAGCAGACTGTTCAGGATCAAATCCTACAGACCATATGATCTTTAGCAAGGCACTCAAGAGATAACAAAAGCACCCGCCTCCTAGGATGACATGAGTTCATGTGCACAGAGTGCGTAGAACAAGTGAGTCAGCTTACTCAGTGATTACAGGAAGTGTCTACGGGGTTATCCCTGCATCGTAGGAACTGGGGCAATTTTTATTTACTTTTCTATGTTGTCCAAATGTATATAATGGATGTACTTGACTTGTTTAATTGGGGGGAAATGGAGAGAAAAAGATGAGAAACACTCTACAAAACAACTGATCTAGACTCTTCAAAAATATCAAGGTCTTGAAAAACAAAGAAAGGCTGAGGATGGTTCTGGATTAAAGAAGACTGAGGAGAGCTGACACCAGATGTGAAGCGTGGTCCTGGCAGACTGGGACAATCAGAGACATTTGAAAGTGGACTGTACGTTAGATAATAGCATTGCATCACTGTCATCAGGCCTGAATTTGGTACTTGTCTTGTGGTTGCGTAAGAAATGTCATTTTTCTTAGGAGATACATGTTGAAATATTTAAGGGTAAAGGGCTAGGACTTATGTAACTTACTCTCCCGTGGTTCAGAAAATATGTGTGTGTGTATGTGTGTATGTGGGTGCCAGACAGAGAGAGAGAGAGAAAAGGGAGCAAATATTATTGCAGGCCGGGTATGGTGGCTCATGCCTGTAATCCCAGCACTTTGGGAGGCCGAGGCGGGCAGATCACCTGAGGTCGGGAGTTCGAGAACACCCTGACCAACATGGAGAAACCCCGTCTCTACTAAAAATACAAAAATTAGCCAGGTGTGGTGGCGCATGCCTGTAATCCCAGCTACTCGGGAGGCTGAGGCAGGAGAATTGCTTGAACCTGGGAGGCGGAGGTTGCAGTGAGCGCTATTGCACTCCAGCCTGGGCAATAAGAGAGAAACTCCGTCTCAAAAAATATATATATATGTGTATATATATATATATAAATATGTATATATATGTATATATATATATAAATATGTGTATATATATGTATATATATATAAATATGTGTATATATATATATGTATATATATATAAATATGTGTATATATATGTATATATATAAATATGTGTATATATATGTATATATATAAATATGTGTATATATATGTATATATATAAATATGTGTATATATATATAATTGCAAAGTGTTAACTGTCAATGAATCAAAATAAACAGTATATGGATGTTGTTCGTACTTTTCTTGCAACTTTTCTGAAGCTGTCATCATTGTCAAAAAGAAAAACAGAAAGACAGCCGGGCACGGTGGCTCACGCCTGTAATCTCAGAACTTTGAGAGGCCGAGGTGGGCAGATCCCCTGGGATTAGGAGCTCAAGACCAGCCTGGCCAACATGGTGAAACCCCATCTCTACTAAAATACAAAAATTAGCTGGGCATGGTGGTGGGTGCCTGTAATCCCCGCTACTCGGGAGGCTGAGGCGGGAGAATCGTTTGAACCCGGGAGGCAGAGCTTGCAGTGAGCTGAGATCAAGCCACTGCATTCCTGGGCAACAGAATGAGACTCCGTCTCAAAAAAAAAAAGAAAAACAAAATCAAAAAAAGGCCTGTACCCAGCTGTCCTTTATTAGGCACACCATGTGGCCTGGTCCAGTGTTAGGTCCACCACTCCATGACCTGACAGCCCCTGCTGGAGAAGCACCCTGCAGTAGAATCTGTGCATTACAATACTCATTATAATCCCAACAGTGCTCATAATAACAGCGCTCATAATAACCCCAAGTGTTCTCTTCACTATACAGCAGTGAACAAGAGTGAAGAAGCTTCGGCTCCATCAACTGCATGAGACTCAGCCAGACACGGCACCGTGATTCCATTTACATTAATAACAAGAAAGCCAGACAAAATGCTCGCAGACTGTTTGGGAAAGTGTACGGGGTAGTAAATCCCAGAGAAAGGAGAGGAAGTGATTACCTTAACACTCAGAACTGTGCTGACCATGGGCGGGGGGGACCTGGAAGGGCATATTTGGGGGCTCTGCAGGTTGTTACATGGGGACTCATTGTGAATTCTATGAATATACATTATACAGTGATGTTTTATACACACCACAGCGGGAAGAGCCCCACCAGGGCCACCTTGGGTAAGGCAGTGCGCGCCTGGGACCCGCAACTGTGTGTAGGACGCTGGCACCTGGGCTGTGCCCTAGGCCCAGGACAGTGTCCTGGCCAGGCCAGGCGCAGTTCTAGGCGGCCCGGGGAAGGCGAACCCAGGGGCTGCTCCCCCAGGCCTTGGGAGCCGCGCGGTGGGGAGGGTTGGCCCCGCCCCGCTTGGGAGGGGTGCCCGGGGCGCCCCCTAGTGGTGGCCACCGGGAGTAAGCCTTGCAGAAGAGGAAGCTGTCCCCGCCCGCCCCGCGCCTCCGTCCGGTTTCTGCATCTTTGCCCCTGGCATTCCTTCCTCCTCCAGTGATCACGACCTGTTTCTGGGGTTCACCTCAGCAAACGCCGACCTCACACTCACCTCTCCCAGGGAGGCTTTACTCCTCCCCGCCTGGGCCTTCTCTCTCTGAGGCTGGCGTACGGTCAATCTGCACAACCTCTCAGGGCCTCTGTCAGCGTAGCGTTTCACACACGTGTGGTGTGGACGATGGGACAAAGACAATACTACTGAGGCCTCCCACCGCCAGCTCTGTGCTGACCGCCCCACTGTGTCTAGGCTCCCTCCCTAAGCAACTTTGCTCATGCACAAGGTCAGTCCTTCTGTGTGCATTTATTAAGTGCCTCCTTTGAGTCTGAGGCTACAGGAAAAAAGTCAGTGGCCGCCACTCCTGGGGGCTTTCAGGCTGGTGGGGGAAATAGCCCGGTGTGGGTGATGGGGCATGATGGGGGCGCTAACATCCCAGCCACAGAGCATCCAGGGAGCCAGTGAGTGGGGTAATGGGGGGCGGGGCGGGGGGCCAGGCAGGTGTCCGCGAGGGAGTGACCCTTGGGCAGGTCTTGAGGAGTTCTGAGAGGGGTTGGAGGTGAGACCCAGGCCAGGGAAATGTGCATGGGCCCAGGGCCTGCTGGGTAAAGGACACAGGTCAGTGGGCTCAAGGAGCTGGGGGAGGGTGCTGGATCCGCCTTGCTCATGCATTGGAACAGGTCTCCAATAGCCCTCGCAGGCCTTTGTGGGATCGCAGTGCTCTGCAGAGGCAGATGCAGGAGGACCCCCAGGGCAGGGTGGCTGCTGTCTGCTCCCCTTTCACCCTATGCCAGTGCTCTGAGTCTGAGGCCTGACAGCCCCAAGAGGGTTAGAGTCCAGGGCCCTACCATCCAGCCCATGTATCCTGAACACCTACTATGCTGGTGGGTGGGGGAAGCAGCCAGGGAGGATGAGTAAGTCATGGACCTTGCCCTCAAGGAGTCTGAAACTAGCACAGGATTAGATAAGCACACAGGGCTCCTTAACTCTGTAGGGAATGAGATAAGGGTGGCGGGAGAGGCCCACGAAGCCGGGGTGTGGGCAGAGAGGGGAGCAGCGCCTGCAGAGTCATGGGATGGTCTGCAGGGAGGGGTTGCTGAGCTGGGCCACGGCAGGGGCCAATCGGGGCCCAGGGATTCAGAGCAGCCAGGACAGTGTGAGCAGAGCTGCCTGTGGGAAGGGGAGAGAGACAGTGTCTTAGGGGCCAGATGTTTGTTGGCTGCCTACAGTCCCCAGGAGAAGGTCCAACTTGCTCTGTGACTTCAGCAAATGTGCACCCTCTCTGAGCCTGTGTCCTCCTGTCCCAAACAGGTTCATGATGGATGCCAGGAGGACCAGGTCCTGGATGTGCGTGCCCAGCAGACAGAAAGGGCTCAATAGCCAACGCCTGTTATTAAGCAATTTGACATTTATTCCTAGGTCTCTATTTCCCATTTTACAAATTTTATTTTGTAGTACCAGAAACCTTTTTATTCAAATGAAAAATTCTGACAGGGCACAGTGGCTCATGCCTGTAATCCCAGCAGTTTGGGGGGCTGAGGCAGGACTGCTTGAGGCCAGGAATTTGAGACCAGCCTGGGCAACATGGTGAAACCCCATCTCTACGAAAAATACAAAAATTAACCAGGCATGGTGGCACGTGCCTGTAGTCACAGCTATTTGGGAGGCTGAGATGGGAGGACTGTGTGAGCCCTGGCAGGTGGAGGCTGCAGCAAGCTGTGATTGTACCACTGCGCTCCAGCCTGGGTGACAAAGCGAGCAAGACCCTGTCTCAAAAAAAAAAAAAAAAAAAAAGGAAAATTTCCTCAGAACCCCGTTGTATAAGAAACAGGTGGGGCTGGGCGCGGTGGCTCACACCTATAATCCCGGCACTCTGGGAGGCCGAGGTGGGCAGATTATCTGAGGTCAGGAGTTCGAGACCAGCCTGGCCAACATGGTGAAACCCAGTCTCTACTAAAAACACAAAAATTAGCTGGGCATGGTGGTGCATGCCTGTAATCTCAGCTATTTGGGAGGCTGAGGCAGGAGAATCGCTTGAACCCAGGAGGCAGAGGTTGCAGTGAGCTGAGATCATGCCAGGAGGGGAGGCTTCCTCCTGGGAGGAAGCCTGTTGCATTCCAGCCTGGGCAACAGAGCAAGACTCTGTCTCAAAACAAACAAACAAACACCACAAAGAAATAGGTGGAAATGAGGCTGTTGTGGGAGGCGGGACAGGGGTGGGGTCAGCTGTCCTGTCCTGGGTTGGCTGCTCTTCCTCTACCAGCAGCTGGGGTCCTGGGCCCTCTTAGGAATCCTAGGGGCTGGAGAAGCTGCTCCACCAACCACAGGGCTGTGCTCCAGGGAGATGAGACTGGCAAAGGAGGGGAGAGTAGGAAGCAGATGGGGAGGCTGGCTCAGGGCCCCATCCTGGGTGGGGGGGCTCCAGCACAAACACTGGGCCTAGAGCACTCAGCCCCCCTTGGCCACACTGCATGTCGGTGGGTGCTTCCTCAGGGTGCAAGACAGAGGCTCAGGATTGGTTCAGCAAACATTTATTGGGCACGCGCCTGGGCTGGGAACTGAGCTCACAGATGGGGAGAGGAGCGAGACATAAGCAGAAACCAGCACCGGGGCTCCGAGAGGGCAGTGCTCTGCGGCAGCACTGTGTGGGGGTGCCCAGGTGGGGACTTAGAAGCTTCAATAAGGCCTTCTGGAGGCAGCAAATGCTTGGACAGAGCTTGAAAGGGTTAGTAAGAGTGAGCCTGGCAAATAAGCTAGGAAGAGTATTGCAGCCCAAGGGAACAGCATGGGCAAAGCATAGAGGTGCCACAGGGCAGGCAGGGCAGGGGCAGGACTGAAGCTGTTCAGGCTCATTCACGGGGAATGAGACAGAGGGAGGTGGGACCATGAGTGCTGCACTGGGGTCGCAGGATCTCTGCTGACTGCTGGACACCCCCGGCCCTCCCCTATCCCTGCAGGTCCTGGTGGCTGGCATTGAGGCGAACATACCTGTGACCTATGGAATTGGCAGCCAGAGGGGAGACGAGAGCACTGGCTGTCAATTCATAGGTCAGAGCCCTGTGCACTCGGTCTCGGCAGCCCACCGACAGCCCTCCACTACCCGCCACCATCTGGCCTGGGAGCGTCGCCACGGTAGTCCTGGCTGGTCTGCTGGCCAGCACCTGCCTCTCCTTCTTCGTGGGTACTGGCCCTCGCCCCAGATAACAGCAGCCCCACTGGAACCAGTGGGCACTTCCACATGGAGTTGCTGTTACAGGGGGCGGGAACCAATTGGAGACCGGGGCCCTGCCTGGCGTCCGCCTTCGGCAGGGCTCTGGAGAGTGTCCCATGCCCACTCACCTGGGCTCCCCAGTCTTCGTGGCCCCAGGTCCATGGTCTTTTCACCGAGGCTTCTTATCATCCGGGGCCCACACCTGGCGCCCCGTGTGCTGCCAGCACTCCTTCCTGGGCAAAGTCCAGGCTCAACCCCAAATCGGCCTCATAAAGCCGGGAGCGGCTCGGATTTACAACTCCTGGGCAGCCTTTGCCCGCTCTGATGACCCCACGCCCTCTGTCCCCAAGTTATTTTGTTTCCTTGTTTCTTTCCCAACCAGAGCTGGGCCTCAGTTTCAGGTTTGGCCACTGTCACCTCTGCCCTTTGCCCACCCTCCCTGCTGCAGCCATGGGGCAGAGAGACAGCAAGGGACAGCTGGCACTTGTCAGTCCCCAGGGACCTCCCAGTGCCTGATTTCATGAGGATGGCCTCGTATGGGAAGCTGAAGATGAGACTAAGAAGAAGTGTGGGGGGCTGTGTGGGGGAGGGCACAGAAAGAGGGATAGTGAGGCAGAGGGGCTGAGAGAGGAAGAGAAGAGTAAGGCCGAGGATGGCGGTGCACACCTGGCATCCCAGCACTTTGGGAGACCAAGGTGGGAGGATCTCTTGAGCCCAGGAGTGCAAGACCAGCCTGGGCAACACAGTGAGACCCCATCTCTACAAAAAATAAAAAATTAGCCTGGTGTGGTGATGCATGCCTGTGGTCCCAGCTACTCAAGAGGCTGAGGCGGGGGATCACTTGAGCCTGGGAGGTCGAGGCTCCAGTGAGCTGGGATTGTGCCACTGCACTCCAGCCTCAGTGACAAAGAAAGACCCTGTCTCAAATAAAAATAAGAGGAGCAGGTAGAGAACTAGAAAGGAACAGAGAAAACAAACAGGGATAGTGGATGACGAGGTGTAGGAAGGGGGACGACAGGGAACTGGAAAAGATGTAGATACACAAACCTGCCGCAGAACATGAGGAACAGGCTGTGAGCAGTGGCTCGCCTGGAAGGACGCTTAGGACCTCAGTGGCCTGGAAGACAGCAGGGGCCTGGGAGCTGGGTGACCTTGAGCAAGTAGCGTAACCTCTCTGAACCACTGTCCATATGTCAATCAGGACTTACGAGGCCACCCTGCACGCTGGGCTGGCCTGGTGGGAAGCATCCGCCCTGGGACCCTTGGGTCTCTCTCCGCTGTGGGGAGAGGAAGCAGCTGCTGGCCAGGGTCCCTGAGTGAGCCCAGGGCTCTGTGAGGCAGAGCTTCCTCTTGCAAAGCGTGTTCTCGTCCCTCCCAGACAGGTTCCGGTGACAGGTGCCAGTCCTGCAGAGACCCAGCAGGCATTTTGGGAGACTCCAAAGCTTCTGGAGAGAAAGGGGAGCTTTTAGAGTAGACTTGGGCCCTGCCCCCTTTGCCAGTGGTGCATACAGGCCTAGAGAGACAGAGGGGGCCGCCCAAGGTCACAGAGCAGGGCCCCAGGGCCTGTGCTGCCCCAACAACCTTCCCGAAGTGGCGTCCCCCCTTCTCAGGATGCAGTCAGGGTGGGATGGGGGATCCCTGGGCTGGAATCCTTCTGCCTGGGGGGACAGACCTGCGAAGGAAGACACCGTAGCTGGTGGCTGGCCCTCCACTCAGCCTGGCGGCCCTTCCCACAGAGGCCTGGGCGAGACCAGCCTCCTGCAGCGTGGTGTCCAAGTGCCCTGGCCTGGCAGAGACAGCGCCCGATCAGGAATCCTGGCTCCACAGCTCTGAGCGCTGATGCTAAGGCCCCCTTATCCCACAGTGGAAACCAAGGCACAGAGAGGAAGGGGCTCGTCCCGGCCACCCCATGGCTGTCCAGGTCCCTTTCTTCCTCAGGATTGGCCACCCTTCAGAGAGGTGCCTGGGTTCAGGAGCCTCCTAGGACAGGGAGGGCGGCAGGGGTCCTACCACTCAGGAAGCCTCTTACCTGAGTGCCGGGCTGGCCTTCGGGGCACAAGGAGGAAGTGGGGACACCCTGGGCCCAGGGCCTTTTGAGCCGTTGACCCAGCCCCTGGTGGTGGTTAATGATTATCCCACCACCGTCAATACTGATCACAAGTGCGGTTCGAAGGGCAGGAAGCCCTGGACTGTGCCCGGGCAGGGTGGGGCGGGTCCAGGAAGCATCAGGCTGGGCCCCATCTGCCTCTCCGGGTGGCATCAGCACCGAGTCTCCACAGCCCTGTCTCCTCCAGGGCCTCGCCCTCCTGGTCTCTTACCAGCCTGCTGCCCCAGCTGTCCGTGGGCAGCCAGGACCCCAGGGTCCCTCGGGACAAAGCTTCTGCTCTGTTCCCAGTACCCAGATCTCCCCCACTCAGAAGGGGCCACAGAGCAGGGCTGGGGGACCTTTGCTAACCCCAGAGGCCTGCGGAACCTAGCAAGGTGAGGGTTCCCTGATTCCCAACCCGAGCCTTGGTTTCCCCATGGACCCACCCACCTCTGTGCAGCGCCACTGGGAAGCAGGGCAGGGAGGAGCGCGATGGGAGCAGCTCACAAGAAACAAGATGTGTGGGGGGCAATGGGCGCTCCCTGGTCCTGTGTAAAGCTTTGTGCAGTGAGGGTTGGGATTCCGGCTGCAGCGCTGCTCCAGCACCCCTCCCCCCTCCAAGTGCTGGAGCTGGGACCCCAGATCAGAGTGGAAACCAAGGGGCCAAGGCCTGGGCCACCCCAAAAGCCCCCACTAGGGATGGTGAGAGCAACATCTAGAATGCCTCAGGCTCAGCCTTCCCCGAGTGGCCTCAAGTGACAACCAGGCAGGGTCAGCTGGGCTCCAAGGACCATCCCTCCCTCCCCTGGCAGCCCCACGTAGCTCCTGCCACATCAGGAGTGGGGCTGGAGTGGCAGCCTCCTGGGAGGGGCAAGGCAGAGCCCAGAGCCAGGGGAAGGCGTGCAGGGCTGGGTGCCTCTGGGTCCCCCTGTGCCCTGATCTGCTGGGCAAGGCCAGGAGGCATGGCGACCCCTGGTGGTGACATGGGAGGTGCTGGGTGCAGAGGTGGGATCTGGGGCGGGGCCAAGGTCAAGGCTGAGGCCAGGGTTCACAGGGACAGAGGATCTGAGAGGGGGGCTGGCGGTGGGCAGTTTATTCCACTTCATGCAGACACTGACCCACGCACTCACGGAGCTTAAAAATAATACATCGAACCACACGGATATCATCCCCTCCTCCCCCCAGACACAGAAAGACACTTGGCTGAGTGGGATGGGGTCCGAGGGTCCAAAAGCCTCCGTCCTGGGAGAAGGCAGCAGTGTGGGCCCAGGTCGGGGGAGGGGCAGTGTCCTTTCTCCCCGGAGGAAAAGTGCAGAGCCAGGGCTAAGGCCCCAAGGCAGGGAGGCCCCCCTCTCACAGCAGATTGGCAACGGGCAGGCTGGGAAGGCGTCCTTCACAGTGGCCATCCCCTGAAGGGCCAGGCCGGGCCGGGCCCGTGGGCTGCAGCTCTTGGGAGGCTCAGGAGCATGGTGGGCAGCACCCTCTGGGTGCCGGGCACCCCAGGCTCAGTCTTGGGCACTGTCCGAGCGCCACTTGAGGGCGTGGTCCTTGTGGGCGTCGGGGACAATCTGGTTGCGCATGCCCCCGAGCAGGCTGGACGTGGCCTCCGTGGCCAGGATGAGCGGCTTCACCACAGTCGGGGGCAGCTGGCGGATCACGCCCCCCACGGCGCCCGTCAGCCCCTTCTGCTCATGGCCCCGCGATGCCACGTCACAGATGGTCTGAGCTGTATCCAAGATGCCCTGTGGAAGCCAGAGGTCAGGGCGGGGTCTGTGTGAGGAGATGGGCATGGGGGACTGGGGCAGGGCGGGGGCCTGGTCACCTCTCGCACTGTGTCGTAGGCCTTGGCCACACCCTCCCGCAGGTCGGCAGGCTGCTGGCCCCTGCGCAGCCTCCGCGCAGAGCGCTTATCCTGCAGGGAGCGGGAGACGGGGGCTGCCGGGGACAGGATGTCATACACGGTCTCAGCTGTGGCCTGGGGGACATGGGAGCACTGGATGAGGACAGCTGGCTGGGGCACACGTCAGCCCCAGGCCCCCAGGACAGTCTGAGACCCCACCAGCCCTCAGCCTCCCTGCCTGTCACTGTGCTGGCCTAGGGGGTCCTGCTCAGCCTCACTCCCCACTTCCTCCCACTCTTCCTCCCCTTCCTAGGCACCTGCCACTCTGCTGAGGGAACCTAGGAACGTGGGACTCCTCAGGGGACTTTCCTAAAGTCTTCTCAACCCAAACCTCTCTTCCTGCTGACCACCACATTCAGCAGGTTCCACATGGCTGCCGCAGCTGCACGCCTGAGACTGACCGCTCCTTGCCTGGCCCCCCAGACGCCCCTGCCAGATGGTCAGAGGCCCATCCTTCCTTCTGTCTGCCAGATCCTCTGCCCAGCATCTCACCTGGCATCACTCTTTCCCACCTGACTGAACACTCCCGGGGGCTCCCTGGTGCCCATGCATCCCTCCCACCTCCCCTGGAGCCCTGCCCTCTGTCCTGTTGGGGTCTGAGCTTGCAGGTTCCAGAATGCACCATGCACCTGCACTCACCCCTTAGCCGCCTAGGACCATCGATCCCCTACAGAATTCATCTGACAACTGCCCACGAGACTGGCTCCCCAGCTTCCCTGGGGTCCTTCTGGCCTAGCGAAGCGTATGGCCTGAATGAACCAGGGCAGCCTCTGCGCCTCAGATTCTTAGTCTGCAAACACAGCCGTCCTCCACCCCCCTTTACAAGACATGCCATGAGCAGGAGACACAGTGGGCTCTGAAGGCCTGGGGGGCACTCCCGCTCCTGCATGGGAGCCCCTGTGGGCCTCGGGAGACCTGGCTTGGAGGTCCCAGGCAAGTCACTTAGCCTCTCCGTGGCTGTTTCTCTATAAAGTAGGGCTGTCATACCCAGACTGCCCACTCTGAGGAGCTTTGAGGACAGAACCAGGGAGCTGTGGTGCAGAGGGCTCCAGCTGCTCTGTCCTGCACAGCCCAGATACAGGGCACCCACTCACCTGGATAGCCTGTACCAACCGGTTGCTGAGTTCCAGGGCGGCAGAGGCTGTGGATGAGCCAAAGGAGGCAGCCCCTCGCTGCAGCCCCCGCATGAGGCGGCCATCCTTCCTGTACTGCTCAATGGGCAGCCACAGCAGGTCCCGGAACCCTTGGACTAGGGGGAAGGAGCGCTCAGAGACACCCGAGGCTGCCCTGCCCCCACCTCCTCCTCTTATTCCCAATGGCAGCTTCTAGGTTGCCCAAGGGTAAAAGCAGTTTCGAGGGCTTCCAAACCTAGACACTCACAGAGCTGGACAACCGAGTGCATGGGGCCCACGCCTCCCAGCAGGCCGGGCAGCTGGTTCTTGCGGATGTCCTGCAGCCACTCGTTGAGGGCATAGCCCAGCACCTTGTCCACACCCAGGAGCCTGGCAGGGCAGGGAGGTGAGGAGGCAGAAGGTGAGGCAGAGCCACACATGGAGGGATTGTGGGGTCAGGAGGACTCAGTACCCCTGTGGCAAGTACTGTGGGCACTCTACCCTCCCTGTGGTCCCACCCAGTCATGTGCAGAGGGACTGTGTCCTTTTTTTTTTTTTTTAGATGGAGTCTTGCTCCGTTGCCCAGGCTGGAGTGAAGTGGTGCGATCTTGGCTCACTGCAACCGCCTCCCAGGTTCAAGCAGTTCTCCTGCCTCAGCCTCCTGAGTAGCTGGGATTACATGTGTATGCCACCACGCCTGGCTAATTTTTGTATTTTTAGTAGAGACGGGGGGGTTTCACCATGTTGGTCAGGCTGGTCTCGAATGCCTGAATGTGTGAGCCATCATGCCCAGCCAACTGCGTCCTTTTTACAGAGGAGAAACTGAGGCCCTGAGAAGGGTGATGACTTGGCCAAGGCCACACAACCAGTCAGGACCAGAACAGAAGGAAGATCAGGGACCCTGGAGAGAGGCTGGGGTGCTGGGGACTCACCCGTGCCTGCAACAGAGCCGCTTTAGCTTCAGCTCGGAGCAGTTGAGTTGGGCCAGGCCGATGAGGAGGCCAGCAAAAGTGCCCTGGGAGAGGGAGGGGGTCCAGGTTTACCCAATGGGACTCAGGGAGCTAGCTAGCCCATGGGAGCCACTGGAGAGCGCCCTGGCTGCTAACAGTGCCTGGATGCAAGACCTGGCCCCCAGAGGGACTCAGCCACAGCTGACCCCACATGGCCACCCCATCCGACCGCCCCACTTACCACCTGGTCCATCGTGACGTGCTTGCCATGGTAATCCAGCCAGATGGGGACCTCAGACGTGAAGCGGAACTCTCTGGGTAGGGGAGCAGGAAGAGGGGGTTCTTTGCTCACTGGCCTGGCCCCCAGCAATCTGGCCCAGGGCCCCCCACCCGCAGTCCAGCAGCCTACCTGAAGTAGATGGGCTGCTGGTCAGGAGGGGAGGGGCTGTGTCCACCTCCTGGGGCCTCCTGCGAACCAGTGGTCTCTACGCCTTCGGCCTGCCCTTCCAGGGGGCTGCTGGGCTGGGCTCGAGTCTCGGGGCGAGCTAGGGGAGGGGAGGTCACAGACTGGGGATGGGGCCAGGAATGACTGGGAACCTGTGCTGTCCTGGGAGGCAGAAGGCCCAGACGCTCCCCTCCCTGGCCCAGCCTCTCACCCTCAGCGGAGGTCTCCCCTGGGACCACGGGGTTGATGCCGGCCACCAGACTAGTGAAGAAGTCCTTGAGGAAGAAGAGGGCATCCTGCAAGGGAGAGGTCCAGATGTGGATCAGACTCAGAGGCCTGGAGACAGTGGGGTCACCCTAGGCTCTGCCCTCACGTAGACCACTCACCTGGTCCACATTGAGCCGCAGGGGCATCAGCGAGACGCGGAGACAGCACTCAGGCCCACCCAGGTTGGTAGTGGGGGCCACATGCAGCGCTTTGATGGTGAGCTGGGAGCAGAGGGTGAGTTCTGGACACCTGCTGGGCCTCTGGGGCAGCAGCTCACCCAGCTGTTCCCTGACAGCTCACCCAGCCACCCTGCCTCTGAACACGCTGTTCCCTTCGCTAACACAGCCCCTAGCTCTGCCCTTCTCCCAGGCTCACAAACAACCTGGGTGTTTGTGTGGGAATGCGTGTATGTGTGTGAATCCATGCATGCGTGAAGATGTATCCCCAACGGTCTGGTGCCCTGCCCCAGGGTGGATGGTGCAGGTCGCTCATACCATGTTAGAGTGGGCACGTCGCGGCATCCGCTCACTCGTGTGTAGGTACAGGAACTTGTTGATCTGGGAGGAGGCGAGCCGGTCTCGGACCTCCAGCTCCTGCACGATGAACACCTGACGGGACAGCGGTCGCTCCTCCAGCTCCTGGCTGGGGGCCGCAGGGCCTGTGGCTGGCTCCGCTGGGTACACCTCGTGCTGGAAGCTTACCTGTGGGGTGGACAGAGGCCTGGCCAGGTAAGCAGGGCCCCAAGAGGGAGGGAAGGGCTGGCCCCAGACCCCTTCTCTATTCTTTTTTTGAGACAGAGTCTCACTCTGTCGCCCAGGTTGGAGTGCAGTGGCGTGATCTCGGCTCACTGCAACCTCTGCCTCTCGGGTTCAAGCGATTCTCCTGCCTCAGCTTCCCCAGTAGCTGGGATTGCAGGCATGTGCCACCACACCCAGCTAATTTTAGTAGAGACAGGGTTTCACAACGTTGGCCAGGCTGGTCTCGAACTCCTGGCCTCAAGTGATCTGCCTGCCTCGTCCTCCCAAAGTGCTGGGACTACAGGCATGAGCCACCATGCCCGGCCCCTACCCCTTCTCTATTCTATGCCCAGCAGGGACCTGCCTCTCCCTCCAGACCTGACCCTGCTCTTGCTTCCCATGCCAGCTGCACTGGTCTCTGCCCCTCAAGGAGTCCAGGCCTGTTTTGCCTTCAGGACTTTGCTCTCGTAGCCCCTCTCCGTGGAGAGCCTTCCTTCCCCCTCTTCCTGCACACCCGCTGGCTGGCCATCAGGTCTCAGAGAGGCCCCTGGCCCCCTGCTCTGACACTCATCTCCCGCAGGTTCTTGCAGCACAGCCCACCAACCCGAGCAGCCTGAGGCCCCTCTGCCCTTTGCCTCTAGCGGCTCCTTGGGAAGCCCAGCACTGGCCTGGCTCACTCTGAGCAAGTGGGACCCCCCTGCCCCAGGCAATTTCCCAGGCCCAAACCTTGAACCCTCTGTACCACTCTCTGTATCTCACACACCCCATCCGCAGCTGAACCTGTGGCCAGCCCCCATCTAGGCTCTCCTGAACCTGCTCACTAGCCCTCCCTGATTGCTGCAGAGCCCCACCCCACAGAGGCCTCTCCTCAAAAGCCCTGAGGGGTTCGTCTCTTGTAAGACTCAAAAGAAACATTCTGGGTCGCTGGTTATGCACAGGCTCTGCTGCTCCTGGAAATGTCAGGATGCTTCCAGCTTCCAGCATTTTTTTTTTTTTTTGAAACAGAGTCTTACTCTGTTGCCCAGGCTGGAATGCAATAGGGCGATCTCAACTCACTGCAACCTCTGCCTCTTGGGCTCAAACAACTCTCCTGCCTCAGCCTCCTGAGTAGCTGGGACTATAGGCACACACCACTGCAAATGGTTAATTTTTTTTTTTTTTTTTTTTGGTAGAAATGGGGTTTCGCCATGTTGCCCAGGCTGGTCTCAAACTCCTGAGCTCAGGTGATCTGCTCTCTTCGGCCTTCCAAAGTGCTGGGATTACAGGCATAAGCCACCATGCCTGGCCCCAATTTGCGGCTTTCACGCTGTCCTCTCTGCCTGAAAACTCTTCCTGGCTCACATCCCCACTTGTTCAGGTCTTTGTTCAAATGGTGCCTTCAGAAGAGGACTTTCCAGACCCTCCCCAGCACACCTGTCTCCTCCACCCCTGCAGACTCTCCCCTGAGCGCTCTTCACCATCGGACACACTCGATACATCTTGGTCCCTGCCTGGCTTCCTCCACTACAAAGGCAGGGGTTTTCCTCTGCATTAGTCATTGCTACACGTGACATCGAGAACAAGGCCCGTTGTTCTATGACACACACGTGTAGTAGGCACTCGCCACCCCACTCACCTTGCTCAGCTGGATCTCCATGAGGACATGGTGCTGCCGCCCGCTGCCCCCCTGCGTGCGCCATGAGTTCTGGGGCCGGTTGGGGCCAGAGCAGCGGGAAGGGGAGCTCCTGGGACCTGAGAGGCCAGTTCTTGCCCTGGGAAGAGGGACAGGGGCCAAGCTGACTCAGAGGAACCCCATTCCCTCCCCGTCCTCAGCGGGCCTTTTAGCCTGGGACAAGAGACCCCCGCTAGCCCCAGTCCTGGAAGGCAGGCGGGATAAGGAAGGATGAGGAAACTGAGGCCCACCTGGGGTGGATGGGGCTCAAGGTCTCCAGCTGCTGAAAGTCAGACCTGGACCAGCCTGAGCCCCAACCTTCACCAGCTGCCACCTGCACCCGCTCCTCCTCACCTGTGGCCGGGGTGGGGGCCAAAGTCTCGGCCCCCATAGAGGTGCCAGACGAGGGAGACCTCACGTAGCACCACCCGAGTGCTGGGCACTGGGAAATGGGCAGGTGCCCGCAGCAAGTCCGTGCTGCCGATCGGCCGTGAGAAGTAACCGTCCCTCACAACGATGGGGCCGGGATGCAGCTGTGTCACCACAGGCTCCCCATCTCGGGGCTGCAGGGAGGCCAGGTAGACGTGTGACACAGATGTTCGATCCAGCCCAGCTGCCCCCAGCCCCAGCAACCTGGCCTCACTTCTTTTTCATTTTTTTTTTTTTATAGACAGGGTCGGGTCATGTTCGGTCACCCAGGCTGGAGTGCAGTGGCACAATCACAGTTCACTGCAACCTCTGCCTCCTAGGCTCAAGCGATCCTCCATTCTCAGCCTCCTGAGTAGCAGGGACTGCAGACATGTGCCACCATATCTGGCTAATTTTATTTTTATTTTTTGTAGAGACGGGGTCTCACTATGTTGCTCAGGCTAATCTCTCATTGCTGGACTCAAGCAATTCTCCCACCTTGACCTCCCAAATTGCTGGGATTACAGGCGTAACCTACCATGCTTGGCCTCCTCCCTGTTTTTGATGAAAGATGACACTCCTGGGTTGCTATCACCCGAGTCTATGCCTGAGTGGTCTGTCCAAGAGGAGCCTGAGAATGCCAGGCTCCTGCCAGCCCTGCCTCCTAAGACCTGGGTGAGTTCAGACATTCCCACTGGCCCTTGCAGCCACATGGTTCTCCATCCCTCTTGCTAACTGCCCTCTCCTCTTCCTCCATCCCTTGAATTTCCCAGTCCCTCTGCCCAAAACACCAGGCCTCCTCTTCCTCTGGAAATCCCCCTACTCCATCAAAGCCCAGCATCAGGGCTGCCTCCCTAGGGTGGCACAGACCTAGCACCACCCCCGAGGTGATGGCAACCACCTCCTGCCTGCTTCTCTCACCACGGGAGCTCCAGATGGCCAGGCAACCACCCCTGAGTGTTCCGTCCCCGCTCCAAACACACCTGCCTGGACGGCAAACTGGTCCATCCCTCCCACCACGCACCGGGATGCCCAGGCCGGGAGCATCAAGGATGCAGAACTCATCACTGTCCAGGGTGTCTCCATCGCCCTCCTCTTCCCTTTCATCTTCCTTCTCCTCTGAGCATGACCCTAAGCTGCCAGCAGGGCCCCCGACAGGTGGTGAAGGGGGTGGGGCCCCACTCCGTTCACCTGGGAATAGGTAGACGGAGATGGGCGACGCCTGAGGGAGGTGGCCACCTATAGGAGAGAGGCCAGTTTGGAGAGGCGCCCACAGTGGGTGCCTGACTGTGTCTGCTGTCCCCACAGCACCCCCACTTCACCTGAAGGCTGGGCCAGCTCCCGTAGGCTGCGCTCGGTGTCCAGGAGGGCGTCGGCCAGGTCACGCTGGTTGATGAGGGCCGTCTCCACTGGGGGGCACGAGGGCAGAGAGGCAGGACTCTCCGAGAGCTGGGCCAGGCAGGGGAGGAGCAATGAGTGAGACAGGACAGAGCTCCCCCAACCCCAGGCCCGAGGGCCATGGCAGGGGAGGGGCCTGGCCGAGCTCTGGTAGCCTGTGTGGCCAGGCCTCACCTGTACCTTCTGGCCGGCGATCTCCGTGGGGCTGGGGGGCCGGGGTGGGGGGTGCAGATCGCCTGTGCTCATTACGTACTGGAGCAGGTTGACCAGCAGGGCACAGGAGTCGGCACAGCTGTGCACGTGTACCACATTGTTGGAGCAGCGCAGCTCGAATAGTGGCTGGCTCTGCAGGGGCGGGGTGGGGGGAGCAGCTATGTGAACACAGGGGCCACTGCCTGCTGGCCCCACCCGCTCGCTGGGAGGGCACCGCAGTTCTGATCCTGCCACAGGCAGAACAGGGATGGTCTCTCCTGGAGTGGATGACCTGCCCAGTAACTCCACTGAACAGATGAACAAACTGTTCACCCAGAGGGTGAAAGGGGCTTGGCCCAGGGCCATCCAAGGAAGCAGGAGTGTGCCCACCCACCCTACCCCACTCCCCGTGAAGGGCTCTGCATGCCTAGCGAGGCAGGGCAGGTTATCTCCATCTTACAGGAGATGAATCCGGGGACCTACAAAGGTGGCTGATTCCCAGGGCCTCGCTGGTGCCCTGGCTGCCGCGTCCTCTGGTGGCAGGGCTGAAACCCATTCATTCATTCAGCCAGCATCAAGGGACACCCCCACCAGGGCTGTACTATGGCCCTTTGCAGGAGGGGCGCTAACTGCAGCCCAGGAAGGGCAGGCATGAACTGTGTCCGGAGCCCAGGCACGTGAGGGAGCAGCAGCCCCTGAAGACTCCCTTGGCCCCTGCACCTGCTGTGGCTCCAGGAGCCAGAGTGACAGCCTCACTCACCAGTTTGCCCTCGGTGCTCCCTTTCCAGGTTTTAATCACAAGTTCCAAGAGGTCAACATCCAAAACACAGACATAATCTGCAGCAGAGGCGAGAGAAAGGTCCTGTGGCCCCCTTCCACCCGGCCCCGGCCCCAGCACCTGGGGGAAGGATCCGGTTGATCCAGGTGTAGTCCCTGCTGTGCGGGCTACGTGTGGGAGCTAAGGACCCGGCCAGCAGCTGCGGGGAGACACCTGGCTGCTCTGGGTGTGGCCGGGGCGGTGGTCCCTCAGAGGGGAGGGAGCCCAGTCCCGGCCCTGCCCACCTCGCCGCAGGTCCAGGGTCTCCACCTCACACTTGTCGGACAGGTACAAGGCGGAGTCATCGAGGATGAACCTGGGGGGGAACAGGGCTGAGAAGGGCCCGGGCACCGCTGCAGGGGGCAGCTCCACGGGAGCCGAGCAGAGGGGTCCCAAGCCCACAGGAGGTGGTATGGACAGGCCCCTCCAGCCTCAGCGTTCCTGCCTGCACAATGGGGAGAAGGCCCAGACAGCAGGCAGTGGGAAGCGGGCAGCACTTGCAGCTCTCAAAGTGCCTGCAGTTCCGACACCTCAATGGGGCCTCATGACAGTCCTGGGAAGGGGTGTCCATTTTTCTCCCTGCTGCATTTGTGGTTCTTCTAAAATAAGTCCTTATTTTTGGCTGGCGCGGTGGCTCACGCCTGTAATCCCAGCACTTGGAGAGGCTGAGGCAGGCGGATCACCTGATATCAGGAGTTTGAGACCAGCCTGGCCAACGTGGTGAAACCCCATGTCTACTAAAAATACAAATATTAGCCGAGCATGGTGGCGGGTGCCTGTAATCCCAGCTACTTGGAAGGCTGAGGCAGGAGAATCTCTTGAACTAGGGAGGCAGGGGTTGCAGCGAGCCTAGATCACACCACTGCACTCTAGCCTGGGCGACAGAGTGAGACTCCATCTCAAAAAGAAATAATAATAAGGGCTGGGCATGGTGGCTCATGCCTATAATCCCAGCACTTTTGGAGGCCAAGGCAGGCGGATCACGAGGTCAGGAGTTCGAGACCAGCCTGACCAACAAGGTGAAACCCTGTCTCTACTAAAAATACAAAACTTAGCTGGGTGTGGTGGTGGGTGCCTGTTGTCCCAGCTACTTGGGAGGCTGAGGCAGGAGAATCGCTTGAACCCAGGAGGCAGAGGTTGCAGTCGGCTGAGATTGCGCCACTGCACTCCAGCCTGCTGACAGAGCGAGACTCTGTCTCAAAAAAAAAAAATAAATAAAAAAGTCTTTATTTTAAGGGTAACATAATGAAAACTCCTTTAAGATATTTTAGAATAAAGAAAATAAAAATCATTCATCATTCCTAATCCCTAATTCTGAGAAAACCACCATACACATCTCCTTCCAAACTTTCTCTGCAGCTGCACGCCGAGACATATAAACACCCCTTCATAAACTGATTTTAAAACGTACGCAGTCCTGTATCCAATGTTATTTGAGTAAACACTGTACTGTGGCATCTTTCTATATTTTTTATCTATCTATCTATCTATCTATCTATCTATCTATCTATCTATCTATGTATTTATTTGAGACGGAGTCTCGCTCTGTCACCCAGGCTGGAGTGCAGTGGCGCAATCTTCGCTCACCGTAACCTCCGCCTCCCAGATTCAAGTGATTCTCCTGCCTCAGCCTCCCAAGTAGCTGGGACTACAGGCGCCTGCCACCACCCCCGGCTCATTTTTGTATTTTTAGTAGAGACGGGGTTTCACCATATTGGCCAGGCTGGTCTCGAACTCCTGACCTTGTGATCTGCCTGCCTCAGCCTCCCAAAGTGCTGGGATTACAGGTGTGAGCCACCGCACCCTCCATCTTCTTATATTTTGAAGGGATTCTTCAGCTTCACCTTAATCCCTGCATGGTTTTCTACCTACTAGGTGGGCCATGCTTATTTGCTCAGGTTGTGAGGCTTGTGATTTAACTGATACGTTTTGGCTGTTTTAACTTATACTCCATAAGCATTAAATCCCACCTCTCTTATTCGCATATCCTAGGACAACCCTCAGACATGAGATTACAGGTCAGAGAGCACAAATGCTTATAAGGGTCTCATCAGGAGGCTCCAACTGCCCTCTAGAAAGGCGGAAACAATCCACATTCCTGAGAATGAGACTATCACCCGGGTGTACATTAAGACCGAGAGCACCAGAGGACACACAGCTGGCAGGCAGCTTCGGCCCGGCGAGGGTGGGATGGCCCAGTGTGGGGCGGCCTGCATACCTGAGCAGGAAGGTGGAGGTGTCCATGATGATGTTGCTGGAGAGAGTGAAGGTCTCCGCGGTGATGAGGACACGCACTGGGAGGTAGAGTGGCCTGGGGGTGATACTCGGGCTGGGGCCGGCTCCTTACACCTGAGAGCCCATCCCCGTCCCCAGCCCCTGGCCCACCCAGCCTGGTACCTATAGTCCACAGAGCAGGAGAACAGGTGTGTGTGCAGGATGGTGATGACCGTCGGGGGCAGGTAGCCCAGCACAGGGTCATCCAGCACGTCTAGGAACTCCAACAACTTCAGAGGCCAGGGCAGGAGGAAGCAGTGAGGATCAGGTGGTGTCCTCCCTCCTCTAACCCCTCCCTGTCCTGGCCCCTGCCTGGCACCTCACCTTCTGCCCACTAGCTGTCTGCCACACCCCTTGCCCAGGAGCTCCGGACAAGGTCAGCTGTGGCCCAGTCCATGTTCCTCCCACCGGCCTCCTCCCACCTAGAGACCTGCTTGCCCAAAACAGAAGTCCAGAGTCACTGGGCCATGTGGCTTCCCACCACCCACGCTCACCTGGGAATGCCAGCTCTGCTCGGGCAGGGCCATGTAGTGGCGCAAGGTGGCTTTGTGCAACCGCAGTGTCACCAGGAACTCCTGAGGGTGGGGGCGCAGTCAGGGCAGTGGGGAGGCCAGCCCCACCGTGCACTGGGGCCTCACCGCGCACTGGGGTCCCACCGCACACCGGGGCTGCAGCCCAGGCTAGCAGGAGGGGTGGATGGTAGGCAAGCCCATACCTTCACATTCTTGTGGGGGTCCAGGTGGATGCGCACAGCAGTGGACAACATGTGGGGTCCCCGGCCCTGGCCCTTGCGGCCCGAGGCTCCCCGCTCGGTCACCCCTTCCTCCGATGGGTAGATGGTTGGGGCCAGCTGAGCCGGGGGAGCGAAACTGGGAAGGTCCAGGTGACTGGGCAGCGGGTAGTCATCCACGGCCGCTGGGGAGGGGTCTCATGAGCCCCCTGCCAAGCCAACTGGCTACCCACTCCACCCAGGGCCCACATCCGTCCTGAAAGCCCTCCACCCCCAACCCTGGACCCCAGTGGTGACCTGCCCCCAGGCCTCACACCTCGGTGGTAGAGTGTTGCCTTTTCAGCTTCCAGACAGAAGTAGCCAAGTCCTGGCTGGCCACAGTACTGGGAGACGCTGAAGAGGGTACCGTGCTCCATGTCCAGCACCAGCTCCCCGTGCACAGCCTCCAGCCGCTTCCCACCCTCATCCTGCAGAAGGAGCACACAGCCTGGCTTCCCCAGCTGCACTCAGCAACCCTCAAGCCCTCTGGGGGTTGGCGGCTCCTGGAGCCCTGGCCTAAGGGGGTCAGCTCCAGTTTCCACCATGGACGCTGCTGGAGGCCCTGGATGGCACTTGCCTCTTTTGCCAGGAGAAAAATAATCTCTGCCGGGTCTGCCCGCTCGGAGTGGGAACAGTGGGTGCTCCATGCCCATCCCGACCCCTAGCATGGTGCTTTACATACAGCAGGGGGTCAGAAGGAGCTGATGGGCTGTGACAGGGTGGGCAGGCTGGCGTGGGTGGGCTGGCGCTGCCCACTCAGGCCTCCTGCTCTCCACATTCTTGACCTGGAGCTGCTCGCGCTGGTCTTGCTCTGCCGCCAATGGGAGCTCTGAAGTTTGGGGCCCGCCTGCCCGGGGCTGCACTCACCTTGGTCTCACAGAGGGCTGTGATCCGCCCCTTCAGCACTGTCACCAGTGTAGAGAAGGTGCTCTGCAAGTGAAGACTTGGGGCCTCAGGGGCAGCGGCCTGTGGGCCACCTGATGCCCCCACTGAGAAGAAGTGGGCATCCTCGTCATCCGAGTCCGAGTCTGGGGTGAGATCAAAGCAGTTGGCTGGGAAGGAGACCGCGAAGGGCTAGCCTGGCCCTTCCCAGACCTGGGGGTCCTCCCTCTAGCCCAGCGTTAGCACCTCTCATACCCAGCTTGAAGGCTGACTTGCACATCTTAAAGCTGTCGTGCCAGAAGCCTGAGGGGCCGGGGAAGCCCGAGGGCTGGGCGGCGGGGTCGGGGGTGGGAAGCAGATCTGCAGGCTCCCACATGAGCAGGTCGTTGTTGATCCTGAGATAGGCGGGTGGACAGCAGGTAAGGGAGGCCAGGCCCACCCAGTGTCCAGTCCCGCCCTGCTGGCCCCGGGTCTCCACCTGTTGTAGATGCTCTCGTAGACCTCCTTGCTGGGCAGAAAGATGTGGACACTGGGCAGGATCACTTCCAGGCTGCAGCGGGACAGTGCCAGGGTCCGGCTCTGGAACGTCCTCATCTCCTCAGGGTCTCCAGGGATCACCATCTGGACAGGGTGAGGTGGAAAGAGCAGGAGAGTCATCTTAGAGACGCTGGCTGGGGCCTGTCTCTGGTCTCAGTCCTGCCCTCCTGTCGTTCATCATTCATTCATTCATAGGAGCCCTTCTCTACTGGGGATGCATGATAGCCGTACAGATACAGTGCTGATGGCACACCTGTGCTGTTCTAAGGGCTTCAGGTATGTTAACTTCTTTCATCCTCACAACAGGCCTGTGACACAGGTTATGGTTAGGCTGGGCGCGGTGGCTCACGCCTGTAATCCTAGCACTTTGGGAGAGTGAGGAGGGCAGATCACTTGAGGTCAGGAGTTCGAGACCAGCCTGGCCAACACGGTGAAACCCTGTCTCTACTAAAAATACAAAATTAGGCCAGGTGCGGTGGCTCATGCCTATAATCCCAGCACTTTGGGAGGCTGAGGTGGGTGATCATTTGAGGTCAGGAGTTAGAGGCCAGTCTGGCCAACATGATGAAACCCCGTCTCTACTAAAAATATAAAAATTAGCCGGGCGTGGTGGCACGCGCCTGTAATCCCGGCTACTCAGGAGGCTGAGGCAGGAGAATCGCTTGAGCCTGGGAGGCGGAGGTTGCGGTGAGCCGAGATCATGCCACTGCACTCCAGCCTCGGCGACACAGCAAAACTCTATCTCAAAAAAAAAAGAAAAAAAAAGAGAGAAAGACAGGTCATGGTGCCCATTTTCCAGGGGAAGAAACTCATCTATAGGTAACTCTTCAAGGTCAGATAACTCCCCAGGGTGATGACACAGTCACCAAGTGGCAGAGCCTGGCCCTTAACTGCCTTTCTAAGTGTACAGTGCTGATCCACGGGTCAGGTGGGGCAGGACCTGATCTTTCCAATCGAGGACCCATGCTCCCCAGGGGCCTGCCCTCACCAGTGCCGTTTCAGAAAGACTCTCTGACTGGCTGGAAAGAATGGAAGAGCCGAAATCCTCACTGGTGTTGGGTCAGCTCATGCCCACCCCAGGTGGTCGTGCTGCCCTGGCCCACAGCCACACAGGTGGCTCCTACGGCAGGAACCCGGGCGGTGGGCGGGAGGGGGTCCTGGGAAGAGGTGGGGCCAAGTCTCACCTCCTCTGTCTCATACATGGTCCTCTTAGAGGAGAAGGGCGAGGGCTCAGGTTCCCGCAGCTCACAGGGACTCTCCACTGACAGCTCCAGTTCCTCTCCCTTCTCCGGGGCCACCTCCCACTGTGTGCTGCTGGACTGGGGGTTCACAGTCACCACTACCCTGCCGGGGCACAGGCCTGTTACTGGCCTGCAGGGCCCCCGGCACCCAGTTCCAAACTGGCCCCCTGCCACCCCCAGCAGAACCCTCCTCTCCTGGGCCCAGTCCAGAGCCCCTACTTACTGGGGCAGGAAGTACTTGCGCCCAGTGCTCTTGGGGTCCAGGGCTTTGGAGACACGCAGGCAAGGGACAGGTGGCTTCCCTCCATCTTCATAGATACCTGGAGGGGGATGGGGAATTAGGGGGGTCATCACTGCTGCCTTTTCCTATTTCTTCCCCAATGCCCAGGTCGGCTCAGAGCTGTGCCCCCGACTCCACACACACCTTGGTGGGCAGAGAAAGCCAGAGACAAAGGGTCCACCCTACTTGTCGGTGAGGAGGCCGGGGACAGGCAGTGCTGGGACCCCAAGAGCTGGTAAAGGCCTGGGCCAGGGACTGCTCGGGTTGTGACTGGGCCCCTTCCATAGCCCCAAGCCCATCTCTCCCAGAAGCCAGGCCTCTTGCCCCAAGTTCTGTCACTCGGGGGCTCTCACCATGTAGGTCGGAGCAGGTGAGTTCCAGGTGGGTGGGGACTGGGGGACCAGGCCCACTGCTAAGCTCTGACCGGAACTGGGGCTCACTCAGCTCCAGCCGAAGCTGCTCAGCCCGCACGGCCTGGCCCGCCCAGGGGTCCGGCTCAGGCCGCAGGTCGGCAATGGGGAAGCGCAGCCGCAGCGTGGCCCGGGGTGCAGAGAGCCGAAATACCGTCTGCTGCTCCATCGCCGGCAGGGGCTCTGTCTGCAGGAGGATTGGGGGTCAGAGCAGCCGTCGGAGCCCCTCCCACTGTGACCAAGAGCCGAAGGACCCAGGCCCTGCACCCACCCCCGGCCTGGCCCTGGCAGGGGCCTCTCACCAGCAGGCCGGCTGGAGGCTCAGCAGGTACGGTGGCCAGGCGCAGTAGGGCGGCCAGCCGGTCCAGGGCCCCCAGCTCCACGTCCGCCTGGAAGTTGGCCAGGTCCAGGGCCAGTTCTGAGTGGCAATGGCAGGCAACTGAGCGCCGGGGTCGGCTCTGAGGGCGAGGGCGTTCAGGTCAGTGAGGGCTGAGTGGTACTCAGCGGGTGGGACAGGAAGGCCCTCTCTGGTAGTGGGAGAAGAGCTGGGGCAGGGGCCACGAGAGCACTAAGAAGGCCTGCCCCACCTTTGCCCGACGCGCACAATGTGCTTGTTTACTTATAAAAGCCACCCGACATGCGCCACTCTTAGCAACAGAGGCCAGCCAGGGGGCCATATTGAGATAGGGCAAGGGCATGACCAGGCTCAGAGACTGGCATAGGAAGGGCCAGGCAGGTATTTGAGGGCCCCAGCATGGAGAGATGTGGAGCACAGGGGAAGAGGGACAGGGCTGGGCAGCAGAGGAGGCCCTGGCAGAGGCCAGGGTGGGGTCAACACGCCATGGGGACAGCCTGGTGGCCTGGAGCGGGTGGGTTACCTTAGGCACACGGCGCAGGATCTGTGTGTGGCGCAGATGGGCGCAGGGCCGAGCTGAGGCCTGGGAGCCCAGCGTACCAGGAAAGGTCAGGATCTGGGATGGGACCCGGGAGGCACACAGGGTCAGGCCTGGCCCCACAGCCACCCAAACCTCCAGACCCCGCCTCGTACACATTCTGCCTCTGCCCTCACCTCCGTGTACTCAGGCTCAGAGGTGCCCCGGGGCCACAGACACTCCAGCACCTCCAGCTGCCCGAAGTGCACTTCCATGCTGGTTGTCCGCCGGCCCCGACTGCCCGTCCGCAGCTCCCAGGACAGCTGCACGGCTGTGCCCGTTAGCCTGCGGGGAAGAGGACAGGCGTCAGAAGGTGCACTTAGGGGGCTCTGATGGTCTCTCCTCAGGCCCTGGCCTCGGGCTTATACCGAACATGGCTACAGGGACAGGCCCTCTGGAAGCGTGGTCGAAGGTGATGGAAGTCTCGGGAACCGAAGGGCCCATCCTTGGTGGCATCAAACTCGGTGAAAAAGTGCGTGGCGAGGTCAGGTGGTCCGGAAGATGGGGCAGACGTCTGAAGCAAGGTCAGGGTCACACCCCCCAAGGTCATCTTCAGCAGCGAGTCAGGGCGCATGGTGTCCAGGAGGGGGTTGGGGGCCATCTTGCCTGAGGGGACAGAGGCTTCAGCAGGGGCTCCCAACAGATTCCGGGTACCCCAGGTGGAGCAATAGTTTGCCACCAGGCTGGGGGTTGGGAGGCCAGGTCTGCCCCACCATGTGGCTCTGGCAGAAGGCTTGGTCAGGCAGGGGTGACACTGGTGCCTCCAGTAGACCAGGCCTTCTGCCCAGGCTCAACTGAACCCTCCTCAGGGTGCTGGAAGGACAGGATGTGATAAAGCACCCAGCCTAGCACCCACACACAATAAGCTCTCAATAAACATGAACCCAGATATACAGCCTGGCAAAGGCTGATCTCACCCTTCTCTTCCTATGGAAGAGGAAGCTGAGTCTCAGAGAGTTCAAGTGCTTGACTAAGATCAATGACTGAAAAACCTAGGCTCTGTCCACTCTATCACCAGCTCCCACCTTGTTTGGTCCCCAGGGAACCAAGTCACAGATGGTAGATATCCAGGCATCGCTGGGGATTTCCTGTGTGCCTCTGACAGCCCACGGCACTAAGGCCTCTTCCAGTCCTTCCTGTCCCTGGAGTACCCCCAGGGTGCTCCAACTCACCAGCTGGGTGGGCCTGGGCAGAGAGCCGGCGGGAGGCCATGTCGCTGCGCACAGAGGAGGCCAGGTCTACATCGGAGAGGGAGAGCTCAGAGAGGGCTGAGGCCACACTGCTTGTGAGGCCAGCCATGGAGAAGAAGAGGTCTGTGGGTGAAGTGAGGAGTGTCAGGGACAGCCGACCCCAGCCCCTAGGCTGCTGCACCCACACTAGCTGCCCCTCCAACCACGGTCTGACCCCACACCCACCAGTGTTATCCAGGTTGAGAAGGGGGTTGGTAAGGGGGTCTGGGCTGAGGGGCTCAGCCACTGCCCCTGCCTGCAGCTGCTGGTTCAGGTCCTGCTCAATCAGCCACAGGTCTTCGGCACCTAGCGGGCGGCTCTTGTTCAGCTTGTCAGCCAGGCCCTCGTGGTCTGCAGGGGAGGAGACTTCAGTCTGGGCTGGCTGGCCCTCCCAGCCACCCCACCCCCATGCCACCCAGGGGCCTCACCTGTAAGGCTCACGGCGCTGAGCAGTTCCTGAAGTTGCTGGAGCTGCCTCGGGGTCAGGAGCAGGTGCAGGGAGCCCAGCTGTCCCGCCACCTCCAACTGGGGGCCAAGGAGGCAGCCATGGAGCCTAGGCCCACCACCCAGCTCCTCTAAGAGCTACCACCCGCCTGCCCTCGCCCTGGGAAAGCAGGATGCTGGCTACCAAACTAAACTCTGTTACCAACTAGCTCTATGAACCAGGCCACAACTTGACCTCTCAGCCTCAGTTTCTTTTTTTCTTCTTTTTGAGATGGAGTTTCACTCTTGTTGCCCAGGCTGCAGTGCAGTGGTGCAATCTTGGCTCACTGCAACCTCTGCCTCCTGGGTTCAAGCGATTCTCCCGCCTCAGCCTCCCAAGAAGCTGGGATTACAGGCATGTGCCACCACGCCTGGCTAATTTTGTATTTTTAGTAGAGACGGGGTTTCACCATGTTGGCCAGGCTGGTCTCGAACTCCTGACCTCAGATGATCCACCCACCTTGGCCTCCCAAAGTGCTGGGATTACAGGTGTGAACCCTGTGCCTGGCCTACAGCCTCAGTTTCTTTAGCTGCCAAGAAGGAAGTAAATCCCGCACTTGACATCCCCACTGTGGGCTGTAGATAATCAGCCTTGCTGAGGAGGAGGAGTCTTGAGATGGGGTACTCACCCCCTCCCCAGGGGCCTGGGGACCCACCTTGGGGCCAGGGAAGGCCTCATTTTGCTTCAACTTCACCATCAGCTCCATGTACCCTGAGCAGCTGCCGATCTGCAAGGGGGGCTCTGGAGGCTCTTCCTGGGAGACGGGAGGATACAAGAGGGAAAGGTTGAGAAAATGGAGTCAGAGATGGTCAGAAAGGATGGGAGGGGCTCAATGGGCTCAAGGGAGAGGAGACAGGGGCTGTGGGAATCAGAGCCCGCTCACCTGTGCCGGGAGCTCCTCGTAGTGCAGGCGGACCCCTGCCAGCTGCAGCAGCTTGTGCAGGAAGGCAGGCGGCTGATGCACGTCCACCGGCGGCGCCTGGCTTGGGTCCCGCACTGCCTCATCACAGTACTCCAGTCTGGAGAGTGTAGGGTCAGCCCGTGCCCTGGCCACCCCAGGCCTGGAGCCCCTCTCTCCACACAGTGCTCTGCTCTAGGGGCACGGGGTCAGGGAGCCTAGCCTGCAGAGCTGCCCCATCACACCTAGGCCGTCCTGAACCACCATGTCCAGCCCGGAGGCTCAGGCCAGCCCTTGCTCCTCAGACCCTCAGCATCTAACTTGGTTCTTGGGGCCTCGGCCACTCTGGGCCTGTATCACCTGGCCTCTGGACACCAGTCCGGGCTCACGATGCAGCCCACCTCCCCAACCCTACCACCACCGAGGCCCATCCAGATCCACCCTGCCTCTTCCCAGGAACCTAGGCTGCGGGTGGGGACCATCCAGCAGCCCCCACTCCCCATCTTCACACCAGTCCACCCCAGATCGGCCTGCCCTTACCTCTGCACACGGACCTCGACGGCCACACCACGTTCCCCATCACCCGGAGAGTGCTCCACCCTCACGACAGTGTCCAGGAAGGTCACTTTGATCCTCCGAAGCACTGAGGAGTTGGGGAGGGGTCTCAGGTCAGGTAGAGCAGCAAAGGGGAGGCAGAATTTCCCATCTGGGCACCAGGGTGGCCGTGCCGTTGTCTGGAGCCCCTGTTCTGTGTGCCACTGAAGGGCAGGAGACAGGGCGGCCAGGAGGGGCCTGCTCACCAGTCTCAATGGTCTGGGCAAACATCTCCAGCCCCTCCAGGGGCTGTGGTGGCTCAGAGGGCTCCGGTAGCCCATCCCGCAGACACTCCTGGGCCAGCTGCAGGCTTGTGGTCATGCATGAGGCCCAGCTCTGTGAGTCGGCAGCCCCTGGCGCTGTAGGGAGAAACAGGGTCTCAAGGCAGGCAGGCCCAGTCAGGTCCTGGACGCCCCAGCCCACTCTCCCCACTTGCCTGCCCCCAGCCTCGCCCTGCCCTCACCTGGACCCCGGCGGGGCTGCAAGGTGAGCTGGAGGCCGGACACGCGCACTGTGCAGTGGTCGGTGAGCAGAGCAGCCCAGGGCACGGCCACCTCGATGGAGCCCACGAAGCCTTCCACCAGCTCCAGCGGTGACTCCATTGACTCCAGCACCTCGTTCACAGACTGGGAGCAAGCAAGAGACAAAACCAGCTCAGGGAAACCCCAAATCCCACAGGCTGGCACAGCCTTATCTGGCCATAGTGCCTTGGAGAGCACCCTTGGCTTGCCCTGTCCCTCCACGTGTTATCTACAAGGTCCCACCTATGCTCATGCTGTCCCCTACTACAGGCCAGCCCCCCTACCCCGTCACCCAAAGGTGCCTAATCCTTCAAGCCAGAGCAGATGTTTCCCTCACCACTTAATTCAAGATAATATTTACCGAGCACTTTCTACATGCTGACACTGAGACTAGATGGGTAAATAAAATGTCTTCATTCCCCAGCCAAGCTAGGCTCCAGCCAGGGACTCAGAGCAACTAGGATGAAACTCAAGAGGTGAGCAGGTGCTTGGGGGTGGTGAGGGGGCTGGTGGGGGGGCCGTGGGGAAGACGCCTAACCCAGCCTGGGCCGTCAGAGGAGGGGCAAGCTGAAGAATAAAGGGAGGGGGGATAGGCGCTGGTAGAAGGTGGTGTGTTGCAGGCACAGGACAACATGGGCACATGTATGGCAGAGTCCAGAATACCCATGTTCACCCTGGATGAGCAGAGTTCAAAGGGACAGTGTCCAAGAGAGGGGCTGACCTAATGCCAGATGGGACCCCCCCCCCCCACCACCAACCCCAAACACCTAGTGTAGCTGTGCCTCTCTGTGAGGCACAAGGCTGAGCCCCTGGCTAAAATGTCCATGCTGGAGTTGTACCCCTGCCAACCTGGAAGCTCCTGGAGGGCTGTACCCCACCTGCCTCCCCCGTCACCCCAGGTGCCACCCAGAAAGGGCCTCAGTAAACTGGTTGGATCCAAGAATAAAAAAGCACATGGCAGAGCAGATGGGAGTCCAAATTCCTCACCCAGAGACCCACAGCTCGGGAAACTGAGGCCTAGAGACAGGACTAATCTAGTCACCCAGTATACAACAGGGACTGAGACTGGGATGCGGGCCTCTTTCTTTTCATGCCACTTCAGAGGCCCCAGATACTCAGTTTCTTTGGGGGCCTTCAAGGCGGGGCCTGCAGGCTGAGCTGGGAGGGAGGAGGGGCTGGTTATCAAGAAAGCGCCTGCATTCCACCAGGGCCCTAGAGAAGCCAATTCAATCCCCAACAAGAGGGCAGGGAACAGGAGTAGGGGCGTTTTCTGGAGCTGAAAGTAAAAAGGGGAAGCCTAGGGCTGGGTATGGTGGTTCATGCCTATAATCTCAGCACTTTGGGAGGCTGAGGTGGGAGGATCCCTTCAGGGGTTCAAGGCTAGCCTGGGCAACATAGCGAAATCCTGTCTCTATAAAAATAAAAAAGGGGCAGCCTAGAGACGGCCTTAGAGGCTGAGGCTAAGGTTAGAGGTCAGAGAGGGCTTCCTACACCAGAATTCACAGACAGCAGGCCACTGGGGGGTGCCCCCAGTTCAGGGCCCACGATTATCCTACCCCACATTTGCTCACCAGGGCCTGGCCTACCCCCAAAGCCTAGCTCTTCTGCCCAGATTAGCAGCCCCCTGAGTCCAGCCACAAAACTGAGAAGTCCCTGCCTCCATGCCCACCCCTGCTGCTCTGGACCTGGTGGATCGACCAGGACGCGCCTCTAATTGGTGGCTCCTTCAAAGCTCCCCAGGTCAGCTGAGCTGTGAGTCAGGGCTCCTCACCGTTCCCAGCCTCAAGCCTCTGACCTTACACCTCTTGGCCTCCCTAGCATCTCCCTTGGCCTCCTCCCGGCTTGAAGCCAGATCTCCCCACCTTTCCTCCAGGGCCTCCCTCCAGGCAGGGACACTGAGCCGGGGGGGTCGGTGGGAGATGTAGGTGGGGGCCATCCAGTCCCTCCCTAGACACCCACTTGGCCCATCCCACTCTCCCAAAAGCAGGAAGTAGGCAGCGACCCAGGCACACGAGGTGTTGATCAACACTGGTACTGACGTACTGACGCGGTTGTTGACATACACATCCGGTGGTTTGTTGATCCCACCTACGGGCTCAGGACCGTGGGGTCAAGAGGTCAGGGCACATGATCCACAGGTGTCCTCGCCAGGGCTCCGGACCCCTACCAGCTTCCCCCACCAGCTGCGCAGGCCCAAGTCTGTCACTGCCCTGGCCCAGCTCAGTTCCTACGCTCCCTCCCCAGCCCCTCCTCAGCCCGAGAGCCAACCTCCTTAACTCAGCCCCCAAACTCGACGAGTTTGTCTTGCATTCTCCAGACAGGTGATCTTGCCCTCTCCAGCCTCAGTTTCTCCTCCCGTGGAGACAGAAACCCCTTCCCGCTCAGTTTCTGGCTCTGGTAAGGAACTGAAGAGGCCAGCCGGGGTGCCTCTGACGCCTGGAGAGGGCAAGATTCCCCTGGCCTCTCTACGCCCGGTGCCTGATCCCCCAGCCCGATCCTGCCGCAGGGAGCCTCAGGTCGCTGCGCTCCCACCCTCCGCACCTTCCTGGACTCGGGCCTGGCTCCTCACCCAGATTTCCAGGTGGATGTCTCGCAGGGCAACGCTGCCCTTGTACAGATCGAGGCTGAGCTGGTCCAGGCTGAGGTGCTCTTGGAAGAAGTGACCTAAGTAGTGGTGCAGCAAGTAGCGGCAGACCCGCTCTTTCACACAGTTTGACCATGGCCACAGCCATCGTGACATCTCGGAGACCGCCGGGCCTGGGCCGCCTCCGCTTGCCGCCCGCCGGCGATCCCCGTCCGGCTCCGCTGTTCACTAGAGCCCCCGGCTCGCCCCGCCGCTTCTCTAGGCGCCAGGCCGCGCCTCCGGACGCCCAGCCACGCCCCCTACGCTCACTGTCATTGGCTATTGCAAAGGGCGAGGCCTACTGATTGGCTGCGCGGGGCGGAGCCTTCGGGCGCGAAAAAGGGACTGGGCTCTCTGCATGATATAGGGCTCTCAATCATGATTTACGCTTGCGTAAAGTACTGTGTGGGAGGACCTTTAACCTCCCCTCTACAGGCTCTGGGAAGGCTGTTGCTCCAGGTGCCGGCCCCTCAAAGGAATGCGCATGTGCTGATTCGTCCAACCACTTTAAGTGGTTGGGGAGGATTTAAAGGGACAGTGTCCCATCAAACTTCGTAGAAGCCTTCCCCAGAGGAGTAAACTCAGTGCGCGATCTTAAGCGCGCATCTGTGGAAACAATTAAGTGAGTAAACATTCGCATTTTGCAAAATCTTTTACCATCCTTTATCTCATTGAGCCCTCTTAATAATCGCTCAAGGTAGGGATTATTGCCACCGCTTTACAGGTAAGAAAACAGATTAAGATACGAGAAAGACCCTGCCTCAAAAACAAACAAAAATAAATAAGGGCTCTGAATCCATCACCAAGGAAGGTCTTTTTTCCCCTCCTCACCCCGGAATGCTCAGAGGGAGATTAACTGACCCTCCCTTCTCTCTGCCGTCGGTCAGGCCTTAGGCACCTCTCTGAAATAATAATAGCTTTTCATATCTCTAGTCCTAAAATCAAAGAATGGATTCTGCCTCCTTTAAGCAGGGGGGCATTGTTTTTGTACGGCCTTTGAGCTAAGTATGGTTTTTATGTCTTTTAAATGGTTAGGGGAAAAATCAAAAGAAGAATGAACTTTTCATGGCATGTGAAAAATCATATGAAATTCACATTCCAGTGTTTATACATAACGTTTTAGTGTCACACAGTCTTGCTCATTTGCTTAAGTTCTGCCCCGGGCTGCTTTCTTGCTACAAGAGCAGAATTCAGTACTTGAGACAGAGGCCTGCAAAGCCTAAAATATTTATTTTCTGGCCCTTCACAGAAAAAGTTTGCCAACCGCTGCTCTGTAGGGGGCAGCCACACAAAACCTCTTACATCATGGGCGACTTCAGGAACAGCCATAGGTAATTATGTTTCTTTTCTTTTCTTTTTGAGACAGACTCTCTCTGTCACCTAGGCTGGAGTGCAGTGGCACAATCTTGGCTCACTGCAACCTCTGCCTCCTGGGTTCAAATGATTCTGCTGCCTTGGCCTCCCAGAGTAGCTGGGATTACAGGCATGCACCACCGCACCCAGCTAATTACCGTGTTGGGCAGGCTGGTCTCGAACTCCTGACCTTAGGTGATCAGCCTGCCTTGGCCTCCCAAAGTGTTGGGATTACAGGCACGAGCCACCGTGCCCGGCCTATGTTTCTATTTTATTTATTTTTTTTGAGACAGAGTCTTGCTCTGTTGCCCAGGCTGGAGTGCAGTGGTGCAGTCTCCTCTCACGCAACCTCTGGCTCCTGGGTTCAAGGAATTCCTGAGTAGCTGGGATTACAGGTGTGAGCTACCCCACCTAGCCTGTGTTTCTATTTTAATCTTACTTGGGAGCTGGACTCTTACATTCTAATGCCAAAACTCAGCCTGAAGCAAGGGCAACCGCCCTGGCCCACCGGGCAGGGACCTGTATTCCAGTCCCACCCATGGGTGGTTTCTTCTCCTCTTGTGACCCTCAGTTTTATCCTATGTAACTGGGGTTGGGTTAGTAAGTGGAGATAGTTCATTACCTGGAAGGAGCAGGCTCCATTCAGGGAGGCAGGCTGATAGGACAGCCATTCAGAAAGTGCTTATGGGCCAGGCACGGTGGCTCATGCCTGTAATCCCAGCACTTTGGGAGGCCAAGGCGGGTGGATCATGAGGTCAGGAAATCGAGACCACCCTGGCTAACACAGTGAAACCCCATCTCTACTAAAAAATATTTAAAAAATTAGCAGAGTGTGATGGCGGGCGCCTGTAGTCCCAGCTACTCGGGAGGCTGAGGCAGGAGAATGGTGTGAACCTGGGAGGCGGAGCTTGTGGTGAGCCAAGTTTGTGCCACTGCACTCCAGCCTGGCTGACAGAGCGAGATTCTGTCTCAAAAAAAAAAAAAGAAGAAACTGCTTGTGGAAGGAATCTAGAGCTCTGCCTTCTTCCATGGCAGGCTGGGGGCAGTACTGTGCTCACCAACTGATTATTACATTAATAATAATATACCGGGTTGGGTTGCTCACTCCTGTAATCCCAGCACTTTGGGAGGCTGAGGCAGAAGGATCGCTTGAGCCCAGGAGTTTGAGACCAGCCTGGGCAACATAGCTGAATCCCTGTGTCTACAAAAAAAAAAAAATGTTTCAAAAAATTAGCCGGGCGTGGTGGTGTGTGCCTTTGGTCATTTGAGCCCAGGAGTTTGAAGTTGCAGTGAAGCTATGAATGCACCACTGCACTCCGGCCTCGGTGACAGACGGAGATCTTGTCTAAAAAAAAAATTAATAGTAAATATAATTGCCACCATGAATTAAGCCTGTGTGATGTCCTAGGCCTTGGGCTTGTTACTTTACGTGCACGATCTCATCTGCTCTGCTGTTCACCATATGCTCATGAGGGAGGTTCTATTAATATCCCCATTCTTAAGGGAGAGGAGACCAAGGCTACGTGCCTAAATGCTGTGGAGCGAATGAATGAAAAAGCATTAAGATTCAGAAATCATAAAAAGAAAAAAGAGGCTTGGAACAGTGGCTTACACGTGTAATCCCAGCATTTTTGGGAGGCTGAGGTGGCCAGAGTCACTTGATCCCGGGGGGCAGAGGTTGCCGTGAGCTGAGATTGCACCACTGCACTCCAGCCTGGGTGACAGAGAAGACTCCACCTCAAAAACAAAAAAAGGAAAGAAAAAAGAAAAAACACCACTTCTCCTCCTTCCAAAGGTGGTGGGGATAGAAGGGGATATTCTCTTGGTCCAAGAAAAGTTATCCTTTCTAGGCCCCTGGAGCCACTCTGGGAGTTTGCTCTCCTCCAGTGAGGGAGACCCCAGGGTCAGGCTGCACTCACATCTGTCTGTTGTAACTGAACTGGTGGGCACATCCGTCTCTTAGGGGTTGGTGCCTGCAGGTCCATTCCTGAGCCCCAGTTCCCAGTGCCATGTGTGTACCACAGCAGAAGATTAGACAGGACTGAGAGGACACAAAGATACTTCCCCAGACAAGCTCTGTAGAAAACCAACTCCAGAGACAGTCATTCTCCAACCTAGCCTCGGAGTAGGAGCTAAAGGAGTGAGCAAAAAATCCTCGCACAGTAAAGGGGACGATATTCTCTTGGGAGGAAATGGGGTGTTGGGAACCCCATGGGACATTCTGCAACGAAGTCCCAAGCCCCACTTTAGGTCCAGCAGTTATTTTTTTTTTTTTTGAGACGGAGTCTCGCTCTGTCTCCCAGCCTGGAGTGCAGTGGCGCGATCTCAGCTTGCTGCAACTTCTGCCTCCTGGGTTCAAGTGATTCTCCTGCCTCAGCTTCCTGAGTAGCTGGAATTACAGGCGTGCACCACCACGCCTGGCTAATTTTTCTGTTTTTAGTAGAGATGGGGTTTCACCGTGTTGGTCAGGTTGGTCTCGAAGTTTTGACCTCATGATCTGCCCGCCTCGGCCTCCCAAAGTGCTGGGATTACAGGTGTGAGCCACTGCGCCCAGCCTTCGGTCCAGCAGTTCTATATATATATATATATGTAATTTTTTTTTTGAGCCAGTACCTCATTCTTGCTCAGGCTGGAGTACAGGGGCATGATCACAGTTCACTGCAACCTCTGCCTCCCGGGCTCAAGCAATCCTCCCACCTCAGCCTCCCCGAGTAGCTGGGACTATAGGCTCGTGCCACCATGCCCAGCTAATTTTTCTATTTTTTGTAGAGATGGAGTTTCACTATGTGGCCCAGGCTGGTCTTGAACTCTTGGGCTCAAGCAATCCACCTGCCTCTGCCTCCCAAAGTGCTGAGATTACAGGCATGAGCCCCTGCACCTGGCCTAGGTCCAGCAGTTCTAACAAATACACTGGCCCTGGGCACTGCATTTAGGGGCTTCTTCTACTGGACAACTGGATTCCAGTCAAGAGGTCAGGGGAAGTTTGGGGTCAGGATTCCTCCCCATAGAGAGAAAATGGGGAGGGCCAGGCTTTGCCCAGGCCGGGGGGCATCCTTCCCACCTTAGATTAGGTGAAAACTCATCAGGCAAACTGTGTGCTTCAGACCTCAGGGGCCCTGAAGGAGTATCTCCCTCCCCCCAGGGATGGCCCACCCTCTGGGGTGAGAAAGGGATCACAGAGGTGGCCCGGGGGCTGCGGCTTTTGACTCTGTCCTGGGTGGAGAGCTTGGGTTTTATCAGAGGGAAGGGCTTTCATGGAGGAAGAGAGGCCATCCCTCAAGGATGGGTGGAGCTGGAGGGAGGAGATCCCAGGCAGCTGGCAGGGAACTGGGTGTCCAGGCCAGAGGAGCTCCTCCAGGTAGCTCAGGGGCAGCCAGGAGAACAGGGGGATCTGGAACACACCTGAAAAAGCAAACTTCATCTATAAATACATGGAACTTCATCTATAAATACAATACTGTTGGATTGTACAACTGAAATTGGTGACTTTTTTTTGTTTTGAACATACATCTTTCGTTGCATATAACACAACGTGATGCATTTCGTTTAAATTGTGGTAAAAGCCACACATGGTGGCTCACACCTGTAGTCCCAGCACTTTGGGAGGCCAAGGCGAGAGGATCACTTGAGTTAGAGACCAGTCTGGGCAACATAGCAAAACCCTGTCTCTACAAAGAATACAAAAAATTAGCCAGGAGTGGTGGCATGCGCCTGAGGTCCCAGTTACTCGGGACTGAGGCTGAGGTGGGAGGATTGCTTGAGCCCAGGAGGCAGAGGTTGCAGTGAGCCAGGATCGCGCCACTGCAAAAAAAAAATAAAAAAATAAAATAAAGCCGGGTGCAATGGCTCACTCCTGTAATCCCAGCATTTAGGAGGCTGAGGCGAATGGATCGCTTGAGCTCAGGAGTTTGAGACCAGCCTGCGCAACATGGCGAAACCCTGTCTCTACCAAAAAAAACAAAAATTAGCCTGGCATGATGGCGTGCATCTGTGGTTCCAGCTACTTGGGAGGCTGAGGCAGGAGGATTGCTTGGGCCTGGGAGGTGGAGGTTGCAGCAGTGAGCTGAGATGGTGCCACTGCACTCAAGCCTGGGTGACAGAGTGAGACTCTGTCTCAAAAAACAAACAAACAAAAAATGTTCAATCTTGCATCCTCCAAGTGACACTGTGCCTATTTTGAGACCCAGTTCAAATGCCACCACTTCAGAAGTCTTTTTTTTCAGCCGGGCACAGTGGCTCACGCCTGTAATCCCAGCACTTTGGGAGGCCGAGGTGGGCGGATCACGAGGTCAGGAGATCGAGACCATCCTGGCTAACACGGTGAAACCCCGTCTCTACTAAAAATACAAAAAAACTAGCTGGGCTTGGTGGTGGGCGCCTGAAGTCCCAGCTATTCGGGAGGCTGAGGCAGGAGAATGGTGTGAACCCAGGAGGCGGAGCTTGCAGTGAGCCGAGTTTGTGCCACTGCACTCCAGCCTGGGCAACAGAGCGAGACTCCATCTCAAAAAAAAAAAAAAGTTTTTTTTTTCTTCCAAGAGTCTTATCCCTCTCCTCTACTCTTCAGTGCCCCATTTCTCAAATGGAACATCTCTGTTTTTTGTTTTGTTTTTGAGACAGGGTCTCTGTCACCCAGGCTGGAATGCGACAGCACAATCACAGCTTACTGCAGCCTCTAACTCCTGGGCTTATGTGATCTTCCCACCTCAGCCTCCCAAAGTATTGAGATTACAGGTATGAGCCATCACACCTGGCCTTAGCACTTCCTTTATATAAAACACCAGTCCTCTGTGGTCAGTCTAGCCTTGAGACCAGGGCACTGGTACCCAGGGGGCTTGTGGAGATGGGCTGTAGCCAGCTGGGAGGTGGAAGCCTGGCCCCTGGCCCCAACTTTTGATGACACGCTGTGTGACACTGGGCAAGGCGCTTCTCCTCTCTAGGCCTTGGGGTCCTTGCCTGGCTGCAGAGGCTCTGTGGGCCTGCCCTCCCTCAGCTTGTTCAGGGATGCAGAAGAGCCTGGGAGGTGGGCAAGGAGGGAGATCATGGATTCCCATTGGACAGACAGGGACACCAAGGGCCGGATGGGCAAGGCCTGCCGGAGGTTCCTGAGCAAGCAGAGCACTTGCTGGGTCTCCAGTGCCGGAGTCCTGGACCCCAGCCTGGTGAACTGCGGCCCTCGGTGCAGGCCTCTGCCTTCTGTTGCTTTGGTAGGCGGACACCTCTTGCGCACCCAGGCTTCCTCTGCAACCGGGAGGATGGCTGGGTGGTTCCGCTGGAGCACTGAGTGGTCACCAAGACCCAAAGCAAGATGGGGCAGACTCTGAAAAGGCCCCTAGTCCCCTCCCCGACCTCATTATCTGGTCTCATCACCCTTTCCTACTGCTCACCATGGACCAGCTGCTCATCCAGGCAACATTTCAGGGTGGAGATTTCACAGCAGTGTAGCGGGATGGAGTTCAGGGCTATAAAGAGTGTTGGGGTCCAGGATCCTAGGACGGGGGCCCAGGACTGCAGGCTGGGAACTTTTGGTTAGCATGCCAAACTCCTGGACTCCCACCTGTGCCTTGCATGCCAGCAGCAGGATTTTGAGCAAGAGACACTGACCCACCCAGCACATCTTAGGGTCCAGGGGGGCTGAAAGGTCCATCCGGGAAGGCCAGGCTGCCTGGGATGAGGTGGCAGCTCAAGGAGAAAACCTCCTCCTCTCGGGCTTTGCCACTCCAAGACTGGCCCTTTAAACTGGAGACCATGATGTCACCATAGACAGCAAGGGACGGGAGGGGGACTGCAGGCCTGAGGATGGACTGCATCTCCCAGCAGGCTTGGGTGCACCACACCCCTCCCAGCAAGCACTGACTCATCGCAGACTTTTAACTAGTCCAGTGCTGGTTTCCAAGGGGTTTCTGAAGTGTCTGGTGGTTCTGGGGTAAGGGTGAGGTTCCTGGGGGGATGGCCTAGGGCATAGAAGGCCCAGGCCAAATCTGTGGGCCTAGCGTAGCTTGCTGCGACTCCTTCCTGTCAGTGTCCTGGCATCACCCTACTTTCCTGGTGCAAACTCCTAAGCCCTCCTCTTTCCCTATGCAGCCTCCCTTCTAGAATCCAGGCTTCCCGCCCCCGGCTAGAGCCCATCCCACTCTGCTCTCTGGCTTCAAAAGCTTCGGCCTTCACCCCCGAGTCTGCCCTCAGGGGTGTCCCCTTTGGTCTGGCAGCTCACTTTAAACGGCGCGGGGACTACATCTCCCAGCGGCCCCGGGCCTTCCTGACGCAGCCCCCCCTTTCAGCCCGCGGGGAGGTGCGGGCCGGGTGGGGGGAGGTGACTTGATGTCATCCTGAGCAGCTGGGCGGCGGGTGCCGGTGCGCACGGAGCCGAGCCGGGGCTCCCGTTGCGCTGCACCGCGTTGGGTCGGAGTCCCAGGACTTCAGCGGAGATCCGCGCGCTGCGACGGCCGGTGCAGAGCCCGCCGAGCGCCCAGTCCCGGCCCGGGGCTGAGTTGGGGGCATGCTCTAGCCGCCCCCCCGGAGCCCGGGAGAGAACCCAGGAGCGCCGCCGCCCAGCCCCAGCGCCCCGAGCGGAACCGCTGCGAAGGGGCCCTGAACGGCCGTCGCCCTCCCTACGGGCAGCCCCCGGGGGTTGGCGACCGAAGTCTAGGTTTTCGAGAAGTGAGTGTCCCCCACCCCATGAGGTTTGGGGGGCCAGGAAGGAGGAGCTGAGGTGGGGGAGGGTGCCAGGTTCTAGGAGCGGGGTGGCATCGGGACAGCACCTCCAGTCTTGGGGTTGTCCCAAGTGGCCGGGATTAGTGGAGCAGCGATGCGTTCCATTCTGAAAGGGGCAGGGATGACGATCGGGGCTCCATTCTGAGTCGGGGCTGGCTTGGGGGATAGGCCCTATTCTGGGAGGGGTTGTTTTGGAGGCTTTCTGTCTGAGAGAAGGGAGGGACATGTCCAGGATGGGAGGGGGCTGCACCCCTATTTTAGGGTCTGGGCAAGGATAGGAGGGAAAAGACCTGGGCACTCCACGCAGCCTCCCGGCTCTCCTGAGGAACTGATGGGCTTTCTCTGTCTCTTTCTTGCTGATCTTTCTGCCTGACTTCGTTTTCAAAAGAGCCAGGGTGGGAACCCTAACTGGACTCTTCGGGACCCCCAGGAAGGATCTGAGGCCTGAGCCATCCTCCTTTCTACCCTGTCTGCCCCCCAGGACTGGGCAGTTGCAGGAGGCCCTGGGGGGGGGCCCAGGACTGTGGTTGTGCCCCCCCCCCAAAGGCCGGACAGGATGGGACCAAGTTAGTCTGTCCAGTCTCACCCAGCACCTCCCAGGCCCAGAGAGAACCCCCGGGGCTCTGAAAGCTTGCCCTGCCGCCTGACCGCCATGGAGACGAAGCTGCCCCCTGCAAGCACCCCCACTAGCCCCTCCTCCCCCGGGCTGTCGCCTGTGCCCCCACCCGACAAGGTGGACGGCTTCTCCCGCCGTTCCCTCCGCAGAGCCCGGCCCCGCCGCTCCCACAGCTCCTCTCAGTTCCGCTATCAGAGCAACCAGCAAGAGCTCACACCGCTGCCCCTGCTCAAAGGTGAGCTGGCTGCTGGCCACTGGGGGAACCGAACCCCCGAGGGGACCAGCAGGGCCATGGGGAGGGGTGGGAGGCAGCGGGCAGCTGCCAAGAGAGAGAGTTTGGATACCCCTCCAGGCTAGGTTCTCCGCCATCAGAACTGACCCCAGCCCTCCAGCCCTCTCTGCTGACACATGGCCTGACTGGCCTGTCATCCTTAGAGGTGGGACATCCGAAGGTGGTGCCACCCTAGGGGCAGACCAAGGCCAAGGGTGGGGCCCATAGCCTGGGTTCCAGGGGGCCACTATCAGCCCAGCCAGCTGCCAGATCCCTGGAGCAGGCGCTTGGCAGGGTTCCCTGGGATCACCACATAGGTCCCTTCCCCAGCCTTGGGCCATAGGGCCAGACTGGCCAAGCCTGAGGACACCGTAGAGATCCTTGGCCCTGAACCCCTCCCCATTTCTGGCCCTTAGAACAGGGTGCCACCTGAGAGGGAGGCAGCAGCTGTTTGGGGCACCTGTGGAAAGCTGCTGCATCCAGGATTTGTGATCTTGCTTTAAAACTCAGGCCATCATACTCTCTGAGCCTGGATTAGGAGGAAGAAAAGCAACCCTCAACCCCCAGGAATGGAGGAAGGGACAGTAGTTGTTTGCTGTCTGCAAGGAGCAGGAGATGGCACAAGAGCATGGGGCCTGGGGGCAGCAGAGGCAGCCGTGGAGATTAGGAGGGTCTGCCCCACCCACAGCTGGGGCAGCTGGGGGAGCTGGGGCCCAGGCCCAGGATGCCCTCTCCTCCCCAGATGTGCCGGCTTCCGAGCTGCACGAGCTGCTGAGCCGGAAGCTGGCCCAGTGTGGGGTGATGTTTGACTTCTTGGACTGTGTGGCCGACCTCAAGGGGAAGGAGGTGAAGCGGGCAGCCCTCAACGAGCTGGTGGAGTGTGTGGGGAGCACCCGGGGTGTCCTCATCGAGCCCGTCTACCCAGACATCATCCGCATGGTGAGCACCTGCCACCCAGGCTCCGAGGGCCGGCCGAGAGGGCGTGTGAGCCCCGTTTCCTGTCCGCAGGACCCCTGCGTGGAGAATAACCCTGTACTCATCGGCTTGGCCTCAGTCCACGTCTTCCTTCCCCCCGACCTGCTGCTGCCCAACACCCACTGAATGCCTCCGGGCCTGCCCCACGTCCACACCTTTGCTTATGCTTGCCTGAGACCTGGAGTGCCCTGCCCCACACCCCATACCATCCATGGCCTGGCTCAGGTGCCGCCTCTGCCAAGAAGCCGCTGTCAATAACCAAGCTGGAAATCTCCCTTTTCCTGCCCGTAGACCTCACAGCTTCTAGCCTTGTTCTCCCCACTGGATTGCACCTGCCTAGAAGGCAGGGATGTGTCCCATTCACCCCTGGGTTCCCAGCCCCTGGCCCAGGGCTTGCACGAACTAGGCGTTCAGGTGATGATTGCCCAAGGAATGAACTGCTTGCTGGGGCAGATGCTGAAATCAACCCATTAGAACTTTGAATGAGGGCCGGGAGCAGCAGCTCTCATCTGTAATCCCAGCACTTTGGGCCAAGGCGAGAGGATCACTTGAGGCAAGGGGTTCAAGACCAGCCTGACAGTGAGACCGCATCACTACAAAAATTTAAAAATTTGCCGGGCATAGTGGTGTGCTACTGTAGTCCAGCTACTCAGAAGGCTGAGGTGGGAGGATCGCTTGAGCCTGCCTGGGAGGTTGAGGTTGCAGTGAGTCGAGATTGTACCACTGCGCTCCAGCTTGGGCAACAGAGCGAGACCCTGTCTTGGGAAAGAAAAAAAAAAAAAAAGCTTTGAATGAGAGACTCCCTGGCTTCTGTCTTCAAGGGCTTTTCCTTAATGAACCCCAACTCTGCCACTCAGATCTCAGTGAATATCTTCCGGACTCTGCCGCCCAGTGAGAACCCTGAATTTGACCCTGAAGAGGATGAGCCCAATCTTGAGCCTTCGTGGCCACACCTGCAGGTCTGAAGGGTTGGGGAAGACAGAGATCCAAGTTTCAGAAGAGATCCAAGGCATGGGGAGAGGGCCTCCTTAGCCCCTAGACAGTTGGATGAGGGCCATAGGGTGGAATGAGTGGGTGAGGCTGTTACTGAACTCACCTTTTTGTCTGTCCCCCTCCCCCAGCTGGTATATGAGTTTTTCCTGCGTTTCTTGGAGAGCCCAGACTTCCAGCCCTCCGTGGCCAAGAGATATGTGGATCAAAAGTTTGTCCTGATGGTGAAGTGGGGAGCCCAGGCTGGGTGGTACCACAAGGCAGGGGCAGGCTCTCTGAGGGGCCAGGGATAGGATGGAAGCAACCTGGGGTGGACCTTTCCCCTGACCCTGACCCTGACCCTGACTCTGGTTCCCACAGCTCCTGGAGCTATTTGATAGTGAGGATCCCCGGGAGCGTGAGTACCTCAAGACCATCCTGCACCGGGTCTATGGCAAGTTCCTGGGTCTCCGGGCCTACATCCGCAAACAGTGCAACCACATCTTCCTCCGGTGAGTGGCTGCTGCCTGCCCAGCAGAGACCTGGGGAGGGTGAGAGGGCTGTTAGAAGACTGCGGCAAAGGCCATGTGCGGTGGCTCACACCTGTAATCCCAGCACTTTGGGAGGCCGAGGTGGGTGGATCACCTAAGGTGAGGAGTTTGAGACCAACCTGGCCAACATGGTGAAACCCCGTCTCTAATAAAAATACAAACATTAGCCAGGCATGGTGGTGGGCACCTGTAATTCCAGCTACTTGGGACGCTGAGACAAGAATTACTTGAACCCAGGTGAAACCCCGTCTCTACTAAAAATACAAAAAATTAGCCGGGCGCGGTGGCGGGCGCCTGTAGTCCCAGCTACTCGGGAGGCTGAGGCAGGAGAATGGCGTGAACCCGGGAAGCGGAGCTTGCAGTGAGCCGAGACTGCGCCACTGCAGTCCGCAGTCCGGCCTGGGCGACAGAGCGAGACGGATGAACCCAGGAGGTGGAGTTTACAGTGAGCCGAGATCATGCCACTGCACTCCAGCCTGGGCAACGGGGAGACTGTGTCTCAAAAAAAAAAAGAAAAGAAAACAAAAAAAAAGAAGACTGCAGCAAAGGCTCCTGGGCTGCAGGGGCCCTTGTAGAACTTCTGTTTTCCAAGCCCTTTCTCAGTAACGTATTACATATTGATTATACAAAGCCTGTGAAGTTGACAGAGAATGGGTATTTATTTCCATTTTACAGATGAGAAAGTAGAGGCCAAGAGAGATGAAATGGTTTGCAGGGACTGGGTCAGTCCAGGGGCCTAGGAGCTAAATCATTTGACCCTTATCATGCCAGGCCATAAGGACCCAGAGAGAGATTCTTTCTGCAAACATGCACTGAGCACCAGCACCCACTGGGCATCAAGGCTCACGTGGCCTTGTAGTTGAGACCATGGCTCTGAAGCTGTATGGCCTACATTTGAGTTTGGTTCCAACGTTTGGGTGAACTTTGGCAAATTACTTAAGCTCTCTCCTAGTTTGCTCGTCTTTAAAATGGGAATGCTGGCTGGGTGCAGTGGCTCATGCCTGTAATCCCAGCACTTTGGGAGTTGGAGGTGGGCAGATCACTTGAGATCAGGAGTTCAAGATCAGCCTGGCCAACGTGGTGAAACTCCGTCTCTACTAAAAATACAAAAATTAGCTGAGTGTGGTGGTAAACACCTGCAATCCCAGCTACTCAGGAGGCTGAGGCAGGAGAATCGCTTGAGCCTGGGAGGTGGAGGTTGCAGTGAGCCAAGATTGCGCCACTGCACTCCTGCCTGGGCGACAGAGCGAGATTCCATCTCAAAGATAAGATAAAAATGGGGATGCTGCTTGTACTAACTCAGGGACCATTATCGAGGTGACATGGGGCCTTGCCTGCAAAGCACTCAGCATAGCTCCTGGACTGAGGCCGGGACTCTGAAACATTAGTTGTTATTAGCTACAAAATGGGTGAGCCATGATCCCTGTCCTCCTGCACCTTGGAGTTCATTAGATTCCCTGCCTATTAACATTGGGGTTGTTTTATTTAACCGCTGAGTCTTGATTTCTTCATCCATGTGATGGATTTCTTAAGCCCCATCTCCCTGGATAATTCTGAGACTTACATGGTACGGAGTAGATGTGCTAAGTGTTTGTCATTCTCTTGGTTGACTGGCAAGAGAGCCTTGAGCTTGGGACTCAGTGGCAGAGGTGGCTGGGCTGAGAAGGGCATTTCAGTGTGGGGGGGCGGGGATCTCAATGGGGCCTGGTTTGGGATGTTGGGAAGGGAGCGCAGCCTCTGGGTTGGGGGAGAGTTGGATGAGCGTGCCGTGCAGGTGAGGGTGGGCAGGCAGGATGCCTAAGGGGGCACTGGGCCTACCCTGCTTGCTTTGAGCCCACCTGCGTTCTTCTCTTGCAGGTTCATCTATGAATTCGAGCACTTCAATGGTGTGGCTGAGCTGCTGGAGATCCTAGGAAGGTGATTCTCCCTGGGCCTCAGCTGGAGCTCAGGATTCTGGAAGGAGGGACTGGGGCCAGGTCACCTGAGCCCTCTTCCTCTCTTCTGCCTCCTCCTCAGCATCATCAATGGCTTTGCGCTGCCCCTGAAGACGGAGCACAAGCAGTTCCTGGTTCGCGTCCTGATCCCCCTGCACTCTGTCAAGTCGCTGTCTGTCTTCCATGCCCAGGTGAGGCCCAGGCCTGTCCCTGCTGCAGCAGGAGCTCCAGACAGTCAGGGCAGCCAGTGGGTCCTGGAGGTCAGATCCTCCAGGGATCCTATCTCACCTTCTTTGTCTTTATAATTCTGTTCCATCTACCTTAGAAAATTCCCACTGGCGCTTTAAGGCTAACCTCAGATATCAGCTCTGTGAAGCCAGGCTTTTCTTCTCTACCCTCCCTTGGCAGAATTACATTCTTCTCCATCTATATTCCCAAATATTTGGATACACAAATCTATTATGGGAGATTTTGATACACAATTTTTTTTTTTGAGACAAAACCGTACTCTGTTGCCTCAGCTGGAGAGCAGTGGTATGAACATGGCTCACTGAAGCCTCTACCTGCTGGGCTCAAGCAGTCCTCCCTTCTCAGCCTCCCGAGTAGCTGGGACCACAGATGTATGTGCCACATGCCTGGCTAATTAAAAAAAATTTTTTTTTTGTAGAGACAGTGTCTTGCTATGTTACCTAGGCTGGTCTCAAACTCCCAGGCTCAAGTGATTCTGCTGCCTCGGCCTCCCAAAGTGCTTGGATTACAGGCGTGAGCCACCACACTAGCCATATTATGGAACCTTTTGCAAAATTTATAAAGATGAGTTTGTTGACTGTCCCCACTCCCCGCGAGATCAGAGTTGTATTCCCAGCACACTGAATGTGATGCCTGGTACATCCTAGGCAGGTGATAAATGCTTGGTGAATAAGAAAGTAACAGGCCGTGGGTGAGCAGTATTTGGCATTCTGTCCTGGACAGCAAGTCCTTGGCGCCTGGTGCCTTCCTGACCTGTCTTCCTTCCCTCCACCTGTCACCCCCTGCAGCTGGCATACTGTGTGGTGCAGTTCCTGGAGAAGGATGCCACTCTGACAGAGCACGTGAGTACCTCTGGGGGCTAAGGCAGCCTCTCACCTCTGCAGGCGTGACTCCTGTCTCATCTCCCACAGGTGATCCGGGGGCTGCTCAAATACTGGCCAAAAACCTGCACCCAGAAGGAGGTATGAAGAAGGGCTTTGATGCCCGCCAGAGGGAGGCTGGGAGGGCTCGGCCTCTAGAAGGCAGTCAGGTGTGTGTATGTGTAGGGGGAGATGTGAGCTGCTGCCCCTCTGTCCCTACTCCCCTCCCCAACCCACCCAGGTGATGTTTCTGGGGGAGATGGAAGAGATTCTTGATGTCATCGAGCCCTCCCAGTTTGTGAAGATCCAGGAGCCCCTTTTTAAGCAGGTGGCTCGCTGTGTTTCCAGCCCCCATTTCCAGGTATGAGGCAGGACAGGCGGGGATGGGAGCAGGGCTGGCCTGGAAAGGTTGGGTAGCTGACCTAATAAAGCTCCCTTTGCCCTCAGTTTCTCCTCCAATCCCGGGTCTGGTAATGGGGAGATGCTGGACTTAGGGTCAGGAGACCTAGGGTGAAGCCTCGGACCTGCCTTCCACTGGCTGAGGGGCCTTGAGCAAATCACTGCACCACTCTGATTCTGATTAAGCTTCCGCAGCTGTAAAATGGGCCAACAACCTCTTCACAGGGTGGGGATAAGGATGGAAGAGATTGTGAGTGTAAACATGTTTGGTAAACTGAAGTGTGATCCAGAATGTGATGGAGGACTGTTATCACTTTTCCCCTTTTGCTAGTGGCCTTAGATTTCATTAGACTCGCTTTGGGATGCAGCCAGGCTTCCCCGCACCAACCCAGCTAACTAACTCATGTTCTGCTGCAAGCATGTGCAGACTTCCTCCCGTTCTTATGGGCCATAACCCAGTGGAAGTCAAGTCTTCCTCACAGTGATTCTGGCACTTCGGTTCATTAAACACCTAAAAGTCTAGTATCTCATTTGATTCTTATAACATCCTGTTGAGATAGGTATTATTAGCCCATTTTACAGATGAGAAAACTGAGGCTGGGAGGTTAAATGCCTCTCCCAAGGTCACATGGCATAGTAGAGTCTGTAGTGGTTAGGATTCACCCCGCAGCATTGGATTCCGTATCTAGAACTCTTTTCCCTTCAACACTGTTGCTTCCTCCAGGGCTCAGATAAGCCCTGAAGGTGGGGTGTGTGAAGGTCAGGGGGCCTGGGCGTTGAGGTAGTGATGGACACCAGACCTTGCACACAGAGAGAAGCCACTGCCAGTTAATCACTCTGCCATCTTGTCTGCCCCAGGTTGCAGAGCGGGCTCTGTATTTCTGGAACAATGAGTATATCCTAAGCCTCATTGAGGACAACTGCCACACTGTGCTGCCTGCTGTGTTTGGGACCCTCTACCAAGTCTCCAAGGAGCACTGGAACCAGTGAGTGCCAGGCCATGACCTAACTCACAGAAACTGGGACCAGGGCCAGCCAGTCCAGACCCGACCCCAGGGTTACTCCTAGCTGGAGAATATCAGAGAAAGCATCAAAAGATGGCCCAGGGGTGGTGAAAAGGACAGGAAAGTGGGCAGTGCTTGTGTTCAGGTGGAATGCTGTATGTGAAGGGCAGGGAAAGGGAGAGGTGGGCAAACCAAAGCTGTTTCATCTCCTCATCCCTCCTTGACACTGCCAAGAACCATCGTATCACTGATCTACAATGTGCTCAAGACCTTCATGGAGATGAATGGGAAGCTGTTTGATGAGCTCACAGCCTCCTACAAGCTGGAAAAGCAGCAGTGAGTGTTGGGGGCTGGGCGTGGGGGAAGGGAGAAGAGCAGGGAGGAGTCAGACCCCCATGGCTGGAGGGAACCCGAGGACTACCCCAAACTCTGTCTGATCAGATGCTGCAAGACTGTCCATGCTCCTGCCATCCTATGCCTGACTGTCTGCCCCTGTATCCTCCCGTCATTCTTCGAGTAGCTCAGACTTGTTCTGACTCCCTGTAGCTTCCTACAGAAGCCAGAACCACTCAGGCCCCACCCGTCATCTTCTCTGTGACTGCAGGCTGGGATCTGTCTGTCCTCTGCTCTCTTCCCTCAGTAGAGGGTTTTTATGGAGTCACAGAACAAAAATGGTTCCATGCCTTCCCTTTGCCGGTGGGGTGGTAGTGAGGGAGTCTGGACTGTGAGGGAGTCTGGACTGTGGGGGGCCCCAGGAAAGGGAGCTGCCTCACCCTCTCTCCCCAGGGAGCAGCAGAAGGCCCAGGAGCGTCAGGAGTTATGGCAAGGTCTGGAGGAGCTGCGGCTACGCCGGCTACAGGGGACCCAGGGGGCCAAGGAGGCCCCCCTCCAGCGGCTTACACCCCAGGTGGCCGCCAGTGGGGGTCAGAGCTAGACAGCACCTCAGAAGGGGAAAAGCTAAACCCAGAGCTGTCAGTCCCTCTATCCCTTCTCCTGTCCAGGGGCCCAGAGAGAAACACACCTACCCCTGGCCTTGCCAGAGTGGCTTCTGAGGACTCCCTGCCCAGCCCAGCTTTCACTGGGGGGAGACGAGGAGAGGCAATGGTGGTCTTGGCAACAGAATGCTCAGCCCCTCGTGGCAGGACTTGACAAGGGCAAGCTTGACCAGGAAGCTGCCATCAGGGATCTTCCCCTGCCCCGCAAAGCTAGGCTCCAGCTGCAGGCGGGCTCCCACCCTCTGCTCCTGGCCTTGGGCAAGGGCACTCAGCGCCTCGCCTGCCCCTGCCTTGGCCAATGCGAGGTCCTTCCTTATCCCCACCATGGGGTCCATGGTCTATTTATTCTCGCCCAGCTCACCCTCTACACAGACACTGTCCTGGGTGCACACTCCTCCCTTCCCTCGCTGTGTACTTCCTTGTCCCCTTTTTATTTATTGGGCAGGGGGAGGGGGAGGGCACAGGCAAGAAGAGATTCACAGTGTCCTGGGGTAAGGGGGGGTTCACAGTAATCATGGTCTACTCCTCTTTCCGTGGCTGGGGGTAGACTTAATAAAGAGAGAAATTCAAGAACTGCTTGCTTTATTTAGGGGTAAGGGCAAAGAGGGAAGTAAAATGATGAAAGATTGGTTTAGAAGGGCCAGGCAGAGGCAGGGAAGAAGCAGAAACTCCCCTCTTCTCAGGTGACAGTCACAAAATCTTACAAAGGATCAAAGCTGGAACAACCCTCCCCTTATTTAAAAAAATTCCATAGCAAGTAACCATCAGGGCTGGAGCTCCTTCCAGTTTTTGAATCTTGAACACAGGTTTCCCCCACCAGAACGTCAAGCCCTGTGACCCAGGGGAGGAAGGAGGGGAGAGGATGGGCTAGTAGCGAGAGAGGCGACACATGTCACACTGGCAGGCCCTGGCCGTGAAGATCTCGAGCTCCTCCCTCCGGCTCCCCACACACTGCAGCTGTACTTTGACCTGCGGGAGAGGGGAGTCCGTGCTGCAGTCCCCTTTCTCAGGGCTGTCTAGGATCTCCATCTCTCTGGTCTTCCCGCGACCCCAGCGTCCATCCACCGGGCCCGGGCCCTCCTCACCTTCTTCAGGCCACTGATGGTGCAGCACTGAGAGACGGAGGTGATGTTGTGTCGGTAACCACTGGCCACCAGCACAGAGTACCGAGAAGGGAAGGCGCTGGACTCACAGTGGCCCACACAGGCCTGTGCCACGTGGGAGCCCTGGCAGGTGCCTTGGCGGTCACTTCGCACTGTCACATTGAAGGCTAGAAGGAGATAGGCAAGCAGTAGACGGCGCCTCTGCCAAGGTTTGCCTCGCCCCAGCTCCCGTTGCCTGTGCCTCAGTGTGGGGCCCTTTAGGGTGCTGCCTGCCCCACCGTCCACTCAGCTCTTTGCTCCCACCCAGAACCTCCACTGCTCCTAGCCCTCCGGTCCCAGAGGTACTCACGGTGCAAGTGGCAGCCTGGGATGACTGCCTCCTGGCCCCAGGCTTCAGTGACTGCCAGGACCAGCAGATAGAGGACCAGGGTTTGAGGGGACGCCATAGGCATCTGAAACACAGTGGGGAGATGTCTCTACGTGGGTGTGCAGGTGGGATGGCGAGTTCTTTAAATACTGCATTCCAGGTGAGTGAGCCAGGGCTGGCTGGTCTGACAGGTGAGGTGTGCCTGAATGGTGCTGCCTTTTCCCTGTATCTGCCTTTGTGTGTGTGTGTGTGTGTGTATGGGTGTGAGTGTGAGCAGCTGTCTCTGGAAAGGACCTGTGTGTCAGCCCTCTGTGCAGTGATTCTCCCTTCCCTGGAATTTTCTTCGCCATCTGGAGCGCAAACATCTTCCTCCCTCCATCTGCCCCATCTTGGCCTGCAGGGCCCTCGTCCACATTCCCAGACCCTCCCCAGAGCTCCTCCTGCCTCAGCGAGCTCACCACTTCCGAGGCCCAGGAACAGAGCGGCTTGCAGTTTTCCTGTGCCTCCTGCTGGTCTCCAGCTTGGTGCTGGCTCTCCAGGCTTTTATTTGCCAGCATTTTGGAGCCACGCCCTCTTGGAGATCGGCTTTCAAACCAGCCTCCCCTGCCTGAAGCCTCAGAGCGATCCCACCTGGGGGATCTTGCTCTTTGAGGTGCGGTCCTCGGAGAGCAGCTCCTGCTGCTTTCTGCTTCTTTCTGTCCAAAAAGCTACCCACAGCCCAGGCCTCGATAAGTCAGATGTGGAGAGAAGCCTAGGAGCTGGTGGAGTGTGCAGCGTGTGTGCAGCTGACGACACAGGGGTCAAGACTCTTGGCTGAGTTGTGGACACCTGGGTTCTCTTTGCTCTGTGACCTTGGACAGAACATTTCCCTGTTCAGGGCCTGATCACCCCTAACTTTATTATTATTTATTACTATTATTTTGAGAGGGTCTGGCTCTGTCACCTAGGCTGGAGTGTGGTGGTGTTATCTCGGCTCACTGCAACCTCCACCTCCCAGCCTCCCAGACTCAAGCCATCCTCCCCCTTAGCCTCCTGAGTAGCTGGGACCACAGGCACACCACTATGACCAGCTAACTTTTGTATTTTTTTGTAGAGACAGGATTTTGCCATGTTGCCCATGGTGGTCTTGAACTGCTAAGCTCAAGTGATCCGCCTGCTTAGGCCTCCCAAAGTGCTAGAATTACAGGCATGAGACACTGTGCCTGGCCACACCCCTAATTTTAAAACCACTAAACTCAGTCCTGCTTGCCTTTTTCTAACTGCAAAGGAAAGGGATTGGGGAAGGAGATTCTTAGGGACAAGGGAAATTATACCAGTGGAGGTCTCCTGAGATGTGCTTGGTGGCAGGGCCGGGGGTTTGGGGGTTGCTGTCTGTTTCAGAGTTGCATGGCCACGGTATCAGTGGATGATTCGCATCCTGTGCTACAGAGTAACGTTCTGAGCTGGAGTGCTCCCCTAGCCCTGGAATAACAGGGACCTGACTCCTGAAAGGGCCTGAAGTTATCAACCCCAGCAAAGCTGATCTATTTGTCCAACTCTGGTTTTATAGATGAGGCAACTAAGGCTCAAAGAAAGAAAGTTACTAAAAGTCACCCAGCTAGTTAATGTTAGGGCTGATTTCAAATTCAAATCTGCTGTCCATCCATGGTGCTAAACTACACTTGAGCAAGAATGTGGCAAGCTGGAGAAAGACCCCCAGGCAGCAGTGGCCAGAGGGGTTGGGGCAAGGTGGAGAGCCAAAGGAAGCCTGTGGTGATTCTGGGCAGCCCCGCTTTGGGGTCATTGCCTCACTGATCTGCTCAGAAAGAGCAGGGCCAGTCACAGACTGCTAGAGCTAGAAGGCACTTTATAACTCACCAAATCCTACCCCCTCATTTTCTGGATGAGAAAATAAGAGCTCAGCGGAAAACAACTTCCCAAAGCTTCACTGTAAGCTAGTCAGAGTCAGGGCGGGCACTCACAGCTCCAGATTTGGAGCTGTGCTTCTTAGCAGCTTTGTAAAACAGGCCATGTTTGGGACAGTCGAGTAAAGGCTGTAAACGCAATTTGAGAGGAAGTGATGTTACTAATGTCACTAATCCTTAAATTCCCACACCCTACGGTTTCCCCATCAGCCCCCATCCCCTCAAGACCTGGGTCCTTGTTTGCCAGGTCCTCCGCAGCAGTCCACCTCTTCTCTTCTCCCCACCAAGGGTGCAGGCAGCATAGCAACAGGACGCAGCGGGAACTCAGCAGTTCAGCCCCTGCTCTCCCACTCTTGAGGGGCACCCTCTGGCATGTGACAGATGATGGCTTCTGTTTAAAGCATTTGGGTGACAAGGCTCATTACCTTATGAGGTAGCCCATTCTAATATTGGACATCTCTAACAGGTAAAAAGTGACTCCTTTGTTGTGAGCTAAAATGAGTTTCCCTACATTTCCATAGATCATTTTGGTTCTCCACGGCCACATGAGGCTAAAGTGTCTATTACAGATCAGTCCTTTAGTTGAAGGCAGCTCAGGTGGCCAGGCCTTCTCCAGGGGTGCCAACCTGGATTGACTTCCAGTTAATCTGATAAACGAATCTGCATTACTGTCAAACAGTTAAAGGGATAGAGAGGTGGGAAACATTTTGTCTATGGAGAGGCAACCATTTGGGGCCAAACTGGAACTGGGGAAGAGGTCTCTTGGGTGAGCAGGGCTCAGGACAGTGAGTCTTGAAAGACCCCATTCCCTAACCTCTGGCACAAACTCACCTACCCAAAGTGATCCTGTGAATAGTAACCAGGTAGACCTAGGGAAGTTTCATGCATTTTCTCTGTATCTTGAGGGAAGCATTTGTTCTCTTTTACTCTATTCCACTAAATTCAATCAATAACTCTTCATAAATAATTTATTGTCATTAGGATCCTAAGTGCCGAAGACAAAAGGCCTAAACCGGCCCTCAGGACATGAACATTTTAGAAAGTTCCATTCTTAATGTTTTAAATTGGGGGAAAAAATCTATTATAAAGGGGCAAAGGACACGATAAAACCACAGAGGACTCAGCATGGGGACCTCATTCCCCACGACTGAAGTGTCATAAGAAAAGGATAGAGTTGGAGGAAGAATGGCTCGGGAGGAGTCACTACAAGAGATGATCCTCTTTCCAGCGCTGCATTTGGAAGGCTCAAGAGTGGCTGCTCTTCCTGAAGAAATATCGAAACGGGAAGAGAGAGCTGCAAGAATGAGAACAGAGTAGGCTGAGACTCTATGAGGTCTCCTTCCCTTCTCCCCATTTCCCATTAGTGCTTCACTAGCTAGGGCATTTTTGCTCTGGGGAACCATTGAATGGAAATTCAAGACTGAATAGCATTTGAAAAGGTACCCAAATTAGATTATACTCAGGAGGGGGAAATAAAGAAACAGAATTGCAATGGGATGGCAGAGAGAGAGAGAGACAGAGAGAGACATTTGCTAACTGTCCTTTGCAAACACAACCTAGATTCAGAGGGGAGAATGGAAATGTTTGGTAACCAAATCATCTGAATGGCTCAAGTAAACTAAGAATAGACTTTGTTCAAGTTAATGTTTTTGTTTGGTTGGTTTTTTTGAGACAGAGTCTTGCTCTGTTGTCCAGGCTGGAGTGCAATGGCACGATCTCAGCTCACTGCAACCTCTGCCTCCCAGGTTAAAGTGATTCTCCTGCCTCAGCACCCCCAGTAGCTGGGATTACAGAACATTCCACCACATCCGGCTAATTTTATTTTATTTTATTTTTTTAATCTCGGCTCACTGCAACCTCTACCTCTCAGGTTCAAGAGATTCTCCTGCCTCAGCCTCACCTCCACCTCCCAGGTTCAAGCGATTCTCCTGCCTCAGCCTCCCTCCCAAGTAGCTGGTATCACAGGCATGTAGCACCATGCCCGGCTAATTTTGTATTTTTAGTAGAGATGGGCTTCACCATGTTGGCCAGGCTGGTCTTGAACTCCTGACCTCAAGTGATCCACCCGCCTTGGCCTCCCAAAGTGCTGGGATCATAGGCATGAGCCACCCGGCCTGGCCCAAGTTAATGTTTATGGGGCTTGGCTTTATCCTGGACACATCAGGGTGGAGGTGGGTTGTGTAAAAATAAGTAAAACACAGTCTTTATTAAATGCACAATTAGGGCTTTTGTTCTTAATCTCATTTCCATCATCTATCCTAGACATAAGTGAGAAGCCTCTGTAAGTAATCTGCTTTCTTTTCTATTCTAATTTCCCTGAAAGACTCAATGAGCCGCTCTGAGCTGGATCTCGAGTCTGATGCCGGACAGAAGCTGTCTTACCTTAGAAACCCAAAGAAGCCGGTGGCTGCTCGCTCCTTAGGTGGAGGTGAGTTGTGCTGCAGGGGTGGGACAATTCGCCCTGGCAGGCTGTGTCCCCACTCAGAATCTGTAAGGAAAACAATCAGGCAGGAGCAAGATGTTTGTCCATAGGCCGTTTTCATGTGAGTAGAAGGCCAAACACCCAGTATGAGCCAGAGGCAGTCTCACGCCAAGAGTTCTTTAAAGCCAGATGAATTGTTTGTTCTGACCTTCCCAATTTCATCTCAGCTCAGTAAGATGCTATTCTGACCTCAGAGTATTTTCAGTCAAGCTCCTGGGATATTTACACAGCTCAAGTTCCAGCCATGCACTCTGGCTGGTATGTCTTCACATAAAATGACAAGTTGTTGAAGGACTCACTGGCCTACATCCCTGTTTCTGTGATAACTGCAGTCCACACTGAATCCTCATGCTGGGTAAAAGATCAGCAAGTAGGGAGGGCAATAGCTTGACATGCATTCCCAGCCCTTGCAAAGCATCCATTTGCAACTTCAATATTAACTCTAATGCCTCAAAGGGAAGAGATCATTCTCCAACAGTACAGAAAAGGGAAACACAACCCTCTCAACATTTCTATAAAGTTTATCACCTCACTCGGAAATGTTTTGAAATAGTGAGAGCATAACTTCACTATCAGAAGCAGAGGAAGGGCATGCCCTACCTCCCTTCACTCCTTCTGGGAGCTGGGGGGCTTCTATTACTCTAGGACAGGCCCCCAGACCAGAGGATGGCTAACAAGCACCTCCACGGGAGCAAGGCACATTACCCACTGAGGGCACCCAGACTCAGCTCTGTGCTGCTCTACATATCAGAGAACTACAAGGGAAAGGGTGATTATTAAAGGAGAATAAATGGAAATTTCCCAGGACCTACCTTGTTTCTGGACATCAGTGATATCAGAGGCCAGAGTCTCCTGCAATCCTTGTTGGGTTTTTCTTTCCCTATTCTGTTAAAAAGAAGACCAAGAAAAGCCTTAAACTTTCCTCCTACACTGCATGGCAATCTGAATGCTATTTGCTGGTGAACTGATTTCATATCAGCACTGGGGCCTGGCTTCTGACTGCCTAGACAGGTTCTATATTTCTTTCCATTTCTTTCCATAGGACTGTCCTTTTTTCTTTTCTTTTTTTCTTTCTTTTTTTTTTTTTTTTTTTTTGAGACTGAATCTCGCTCTGTCACCCAGGCTGGAGTGCAGTGGCGCCATCTCAGCTCACTGCAAGCTCTGCCTCTCCGGTTCACGCCATTCTCCTCCCTCAGCCTCCTGAGTAGCTGGGACTACAGGCGCCCGCCACCATGCCCGGCTAATTTTTTGTATTTTTAGTAGAGACAGGGTTTCACCGTGTTAGCCAGGATGGTCTCGATCTCCTGACCTCATGATCTGCCTGCCTCGGCCTCCCAAAATGCTGGAATTATAGGCGTGAGCCACCGTGCCCAGCCAGGACTGTCGTTTTTTCATTTCAACATCCAAACTACTGTCCCTCTAAAACCATAAGATTTAAGAGCCAAGAATAAATCAAGCTGGGTTTAACTTATCATCCCATGTTACTGAGTACCTACTATTACCAAGGACAGAACACTGAGGTTTCAGAAATCAGGAGGACCTTAAATTTACCTTGGAGAAATGTATAATCTATGGAGCAAAATGGACATAAACTAAGTCAAGACAGTGTGATGGCCGGGCATGGTGACTCATGCCTGTAATCCCAGCAATTTGGGAGGCCAAGGCAGATGGATCATCCGAGGTCAGCAGTTCGAGACCAGCCTGGCCAACATGGTCAAACCCTGTCTCTACTAAAAATACAAAAAATCAGCCGGGCGTGGTGGCAGGCACCTGTAATCTCAGCTACTCAGGAGGCTGAGGCAGGAGAATCGCTTGAACCCAGGAGGCAGAGTGAGCCAAGGTCGCGCCATTGCATTCCAGCCTGGGGCGAGAGAGTGAGACTCCATCTCGAAAAAAAGAAAAAGAAAAACAAAGAGTGTGATAAGACCACCCAACGAATCCATATAGAGTGCTGTGGTTGCTGAAAGGACGTTAATGGAGCAGGTGGTGTTAGTCAAGGAAGGCTTCACAGGGGAAGTGATATTTGAATGGAGCCTTGATGGATGAGTGGGATGTTGTCATGACGGGGGTGAGGAGATGGTCAGTCACAGCAGGGCATTCCAGACAGGGACATGATGTATGAGGGTACAGTGCCATTAAAGAATAAATAGGATCAGCATGGCTAGAGCCAGGCATGGTAGAAACATGACTGTGGCATTAGCAACACAATATAACACAATCTTATTATTTCTCCATGTGCTGCTGCTTTATAGAAATTTCTTTGTACTCTGAAGAGGACATTTTACAACCTGATTCCAGGCCCACAACATTTTCCAGTAAACACCCTGATAATCAGAAATATGGTTATTATATTTTCTTTGGGAATCTCTGCCACTGGCTACTACTCTCTTCACCCAGTCAGAACCTAGGGGCTTTACCCAGCAGTGATGGAGCTCCTCAAGCTGTTTTGCTGGTGAAGAGTTCTTTTTTTTTTCTTTTGGGTGTGCAGTTCTGTGAATTTTTTTCCCGTTTTTTAGAATTTATTTTTTATTTCAATAGGTTTTTGGGGAGTGAGTGGTGTCTGGTTACATGAATGAGTTTTTTTAATAGTGATTTCTGAGATTTTGGTGCACCCATCATCCAAGTAGTGTACACTATACCCAATGTATAGTCTTTTATCCCTCACCCCCTTCCCACCCTTTCCCCCAAGTCCCCAAAGTCCATTGTATCATTCTTAAGCCTTTGCGTCCTCATAGCTTAGCTCCCATGGCGAAGAGTTCTACAGCAAGGGGCTGCAGACTATAAAGGTAGGTTCTGGGAGGCAGAGGCATGGCAAGTCTCTAGAAAAGCTAGGACTAGCCCCCATCCTAAGAATAAACTTCGGGTTAGAATGGCAGATATCTCTGAACTAAGCCTCCTCACAAACCGCTCAAATCCCAGACCACATGGGCAGCCACCGAAGTCATATTCCTATAAAAGCAACAGGGAACTCTGGGGAGGAAGAAGACCATTCTTACCTTTTCTATAGAGAGTGGAGATGGAATTTAGAGGGCCAAGCTCTGGTTTCTGGTTTGAGGGAATGATTCTTACAAATTTAATGAAACTATGGTTTGGGGCTTTAATTCTGCTGCATACAGTAGCCCTAATGAAAGCATCTATTAAGGGTGGGAGGAGGAACAGGAGGGCAAAGGCCCTGGGACAGAGGTACAGCCTACCGCTGAACCAGGGAAAAGTCTCCTCACAAGACACTGTAGCCTTTTTGTGATCTCCCAAAATCTTGAGAGATGTCTTCTCAAGAAAAAGTCATAAGAGAGAGAAAACATTATAGCTGGAATTCAGACTGAAGGTATCATCTGGGACCTCCATCAGAACATAATACTCTGAAAACCTGATGCAAGACTGTCCTCCGTATGTTCAGGACCAGATCTGTTTACAAGTGCAGTTCGAACAGATATAGCAAAACAACAACAACAACAAAATGCGACGTGCAGTTACTCTGTTTCATTTCTGGGCCATTCATCTGCTCCCTCCCATTTTTTATCCTTCCAAAGTCTGGATCTCTAGATCTGGGACCTGAAGTAACAAAGGCAAGGGGGTTTTCTCTTCCTTCCCATTGTCCCTAAACACTTCTTATGAAACAGAGGTACGTGTTATATTCTTCTAAGCTTTCGCCACACAGGCTCCCAATGTGTTCAGACACGCACATGCACAGTGACTGTGATCCTACACCCTAACTCCCTGCAAAGGGGGCAGAACATATTAAGCAATGGACCATAGGAGCAAATTCAATTTTTCCAGCTCAAGTGACTTACACTGAGAGTCACTGTGATCACCTTAATTTAGGAGAAATCATCTTCCTGGGAACAGGGTCCATGATGGTGAATGTCTTTAGGCCTTGAGTCAAAATCAATAAACATGTTCCTTTTACTAGAGTTTTTTCTAAAGCCAGAATCAGGTTGAAAAGGTAATTATGTTGAGTAAGAAGCTGTGGGTACTGTTCTTGAGGGAGATGATGTGTCAAACTAAGAATAGGAAGATACAAAGGGTAGAGAGCGAGGAAAATGTTCCTTTAATAGTAATTATCTTGGTTGTATAAAGTGTCTTTGTTCTCCAGAGCTTCAAGTACTCCTCATGTACTTTCTCATTTCTTTTTCTTACCCCCTAAAGGATGGGAGGCATAGAAGGGGTTGACTATCTGCCCAAAATCACTCAGTGGGCCAGCTGGCCACAGCACAACTGGGGCCCTGGACTCTGCCCCTGCACACAGAGGCAGAGGTATAAATCCCCAAGGATACACTCCTTCCCCAACTAAATTACAAGCTCCTAGAAAAAAGAAATCAGGGTTTACATATGTTTGTGTGTGCCCCAGCACCCAACACAATGCCTTGTGAGCAGGAGACAGAACAATCCTTTAGAAATGAAAATAACTTCAGTTTTCTACTTAAAAATGTTTTACAGAATTCCTGTGATCTTGAAGGTAGTCTCAAGGCTTTTCATGATACAGTCCATTCGGACTTCTCCAGTAACATTTCTCAGCACTGGACTTTAAGCTACTCTGAGAATCCTTCCCTCCTGGCCACTTTATGCTCCCTTTGTATCCTGTGCTTCCTTCTACCCCTGCACATGGCACATCTATCAGTAATTGTCTGCCTAACTGTACACTGTTGGTGTATCCCTGGTACTTGGCACATAGTAGACACTCAATGAAAATTTGTTGAATGCATTCTGGGCAACATGGCAAAACCCCATCTCTACAAAAAATACAAAAATTAGCCAGGTGTGATGACACACGCCAGTAGTCCTAGCTACTCCAGAGGCTGAAATGAGAGGATCACTTGAGCTTGAGAGGTGGAGGTTGCAGTGAGCTGAGATTGCACCACTGCACTCCAGCCTGGGCAACAGAGTGTGACCCTGTCTCAAAAATGAAAAAAAAATTTGTTGAATGAATGCACATGTAAATGTTTACTCGATAACTGCTCATGTTATGAGTCCTGGGAAGGTGAAGAAAGTGAGTTGTTTGTGTTTGGATACTTAGGGTCACAGCAACTTTGGAGACATAGAGAAAAAAAGGAAGGATCTTTAAGGCATGGATACCAGCTAACAGCTATTTAAAGAGGGGAGGAAAAGAAAAAGGTCACTATTTTAGAGAATATATAGAAAAGAAGTCCTGAAATGGAGGAGGGGTATCAGATATATGAATATCTAAATGGGAAACATACCCCATAAATGAAATCTAATTCCATCAGGGGCCAGCCCTTCACTGCTCTAGAAGTTTTCTCTTACCAGTTATCAGTGCTGATACATGCCTAGCTCATTTGTTAAAACTAGATGTTCCGGCTGGGCTCGGTGGCTCACGCCTGTAATCCCAGCACTTTGGGAGGCCGAGGCGGGTGGATCACGAGGTCAGGAGATCGAGACCATCCTGGCTAACACGGTGAAACCCCGTCTCTACTAAAAAATACAAAAAATTAGCCAGGCGTGGTAGCACACGCCTGTAGTCCCAGCTACTCGGGAGGCTGAGGCAGGAGAATGGCGTGAACCCAGGAGGCAGAGCTTGCAGTGAGCCGAGATCGCACCACTGCACTCCAGCCTGGGCGACAGAGCGAGACTGTGTCTCAAAACAAACAAACAAACAAAAAAACAAAAACTAGATGTTCCTAGACTCAGACCCCAGTGTAGATGAAGGCAAAAAGTTTCCTAAAGGGAAAATTCTATACTGGATCCCACCTCAATTCTATACAGACATATTTTCTTATTTCAACTACAGAGTACAGGTAGCTTTTTAAGCTGAGAAGAGAGGATTTCTTTTTTTTAAGATGGAGTCTCACTCTGTTGCCCAGGCTGGAGTGCAGTGGCACGAACTCAGCTCACTGCAACCTCCGCCTCCTGGGTTCAAGTGATTCTCCTGCCTCAGCCTCCCGAGTAGCTGGGATTACAGGTGCCCACCACCACACTTGGCTAATTTTTTGTATTTTTAGTAGAGACTGGGTCTCACCAGGTTGGCCAGCCTGGTCTTGAACTCCTGACTTCAGGTGATCCGCCTGCCTCAGCCTCCCAAAATGCTGGGATTACAGGCATGAGCCACCGTACCAGGCAAAGAGAGGACTTTTTAACAAAAAAATTCATCGATGCGTGTATTATGCAGCCACTTTGGGATGCGTTGTGGCAAGGGCATAATAGTTGAATGTTATTCTGCAGACAGTGAAACCCAAGAATGAGTTCAGTCAATTCAATCTGCACGAAAAACCAAGATGTGCTGGTAACCGGAATCCTGACTTGTAACAGAACAGGAATAGCTAATAGCCTTGAAGGCTCCATTTTAGTACTAAGGCTCCATTTTAGTACTTACTCTCCTGGTTTCCACAGGGGGCTTCTTTTTGCTGGGGCCTTGGCTGGAAGTCCCTATCTTGGCCCTGAGGTGGGGGGAAAATATGCAGGAAATGTTACTGGCAGAGGCAATATCACTACATTCAAGCAAATGTGGCCCAAATGAATATTTCAGCAGGTTGGCTATTGTTATACTACTCCTGGCTGGCAGAATAAATTGGGTGGCCAAATTTTCTTTGGGTGCTGCTTTACTTCACAGCAGAATCCCAGTTTGAGACACTTAGGGATCTGGGGTTTGAGAAAGTGAAAATGTGATTGACAGCAGGTATCAGATTTTGAAATACTTGACTGTGCATCAAAACCCAGAGAAAGGGAAGATCTGAGACCTCATTTGCATGGAAAATTCAGTCGAATGGAACAAAGCAAAGCTTCATACCTCCAAGTACCCTCACATTCCACCTGGCTTGGAAAGGAGCTCCCTACCTCTTCACCTACATGTGCATCTGGAGAGCATGGGGTCAGCTTCCTAGTGGTCTACCTTATTTCTCCTGTATGTCTAGGGGTCCACAGAGTCCCAGGAAAAGGGTAGCTGTTCTCTGTGGGCCTAGGGTGGAAGCATCTTGGGCTAGGGAACAAACCACACCTTGGATTATTCCAGCAGCATTCTTATTAGCTTTCTAGGGTGCTAATAAGAATGACTGAATTGTCTTACTGACTCATTTTGTTCCTGATAGAGAATTGAAAGAAGAACATAAGTAGCCTCCACAATAAAAATATGTTAGGGATGTACTCAACATTCCCCCTAATATCACAGCACCCCACCCAATGATTGATACATACCCTCTTGCAAACATTTATATTTTAGTCTGGACTGCCTCTTAAGGTTCCAAAAGCTAACTGCTCACTGGGTAAAATAGAATTATATTTTATTTGTTCTTACTCCTTCAAGAGTTTCCCTATGTTTTTGTAAATATTCTGAGACTTCATAAGTCCTGTGCCTTCTGGTGATATTAACATAGTAAGTATTATTGAATGTGCTGAATTCAATTGTTTAGATCGGACTGTATTTCTTCTTAGCCTTCATCTTGAAAAGAAAAATCGTACTTTGCTGAAAAAGGGACTGTGTTCAAATTATATTGTAAATATTAACTTGCTCCCTTTCCTTAGTCCACCCACTGTAATAGGCAGATACTGATGAAGTCCTGCAAAAGAAAGTGACTCGCCCAAGGACAGGATCAACCAACAGTAATAGCTGGCAAAGCCTAACTAGGACGCAGGAGCGAGCCTCTCTCCCCACACCACTGACCTGTCCAGCCCTGGCCTGCTGGGGGAGCTGGGCTCGTCCATGTGTTTTCGTTTCCTCATCACAGCTCCTACTGCTTTCTTCTCAACTGGGACCTTCAGGAGGAAGCAGATGCCTGTGACTCCTCCTTTCCAGAGTTGCTCACAGTTCATGAAGGCACAGTGAAGAAAACTCCCCATCCTTAAACTGCCAAAGGCAACTTTTAACACCAGCTTTGCAAGTAAGAATAGACATTCTGTTAGAGACATGGTCTCAGAAATCTAGCCAAGGGGGAAAATATGGTCTTATGTTTACAATTCTGACTGGACCTGGGCAGCAACTGAGGGCAAAGTAAGGGGAAGAGGCAAGAGCAGGACTTTTTGGAAAAAAGAAGGTGATAAAGGCAATTTTCATTTTGTACAGAAAAGGCAAACTTACCAACCCAAGAGGACTGTCACTTATTGGTTTCCCTACAATAGGAAATTTGAGTGTCATAATAGATTTAAGACTTTTTTTTTTTTTTTTTTGGAGATTAAGTCTCTCTCTGTCACCCAGACTGGAGTGCAGTGGTGCGATCTCGGCTCACTGCAACCTCCGCCTCTTGAGTTCAAGCGATTCTCCTCCCTCAGCCTCCCGAGTAGCTGGGACTACAGGCACATGCCACCACACCTGGCTAATTTTTGTATTTTTAGTAGAGAGAGGGGTTTCACCACGTTGGCCAGGTTGGTCTCAAACTCCTGACCTCAGGTGATCCACCTGCCTTGGCCTCCCAAAGTGAGCCACCAGGCCTAGCCACGATGCTGTTTTACCTGGACTTCTGGCTACTATTTATTTCTTGGAACTGACCCCAGACAAAGACTCCTCATGTGCCCTTCTCCCTTCTACCTGGTACTATTTTCCCTAAAAATAGTGTCTTCAAACTCTCTTCCTCCCCTGTTTCAGAATGATTGTAATCTACAAGCTAGAAAGGGTTTGAAAAGGGAGGGGACGATCCTTACTAAAAAAGAAAAAAGGTAGAACTTCAGCTACCTGTGACAAATGAAAAGGGGAGATATTTTGAGGCAAGGCCTTTGCACCCCTTTTCTTTTCTTTCTTTTTTGAGACAGAGCTAGCTCTGTTGCCCAGGCAGAAGTGCAGTGGTGTGATCTTGGCTCACCAGAACCTCTGCCTCCCAGGTTCAAGCAATTCTCCTCCCTCAGCCTCCAGAGTAGCTGGGACTACAGGCATGCACCACCACCATGTCGGGCTACATCATATATATATATATATATATATATATATATATATATATTTTTTTTTTTTTTTTTTTTTTTTTTTTTTTTTTTCAGATGGCATCTTGCTCTGCCGCCCAGGCTGGAGTGCAGGGGCGTGATCTCAGCTCACTGCAATCTCTGCCTCCCGGGTTCAAGCGATTCTTCTGTTTCAGCTTCCTGAGTAGCTGGGATTAGAGGCGCACACCACCACGCCTGGCTAAATTTATTTTTAGTAGAAATGGGGTTTCACCACGTTGGTCAGGCTGGTCTTGAACTCCTGGCCTCAAGTGATCCTCTTGCCTCGGCCTCCCAAAGTACTGGGATTACAGGCATAAGCCACCATGCCCAGCCTGCACCCCTTTTCAAATCAAAAGGGTAGGTGTTTACTTGTCCCTCAATCAACAAAAACACCCATGGCCTTCAGAGAATAAAAATTTGGGCTAGGCACAGTGGCTCATGCCTGTAATCCCAGTGTTTTGGGAGGCCGAGGTGGGAGGATCGCTTGAGCCCAGGAGTTTGAGACCCAACGGTGCAATATAGTCAGACCCCTGTCTCTACTAAAAAAAAAAAAAAAAAAATTAGCCGGGGATGGTCGCACACACCTATAGTCCTAGCTACTTGGGAAGCTGAGGCAGGAGGATCACTTGAGCCCAGGAGTTAGAGGTTACAGTGAACTATGATCACACCACTGTACTCCAGCCTGGGTGACAGAGTGAGACCCTGTCTAAATAAAAATAAAATTGGGAGATACCTTTAAGATAGCTCTAAAGTGAAAATCATAGAATTCTCTCTAATGGAAGGGTTTATATAATAGTTATCTTTCATTCAGTGATTAAGTCAGGCTTTGTACTTTTCATCTACTACTATTTAATCCTTTTAACAACTCAATGATATAGGTAGTAATATTATTCTTCACCATTTCACAAGGGAGGCATAGAAAGATTAATTTATCTAACTTCACACAGCCATTAAGTGGCAGGACCACCAGTATTTGAACCGGTCAGTCTGGCCTGGAGCACATGATCCTGACCTGTGCACTGTATGGCTGGAGCCTAATCTGGTAGCCCCTTTCGCGATACCTAGCTGGCACAGCTAAACCATTTTCTTCTCTGCCATCCACATTCACATCATTCCACTTACCAGGTGACAGGTTTTCATGGAACCATTTCATCTCCACATATAGAGTAAAAACAAATGGGTAGGGGATCAAGATAATTTCCCCATGTTTGAATTTCAGGTGGGAAACTCTCTCCCATTTGCTTTTATCTGGAAAATGGTGCTAAGGAGTAAGGAAAGATGCCAGTATGCATTCCTAAGTACTATTTTAGGGATGAGACTCTCTCTCCTTCCCCTGACCTACCCTCCAAACTGCCTATGGTTTTGCTACGTCCATTTGAGTCTAAAATGTGAGCTGTAGCTCATTTCCAGCCAGAAAAGAAAGGATAGGCTGGGCGCAGTGGCTCATGGCTGTAATCCCAGCACTTTGGGAGGCCGAGGCGGGTGGATCACCTGAGGTCAGGAGTTCAAGACCAGCCTGGCCAACATGGTGAAATAGCGCCTCTACTAAAAATACCAAAATTAGCCGGGTGTGGTGGCATGTGCCTGTAATCCCAGCTACTGGAGAGGCTGAGGCAAGAGAATCGCTTGAACCTGGGAGGCTGAGGTTGCAGTGAGCCAAGATCATGCCATTGCACTCCAGCCTGGGTGACAGAGCAAGACTCCATCTCAAAAAAAAAAAAAAAAAAAGGATACAGGGAAATACAATGAAGTGTTCTGTAGCAAAGGGCTGAAGATTGTCCAAGTTTCCCAAGACCACGCGGACAGAATCCTGAAAAACATATTTGAAATGACTTTAACACTGTTGAGTCTCAGCCAGTCTTTGTTTATATTTGTCACTGCTACTCACATACCCTATACACTATCAAAACTGAACTATTTGCTGTTCCTTTAACACGTGTTCTGATTCTCCATTTCTTTTTCTTTCTTTCTTTCTTTTTTTGAGAGAGTCGTGCTTTGTGGCCCAGGCTGAAGGGCAGTTGCATGATCTCTGCTCACTGCAATCTCTGCCTCCTGGGCTCAAGTGATCTTCCCACCTCAGCCTCCCCAGTAACTGGGACTACAGGCGTGCACCACCACACCCATCTAATTTTTTTATTTTTTGTAGAGATGTGGTTTCACCATGTTGCCCAGGATGGTCTTGAACTCCTGGGCTCAAGTGCTCTGCCCTCCTCGGTCTCCCAAAGTGCTGGGATTACAGGCATGAGCCACTGCACCCAGCCCGCTTCTCCATTTCTATGCTTTTGCATAGAAAGGGAATTTCTCTTCCTGAAATGCCCTTTCCACCCATCAGCACTTGTCCAAATCCGACCTATCCTTTCAGGCATAGTTCAAAAGGCATCTCCTCCAGAAATCTTTCCCTGATTTACCAAGTTATAATTGTTAGTATCAAACTTCACAGTAGTTAGCCTGGAGTCTTTACTACATTCCACATACAAATGTTTTATATTCCTTACTGGGAGATCTACTTGAAGTAGAATATACACCTGACTTATCTTAGTATCCCTTCTATGGTGTCTACCATCATGAATAATGCATAACAAGTCCTCACTAAATGTACATTGAATGAATGAATAATACTGGTATTAACTGATATACAGTATTTTGCTTTTGTTTAAGTCAAACCTTTTTTTCACTCACTTTAAATTTTAATCGATTAGTCCCTAATTAAGCTATATGCTTATTAGTCTATACTAATTAATTTGGCATCATAAAGACTACTAAATTTCTGTGGGGAAAAAAGTCTCAATTTCAATCCCAGCCTTGTCATTTCACCCTAAGCTTCAGTGTTCTCATGTTTGTGTTCAAAGAAGATAGAAACTGTGGCCAGCGCAGTGGCTCATGCCTGTCATCCCAGCACTCTGCGAGGCCAAGGCAGGTGGACTGCTTGAGCCCGGGAGTTCAAGACTGGCCTGGGCAACATGGCAATACTCCATCTCTACAAAAAATACAAAAATGAGTTGGGTGTGGTGGCACACGCCAGTAGTCCCAGCTACTTGTGAGGCTGAGGTGGGAGGGTCACCTGAACCTGGGAGGTCGAGGCTGCAGTGAGCTATGATTGCATCACTGCCCTGTAGCCTAGGCAACAGAGCAAAACCTTGTCTCAAAAAAAAAAAAAAAAAAAAAAGATATTGTGTCTTGTTTATCTTTGTATTCTCCATAGTAGCACAGTGTCTAGCTTATAATTATACTGGCTAATATTTATTGAGTAATTACTATGGGAAGTGTTACTGTTTTTTGTTTTTTTGAGACAGAATCTCGTTGTGTCACCCAGGCTGGAGTGCAGCCGCACAATCTTGGCTCACTGCAACCTCCACCTCCTGGGTTCAAGCAGTGCTGTGCCTCAACCTCCCAAGTAGCTAGGATTATAGGCACACACCACCACGCCCAGCTAATTTTTTGTATTTTTAGTAGAGATGGGGTTTCGCCATGTTGTCCAGGCAGGTCTCAAATCCCTGAGCTCAGGCAATCTGCCCACCTTGGCCTCCCAAAGTGCTAGGATTACAGGCATGAGCGACCACGCCCGGCCTTTTTTTTTGAGATGAAGTTTTGTTCTTCTTGCCCAGGCTGGAGTCTGGAGTGCAATGGCTTGGTCTCCGCTCACTGCAACCTCTGCCTCCAGGGTTCAAGCGATTCTCCTGCCTCAGCCTCCCAAGTAGCTGGGATTACAGGTGCCTGCCACCACACCTGGCTAACTTTTGTATTTTTGGTAGAGATGGGGTTTCACTATGTTGGCCAGGCTGGTCACAAACTCCTGACCTCAGGTGATCCACCCGCCTTGACCTCCCAAAGTGCTGGGATTACAGGCGTGAGCCACAGAGCCCGGCTGTGTTTTTATACATATTAATTAATTTAACTCTCACAAAAACCCTGTGAGGCAATTCTGTTATTCCCATTTTACAGACGGGGAAACAGACAAAGAGAGGTGAAAAAATGTAGTCTAGGTTACATAACTAGAAATAGCAGGGCCAAGATCTGAACCAAGGCAGCAGGGTTCCAGAGCTCCTAGTCTTAACCCCTAGGCTAGCCTGCTTCTCAGTAAATGTTTTCTTTTTTTGTTTTTGAGATGGAGTCTCACTCTGTTGCCCAGGCTGGAGTGCAGTGGTGCGATCTCGGCTCACTGCAACCTCCGCCTCCCAGGTTCAAGCAATTCTCCTGCCTCAGCCTCCTGAGTAGCTTGGACTACAGGTACGTGCCACCACACCCAGCTAATTTTTGTATTTTTAGTAGAGACGGGGTTTCGCCATGTTGGCCAGTCTGGTCTTAAACTCCTGACCTCAGGTGATCCACCTGCCTCGGCCTCCCAAAGTGCTGGGATTAAAGGTGTGAGCCACAGCGCCCAGCCTCAGTAAGTGTTTTCTAAATGAAGAAAAGAGAATGATAACATCTGACCCCAAACTAGTGAGCATAAGAGAAAGATGCATATGCATATCAAATGCACCTTGGAAATATGACATACGTTGAATGTAAATACTCTCGAGCTACTAATTATTGAGCTACTGTGTGGCAGGCATTGCAGACATCTATTTCTAATCCTCAGTCTTGAAACAGGCCTTCTTTATTAACCTCATTTGACAGGTAAGGAAACAGACTCAGGGAGGGTAGGTACTTTGCCCGAAGTCAAACTGTGAATGGCAGAACACTTCTCATAGTAATTACTCAATAAATATTAGCTATTATAATTAGAAGCTAGACACTATCCTAGTATGGAGACTTCAAATCCAGGTTTGACTGGCTCTAAAGTCTGTGTTCCCTCCTCTCTGTTATGCTTCCGTGAGCTTTTCACTGCTCAGGTTAACTGAAGCAAAGTGAAATAAAGCCTGCTCTGCTCATAATTAAAATAGGTAGAATGGCCGGGTGCAGTGGCTCACACCTGTAATCCCAACACTTTGGGAGGCCGAGGCTGGTGGATCACGAGGTCAAGAGATCGAGACCATCCTGGCCAACATGATGAAACCCCGTCTCTACTAAAAATACAAAAATTAGCTGGGCGTGGTGGTGCACATCGGTAGTCCCAGCTGCTTGGGAGGCTGAGGCAGGAGAATCGCTGGAACTTGGGAGATGGAGGTTGCAGTGAGCCAAAATCGTGCCACTGCACTCCAGCCTGGTGACAGAGCGAAACTCCATCTCAAAAAACAAACAAACAAACAAACAAAAAACCAGGTAGAACATTTTCTTGGTCCTATGTTAAAATAACTTATTCATAATGATATCCTTGAGGGTCCTGCAAGATCCTAATGTATCTTTTAACACTTAGCCAAAGAGGTACCTTCTTAAGGGTATGACTCAGTTTTGGTTTCACAGAGTTTTGTGTTTAAGTGTATTTAATTGCTTTGAAATGTGGAGGCATATGTCTTAAGAAATCACAATAGTCACAAATTACCGAATTGTGAAGTCAGAAGAGGAAAAGCTAGTTTAGACCTCTCATTTTCCAAATGAGGCAATTAAGATCCAAGTTGATATATGATTTGCCAACGGTCACACAGCTAAGTGGTGGCTATGCCAGGACTGGAATCCAGGGCCAACCCCCAGAACTCTAACTCCTTGTCCATTGCTTCCACCAATTTGTAAAGTTGATCACCTGCTCAGTCTTCTTCTGTAGGAAAACCTAAAGCTAGAGGAACCGGGTAGAAAGGAATGAAAATGAAGTCGGAATAAGGCAATTGCAAATGTTGCCAATTTAAATGAAGACACAGCAGCCTTGTCTGTGTATTTACAGTCGAGTTTCCTGAACGTCAAGTACCAGGCAGTGGTTGGGATGGTGAGGTTTCCCAGAGCCCTGGAAGGAGGCAGTCCTCCGGAATCTTTCTCTATGCCAGCTGCAACAAAAGAGAGCTGCCCAAGGCTGGAAACTGGTGAAAACAAAAAGCTCTCAGCCTCAAAGGTGCTGACATTTCAACTAGGAAAACTGAGAAAGAATACAGGCTTTAAATTCCCATGGAAAAACATAAAGTTCCTTTGCAAAGGAGATGTAGCAGGAGGAAGCCAAGTTATCAAGTGGAGGTTGTGACTCAGTTTGTAGGAAATAATTAAAACCTGAATGTGGATGCATCCTTAAAGAGTAACTTTTCCAGAAGTCGTATGCTTCTTTCCCTACCTCCAGCTCCTGGGTGATGACTTCCTTATTTTCTATCTCTTCTCCTCTAGAAGGTAAACAGACAAGAGACAAGTAAGACATGAAGGAAAGCTCTGGAGAGAGTAGACTCTACTAGGGCAAAAATAACACTTCCACTGAGCTAAAGAAACATGACATAAGTAAAACTGTGTAAGCTGACCCAGTGCTCATGGGGAAGAAGTGATCACCTAGGTGGCGTGGTCTGAACATTGGTATAAAATGACTTCTCAACCTGCCAAGACCTGAAATTCCCACTGTGAAAGTTAATCATTGGTTACAACAGTTGTACTTTAAGTGTGCTTTGGGGACCCTTTCAATGGGTCTTCAAGGGTAAAACTATTTTCATAATAATACTAAGGTATTATTTGCCTTTCTCACTGTGTTAATATTTGTAACCATGATTGCAAAAGCAATGGTGGGCAAAATTGCCAATGCCTTAAAACAAATCTAGCCAGTTGCACTAGGCTGTACTATCAGTCAAAGAAATCTTTACTGCTGCATAGGAAAAAAAAAAAATCCAGTTTCACTGAATATCCTTGAGGAAGCAGAAAAAAAAAGCAATCATTTTATAAAATCTCAATCTTTAACTACATGTCTCTTTAAATGTTATGTGATAAAACACGAAGTATGCATAAAGCGCTTCTGCTGCATACCAAAATATGATAGTTATTTTAGGGAAACTCACTTGTGTGACTGTTTAAGCTGCAAACTGAACTGTCTGCTTTTCTTCATGGAATATTTTACTTGAATGATCAGCTAACAGACAAACTATGGTTGTTATTCATACTTGGAAGTTTGACAGACACTTTCTTAAAAATCAATAAAATAGGCATGTCAACTCAAGGAAAAGAACTGACAATACTTGTTGTCAACAATAAATTTTGGGCTTTCAAGTGAAAATTTAAATTTTGGAAAATTTCCGTCCACCATTTTGAGTTTGACAGTTTCCAAATACGTCAACACTTTTAAGACTGTGGTGATATTAACAAATATTTTTCGATACTGTATAATGAAATGTATCAATATTTGGAGGATGTGCATAATTCAGTGAACCAAAATATTCCAAATGACCAGTGAAACACATCATGTTACAAAATCATCCTAGGTCAGGCCAGGCGCAGTGGCTCACGCCTGTTAATCCCGGCGCTTTGGGAGGCCAAGGCAGGTGGATCACCTGAGGTCAGGAGTTCGAGACCAGCCTGGCCAACGTGGTGAAACCCTGTCTCTACTAAAAATACAAAAAAGGCCCGGTGCGGTGGCTTACGCCTGTAATCCCAGCACTTTGGGAGGCCGAGGTGGGTGGATTACCTGAGGTCGGGAGTTTGAAACCAGCCTGATCAACATGGAGAAACCCCATCTCTACTAAAAATAAAAAATTAGCTGGGCATGGTGGTGCATGCCTGTAATCCTAGCTACTTGGGAGGCTGAGGCAGGAGAATTGCTTGAACCGGGAGGCAGAGGTTTTGGTGAGCTGAGATTGCACCATTGCACTCCAGCCCGGGCAACAAGAATGAAACTCCATCTCAAATAAATAAATAAATAAATAAAAATAAAAATACAAAAAATTAGCTGGACGTGGTGGCGGGCGCCTGTAATTCCAGTTACTTGGGAGGTTGCAGTAGGAGAATCACTTCAACCCGGGAGGTGGAGGTTGCAGTGAGCCAAGATCGCACCATTGCACTCCAGCTTGGGTGACAAGAGTGAAACACGGTCTCAAAACAAAACAAAAACAAAAATCATCCTAGGTCAAATATTCATTCAAAGAACAACAAAGACCAGTGGATTTTAATGTAACAGAGTTCAAAAAGTTCATGACATAATTTCAGATTCCACATTGCAACTAATCTTAAAAATAACTACCATTAAAAAAAAAACAAACCCAAACTACGATTTGTCCAGTTTTGTCACAGGGTCAAAGAATATCCACAATGATCTGAGAGGGCTACTAATATAGTCCTACCTTTCCAAACTACAAATACATATAAGCTGTTTTTTTTTTTTTTTTTTTTGAGATGTTGTTTCGCTCTTGTTGCCCAGGCTGGAGTGCAATAGCGCAATCTCCGCTCACTGCAACCTCCGCCTCCCGGGTTCAAGCGATTCTCCTGCCTCAGCCTCCCAAGTAGCTGGGATTACATGCACCCGCCATCACGCCTCGCTAATTTTTATATTTTTAGTAGAGATGGGGTTTCACCATGTTGGCCAGACTGGTCTCAAACTCCTGACCTCAGAAGATCCGCCTGCCTCGGCCTCCCAAAGTGCTGGGATTACAGGCGTGAGCCACCGCGCCTGGCCTGATTTTTTTTTTCTCTCTTTTTGAAGTTGAGACAAGGTCTCACTCTGTTCCCCAGGCTGGAGTACAGTGGTGCAGTCATGGCTACCTGCAGCCTCAACTCCCTGGGGCCAACCGATTCCTCCTGCCTTAGCCTTCCAAGCAGCTGGGATCACAGGTGCAAACCACCATGTCCAGCTAATTTCTTTTATTTTTTGTAGAGATGGGGTCTCACTTTGTTGCCCAGGCTGATCTCAAACTCCTACGCTCAAGCAATCCTCCCACTTGAGCCTCCCAAAGTGCTGGGATTACAAGAGTGAGCCACTGCACCTAGCCAAAAGTTCCCTTCGATTTCTAGTTTATTGTTTTGTTTTGCTTTTTTGAGACAGTCTCACTCTGTTGCACAGGCTGGAGTGCAGCGGCGCGATCTGCTCACTGCAGCCTCTGCCTCCCAGGTTGAACTGATTCTCCTGTCTCAGCCTCCCGAGTAGCTGGGACTACAGGTCTGCACCACCATGCTCAGCTAATTTTTTTATTTTTAGTAGAGACAGGGTTTCACCATGTTGACCAGGCTGCTCTTGAACTCCTGACTTCAGGCGATCTGCCTGACTTGGCCTCCCAAAGTGCTGGTATTACAGATGTGAGCCACTGAACCCAGCTGTTTTTATCATGAAAAGGTGAGATGCTGGGTTTGATCAAATGCAGTGCAGTGGCAAGATCTCGGCTTACTGCAACCTCCACCTCCCGGGTTCAAGCGATTCTCCTGCCTCAGCCTCCTGAATAGCTGGGATTACAGGCATGAGCCATCTTGCCTGGCTCACTAAATATAACTTTAATAATACCGTATTTGTTGCATATATTATTCTTAAATTAATAAACACACTGCTTTAAATTTTTGCTGTGATTTTTTTTTTTTAAGACAGAGTTTCACACTGTTGCTTGGGCTGGAGTGCAGTGGGACCATCCCGGCTCACTGCAACCTCCGTCTCCCGAGTTCAAGCAATTTTCCTGCCTCAGCCTCCTGGTTAGCTGGGATCACAGGTGCCTGCCACTATGCTCAGCTATTTTTTTTTATTTTTGGTAGAGACGGGGTTTCACCATGTTGGCCAGGCTGGTCTCGAACTCCTGACCTCATGATTCACCCCCCCGCCCCACCTCGGCCTCCCAAAGTGCTGGGATTACAGGCGTGAGCCACTGTGCCTGGCCAAATTTTTGCTTTAATTTTTATGACAAATATTGACAGATTAATCAAAAGCTCTTTAGGGTCCTTAATAATTTTAAAGAGTGCAAGGTGGGTGCTGGTGGCTCATGCCTGGAATTCCAACACTTTGGAAAGCTAAAGAGGGAGGATCCCTTGGGCCCAGGAGTTTGAGACCAGCCTGAGCAACACAGTGAGACTTCATTTCTACAAAAAAAATTTTAAAATTAGCCTGGTGTGGTGGCACTATGCCTGTAGTCCTAGCTTCTCTGGAAGCTGAGGTGGGAGGATCCCTTGAGCCCAGCAGGTCAAGGCTGCAGTGATCACACCACTACATGTGAAACCCTGTCTTGGGAGAAAAAAAAAAAAAAAAAAAGAAAGAAAAATTGCAAGGGAGTCGAGATGAAAAAATATATATATATTTTGAGATGGAGTCTCACTCTGTGGCCCAGGCTGGAGTACAGTGGCACAATCTCAGCTCACTGCAACCTCCATCTCCCAGGTTCAAGCAATTCTCCTGCCTCAGCCTCCTACCACCATGCCTGGCTAATTTTTGTATTTTTAGTAGAGATGGGGTTTCACCATGTTGGCCAGGCTGGTCTTGAACTCCTGACCTCAAGTGATCCATCCACCTTGGCCTCCCAAAGTGCTGGGATTATAGGTTTGAGCCACTATGCCCAGCCCTGAGATGTAAAATTTTGAGAAACACTGCTTCAAAGATATGTTGTCCTAGGCTGGGTGTGGTGCCTCACACCTATAATCCCAACACTTGGGGAGGCAGAGGTGAGAGGACTGCTTGAGGACAGGGGTTTGAGACTAGCCTGGACAACATAGCGAGATCTGCTTCTCTTCAAAAAAAAAAAAAAAAAAAAAGTTGTCCCTCATTTAGAAACTCATATGAATAATATATATACTGAATATAAAATTCCTGGGAAAGACAGTCCTGCAAGATGCTACTTTACCAGTCTCCTGAACTGGGTGAAGGTAAAGAAGAGGTGACCTGTGGGAATGCACTAGCACTAACTGGTGTTTGCATAGGCTACCCTCCTACCTTTGAAATTACCTGATACTCTTCCCATATCTGATTTTGAATTTATACACATTGGGTCCTGCATGAAGAAACCTCGTCTCTGGAAACGGGTAGGTAAAGGGTTTTAAACTCATTGCTCCCAAACGATAGCCTAAATAAAATAGAAAGAGAATTACTAAAAAGCTAACGATTGTTCCTTATTTACAGGAAAGGGAACCTGCCCAATCTGTAACATCTCTTCATGAGTAAAATGTCCAACACTAAGCACTACTGCCTACGTACCAGGATCATCACTTGGAACATTCTCCTACCTGCATGGGGAGAATACAGTGTGTTGGGATAACCTTTATGCTTGCAGTCAAAAGCCCAGAATTCAAGTTTGATCATTTATGACCTTATGCAAATCATTTCTCTTCCAGAAGACTAATGATACTAGTATCCGCCCTGATGACTCAGAGTCTTTGTTAGAATTAAATGTTTCTCCCAAGTATCTCTTGAATCTGTTCTTCTCTACCATCCCCACTTCCACTGGAATCTCAGTGGATACAGAGAGGGCTCAAGTTAAATAATGACACAATCCAAAGGATACACCAATTACAAGCCAATTAGGAGGACGTTTGCTATCAATTTTAGATGAAATTAAGGTATTACTACAACTTCCTGCCACAACCAATGTAGCAAATAAGGATGTACACTCATGTTTTTGAGTGGCACCAAGGAATGGCTTATTTTCCAGATCTATCAATTACTCTTCCTTTCCCCCACTTGTGAGGCTTCCCTGTGTTCCAAGAGTGCCTACTATACCCCTAGCACTTACTGTTTTATTTCTCCTGTTCTAGAATCTCTGTCCACTTAAGGTCGTCTCTGTGGGGAGTTAAGGGGAGAGATGGAAAAAATAAAAATAAATAATTAGAGGAGATCCAGAGTTCCTAAGGATCAAAACTAGTTATATACATCAGTACAAGTATAAAAATTACATGGTATTGGTTTCAGAGGCAGCTGAGATGCAGTCGACAGAATGGGCCCAAAATAAAGAGAATCTGAGTTTGAATCTCAGTCCAATGTCCCTAATTTCTGAGCCTTGGTTTTCTTACTTACACAATAACAACTCTCAATAACAACTTTTGCCATGCCCTATTCTAAGTTTAATCTCACTTAATCCTCACAACAAGCCTATAAGTCTAAATTTGATAGGTGAGGAAACTGAGGCACTGAGGAATGAATTAAACTGCCCATAGCTATGAATGTTGGAATTTGAATTTAAACTAAGGCAATACAGATCCAGAATTGATATTCTTTAACCACTCTGCCAGTCTGCTTCCTGGGGTTATAAGGAGGAAAAAACAAGACAATAAACATAAAATCACTTTTTAAGCAGTAAAATATCATATACACATAAAGGACTATTTTCATTATGCTTTTCTCCATATTATTCTGATGCCATTTCTACTCAGCAGGGAAAAATTTTCTATGGTAGAAACTCTTCCATGGTAGAGTCACAAGTTCTACGTGCCCGAAGAATGGAATTTCCCACAATTTCCAAAGTTCAAGTCTGGGGCTGCCAGTAAAGAGATACCCCAGTATCTGATCTTGGCTGCCTGAGATTAGAATGACATGAGTGGAGCCAGAGCCCATGAGACTATTTAGACTAGAATTGCAGTCAAAAATGAAAAGAAATAGTTGTGCCAACTGCAAAGTCCCCGGAGGGGAAATACTGATCATATCCTGAGAAAAAACTGATGCCCCATACCAAAGGCATGGCAGGAACCCAGGCTAGTTTTGATGTTTTAGTGCTAGATGACTCTTCTCAGTAGGCGGTGAGCCCACCTGGTTAGACTTACATTGCTGCCACAGAAATTTAACTCTTAATTCTTCCAAGGATTATTTTTTTGTTTTTGTGGTTTTTTTTTTTTTGAGTCAGGGTCTCACTCTGTCACCCAGGCTGGAGTGCAGTGGCATGATCTCGGCTCACTGCAACTTCTGCCTCCCAGGTTCAAGTGATCCTCCTGCCTCAGCCTCCCGAGTAGCAGGGACTACAAGCATACACCACCACGCCCAGCTAATTTTTGTATTTTTAGTGGAGACGGGCTTCACCATGTTGGCCAGACTGGTCTTGAAGTCCTGACCTCAGGTGATCTGCCTGCTTCGTCCTCCCAAAGTGCTGGGATTACAGGCATGACCCACTGTGCCCGGCAATTTTTTTTTTTTTTTTTTTTTTTTTTGAGACGGAGTCTTGCTCTGTCTCCCAGGCTGGAGTGCAGTGGCGTGATCTCTGCTCACTGCAAGCTCCACCTCCCAGGTTCACGCCATTCTCCTGCCTCAGCCTCCAGAGTAGCTGGGACTACAGGCGCCCGCCACCAAGCCCGGCTAATTTTTTTGTATTTTTAGTAGAGACGGGGTTTCACCGTGTTAGCCAGGATGGTCTCGATCTCCTGGCCTTGTGATCCGCCCGCCTCGGCCTCCCAAAGTGCTGGGATTACAGGCATGAGCCACTGCGCCTGGCTCTTTTTTTTTCTTTTCTTTTTTTTTTTTTAAGAGACAGGGTCTTGCTCTGCCATCCAGGCTGGAGTACAGTGGTATACCCATAGCTCACTGCAGCGCCAAACTCCTAGGCTCAAGGGATCCTCCCACCTTAGCCTCCAGAGTAGCTAGGACTACAGATGCATACCACCATGCCCAGCTAATTTTTAAAATTTTTGGAGACAGGGTCTCACTATGTTGCCCAGGCTAGTCTTGAACTCCTGGCCTCAAGTGATCCTCCTGCCTTGGCCTCCCAAAGTGCTGCATTACAGGCATGAACCACTGCCATCTGGCCAGGGGATTCTACTAGGATGCAATAACTTGCCTCCCGCCCCACCCCTAACAGAGGGATGGGGCATCAGAGCAAAGGAAATGAAGGACATTTGCTGGAAATGACAGTCCGAAGAGGAAATTTCATGTGTTGTACCACAGCTGGCTGTCTGAAAGAAGAAAAAACAGCCCTCTTCTAGCTAGGGCCTGTTCCTGTTAATTGCTGGCTGCCCGATTCAGAAACAAACACCATACACTAATTACCTCATTTGAAAATAAAGATTAGACAGTGTATCCCAAACAACCACATAGGAGTAATGGTTCAAATATTTCACAGGGTTATTTTCCAACATTGAGTACTGTGGCCATGGTGATATTACGTCCCAGTAACTATTATTAAGTTGATGAGATCTTGCTTATGAAGGGTCAGACTCTCCACGCATTTTTAGGTGACCACAAATCATGGCTTTAAAACAAAGGAAGAAAACTTACAGGCAGTATGGGATAGTGCAAAAGACATAAGATTTGGAATTGGAGGACCAAGGCTTGAGTCCTGCTTCTGCCTCTATTAGTCATTAGTCCCTGAGCAAGTCACTTAACTTCTTCATTTCCTAGTTTCTATGTCTACAAATGGGGATTCCAACGACCCCTGGAATGTGGGGATTAAATGAGATAATGCTGTAAGTAGCTACTTTGTAAATTCCAGAGTATTATATAAACGTTAGCACTTACGATAGATTTGAAGAGTTTCTCCCTAATGCTTCACTAGAAAAGCAAATTCAAGGCCAGGCATGGTAGCTCACGCCTGTAATCTCAGCACTTTAGGAGGCTCAGGTGGGCAGACCACCCGAGGTCAGGAGTTTGAGACCAGTCTGGCCAATGTGGCGAAACCCCGCCTCTACTAAAAATACAAAAATTGGCCGGGCGTGGTGGGGGGCACCTGCAATCCCAGCTACTCGGGAGGCTAAAACATGAAAATTGCTTGAACCCAGGTTGCGGAGGTTGCAGTGAGCCAAGATCGTGCCACTGCACTCCAGCATGGGGGACAGAGTGAGAGTCCATCTCAAAAAAACAAACAAAAAAAAGCAAATTCAAGAGAGCACTACTTTCCAGGAAATCAATTCTTGAGACAGCACATACGTGCAAAACTGATTAGCTTTAATCCCAATGCAAAATCTGACAAATTCCAACCAAGAACTTTTCCTTGAAAATACCCAAGAATTAGATGTAAATGACACATAGGGACTGATGTTTGAAGGAAAATTATTTTTCAAGGTTTTGGTAATTTGCTTCACATAAACATCTGGATCAGTGCATAGAACCTGAAGCAGGGCCAAATGCTATATGAGGATAATAATATTGACTACTGAGGCAGAAGGAGCTTATGATTTAGCACTCTGCTACTAAATATGTCTGGTGACAACTGATAAAGTCTTTCACAGTGTTGAGAAATAAAAGAGCTTCCATAAGCACTTATTCAAAATACATTGACTGGGCTGGGCGCAGTGGCTCACGACTGTAATCTCAGCACTTTGGGAGGCTGCAGCAGGTGGATCACCTGAGGTCGGGAGTTTGAGACCAGGCTGGCCAACATGGTGAAACCCTGTCTTTACTAAAAATACAAAAATTAGCTGGACATGGTGGTGGGCACCTGTAATCCCAGCTACTTGGGAGACTGAGGCAAGAGAATCGCTTGAACCCGGGGAGGTGGAGGCTGCGATGAACCAAGATTGCGCCACTGCACTCCAGCCTGGGCAACAGAGCAAGACCCCATCTCAAGACCATTAATGAGTGTGGGTAACAAAATATAATATGAAAATCTGATGCTATGAATCCAACACCTGTGTTTTAGAAATGAGATTGAGGACAGATGACTAGCTGCTCCTTCCACATTGTTTTTGAGACGGAGTCTCACTCTGTTGCCCAAGCTGGAGTGCAGTAGCATGATCTCAGCTCACTGCAACCTTTGCCTCCCAGGTTCAAGTGATTCTCCTGTCTCAGCCTCCCACGTAGCTGGGATTACAGGCATGCACCATCACACCTAAATTTTGTATTTTTTTTTAGTAGAGACAGGGTTTCACCATGTTGGCCAGCCTGGTCTTGAACTCCGGACCTCAGGTGATCTCCCTGCCTCAGCCTCCCAAAGTGCTGGGATTACAGGCGTGAGCCACCGCACCCAGCCTCCTTTCACTTTCAAAAGTCCTTGGCTGGTCTCAGAGGTCTGTCCACCTTTGCTGAAGTAGATTCAGCCTGTATGTCCAACTAGAGACTCATGAACGCCTATAGCTGGAGATGCCTTCCATTTTGGTGGGGGATGATAGGGAAGTGACTTCTCCAAAGAAGGAAATGACTTCCACAAAGTTACATAATCCAAGATTAGCCCCTCAAGATTGTTGACTTCTTTGGCACACACGTTTTTCATTACAACATATCACTCGGTCAGTCATTTTACCAAACTGTAACCCTGGTCGCGCTCACCACTCTGCGTGACAAAGGCAATTCATTCTGGATACAAAAACATCAAAGCAAAATTTAATTTTTTTTTTTTTTTGAGACAGAGTCTCACTCTGTCACCCATGCTGCAGTATGATGTCGGCTCACCGTAACCTCTGCCTCTGAGGTTCAAGCAATTCTCATGCCTCGGCGTCTCGAGTAGCTTGTACTACAGGCACCCACCACCACACCTGGCTAATTTTTGTATTTTCTGTAGATATGGGGTTTCGCTATGTTGCCAGGCTGGTCTCAAACTCCTGAGCTCAAGAGATCCACCCACCTTGCCCTCCCAAAGTGCTGGCATTACAGGTGTGAGCCACTGCACCCGGCCTAATGTAAGCTTTTTGATTAAAGCTTCTTAGAATTATAATTTTGGACATAAAGGGTTACATCCACATTTGCTTGTCATAAAGCTCTATTATTCTCAGTTTTCTCACCTTGCATGGTGATTAGGATGATTAGTGAAATAATGCATGTATAATTGTTTTTTCTAGTACTTAGTACACAGATTACTGGATAAAGTCTTTTTTATAAGTGTTAAAATATGGAACAGGAAGAGACTAATGACATAAGACTACCCAGAATACTTCCATGTTTATTGACATCATTCTGTTTTCTCATAGGTTTCTTCCTGCCCTTTCTGGTAAGACACAACCTTTAAAATGCCACTTGTGCAGGAATGGATTTGCCCTTAGAACTGTGTCAAACTTAGTTTTGTTTTGTTTGGTGGGAGTAGGAGGAATAACTAAACCTTGTTTGGGGGTAGGGGGGATAACTAAACCTAACAGAGAATTAGGAAGCTGTTCTGAAGTGAGATCAAAAGACCTCAGTGGGTAACTCAATAAACCAGAAAGGAGTCTAAATTAACCTCTTAAGTTAACTTAGTTTCTCTTTGTTACTCTTTGCACTTAAGTTACTCTTAAGTTACTCTTTGCACAAAAATGCATCTTCCCCTTTCACCTTAACCATCCTAAGAGCTAATGAAAAACGACCTTTGGCCAAAAGGTCCAGGATGTGCTCCTTATTCTGGAAATGCAATAGCGTCTCACCTCACCACCCTGTCCAGTAGTTGTGGCTTGTTACATGAAAATTAACCTGTCCCTTAGAATTCACATCATGCGGCTGGGCACAGTGGCTCATGCCTGTAATCCCAGCACTTTGGGAGGCCGAGGCGGGCTGATCACGAGGTCAGGAGATCGATACTATCCTGGCTAACACGGTGAAACCCCATCTCTACTAAAAATACAAAAAATTAGCCAGGCGTGGTGGCAGGCGCCTGTAGTCCCAGCTACTCAGGAGGCTGAGGCAGGAGAATGGCGTGAACCCGGGAGGCAGAGCTTGCAGTGAGCCGAGACTACGCCACTGCATTCCAGCCTGGGCAACAGAGCGAGACTCTGTCTCAAAAAAAAAAAAAAAAGAATTCACATCATGCTGAATTCACTGCAGCACTCTAAAATATCCTACCAACCGCAGGAACCCAAAAAGCACTTGGATGTAAAACTGCAAGCAAGGAAGGACATTTTATTTTTTTGATTACACCATTGGGTGAGCTGCCCAGAAGCAGTACATGTAAGGAAGAAGATTAAAAATGAAAAAAAAAAAAAAAAAAAAGCAGCAGCAGCAGTAGTTTCAGAAGGGCAAATGATGGAGAAAATATCCTTAGCTGGAAAGAAAGAAAGCAATTTTAACAATTGATACAGCCAGGCACAGTGGCTCACCCCTGTAATCTTAGCACTCTGGGAGTCCAAGGCAGGAGGATCACCTGAGATCAGGAGTTCAAGACCAGCCTGGCCAACATGGTGAAACTCTGTCTCTACTAAAAATACAAAAATTAGCCAGGCATTGTGGTGGAAGCCTGTAGTCCCAGATACTCGGGAGGCTGAGGTAGGAGAATTGCTTGAACCCAGGAGGCGGAGGTTGCAGTGAGCCAAGATTCTACCACTGCAATCCGGCCTGGGCAACACAGAGTGAGACTCCATCTCAAAAAAAGAAAAGAAAAGAAAAAAGAAAAGGACTTTTTATATAAAGAGGGCAAATTTTACTAACCTTAATCCAATTCTGGTGAGATATTAAGGAGATAAGAATTGTACTCGTGGCCAGGCGTGCAGTAGCTCACGCCTTGTAATCCCAGCACTCTGGGAGGCCAAGGCAGGCGGATCACTTGAGGTCAGGAGTTCGAGACCAGCCTGACCAACATGGTGAAACCCAGTCCCTACTAAAAATACAAAAACTAGCTGGGCATGGTGGCAGGTGCCTGTAATTCCAGCTACTCAGGGGGCTGAGGCAGGAGAATCACTTGAACCCGGGAGATGGAGGTTGTAGTGAGCTGAGAACACACCATTGCACTCCAGCCTGAGCGACAGAATGACTGTCTCAAAAAAAAAAAAAAAAAAGAAAGAAAAAGAAATGTACTTGCTAGGTTTATAGAAAGATATACTTGGCCAGGTGTTGTGGCTCATGCCTGTAATCCCACTTTCAGAGGCTGAGGCAGGACTACTTGAGCCCAGGAGTTCGAGACCAGCCCGGGCAACACAGTGAGCCCTCGTCTGTATCATATAAAAAAAAGAAAAAGGCCAGGTGCTGTGGCTCATACCTGTAATCCCAGCACTTTGGGAGGCTGAGTCGGGCAGATCACTTGAGGTCAGGAGTTCGAGACGAACCTGGCCAACGTGGTGAAAGCCCGCCTCTACTAGAATATAAAAATTAACCGGGCGTGGTGGTGGCGCCTGTAATCCCAGCTACTCTGGAGGCTGAGGCAGGAGAATCACTTGAACTCAGGAAGCAGAGGGTGCAATGAGCCGAGATGATACCATTGCACTCCAGCTTGGGCAACAAGAGCGAAACTCTGTCTCAAAAAAGAAAAAGAAAAAAGAAAAAGAAAAAGAAAAGAAAAGGAAAAAGAAACAAAGTGCTGGTTTCCCCGTAACATGTCAGGGAAGCCCATTCTAAGTAAGTGACTAATTTCTAAAGGAAGAATATGAGCTAGTGAGGCACAAATGGAGAATGGATGGTGGGTCTGGGGTGGGTAGAGGAAATAGCAGGTACAAGAGTACTCAGTTGAGAAAAAGCATGGCACTTTCAAAAGAGAGAAGTACAGTAACCCGAACACAGTGGGCAAGAAAGACAATGCTACAAGGTGAGACTATACAGATAAGTGAGTCAGTCAGCACATATCTGAGACCCTACAGTGTATCAGGCACTGTTCTGGGCACTAATATGGTAAGTAACAAGAGAGACATGATCCCTCGTCTTTAAGGGCTTACATTTCAGGAGGTGTGGAGAGCAACATTCAACATATAAATAAATAAACAAATATAAATTGAGGTACTCTAAATAGCATCAAGAAAATAATATGTGGTTTTATTTAGGATGACTAGAAGGCTGCTTTAGCTAGTATGGCCAGTGATGGCCTTTCAGAATAAATCACAACTGACTTGAGGCCTTCATGGAAAGGAGCAACGATCACGGGGAAAAGCATTCCAAGCAGAAAAATCAGCAAGTGCAGATGTCTGTGATGAGTTTAATGGACAGAAAGGTCAATGTGGCTAGAACATTGAGAATGAAGAGAGAGAGGAGGGAGATGAAGATGGAGTGTTAGGCAGGGACCAGATCGTGTAAGGCTTGTAGGCCATTGTAAAAAGTCCAGATTTTATGCCAAGGATTTTATAAAGGGGAGATAACTGATTTGATATATGCTTTATAAATATCTAAATATCTATTCTAATTTTATTTTAGAGACAGGATTTCTCTCTGGCGCCCAGGCTGGAGTATAGCGACACAATCACAGCTCAGGGCAGCCTCAACCTCCCAGGCTCAAGCAATCCTCCCACCTCAGCCTCCCAAGTAGCTGGGACTACAGGTGCCCACCACTATACCCAGCTAATTTTTGCAGAGATGGGGTTTCACTATGTTGCCCATGCTGGTCTCGAACTCCGGAGCTCAAGTGATCTGCCCACCTCGGCTTCCCTAAATGCTGGGATTACAAGCATGAGCCATCAGGCCAGGCATGGTGGCTCACGCCTGTAATCCCAGCACTTTGGGAGGCTGAGGCGGGCGGATCATGAGGTCAGGAGATCGAGACCATCCTGTGAATGGTGAAACCCCATCTCTACTAAAAATAAAAAAAAATTAGCTGGGCGTGGTGGCGGGTGCCTGTAGTCCCAGCTACTCAGGAGGCTGAGGTGGGAGAATGGCACGAACCCAGGAGGTGGAGCTCGCAGTGAGCCGAGATCGCACCACTACACTCCAGCCTGGGCCACAGAGCGAGACTCTGTCTCAAAAAAAAAAAAAACAAGAATGAGCCACCAAGCTTGGTCCAAAATATCTAAATATCTGGTGACTGAAAGGAAGATGAACTGTAAGGGGACAGGAGGAGAAATAGGGAGACCAGTTAAGAAGCTTCTGTAGTCGTCCAGGAGAAAGATGCTGCTGATTTGGACTTGGGATTTTAGAAATTAATAAATAGTTAGATTTGAGATATACTTTAGACTAACTAACGGACTAGATGTGGGAATCAAGGATGGCTCTCAGATTTTTTTGCCTTTGCAATTAGGTAGACAATGGTACATACTCTACTGAGATGGGGAATAATTCTAGGGAAAGAGATTTGGGGTGGGAGGGAGCAGTGAAAATTAGTAGTTGTGTTTTAAGTCTAAGAGGCCTATGAGACATCCAAGTGGATATACCGAGGAGGCAGTCTCCTAGTGTGTAAGGGACAGAAATCAGAACGGAAATATACATTTGAGTCACCAGTGTTTAGATGGTATGTGAAACTACTGGAATAGATGATGAGATCATCCAGGAAGAAATTATAGAGAAGGGATGAGGGCCTTCCTTATAAGCCAGGTTACAGATTGTGGAATCTGTTGTCAGAGCAATCAGAAGGCACTGAAGGGTATAATAAAAAAAAAAAACGACATGACCAGATGGCTGTGACTTAAAAAAAAAAAAAAATCCCTCCTGGCTGCAATGTGGGAAACAACCCGGAACAAGAACAGATGAAAGGAGACCAGCTAGGAGCCTCCTGCGGCTCAAGGCAGAAGCTGACAGTAGCCAGGTCTACAGTGATAAAAGTGAAGATGACAAAAGGTGAACTGATTTGGAAGATGGTACTCAGGAAGCTGAGGCAGGCAAGACTCTGTCTTTTTTTTTTTTGAGACGGAGTCTTACTCTGTTGCCCAGGCTGGAGTGCAGTGGTGCGATCTTGGCTCACTGCAACCTCTGCCTCCCGGGTTCAAGCGATTCTCCTCCCTCAGTAATGACCTGGTGACTTGATAAGGTGAGGGAGAGCGATGACTCCTGGTTGCTTGAGCAACTAACTGAAGAGGTAAAAGCACCATTTTCTGAAAACAGGAGCCTTGGAAAGTAAATTTTTGAAGGCAAGATGTTGAGTCTGTATCTGGAGATGCTGAAGTTTGAGATGCCAATGAGATAGCCAAAGAGAGATTCTAGATAAGACTGCTGGAAACTGGCTTCCTACCTGCAGATACATACATGAAGGAACTAGAGTTCAAAAAAGTGAAGGATGGGCCAGGCGCAGTGACACTTGCCTGTAATCCCAGCACTTTGGGAGGCCAAAGTGGGTGGATCACCTGAGGTCAGGAGTTCGAGACCAGCTTGGCCAACATGGTGAAACCCCATCTCTACTAAAAATACAAAATTAGCCAGGTGTGGTGGCAGACACCTGTAATCCCAGCTACTTGAGAGGCTGAGGCAGGAGCATCGCTTGAACCCAGCAGGCAGAGGTTGCAGTGAGCCCAAATCTCACCATTGCACTCCAGCCTGGGGGACAAGAGCAAGACTCCGTCTTTTTTTTTTTTTTTTTTTTTTTGAGACGGAGTCTTGTTCTGTTGCCCAGGCTGGAGTGCAATGGTGCGATCTTGGCTCACTGCAACCTCCACCTCCTGGGTTCAAGCGATTCTCCTGCCTCAGCCTCCCAAGTAGCTGGGACTACAGGAGCCTGCCACCACACCCGGCTGATCTTTGTATTTTTAGTAGAGACCAGGTTTCACCATGTTGGCCAGGATAATCTCCATCTCCTGACCTTGTGATCCACCTGCCTCAGCCTCCCAAAGTGCTGGGATTACAGGCATGAGCCACCGTGCCTGGCCCACACTGTCTTAAAAAAAAGAAAAAAAGAAGAAAGAAAAAGAAAAGGATGTTCGGCAAAGTATACCTGCTGGCATCTTTCTGCCCACTTGCCCAGATGCCAAGATTCAATCAAGGCTCTGGGGAGTGGCACAGAGATCTCAGTGCCATGACTCATATTTACTTGCAAGGTGCAATCGGGCATTTGAAAGCCAGAAACTCATTCAAATCAAGACATGATGTGACAGGAAATGTTTCAGTGGAAAAAATCTTGTTTTCATGGCAACAGCTAGGCTGGGGTTGGAGGGTGGGTATAGACCAGAGGAGCACTTTAGTTCCTGGGGAAAGTCTGTGGTAAGAAGGTGGGGTGTGGCCGGGCAAAGCGGCTCACACCTGTAATCCCAGCACTTTGGGATGCCGAGGCGGGTGGATATCCTGAAATCAGGAGTTCGAGATCAGTCTGGCCAACATGGTGAAACCGTCTCTACTAAAAACACCAAAATTAGCCGGGTATGGTGGCGGGCACCTGCAATCCCAGCACTCTGGGAGGCAGAGGCGGGTGGATCACTTGAGGTCAGGAGTTCAAGACCAGCCTGGCCAACATGGTGAAACCCCATCTCTACAAAAATACAAAAATTAGCCAGGAGTGGCGGCGCATGCCTGTAATCCCAGCTACTCAGGAGGCTGAGGCAGGAGAATCGCTTGAACCCAGGAGGCGGAGGTTGCAGTGAGTCAATATCGCCCCCACTGAACTCCAGCCTGGGCGACAGAGCGAGACCCCGCCTCAAAAAAAAAAAAAAAAAAAAGGACGGAGGAAGTTGCGGGGGGGCGGGGAAGGAGGAGGAGGAGGAGGGTGAAGCGCTGGGTGTGGAGTGGGGAAAGGGCAGTCTCTGGAGTCGGCGGACGACAGCAGGGTCCCCGTACTGTGTGCCGGTCACTCGCCCGAAGGAGGGGACAGAGGCCTGGAGCCCCCCGGTCTACCTCGCACGCTCCCGGCCTGCGACCCGCGCTCCGGTCCCGCGGCCTCCCCGTGGGAGCCCTGCAGTGGCACGGCCTGCACCCTGGGCGAGCTTGCTGGGTGTCCCGAGAGCCCGGCGCTGAGAAAGGGACCTCAGGGGGCAGGGGGGACTGCACTTCGGCGGCGGAGGGTGGAGCCCGGCCCGGAAACTTCCCTCAGAAATAAACAGAAACGCAAAGACAACTTCCCGAGGGCCCGGGCCGTCGTGTGCCGTTACCTCAGCCCCAGGTGGTTCCCAGGCTCGGCCAGGCTATGTCTCACACACTGACTAGGGGTCCTTCGGCCTCAGAAAAGTGGCCCCGGACGGAATACCCACTAAGAAGTGCTCTCTGAAAAAGGCGGGCGCCAACCTCGAACGAAGTCGTTTTGAGGGACTGGCTCGCCAGCTCCTAAGCAACTTCGGGGCTCGTGCCGCGCACCCACCAGGCCTTCTGCGCACGCGCAAGTGCGCTTCCCACCGCCCCTTCGGGCGCAGCTCCAAGGCCTGGCCGCGGTCTGCGCGTGCGCATTTCATTGTCGACACCGAGAGGACGCCTTGGCGCCTTCAGGTCCCTCCTGGATTTACCAGCCCATTGTTTATTTCGCGCCTGCTTTAGCGTGGTGTCGTCGGGAACTAGCGACTGCAGAGTCCTTACTGTGTGCTAGGCGTTATGCAGGGTACCTTCCTTTATTCCTCGGCGATATGCTCTGCGGCAGGCATTAATGCCCCAAATTTAGGATCGCTTGAGCTCAGGAGGCCGAGGCTGCAGTGAGCCGAGATCGCGCCACTGCACTCCAGCCGGGGCGACCAAGCGAGACCTGTTACACACACATACACACACACACACGCACTCCCACTTTTTTTCCTTAAATCTTATTTTTAAAAGTAGAGACAGGGCCGGGCGCGGTGGCTCATGCCTGTAATTCCAGCACTTTGGGAGGCCAAGGTGGGTGGATAACCTAAGGTCAGGAGTTTGAGACCAACCTGGCCAATGTGGTGAAACCCCATCTCTATTTTGTAAAAATACAAGCTTAGCCAGGCGCGGTGGCTCACTCCTGTAATCCCAGCACTTTGGGAGGCCGAGGAGGGCAGATCACGAGGTCAGGAGATCCAGACCATCCTGGCTAACACGGTGAAACCCCGTCTCTACTAAAAATAACAAAAAATACAAAAAACTAGCCGTGGTGGCGGGCGCCTGTAGTCCCAGCTACTCAGGAGGCTGAGGCAGGAGAATGGCGTGAACTCGGTAGGCGGAGCTTGCAGTGAGCCGAGTTTGCGAGATTGCGCCACTGGACTCTAGCCTGGGCGACAGAGCAAGACTCCGTCTCAAACAAAACAAAGCAAAAACAAGATTAGCCAGGCACGGTGGGGCACACCTGTAATCCCTGCAACTCGGGAGGCTGAAGCACAAGAATCTCTTGAACCCGGGAGGCAGAGCTTGCAGTGAGCTGAGATCACACCATTGCACTCCAGCCTGGGCAACAAGAGCAAAACTCCGTCTCAAAAAAGAAAAAAAAATCGGGGGGAGTGGGGGCCTGGGCGCGGTGGCTCACATCTGTAATCCCAGCACTTTGGGAGGCCAAGGCAGGCAAATCACGAGGTCAGGAGTTCAAGACCAGCCTGGGCAACATGGTGAAACTACGTCTCTACTAAAAATACGAAAATTAGAGTTGGGCATGGTGGCCACGTGCCTGTAATCCCAGCTACTCTGGAGGCTGAGGCAGGAGAATTGCTTGAACCTGGGAGGCAGAGGTTGCAGTGAGCTGAGATCACTCCAGTGCACTCCAGCCTGGGCTACAGAGTGAGGCTCCATCTCAAAAAAAAAAAAAGAAAGAAAGAAACTGCGAAGCAGTTTTCCAGAGTGGCTGTACCATTCTGCACTCCCGTCAGCAGAGTGTGAGAATTGCTCTGCATCCTTGCCAGCACTTGATATTTTCAGTTAAAAATTTTTTGCCATCCTAATAGATGTGTAGTGGTATCTAGTTATAGATTTAATTTGCATTTCCCTAACGACTAATAACGTTGAGCACCTTTTTATGGGCCCTTGGGATTCTTGAGAATTAATAAACCTATACCCTAACTCAGAAACAATTTACAGTGCTAAAGAGACTCGTATGGATTCAGACTTAGCCTGCCATACTGGAACATTTCAACAGCAACGCTCGCAGATGACAACAGAATTCAAAGCACATATACCAGATCTGTCAAGCCAGCCAGCACATGGCAAAAGCCTGGCAACAAAAAATAGCATGCTGTGTGTGTGTCTGTCTCCAAGAAGTTCAGTGTTACTTAACTATAAGAAACAGGTGGCCGTGTGCAGTGGCTCACACCTGTAATCCCAGCACTTTGGGAGGCGGAGGCGGGCAGATCACCTGAGGTCAGGAGTTTGAGACCAGCCTGGCCAACATGGTGAGACCCTGTCTCTACTAAAACAAACAAAAAACACACCACAAAATCAGCCAGGCAAGGTGGCATGCACCTTAATCCCAGCTACTTGGAGGCTGAGGCAGGAGAATCACTTGAAATCGGGGGGTGGAGGTTGCAGTGAGCTGAGACTGCACCATTGCACTCCAGCCCGGGCAAAAAATGTGAAACTTCATCTCAAAAAAAAAAAAAAAAAAAGAAAGAAAGAAAGAAAAGAAAAAGAAAGAAACAGGTGTGGAGTGGCAGGAGATATGGTTGAGGGGAGACACAGGGGCTAGACTACGAAGAAGCTTGTGCTGAGGTACTTGAGGTACTTGAATTTATCCCTACAGCAATAAGATGCTCTTAAAAGTTGGATTTTGGTCTCAGAAATATGTTCCTGAGGCCAGGCGTGATGGTTCACACCTGTAATCCCAACACGTTGGGAGACAGGAGGATCTCTTGAGGCCAGGAGTTCAAGACTCGCCTGGGCAACATAGTAAGACTCCATCTCCACAAAAAAATAAAAAAAATAGCCAGACATAGAAGTGCATGCCTGTATTCCCAGTTACTCAGGAGGCTGAGGGGGAGGATTGCTTGAGCCCAGGGGTCCAAGGCTGCAGTGAGCTGTGATCATGCCACTGCAGTCTGGCCTGGGGGACACATCGAGTCCCCCCGCAAAAAAAAAGTTCCTGGAACCTGGCTTCTTCATTTTCATTTTCATTTTCATTTTCTGCCTGCTTATTCTTACTTATCCTTCAAGGCCCAGCCCAAATGCCACCTCCTCTGAGAAGCCCTCTGTAATCCCCCTAGCCAGAAGATCAGGTCCCTTTTTTTTTTTTGCCTTTCCTTGTATTGACTGGCCAGTCTGCTTGGAGGGTGGGAACTGCAATTTACACCACTTTGGGCTTTTTTTTTTTTTTTTTTTTTTTGAGACGGAGTCTCCCTCTGTCGCCCAGGCTGGAGTGCAGCGGTGCGATCACGGCTCACTGCAAGCTCTGCCTCCCGGGTTCACGCCATTCTCCTGCCTCAGCCTCCTGAGTAGCTGGGACTACAGGCATCCACCACGACACCTGGCTAATTTTTTGTATTTTTAGTAGAGACGGGGTTTCACCGTGTTAGCCAGGATGGTCTCGATCTCCTGACCTCGTGATCTGCCCGCCTTGGCCTCCTGAAGTAGTGGGATTACAGGTGTGAGGCACCGCACCCGGCCACTTTGGGCTTCTTATGTGGCTTGACAAGGGATCTAGCACATAGAAGGTGCTAACCCATGTTTGATGAATGTTGATGAATTTTCAAATGAAGGAAGTTTACTGGGCAATCCAGCTCTGGAGTCCTGTCAGATTACACCAGTATTAGTTCTCAAACGTGGGCATGCATCAGAACTACCTAGAGGGCTTGTAGATTGCTGGACCGAGCCCCCAAGTTTCTGATTTAGTAGATCTGGGGGTCTGAGAATTTGCCTTTTGAACAAGTAAGTTCCCAGGTGCTGCTGCTGCTGGTAGAAGGGACCATACTCAGATAAACTTTGGATGAAACATTCTTTACATGTGGCTGTGGGTATAGTTCAAGTGCTTCTGAGAATCAAGCTCTGGCGGGGACACTCTCAAGGGACCATGAATCCTGTGCTTTATCACAACCATCTGACCACCTGACCCTTCAAGGGATGTCCTTGGTCTTGACTACTGTCCCACTCCTTTGACTTGGAGGCAGGATTACTTTACCCTCTCCTGGTCCCTTTATTTATTTTAATTAATTTATTTATTTTTGAGACAGAGTGTCGTTCCAGTGTCGCCCAGGCTGGAGTGCAATGGCACGATCTCGGCTCACTGCACCCTCTGCCTCCTGGGTTCAAGCAACTCTCCTGCCTCAGCCTCCCAAGTAGCTGAGATTACAGGTACCCACCACCAGGCCTATCTAATTTTTTTTGTATTTTTAGTAGAGATGGGGTTTTGCCGTGTTGGCCAGGCTGGTCTTTAACTCCTGACCTTTGGTGATCCACCCACCTCGGCCTCCCAAAGTGCTGGGATTACAAGCGTGAGCCACTGTGCCTGGGCTATTTATTTATTTATTTGAGATGGAGTCTCGCTGTTGCCCAGGCTGGAGAGCAGTGGTACAATCTCGACTCACTGCAACCTCTGCCTCCTGGGTTCAAGCAGTTCTCCTGCCTCAGCCTCCCAAGTAGCTGGGATTACAAGTGTGCACCACCACACCCGGCTAATTTTTGTATTTTTAGTAGAGACGGGTGTTCACCATGTTGGCCAGGCTGGTCTGGAACTCCTGATCTCAGGTGATCCGCCTGCCTCGGCCTCCCAAAGTGCTGGGATTACAGGTGTGAGCTACCATGCCCGGCCCTCTCCTGGTCCCTTTCTCCCAGGGACTCCCAGAAAGGCTTCTCAGAGGGGCCCTGGTCACATTGTCACATTCTGTAACTGGCTTTCCTCCCCCTAAGCAGTTCAGTCTGAGAGCCCCAGAGAACAAAACAAATCCTGTCCTAGGAAGAAGCCTAGCACCTACTGAGGAAGAATTGAGTGCTGGGAATAGGGCCCCCATTAACAGCCAGCCCCTGAAGCTCTTAGGGAAATGCTCTGCAGACCCATGATCTCCCCAAGAGGGTCAGAACCAGGTCTTGTTCCTTAGAGAGCTGCTGCTGCTTCTTGGGCCTGTGCAGCTTCCCAGCCTCCAAGGCTGAGGGAAGGAGCCACTTAATCAACAGCTCCATTTCCTGCAGCACCTGGGGCTCCCCAACCCCTACCACCTCCCTTTGGGCTTCCCAGGTCAATTACCTGCCAGGCAACGGGCCTCAGCTCAGAAAATCTGACCAGCCAGAGACTGGTCTGACGGGGCCATGGGGAATTGAAATGACTTGACTCAGAGAGGCAACCCTGGGGGTAGGGACAGGGGGATCTGCCCCCACCCTTAGGGTAGTGTAATTCAGTCTTCAGTTTACCACTCCCTCTCTGTGTGTTGGGTGTCTGACTCACAGTAAGGCTGTGAAACCCATTGACCATCCAGGTATGAGCCTTGTGGAGATTGAAGAGGTGATGGGGTGGGATAGGTTTGCTCAAAGAGGCCTCCAAATCCTTCCAGGCTCAGCCCAGACCTTGAAGGCCTTTTTGCAGTTTTAGTAACACGAGCCGATTCCTGCGGTTGGTGGCTGTCACAGGACAGAAGCAGAGGACCCCAGCAAGGAGGTGAACCACTAACCCGGGAGTCCCCTCCCCAACCACAGAGATCCTTCAGAAGAGCTCTCTTTGGCTATGTTTTGTGTTTGAATCTAACTCAAAAGACCAAGCTGTTAGAGGCTCAAGTGTTCCCAAGAATCGTCCATGAAAACTGTTGTAGACACTGGGTCCAGGCCCACCCCAGGGAGTCAGACTCAGGAGTCTTGGCATGATTGAGAGATCTGTCCTAGGTTATTTTTACCCTGACTGGAGTCTCTTCCCTGTCCGCCCCCTCACCAGATAAACAGAAGCCAAGACACAAGGAGGAAAGCTTGCAAGGGCCTGGGTACGCTGTCGGATGTAGTGGAGGCAGGACTGGCCTCTCTGGAGAGACTTCAGCATTCTCTGCTTTGAAAAACGGGGCTGTAGACCTTTTAAAATGGCATGCATTTCTGCAGGAACACAAAGACACTTACAGTCCCCAAGGAATAGTCTCTCTCCTGCAGGATGGGAATGCCCCCAGAAGGCACTGAACCACTAATCCAAGAGGAAAGTTCTCAGATTCCTTCTTGCCTCAGGTCCCCCATATCAGACCTGAGGTTTTTCCTTCAACCCTCCCTGAGCACAGGCTCTGATCTGTCCATGGTTCTGATTTTTAATGGATTTCACTTGGGGGCAAGTCATGAGTTTTTTCATTCACTTGGAGTAGTTAACACTTACTGAACACTTACTATATGCCAGGGACTGTGAGCTACTCCTTACACGCAACCCCCTTTTTCCAAAGTAACCAGACATAATAGAAAAAACCACAGGTCAGGCTGGGCGTGGTGGCTCACGCCTATAATCCCAGCACTTTGGGAGGCCGAGGCGGGCGGATCACGAGGTCAGGAGATCGAGACCGTCCTGGCTAACACGGTGAAACCCCGTCTCTACTAAAAATACAAAAAATTAGCCGGGCGTGGTGGCGGGCGCCAGTAGTCCCAGCTACTCGGGAGGCTGAGGCAGGAGAATGTCGTGAACCTGGGAGGCGGAGCTTGCAGTGAGCCGAGATCCCACCGCTACGCTCCAGCCTGGGCGACAGAGCCAGACCCTGTCTCAAAAAACAAAACAAAACAAAACAAAAACCCACCACAGATCATAAATGTGTAGCTCAGTGAATTTTCTTTTTCTTTTTTGAGACAGAGTCTCGCTCTGTCGCCCAGGCTGGTCTTGAACTCTTGGGCTTAAGCCATCCTCTCACCTGGCTTCCCAAAGTGTTGGGATTACAAGTGTGAGCCACCATGCCTGGCTGAACATATACTTTTCTATTATACCTATCGTATTAGTTCGTTTTCACACTGCTGACAAAGACATACCTGAAACTGGGAAGAAAAAGAGGTTTAATTGGACTTACAGTTCCACATGGCTGGGGAGGCCTCAGCATGGCGGGAGGCAAAAGACACTTCTTACATGACAGCAGCAAGAGAAAAATGAGGAAGACGCAAAAGAAGAAACCCCTGATAAACGCATCAGATCTCGTGAGACTTACTCACTGTCACGAGAATAGCACGGGAAAGATAGACCCCCATGATTGAATTACCTTTCCCTGGGTCCCTCCCACAACACGCGAGAATTCTGGGAGATACAATTCAAGTTGAGATTTGGGTGGGGACACAACCAAACCATATCACCTATCTACATTATACATTCATATATTTGTGTATATACACACACACATATATGTTGGGTGGACTGTAGGTGGGTACCTTTTTAAATCTCCATTTTCCAGATGAGAAAGCTCAGTCTTGAAGTTGAATGAGGAAATAATAGAGCTGAGATTTGAACCTAATCCTGTCTGGCCCTGGAGCCTAAGCTGTTTCACCACTAACCGCTATGCTCCACTGCCTCCGAAAGCATAGGCTTTTTTTTTTTTTTTTTTTTTTTTTGAAACAGAGTCTCGCTGTCGCCCAGGCTGGAGTGCAGTGGCACGATCTTGGCTCACTGCAGGCTCCATCCCCTGGGGTTCACGCCATTCTCCTGCCTCAGCCTCCTGAGTAGCTGGGACTACAGGCGCCTGCCACCACGCCCGGCTAATTTTTTTTGTATTTTTAGTAGAGACGGGGTTTCACCGTGTTAGCCAGGATGGTCTCGATCTCCTGACCTCGTGATCTGCCCACCTCGGCCTCCCAAAGTGCTGGGATTACAGGCGTGAGCCACCGCACCCGGCCAGCATAGGCTTTTTAAAACTACTCATTGGCCGGACACAGTGGCTCATGGCTGTAACCACAGAACTTTGGGAGGCCGAGATGGGAGAATCGTTTGAGGCCAGGAGCTCGAGACCAGCCTGGTCAACATAGCAAGACCCCATCTCTAACAAAAATTTTAAAAAGTAAAAAATTAAAAAATAAAAGTATTCATTATGTGTCGGCCAGGTGTGACTCACGCCTGAGAATCTGGTACATTGGGAGGCCGAGAAGGGAGAATCACTTGAGCCTGGGAGGTCAAGGCTGCAGTGAGTTGTGTTTGTGCCATTACACTCCAGCCTGGGCCTCCCTGTCTCAGTAATAATAATAATCATAATCATTATGTGCCACACTGGTTGCTATCATTGAGGGAGGGAAGAGGGTAGCAAGACACAGTCACACAAAAAGGAAGATGACAGAAAAGCACAGGACGGGCATGGAGAGGAAAGCAGGTCACTTTTTTTTTTTTTTTTTTTGAGACGGATTTTTGCTCTTGTTGCCCAGGCTGGAGTACAATGGCATGGTCTTGGCTCACCACAACCTCTGCCTCCTGGGTTCAAGCGATTCTCCTGCCTCAACCTCCCGAGTAGCTGGGATTACAGGCATGCATCACCATGCCCGGCTAATTTTGTATTTTTAGTAGAGACGGGGTTTCTCCATGTTGGTCAGGCTGGTCTTGAACTCCCAACCTCAGATGATCCGCCTGCTTTGGCCCCTCAAAGTGCTGGGATTACAGGTATGAGCCAACGCGCTGGGCCTGCAGGTCACTTTTATCTTGGAAGATTACAGGAGGCTTCCTGGAGAAAGGAGCATTTGAAAAGGAAGGATGGGGCCGGGCGCGGTGGTTCACGCCTGTAATCCCAGCACTTTGGGAGGCCAAGGCGGGTGGATCACTAGGTCAGGAAATCGAGACCATCCTGGCTAACACGGTGAAACCCCGTCTCTACTAAAAATAGAAAAAATTAGCCGGGCGAGGTGGCGGGCGCCTGTAGTCCCAGCTACTCAGGAGGCTGAGGCAGGAGAATGGCGTGAACTCAGGGGGACAGAGCCTGCAGTGAGCCGAGATCGCGCCACTGCACTCCAGCCTGGGCGACAGCGAGACTCCATCTCAGAAAAACAAAAAGGAAGGATGGGGGCAAATTCTGGGCATGAAGGAGTGATAAGGGAAAGACTATCAGGCTGAGAGCTCTGGGTGCACAAGAAAACACAGGCTGCAAAGGCCCTCAGAGGTCATCTTGCCCATCTCTCATTGTCCACCAACCTACTGATGGCTTCCAAATTTATTTATCCAGTCCTGACATTTCCCAGACTCCAGACTCTTATTTAAACCAGTTGGATGTCAAATAGGTATCCCAAATTTAACATGGCCAAAATAGGGCTCCTGATCCCCACCACCAAACCCCAAACTGCCCCTCTTCCAGCCTTTCTTGGTTTTTGGCACCACCAACCATCAATTGCTCAGGTCCCAAATCTCAGTCATCCTTCCTTCCTCCCTTTCACCACACTCAGTCCATGAGCATATCCCATCAGCTGTATCTGTAAAGCACACCCTGAATCCGACCACTTCTTTTCTGTCAGTTTTTAAGTTTTGTGAATACACAGTAGGCATGCATGAGATGTTTTGAATACAAGCATGCAAGGCACAATAATCACATCATGGAGAATGAGGTATCCACCCCTTAAGCATTTATCCTTGGTGTTACAAACAATACAATTACACTCTTTTAATTATTTCCAAGTGACAATTACATGATTATTGACTATAGTCACCCTATTATATGCCATCAAATAGTAGGTCTTATTCATTCTTTCTACTTTTTTTTTGTATCTGTTAATCATCCCCACCTCCCCCCACCCACCCCCAATCCTCTTCCTAGCCTTTGGTAATCATCCTTCTACTCTCTATCTCCATTAGTTCAATTATTTTGAATTTTAGATCCCACAAATAAGTGAAAACATGTGATTTTTATCTTTCTGTGCCTGACTTATTTCACCTAACATAATGATCTTCAGTTCCATCCATGTTGCAAACGACAGAATCTCATTCTTTTTATAGCTGAACAGTACTCCATTGTGTATATGTACCACATTTTCCTTATCCATTCTTCTGTTGATGGACACAGGTTGGTTCCGCATCTTGGCTATTGTGAACAGTGCTGCAACATGGGAGTCAGATATTTCTTCGATATACTCATTTCCTTTCTTTTGGATCTATACCCAGCAGTGGGAGTGCTGGATCATATGGTAGCTCTATTTTTAGTTTTTTGGGGAACCTCCAAACTGTTCTCCATAGTGGTTGTACTAATTTACATTCCCACCAACAGTGTTCAAGGGTTCCCTTTCTTCCACATCCTCGCCAGCGTTTGTTACTGACTGTTTTTGGGTATAAGCCATTTGAACTGGAGTGCGATGATATCTCATTGTAGTTTTCATTAGCATTACTCTGATGATTAATGATGTTAGCACCTTTTCATATGTCTATTTGCCATTTGTTTATCTTCTTTTGAGAAATGTCTACTGGAATCTTTTGCCTCCCCCCACCTTTTTTTTTGATTTATTTTTATTTTTATTTTTTTTGAGATGAAGTCTTGCTCTGTCACCCAGGCTGGAGTGCAGTGGCATGATCCGAGCTCACTGCAACCTCCACCTCCTGGGTTCATGCAATTCTCGTGCCTCAGCCTCCCGAATAGCTGGGATTATAGACACATGCCTCTCAAAGTGCTGGGATTACAGGCACCTGCCACCACACCTGGCTAATTGTTGTATTTTTAGTAGAGACAGGATTTCGCCATGTTGGCCAGACTGGTCTCAAATTCCTGACTTCAAGTGATCTGCCTGCATCAGCGTCCCAAAGTTCTGAGATTACAGGTGTGAGCCACTGTGCCCAGAATTGTTGCCCATTTTTAAATCAGATTATTAGGTTTCTTTCAAGAAAATAGGAAGAAAAATTTTTCAAAAAAGATTATTAGATCTTTTCCTAGAGAGTTGTTTGGGCTCCTTATATATTCTGGTTATTAATCCCTTGTCAGATGGGCTGACCTCTTCTTACCACCTCACTGCTTCCATTCACACCCCTGAACAATCTGATCTTTTTTAAATGTCGGGCTCCCTGATTCATGGAAAAAAGGCAATGCCCTTGCAGTGGTCTGTATGATCTGGCCCTTGGTTACCTCTCTGACCTTATCCCTGACCAACTGACCATCTCTGACCCTCCTTCATTCCCTCCCTCCAGCCACACCAGCCCCCTGGCTCAAATGTTTCAGGCTCACACCTGCCCCCAGGCCTCGGCACTGGCTGTTTCCTCTGCCTGGAACTCATCTCCACCTGGCTAATTCACTGCCTTCTTCAAGACCTTGCTCAAATGTCCTCTGCCTTTTTTTTTTTTTTTTGAGACGGAGTCTCACTCTGTCACCCAGGGTGGAGTGCAGTGGCGTGATCTCTGCTCACTGCAACCTCCACCTTCTGGGTTCCAGAGATGCTTGTGCCTCAGCCTCCCAAGTAGTGGGGACTACAGGCATGCGCCACCATGCCCTGCTAATTTTCTTTTTTCTTTTCTTTCTTTCTTTTGTTTTTGAGATGGAGTCTTGCTCTGTTGCCCAGGCTGGAGTGCAATAGCATGATCTCAGCTCACCGCAACCTCTGCCTCCTGGGTTCAAGCAATTCTCCTGCTTCAGCCTCCCAAGTAGCTGGGATTACAGGCATGTTCCACCATGCCCAGCTAATTTTTTTTGTATTTTTAGTAGAGATGGGGTTTCATGTTGGCCAGTCTGGTCTGGAACTCCTGACCTCAGGTGATCCGCCCACCTTGGCCTCCCAAAGTGCTGGGATTACAGGCGTGAGCCTCTGTGCCCAGCTGCTAATTTTCTTTTTGTGTGTGTGTATTCTTAGTAGAGAAGGAGTTTGAGTTTTGCCATGTTGGCCAGGCTGGTCTTGAACTCCTGGCCTCTAGTGATCTGACCACCTCAGCCTCCCAAAGTGCTTGGATTTGAAGCCACTACACCTGGCTTCAAATACTCTCTTCCTATTGAACTGACGTTGACCACTCATTTTATTTTATTTTATTTTATTTTATTTTATTTTATTTTATTTTATTTTATATTTTATTTTATATTTTATTTTATATTTTATTTTATATTTTATTTTATTTTATTTTATTTTATTTTATTTTATTTTATTTTATTTTATTTATTTTATTGAGACTGAGTCTCGCTCTGTCACCCAGGCTGGAGTGCACTGGCGCGATCTCGGCTTACTGCAACCTCCACCTCCCAGGTTCAAGTGATTCTTGTGCCTCTGCCTCCTGAGTAGCTGGGATCACAGGTTCCTGCCACCACACCTGGCTAATTTTTGTATTTTTAGTAGAGACGGTGTTTTGCCATGTTGGCCAGGCTAGTCTCGAACTCTTGACCTCAAGTGATCCTCCCACCTCAGCCTCCCAAAGTGCTGGGATTACAGGCATGAGCCACCGCGCCTGGGCGACCACCCTATTTTAAATTGTACCTTCTCCACCCTGACCCTCTCAATTCCTCTTTTCTTGTCTTACCCCTCTTGACCCAGCTTCCCTATTAAATATAAGCATTTTTGTCTGTTTTGTTCTCTTCTTTATCCCAAATGCCTAGGATAGTGTTTGAAAAGAGGAGCTGAATATATTTTAAATGAATTTAAAAATCAGAGGCTGGGCACGGTGGCTCACGCCCGTAATCCCAGCACTTTGGAAGGCTGAGGTGGCTGGATCAATTGAGGTCAGGAGTTCGAGACCAGCCTGGCCGACATGGTGAAACCCTGTCCCTACCAAAAATATAAAAAATTAGCTGTGCGCGGTGGCAGGCACCTGTAATCCCAGCTACTCAGGAGGCTGAGGCAGGAGAATCTCTTGAACCCAGGAGGCAGAGATTGCAGTGAGCCAATATCGTGCACTGCACTCCAGCCTGGGCAACAGAGCAAGACTCCGTCTCAAAAAAAAAAAAATCAGTGTACATCTCTGTTTAAAATTCTCCCACTCACGGCTGGGTGTGGTGGCTCACGCCTGTAATCCCAGCACTTTGGGAGGCTGAGGCGGGCAGATCACGAGGTCAGGAGATCGAGACCATCCTGGCTAACACGGTGAAACCCTGTCTCTACTAAAAATACAAAAAATTAGCTGTGTGTGGTGGCAGGCGCCTGTAGTCCCAGCTACTTGGGAGGCTGAGGCAGGAGAATGGCGTGAACCCGGGAGGCAGAGCTTGCAGTGAGCTGAGATCGCACCACTGTACTCCAGCCTGGGCAACAGAGCGAGACTCCATCTCAAAAAAAAAAAAAAATTCTCCCACTCACACAGGAAGAATCTCACATCCTTCTCATGGCTTACACAATTTTTCTGGCCTCTTCTCAGACTTCATCTTTCCTTTTCTCTTCCCTGATTCTCCTCCTCCTTTCTTTTCTCTTCTTCTTCTTCTTTTTTTTTTTGAGACAAGTCTTGCTCTGTCACCCAGTGTGCAGGGGCATGATCATGGCTCACTGTAGCCTTGACTTCCTGGGCTCAAGCAATTCTCCCATCTCAGCCTCTCGAATAGCTGGGACTACAGGTGCATGCCACCACGCCCAGCTAATTCTTTGAATTTTTAGTAGAGACAAGGTCTTGCTTTGTTGCCCAGGCTGGTCTCAAACTCATGGGCTCAAGCCACCTCGGCCTCCCAAAGTGCCGGGATTAGAGGTGTGCACCACTGCGCCCAGCTGGCCTACTCCTTTCTGTTCCTCTAACATGTTTAGTGCTTTTTCTTTTTTTTTTTGAGGCGGAGTCTCGCTCTGTTGCCCAGGCTGGAGTGCAGTGGCGCCATCTCGGCTCACTGCAAGCTCCACCTCCCGGGTTCACACCATTCTCCTGCCTCAGCCTCCTGAGTAGCTGGGACTACAGGCGCCTGCCACCACGCCCGGCTAATTTTTTGTATTTTTAGTAGAGACAGGGTTTCACCGTGTTAGCCAGGATGGTCTCAATCTCCTGACCTTGTGATCCGCCCGCCTCGGCCTCCCAAAGTGCTGGGATTATAGGTGTGAGCCACCGTGCCCAGCCTACGTTTAGCGCTTTTTCCAGACCCGGAGTTTTTACACATGGTATTGCCTCTGAGTGGCATGTTCTTTCCCTAGATCTTTGCATGGCTGACTCTCTCTTGTCATTCTCATCTTGTCAGGTCTCATCCTGAATGACACCTCCTGAGAGACCCTTCCCTTGAATTCTCTATTTTTTTTTTTTTTTTGAGGCAGGATCTCACTCTGTCATCCAGACTGGAGTGCAGTGGCTCGATCATGTCTCACTGCAGCCTCGACCTCCCTGGCTCAAGCAATCCTCCCACCTCAGCCACCCAAGTAACTTGTTTTTCCGCCCAAGACGGAGTGTTGCTCCATCGCCCAGGCTGGAGTGCAGTGGTGTGATCTCGGCTCACTGCAACCTCTGCCTCCCGGGTTCAAGCAATTCTCCTGCCTCAGCCTCCCGAGTACCTGGGATTATAGGCACCCGCCACAATGCCCAGCTAATTTTTGTATTTTTATTAGAGACAGGGTTTCACCATGTTGGCCAGGCTGGTCTTGAACTCCTGACCTCATGATCGCCTGCCTTGGCCTTCCAAAGTGCTGGGATTATAGGCGTGAGCCACCGCGCCTGGCCAAGCATTCTTTATTCAGCTTTTCAGTAGTCCATCACATGAGTGTACCAGCATTAATTGAATCACTCCCATCTATTTGTTTGAGGGTGGGGTAGAGTTTTACCTTCTTGGGTCATATCTATTAGCATGTGCTGCCCCTGAAGTCTGGGCCTGCAATGAGAATCCAGGAAGGTTGAAGGCTGGGTTGCCTGCAGCTAAGGGCTCCTGATTGTTGAACCAAGTCTATATAGTTTCCTAGCTATGTGACCTTGGACTTATTACTTACTACCTCTGGACCTCAGTTTCCCTTTCTCTCTCTTTCTTACAGCTCTAGCTCAAAGACAGTTTCCTCTTCTGAACAGTGGGGTTGAGAAGCATACGTCACAGAGTTACTAGAGGCATCATTGAGTTAATCCAAGTAAAATAGCACAGAGCCTACTATACTTTAGGGTATACAGATACAGCACGACCATGCTGTCCTCATCCTCCACTGAGTCCTCGTGCCCAGAGTATGTTGAATCCTGTCCCAGACTCCAGCCCACCTCTAACCAACAGCACCTTCGCTTCCCTCCCACCTGTTTGCTTTCCCTGAATCGCTGGTGACCATGGCTCTGCTGCCATCCACAGCCCTGTGACTTCCCTTTGCTATGTGAACCTGGCACAATGGTTACTTGTATGTGTCCTCTTGGCTGGGCCACAGTGCCCAGATATGTGGTCAAACATTATTCTGAATGTTTCTGTGAATGTGTTTTTGGACGAGATCAACATTGAAGTTGGTGGGCTTTGAATAAAGCAGGTTGCCCTCCATAATGTAGGTGGGCCTCATCTAATCGACTGAAGGCCTGAATAGAACAAAAAGACTAACCTTTTCCAAGCTAGAGTAAGTTCTGCAGCTGGTGGCCTTTGGACTTGAACTGCAACAGCAGCACTTTCCTGGGGCTCCAGCCTGACAATTCACCCTGAAGAATTTGGACTTGCCAACCTCCATCATCACATGAGCCAATTTCTTAAAATAAGTCTCCCTTGGCAGGGCGTGGTGGTTCACGCCTGTAATCCCAGCACTTTGGGAGGACAAGGCGGGCAGATCACTTGAGGTCAAGAGTTCGAGACCAGCCTGGCCAACATGGTGGAACCCCATCTCTACTAAAAATACAAAAATTAGCTGGGCGTGAGGCTGGGTGTGGTGGCTCATGCCTGTAATCCCAGCACTTTGGGAGGCCGAGGCAGGCAGATCACAATGTCAGGAGATCGAGACCATCCTGGCTAACATGGTGAAACCCTGTCTCTACTAAAAATACAAAAAAAAAAAAAAAAAAAAAATTAGCCGGGCATGGTGGCAGGCGCCTGTAGTCCAGGAGACTGAGTCAGGAGAATGGCGTGAACCCGGGAGGCGGAGCTTGCAGTGAGCCGAGATTGCACCACTGCACTCCAGCCTGGGCGACAGAGCGAGATTCTGTCTCAAAAAAAGGAAAAAATTAGCTGGGTGTGGTGGTGGGCACCTGTAATCCCCACTACTTGGGAGGCTGAGGCAGGAGAATCACTTGAGCCCGGGAGGCGAAGGTTGCAGTGAGCCGAGATTGCACCATTGCACTCCAGCCTGGGTGACAAGAGTGAAACTCCATCTCAAAAAAAAAACAACATTAAAAAAAAAATCTCTCTGTCTTCACACACACACACACACACACACACACACACTCTATTGGTTCTATTTCTCTAGAGAACACTGACTAATACACCTGCGCAAGTCCGTCTCATCTCTGAGCCTCAGTTTCCTCATCTGTAGTATTGGAGGGAGATTAATTAGCTGGTTCATGAGGGGTTGCCCATCTCTGTTATTCTCTCTTTTTTCAAAGACTCTGTAGGTTACAAAGAGAGGTTTAAGTAACTAGGCAAAGCAGAAAAGATTGCAAAACACTTTATTTCCATCACATATGTGCCAAGACTTGTGTTCTGTATCCAGGAGTGTGTTAGATACTAACATAGTGTTTCATTTACATGTGTGTGAAACCTGGGTGAAGAGCCAGGGTTTCTCTCCCCCACCCGCCTCAGAGTGCTTGTCCTGGAATCAGAGTGTAAAACCCCCTCTTGAAGCAGACACCAAAACTGAACTTCCACCCGGTCATGGGCCCTGCTCTTCCTGCTGTCAGCCTAGTCCAAAGAGCAATGAGGGAACTGCTTAGGAGGGGTCTGAGGGTGATGAGGGCCTGGGGGCCACACAGGGGTGGGTGCTGTCAGGTACAAGCCCATCCCTGCCTGCAAATAACCTTGCACAGGGTCCTTCCTCATTCTTTCCTCTTCCTTTTTGTTTATGAGATGAATGGCTCTTCTGCTGTGGCTTTAGGGGCAGTGGGGAGGCAGGGAGCTATTTGGGAACAGCCTGGAAAGCTGACCCTGCAGAATCTCCCAGAAGCCTTGGTGTGGCTATGGGTACCCAGGCTGTAGAAATCCCAGATGGTCCTCTTCCAGACCTCTCCCCAACTCCAGCTCACAGTTTCAGCTTCTTGGCACTGAAAACACTACTAGGGGAAGCAAGAGTCCACTTCAGGGCTTCTGCTTGGCCTCTACCCACCAGGGCTTGGACTCTGGACCTGCCCCAGCTAGGTTGGGGTTTCTGGGACTGCATGGCTCTGGCCCTGGAATCACGAAGCAGTGGGGAGAGCCCTTCTCTGCTCTGAGCATGCAAACCTTCTCACACCAGCCCACGGTTTCCAGGATTTCAGCCCCTAGGATGCCTGGGCCAGGACAGGAGAAGGAGGAGCAGAGGGTGGTGTTTCGGGCTCCAAGAAAGTCTTCGTGACCTTGGACTTGTCACTTGGCTTCCCTGAGCCTCAGTTTCCTTGTCTGAAAAAGTGGAGTGATAATCTCGATTTCTCAGGTCAACTGTGAGGTTGAAATAAGATATTGGTGGTGACAGGGCCTGTCACAGTGGGAGGCATCAGTGGTGGCTTCCTTTTCGACTGTGAAATCCTGGGCCAGCTGGTCAGCCACGCAGGGCAGCACCCAGTAGTGAGGGAGGAGAGGCCCGTGTGCTAAGGCTGCTTCCTGAGCCCAAAGAAGGGGCCAACCCAGCTCCGAAGACCAGGTTAGAAGTGGACTTGAGCAGAGGAGAGCAGAGGAAAGGCCAGGAGAGGGTGAGGGCTGGGATCCACAACCAGCCCTTGCCAAGTGGCTGCTGAGAGAGCAGGTTTGTGCTCCCTGCTCTGCAGACGTGCAAGCCCCAGGGCAGAGGAAGGGTTGTCGGGAGAGGACCCCAGCTTCCCTCTGGTGGGATGCTCCAGCTCGAGGGGCTGTGGAGGGGCAGTTTGGGCCGTGAGGCTGGGCTGGAGGGCACTGAGCTTAGAGGAAGACCCCTGCAGGCTGGAACCAGTGTGCGAGGCAAACAGGAGAGGGCTGGGGGACAGCTGGACAGGAGGTTCAGCAACCACAGCGGGGCCAAGGGACAGTGAGGGCAGGGGGCACTGGAGGAGGCTGGGAGAATCATGAGGCTGTGGACCTGGAGAGAGCGGCTGAGCTGGGTAACAGGAACCCGGGGTCTGGAACAGCTCCAGCTGCTCCCGGCAGCCATGTTGTCCCTGTGGGCCAGGGCCCAGGAGCCCCTCAGCCTGGTCCCAGCAGCCCAGGAGCCCTGGAGCTGAGCAGGAGGCACAATCCATGGGGCACAGGCGCTCATGCACGTGCAGGGTCCGGCTCCACCACGCCAGCTCGGCCTGCAGGGACTGGATCTCCTTCCGCAGGGCGAGGTTGTCTTTTTCCAGAGACTCGTGCTGCTGCAGAGAAGCAGATGGGCGGGGAGGGGAACCTCAGCCAGTGTCAGGGGCCCCGCATGAGCCTTAGCCCCTTCCAGGGTCCTCAACTTCAGGAGAAAGATGCCACCACCATTGGAATAGCCAAGTGGGGTCTCTTGGCCACTCTCTGGCCAGCCCTTCATAACCACCTACCAAGTCTCCCCTGTCCCACCCTCTGAAGGGGGCTCAGATCCGCCTGCTGTCATCCCACCACTAGTGCCCTGAGCCGGTGCCATTTCTCACCTGGGATATGCACGGGCCTCCAACCCGTGTGTCCCCCAAACCACCTATTCTCTTGCCCACAGGAGCCATTCAGCAACCATGTCATTAATTGCAGGTTAAAGCCCTTTAGAGGCACCCACCAAATTCCCTGTGGTAGAATTCCAGGCCTGTGTAGTGGCTGCAGCTCAGACCTCCGGTCTCCTCTCTCTCGCCTTCTTTCTTGCTCCCCTCCCTTCCTGACCCTCACATGAACTCTGCTTCCCGGCCACATTTCCTGTTTCCTCTGCCTGGACACCCTTCCGCCGCCCTTCTCTGTGCAAATCCCAACAGGGCCTTCCCGTGGCAACCTTGATGTCATTCTGTCCTAGATTGCTTATTGCCACTGCCCTTTTGAGGGCCCAGAACTCGCCCCTACGAGCACTGTGGGAGGATTCAGGGGATTGTTTTACAGGTTGACAGCATGAGTGTGTTCGATTCTGCATCCCTGAATCAGCATTTATTAAGTTCTGTTCTGCTGAACGCCGGTTCTGAGAACCCCTGAGACACAATCAATGTGCAGTTCTAAATAACCATTTATGATGACAGTAATGGTAAAAATGCAGAAAGAATTTTATATCCACATCTCACAGGGCTGAATAAATTGAACGACTTCCTTCAGTCCCCCACCCCCTTTTCTGGACACTTTGAAAGAAGAAGTTGCAAAGGTGTTTTGCATAAAAATGTGGTTTTGGCCCTGGACTCAAAGTTCTTTTTTTTGAGATGGAGTCTGGCTCTGTCGCCCAGGCTGGAGTGCAGTGGCTCGATCTCGGCTCACTGCAAGCTCAAGCTCCCAGGTTCACACCATTCTCCTGCCTCAGCCTCCTGAGTAGCTGGGACCACAGGCGCCCGCCACCACGCCTGGCTAATATTTTGTATTTTTAGTAGAGACGGGGTTTCACCATGTTAGCCAGGATGGTCTCGATCTCCTGACCTCGTGATCTGCCTGCCTCGGCCTCCCAAAGTTCTGGGATTACAGGCGTGAGCCACCGCGCCCGGCCCTGGACTCAGCCTGAAAGCCACCAGCCCCATTGCCACGCTGGTTTCTACATGTGGAATGATGAATTTTTTTTTTTTTTTTTTTTTGAGACAGAGTTTTGCTCTGTCGCCCAGGCTGGAGTGCAATGGCATAATCTCGGCTCACTGCAACCTCTGCCTCCCAGGTTCAAACGATTCTCCTGCCTCAGCCTCCCGAGTAGCTGGGACTACAGGTATGCACAACCATGCCCAGCTAATTTTTGTATTTTTACTAGAGATGGGGTTTCACCATGTTGGTCAGGCTGGTCTCGAACTCCTGACCTCGTGATCCGCCAGCCTTGGCCTCCCAAAGTGCTGGGATTGCAGGCGTGAGCCAATGTGCCTGGCCGGAATGATGGACATTTCTAAAATGTATCATTAGGCCACCCTTCACCTAAATTCTCCAAAGGCTTCAACTCACCTCCAGGAACGGAGTCACTCACTCATTCATTTATTCATTCGTTTGCCACCTTCAGGAGGCTCAAGGAGTAACAATTTCAATTTCATCCCTTCCCTCTTCTCTGCTTTAGTTTTCCCAACAGGATTTAACACCATCTGACATCCTGACCACTCTAGGGACTTTTTGTTTGTGGGTCTGGCTTCCCCAGGAGAATATGAGCCCTGTGGGTGGGGCTGGGGTGGGCGTTTGTCTACTGTGTCTACAGCTCTATATCCAGTGCTTAGAAATGTGCCTGGCACACGGGAGACGCTCAATAAGCATTTCCAGAAGGAAGGAATAAACGGATGCGTGGGTCTCCTAGGCACCATTCTGAGTACCAGTCCTCACTCTCACCTGGTCTACAGGGTGCTGCTCCCCACGCCTGTGCCAGCACTGTGTCATTTGTCCGCAATGCGTTTTCTTACCTTCATCCTCTGGGAAAACGCCCATTTGTCCTTAAGCTCAGGCTTCATCGCCTTTTTTTGTTGTTGTTGTTGTTGTTTTTGAGACAGAGTCTCTCTCTGTCTCCCAGGCTGAAGTGCAGTGGCACGACCTCAGCTCACTGCAACCTCCACCTCCCAGGTTCAAGCAATTCTCCTGCCTCAGCTACTGGGATTGGCTAATTAGCTACCACATCCCTGTAATCCCAGCTACTGGGGCTGCCTAATTAGCTACAATGCTTGGCTAATTTTTGTATTTTTAGTAGAGATGGGGTTTTACCACGTTGGCCAGGCTGGTCTCGAACTCCTGGCCAACAAGTAATCCACCCACCTCAGCCTCCCAAAGTGCTGGGATTATAGGCGTGAGCCACCGCGCCTGGCTCATCTCCTCTTTAGACCACTCAATGCCACTACCTATGTGCTATGGACTCTATTGTGTTCCCTCCAAAATTTATGTGTTGAAGCCATAACCCCCGATGTGATTGCATTTAGAGATAAGGCTCTTAGAAGGTAATTTAGATTAAATGAGGTCCTAGGATAGAGGATCGGGTTCTAATCTGATAGGATTGGTGGCCTTATAAGAAGAGGGAAGGAGGCTGGGAGCGGTGGCTCAAGCCTGTAATCCCAGCACTTTGGGAGGCCGAGGTAGGTGGATCAATTGAGTCCAGGAGTTCAAGACCAGCCTGGGCTACATGGAGAAACTCTGTCTCTACAAAAAATACAAAAGTTAGCCAAGTGTGATGGTGCATGCCTGTAGTCTCAGCTACTCGGGAGACTGAGGTGGAGAGGATCGCTTGAGCCTGGGAAGCTGAGGTTGCAGTGAGCCAGGATCGTGGACTGCACTCTAGCCTGGACAACAGAGTAAGACCCTCTCAAAAAAAAAAAAGGAAGAGGCCAGGCATGGTGGCTCACGCCTGTAATCCCAGCACTTTGGGACGTGGAGGTGGGAGGATTGCTTGAGCCCAGGAGTTCAAGACAAGCCTGGGCAACATAGCAAGACCCCCATCACTATTAAAAAATAAAGAATATGAAGAAATAAAAAAGAAAGAATAAATAAATAATAAATGAATAAAAAATTAAAACAAAAGGAGGGGGCCAGGTGCAGTGGTTCACGCCTGTAATCCCAGCACTTTGGGAGGCTGAGGCGGGCAGATCACTTAAAGCCAGGAGTTTGAGACCAGCCTGGCCAACATGGTGAAACCCCGTCTCTGCTAAAAATACAAAAATTAGGTGGGCGTAGTGGCGCATGCCTGTAATCCTAGCTACTCAGGAGGCTGAGGCAGGAGGATCACTTGAACCCAGGAGGTAGAGGTTGTAGTGAGCCAAGTGGCGCCACTGCACTCCAGTCTGGGCAACAGAGTGAGACTCTGTCTCAAAAATGACAACAACAACAAAAATCCCAAAAAGGAGAGGAAGGGAAAGAGATCACTCTGTCCTCTCACATGCACTGAGAGGCCATGAGCACACAGCGAGAAGGCAGCCACTTACAAGTCAGGAAGAGCACCCTCATCTGGAACTGAATTGGCTGGCACCTTGATCTTGGACTTCCCAGCCTCCAAAACTGTGAGAAATAAATGTCTATTGTTTAAGCCACTGTTTATGGTATTTTCAGATGAGCATGAAGCTCAGTAAAGGAAGCAACTTGCAACTGGGACTGGAAACCCTGCCCATTTTAACCCTGAACCAGAGTTCTCACAGTATGGTCTTGGTCACCTCCTGAATTCTGACCCCCAGGTGATTAATCACAAATCACCGTGCAGGTCCCTGGGCCCACCTGGCCTCATGAGGTGGGACCTGGCAGAGGAAGAATAATCCACTTTTTTTTTTCTATAGACAGGGTCTCAATCTGTTGCCCAGGTTGGATGCAGTGGTACAATCATGGCTCACTGCAGCCTTGAACTTCTGGGCTCAAGCGATCCTCCTGCCTCAGTTTCCTGAGTAGCTGGGACTACAGGTGTGCACCATCACGCCCAGCTAACTATTTTTTAATTTTTGTAGAGACAGAGTCTCACTATATTGCCCAGGCTGGTCTTGAACTCCTGGGCTCAAACAATCCTCCAGCCTCAGCCTCCCAAAGTGCTAGGATTACAGGTGTGAGCCACAGTGCCCAGCCTGGAATCTGCATTTTAACCAGTGTCTCAGCTGGCCATTGTGTTGGGGTCTCCCTATTTGCCTCCACTTCCTGTCTTCCTTCCCCTAGACTGCGGACACCTTAGGACACGGCTGGGCTGAGGATGACCCTTTGTGTCCCTGGAGCCTGGTGTGTACCTGGCACATGGTTTGTACTCAACACCCAGAACTTTCCAAATGTCAGCCACAGGATCCTTTTCTCATCCCAAACTCAGGTGACCTAGAAAAATACAGGAGTTTGGGGGAGGTCTGCTCAAAGGTGGGATGGAGAAGAGGTGGCTGGGCCAGTAAGTGGAGCCAGAGACAAGGAAAGGGGTTAGGGGTTGTCCACACCTGGTGCAGGGCGTCTGCCTTGTCTGTGTGCTTCTGCCGGCTTCGCTGGGCGGCTGCCCGGTTCTTCTGCTTCTTCAGCTGCCTTTGTTGCTCCTTGGGGTCCTGTGGGGCATGAGGCAGAGGACTCAGGGGGCCCAGCCAGGCCTTGTGCCCTCCGTCCTGGCCCGCCATTTGTAAAGCCAAGTCTTTCCCCTTGAGTCAAGTTCCCAAGGGTCTTTTATCTCCCAGAAGCTCCCTTGGCACCCACACCCCCTATAGCAGGCACTGCACACCTTGTTGGAACGCCAGCCTCACCCCTGTGTCCTGCTCACCGCTCATGTGGAGGGTGGGAGGGCAAGCAGGGAAGATGGGAAGCCTGAGATTCAAACTCAGACAGAGCCAACTTCAAACCCCACATTCTTTTTTCCTTTTTTTTTGAGACAGAGTCTCACTCTGTTGCCCAGGCTGGAGTAGTGCAGCGGCTCTATCTTGGCTCACTGCAAACTCTGACTCCCGGGTTCAAGCAATTCTCCTGCCTCGGCCTCCCAAGTAGCTGGGACTACAGGCACCTGCCACCATTCCTGGCCAATTTTTGTATTTTTAGTAGAGATGGGGTTTCCTCATGTTGGCCAGGCTCATCTCAAACTGGTCTTGAACTCCTGACCTCAGGTGATTCACCAGCCTCGGCCTCCCAAAGTGCTGGGATTACAGGTGTGAGCCACCGTGCCCAGCCGAGCCCCATATTCTTGAACCCAATCGCCCCATCCCTGCAATGGAAGCACCACAGCAGAGGGTTAAAGCCCATGCGGCAGGCAGCCCAGAGCCGGCGTGCCATAAAGCTCAGCTTCCATTCTTCTCATTGCCATGATTTCCACACCAAGGTGTGAACTTTCCTAACTGTGAGCTCCATGAGGGCAGATGTGGTTCTCTGTGCTCATGCCCAGCTCAAGCCCAAAGCAGATATTCACTTACTCAACAAACATGTATAAGCACCTACTATGTTCCAGGCAGTAAGCTAGAGGGACATGATAGCAAACAAAATACACACAAATCCCTGCCCTGAAATTGCTCACATTGTAGTGGGGTGGTAGCGAAGGATGAATGAATGAAGGGTTTATTCCGGTGGAAGAGTGGACTCAAAGGTTGTGACCACCTTGTACCCTGGGATCAATGAAACTTAGATAAAATATTTTACCCAAATGTCCAGAGCTCTGCAAAGTCAGAGCAAGAGGGACTGTTGGAGAGCTCACAGCCCAGCCCCCGCCCCCAAGTCTCTCTGGGGTATGTGTTTTGAGGGTAAGGACCTCAGGCAAGGCCCTGGCCGCCCTGGCTGCAGATTCTGAATGCTCCTAGGCTCCTGCTCCATATGCTCCCTTGGGCCATGTCCACAGCGGGCTCACTGTAGACACTGGGGCACCAAGAAACTAAAGGCTGAGACAGGACCCACGGTGAGTGAAGGGGGCTCCTGTGAGATAAGCAGAGCCTCCAAGGGAAACCATGGCCCAGGGAATTTATTTATTATTTTACTTTATTTTATTTTATTTTATTTTATTGAGACAGAGTCTCTGTCGCCCAGGCTGGAGTGCAGTGGCGTGATCTTGGCTCACTGCGACCTCCGCCTCCCAGGTTCAAGTGATTCTCCTGCCTCAGCCTCCTGAGAAGCTGGGATTACAGGCATGTGCCTCCACCACGCCCAGCTAATTTTTCTATTTTTAATAGAGACGGGGTTTCACCATGTTGGCCAGGATGGTCTCGATCTCCTGACCTCAGGTGATCTGCCCGCCTCAGCCTCCCAAAGTGCTGGGATTACAGGTGTGAGCCACTGAGCCCGGCCTATTTTATTTTATTGAGACAGAGTCTCTCTCTGTCACCCAGGCTGGAGTGCAGTGACATGAGCTCAGCTTACTGCAACCTCCATCTCCCGGGTTCAAGCAACTTTCCTGCCTCAGCCTCTCGAGTAGCTGAGACTACAGACGTGCCCTGCCACACCTGGCTAATTTTTGTATTTCTAGTAGAGACGGGGTTTCGCCATGTTGGCCAGGCTGATCTTGAACTCCTAACCTCATGTTATCTGCCGGCCTCAGACTCCCAAGGGGCTGGGATTACAGGCATGAGCCGGCCTGGGTTATTTGGAGAAGGAAGGAAAGGCTGCTGTGAGTGTAGTGAGGGGGGACCAGGTACGTTAGGAGAGAGCAAGTACACAGAGGCCAAGTTCTAAACCGAAGGCTGGATCTGCAATGTGAGAGCTGGAAACAACTCATTCCAATCCAATCCCGACTTCGGGGGAGGAAAGTGAGACCCAGAGAGGGGCATGCAGAGCCCTCTGTCACACTGCTCAGAGTATAGAGCTGGGACTAGGAGCTCCCGACTGCAGCCCTCACTGCCTGGGCACTGAGGACGGGATCCCAGCTCCCCTTCTCATCCCCGATCCCCAATCCCCTGTACTCACTGTCTGGGTCAGCAGCCCATTGCCCCCACAGAGGTGCATGGCTTAGGCGGGGGAGCAGAGTGGTCCCTCAGCAGCTGTGACTTCCCAGTGCCCTCTGGAGGCCTAAGGAAGTGGCAGCTCTTTAAATCCCCAGTGGCCACTCCGCCCCCAGAGGGCCAAGTTTCAGTTTCTCCTAAAGCCACCAGCTGCTCAGAATCCCTGGCTCAGGCTTGCTCACGTGGCTAGAATTTCCTAACATGAACTGGCCTTCCGGTTGGGCCCCTTCTCTGGAAAGAGGATGGTGGAGGGTGGAGAGGAGGGAAGACCAAAGGCCAGGTATGAGGAGGGTGTTCTAGGGGAGGGAGGACAGGCGGCCAGGGACTGAGATGAGAGAAGAAGCCAGTGGGGACCGATGCTCATGTGGGGTAGAGAGAGCCCTTGAGCTCTGGAATTGGGGGAACTCTGGATCACAGCACACATTGGAGCTGTCCAACTTTCAGAAAGTGACTCTCCTTCTCTGAGCCCTAGTTTTCTCATCTGGAGGATGGTACAACTACCCACTCCCAGGCTCATTGCAGGAACTAAGCCAGATAATACAACCACCCCCAAACCTTCTGAGACCACTATGGAAGCATGTCTGCAAAATTAAGCAATGGCTGTTGGATAGAACAGATGGATACATTACTGTTTTCATACAACAGACCATGAAGCAGTGGAAAGATTGATGTCCAGTGGTTAGGAGCCCAGCTTCCAAGCTATGTGACTTGGGTTCGTAATTTCATCTGTGTTTCTGTTTCCAAATCTGTAAAGTGGGGATAAAAACAATTTTGTTAGGCCAGATGCAGTGGTTCATGCCTGTAATCCAAGTACTCTGGGAGGCCAAGGCAGGAGGATTACTTGAGCTCAGGAGTTTGAGACCAGCCTGGGCAACATAGCAAGACCTTATCTATATTAAAAATAAAAAAAATAACTGGGCATGGTGGCACACACCTGTATTCCCAGTTACTCAGGAGGCTGAGATGAGAGGATCACTTGAGCCCAGGAGTTCAAGGCTGCAGTGAGCTATAATCTTGCCACTGCACTCCAGCCTGGGCAATAGAGCAAGACCTTGTTTCAAAAAAATTAATTAATTAAAAATTAAAAAATAAAGACCTAGCAAACCCTGAAGCCCCGGGCATACCTGCATGCTTGTTGTATCTCTAAGAGGGACACTTGGATGGGGCATCTGTTTGGGGGCCAGAGGGGCCAGTAATTCCTGTCCAAGAACAGCATGCATGCAGTATGTAGAGTCCTATGGTCTGGTGACTAGAGCATCTTGGAGTTGTACCTGAGACCTGAGGGCTCATGGCTGATGATGTGGTATCACAAGAATGGCAAATACAGATATGATCTTCTGATAGGTGATGGTGGCTGGAATGTTGTTTTAAAGAGTTCATGGACACCTCTGAGCTTAGTAAAAAAGAGTACTGCAGTTGATTAGCAATGTCTGCCACACCATGATCGATTAGTGATGCCTGTTATGGGCAGAGGTGTGGAGAGTGCAGTCCCCTGCTATCCCTAGAACCAGGCATAAAACAAGTCTGGGTTTCAGAGACAAAAGACTTGACTCTCCATCCTGGCACTCCACTCACCCAGTTTATCACCTGGAGCCTCAGTGTCTTCAAAGATATGCTGGTGATCACAAAGAAATGATACCTATTTGACAGTTGTTTTGAAGATGGGAAAGAATGAGATGAGAAGAAAGCTCTTGGGATATTGTAAAGTACTATGTGGCAAGGATTCCCCCTCCTGAAATTTGTGGTGTCATATTCTGGATTCTAAGATTATTAATGCAGGCTCCTAATTTAAAATGCCTGGGTGGGTGAGATTGGGCATAAGAGCTGGGCCTTGCCCTCCTAGCTTCTGAGGGGCCTGGGAGCAGAGGCGGAAGTGGGATGCCCCACGCAGTGAGGCCATCCCTGTTTCTCTGAATTATTGTTTCCTGGAAACCAGGAAGGCTGGGGCGTCTTGCCTGAGGCAGGCACCTGAAGGGCTCATTAAGCCAGCCCATGAGCTCCCCTGGGAGGATCTGCAGGCACCTTGTGCATGATGTGACTACGAAGAAACACCCGTGTGTGCTTGTGTGTGTGTGTGTGTGTGTGGAGGGGCTAGGCCTGAGTGTCCCACTCCAGATCCCAGCCCCTGCCCCAGACCCCCAGTCTTTCTTCTCCAGACCCTGGCTTCTGGCAGAGGTGAGACAGCAGGTGTAGCTCTTCCCAGAACACCACAGCCCTGGGAGAAGACCAAAGAAGGCAGCGTTTATGGCTCCCTGAGGAGGCAGCTGGGAGAGGGAGTGGCAGGGAGGGAGGGAGGTAGGGTGGGTAATGTTTAACTAGGAATGGCTGTGGGAGACTTCTCCCAGGCTGGTGGGACCATCCAATCTGACCTCGCCTTAGACGGTGTCTCAGTCAGCTCAGGCTGCTATAATGCAATACCAGAAACTGAGTGGCTTAATGACAGCCTTTTATTTCTCGCAGTTCTGAGGGCTGAGAAATCCAAGAGCAAGGTGCTGGTAGGTTTGGCTCCTGGCAAGGCCTCTTCCTGGCTGGAAGATGGTGGCACTCTTGCCGTATTCTCACACGGTCTCTCTGCCTTCTTATAAAGACACTCATCCCATTGTAGGGTCCCACCCTCACAACCTTATCTAAGCCTAATTACCTCCTGAAGGCCCCACCTCCAAATACCATCTTACCAAGGGTTGGCACTTCAGTGTGTGAGTTTGGGGGGGGAACACAAACTTTCAGTTCATAAAAGAGGGTGAGGAAACTAATGCCCAGAGGGGCAAGGTCACTCCACGGGAGGGGCAGAGCTGCAGGGAGAACACAACCTCTCTCTTCTAGGCCTCAGTCCTGCTCCACACTCTGCTTGGAAAGGCCTGGTCCATTAGTCCAGAGCCAGCAGCCCCAGTGGGTGGAGGGTTGGAGGCCTCCCAAATACCACAGCTACCAATGAGCTCCTACATGGCAGGACTGGTTCTTTGAAGGATCCCCAGTGCTTCAAACACTGCCTTCACGTAATAGATGCTCAATTAATGAATTAATTAATTAAAGTCCAGCAGGCAGCTTGCCACCCAGGAACCCCAAAACTTTCCTGAGGAAAGAAACTTTTCACTCATTCCCATAGGACCTGCCCTGGGTTCCTGGTGGGCTCCCCCCAACCAACTTCATCATTTCACCAATGAATAAACTGAATTATAGGGAAGAGAAAGTCACACCACTGTTTTGGGAGAAGCCAGAATGCCCTGAAGCCCTGTCCCTTTTTTTTTTTTTTTTTGAGACGGAGTCCCACTCTGTCACCCAGGCTAGAGTACAGTGGCACAATCTTGGCTCACTGCAACCTCTGTCTCCAGGGTTCCAGTGATTCACCTGCCTCAGCCTCCCAAGTAGCTGGAATTACAGGTGTACGCCACCACACCCACCTAATTTTTTGTATTTTTAGTAGAGATGGGGTTTCACCATGTTGGCCAGGCTGATCTCGAACTCCTGACCTCAAGTGATCTGCCAGCCTCAGCCTCCCAAAGTGCTGGGATTACAGGCGTGAGCCATTGCACGCGGCCTGTTTTTTGTTTTTTGTTTTGAGACAGAGTCTTGCTCTGTCTCCCAGGCTGGAGTGCGGTGGTGCGATCTCGGCTCACTGCAACCTCCGCCTCCCAGGTTCAAGTGATTCTCCTGCCTCAGCCTCCCAAGTAGCTGGGATTACAGGTGTGTGCCACCATGCCCAGCTAATTTTTGCATTTTTAGTAGAGACGGGGTTTCACCATGTTGGCCTGGCTGGTCTCAACCTTAGGTGATCCGCCAGCCTTGGCCTCCCAAAGTGCTGGGATTATAGGCGTGAGCCACCGTGCCTGGCCAATGGGGATAATAATAGAAGGATTTAAGTAATTTATGTAAAGGGCTTAGAACAGTGCACAGCCCACAGTTAAGTCACATAAACATCTGTTAAACTTAACAAAGGCACTCAATACATATCTGATTAATTTTTATTCACGTAACAACAGGCTTGTGTTTCCCTCCCTCCCTCCCTCCTTTCTCTCTCTCTCTCTCTTTCTTTCTTTCTTTCTTTCTTTCTTTCTTTCTTTCGATGGAGTCTTGCTCTGTACCCAGGCTAAAGTGCAGTGGTGGGATCTCAGCTCACTGCAATCTCTGCCTCCTGGGTTCAAGCGATTCTCCTGGCTCAGCCTCCTAAGTAGCTGGGACTATAGGCAGGCACCACCACACCCAGCAAAATTTTTGTATTTTTAGCAGAGACGGGGTTTCTCCACATTGGCCAGGCTAGTCTCCAACTCCTGGCCTCAAGTGATCCACCTGCCTCGGCCTCCCAAAGTGCTGGGATTACAGGCGTAAGCCACCGCACCCAGCCTTTTTTTTTTTTTTTTGAGACAGGATTTTGCTCTTGTCACCCAGGCTGGAGTACAGTGGCGCGATCTTGCCTCACTGCAAACTCCGCCTCCTGGGTTCAAGCAATTATCCTGCCTCAGCCTCCTGAGTAGCTGGGATTACAGATATGCAACACCACGCCCAGCTAATTTTTGTATTTTTAGTAGAGACAGGGTTTCACCATGTTGGCCAGGCTGTTCTTGAACTCCTGACCTCATGATCCTCCCGCCTCAGCCTCCCAAAATGCTGGGATTACATGCATCAGCCACTGCACCCGGCCGTAAGTGAAGTATTCTCCATGCAGCTGCTCATGAAACCTTCACCAGGAGGCAGCAGATATCTGTGTTAGAGGAGTCTCTCTCCCTTATTAGATGATCTAAGTTAAGTTACTACCAAGTCTAGAGTGCACCAGCTTCAGACACGAGGCCCAAACGATGTCATCAGGAGTCAAACTCTTACTCTATTTGCTGTCCTCCAGGCTGGCTACATTCTCAGGCAGAGCCCGGTCATGGGAGTAGGATGGCCACCAGAAACACCAGCTTCACAGCAACCCAGGGCAGGCACATCCCCAGCCCCTCCCACTTTCCCAGTAGCTCCAACAAAAGTCCCAGGCCTGGCCTTCCTTGGTCTGGCTTGGGTCATGTGCCTATTCCTGACATCAATCACTGTGACCAGGTGAGATTGGCAAGGGCAGGGCCTCAAGCCCATCCTGGAGCCCAGGGTTGGGGTGAGCCCCATCTAAACCATAAGGACTAGGGGTGAAGAAGGGGCAGTTCCCCAGGGCATCGGGGTACTGTTGGCAAAAGAAGGGTGAGTAGATGCCAGCTGATCCCACAACCTCAGCTCAGCTTCCGACATGAGGAAGCTGCCACTCAGCAGCACGTCCCGGGCTCTGGTCACCTCCCCAGGTAGATGGACTCCAATTCCCCCGTATCTCTGATACTAAGCCCGGCACTCTTCCTGTCCATTATTTCACACTGCTCAAGATGCGGAGGAAGGTCCCAGCAGTCAAGGACCCGTGGACAGGAAAGCAAGGGCTTGCCAAAGGATGATTCCAGATGTACTGAATGCTGGGCAGGGACAGGGGAAGCCACATCATGGAGACTCCCCAGGGCGTGGGGAGAGAAGAACAGACTTTTGCTTTCAGCACATTGTGCATACCACATTTCAGCGCTCATTAAAGATGGAGTCTGGGCAGGGCACGGTGGCTCACACCTGTAATCCCAGGACTTCGGGAGGCTGAGGTTGGCAAATTAAGAGTTCGAGACCAGCCTGGCCTACCTGGTGAAACCCTGTCTCTACTAAAAATACAAAAATTAGCCAGGCATGGTGGCACACACCTGTATTCCCAGCTACTCAGGAGGTTGAGGCAGGAGATTCGCTGAACCTGGGAGGCGGAAGTTGCAGTGAGCCGAGATTGCGCCATTGCACTCCAGCCTGGACAACAGAGAGATACTCTGTGTCAAAAAATAAAAATGAAAAAAGTTGGAGTCTGCAACTAGCTGGGCCTCCCAGGAACTAAGTGACTTCCCCTGGGCTCTATGGGGCTCTTCACTGCCCGGTCCTCGGTGCACCTTCCCACGCTCACTCCCCTCCCCAACCCCCAGTCCTGCTGGCCCTTTGCCACCTCCAATGCCTTGAGCTTCTGAGTCTCTGCCATTCCTTTAATGTACTTACACATCTTTCTGGGAAGCGGTCTGGAACTTCTGGAAATGGGAAGGCAGTATAAATTATAAACAGCTGAGCTCTGAAGAGTCTGAGAGCATCCCAGGGCTTTGTTTGTTTGCAAATGGCAGTTGCAACCATAGCTCCTAGATTTTCCCAGGCGGTTCAAGCCCCGGAAAGACCAGGGTTCAAATCCTCGCTCTGTCCTGCTACTGTGTGAGCTTGGACAAGGCCCTTGGTTTCTCTGGGTTCTCATTGTCCTTGTCTGTAAAATGGTGATAATTCCCTCACTTTGCCAGGGCTGCCATGATGACTGAAACAAAGTATGGAAAGTGGTCACCAGTGACCTCAGAAAGGATAAGTCCCTCGCTCTTGTCCTAGTTACCCCTAAAGACGGGAGGGCCTCATGTGGAGGCTGGTGCCGGGAACTGGCCAGCCGAGCTCACGGAGCAAGGGACTGGAGGGCTGGCTGGTGTGCAGTGGGGTGGGAAATGAAGCCCAACCCAGACTAGCTAGCGACTCAAAATGCAACAGACAAGGCAGTGCTGCCCTTGGCAGAACCAGCACCAAGGATAGCACCAAGGATAGCACCAAGGGTGCAGGAGAGCTTTTGCCATGCAAGTCAGCAGTCAGTCACAGCCAGAGGACTCCAGAGATTCTCCAGTTTGTTTTGCAACTGGGGAAACTGAGGCCTGGCAAGAAGAGGGGAACTGGCCAAGTACAAGGAGGCGGCAGAAACAGGCAGACCCAGGTTCTGCTGCAGCCTCCATGTTCTTTTCTCATCTTATTCCTCGCTGATCCAGAAAACATCTCGGGGCCTGGAGTGGAAATAACAGGGGCACAGGACACCCTTAGACGGCAGGGAGCATTTGTACCTGTTGCTGGTCTGCAGGAGCAGGACTGATTCCCAGAGGCCCCAGACCAGGGTCCCAGGAGCTGGAAAGGGGGCCCCATCTAGAAGAAAGTCTGGGGATGGGGTCCTCTGGAGAACTGAGTTCACCTGCAGCTCACGTTCACCAAGCTTCGAGGTCTCAGACAGCCTTGTGCCCTCTCTGGACCTGTTTCCTCATGTGTAAAATGAAGGAACTTAAGCAGGTGCCCCGTGGCTCACACCTATAATCCCAGCATTTTGGGAAGCCAAGGCAGGAGGATTACTTGAGCCCAGGAGTTCGAGACCAACCTGGGCAACACAGCAAGACCCCATCTCTACCAAACAAACAAACAAACAAACAAACCCAAAAACGAAAACAAAAATTAGCTGGGCATGGTGGCATGAGCCTGTAGTACCAGCTACTCAGGAGGCTGAGGTGGGAGGATCACTTGAGCCTGGGAGGCAGAGGTTGCAGTGAACTGAGATCACATCACTGCACTCCAGCCTGGGCAACAGAGTGAGACCCTGTCTCAAAATAAATAAAATAAAATGAAGGAACTTGACAATGACTTCTCAGGGTCCTTCTTGCTGTGCTGGAGGCCGGGGCCTGCCTGTGCCTCTTGGGAGGCCTTTTTCTAAACAAGGGACTAGCAATGAACCGAGGCTGGTGCTGCAGACAGAGACCTGGGTGCCTCCCCCAGCACTGCCATCTGCCTTCCACTACAGGGCTCAGTCTTCCCTTCCCACCACCCGTCAGGAAGCAGTACCTATGAGATGCCCTTTTTTTTTTGAGACAGAGTCTCGCTCTGTTGCCCTGGCTGGAGTGCAGTGGCGCAATCTCAGCTCACTGTAACCCCTGTCTCCCGAGTTCAAGCAATTCTTCTGCCTCAGCCTCCCGAGTAGCTAGGATTACAGGTGCCCAGCACCATGCCCTGCACCACACCCAGCTAGTTTTTGTATTTTTAGTAGAGATGGGGTTTCGCCATGTTGGTCAGGGTGGTCTCAAACTCCTGACCTCAGGTAATCCACCTGCCTCAGCTTCCCAAAGTGCTGGGATTACAGGCATGAGCCACCGTGCCCAGCCAAGATGCCTTTTTTGATTTGGGCCTGGTGTGGGAGTTGGAATCTGTGGGGATCTCAGAGAGCGGGAGCCGGGTCTGCCTCAGTTTGGGGGGCTGAGAAACCTGATGGTAAGAACAAGGCTGGTGAAGCCCTGCTGCTTCCTGTCCGTGTGAGCAGCTAGAAAGCAATTCACAAACCTCTATCCTTATTTCTATCACGCAGCAACTATTTCCTGAGCATCTCTTATGTGGCAGGCCCTGCTCTAGGTGCTGGGAGACATCTGTTTTTTAAAAAAAGATCCAAATCCTGCCCTTGTGAAATTTCCATCCTAGGGAGGAGCAGGGAGACGATAATTACATTAAGTGAATTATCTAGTCTGGTGGGAGTCCACAGGTACCAAGGGGAAAAGAGAGCTAGGTAAGGGCCATGGGGAGTGTGGGGTAGGGGATTTCACATGTAAATAGCGGGGTCAGACTGAGCCTCGTTGAGATATTTGAACAAAAAAAAATTGTTTCTGACATTGGACTTTTGAGCAAAGAATTAAAGACGAGAGAGCCGTGACAGTGAGGTACCGGCTGGGGTCGGGGGGCAGAGTGGTGTAGTGGACTCCTGGGACTGGCAGGGTCCAGGGAGCAAGAGATTGGGGTGGAGGCCACGGGCCATTCATGCAGGGGCTCATAGGCCAGTGAGAACCTTGGGCTTTTACTCTGAAAGATACAGAGAGCACCAGAGAGCTCTGAGCAGAGGAGAACATGATCTGATGCATAGGTTAAAAGGGTCCCTGGTCGGGCTTGGTGGCTCACACCTGTAATCCCAGCACTTTGGGAGGCCGAGGCAGAAGGATCACTTGAGGTCAGGAGTTCGAGACCAGCCTGGCCAACATGATGAAAACCCACCTCTGTAAAAAATACAAAAATTAGCCGGACGTAGTGGTGCATGCTTGGAAGGCTGAGGTGGGAGGATCACTTGAACCCAGGAGGTAGTGGCTGCAGTGAGCCGAGATTGCACCACTGAGCAAGACTCTGTCTCAAAATAAATAAATAGGCTGGGCATGGTAGCTCACACCTGTAATCCCAGCACTTTGGGAGGCAGATGTGAGCAGATCACCAGAGGTCAGGAGTTCGAGACCAGCCTGGCCAACATGGCGAAACCCTGTCTCTACTAAAAACACAAAAATTAGCTGGGTATGGTGGTGGATGCCTGTAATCCCAGCTACTCGGGAGGCTGAGGCAGAAGAATCGCTTGAACCCAGAAGGCAGAGGTTGCAGTGAGTCGAGATCACGCCACTGCACTCCAGCCTAGGTGACAGAGTGAGATTCCATCTCAAAATAATAATAATAATGATAACAAATAAAAATAAAAAATAAAAAGGTTGGCCAGGCGCAGTGGCTCATGCCTGTAATCCCAGCACTTTGGGAGGCCGAGGTAGGTGGATCACCTGAGGTCAGGAATTCGAGACCAGCCTGGCCAACATGATGAAACCCCATCTCTACTAAAAATACAAAAATTAGCCAGACATGGTGGCTCATGCCTGTAGTCCCAGCTACTCTGGAAGCTGCGGCACAAGAATCATTTGAACCCAAGAGGCGGAGGTTGCAGTGAGCCAAGATCACGTCACTGCACTCCAGCCTGGGTGACAGAGTAAGACTCTGTCTCAATAAATAAATAATTAATTAATTAAATAAAAAAGGGTCCCTGTGCCTTGGAGCAGGGGAGCAGGGAAGCCGGTCAGGAGGCTGCTGCAGCGATCCAGGTGAGTGGGTGGGGGGGTCTGTCATGCGGAGAGAAGAGTGGTACCTGCCTCTTAGGTTCCGGAGTGAGGGCACAGCAGGACACGGGCAACCAGGGGCAGCAGCTGCGCTCCTGCGTTCATTCACCAGGCCTGGCCCCATGGAGGCAAGAAGCATCTAGCACAGCTTTGCTCCTGAGGGGCCACAGGCAACAGGTGAGGTGTACGAGCACATGGCTGTTGGAAGATCTCAGATTTTCAAGTCCTTTCTACCTCCTAAGGTTCTGGAAAAGCTTGCAGATGTCATGTGCCTTTGCGTGGTGAATAACACCTCCTTTTGTCATCTGGAGTTGGAGAGGATGCCTCTGCTGCCTCCCACACAGGCAGCTGGGCTAAGACCTGTAATGCAGATGCTTGAACACTCTGACTTGTCTTATGAGGCATGCAGCAGTGGCATGCAGGATGTACACACCCACTGAATCATCACTGACCAGCACTGAGGACCTGGCTGCCTTTGGATATGTAAAACCTACATAGGCTGAGCACAGCAGCTCACGCCTGTAATCCCAGCACTTTGGGAGGCCGAGCTGGGTGGATCACTTGAACCCAGGAGTTCAAGACCAGCCTGGCCAACATGGTGAAACCCTATCTCTTCTAAAAATACAAAAATTAGCCAGGCATGGTGGTGCATGCCTGTAATCCCAGCTACTCGGGAGGCTGAGGCAGGAGAATCGCTTGAACCCGGTAGGTGGAGGTTGCGGTGAGCCAAGATTGCGCCACTGCACTCCAGCCTGGGTGACAGAGTGAGACTGTCTAGAAAAAAAAAAAAAACCTGCCGGAAGATTAGCAGTGGGAGGGCAGAACTATGGTCTGTATGCAGTTGCCATCTCTGTGCTTCCAGTTCTTTGCTTATTAATTAGTAGGACAAAACCTACACTTGGGTAAGCTGCCAGCACGTGCTTGCTGGTGCCTCTGTCACAGGCATGTGGTCCAAAAAATAAGACTGGCATCCTAGATTGTCTTATCAGAGAGGGAAAACAGGTTTTCTGTCTTCTCATTAAAACTGTAACTTTATTATAAACAATCTAATATAAACAATGTAGGTTAAAAGAATTAAATAGGCCAGACATGGTGGCTCACGCCTGTAATCCCAATGCTTTGGGAGGCCAAGGTGGGGAGATCACTTAAACCTAGGATTTTGAGGTTAGCCTGGGCAACAAGGTGACCCAAACCCTGCACTCCAGCATGGGCCTGGGGTCCTGGCCTTGCCAATCTCACCTGGTCACAGTGATTGATGTCAGGAATAGGCACATGACCCAAGCCAGACCAAGGAAGGACAGGCCTGGGAGTTTTGTTGGAGTTACTGGGAAAGTGACAGGGTCTGGGGATGTGCCCCCCTGGGGTGATACTAAGCTGGTGTTTCTGGTGGCCGTCCTACTCCCATGAGCGGGTTCTGCCTGAGAATGTAGCCAGCCCGGAGGACAGCAGATAGAGGAAGAGTCTGACTCCCAATGACATCGTTTGGGCCTCATGTCTGAAGCTGGTGCACTCTAGACTTGGTAGTAATTTAACTTAGATCATCTATAAGGGAAAGAGACTCCTCTAACACAGATATCTGCCGCCTCCCGGTGAAGGTTTCATGAGCAGCTGCATGAAGAATACTTCACTTGCTGCAACACTGCAGAAAAATAAGGCAAGTCCACAGAGGGCAACAAATGACAGTGAAGGGTTAAACAGGAAAACTAAGAATCCAGAGAACCCAATTTCCCATCTCTTCGTGAGACTCCTTTATAAGTGTAAGAAATCTGGAGCAATTTACACCAGATATAAGTGCTGCTTCTCACACATGAACACAATCATAACTTGCTCCTTCTTTTTCTTAATTTTCTTTTGAGACAGTCTCATTCTGTCTCATACAGGCTGGAGTGCAGTGGCGCAATCTCGGCTCACTGCAACCTCCGCTGCCGCCCACCACCCCCAGGGTTCAAGTGATTCTCGTGCCTCAGCCTCCCAAGTAGCTGGGACTACAGGTGTGCGTGACCACACCCGGCCAATTTTTTGTATTTTTAGTAGAGATGAGGTTTTGCCATGTTGGCCAGGCTGGTCTCAAACTCTTGGCCTCAAGTGATCCACCCAGCTCGGCCTCCCAAAGCACTGGGATTACAGGCGTGAGCCACCGTGCCCAGCCTCATCATTATTTAAGAAAAAAAAAATTAAAAATAAAAAAAAATAGCTGGGCATGGTGGCATGTGCCTGTGGTCCCAGCTACTTGGGATGGTGAGGTGGGAGGATCATGTGAGCCTGGGAGGACGAGGCTGCAGTGAGCTGTGATCATGCCACTGCACTTCAGCCTAGATGACAGAACGAGACCCTGTCTCAAAAAAAAAAAAAAAAACACACACACACACACACACACAGAAACTGTGTGTCTAGAGCAAACTTAAAAATAAATATTTAGATAAATAAATAAATAAATAAATAAATAAATAAATAAAATACTTGGGTATACTCCTTGCTAATGCTTAATGGCCAGCAGTTCTAATTTAAGCAGAGTCTTCTCCCCTGGCCTTTTTTCCTTCTGGTTCCAGAATATAGAATTCTGTTACTTTTCTTATTATTATAAAGGTAATCCATGAAATATAATGGCTGATTAAAATGATTTACTTTTTAAAATTAAAACTATAATGCCAAATTTTCAGGCCCGGCACAGTGGGTCATGCCTGTAATCCCAGTACTTTGGGAGGTCAAGATGGGAGGATTGCTTGGGGCCCAGAGTTTGAGATCAGTCTGGGCAACACGGCAAAACCCAGTCTCTACAAAAAATACAAAAATTAGCTGCGTGTGGTGGCACAGAACTTTAGTCCCAGCTACTCAGATGGCTGAGATGGGAGGATCACCTGAGCCCAGGGAAATCAAGGCTGCAGTGAGCCGTGATTGTGCCACTTCACTTCAGCCTGGGTGATAGAGTGAGAACCTGTCTCAAAAATAATAATAATAATAATAATAATAATAATAATAATGTGAGACCCTGTCTTAAAAATAATAATAATGCCAAATTTTTCTTTCTAGACGTTGGGTAAACATGCCTTGTTAAAAGGCTGTAGATCTCTATCCTCAAGTTACAAGCCACTTACTCGGCCCTAAGAAGTTTCCCCTTCAAAAGCAGGTTTCACAGATGTCACGATTTGGGTATTTTAATTTCACGATTCTTTCTTGTGAAAAAAAAATATATATATATATTCATATTCACAATTATATATAACTACAGCTCTATACATCTTCTTTCCTAGTTTTCTTCCAAAGGTATTTCCCAAAGATTTTATTTAAGAGTGCTCTTCTGCTCCTCTGCTTGAAAGTAAAAAAAAAAGAAAGAAAAAAAGCCAGGTGCATTGGCTCTTGCCTGTAATCTCAGCACTTTGGGAGGCCGAGGTGGATGACTTGAGGTCAGGAGTTTGAGACCAGCCTGACAAACATGGTGAAACCCCGTCTCTACTAAAAATACACAATTAGCCAGGTGTGGTGGTGCACACCTGTAATCCCAGTTACTTGGGAGGCTGAGGCAGGAGAATCGCTTGAACCTGGGAGATGGAGGTTGCAGTGAGCCGAGATTTTGCCATTGCACTCCAACCTGGGCAACAAGAGCAAAACTTCGTCTCAAAAAAAAAAAAAAGAAAAAAAAAGAGCTCTCCTCCTTTCCATGAGGCAAATGAAAACACAGCTCGTAATGAGGCCCCTTACTTGTCTTTAAATGCCTCTCCACCCAATTTCTAGCTACAGTCAGTTCTTCAAAAGTTAAACACAGGCCAAGTGGGGTGGCTCATGCCTGTAATCCCAGCACTTTGGAAGTCTGAGGTGAGAGGATCACCTAAGCACAGGAGTTCAAGACCAGCCCGGGTAACACAGCGAGACCCTCGTCTCTACAAAAAATTTAAAAAATTAGCCGGGCTTGATGGCATGCACCTGTAGTCCCAGCTACTCAGGAGACTGACGTGGGAGGACTGCTTGAGGCTGCAGTGAGCCATGATTGTGCCACTGCACTCCAGCCTGGGTGACAGAGTGAGACCCTGTCTCTAAAATATGTTTAAAAAGTTAAACATAGTTGGCCGGGCGCGGTGGCTCACGCCTGTAATCCCAGCACTTTGGGAGTCCAAGGCTGGCGGATCACGAGGTCAGGAGATCGAGACCATCCTGGCTAACGCGGTGAAACCCCGTCTCTACTAAAAATACAAAAACTTAGCCAGGCATAGTGGCGGGCATCTTTAGTCCCAGCTACTCGGGAGGCTGAGGCAGGAGAATGGTGTGAACCCGGGAGGCGGAGCTTGCAGTGAGCTGAGATTGCGCCACTGCACCCCAGCCTGGGCGACAGAGCAAGACTCTGTCTCAAAAAAAAAAAAAAAAAAGCTAAACATAGTTACTTCCTGAACTCCCCCTTTTTCACAGAGCTTGGATGTTGTTTATTTTTATTTTTTTAATTTATATTCACTGAAATTCTACCATGTGGCCCCTGGGAACAACAGCATGGACAGGCAAGACTTTAAGCCAGACATTTGAACAAGTTCTTTCAATGCTACTGGTAGGAAATAAAACAATCCGAGGCTGGGTGCGGTGGCTCACACCTGTAATCCCAGCCCTTTGGGAGGCTGAGGAAGGCAAATCTCTTGAGGCCAGGAGTTTGTGACCAGCTGGCCAACATGGTGAAACCCTGTCTTTACTGAAAATATAAAAATTAGCCGCGCATGGTGGCTCATGCCTGTAATCCCAGCTACTCAGGAGGCTGAGGCAGGAGAATAGCTTGAACCTGGGAGGCAGAGGTTGCAGTGAGCCAGGATTGTGCCACTGCACTCCATCCTGGGTGACAGAGCCAGACTCTGTCTCAAAGAAAAAAAGAAAATATAGACACACCCAAGGTAATAATTTTATGTTCTCCCAAACTTCATTGCCCTGATTTTCAAACTTTTGTGACTGTGATTCACAGTGAGAAGTACACATATCTGTATAAATATCTAAAACAAATGTTTCACCAAACGCTACTTAGCTTTACTACGTGGGTAAAGGTAGTAATGTTTTCAGTTCTGTTCATTCTATTTCATTTTTGTTAATGCTACTAGGTTGAACCATTTGAAATACATCTGTGTATCAAAACTGTCAAATATGGGCAATTTCATACAGTTCAACCTATTTGTGACACTAATTTTACAATCCACTTCCTTAATGGAATGCATCTCATAGATTAAAAAACATTGCTAAGTGGGCATATTTCCAGTTAATATTATTTTTAAAACTAAAAGAGGACTGAATTTTTGTTTTTGTTTTTCATTTAATATGGCGCGGACATCTTTCCACACTGGTATCTTACAGCTCCACCTCACTGTTTTCTGTTTCTTTGAGACGGTCTAACTCTGTCATGAAAGCTAGAGTGCAGTGGCATGATCACGGCTCACTGCAGCCTTATCCTCCCTGGTTCCCACCTTGGCCTCCTAGGTAGCTGGAACTACCGATGTGCACCACTACACCTAATTTTTTTTTTTTTTTTTGAGACAGACAATTTCGCCCAGGCTGGAGTGCAGTGGCACAATTTCAGCTCACTGCAACCTTCGCCTCCTGGGTTGAAGTGAGCATGTCTGGCTAATTTTTGTATTTTTTATAGAGATGGGAGTCTCCCTAAGTTGGCCAGGCTGGTCTTGAACTCCTGGGCTCAAGCAATCCACTCACCTCTGCCTTCCAAAGTGCTGGGATTAGACATGAGCCACTGCGCCTGGCCCACTTCACTGTTTTAAGGGCTTCATGAATTCACATGCACCTACCCCGGCTCAGGTAACCTGCCCTCACTGGAGGCACTTAGGTTTTTTCCAATTTCTTGCTGTTCCAAACCATGCCACAGTGAACTTCGTTGTTCCTGTGCAGTGCCAGAATGTCTGTGGTGCAGGCTCCTAGAAGCAGGATGGCAGGCTCCTACCTCTAGACATTTCTTTTTTTTTTTTTTTTTTTTTTTTGAGACGGAGTCTCACTCTGTCACCCAGTCTGGAGTGCAGTGGCACAATCTCGGCTCACTGCAACCTCCGTCTCCTGGGTTCAAGCAATTCTCTGCCTCAGCCTCCCGAATAGCTGGGATTACAGGTGCCGCCACCACGCCCAGCTAATTTTTTGTATTCTTAGTAGAGACGGGGTTTCACCATGTTGGCCAGGCTGGTCTTGAACTCCTGACCTCGTGATCCACCTGCCTCGGCCTCCCAAAGTGCTGGGTTTACAGGCGTGAGCCATGGCGCCCGGCCAGCATTTCCCATTTTGATCTTAGCTGCATTTCGAAGCCTCTGGGTAGGCGATATGCTCACTTTCTTCCTTGTGTGTGTGTGATGGAGGGTAAATGGTGCTGACCGAAGGGTCCCACTCAGGCAGCCTATCTGTTCAGCCCTCCTCTGACCACAAGCCCCTTTCTGCAAGATGGGAAGCTCCAGCTTCTTCCAGACCTCTCTCTAGGCAAACTTCATGGAGGCATGAAGACATTGTGCTTTACCATTTACTAGACCTGAGTTTGAATCTCACCCATGCTCCTTAAACACTCTGGATTCCATTATCATAGCTACGAAAAGAATATAAACCTCTCAGGGTTGCAGGGAGGATGAAGCTGAACACGTGAAGTGCGTTGCAAACAGTTACACAGGAGTTAGCTATTGTCCTCAGCTGGTGCTGACAGCTCTTTCCCAAGCATGAGAGAGGCTCTTCCGTGCTGCCTATCCACACTTACCTGCAGCAATAAGGCTGTCTCCTGAGTTTACAAAAGGGCTTGGTCCTTGACCTATTTCCTCACTTCTTCTGGACTTCTTGAGCGCTAAAGTAAAGAATGAAACTCTTGGACAAAGCCATTCATTCAACAACAAATATTTATTGAGCACCTACTACATGCCAGCCACTGTGCTAAGCACCATCTGGGCCTCAGTTTTTCCATCTGCAAAAGTAGGAACTGTGCTTCTGAACAGGGAAACGCTGGGCCTCTGGGTGGGGGCAGCCTTTGGGGCGGGACTGCAATTCCGTCATTGGAACCCAGGGACGCCCCGCATGTTTCCGAACGGCCTCCAGGGGGCACCGCCGCCCTGAACTGAGAGCCACCGGAGCCGGGTAGGGGGAGGCCCAACTTTCCGCTCTGTCAGAGGATGATGCCGAGGGCCCAGATGAGCAGGATTTGGACTGTGTTGCTGGGAACGGGGGCCTACACTGGCCCCAGGATGAGTTCGTCCGTACCTGGGGGCCCTGGGTTCTGACTCTCAGGTCAGACGCAGCCAAGATGCAACTCAGGAACTTCAAGGTTTCCGCTCCGGCCAAGAGCCCCAGTCCGGCAGGGGAAAGGGTGGGGGAGTCGCCCTTGCTCCCCCAGCCTCAGCCCTCGGGAGGCGCAGCGTCAGGGCGGGCGGCAGCACAGAAACCCCCCGCGCCGCTAGAGGGACCCTCGCAGCAGCTGCGCGGGCGACCTCGCGGTCACGTGCGGCAAGGGCGGGACCAAACGAGCGTCCGGCCAATCGACTATGCCGTCGGCGAGCGTGATAGCCAACAGGAACCGGGAGCGGGGTCCCGGGACTGGGAAGAAACGGCGGCCGGGAGGGGGCTCCGGGGACCATGGGGCTCCTGACCATTCTGAAGAAGATGAAGCAGAAAGAGCGGGAGCTGCGACTGCTCATGCTGTATCCTACCGGACGCCGGAACCGCGAGGGTGGCGGGGTCCAGCCGGGCAGGCGGTGCCGGGCGCCCCCTGTCGGGAGCGGAACGCGGCGGCCGGCGCGTCCCAACTGCCCCTGGCGTCACCACGCGGGCCCCATCAATCGCCCCGTCGGGCCGGGAGGAGCCGCACCCCAGGACTGGGGCAGGGGCCAGCTCCGAGGGCCGCAGAAGCGGTCCTGCAGGCGCAGCGGCGGGGCTAGGCGGCCCGAGTGTCAGGGGTGGTGGGTCCCGGAGATAACTCGGACGCCACCACCCGGCGGCCTGGCCCAAGCGTGGGGCCGCTGCCCTCCCGGCTCTGATCTCCTCCCCCGGGCCCGAGGGTTCCAGGCCCCGGCCCCGCCCTCGAGCTCCGAATCCCGGGGGCGTGCGGGGTGGCGGGTGGCGCGTGTGGGCTCCGCGGATCCTTTCGAGCGTGGATCCAACAGTCCGTCTCTTTGGTGTTACGCGGCCCGTGGTTGTCCCTGCGGCTGAGGATGTGTGTGTGTGGGCCCGAGTGTCCCGTGCGCCCTGTGCGCCTTCTGAGTCCAGTTAGGCGCCCGCACCTGTTCCCCCAGCTCTGTGCCAGGCTCCGCGGGGGAATGGCTGGGGAGATAAGACGCTTACGTGCACATATAACTTAATAATCACATCATGACTGTTTTGTTTTTTGAGACAGGGTCTTGCTCTGTTGCCCTGGCTGGAGTGCAGTGGCACAATCAAGGCTCACCGCAGCCTCCAGCTTCTAGGCTTAAGTGATCCTCCTGCCTCAGCCTCCCAAAACTCTGGGAATATAGGCATGAGCCACGGAGTCCGGCCCATGTCTGTTTTATTTTGTTTTGTTTGAGACGGAGTTTCGCTCTTGTTGCCCAGGCTGGAGTGCAGTGGCACAATCTCAGCTCGCTGCAACCTCCGCCCCCCGAGTTCAAGCAATTCTCCTGCCTCAGCCTCCCAAGTAGCTGGGATTACAGGTGCCCGCCACCACGCCCGGCTATTTTTTTAAATATTGTTAGTAGAGACGGGGTTTCACCTTGTTGGTCAGGCTGTTCTCGAATTCCTGACCTCAAGTGATCCACCCGCCTTGGCCTCCCAAACTGTTGGGATTATGGGCGTGAGCCACTGCGCCGGGCCGCATGTCTGCTTTAAAGAGCTCTAAGAAAAGCATACAGTTCACTCATTTGATAAATATTGAGTGCCTAATATGTGCTAGACACTGTCCTAGTGCCCAGGGTAATAAAACTAAAAAATCTTACCTTCATGGAAATTCTGTAATGCGTGTGTGTGTGTGTGGCGGGGGGGTTGCCCGCGGGTAGAAAGATGATAACACAGGAAGTAAGTAAAATATGTAATAGAGGCTGGGTGCGGTGGCACACACCTGTAACCCTAGCACTTTGGGAGGCTGAGGTGGGAGGTTCGCTTGAGCCCAGGTGTTTGAGACCAGCCTGGGCAACATAGTGAGACTCTGTCTCTATTTATACATATATATATTCTCCATACATACTATATATATATGGGCCATGCTTTGGACCATGCTTCTGGGGAACAGGGCCTTATACTGCTCCAGGATGAACTCCCACTACGTATATAGGTATGGAGAATAATGCAATTTAGGGTGGTCAAAGAAGGCCACTGTATGATGGCAGGGCGCAGTGGCTCATGCCTGTAATCCCAGCACTTTGAAAGGCCGGGGCGGATGGATCGCCTGATGTCAGGAGTTTTGAGACCAGTCTGGCCAACATGGTGAAATCCCGTCTCTACTGAAAATACAAAAATTAGCTGGATGTGGTGGTGGACACCTTTAATCCCAGCTACCTGGGAGGCTGAGGCAAGAGAATTGCCAGAACCCGGGAGGCGGAGACTGCAGTGAGCTGAGATCACGCCATTGCAGTCCAGCCTGGGTGACAAGAGCGAAACTCTGTTAAAAAAAAAAAAAATGACAATTGAGTACATGAGGGAGGCGAGGGTTGAACCATATAGCAATTCGGGGGGGGGGGAAACTTTAAAGCAAAGGGAACAGCAAGTCAGAGGCCCTGGGAGGACTAACTGGCGTGTTCAGAGGACTGGTGAGGAGGGCAGTATGGCTGGAGTGGGGAGGAGGAGCGTTGACTGGGAACCCCCTCACCTAGGGCCTTTTGGTTTTTGGTTTTCCCTTTCAGTGAGAAGTGCAGTGGAGAGAAGGAATCGCAGACCAGTTAGGCCACTGCAGTGACGCAGGCGAGATAGGATGGTGGCTTGGACCAGGATGGAAGTAGTGAGGTCATGGAAGTTTCTGGCCTGAGCAATTAGAAGGGTGAGGAACCATTTGCTGAGATGGAGAGGACTGGGGGAGGAGCAGGTTCAGGGTGGAGATGAGAACCCTGTGTGTGCCTGTGTGTGCCATGTGAGATGCCTCCGAGACAGCCCAGAAGTGTCAGGCAGGCAGCTGGATGTAGGCACTGAGGTCCAGTGTGTGGGAGGTGCACATTTGGGTGTTATCAGGATAGAGATGGTATTTGAAGCTGTGATCCTGGATGAGGTCACCCAGGGATGAGCGTGGCCAGAGAAGAGAACCCGGTTGTACCAGGATGAAGTCAGGTGAGGAGCAGAACCAGGTGAGGGTGTGTCCCAGTGCCAAGGGCAGCGCATGTGCTGGGGAGGAGGGTGAGCCACTCCATCAGGTGCTGAGTGGGGAACAGAAGATGACTGAGCGCTGTCCCAGCACTAGAGGGCCACAGGGAGGTCTTTGGGGACTGACCTTGGTAAGGACAGTTTTGGCCACAGCAGCAGCAAAAGCCTGATGGGAGTGTGTTCTTGAAAGAGCAAGAAGGCAGAAATGGGGGTGAGCACAAACAACTATTTTGAGATTTCCTGTAAAAGGAAAGATATAAATGAATAACTAGATGGGGCAGAGAGATCAAGGGCTTTGTTTGCTCTTTTTTTTTTTTTAATCAGACGGGGTCTCGCTGAGTCGCCCAGGCTGGAGTACAGTGGTGTGATCTCGGCTCATTGCAACCTCTGCCTGCCGGGTTCAAGCAATTCTCCTGTCTCAGCCTCCCGAGTAGCTGGGACTATAGGGGCCCGCCACCACGCCTGGCTGATTTTTGTAGTTTTAGTAGAGATGGGGTTTCACCTTGTTGGTCAGGCTGGTTTCGAACTCCTGACCTCAGATGATCCACCCACCTTGGCCTCCCAAAGTGCTGGGATTACAGGTGTGAGCCACCGCGCCCGGCCTATTTGCTCTTTTTAAGGTGGGAGAAAGAACGGCAAGCTCATCAGCCAGTGGGAATGATCAAGAGGGGAAGGAAACATGGATGATGGCTTGGGGGCAGGGGGTCATCAGCGGCTAGGTTCCAGGGGCTAAGGCTGGGCCTCAGGGGAAATGCCCTCCTCACCCCTCTCCTGGGCCTAGGTCATTTGCCCCAGCTCCGATGAGCAGGGAAAGGTGGTCGAGTCCAGGACCCGCCCACCCCACCATGCCCAACTGAGCTGCAGTGTTGGGAAGATAGAGGAGGGTGGTTCCTTCCACAGGTAAGCACACCCATTAATTTGCACTGTGCAGTAGCAGGTCTGGAATATTCCAGAAACAAATGAGGGTGGCTGCCTCCAGATATTTGTTCTTACCTTAGTTCTTCAAAAAGCTTGCTCCTTGTATTTTGGGTCTCAGCTCCAGACACCTCAGAGAGGCCTTCCCCGGCACCTGAGCTGAAAGAGCCTCCTCCGATGGCCCTCTTGGAAAGCCTCTCTGTTGTGTTGATGGCGCTAGCCGGGATCTGGCAGGGCCTTCTTTTCTCATTTGTTTGTACTTTATTGACTGTCTTCCCGCTAGAGTGTAAGCTTCCTAAGGGCAGGGCTTTGTCCTCTAGCACCCAGAAGAGGGTCTGGCACATAGTAGGTGTTCAACAAATTAAGGAGCCTTTGGTCAGTAGAGATGATATTTATAATTTGATACTTTCATATTTATTGTGGGCCGATTATGGTCAGGCATGTGCTCAACTCAGTTTGATACATGGTGGGAAATAATGAGTCCCCTAAGGGGCTCTGCAACAATGTCACCACCTGGCAGAGAACAGGGACTTCTCCTTAACCTGCTGCGCCCCAGTGGCCTGGACAATGCTGGAAAGACAACCATCCTGAAGAAGTTCAATGGGGAGGACATCGACACCATCTCCCCAACGCTGGGCTTCAACATCAAGACCCTGGAGCACCGAGGGTGAGCAGGGGCCCCATGGGAGGGCCAGCCCAGAGCAGGGCAGGGAAGGTGGGAGAGGGGCCCAGCTGACCCTCCTGTCACCCGCTCCTTGCCCAGATTCAAGCTGAACATCTGGGATGTGGGTGGCCAGAAGTCCCTGCGGTCCTACTGGCGGAACTACTTTGAGAGCACCGATGGCCTCATCTGGGTAGTGGACAGCGCAGACCGCCAGCGCATGCAGGACTGCCAGCGGGAGCTCCAGAGCCTGCTGGTGGAGGAGGTGGGCAGCTCCTACCCTTTGTGTACATGTATGGACGTGTGGCTGCCTTCTCAGCAGATGCCCAGAGGGGCCCGTGGCCCCAGAGGGAAACCAGAGGCAGGATCCCTTCCTTCTCTGGGCCCCCACCATGGGAGGCCCATGGTGCCAGAGGCAGGACACATGCTGTGGACTGAGATTGAGTTAACGTCCCTGTGGTGTTACTACGTCACTACCCTGAGCATCAGTTTCTATGCCTTGAAATGGTGATGATGACACCCACATCACTGGGCTTTAGGGAGGATAACCCAAGGCCAGTATGAAGCTTCGAGAGGCCATGGAGCCTGGCTCAAGAGTCTGACTCTTTGCTGTGTGACCTCAGCTGGGGGTGGTGGCACGCACCTATAGTCCTAGCTACTCTGGAGGCTCAGACAGGAGGATCAGTTGAGCCCAGGAGGTTGAGGCTGCAGTGAGCTGTGATCGTGCCACTGCACTCCAGCCTCCTGGGCGACAGAGCAAGACCCTGTCTCAAAAAAAAAAAAAAAGGAAGGGGCCAGGTGCGGTGGCTCACGCCTGTAATCCCAGCACTTTGGGAGGCTGAAGCGGGCGGATCACGAGGTCAGGAGATCGAGACCGTCCTGGCTAACATGGTGAAACCCCGTGTCTACTAAAAATACAAAAAATTAGCCAGGCATGGTGGCGGGCGCCTGTAGTCCCAGCTACTCAGGAGGCTGAGGCAGGAAAATGGCGTGAACCTGGGAGGCGGAGCTTGCAGTGAGCCGAGATTGTGCCACTGCACTCCAGCCTGGGCAACAGAGTGAGACTCCGTCTCAAAAAAAAAAAAGAAGGACACTTGCAAAGATAGTACAGAGGTCAGAGGTCCCCCATATACCCTTTACCTTGCTTCCCCATCTTACCTAACCGTGGCCTGTCCAAACTAATAAATCAACACTGGTGAATTACTATTATCTTAATTACAGATTTTATTTGAATTTCACGTTTTTCCACTAATATACTTTTTGTGTTCCAATGTTTGATTCAGGCTACAAAATTGCATTTAGTTGAAAATGAGGACACTTGTGAGAGTGAAAGGGGGGATTCTGCAGGCAGAGTGGGGACTGTCCTGGGCACACCGCACACATCTCCTATGTGGGTGGAGCAGGTCAGATGAGATCAGGGCCGTCAAATGCTGGTCAAGGCAGGTCAAGGCCCAAGGGTTAGACCCGTCCACCCACATCTCTCCCAATCACAGACACATATGTGGAAACAACTAGAATCAGAGGTGGACAGTGAGGCCTGTCGGGAGTGGAACGGTTAAAGGGCTGTGTGAACCCAGAAGAGGGAGAGTTCACATCCTCTGTGCATGTCTGGTCATCAGATTGGAGCAGTCTAGAACCACGGAGAGCTCAGGGATCATCTTATGCAACACCCCTCCCTGTTCATGGAAGAGGAAGCTGGAGCATGGGGACAGCGGTGTCCCCTGGGTGGTGGTTGGCTGGAACCAGAACCCTGGCCCAGGGCTGCTCCATTCATGTGGGCCAGCCTTGATGGCTACGTCCACAAACTCACTCCTGGGCCTCTCCCACCACCACGGGGCCTCACCTTGATCTTCCAGGTCGATCCTTCACCCCAGATGCTCTGGGCCATTAGAGGAGGGGTCAGGCTGTCCTCTGAGTCCCCACCCCACCCCTCTATCTTTTCTCCCCCAGCGCCTGGCCGGAGCAACCCTCCTCATCTTTGCTAATAAGCAGGACCTGCCTGGAGCACTGTCCTCTAACGCCATCCGCGAGGTGAGTCCAGGCCCCGGGACAGGCTCGCTGAGGGAAAGGGGCATACATTTATTTATTTTAAAAGCATTTATTAAAAATAACCAAAAAGGCTGGGTGCAGTGGCTCACGCCTGTAATACCAGCACTTTGGGAGGCCAAGGCGAGTGGATCACCTGAGGTCAGGAGTTCGAGACCAGCCTGACCAACATGATGAAACCCCGTCTGTACTAAAAATACAAAAATTAGCTGGGTGCAGTGGCGTGCGCCTGTAAGCCCAGCTACTCAGGAGGCTGAGACAGGAGAATCGCTTGAACCCAGGACGTGGAGGTTGCAGTGAGCCAAGATTGCGCCATTGTACTCTAGCCTGTGGGAAAAGAGTGAGACTTCGTCTCAAAAAAAAAAAAAAAAAGAAAGAAGTAAAATAATAATAAGAAAAGCATTTATTAGCCTAGCCCTGCTAGGTGGCAGGACCTATGCAGGGCACTGGGGATCCAGTGATTAATAAGGCATGGGGTGGCCCACAGCCTGGGGAAGGCAGAGCTGCGCATGTGTTGTTCACAGGCTAACGGTAGCCAGCACAAGTCAGTGCTTTCAGTATGCTCTGCTCCTTGCATGGATTAACTCATTTCATTCTCACAACCACCTCATGAGGTGAGAACTATTATTTTACAGATGGTGAAGCAGGCTCACAGAGGTTAGGTAACTTGTCCCAGGTCACACAGCCACTAAATAGACAGGAAGCCTGTGTCTGACCCCAGAGCCCACATTTTAACCATGATTCTAGTGCTCAAGCACCACAGTGAGAAAGAGCAGGGTTAAAATCTTGGCTCTGCCACTTATGAGCTATGTTCCCCTAGGCAGGTTGCTTAACCTCTCTGAACTTTGGTTTCCTCCTTGGTGAAATGGTCGACACAATCCCTGGCTCATGAGGGCTTGAGGAGAATGAGTGAGAGAGGGTGTGTGGGGCTCCTAGCACGATGCCCGGATCCTGGTGGATGCTCAGGAGCCCATGCTGCATTTACATCACTAAGGGGCAGCACTGGCATGGAACTGGACAGAGAGCCCAGGTGCCCCTGGGGTCTGACAAACTCTCCCTGGGACCGGCGGGGCTTCCTGGATGGGATGACATGGAGCAGGGCCTTGAGGAAGGCGTGGAGTTCCTCTGGGCTGGGGAGGGAAGGGGCTGACGGCAGGCAGGGTCTGCAGTCACTGGCCACCACCATCAGCACCTTTGTCCTCCCAGGTCCTGGAGCTGGACTCCATCCGCAGCCACCACTGGTGCATCCAGGGCTGCAGCGCCGTCACCGGGGAGAACCTGCTGCCGGGCATCGACTGGCTCCTGGATGACATTTCCAGCCGCATTTTCACAGCTGACTGAACCACTCCAGATGCCCCCCACCTAGCAGTCCAGGTCCCTCAACCTTCACCAAACACTACCCATGGGGGGTTGGGAGTCAGCCGGCCAAACTAACACTCCCCCTCCTCCACCCCAGCCTGCTGCTGCTACTGCTGCCCGCTGCTGCTCTGTGGCCACCCGGCTCCCATGGCGGGAGGGCTGTGCCCTGGCTGTCTCTCTGGCTCCTGACCTGGCCTTTGGCTACCATACCAAGAAGAGAGGGCTGGGCGGGGAGGAGCTGCTACTGCTGCTACCGAGGCTGTGGGCCTCATCCTTCACTCAGTTGTGAAATAAACCGCTCCTTGCCCCGATTCCTGGCTGAGTCATTTGTTGATTCAACAGCGTTAGAGACCACCTGGGACCCTCAATCTAGCAGGGGACAGAAAGGAATGGATCATTGGAGTCGATGGTGAACTGTGGCTATGTCAAAGGGATGCAGAAAAAGTTATAGAAGCATGGGACACGGTGCAACTGATTCCATCTGCAGGCTTCCTAAAGGAGGTCACATTAAAGCTGGGAGTAAAGCGCGAGTAGTTTTCTAGGTAGAGGAAGGGGAAGACAGTTCACCAGGGGAAATCCAACTCTCATAGGTATGAATTAGAAAAACAGACACAGCTGCAGACCAGGGCTCCAACTTTTTGCATGGAACATGGGCTGAAATTCAGCTCCCAATTCTCTGTTGCAGCCAGGAACCCATGTGCAGTGGACAACCTGAACAGCTGTACAAGGCCAGCACAGATTCAGGCAGAGGGGATCACAGGACAGGCATGATGAGCAAGGGCTCCGGCTGGGCGCGGTGGCTCACCTGTAATCCCAGCACTTTGGGAGGCCAAGATGGGCGGATCATGAAGTCAGGAGATCAAGACCATCCTGGCTAACACGGTGAAACCCCGTCTCTACTAAAAATACAAAAAATTATCCGGGCGTGGTGGCGGGCGCCTGTAGTCCCAGCTACTCGGGAGGCTGAGGCAGGAGAATGGCGTGAACCCGGGAAGACGGAGCTGGCAGTGAGCCGAGATTGCGCCACTGCACTCCAGCCTGGGTGACAGAGCGAGACTCTGTCTCAAAAAAAAAAAGCAATGGCTCTTGGGAAATGGGGAGGTGCATAGAGTCATGTGTAGGAGAGAGTGCAGCCAGAGGGTGGGAGGGGGGCCACATCAGGCAGGGGTAACTGAGGCCTTCCCTGAAGGCTACAGGAACTCAGAAGCAGTGCCAGGTTGGGAAAGGATAGGAAATGAGGCCACCCCAGGGGTCCAATCCAAGTGGCAAAACTGGCAGATGTTTTCATGGCACAGGGTCCTAGCAGCTGCTTACTCTGCAGGGTTCTGTGTGAAGGGGTGGCCTGTCCCTCCACACCTGTGGGTATATCTCGTCAGGTGGGACGAGAGACTGAGAAAAGAAATAGGACACAAAGTATAGAGAAAGAAAAGTGGGCCCAGGGGACCGGCGCTCAGCATACCAAGGACCCACACTGGGACCGGTCTCTTAGTTTCTTCAGTTTTTATTGATTATTACTTTCACTATCTCAGCAAGAAGAATGTGGTAGGAGAGCAGGGTGATAATAGGGAGAAGGTCAGCAAAAAAACGTGAGCAAAAGAATCTGTGTCATAATTAAGTTCAAGGGGAGGTACTATGCCTGGATGTGCACGTAGGCCAGATTTATGTTTCTCTCTGCCCAAACATCTCAGTGGAATAAAGAATAACAAGGCAGCATTGCTGCCAACATGTCTTGCCTCCCACCATAGGGCGGTTTTTCTCCTATCTCAGAATTGAACAAATGTACAATCTGGTTTTATACCGAGACATTCAGTTCCCAGGTGCAGGCAGGAGATAGTGGCCTTCCTCTATCTCAAGTGCAAGAGGCTTTCCTCTTTTACTAACCCACGTCAGCACAGACCCTTTATGGGTATCGGGCTGGGGGACGGTCAGGTCTTTCTCATCCCACGAGGCCATATTTCAGACTCTCACATGGGGAGAAACCTTGGACAATATCCGGCTTTCCAGGACAGAGGTCCCTGCAGCTTTCCACAGTGCATTGTGCCCCTGGTTTATTGAGACTAGAGAATGGCGATGACTTTTACCAAGCATACTGCCTGTAAACATTTTGTTAACAAGGCACGTCCTGCACAGCCCTAGACCTTAAACCTTGATTCCAAGGCCGGGCGTGGTGGCTCACGCCTGTAATCTCAGCACTTTGGGAGGCCGAGGCAGGCGAATCATGAGGTCAGGAGATTGAGACCATCCTGGCTAACACGGTGAAACCCCGTCTCTACTAAAAATACAAAAAATTAGCCAGGTGTGGTGGTGGGCGCCTATAGTCCCAGCTACTCGGGAGGCTGAGGCAGGAGAATGGCATGAACCCAGGAGGCGGAGCTTGCAGTGAGCCGAGATGGCGCCACTGCACTCCAGCCTGGGCGACAGAGCGAGACTCCATCTCAAAAAAAAAAAAAAAAAACACCTTCATTCCATACAACACATGTTTTTGTGAGCTCAAGGTTGGGGCAAAGGGGTTGGGGCAAAGTGGCTGGGGCAAAGTTACAGATTAACAGCATCTCAGGGCAAAGCAATTGTTCAGGGTACAGGTCAAGATGAAATTTCTTCTATCTTCCCTTTCTACATAGATACAGTAACAGTCTGATCTCTCTTTTCCCTACACTGTTCTAAGTACTACCCATTCCATTCAGCAATACAGTTAGGGACAGCCCTATGCAGTGCCGCCTATCAGGATCCTCTCTTATATGGGACACTAAGGGGTGGCACTGGCGTGGCACTGTACAGAGAGCTCAGGTGCCCCGGGGAACAGATAAGCTCTCCCAGGGGCCGGGGAGGCTTCCTGGATGGGCTGACCCTTGAGCAGGGAGGGAAGGGTCTGCGGTCACTGGCCACCACCAGCACCTTTGTTCTCCCAAGCCCTGCATCTGGACTCTCTGCAGCCACCACTGGTACGTCAAGGGCTGCAGCCCCACTGCTGGGGAGAACCCACTGCCTGGCATTGACTGGCTCCTGGATGACATTTCCTCCAGAAGGTTAAGTGCAATCTCTGCCTGCCGGGTTCAAGCAACTCTCCTGCCCCATTCTCCCGAGTAGCTGGGATTATAGGCACCCGACACCACACCTGGCTAATTTTTGTATTTTTAGTAGAGATGGGGTTTCATCATGTTGGCCAGGCTGGTCTTGAACTCCTGATATCAAGTAATCCGCCCGACTTGGCCTCCCAAAGTGCTGGGATTACAGGCATGAGCCACTGCACCTGGCCCCCAGCTAATTTTTAAATTTCTCATGAAATCAGAGGCAGCCTGTTGCCCAGGCTGGTCTTGAACTCCTGGCCTCAAGTGATCCTCCCGCCTTGGCTTCCCAAAGTGCTGGGATTACAGGCATGAGCCCCATGCCAGGCTTTGCTTCTTTCTGAAGACCAAGGCACCGCACCTGTACACCTGAATTCCAGGAACAAGAGTGGCTATTCACAATGCTTCCTCTGCAGTAAATACTATGTGTTGTATGTAAGCCTACCAACTTCATGCTGCATTTCAACAGATTTTTGCTTCAATTCTAACACTGACTGGAGCAAAGGTCTCAAAACCCATGCCAGGTTTGGGAACACCAGTCTCCACGTGGCCCACACTGACAGTACCAATACCACCAATTTTGTGGACGTCTGGAGGGGCAGAACCAAGAGCTTGTGAGTTGGTGGTAGGATGTGATCTAGAGCTTCCGAGCAGCGTGGTTCCACAGCATCGCCATCTTTACAGGTGACTTTCCATCCCTTGAGCCAAGGCATGTGAGCTCTTGGCTCCCGCCTGTTGTGACCACTCCAACCAGATATTGGCACAAATACTACTATGTCAGAGTTGTAGCCAATTTCTTAATGTAGGTGCTGATTTCCTTAATGATTTCTCCCATCTCTCCTTTTTTTTTTTTTTTTTTTTTTGAGACGGAGTCTCACTCTGTCCTCTGTCTCCCAGGCTGGAGTGCAGTGGCACGATCTCAGCTCACTGCAACCTCTGCCTCCTGGTTTCAGGCAATTCTCTGCCTCAGCCTCCCAAGTAGCTGGGATTACAGGCACCCGCCACCATGCCCAGCTAATTTTTGTATTTTTAGTAGAGACGGGGTTTCACCATCTTGGTCAGGCTGGTCTTGAACTCCTGACTTCCTAATCCACCCACCTCTGCCTCCCAAACTGCTGGGATTACAGGCGTGAGCCACCACGCCCGGCCCCCATCTCTCCTCTTTAGGGTGGCTCATTGGGATCCATTTTGTTAACACCAACAATTAGTTTCACACCCAGCGTGTAAGACAGAAGGGTGTGCTCACGCGTCTGCCCATTCTTGGAATTACCAGCTTCAAATTCATCAACACCAGCAGCAACAATCAGGACAGCACAATTAGCCTGAGGTCAGGTTTTTGATAAAGTCTCTGCATCCTGGGCCATTGAGGATGGTCACATAGTACTTGCTGGTCTCAATTGCCAGCAGGGAGGTATCAGTGGTGATACCACTCTCACGTTCAACTTTCAGCTTACCCAAGACCCAGGTATGCTTGAAGGAGCCCTTTCCCATCTCAGCAGCTTCCTCAAAATTGTCGATGGTTCTTTTGTGGATCCCACCACACTTGTAGATCAGATGGCCAGTAGTGCTGGACTTGCCCAAATCAGATGATGATGTTGAGCTGAGTCTTTTCCCTCCCCTGCTCCCTTTCTTTTGAGATGGAGTCTCACTCTGTTGCCCAGGCTGGAGTGCAGTGGTGTGATTGCAGCTCACTGCAGCCTCAACCTCCTGGGCTGAAGCCATCAGCCAGCTCAGCCCCTGGAGTAGCTGGAATTACAGGCGTGCGCCACCACGCCCAGCTAATTTTTGTATTTTTAGTAGAAACGGGGTTTCACCATGTTGGCCAGGCTGGTCTTGAACTCCTGACCTCAAGTGATCCACCTGCCTCCACTGCCCAAAATGCTGGGATTACAGGCGTGAACCACCGCGCCAAACCCCCATTTTGGCTTTGATTTAACGGTGGTTTTCACGACACCTGTGTTCTGGCAGCAAACCCATCGCAAAAAAGCTCCACTGCCCTACACAGATTCTATTATAAACATCTCCATTCTACAGATGAGAAACTGAGGCTGAGTAGTTAAGGGAAACTCCTACAGCTAGTAAGAGTCGTGACTCAGAGCCCATGACACCATCCTGCTTCTCCAACCTTCTTTGCTTCCTCTACTTTCCAGAAAACATGAATTAGGGAATCCTGTGGAGGGAGACAGGGAAATAATTTGACGTTGTCCTGTACATACTGGACACAATAAGAGTTGGGTGGATGAACGAAAGCAGGGATTTAGGAAGCGGGGAGAAGTCGTTTGGAAGTCTGTGACAAGGGTTTACGCTTGGATAGGGTGGGCTTGATCACCCGGCAGAAATGAGACGAGTGATCCCAGCCTTCCCAACCAATCTTTCCAGTGACCTGGGTTTACGCTTCACCACAGAGAAGGAACTTTTCAGACGCTCCCTTGGCCGCGCACCCGGGATCGGAACAGCGCTGTCACTTGCGACAAAATCCCTAGGCCAGAGGAAGAAGAGCGCAGGCCTGGCGAGGCGGCGGCGGGCGGAGGCTGGGCCGGAGGGGTGGGGACGGCGAGGAGGTGGAGGCCGGCGCTCCGCTCCGCTCCAGCTCGGTTTCATGTCCCGCCAGGCGAAGGATGACTTCCTGCGGCACTACACAGTGTCGGACCCCAGGACTCACCCCAAGGGCTACACCGAGTACAAAGTAACCGCGCAGGTGAGGTGGGGCCCAGCGCGTACTTTACCCTTTTAACTAGAGGGGCGCCGAGTTTTACCTTAAGGAAAGGCGGTGCAGCCACTGCTCCCTTTTTAGACGACAGAAATGGGTTTCCCCTTTAAGGGGAGGTTGCAGTACGAGGCTTAGTTTACATCTTTAACCACCAGGGGGCGGGGTCCTGGGTGGGCGCTGTCTTTTTTAAAAGGGCGTTGACGGCCGTTCCCGGACAGGCAAGGCGTGTATGCCCACGCCCGGAGTGTAGTGTCTGGGCATCAGGCTGTGAATTTCTCTAAATTAACATGAAAACTCTGGTTTAATCCAAATATTAGTACTCCATTCTCGTAGAGTAAGTTTTGTTTATTGGTTTGTTTGATGTTACATAAACTCCCTTTAACGAGTTTAACCATTTTTAATTTTTCAAAAAATAATACTGATCAGTGGTTGAAAAAAATTGATGCAGTTCAGAAGGACTTAAGGAGTAAGTCGCCATATCAAGGTCACAGCAGGAAGATAGATAGGCTAGAGTTGATATATGAAGCGATAACAACATCATAAGCACAATTTATAGAGAGACATGGAGGAAACCATGACAATAATTAAAAATGAAACAGTAAAACAGGACACCTGTAGAATGATAACAAGAACTGGTAACAAGGAAGGTCCCCAGGGAGAGGAACTGTGTCACTGGGGACAGGAGTTAGGGGAAGACTTTTTACTGTAAATTTTTTGTACTTTTAGAATTTTCAACCAGGCGACTATTAAGCTGGTGCATTAGTTAACTCTAAAAGCAAAGCAGGCACATAAGGACACTTCCAAAGTGATCTAAGTGCAGAATCTTAGCTATTTAAAATATGCTTTCCCCAAACCGTTTACGTCTTTTCCATGCCTAAAAATAATGCAAATAAGGCCGGGCTCAGTGGCTCATGCCTGTAAATCCCAGCACTTTGGGAGGCTGAGGCAGCAGATTGCTTGAGCTCAGGAGCTCAAGACGAGCCTGGGCAACATAGTGAGACCCCGGATCAATATTAAAATACAGACACACACACAACTTTAAAAAAAAAAAAAAAAAAAGCAAATAAATAGATTGTCCCTGGGAAGATAGACTGGAGGTGGGGCTGGGGTGGGGAGGATGTGGCAAGGAACTGTAACCTTTTATTATAAGTCTTCCCAGTGGTGGCCGGGCGCGGTGGCTCACGCCTGTAATCCCAGCACTTTGGGAGGCCGAGGCGGGCGGATCACGAGGTCAGGAGATCGAGACCATCCTGGCTACCATGGTGAAACCCCATCTCTACTAAAAATACAAAAACTTACGGGCGTGGCAGCGTGCACCTGTAGTCCCAGGTACTCGGGAGGCTGAGGTAGAAGAATGGAGTGAACCCGGGAGGTGGAGCTTGCAGTGAGCCGAGATTGTGCCACTGCACTCCAGCCTGGGAGACAGAGCGAGACTCCGTCTCAAAAATATAAATAAATAAATAAATAAATAAATAAATAAAAATAAGTCTTCCCAGTGGCTTTTTTGTGTCGTTGTTTTGTTTTGTTTTTGAGACAGAGTCTCACTGTCGCCCAGACTGGAGTGAAGTGACTCGATCTCAGCTCACTGCAAACTTCCGTCGCCCGGGTTCAGATTCTCCCACCTCAACCTCCCAGGTAGCTGGGACTACAGGCACGCGTCACCATGCCCAGCTAATATTCGTATTTTTTGGCAGAGATGGGGTTTCACCATGTTGGCCAGAATGGTCTCGATCTCTTGACCTCATGATCCACCCGCCTTGGCCTCCCAAAGTGCTGGGATTACAGGTGTGAGCCACCACACCCGGCCTCCCATTGGCTTTTTAAACCAAGCAACATGCATTACTTTGATATATTTTTATACATATTATATAATACAATGTATTATATATAATAAATATAAAATATAAAGCACATAATATATAAATATATGTATGTATATATTTTTTGAGACGGAGTCTTGCTCTGTCGCCCAGGCTGGAGTACAGTGGTGTGATCTCAGCTCACTGTAGCCTCCACCTCCTGGGTTCATGCAGTTCTCCTGCTTCAGCCTCCTGAGTAGCTGGGATTATAGGCGTGTGCCACCACACCCGGCTACTTTTTGTGTTTTTAGTAGAGACGGGATTTCACTGTGTTGGCCAGGCTGGTCTCGAACTCCTGACCTCAAGTTATCCTCCCACCTCGGCCTTCCCAAGTGCTGGAATTACAGGTGTGAACCACCGCGCCTGGCCTATATTTTTATTTTATTTTATTTTATTTGCGACGGGGTCTTGCTCTGTCACCCACGCTGGTGTGCAGTGGCATGATTCACGTCTTACTGCAGCCTCAAGTTCCTGCATTCAATCCATCCTCTTGCCTCAGCCTCCTGAGTAGCTGGGACTACAAGCATGTACCACTACGCCTAGCTCAATTTTTAAATTTTTTGTAGAGGCTGGGCGTGGTGGCGCACGCCTGTAATCCCAGCACTTTGGGAGGCCAAGGCGGGTGGATCATGAGGTCAAGAGATCGAGACCATTCTGGCCAACATGGTGAAACCCCGTCTCTACTAAAAGTACAAAACGTAGCTGGGCATGGTGGCGCTCACCTGTAGTCCCAGCTACTCGGGAGGCTGAGGCAGGAGAATTGCTTGAACCCGGGAGGCAGAGGTTGCAGTGAGCCGAGATCACACCACTGCACTCCAGCCTGGTGACAGAGTGAGACTCCATCTCAAAAAAAAATTTTTTTTTTTGTAGAGACAGAGTTTTGCCATGTTGCCCAGGCTGGTCTCAAACTCCTGGCCTCAAGCAATCCTCCCATTTTGGCCTTCCAAAGTGTTAGGATTACAGGCCACCATGACCCACCGTACCTGGCCTATAATTTTTTTTTTTTTTTTGAGATGGAGTCTCACTGTGTTGCCAGGCTGGAGTGCAGTGGCATGATCTCAGCTCACTGCAACCTCTGCCTCCTGGGTTCAAGTGATTCTCCTGCCTCAGCCTCCTGAGTAGCTGGGACTACAGGCACTTGCCACCACGCCTGGCTAATTTTTGTATTTTTAGTAGAGACAGGATTTCACCATGTTGGTTGGCCAGGCTGGTCTCGAACTCCTGACCTCAAGTGATTCTCCCACCTCGGCCTCCCAAAGTGCTGGGATTACAGGCATGAGACACCACACCTGGCCACTCAATGGCTTTTAAATAGTTTCTTTTACCAGAATATTTTAGGCAAGTCTCTGTTGTCAAAAGCAAAGTCCAGGGTTTTAGTCCCAGCCATCTTTCTTACTTAGTGTGTGGTCTACTATGGCCACACCTCTCAGAGCCTCCATTTCCTCATCTCTTAAGTGGGCATGTCAATTATGTCTGCCTCAGTGGGATCTAGGATAAGAAATAGATGTTTTTATTTATTTATTTAGTGTGTGAGAGACAGGGTCTCACTCTCTCCAGGCTGGAGTGCAGTGGTGCAATCTCAGCTCACTGCAACCTCTGCTTAACATGCTCAAGTGATCCTCCCACCTCAGCCTTCTAAGTAGCTGGGACTACAGGTGTGTCACGCCACCACACCCAGCTAATTTTTTGTATTTTTTGCAGATACTGGGTGTCACTATGTTGCCCAGGCTGGCCTCAAACTCCTGGACTTAAGTGCTCTGCCCACCTGGGCCCCCTAAAGTGCTGGCATTACAGGTGTGAGCCACCGTGCCTGGCATAGGAGATGTTATTAAACTGTCAAGTACCCCAAACCATAGGACATTATTTTAAAATTATTATGAACATAACGATGAAAACTGAATCTTGTTTTCACCTCAGACCCAAGTCTGCCCTTCCAGGGACTTCAACTCCAGTGATGGTTTCTTCTGTGTCCAGGGCGCTGAAGCGCAGGATCTTCTCCCGCAGGGAAGGAGGTTCCTGAGGCAGAACCTCCCTTCTTTGGAGGCTTGGGGTTCTTTGGTTTCAGAAGTAGATGGAGGGACTTGGTCTGTTCAAGGAACTGGGATAAAAATTGGGCTGATGGCCGGGTGCTCACGCCTGTAATCCCAGCACTTTGGGAGGCTGAGGCGGGCGGATCACTTGAGGTCATGAGTTCCAGACCAGCTTGGCCAACATGGGGAAACCCCATCTCTACTAAAAATACAAACATTAGCAAGCGTGGTGGTGCATGTCTGTAGCTTCTTGGGAGGCTGAGGTAGGAAAATCGCTTGAACCCTGAAGGCAGAGGTGGCAGTGAGCCGAGAGTGTACCACTGCACTCCAGCCTGGGCGACAGAGCGAGACTCCATCTCAAAAAAAAAAAAGTTGGGCTGAGGTTGGAGCAGTCCAAATGGGCCTTTAGGGGTCCTCCTATTTGATAGATGGAGAAACTGAGGTACATAGTAGGAAAAGTTGCTAAAATTACACGCGAAGGCTTAAAGCCAGGGTGCCTTGATGCCAGAGGCCAATGGCCAAAGGCTACTGCCCCGTGAGGGGGACTAGGAGGCACCTGGGGCATTACAGGGTGAGAGGGTGTCAGATGGCAGTCTCTGGTCTCAACCAGCTCTTGCCTTTCTTTCTCAGTTCATCTCAAAGAAGGACCCAGAGGATGTCAAAGAGGTGAGGCTCCTGGGAGGAAGAGGGACTGTTCTGCAGTTCCAGATCTGGAAACTGTCAAGGGGCAGCTGGTAACTCTGCTTGGACATCGGCCCTCCTTCCTCCCTGTCCCTGGGCGAGGGGCTGCTGCAGCTGCTTCCTGATCCTCACGCCCCCTGGGGGCAGGCTAGGCATGGGGGCGGCTGCCTCCCACCATTGCTGGTTCTGGGCAAGTCTCATGTACCTCATAGGTGGTGGTCTGGAAGCGGTACAGCGACTTCCGCAAGCTGCATGGAGACCTGGCCTACACCCACCGCAACCTCTTCCGCCGCCTCGAGGAGTTCCCTGCTTTCCCCCGGGCCCAGGTGTTTGGTGAGTGTTAGATTGGGGCACTCGGGCCAAAGATGGAGGGAGCATTGGGCAAAAGGGGACCTCCGCCAGTGGGGGCTGGATAGAGAGGGCCTGAAACCCTGGGCAGAGTCATGTTTGGAAGGGCCCTTAGAGATGACCTCATTTGACAGATGGGGAAACTGAGGCTCAGAGTAGCCTAACCCTTACTGTGTATTTCACCTTTTAACATTCCTGTTGGGCCAGGCGTGTGGCTCACGCCTGTAATCCTAGCACTTTGGGAGGCCAAGGCAAAACTCCATCTCAAAGGAAAAAAAATCCTGTCTTTATCAGCTCCATTTTATTTTCCTTTTTCTTTTTTGTTGTTGTTGACAGCCTCACTTTGTCACCCAGGCTGGAGTACAGTGGCGCTGTCTTGGCTCACTGCAACCTCCACCTTCCAGGTTCAAGGGATTCTCTTGCATCAGTCTCCCCAGTAGCTGGGATAACAGGTGTGCACCACCACGCCTGGCTAATTTTTGTATTTTTAGTAGAGACAGAGTTTCATCATATTGGCCAGGCTGGTCTTGAACTCCTGACCTCAGCTGACCTGCCCGCCTTGGCTTCCCAAAGTGCTGGGATTACAGGCGTGAGACACTGCACCCGGCCCATCTCAATACTTAGTATATTGATTACATGTTGCAATGAGAATATTTGGGATATATTGGGTTAAATAAAATATTAAAATTAACTTGTGGCTAGGTGTGATGGCTCACACCTGTAATCCCAGCACTTTGGGAGGCCGAGGCAAGCGAATCACGAGATCAGGAGTTTGAGACCAGCCTGGCCAACGTGGTGAAACCCCGTCCCTACTAAAAATACAAATAATTAGCTGAGTGTAGTGGCAAGTGCTTGTAATCTCAGCTACTCAGGAAGCTGAGGAAGGAGAATCGCTTGAACCTGGGAGGCAGAGGTTGCAGTGAGCCAAGAGTGTGCCATTGCACTCCAGCCCAGGCGACAGAGTGAGACTCCGTCTCAAAAAAAAAAAAAAAAAAAAAATTGTTTCTTTTTTCCTATTATTTAATCTAGCTGCTAGAAAATTTAAAATTGCATATGTAGCTCATATCTGTATTAGACAGTGCTGACCAGTTGCTTGGGTCTGCATACTCATGTGAGATGTTCTTTTTTGTTATTGGTTTTTGTTTTTGTTTTTTGAGACAGAGTCTCACTCTGTCACCCAGGCTGGAGTCCAGTGGCATGATATCAGCTCACTGCAAACTCTGCCTCCCAGGTTTGAGCGATTCTCCTGCCTCAGCCTCCCAAATAGCCAAGTAGCCACCCAAGTAGTGTGCGCCACCACACCTAATTTTTTTTTATTTTTAGTAGAGACAGGGTTTCACCATGTTGGCCAGGCTGGTCTCGAACTCCTAACCTCAAGTGATCCACCTGCCTCGGCCTCCTAAAACGCTGGGATTATAGGTGTGAGCCACCGCACCTGGCCGAGATGTTCTTTTGAAGCAAGGTAAAGGATTGCTGCTGTCAGGTTATGCCAGGCCAGTGGGGAAGTACCACAGACTGGCCGCACAGTAACTGGACCAGAGTTAGCCTGCTCTGCAAAATACCTAGGACAGAGCAGTGAAACTGTGGCTCGCACCTGTAATCTCAGTGCTTTGGGAAGCCAAGGCAAGGTAATCACTTGAGCTCAGGAGTTCAAGACCAGCCTGGGCAACATGGTAAAACCCCATCTCTACAAAAAATACAAAAATTAGCCAGGCATGATTGTGTGCACCTATAGTCCCAGCTACTTGGGAGGCTGAGGCGGGAGGGCGGCTTGATCCCAGGAGGCAGAGGTTGCAGTGAGCTGAGATCGTGCCACTGCACACCAGCCTGGGTAACACAGCCAGTCCTTTTCTCAAAAAATAAACGGGGGCTCCTTGCTTTGTGACCTTGGGCAAGTCACTTTCCCTCTCTGAGCCTTACTTTTCTCATTAGATCAAAGCCATCAGAAATGCTTTTGTTTCTTGTTAACTGCCTAGCTCCCCCTGGGTAGGATATGATATTCACAAGGGCAGAGACTGGTTCCTCCCCTGTTCACCTTCTGAGTCTAGCATATAGTAGGTGCTCAGTAAACATCTGGCAAATGAATGAATAGGGAAATTGATCCCTCCTGGAAGCCCCTACCTCACCCCAGGAGGAACCAGGGCAGATTGCTGGGAGAATGGGTAGGAGGGCAGTGAGTTGCTCAGAGCATCTCAGGCAGGACCAGGAAAAGTGGCCTTGGGGCAGAAGCCCCTGTGGGTCACCGCCACTCTCCCCTGTTCCTTGTCCTGGGGGCCGTAGGCCGGTTTGAAGCCTCAGTGATCGAGGAGCGGCGAAAGGGGGCAGAGGACCTGCTTCGCTTCACTGTGCACATACCTGCGCTCAACAACAGCCCCCAGCTCAAGGAGTTCTTCCGGGTATGTGCACCTTCCACCTTCCCAGAACTTGGGCCACTTACCCACCCACCAGATTGCACCCCATGACTCCCCATGTCTGATCTTTCTGTCCTGCAGGGTGGGGAGGTGACCCGACCCTTGGAGGTGTCCAGGGACCTACACATCCTGCCACCCCCTCTGATCCCCACCCCGCCCCCTGATGACCCCCGGCTATCCCAACTGCTCCCTGCAGAAAGGAGGGGCCTCGAGGAATTGGAGGTGCCAGGTACATCGGGGTGGGAGGAGGGAACCAGGGCTGGAGGGTGCAGAGTGGGGAGGGCGGCCACACTCCCTCCTCAGTGATCTTACTGAGAAATGTGTGTGTGTCCCAGGTCTATCACTTAACTGGCTGAGGAACTTTGGGCAGGTCCTTTTCCTTCTCTGTGCTACAGTTTCTTGATCTGTAAAATGAGCACAAACCCTAATAACAGGCTTGTCTATGCCCATGGTTGCTGCAAGGGTTTAAGGAGAGAGTAATTCTATTTTGAAAGCTGAGAAATAAACGCAGGTATTCATGACCCCACTTATCTCTTCCTCAGTGGACCCCCCACCATCCAGCCCTGCCCAGGAGGCCCTGGATCTCCTCTTTAACTGTGAGAGCACCGAGGAGGCATCTGGTTCCCCTGCCCGAGGCCCCCTCACCGAGGCTGAGCTTGCCCTCTTCGACCCCTTCTCCAAGGAAGGTAATGAGCTGGGACAGCCGGGAAGGAGCCAGGGCAGGACGTCCTTGGGACAGGGAGGAGGGCAGAGCCCCACTAGCCTGCTCAGTGCCTGCGCAGATCAGGGAGAGACGTCTCCTCAGCAGTGCTGCCCTGTGGGCCAATAGCAGCTTCAATGAGAATTAGAAGCCCTGTGCCAGGGCACGTGGTGTGGTGTGCTGGATGCACCTGTGCAACAAATAGCCACGAGGAAGGAAAGGAGGCACTTCCCATGTTGGGGCCATCTCACTGAGAAGGCTTTGGAAAGAGCCGGGTCACACTGCTCTGGGACATTTTAGTTCCTTCCCTGCAAGCTCTTGGTGGGATTTCCTGACTGGCCAGGGTCTGGCTGCAGATCCTGAAGGCAAGAGGCCTGCTGGTCAATGGGAGTGAGTTCTCAGCTCAAAGGGCAGCTGCAAAGGGAAATCCCTCTGGGGGCCTGGAGCCACTGGCATTTGGGGATGCTGGAGGTAGAAGGGCCCCCCCAATGGAGGTCAGGGTCCTGGGCACCTTCTTGCTGTGAGATCCTGGGACTCGACAGTCCCAAGCTCTGAGACACTGGAGTTTTTCATTCTAAAATTTGCCAACGCCTGGCACATTGGCTCACACCTGTAATCTCGACACTTTGGGAGGCTGAGGCAGGAAGATTGCTTGAGCCCAGGAATTCAAGACCAGCCTGGGCAATATAGCAAGAGTCCATGTCTGTTATTCTTTTTCTTTTTTTGAGACAGAGTCTCACTTTGTCGCCCAGTCTGGAGTACAGTGGCGCAATCTCTGCTCACTGCAACCTCCCAGGTCCAAGCGATTCTCCTGCCTCAGCCTCCTGAGTAGCTGCGACTACAGGCGCGCACCACGGTGCCTGCTAATTTTGTATTTTTAGTCGAGATGGGATTTTTCCATGTTGGTCAGGCTGGTCTCAAACTCCCGACCTCAGGTGGTGCGCCCGCCTCAGCCTCTGAAAGTGCTGGGATTACGGATGTGAGCCACCGCGCTTGGCCCGTTTTTTTTTTTGAGATCGAGTCTTGCTCTGGATTGCCGAGGCTGGAGTGCAGTGGCGCGATCTCAGCTCACTCCCACCTCCGCCTCCCGGATTCAAGCGATTCTCCTGCCTCAGCCTCCTGAGTGGCTGGGACTACAGGCGCGCGCCACCACGCCTGGCTAATTTTTGTATTTTGAGTAGAGACAGGGTCGCACCATTTTGGTCAGGCTGGTCTCAAACTCCTGACACTCAAGTGATCCACCTGCCTCCGCCTCCCAGAGTGCTGAGATTACGGGCGTGAGCCAAAATGCCCTGCCTCTTTCACTTTTCTTGTTCTGCCTCCTCCCGTTCCTGCTCCTGCCTCTCCAGGGTTGGGGAGTGGGAAGAAGGAATGGGAGGGAAAGGCAATGTTGGTGTCACAGGGCTGTTATGCCTGGCCTCTGGGTGGCAGGCATCCAAGTGCTCTGTCCTTGTGCCAGCTGAGTCCCTGCTGGGCAGCTAGCTGCCTGGGCAGGAGCTTTTCTATTTTTTTTCCTCTCCTTTTTAATTTTTTTATTTTTTTTTATTTATTTTTTGAGACAGAGTCTGGCTCTGTCACCAGGCTAGAGGGCAGTGGTGCGATCACGGCTCACTGCAGCCTCCAACTCCTAGGCTTAAGCGATCCTCCCACCTCAGCCTCCCAAATAGCTGGGACAGGACCACAGGCATGCACCATCATGCCCAGCTAAGTTTTTGATTTTTTGTAGAGATGAGATCTCACTATGTTGCCCAGGCTGGTCTCAAGCTCCTGGACTCAAGTAGTCCTCCCACCTCAGCCTCCCAAAGTGCTGGATCATAGGCATGAGTGACTGTGTCCAGCCAGGATCTTTTCAAGACCCTTCACAGACAGCTCCAATGAGACATTCACTCAGCCCATGGGAAAAGTCCCCAAAGCCTGGAACTGCAGTGTGCTCAGACACTGCCTTATTTCCCTACCCTGCCATGGTGGGCACCTCCAACAAGCCTCTCACCACCAGAATTCTCGAGGCAAGGAGTGGGCACCTGTGTCTCCCTTCTTCACAGCAAACTCCTTAACTCGAGTGTGCAGGTGTCCCAGGTACTCTTCTGCTCTCTGCTCCCTGAGCAATACATGGAGGGCTGTAGGCCCAGCCAGGAGGTGCCTTCTCCCTCCTGCAGGAGGCCCGGACTTCTCAGGGCTCTCATGGAACTCACAGGGATGGGGTTAGAGAGGCACCCACTTTTTCCCTCTCCAGGATGATAGGGTATCATGATGCTTCCTGCCCCCGCACCTTCCCCTCAGAGGCCTTTTCACCAAAGGTGCACCAGATTTCCAGTCGCCTCGTGTGTAAGCTGCAGGTAGGATGTCCGACCCCCTTTTAGCCAGTCCAGGGGGATATAATGAGCCTTTACCTGGGAAATGTGAGGACACCTGTCACTCACTGTCTTTACATTTGGGGGCCTCAGCTGAAACTGCAAGGCTTCAGAAAACCCCTGAGATTCTCTAAGTCTCCTATTCTAAGATTATTCCAAGTCTTGGAGCATTTCTACCCTCAGCCTGGTGGTGGTGGCCTAGCATCCTTCAGGGAAACTTTCTGGAGGGGATTTTTGGATTTCTAGGTCAACTGGAGTCAAGAGGGAAATAGGACCAGTGACCCAGAGCTTACAAACTAGAGTGTGTACCTAAAGACATAATTAGGAAGGTAAGGCTGTTTTTACAGAAGCACATGAACCCTATCGATCAAATAGCTCATGGCTAGTTTTTGATCCACAGACGACTTCTGGATTGCTCTGGCATTGGTCCCCTCTACTGGGGACAGGCTGATACCCTGATGGACAAAAGAAGTCTTGGGGTTGGGCAGAGGGCCTGGGAAAGGAAGGGCCAGTCTGGTCCGAGTCCTCCCTTTCTAACTGCAGAAGGCGCAGCCCCCAGCCCCACCCATGTGGCTGAGCTGGCAACGATGGAGGTGGAGTCTGCAAGGCTGGACCAGGAACCCTGGGAGCCAGGAGGGCAGGAGGAGGAAGAGGATGGGGAAGGAGGGCCCACCCCTGCCTACCTAAGCCAGGCCACAGAGCTCATCACCCAGGCCCTGCGGGATGAGAAGGCAGGCGCTTACGCTGCTGCACTCCAGGGCTATCGAGACGGCGTGCACGTCTTGCTTCAGGGAGTCCCCAGTGAGTAGGGACTGAGGGTGGAGGGTCAGGCCTGGGTCCCAGGTGGGGCAGTGATGAAGGGAGCAAAAAAACAAGCAAATCACGGATCAGGAGCCCTTTTACTCCTCACTGACCAGCTGTGTAACCTGGGCAGATTTTTGTTTCTGTTTTTTTGTTGTTGTTGTTTTTAACCTCTTGTGGCCTCAGTTTTCTTCTTCCTCTTTTTTTTTTTTTTTTTTTGAGACAGAGTCTTGCTCTTGTTGCAGGCTGGAGTGCACAATCTCGGCTCACTGCAACCTCCGCCCCCCAGGTTCAAGTGATTCTACTGCCTCAGCCTCCCGACTAGCTGGGATTACAGGCGCCCACCACCATGCCTGGCTAATTTTTGAATTTTTATTTTTTATTTATTTTTATTTATTTATTTTTATTTTTTGAGACAGAGTCTCGCTCTGTCGCCCAGGCTGGAGTGCAGTGGCACAATCTTGGCTCACTGCAACCTCCACCTCCCAGGTTCAAGCCATTCTCCTGCCTCAGCCTCCTGAGTAGCTGGGATTACAGGCACGTGCCACCACGCCCAGCGAATTTTTGTAGTTTTAGTAGAGATGGGCTTTCACCATGTTGGTCAGGCTGGTCTCGAACCCCTGACCTCGTGATCCACCCACCTCGGCCTCCCAAAGTGCTGGGATTACAGGCGTGAGCCACCGCGCCCAGCATGGCCTCAGTTTTCTTATTTGTAGACTGAGGAGAATGGATGCTGGGCCCCAGAGAGGAGGGAAAAGCACATGGTGATGCTCTGCGAATTGTAAAGGACCCGACCAGGGGTTCTGACCAGGCCAGTGGTGCCCAGGTGCCTCAGCTGAGCATTCTCTCTCCACAGGTGACCCGTTGCCTGCCCGCCAGGAAGGTGTGAAGAAGAAGGCAGCTGAGTACCTGAAGCGGGCAGAGGAGATCCTGCGCCTGCACCTGTCTCAACTCCCACCCTAACAGGGAGTGGGCCATTCCCTGGGACTCTCGCTCCTGCACTGCCAGCCCCTTCTCCTCTCCCCAGGGCCTGGCCCTACCTCCTGGTCTTGTAATTACAGGAGCCATTTCTGTAGGTAACTGGACCAAGAATGAGAAAAATAATGAATTCTTAGCTCCCTGATTACACCTGCCACCTTGGAATCAAGGACTCACACTTCTGACCCTGCCTGTCTTTTTGGGGTTTTTTTGAGTTGGAGTCTCGCTGTGTCGCCCAGACTGGAGTGCAGTGGTGGGATCGCGGCTCACTGCAACCTCCACCTCCCAGGTTCAAGCAGTTCTCCTGTCTCAGCCTCCCCAGTAGCTGAGATTGCAGGCACATGCCACCACGCCCAGCTAATATTTTGTATTTTCAGTAGGGACGGGGTTACACCATGTTGGCCAGGCTGGTCTCGAACTCCTGACCTCAAGTGATCCACCCGCCTCAGTCTCCCAAAGTGCTGAGATTACAGGCATGAGTCACTACGCCCGGCCCATGTCTGTCTGTCTTGATGTGTGAGCAGCAGCTGTGGTCATTAAACCATTAGTTTACCCCTCTAGAACTGGGGTCTGCAAACTCCCACCTGCAGCCAAATCTGGCCCACCTCCTTTTTAATGTAAGGGCTGTGAGAGTGGTTTTTACTTTTTTTAATGATTAAAAAAATCAAAATAATATTCTGTGACAATGACAGGTGAAATTTATATGTGACAAGTGAAAATTATATGAAATTTAAGAGTCCATAAATAAAATTTGTTGGAACACAACCAGGCTAATTCATTTAGTATTGTGATAGCTGCTTTCGCGCTACACTGGCAGTTGAAACAGTTGCAGAGTTGAGTCTTTGCCGCCTGCAAATCCCAAAACATTTACAACCTGGCCCTTTGCAGAAAACATTTGCTGGCCCCTGAGCTAGAAAATAGGGAGCATAGTCTCAGGGAAATAGAGGACAAGCCGATGGAGCCGGTTTATTGGGTGGAAGGGACGAAGGAGAGGAACCCAAAGCCCGGGTACTTGTCTCAGAGGCCCCAAAGCCAAATCCTGATTGCTCAGCGGGCTGGAAGGCGTGGCCTCAGCCCCGCCCCGCCCCGCCTCACCACAAAGCGGTTGGTTGCGGCAGGGACTACACCGGTGTATCATGGGAGCGGCCCGGGCTACACGTTAAAAACACTAAGGGGAGCGCGCGAAGCTGAACTTGGCGCTCGATGGGGGCCGTTAGCCGCCCTAGAGCGCGCGGAGCCGCAGAGGCGTAGCTGGACTACAACGCAGTGCATCTCGGGAGGCCAACTCGACTGGACTGGGTGAGAGGACAGAGGTGGCTCGATGGGCGGCCCGAAGGCCGGGGATCATGGCGGGAAGGCGGGCCCAGACAGGTTCAGCCCCGCCCCGACCCGCCGCTCCCCACCCCCCGGCCGGCCTCGCGTGCCTTCCCGCAGCACTGCCGTCCCCGGGATGCTGAGCGCCCACCGTCTCCCCGCAGCCCCCTCATGCCCGGCTGCGAGCTGCCCGTGGGCACCTGCCCGGACATGTGCCCGGCCGCCGAGCGCGCCCAGCGCGAAAGGGAGCACCGCCTGCACCGCTTGGAGGTGGTGCCGGGTTGCCGCCAGGACCCGCCCCGCGCGGATCCGCAGCGCGCGGTGAAGGAGTACAGCCGACCCGCCGCCGGCAAGCCCCGGCCCCCGCCCAGCCAGTTGCGTCCGCCCTCCGTGCTGCTGGCCACCGTGCGCTACCTGGCCGGTGAGGTGGCGGAGAGCGCCGACATCGCCCGCGCCGAGGTGGCCAGCTTCGTGGCAGACCGCTTGCGAGCTGTGCTCCTGGACCTGGCGCTGCAGGGAGCGGGCGACGCCGAGGCAGCTGTGGTGCTGGAGGCGGCGCTGGCCACGCTGCTGACCGTAGTGGCGCGGCTCGGGCCCGACGCGGCGCGGGGACCCGCGGACCCGGTGCTGCTGCAGGCCCAGGTGCAGGAGGGCTTCGGCTCGCTGCGGCGCTGCTACGCGCGGGGCGCCGGGCCGCACCCCCGCCAACCCGCCTTCCAGGGCCTCTTTCTGCTCTATAACCTGGGTGAGTCGGGATCCTGGCGGCTGGGCAGAGCGTGGGGACAGGAGCCCACCATGACAGTGGAGGTAGGGAAAGGAAGGATTAGCTTTAACATCTCACCATTAGCCCCCTCCCAGGACAGCACAAGATCCACCGAGCCCCGACGTGGGACCTCGGGCCCATCTCTGGGTCTTAGTTGTCTCAGGAATAAAAGTGGAGGGGGCAAGGGTGGAAAGGGAGAATTGGTCTAAATAGTGATTTTCAAACTTTTTTTTTTTTGAGTCTCGCTCTGTCGCCCAGGCTGGAGTGCAGTGGCGCGATCTCGGCTCACTGCAACCTCCGCCTCCCTGGGTCAAGCGATTCTTCTGCCTCAGCCTCCTGAGTAGCTGGGATCACAGGCGCGCGCCACCACACCCAGCTAATTTTTGTATTTAGTAGAGACGGGGGTTTCACCATGTTGGTCAGGCTGGTCTCGAACTCCTGACCTCGTGATCCGCCCACCTTGGCCTCACAAAGTGCTGGGATTACAGGCGTGAGCCACCGCGCCCGGCTGATTTTCAAACTCTTTTAACCTCCCCGCCCAGTCAGGGTTACCAAGCAAACAAGAACACATATGCCCACGAATATACCTGAGACAGAAGTTTAAGGCATTAGAGATACTTTCTATGGGCGATGCATTCCAATAAACTCTTATTATTTGTTTCTTTCTTTGTTTTTGAGACAGAGTCTAGCTCTGTCGCCCAGGCTGGAGTGCGGTGGCATGATCTTGCCTAACTGCAACCTCCGCCTCCCGGGTTCAGGCTATTCGCCTGCGTCAGCCTCCCAAAGAGCTGGGACTACAGGCGTGCACCACCACACCCGGCTAGTGTTTGGATATTTAGTAGAGACAGGCCAACACCATGTTGGCCATGCTGGTCTCGAACTCCTGACCTCAAAATGATAGCTCACCTCTGCCTCCCAAAGTGCTGGGATTACAGGCGTGAGTCACTGCACCCGGCCTGTTTGTGTTTTTTGAGACAGGGTCTCACTCTTGCCCAGGCTGGAGTACAGTGGCTTAATTATAGTTCACTGCAGCCTCAACCTCGTGGGCTCAAGGGATCCTTCTGCCTCAGCCTTCCAAGTAGCTGGGACCACAGATGTATGCAATCACACCCGGCTAACTTAAAAAAATTTTTTTTGTAGAGATGGGATCTCGCATGTTGCCACTCGAATTCCTGGGCTCAAGTGATCCTCCTGCCCCACCCTCCCAAGTAGCCGGGTGTGGCCATCATGCCCAGTGAATGGTTTATTTTTGTCCACACTGTTCCTCTGAAGAAGGCATGGTAATTATCCCTGGTCTAGTGGGGGAAGAAATCGAAGCCCAGGGTGGTGAGGTGACTTGCCTGTTGACACAGCACTGGTTAACAGTAGTAGTGGCAGGACCATGATTTTCTTTTCTTTTAATTTTTTAAAATTTATTTTTATATAGGGATTGGAGTCTTGCCATGTTGACCAGGTTGCTCTCAAACTCCTGGGCTAAAGTGATCCTACCGCGTTGGCCTCCCAAAGTGCTGGGATTACAGGCATGAGCCACTGTGCCCAAATAAGCTCTGTTCTGGCTGGGCCCTCTCTACTAAAAATGCAGAAATTAGCTGGGTGTGGTGGTGCATACCCGTAATCCCAGCTACTCAGGAGGCTGATGCAGGGGAATCACCTGAACCTGGGAGGTAGTGGAGATTGCAGTGAGCCAAGAGCCACTATACTTCAGCCTGGGTGACAAAGCAAGTCTGTCTCAAAAAAAAAAAAAAAAAAAAAAAAAAAAGGCCCTGCCCTATACAATTTTAACAAAATGCTGTTGACTTCACAACCTACTTATTGGTCAGAAGCCCCAGTTTACAAATGAGGGCCAAGGTTCCAGTGTCTGAGACTCTTCCAGAAGGGAAGCAAGGGCAGAGTCTCCTGAAGGAAGGGGCCTTCCCAGGTGGTCAGGGGAAAGTGGGGCAGAGTTGGCTTCCAAAACTGTGGGTACAGGGAAGCCAGGGTAGTGGGAAATCCAAGTCCGAAAACTTGGACTGGGGTCAGGCTCAACTACATACCCGCCCTAGGACACTCTCAGGCGAATCATTCAATTATCTGGGCCAGCTTCCCAAATCCGTAAACCCTGCCCACTTCAGTGTTGTAAGTAAGGATCTGGACTGCAGGAAGTCAAGAGCCTGAGGCCACTCATTCAAATATAGGTTGGGGAAGGAGCCAAAGGCTGGCCCTTAGAGGGGAGAGGGAAGTTGGGCTAGGCCTAGAGAAGGGGCGTGGTCGAGGAGAGAGGAAGGACAGGGTGTTGGGAGGGGAGATGAGCCTGATCCTGTAAGGACCAGGCGTCCTCATTCTGGCTTCCCGCTCTCACAGGCTCGGTGGAAGCCCTGCATGAGGTTCTACAGCTGCCTGCTGCCCTGCGCGCCTGCCCGCCCCTCCGCAAGGCCTTGGCGGTAGATGCTGCCTTCCGAGAGGGCAATGCTGCCCGCCTGTTCCGTCTGCTCCAGACCCTGCCCTACCTGCCAAGTTGCGCTGTGCAGTGCCATGTGGGCCATGCCCGCCGGGAAGCCCTGGCCCGCTTCGCTCGTGCCTTTAGCACCCCCAAGGGCCAGACCTTGCCTCTGGGCTTCATGGTCAACCTCTTGGCCCTGGATGGACTCAGGGAAGCACGGGACCTGTGCCAGGCCCACGGGCTGCCCTTGGACGGAGAGGAGAGAGTTGTGTTCCTGAGGGGTCGCTACGTGGAGGAAGGGCTACCGCCTGCCAGTACGTGCAAGGTGTTAGTGGAGAGCAAACTTCGAGGACGTACCCTGGAGGAGGTGGTCATGGCAGAGGAGGAAGATGAGGGCACGGACAGACCTGGGTCCCCAGCCTGAGGAGGGAGCGTGAGCCTCCCAGAGCCCCAGGACTGGGCCAGAGCACTTAGGTTTCTTTTTCCATGGTTTCCAGGTAATAAAAGGAACTTGTTTTGTTGGTACCAGTCACTAGATGTGATTTATTTGAGGGGCTGTTGTAGGGAGTTAGGATACACAGCATGCAGGGAGAGGAACGCAGACTAGCCAAGGCCTAAGGTACCCCAAGACTCACTTTCGCCACTGGTCCTTGGCCTTGATGACCTGAGTTGGCATCTGAGGTTGGCACGCATCCCATCTCCACCCACCTGCCACCAAGGGCAGTTGGTGGTTTTGCCATCCCATCCCTGTCCCCTGCTGCCCACCCTCTGCCACCTAAGCACCAGGATGAGGGTGAGTTGCATTAGGGCTTGCCACTCCCCTCAGGGACCTCAAGCTGTTGCCTGAGAAGCTTGAGAGGGTCCTGTGGTAGTGCCCTCTTCTGGCACCAAGGAAGACCAGGACATCTCAGGAAAGCAGGCAGGAGAGGGTTGGAGTAAAGGGAGGGCTGAAGAAAGAGGGCTGGGGTCAGAGGTCAGCCACAGGCCTCAGGGTGGCTGCCGCACCCTCCAGGGCTGTCACCACAATGCTGAGCTGTCTCTGGACCTCAGCCCAAGCTTCAGATCCAGAAGCTGTGTCCCTGGCCCTGGAGCAGGCATTGGATAGGCCCGGGAATGTGACTACGGAGCCCGTGCGAGGTGCCCAGAGCACATGGCTGACAAGAGAAATGGGACAGGATCAGGGTCAGTCAGTCAGGGGCCAGGAAAGAGAAGCCTGGGCCTAGAACTGGCTCAGCTCCTGTACGCAGCGAGGCAGAAAAGCACCCCCGTCCACTTGTCTCTGAAGGCCAGGGAGCTCTTACAGCAGTGGCGGTCGGGGGAGGAAATGTGGGTTCCAGTCCTAGCTCCCAGAGGGACCCTCAAGCAACTTTCCTCCCCTCCCTGAGCCTTACATTCCCATCTTCTTCAGGGGCTGGGTTGCACTCTAAAGGGCAGAGAAGCTGACCACCTCGTCTCAGGTGGGGAGCCATTGTCCGGCCCCACCTGGAGGCACCTCCCAGGACTCTGGGACAGACTCACCTGTAGTAGCGTTCCTCTGGGAAGGCTCTAGGGTTCAGAAAGGTCCGTTCCAAGAGCATCAACTGGTCATTGAGCATCCGGACCTGCAGGGGGCTGGTGGGGAGGCAGGAACTGCCAGTCACCCTGGAGCCAGCAGCCCAGCTACCAGCCTGGTATCCTGCCCTGGGTGCTGCCCTCCCAGCCCCTGCCCGCTGCCCTTGCTCACTCAGGGCTGCCCTTCTGCAGTGTTGATATGCGTTGGCCCAAGGCTGCAGCTTCTGCCTCAAACTTCTCCACTGCAGTCACCAGAGGCCCTGTGAGGAACAAGCAGTGGCTCAGTCATGGGGGTGCAGGGCTCCCCATACCTCAGGGTCAGGGCTGTGCATACCCAGGCTGATGCTGTGCTGCTCCAGCAGGGCCCCAAGATCTTGCTGGGCTGCCTGCAGGAAGCTGCGGAGTGTCTCACTGTAGTCACTGACTTTGAGGGGCAGGAAGAAGCTGTCACTGAGCCGGAGAATCACACTCCCCGCTGTCCGGGCCACAGCCTGATGGCTGCTGAAGCCTGCGGCAAGGTGACAAGGCCAGGGCTCAGTCTTCAGCCTCTCCTGTCCTGGTCTCAGGATGCCCCTTGTCTCCCTCCTCACCCGGGTCCAAAAACTTGTCCACATAGTCAAAGGTGTCAAAGGCTGTGTGGTAGGTGGGGTAGATCCTGGCTGAAGTCTTGCTCTGGGGGAACAAAGCCCAGAGGTGACAGGCTTGGGATGGGAAGTGGGAGAAGGTGTACCTCCAGTGAGCTGCAAAATGTGGGCATTATCTCCACTGAATCTTGGCCATGTCTGTGAGGTGGCTTCTAGAATTCCCACAGAAAAGGAAACTGAAGCTCAGAGAGGTTAACCTGCTGATATCACATAGCTAATTAGTGGAAGAGCTGGGTCTGGTGCCAGTTTCCAGTTTCACAGAAAGGAGAAGAACCTGGGGCTTTGGGGTCAGATAGATTCAAATCCCAGCTCTACTACCAAGAATCGCTGTGGCTGTGAGGTGGAGAACATACTTTTTGGAGCATCAAACAGGGAGGTGCCAGCTGGGCACTCTGCACCCCTTGTCTTGTTTTTACCTTCATGCCAACGCTCACGCCAATGGTCTGAGTTAATCGATGCTGAGATTAACTTCCCCCCTCCCACCCCCGCCCCTACATTTTAAGATCTTTGGAAACAGAATGCTTCTCACAGGCAATGCCATCTTACAACTGGTTGGAAGCGGTGGTTTTTTTTCCTTTCCTGAATATTGCATAACATAACGGCACATCTTATAATCAGTAGTATCTTACATTTGATAAAATAACATAGATGAGCATAAAGAGGTGCTTGAAAAGGTTAAACTTGGCAGAGGCCGGGCACCAAGGCTCACACCTGTAATCTCAGCACTTTAGGAGGCTGAGGCGGGAGGATGGTTTGAGCCCAGGAGTTCAAGACCAGCCTGGCAACAAAGCAGGACTTCGTCTATATAAAACGTGTGTGTGTATTTCTGTGTGTGTGTGTGTTTTTTTTTAAGAAACTTGGCAGAGGTAGCAATGAGTAAAGGTGCAGGGTTCAGTCTGTATGAGAACAGCCACAAAGAGAGGAGGGGGCGCATGCAGCAAGGTACCGAGGCAGGGACGGAGGGGCGCCTGCTCACCCGGTCATAGGTATAGGCAATGTCCATGGAGGAGATGCCCAGGAAGTGAACGAAGGGTGCATAGTCGCTGCCAGCACCCAGAGAACCCAAGCTGCGGGAAGGAAGGGGGCCGGGATAAAGAGCGCTGGGCCGGACCGCCTCGCTCCGGGCCCCCTTCTGTCCCTGGGCTTACCTGGGGACCAGGCCGTACACCGGGCTGCTGCGGTTGAAGTACCGGATCCAGTTGTCGTAGATGCTCAGGTCGCCAGGGCCTGGTGAGCGGATCTGGCCGGAAGGAGAATTTAGTCTCGGTGCGCGGCCCTCCCCAGCCCCAACAACAGGGCGGGTTCTCCACCGGTCTCCTGCCCACCCGTGGTCCAGTCCTTACGAGGCTTGCCCCAGCCTCAGTCCAGCCCCAGCAGATCTAGAGAGTACCACTCCCCAGCCCCGCCCACCCGTAGCGGCCCCGTCCGCCGCACGCGGCCCGCCCCAGCTAGTTCAGCCCCGCCCGGCCTGCCCCCTTCCACCTCTTTGGTTGCAGAGAAGACGACGCTCTGGACAGGGGGCGTCCCCTGCACCCTAAGGGTAGCGTTGGCTGTGGGAGGAGGGGAGAAAGACTATTTGGGCCCCAGCCCCTTCTTTTACCCACCCAGTCGTCCCGCCGTCTCCTCCCCTTTCCTGCCCCACCACCCACATACCAAACACCGAGATGTCCACGTTGATGTAGGCCACCGTGCGCTCCTGCAGCTTGTTGAAGAACTCCTGCGGGTGCGAGGGGCGACGTCAGCCCCGCGCCGTTCTGTCCTGGGAACCCCTTTCGATCCCCTACCCTGTAGGGCCACTCACTTCTGTGAATTCCGTGGAGCCAATGAGCCCAAACTCCTCAGCCCCCCAGCTCGCAAACACGATTGATCTGCGAGGACGCCAGGTGCCTGGGAATGGGGGATAGAGGGTTGGAGGACAGGGTCCTCCTGATCCTAGGGTGCCTTAGGAGAAAGGCTGCTGACGTGAGGAGGGGAGAGCGGGAAAAGGCGGGGCAGCTGGTGACAGGATGTCCTGGCACCCTGCAGCCAGGCCTTCCAGGAGGCTCCCGCACCAAACACTGACCCCAACTCCAAGCCCCCTGAAGGGTCGGGTGGTCCCTTCTACCAGAATGCCTACTGCCCCTCTCTCTCTGTGGGCATGCTCTGGGAAGACTTCCGACCCTCCACCCTCAACCCCCGCCTCCAGGCCAAACTCCATAGCCATCTTCACTTGGTGATAACACAGGAACATTTCCTGTTAGGGCATTATCCACGTGGAACCAATCCCTACAACAATGCCTTGAGGGAGATACTATTATTATTTCCATTTCACAGTTGAAGAAGCTGAGAGAAGCTAAATGACTTTCCCAGGGTCACACGGCTGGTAGGCAGCAGAGCCAGTTTCAAATCCAGATATTTGGCTCCACACTGTGGGTATAGGGACTGGAGGTGGAAGCCAGGTTGCAGGATGCTCTGCCTCCCGGGTTCAGGCAGGAGAATCGCTTGAGCCTGGGAGGTAGAGGTTGCAGTGAGCTGAGATCGTGCCACTGCATCCAGCCTGAGGGACTGAGTCTCACTCTGTGGCCCAGGTTGGAGTGCAGTGGTGCGATCTCGGCTCCCCACACCCTCAACTTCCTGGGGTCCGGCGATCCTCTCACCTCAACCTCCCAAGTAGCTGGGACCACAGGCACACACCACCGCGCCTGGCTGATTACTGTATTTTTGGTAGAGATGGGGTTTGTCCATGTTGCCCAGGCCAGTCTTGAACTCCTGAGCTCAAGTGATCCACCCACTTCAGCCTCCCAAAGTGCTGGGATTACAGGTGTGAGCCACCGCAACCAGCAAATGAAGAATTTTTCAGTGTGATGTGATTACACGCTTGCAATTATACATTTTTACAATTTTTTCTGCCAAAAATGTATAATCTAAATCAAATGAGCCAAACCCAAATTGAGGGTTATTTGACAAAATAATAGGATAATAATAGCAGGATCATGAAAGACAAAGAACAGCTAAACAATTATTATAGACTAAAGGAAACTAGTAACCAGATCACTAGTGTGATCCTGGATTGGAGCTTGGGCCAAAAAATTATTTTGCTATCAAGGTCATCACTGGGCACAGTGGCTCACGCCTGTAATCCCAACACTTTGGGAGGCTGAGGCAAGGAGGATCACTTAAGCCCAAGAGTTCGAGACCAGCCTCAGTAACACAGCAAGACCTTGTCTCTACAAAAAGTAAAAAAGTATCAGGGCTTGGTGGCGCACACACCTGTAGTCCCAGCTAATCAGGAAGCTGAGGCAGGAGGATCGCTTGAGCCCAGGAGGTCGAGCAAGCAGTGAGCTGACTGCACCACTGCACTCCAGGCTGGGCAACAGAGTGAGACCCTGTCTCAAAAAATATTTTTTTCTTTTTTTTGAGATGGAGTCTCACTCTCATCAACCAGGCTGGAGTGCAGTGGCGCAATCAGCTCACTGCAACCTCTGCCCCCCAGGTTCAAGCGATTCTCCTGCCTCAGCCTCCCGAGTAGCTGGGATTACAGGCACCCACCACCACGCCCAGCTAATTTTTGTATTTTCAGTAGAGATGGGGTTTTACCACGTTGGCCAGGCTGGTGTTGAACTCCTGACCTCAGGTGATCCACCCACCCCGGCCTTCCAAAGTGCTGGGATTACAGGCATGAGCCACGACACCCAGCTGGAAGCATTTAAAAGTTGTGGGGGCTGGCGCGGTGACTCACGCCTGTAATCCCAGCACTTTGGGAGGCTGAGGTGGGCGGATCACGAGGTCAGGAGATTGAGACCATCCTGGCTAACAAGGTGAAACCCCATCTCTACTAAAAATACAAAAAATTAGCCAGGCGTGGTGGCGGGTGCCTGTAGTCCCAGCTACTCGGGAGGGTGAGGCAGAAGAATGGTGCAGACCTAGGAGGCAGAGCTTGCAGTGAGCCGAGATGGCGCCACTGCACTCCAACCTGGGCGACAGAGCGAGACTCTGTCTAAATAATTAAAAAAAAAAGTTGTGGAAAATTGGCTGGGCACATTGGCTCACACCTGTAATCCCAGCACTTTGGAAGGCCAGAGCGGGTGGATCACCTGAGGTCAGGAGTTCGACACCAGCCTGGCCAACACGGTAAAACCCCATCTCTACTGAAAATACAAAAATTAGCCAGGCGTGGTGGCGCATGCCTGTAATCCCAGCTACTCAGGAGGCTGAGGCAGGAGAATGGCTTGAACCTGGAGGGCAGAGGTTGCAGTGAGCCAGATTGCGCCACTGCACTCCAGCCTGGGTCACAGAGCAAGACTGTGTCTCAAAATAATAATAATAATAATACTTCAGACAAAAACATATATAGTTATATTATAAATAGCCAAGGCTTTTTTCCCCTATTTTTTGTAGAGACAGGGGTCTCGGTATGTTCCCCAGGCTGGTCTTAAACTCTTGGGCTCAAGCGATCCTCCTGCCTCTGCCTCCCAACGTGCTGGGATTATTGGCATGAGTCACCGTGCCTGGCCCATATATTATACAGAGATAGAAAGCAAACGTGATGAAACATTAATATTAGGAGTGTCTGTATAAGAGGCTTCTTTGTACTATTTTTACATCTCTGTAAGTCTGAAATTATTTCAACATACAACACTTTGACAAACAAAAAAATATGGGAATTTCTGCGCTACCCATAAGGGTAAAGTCGAAAGCCCAGCCTCTCTCCACAAGCTTGTCCACTCCCTCCACCCCTGGCTTCTGAGCTGATCTCAGCAACACCTGTGGTTTCACAGACTGTTTTGCTACCAACTCCCCAAGTCATCTCTCAAGTCTCTCTCTCCTTTCTTTCTTTCTTTTTTTTTTTTTTTTTTTTTTTTTTTTTTTTTTTTTTTGAGACAGGGTCCTTTTCTGTTGCCCAGGCTGGAGTGCAGTAGTGTGATCACGGCTTACTGCAGCCTCAACCTCCCAGGCTCAAGTGTTCCTCCCACACAGCCTCCGAAGTAGCTGGAACCACAGGCACATGTCACCACGCCTGGCTATTTTTTTATGTTTATTTTTTGTAAAGACAAGGTCTCACAAGGTTGGTCTCGAACTCCTGGGCTCAAGCAATCCGCCCACCTCAGCCTTCGAAAGTGCAGGGATAACAGGCATGAACCACTGTGGCCAGACTTCAGGTCTCATTTCTGAACTGCGACATCATATCATACAAGGGGGGGGATGGAGTTTGACAGCAGTGGCGTGTTTGTGTGCAATTACAGTTGAGTGGGTATCGGTTCAAATGCCATGCTTAGCACTCTGGGATATTATATGTAAGGGAAGATGAAGAAGTTCTGGAGCCAATGGCAGTGATGGTTGCACAACTTTAGAAATGTACTTAATGCCACTGAATCAAATACTTACAAACGTAAAACTGGTCAATTTTGTTATGTATATTTTACCATGAATTTTTAAAACTAACGAAAGAGGGCCTGGCGTGGAAACTCAATGCCTGTGGATCACTTGAGTCCTGGAGTTCAAGACCAGCTTAGGCAACACAGCGAGACCCCATCTCTATAAAAATAAATAACTAAAACTAAAACAAGAAATTAATATGGGAAGACCCAGATTCACATCTTCCTTCTAGATCTGTCCTAGATCCACCCAGTTATTTTTCTTAAATGGCACTAATGTCGAGTCGCTTAGACCACAGCCCTCGACTTGTCCTCCCTCTTGCCCCTGGAGCCAGCAGACCCGGGCCCAGCAGCCTGTCCCTGCCCCACTGCCCTCCATCCTGGTCCAAGCCCCACAGCATCTCCAGCCCTGGAATGACAAGCGTCTGCCTGGCCCCCCTATGTGGAGTGCCCTTCCCCTGCTCCCCGCTTTTTTTTTTTAGACGGGGTCTTGCTCCATTCTCCCGGCTGGAGTGCAGTGGCGCGATCTCAGCTCACTGCAACCTCTGCCTCCCAGGTTCAAATGATTCTCCTGCCTCAGCCTCCCAAGTAGCAGGGACTACAGGTGCACACCACCATGCCCTGCTAATTTTTGTATTTTTAGTAGAGACGGGGTTTCACCATGTTGGCCAGGCTGGTCTCGAACTCCTGACCTCGTGATCTGCCTGCCTCGGCCTCCCAGAGTGCTGGGATTACAGGCGTGAGCCACTGTGCCTGGCCAGGAGCCGTTTAACATGAGGACTCTATCATGTCCCTCTCCTGCGTGAAATCCTTCACCGGCTTCCCACAACCCTTGGACTGAACTCCAAACTCCTCAGCCTGGCCTGGCCCTGCCTGCTCTGCCACCTCGCCCAGCCCTGTCCACCTCCTTTCTGGCTGCCACCTCCTTGCCCTCCTCTCCTTCCCTGAAGCACTGAAACGCTGAAGTGCTGCCTCCACTGAGAGACTTGTCCCAACCTGGCCTGCCATGTCAAAGGCACACAAGACATTAGAGACATCAGAGTTAACAATCGGCTGCCGTCCCTGACCCAGCTGAGCTAAAGTTCCCGGAGGGCAGAGCCTGGGCGCTGCCTGCTTCACAGCAGCATCGGGCCTTGCTCCATCCAGGCACACGGGAGGCACTTGGAAGCGGCACATGAATCAACCCACAGTCTATTCCCTGTACCACACTGGGCTGCTGCAGGCCAAGGCTGGTGTCATGCATGTCTGCCCCCAGGGCCCTCAGGCATGGCACAAGGAGCACTGCAGTGTGAGGGAGAGGAGGTGGAACAGGAAGGGGACCTCCGGGGGCGAAGGTCCCTGGTCCAGGGGAGGGGGCCGCCTCACCCTTCTTCAGCAGGGTCCCCAGGACACGGGAGAGCTCCAGGAGGACGGCGGTGCCACTGCTGGGGTCCACAGCCCCGTGCACCCAGCTGTCTCGGTGGTTCCCATACAGCACGTAGCGATCTGGCCAGAGGAAAAGGGGCAGAGAACCAGAGGAGAGGGAGAGGTGGGCAGGGGGAGCTGGGCTGGGTGGTGGCAAGGGCAGGGCTGGATGAGGACAGCGGCATCCAGAGCAGAGCAGGGGCCTGGGGTGCAGGCAGCAAGAGGAGGGCTCACCAGGCTCCACAGCCCCACGGATGATGCCCAGGACGTTGGAAGAGTTCCTCAGCTCCAGGCGGTTGTAGACGCTCACATTCACCTGGCTGGGGAGGGTGAAGGGTGTGAGAAGACTCTTGGCCTTGCCCACTGCCCCCGACCCAGTGCAGGAGACACTGAGGCCCGGAGCTGGAAAGTGACGTGGCAAGGCCATTCATTGGCCCCGAAGTACCAAGAGAGGCAGCAAGGCTGGAGCCAGGCTCTCCTGCCTACTCGCTGGGTAGGTACTTATTGGGTACTTAGTCCCTGACTAGTCTCTGGGCAATGACGGTGACAGATGTGGACCTGGTTCTCGTGGGGCCTCCCTCTCCTGAGTGAGACAGACCAGGAGGACAGGAACAGCTGGGTGAAGGGGCCTGGGAGGAGAGGGCACCTGGAGGCCAGTGGGTGCTGTAGGGAGGGAGGTTGGTGCAGGTTGGGAGTGGCAGGGGCCCTGATTTGGGAAGGAGCTTGGCATCTTCAAGAGAGGGAGTCGTGAGTTACAGACGTCAAGATGAGGTGGGAGGGGCAGGGGAATCCCCACAGGAAACAGCAGCAGCTGTTTCACGGGCTTCCCCAAAAACAAGACATATTTTGGGGTCAGGAGAGGGTCTGGGAGAGAGAGGAAAGGGAAAAAGGTCAGGCTTTGAAGTGGAAAGAGGGAACATCATCACAAGGGAAGGGGAGAGGCGAGTTGGGGGAGAGGGCAACTGAGGGAGACCTGGTCTGGCTGCATCTCACCTGTCTGCTGGGAAGTCTCCGTCAGGCCGGAAGCCGGGACCCAACCTGTAGTGGCAGCCCAGTGCTCCCTGCCAGGTGGCTGGGGCCAAAGTTCCGTTGAGGTTACTGGGGAGGAGGAAGAGGCCCTTCAGGGTAAATGTGAGTGTGGGGCTTGAAGTCTGGAGGCCACTGGGGCTGGGCAGGACACCCCAGGGCACAAACTCACCAGAGCAGGTCTCTTGCATCCTGGAAGCCAATGGGCTGTGTAGGAATTGGGGGAAATCCGGAGACATTGGCAAGGTCCACGCGGAAGGAAGAGGGGACGGCTGGAAGGTAGGGAGTCAGAGGGTCCCCAAAATACTCGTAGTAGGAGCCTCGCTCCACTCCTGAGGGGGGCAGGTACCAGGAGTTGGGAAAGGTTTCGTCGGGTGAGCTCAGCCCATCGTTGATGTCGGCAGGGTCTGTGTACACCAGCACCCCAGCTACCCCGTGCTTGGCAGCGTTCACAGCCTGCAGTGGGCAGAGGAGGCTGTGTGTAAGGGAGGGACCGGGACCAGATATGTCCTATTCCTCTTCCTCCTTCCTCGACTGTGGAAGCCAGGATAGACCAATCTTCCATGGGCAAGATGACGTTTGCACAAGTCATTTATGGCAGTGCCTCTTGCAACAGTAAAGGCCAGTTCGGCACAGCCAAGCCCGTGCCTATCAGTGGAGTCTGGTTGAATAACAGGGACATCCTACAGTGGAATACCATGAAGCTGCATAAAATAACACAGTTGTGTACTCATGTCCACAGCAGCATTATCCTCAACGGCCAAAAGGAGGAAATAGCCCAAGTGTCCATCAACAGATGAATGGCTAAACCAAATGTGGGCTGTAACATACAATGGAGGCCGGGTGGGGTGGCTCACGCCTGTAATCCCAACACTTTGGGAGGCTGAGGCAGGCAGATCACCTGAGGTGGGATCACCTGAGGTCAAGACCAGCAGGTAGATCACCTGAGGTCAAGACCAGCCTGGCCAACATGGTGAAACCTTGTCTCTACTAAAAATACAGAAATTAGCCAGGTGTGGTGGTACACACCTGTAGTCCCAGCTATTTGGGAGGCTGAGGCACGAGAATCGCCTGAACCTGGGAGGTGGAGGTTGCAGTGAGCTGAGATCATGCCACTGCACTCCAGCCTAGGTGACAGAGCAAGACTCTGTCTCAAAAAAACCCCAACAAACAAACAAACAAAAAACAATGGAATATTATTCAGCCTAAAAAGAAAGAAAGTTCTGATACATCAATGAGCCTTGAAGATGTTATGTTAAGTGAAATAAGCCAGACATAAAAAGACAAATATCTTATACTTTCACTTATGCGAGGTACCTAGAATAGGCAAATTCATAGAGACAGAAAGTAGAATTGAGGTTACAGAAAATAGAATAGGGGCTGGGGCAGGGACCTGGGGAGTTATTGTTAAATAAAGTTTCTGTTTGAAATGATGAAAAGGTTCTGGAAATGGGTAGTGGTGATGGTTAATTAATAATCTGTGTATTTCTACACTGCTTGTTCCCCTTTCTTTTTCTTTTCCTTTTTTCCCTTTCTTTTCTTCCTTCCTTTCTCTCCACCTTCCTTCTTTCTTTCTCTTTTCCCAGCTCTTATTATGGACACCTTTTTTTTTTTTTTTTTGAGATGAGGTCTTGCTCTTGTCCCCCAGGCTGGAGTGCAATGGCATGATCTCGGCTCACTGCAACCTCTGCCTCCTGGGTTCAAGTGATTCTGCTGCCTCAACCTCTGAGTAGCTGGGATTACAGGTGCCTGCCACCATGAGCGGCTATTTTTTGTATTTTTAGTAGAGACAGGGTTTCACCATGTTGGCCAGGCTGGTCTCGAACTCCTGACCTCAGGTAATCCACCTGCCTTGGCCTCCGAAAGTGCTGGGATTACAGGCATGAGCCACCGCGTCCAGCCCACTTTTAAAAAAATTGTGGTAAAATACACATAACATAAACTTAGCATGTGGAGTATGCAGTTCAGTGGCATTCAGTACATCCATATTGTGCAACATCACCACCATTCATCTCTAGAACTCTTCATCTGACAAATCCGAAACTCGGTCCCCATTAAATACCAACTATCCCTTCCCCTCTCTCATTCTACTCTTTTTATATTAATTTTGTTTGTTTGTTTGTTTTTTGTTTTTAGAGATGGAGTCTCGCTCTGTCACCCAGGCTGGAGTGCAGTGGCACAATCTTGGCTCACTGCAACCTCCACCTCCTGGGTTCAAGCAATTCTCCTGCCTCAGCCTCCTGAGTAGCTAGGACTACAGGTGCACGCTGCCACACCCAGCTAATTTTTGTTTTTTTGTATTTTAGTAGAGATGGGGTTTCACCGTGTTGCCCAGGCTGGTCTTGAACTCCTGAACTCAGGCAATCCGCCTGCCTTGGCCCCGCAAAGTGCTAGGATTACAAGCGTGAGCCACCACGCCCATGCCCAGCCTTTTTTTTTTTTTTTTTTTTTTTAAATCAGAGTCTCGATGTCTCCCAGGCTGGAGAGTGCAGTGGTGCAATCTCAGCTCACTACCATCTCTGCCTCCCAGGTTCAAGCAGTTCATCTGCCTGAGCCTCCCCAGTAGCTGGGATTACAGGCATGCACCACCATGTGTGGCTAATTTTGTATTTTGAGTAGAGATGGAGTTTCACCATGTTGGCCAGGCTGGCCTTGATCTCCTGACCTCAGGTGATCTGCCCACTTCGGCCTCCCAAAGTGCTGGGATTATAGGCGTGAGCCACAGCGCCCGGCCCCTAGTCAGAATTTTTGATGGAAAAGAAATGGCAGGGAGAGGGCCAACAGGAGGGACTTAAGTTGAATATTCAAAACTATTTCACAGGAGGACTTAGACTTCTGGAATACCAAACCTGAAAATTGTACTCAACCCCTTTATTTCCTACAGCTCAGAGAGGGTCAGGGAGGCATCCGAGGCCACACAGCCCATTGGTGGGACAACCCGAAAACACCTTGCCTTTCCTGCCCCACCCTGGGGCTTGGTTCCCCACTCAACACTGCCTCTTCTCCTTCCCCTTCCCCTCACTTCCTCCAGTCCACTGCCCAGCCCCTTCCTCACCGAGGCCTCCTGCACTGGGGGACTGCCACTCACCTTGGCCCCACGCCCTACACCCCCATATCGAGTCAGGGCAATGGTGCCTTCAAGTTTGATGCCCTGAGTCTGTAGCTCCTTAAAGTCTTCTTCCGCGCCCCGGTTGGCATAGACGAGGAGGCCCTAGTCCCAAGAGGGGGTGATCCTTAGAGCTGGGCCCAGCGAAGTGTGGGTGGGGAAGGGGGGTGGAAGTTTGCATGGCAGGAGGGAGAATTTAGATTCTGTTCCCCCACCTCACCCAGAGCTTGTAAGCTCCCCAAGAACAGTCACCCCTCATTTCCTCCATGTCTGGGTGCCCTGTAACAGACCTGGCCTTGAGCAGAGCCACTAGTGTTTGTTGAATGACTGATGGAGGAAAGGAGCAGCGATGGAGTGTCCCGGTGAGTAAATTCCGGAGGGCGCGCTGTGCCCCAGTTGAGGCACGTTCCCTGGGTCAGGGTGGGGAGAACCCTGGGTGGAACCAAGGGAGCTGGGCCAGAGCAGTAGGGGGGGTTCTGGGCCCACCTGTGGGGTTCCAGAAGGAGCATAGGCAGCATAGGGTTGTACCACATCTGGCCCCCCTTGCTCCCCGGTCACGTTCTCCTCAGTCCGGTGGCAGGAGTGGATGATGCCCCCAGTGGGGCCCACTGTTGGAGGGGTGGCAGTATCATGGCTGGGCCCAGCAGCTCCCCACCCCCGGGCATTCCCAAGACTGGGCAGGACCTCACCGATGTCCACGACGTTGGGCTGCTCCTGGCTAGGGAAGGACAGCAGCACTTCGTACGTGGAGGCCTCGGCCGAGTCCAGGCCTGACTCTGGGTCCTTCCAGCGCTGCAGCAGCAGCTGCACCAGGTCCTCATCCCGAGGGCTGGAGGCCAGGTGTGGCTCCCTGGAGAGTTCTCTGCAGGGTGGGCAGAGGGAGGGGCAGGGCCAGCATCAGGGAGGGGGCCTCTGGCAAACGGAGGAGCAGATGGCCCCACTTCTCACCTGAGGTTCTCCCGGATCCTGTGGGCATCCAGCTGCCCCATGACGGTCTCCAGGATCTCCAGGTCCAGGTCCTGGGGGGCCAGTGAGTTGGCTTTTTTGGGGATGGCAAAGTGGCCGAGGATGATCCCCAGCCCCAAGAGGGCAGCAGCCCCCAGCCCCAGCCCCAACACCTTCGTCCACTGCATCCTGCGGACTCTTGGCCAGCTGGGGTAGGACTGGTCTATAGGTTATTCCCTATAGAGGGGGTGTTGTGCCTGGTTAAACATTACCCCATGGGTGGCACTGCCCTTTGACCCCCAGCTGGCAGGGAGAGTGAGGGAACATCCCGCAGTGAGAGCCAGGAGCCATCCACATCCACCACATCCTGCACCATTTGCCTGGAATGGCTCTCCAAGGGCAGCAAGGTCACCCAGGGACACTGAAGCCGAGAGGGAAGGGGCTCATCCAGGGTGTCCCAGGAAAACAGAGGCCAAGCCAGGGCTGGAACTCAGAGCTCCTGTGTTCACAGCAGGGCCGTGCCCACTGCCCACCCTCACTGCCTCTGCCTCCCTCCAAGGCAGCCGATCTACAGCATACCCAGCCCTACCTGCCTGAGCAGATTTTGAGTTGAGATCCCCCTTCTTGCTGGACGTAAGCTGTGTGACCTTGGGCAATCCACTCAGCTTCTCTACACCTGTTTTCTTTTTTTTTTTTCTAGACTGTGTCTTCCACTGACACCCAGGCTGGAGTCCAGTGGTGTGATCTCGGCTCACTGCAACCTCCACCTCCCGGGCTCAAGTGATTCTCCTGCATCGGCCTCCCGAGTAGCTGGGATTACGGGTGTGCACCACCATGTCCAGCTAATTTTTGTATTTTTAGTAGAGATGGGGTTTCACCATGTTGGCCAGGCTGGTCTCAAACTCCTGATCTCAGGTGATCACCCGCCTCAGCCTCCCAAAGTGCTGGGATGACAGGAGTGAGCCACCGTGCCGGCTATGGTGTCATTTTCATTAAACAATATGGCATCTGTAGAAATAGCTAGTGCAGTGTCTGACATGTAGTGGGAGCTCATCAATTTTAACTACTCATCCCTCATCTGACTCTGGAAAATGTAAGGCCTAGAGCTAAAGGAAGAAGGAGGACCCAGAAGAACTCTCTGTGTCTATCCTGAAGGGAGCCCAGCGATACGAGGAATGGGAGTCCTGGGAAGGGAGGCTGTCCCAGAGGAGGCAGCAGGGGAAGCCCATGCCTCCCTGGCGAGGTGACTTCCTCTTCTATCCCCTGGCTCTGCCTGGACTCCGTCATCCACCCTCCTATTTATCCATCCACCCATCCCTCCATTCACTTATTCATTCCTTCCTTTATACATGCAAGCACTGTTCATTCTGTGCTATACTAGAGCCATGCAAGGCTGTGGGGAAGCAAAATCCAGCAGGCGAGGCAGACAGGCTTTAGGTTCAGCCATGTGGTAAGTGCCCTGTAGAGGGAGGATCACCATGCTCCCAGTGAAAGAGTGAGGAGTTCTGACTAGGAGGGAACATCTGAGGGGGTCCTCCAAGGCTGAAAAGGTGTTCCAGCATTTGCAAGGGCTGAGAGGGAAGTGAGACCCCAAGTATGCCATACACATACTGAGCCTCTTCCAGACCTCACGGAGAGCCAGGAGGGGCTGGGGGGGTCCCTAGGGACTTGAGCTGGGACTTCTCCCACCCTCCCATGGCCTATCCTGCCTTGACTCTGCCTCGCAGGTTGCAGCCCATGGATGGGCTCAAAGATGCCTGCAGAGCTTGGGGGCTGGATCAGGGCAGAGCGTGTGTGTGTGTGTGTGTGTGTGTGCACGTGCATGTGTGTGTGTGTGATTTCACAGACCCCTCTCAGAGCAGCCTCCTTCCTGCTCACAACCCCATTTTGCTGGCACCACCATCTCTTGTGCTGCTGGTGAGGAGGTTCAGCATGGGAGGACTAGGGGTGGCTGGGAAGGGATGTCATGTGATCAGTGACTTCAGGGAGGTGCACCAGGAAGCCACAGTTCTTGGCAACGTGATTATCGACGCCCAGAATATGACCTTGGATCTTATCAGAAGCCCATCGGTGCAGGGAGCATACACCTTCCTTATGAGGACACAGGACAGTCACCACCAGGTGGGGAGTGGGATGCCAAGGTCAGCTGATAAGTTGAGGGACTGAGGCAGCAACCCCATGGTCCTACCCCACCCACTCCTGGAAGGATTTAACCCCTCAATCATGTGAAGTCACAAACAGGACGCCTGGACAAAAGTGTGTGACATCTGAGTGATAACACCTGGGACTGTGGTTTGTGTTGGAGAGTGTGTAAACAGCTGTGTGTGTGACACCCAAGAGATCCACTCAGGCTGTTGGAATCCACTGGTGTCTACATGGCTGTAGGCACCAGACGTTAACTTAGTCAATTTTCTTTCCTTCATCTTTGCTGTGTGGGTGGTATGGCCCCTCCCAGAACATTCTGGATTGTGGGAGTTCCTAGAAATAACTTACGGTAGTTAGAGCACATGAACACCTTTCATTTTCCTGCCTTATTCTCCCAATGGCTCTGGGTCCAAGGGGTCTTCAATCCTCCAGGACCAGCAATGCACTGCTGCTGGCTCCCTCCCCACTCTCCACCTGCCCCACACACTTGCCTCCGTCCCACCCTCCTTCACCTCCCACGTGTACTCACCTTGCCCAGTTTGAGGCCCTGGAAGCCCTCTTAACCCCCAATCCTCTCTGCTTTGGTCACATCCACTGGGAAAACACCATTCTGGTTACTTCTGACTCACTTTCTGCTTCTTCTGCGCCTGCACCCTTGCCCCTGGATGTGCCTGCAGAGTCACGTGGCCTCCCGGACACCATGTTGTGAAGACACTCAAGCAGCCCTGTGGACAGGCCTCATGGTGAGGCGCTAAAGCCTCCTGCCAACATTCAGCACTAACTTGCCAGCCCTGTGAATAAACCAACTTGGAAATGGGTCCTCCAGCACCAGCCAAGCCGTCAGAATACAGCGGCCCCTGCTGGAATCTTGACTGCAGCCTCACGAGAGTCCCTCAGCCAGTACCACCCAACCAAGCCACTTTCAGATTCTTAACCTGTGGACACTGTGTGAGATAATACATGTTTATGGTTTTGGGCTACTAGGTTTTGGAGTGATTATAACCGAGCAAAATAGGCCAGGCGCGGTGGCTCACGCCTATAATCCCAGCACTTTGGGAGGCGGAGACGTGCGGATCATGAGGTGAGGAGATCAAGACCATCCTGGCTAACATGGTGAAAGCCCGTCTCTACTCAAAATACAAAAAAATTAGCCGGGCGTGGTGGCGGGCACCTGTAGTCCCAGCTACTCTGGAGGCTGAGGCAGGAGAATGGCGTGAACCTGGGAGGCAGAGCTTGCAGTGAGCCGAGATAGCGCCACTGCACTCCAGCCTGGGTGACAGAGTGAGACTCCGTCTCAAGAAAAAAAAAAAAAAAAAACAAAAAAAACCACAGCAAAATGGAGAACCAATACAAATGACTAAATATAGACCAGAAACCCGCAAGTATATGTCTCCAATCTAACCCATCCCCGAACTCTTGTATTTCCAGCTGCCTAATTTTTTTTTTTTTTTTTTTTTTTGAGACAGAGTTTCGCTTTTGTTGCCCAGGCTGGAGTGCAATGGCGCGATCTCGGCTCACCGCAACCTCTGCCTCCCAGGTTCAAGTGATTCTCCTGCCTCAGCCTCCTGAGTAGCCGGGATCACAGGCATGCGCCACCATGCCCAGCTAATTTTGTGTTTTTAGTAAAGATAGGGTTTCTCCATGTTGGTCAGGCTGGTCTCAAACTCCCAACCTCAGGTGATCCGCCCGCCTTGGCCTCCCAAAGTGCTGGGATTACAGGCGAGAGCCACCGTGCCCAGCCTGCAGTGGCCTCTTAACTGGCCTCTCTGATTGTATTCTTGTCCCCTCTAGTTTTTTTCTCTACATAGCAGTCAGACTCATCTTTGTGAAACCCAGGTCCGCCATGTCACGACCGTGCTCACAGCCCTCCAAGTCTCCCTTTACACTCAGAGTAACAGTCATGACAGTGGCCATAGAGCCCTTCATGTCTCAGACCCGGTCCCCTCCCTGTCCTCCTCACTCACGGCTCCTGTAGCTCTGGCCTGCTACTGTCCCCTGAGCCTACCAGGCACACTCCTGACTCAGTGCCTTTGTGTTGGCAGCTCCCGCTCCCTAGAACCCTGCTCCCCAGCTGTCCACAGGGCTCCTTCCCTCAGGTCCTTTGTGTCTTTGCTCAAATGTCACTTCTCAATGAGCTCTTCCCTGACTACTCTATCTGAAATTGCATTCCTGGCTGGGTGCAGTGGCTCATACCTATAATCCCAACACTTTGGGAGGCTGAGGCAGGAAGATCGCTTGAGTCCAGAAGTTCAAGACCAGCCTGGGCAACATAGTGAGAATCCATGTTTAAAAATACATAAATAAAATAAAATTGCATTCCTCCCCCTCCCTCAGGCTTCCTCTTCCTCTGTGGCTTCATTTTTCTCCATTGCATCTATCCTCATGTTACTTGTTCATTATTTCTTGCTGCCCCTCCCAGAGCGTAAGTTCTACCAGGGCAGACATCTTTGTTTTATTCACTGCCGAAGCCCCAGAGTCCAGAGCAGTGCCCGGCACCTATGAGGCACTCAACAAGTATTTGTAGATTGGAGGCAAAGCTGACCTACGCCAGCACAGCAACTCAACACTCCTGCTCCAGCTGTCTTCTGTCCAAGGGGTGTTCAGAGCAATAAGAGATGTAAAAGGTGGGCACGAGACCCCTGGGAAGCAGATCCCCTCTGGGTAAGCCCCACCAGACTGCCAAGGCAGCCATGCATAGGACACCTGCGTAACAGGCGCAGGTGCCCTCACAAGATGGGGATGGGATCTAACAGACTTTCAGTGCTGGGTGTTCCCAAAGGATGACGTTGCAGGATGGAGGAAGGCCCTGCCAGGCTGCAGGGTCTGGCCACCCTCTTGGGCAGGAATACCAGGCCCTTTAGTGGGGAAGGGAGCCTGCTGGGAACACTGGTACTCAGAGCTGCTCCCACTGGGCCTGCAAAGCCAGTTTGGGGGCCAGGGTAGATCCACTGGAGATCAGATAACAGTCGCCAACACATGGAATGCACCAAGTCCACACAAAATCATTCATCCTCCGAGGTGGACACAGTGGAACCCCATGTTACAGATGAAGATGTGTGTCCAGGCACTCAGTCAAGGTCACACCAGACAGCAAGGGGTGGAGCTGAGAGTAGAATGCAGCGCCTGCACATTCACGAAGCTATCCCACCTGCCATCACTAGGCAGGAGAGAGGCATCCCATTCTGCCCCTCACTAGAGAAATGGTGCCAGCCAGACAGAGGAGGCTGATTTGCTAACCCAAGCCCAGTGCCTTGATGACAGAGGCCCAGGAGGTGTGGGCACAGCTTGTGACTCACATGGTAGCCTCCTTTGACTGGGAGAAATGTGTGTGAATGAAAGGACCAGGTAACACCCTGGGGCCCACGCAGCTTTGCTGTGGGACCTTCCTTGACAGGAACCTCTGGGCTGGGCTGGGACTGCTTGGATGCAGTGTCAACAGGAGTGGCTGCAGGGACTGACCTCAGGACAGCCAGTGAAGGATCCCTGAGCTGCAGAACCATGGCCAGGATGCATTCGAATCTATAAGCACTTCTGTGGTTTGGAGCTGGTTGGGGAGGGGGCTCCGTAATAGACTCCATTTCCTGCAGCCAAGCAGTATTCATGTAACCTTATTCGAGCGCTGTCCCAGGCTGAGACATAATTAAATAAAAGCATAATTAGCCGGGTGCAGTGGCTCACACCTGTAATCCCAGCACTTTGGGAGGCCGAGGCAGGTGTATCACAAGGTCAGGAGATCGAGACCACCCTGGCTAACACGGTGAAACCCCGTCTCTACTAAAAATATAAAAAACTAGCCAGGCATGGTGGCGGGTGCCTGTAGTCCCAGCTACTCGGGAGGCTGAGGCAGGAGAATGGCATGAAGCCAGGAGGCAGAGGTTGCAGTGAGCTGAGATTGCGCCACTGCACTGTAGCGTGGGCGACAGAACAAGACTCTGTCGCAAAAAAAAAAAAAAAAAAAGCATAATTAGTCTCTCTCTGTGTCCTTTTAAAGGAAACATCAAATGGGACCATGCTGATGACTGCATCTTATTGACAGAAGTCCTTAAATGGGTAATTGATTTAGCTGTTGATCCAACTACCATCAACCTCAGTACCCTATGATTCCCTTTGGGAAAATTGCAAGACAGCTGTTTGTACAGCAGGGCCCCTGGTCAAGGACAGGTCAGGAAGTAGGTGGTTGGGGAGGTCTGGGATCCCTACAGCCATCGGGTGAGGAGGGTAGAGTCTCAGAAGGGGTGGGCTGCTAAGTCAGAGATGTTAGTCTGGGAGCGGTAGCTAATGCCTGTAATCCCAGCATGTTGGCAGGCTGAGGCGGGAGGATTCTTTGAGCCCAGGAGTTTGAGACCAGCCTGAGTAATATAGCAAGACCCTGTCTCTATTTATAAAAATAAAATGTAAAAATATGAAGAAAAGAGATGTTAGCTCAGCTCAATTCAGCCTGAAGCTGGGGCAGAATCAAATAGTCACTAATCAAGCACTTCATCAGTTACTTTGCCCAGGCCTGATCCCTAGGAGTCTGGTGTAAGTCAAACCAGGCCTGGGGAGAAGCCACAAACCTGAATTTCCATCCTCTTGGCTGTTGTCTCCCTACAGTGAACATAAGGCAAAATGATCATCCCCAGCCCGTTCCGTGTCACACGAGGATTAACGAAGGAATTCTGCATGGTGGATCTTTTACCATCCATTAGACCTAGATGCTGTAAAGTTAGAGGTTACTTTACAGAAAACTGATTAAGATGCAAAATGATTTCTGCCCAGTGAATAATACAAGCCTTAGAGTTATGGGACTTTTTATTTTATTTTAAATTAAAAAAAAAATTTTTTTTTGAGATAGTGTCTTGCTCTGTCGTCCAGGCTGGAGTACAGTGGTGCCACCTTGGTGCGCTGAAACCTCAGCCTCCCAGATTCAAGTGATTCTCGTGCCTCAGCCTCCCAAGTAGCTGGGATTACAGGCACGTGCCACCACACCTGGCTACTTTTTGTATTTTTAGTAGAGACCAGGTTTTCCCATGTTGGCCACACTGGTCTCAAACTCCTGACCTCAGGTGATCTGCCCACCTCGGGCTCCCAAAGTGCTGGGATTACAGGTGTGAGCCACTGTGACCAGCCCGGGTTATGGGATTTTAAAAATAAATGCCCTTTAGAATATTAACCAATTTTGTATGTAATTTAGCAATCTTCTATCAGGATTCCTTGCTTTCTCCCCCTTGACTATATACGTGTCAGTTTTTTGTATTCTTTTTTGCAACCCCATTGGTGGAGGGGGGTTGGGGGCTCCCAGGAGGCCCTGGGCCAGAGGGCTCCTGGGTTGGAGGTGAAACTCAAAATCGATATGTATCTCCAGGCCTGAGGGGTATAGGATGCGGGCCCTTGGGGAGTTGCCACCACCTCTCTCTGCCCCCCAACCCCATGACTTACAAAGGGGAAGGGACTTTTCCAAGGTCACCAGATGGTTAGTGGCTCTTCCCCTATCCCTCCCCCGCCTACACCCCAGTATCCTTCTGCACTTTGGAGTTAGAGCAGGTACCCAGATCCTCCGGGGAGGGACTGCGGCCCCTTTCTGGCCTCACCCCAGTGCTTATCTTGGGAACATCGCCCTTGAGCTCTCATCTCCAGGCTGACAACAACCAGGCCTGGAACCTTCTGTGAGGGGTCGGGGGAGGGCAGGGCCATGTCGGGGAGGGGTAGATGCAGAATGGGTGAGCTGAGGGAGTGGGGGTGATGTCAGAGGGTGGCTGAGGGGCTGAGCTCAGTGTGGACGTGGTGACCTCCTGCTCCCCACCTGAGCCCAGGGCCCACAGACACTTGGTGAAGCTGAAGCTTAGCTTCCAAGTTTATTTCTGGGATCTAGGGAGGAGCTGGCTGAAGGAGCGGCCTCCCGAGGAGGTGTCCGACCTCTGGCCTGGGGCCTGGCCAGGCCTGACCCTGGTCTCTGTGGTCGTGGGGCAGGTCAGGCAGCTTGAAGAGGAGACCTGCCTTCCGGGGGTTTGGGTCACTGCAGGCAGAGACAGCTCGAGTGAGCAGCATGGGGCAGCCGCCTCTTCCCTCCCCGCTGCCATGGCTGCCCGCACACCTGAGCAGAGCCACCTCCGGCAGGGCCTGGCTTTCCTCCTGCAGGGCCTTCACTTCATCCTGGATGGCCTGGGCCTCCTCCTGGATGGCCTGGGCTCCCTCCTTCAGGCTCTTATACAATAAGGTGGGCTGGACAAAGGGTTGCAGGGCTCGAGGTGGGTAGCCAGCCATGCAGGACAACCCGAAGCCCCTCTAGGAGAGCTGGGCTGGGAGGCAGGGAGGAGGCAAGACAAAGAAATGGGGTCCTGGCTCAGGGTCTTACCAGGTTCTGCAGCTTCTCCCCCAGGGCCAGGTTGTGCACTTGGGTGGTGTTCAGTGACTCCCGAAGCCTAGGGTTGAAAAACAGACCCCTCCCACCTCAGCCAGGCTTTTGTTCCAGGCAGCACTCCCCACCCCTCCCACCTCCTGCTTCAGCCACCTGGTCCTATAGCCACCTGGGACCAGTGTTTCAGTAAGAGCCCAGTCTTCCTGTCCCGGCAAAACCACAGGTGGGATGGGAATTGTTCTCCCTGAGTGATTGGTAGCAGGGGACCGAGAGAGAGACTAATTATGCTTTTTGTCTTCCTTTGCAAGAGCAGGGCAGGCTGCTTCTGTGGGTGGGCTAGAAACCCTCTGAGGCTCCCCTTGGAAGGGGTGGGTGGTATAGGGCTAGCCGCTCCTTTGGGCTGTAGGCAGGGTTGCAACAGGATTCTCTGTGGCTCCAGGCCAGTGACAGGGCCAATGCTGGAACCAGCCCTGCCTAGGCGCTCCAGGTCAGCTGTGTATGAATGGGAGAGCTGATCACTCAGGTCTATGGCCTGGAAGCCTCCGTCATGCCCTGCCCCCACCTCAGGACCTTTGCTGACAGATGGGGCTCTGACCCCAGCATTACCTGAGAGGGGCGAGCGGCCATGGGATTGTGTGGACCCCAGCTCCAGAGCCCGACATCCAGAGAACAAGCCCCTCCCCCAGACTGAACGCTCCTCAAGTTCTTGGACAATTAAAGGTGGGGGTTCCTGAATGCCCGTTCACCAGCCACGTGGGCCCTGACCTGAAAGCCAGGCCTGGCCTTGGTCGGGGGAAGCCCTGTCACCCTACCCGCTCCCATCTGCCCGCCCAGATCACCTCATGCAGTCATTCTGCAACTGCCTGATCTCCTTTGAGGTCCGCTGGGGGCCCCAGTCCTCCTGATCTAAGAACTGGTACTCCTGGATCTCCGAGTCCCTGGAGCAAGTGGGTAGTGAAGGTCAGGCCAGAGGGTCTAGGGGATGAGGGAAGTGGGTGGGTGGTGTGGGGGTGCCCAGCCAAAGGCCCCGGCTTCAGCAGGCCTCTCTGGGCCTCCTCTCTGCACGGGCCAGGACTGAGTCCTAGCCCAGGTTTGAATGTTTCTGGGTGTGGGGTGGGGAGAAACACCATCCACCTCCCCCAGTTTTGTGCGTGCCTGCATGTGCCTGCATGGGCACTCTCTCTCTCTCTCTCTCTCTCATGCAGCCTTACGATTCAGGGTCTTTTGGCTCAGTGGGCTCAGAGGTGTTCAGGAGTGTAAACAGGAACGTGACGGTGGGTTCCAGTTGTTCTGAGGAAGGTGGCTTTGCAGAGAAAGCGCCAAGGTGACTGGAGAGGGTCACGGCTGCTCACCCAAGAGCCTGGGTCCTCCCACACCCCCCATCCTTGCCATCTCCCTGTCTTTCAGGGGCCCCATCGTCTGTATCCCCCACCCTGTAGGGAAAGCCTGGTAGGAGGTATGAATGGGACCTGTCCAGGAGGCCCTCCAGCGCTGAACTCCCCTGCACCCATTCCTCAGCCCTGAACCCAGGAGCTGGGCCTGGACGCCCTGACAGCTGGAAGCTGGGTGTGACGACGGGGGTTCAGGCCTCCATTCAGATACAGGAAGAATTTCTCCAGCTCTCCTGCCTCCCCTGCCCACTGCCTTAGGAGGCCCTGGGGTTTCCCATCACCTCCAAGTTCCGCTCCTCGGAAGCCTGAGGGCCCTTGGGTTCTTGCTCCTCAACAGGCTGCACCACTGGCTTGTTGGCCAGCTTGGAGTGGGCTCTTTGTCTGCCCCTAAGAGACTGAGAGAGACAGAAGCCTGCTAGTCACTCACATCTACCATCCCCGCTATGCCATTTCTAGCCTGGTCTGGTTTTTAGGGGGCGGCTTCCAGCCTGGCGAGCGTCTATCACCAGCTCTGTCCAGCAAGCCAGACCCCCTCAAAGTGAAAGTTGCCAGATTTAGTAAATACAATATAGGCCCAGTGAAATCTGAATTTCAGCTGAAAATGGATACTTTTTCAGTATCTGTCTCACACAATGTTTGGGATATACTTACACTAAAAAACAATTCACTGTTCATTTGAAATTCAAATTTAACTAGGTGTCCTGTATTTTATCTGGCAGTCCTGCCAAACTACATGCTAAAAATATTTTGAGGCTGAGTGCAGTGGCTCACGCCTGTAATCCCAGCACTTTTGGAGGCCAAGGCGGGAGGATCGCTTGAGCCCAGGAGTTAGAGACCAACCTGGGCAACACACCAAGACCCCATCTCTGCAAAAAATTAAAAAATTGGCTGGGCATCGTGGCGTGTGCCTGTAGTCTCAGCCACTTGGGAGGCCGAGGTGGGAGAATCACTTGAGCCTGGAAGGTTGAGGCTACACTCAGGTGTGTTTGCATCACTGCACTCCAGCCTGGGCTTCAGAGCGAGACTCTCAAAAAAAAAAAAAAAAAAAAAGCTGAAGTTAATAGAATTGTGGCTATTTTTCACCCCGGTATTTTTCAGAATCTTGTGCATCTACTGGCCAAGTAACCACAGACATGGTCCTTCTTCACACTGAGTCCACCTGCGCCTCTAGATCCCCATGGACTTGTGGCAGGGGGCTTGTGGCCTGGGCTTGTGGCTGTGTTATATTGTACCTTTCTAGGCAGCCTAAAATTACACAATTCCTGACCACGTGACATAAACCGACAGCTCTGCAGAGGGCCCCGTAACCCTGGAAAGTCCCAGAGCTCCAGCGTGGTATGGCTGCTGGAGAATAGGTAGCTCTGTCACCAGGAGAACCTGGCTGCGTATAACAAGATCCACAGAACGATGGAGAGTCATGCCTCTGAGAACCTCACTTTGGAAACGGCTTAAAGAAACAACTCCAAATAAAAGTAATTCACATGGACGACCACAGTAGCTGATTTACACCATGAAGAAAAACTGGAAGGGGCCTAAAAGGCCCAAATATAAGAAGTGGTAAGGAAACAAAGACTTCTTCACATGGTAGGATACAATTCACTCATGCGCTTACTGGTCCCTGTAAACATTGCCTGTGGCGTAGGCCTTGGGAACATATAGATGGACACAACCTGGTTCTGCGCAGAAGTTTCCGGAAGATGAGGGAGGCCTCAGGTTTGCAGCTGACCACAGTGCGGGGGGATGAGCCACACAGAGGTTTGTACAGCGAGCCCTGGCTGCAAGAGGAGGGAGCCATGCATTCTGCTTCGGAGCTCCAGAGAGACTGCACACAGGATGTGCCGCCGGGTCTCAAACAAGGACGCAGGGGAGACCAGAAGAGGGAATGGTGTAAGCAAGAGCCGTGGGGTCCTGCGAAGGGCCCAAGACAGGGCCTGGGCTGTAGCCCACAGGGGACGAGGAGGCATAGGGATCTTTGTGTGTCTGTTATGTGGGCTGTTTGGCCATAGTTCAGAGGGTGAGTGGAAGGCGTAGACACTGGGGCCAGGATGCCAAGGGCCCTGGAAGTGAGGAAGAGAGGCAAGCCACCAACTGCTGCATGTGACAAGTGTCTAAACTCTGTTAATCCTGGAGAAGGTGTGCATGAGACCCTGTCACACCACAAAAGTGGGTCTTAACGGTGGTATGGGCTGGGTACCAGTGTACCCACGTAGGGTTGCCAAATAAAACACAGAATGCCAGGTTAAATTGGGATCTCAGATAAACGATGAATTTTTTTTTGAGACTTTATTTACTTTTGAGACAGGGTCTCACTTTGTCGCCCAGGCTGGAGTGCAGTGGCACCCTCATGGCTCACTGCAGCCTCGACTTCCCAGGCTCAGATGATTCTTCCACTTCAGCCTCCTGAGTAGCTACAACTGCAGGCCTGGCACCACACCCAGCTAATTTGTGTATTTTTTGTAGAGACAGGGTTTCACCATGTTGCCCAGACTGGTCTCGAACTCCTGGGCTCAAGTGATTCTCCTGCCTCCTCCTCTCCCAAAGTGCTGGGATTTCAGGCATAAGCCACTGAACCCAGGCAGGTTGAGAATTTCTTCTCCAAAATGCCTATCTAGAAGTGTTTTGGATTTCAGATTTCTTAGGATTTTGGAATATTAGCATTATCTGAAAATCCAGAATCCAAAATGCTACAGTGAATGTCAGGGCAGTGCTCACAGTTTGGGATTTTGGATTTTCTTTTCTTTTTTTTTTTTTTTGAGACAGAGTCTCGCTCTGTTGCCCAGGCTGGAGTGCAGTGGTGCAATCTTGGCTCACTGCAAGCTCTGCCTCCCAGGTTCACGCCATTCTCCTGCCTCAGCCTCCCGAGTAGCTGGGACTACAGGTGCCCGCCACCACACCCGGCTAATTTTTTGTATTTTTTAGTAGAGACGGGGTTTCACCGTGTTAGCCAGGATGGTCTCGATCTCCTGACCTCATGATCTGCCCGCCTTGGCCTCCCAAAGTGCTGAGATTATAGGTGTGAGCCACCGTGCTCGGCCGGGATTTTGGATTTTCAACCCACATATGCATACCCCATATGTGGCATGGAACATACTTGTACTAGAAAACTATCTATTATTTCTCTGATTTGGGAAACAGTTATTCCTTTTTTTTTTTTTTCCTGGGGACAGTCTCGCTTTGTTGCCCAGGCTGGAGTGTAGTGGTGCGATCTCGGATCACTGCAACCTCTGCCTTCCATGTTCAGGCAATTCTCCTGCCTCAGCCTCCTGAGTAGCTAATTTTTGTATTTTTAGTAGAGACGGGGTTTCACCATGTTGGTCAGGCTGGTCTCGAACCCCTAACCTGGTGATCCGCCTGCCTCGGCCTCCCAAAGTGCTGGGATTGCAGGCAAGGGCACTCTTACTCTTTAAAAATTGTGTTGTTTATCTAAGATTCAGGCTTAAGTGGGCATCTTGTATTTTTTGCTAAATCTAGCAACTCTAACACTATGGCCACATGTTGGTGCCCATCAGAGGACACTGGGAGGCATGAAAAGCTCCACGGTTACCAGTTGGTACGTGAGGAGGATGAGCAGATAGACAGACAGACAGGACTGGGGTCCTCTCAGGGTCCCACCAGCCAAGCACAGACAGATGCTTAATTCAGACTTGGACAGAAGATAGCTCAGGACCTGGATTTCAGTCCTGCTCTGCTGCTCATAGGTGGGGCAGCTGCAGGAAATCGGGCTCAGCCTCCTAGCCTGTGAAATGGGTATTCAACTCCACAAATATTGACTGAGCCCTAACTTTGTTGAAGGCCCTTCCCTGAATGTTGAGAAGGTACAAAAATGAATCTCCTCCTTTGAGGGGTTAATCACAGGCTGGGTAAAATGCTACTAGCCATCAGTGATGAGGAACTCTGCTGGCTGCTTTGCATATGACATCAACCTCCTGACCAACTCCGTTAGAGAGATGGAATTGGCCTCACTTTTCAGAAGAGAAAACCATGGCTCAAGAAGAGTCTCAGATGTGGGTGGACTGATACCCAAGCAGGTGGCTGTCAGGGAGCCTGCCAACCTGTCAGCCACACTGTGGAGAGGGGAAGGCAGCCTGGTCTAGGCCCATGTGTTGGGAGAACCACCAGGCCTGAGCCAAAGCCTCATCTGAAAGGGTGGTGAGCTACCGGGCTGAGGACCCAGGCGAGGAGGGAGGGGTCCATAGGCTGTGTGGGGAACTGCCCTGTGGAGAGGGAGGGTGAAGTCCACTCTCCAAGAAATGGGGACAGGTGTGAGCCATGGGGCTGGCTTCAGACCTCACATGCACACTGGTGGGACTAGAATTTGTGCTGTGGGAGGCTCATGACTGAGGCAGGGTGCCAGGTGCCATCACTCCTGACTCCACCTGTGCCCCTCCTACCAGGCACTCAGAGGCTCTCTGAAGCCCCTGTCCCCAGCTCCCACTGGAGGGGCACACCTGCCCAGGCTGGTGGGAAACCACCACATCCACTTACTCCATGATGTGCCTGGACACTGGGGGGACAGAGACAAATACAACCTTGCCTCCAGCCTGAGCTGGAGTTTACACAGCTACTGTGTAAACGTGTGTGCAGAGCAGACAGAATGGAGCTTGAAGGTGCTATGATGGAGGTCTGTGTGGACTTCTGAGACTTAAAAAGGGAGGGAATGGTCAGTTCTACTTGAAAATTGTTCATTGAGCACTTACCATGCACCAAGTGCTTTACTTGTATTATTTCATTCTTTTTTTTTTTTTTTTTTTTTTTGAGATGGAGTTTCTCTCTTTCACCCAGGCTGGAGTGAAGTGGCATGATCTTGGCTCACTGCAACCTCCACCCGCCAGGGTTCAAGTGATTCTCCTGCCTCAGCCTCCCGAGTAGCTGGGATTACAGGTGCCCGCCACCATGCCCGGCTAATTTTTGTATTTTTAGTAGAGACGAGGTTTCACCATCTTGGCCAGGCTGGTCTTGAACTCCTGACCTCAAGTAATCCAACCACCTCAGCCTCCCAAAGTGCTGGGATTACAGGTGTGAGCCACCGCGCCCGGCCGACTATCTCATTTTTAAACACTGTGGCATAGGTATTATTATTGTCCTCATTTTACTGTTAAGGAAACTGAGGCACATCAGAGTCTAATTATTATCATTTGCCTGGGATCACACAGCTAGAAGCTGGCAGAGCCAGGATTCAAACCCAGTTGGATTGCAGAACCTGTGCTCTTTGCTTTCACCAGGGTGGGGCAGGTGGGGAGGAAAGGCTGAGCAGGGGTGACGCGTGAGCCAGACTTAATGACGCGGGGCTCCCCAGGTGACGCAGGAGTGGGGAAAGACACGAGAGGCAGAGAGCAAAGGTTCAGAGGCAGGGACCTCCAAGCAGCTCGCAGCCTGCGGTGGGTCTGTGGGCTGAAGCCTGGACACCAGCCTCGGCCTGGAGTCCTCATGAGCCCCACTAAGGTGTCAGGAGCCCCCTAGACCAGCCAGGGTTCTGGGGTGCAAACAGGAAACAATGTTGGCTGATTTGAGCAAAAAGGAGTTTATTGGGAGGATGCTGGGGAGTCACAGAACTCACGGGAAGAAGAGACTTCAAAGGGCAGGCACTGTAGGGCGCCGACTGCCAGAACTAGGACAGGGGAGGGCCTGCAGATGGACAAACACGCATTCCCCACACCAGACACTGCTGGACAGGCGGTGCCTTCATCCCTCCTCACACCCATCACTCAAGGTGGAGAATCTGATCAGTTTAGGTCCTGGTTGCCGGGATCAGGGAGAGCAAGCATCTGGGATATTCACTCCCACTGAGTGGCTGGGGTCCTGCAGACAGCACATGCCTGGAGGCTGAGACGCTACTGGGCAGCCAGGCACCAGCGACCATTCATTCCACTGCTGCACGGAGCATGGGAAGTCAGCAGAGGTTTCTGTTTCGGCTGGAGTGCAGTGGCACAATATCGGCTCACTGCAACTTCCACCTCCTGGGTTCAAGCCATTCTCCTGCCTCAGCCACCCAAGTAGCTGGGATTACAGGCACCCGCCACCACGCCCACCTAATTTTTCTATTGTTAGTAGAGATGGGGTTTCACCATGTTGGCCAGGCTGGTCTTGAACTCCTGACCTCAAGTGACCCACCAACCTTGGCCTCCCAAAATGCTGGGATTACAAGTGTGAGCCACCGCGCCTGGCCCAATTTCCTCCTTTTTAAGGCTGAATAATATTCCACTGTATTGATAGGTCACACTTTATCCATTCAGCTGCTGGTAGACATTTGTGTTGTTTCCAGCTTTTTGGTTATTGTTGAATAATGCTGCTAGGAACTTGGTGTACAAATCTATTCCAATGCCTGCTTTCAACTTTCTCTGGTCTTATTACACTCAGGTGTGAAATTGTATTAAAAGGTTTTAAAGGCCAGGCATGGTGACACGTGCCTGTAGTCTCAGCTACTTGGGCAGCTGAGGTGGAAGGATGGCTTGAGTCTGGGAAGTGGAGGTTGCAGTGAGCCCAGATCACAATACTGCAGTCCAGCCTGGGCGACGGAGCCAGACCTTGTCTCAAAAAAAAAAAAAAAAAAAAAAAAAAATTGGCAGGGGTTTTGGCTGGGCATGGTGGCTCACACCTCTAATCCCAGCACTTTAGGAGGCCAAGGAGGGTGGATCACCTGAGGTCGGGAGTTCAAGACCAGTCTGACCAACATGGAGAAACCCCGTCTCTTACTAAAAATACAAAATTAGCTGGGCGTGGTGGCACATGCCTGTAATTCCAGCTACTCAGGAGGCTGAGGCAGGAGAATCGCTTGAACTCGGGAGGTGGAGGTTGTGGTGAGCCGAGATCGTGCCATTGCACTCCAGCCTGGGTGACAAGAGTGAAACTCCGTCTCAAAAAAAAAAAAAAAAAAAAGGGTTTTAAGGAGGGGAGAAATAGGCCCGGCGTGCCAGCCACGGTGATTCACGCCTATAACCCCAGCACTTTGGGAGGCTGAGTTGGGCGGACCACCTGAGGTCAGAAATTAGAGACCAGCTTGGCCAACATAACGAAACCCCGTCTCTACTAAAAATAGAAAAATTAGCCGGGTGTGGCAGTGGGCACCTGTAATCCTAGCTACTTGGGAGGCTGAGGCAGGAGAATCACTTGAACCCAGGAGGTGGAGGTTGCAGTCAGCCGAGATTGCACCACTGCACTCTAGCCTGGGCAACAAAAGTGAAACTCCATCTCAAAAATAAAAATAAAAAATTAAGGAGGGGAGAAACAGGATCATATTGTGTGTTTTAGGAAATGTGTTCTAGCTGCAGTGCAGACAGTGTGGAGATACAGCAGCCCAAGGGAATGACCCACAGGAGGCTAGTGCAATTGTCTAGTGGCTGTGGGGTGGGGGGGATGTTGAGGGGGATGGGGCTGGCCACATGGGGTGAAGGAAGAAGGAGCTGGTCCTGGGTTCCTGGCCCGTGTGACTGTGTCAGCTGGTGGCTCTGCTAATGGCACAGAGAACACAGGAGTAGGCAAGCTGCTGGATGAGCAGAGCTTCAGATGACTTCCTGAAAGGCAGTTCTAGATTCTGATTTGTAGCTCAGGACAGTTTTAGGTTGGAGATAAAGATGGACAAGTCTTGAGCAAGGAGGCAGTCCAGAGAGCGAGGCTACCCGGCAAGAGCAGGCAGGTGGGAAAGAGGGTCCAGGACTGAGGCCTGGTATCCAGACATTTCAGGAAAAGCCAAGAAAAAGGAGCTGGCAGTGCCACAGCCCCAAAGAGGGTGTCCTGGCAGAGGCCCGAGCTTAGTATGTTGGATATTAGGACATCACTGGTTACCTTTGTCTGAGCTGTTAAAGAGAGTGACGAGGGCATTGGGAATAAATTCAAAGTAAAGAGCAACTTGGAACGTTCCTTCAAGCTTAAAATGGTGGTAGCTAACGACAGATGCTGGTCGACTTTTGGTTGTCTTTTTTGTCTTTTGAAACAGGGTCTTTACTCTGTTGCCCAGACTGGAGTGCAATGGCGTCACCATGGCTCACTGTAGCCCCGACCTCCCAGGCTCAGGTGATCCTCCCACCTCAGCCTCCTGAGTAGCTGGACTGCAGATATGTGCCACCACGCCCATTTATTTTTTTTACATTTTTTGTAGTCAGGATCTCCCTATGTTGCCCAGGCTGGTCTTGAACTCCTGAGCTCAAGTGATCCTCCTGCCTCAGCTTCCCAAAGTGCTGGGATTACAGGTGTCAGCCACTGTGCCCAGCCTGGTTGTCATTTTTTAACAACAAAGCAAATAAAAGCCATTTAGGACTTGGAAGAAAAAGAAGAGGAAGGTTTCAGAGACAAGATAATTGGATCAAAAACCAAAGTGGAAAGGCTAGCCTTGAAGAGGGGACCCATCTCCTCTGGGTGGGGGAAGGAGGTCAAAGCGGATTAAGTCTGTGGAGAACTTAATGGCTTTGATTTGTTTGGATGACTAGGAGGCAAGTACAAGTGTGGAGGATGGGATGGGAGGCTGGTCTGTGCCACCTGCCTGTAGGGTCCTAGCCTTACCTAAGGCCAAGTGGGAGAATTTCCAGGCATCAGCATCTTTGATCAGCTCCCCAGGGTCCCACAGCACCTGCTGCTACACAGTGTCCAGTCTGGACCATGGAGTGAGCAACTCGGGCTCCTTCAAAGGAGCCTGAAAGGGAATGGGGAACGAGGGCTGGACTCGGGAGGGTGTTTGCTTCCCAGGCATCTCCCGTGGGCACTGGGGGAGCTCTTAGCACTCTCACCCCAGACCCGACTTTCTTCCTCCTAGAAGAGGAGCAGACTGGGGACTGGACAGAAATAAACAAGACACGGGGCAGGACAGGCCAGGCGCAGTGGCTCACGCCTGTAATCCCAACACTTTGGGAGGCCGAGGAGGGCAGATCACTTGAGGTCAGAGTTCAAGACCAGCCTGGCCAACATGGTGAAACCTCATCTCTAATAAAAATATAAAAATTAGCCAGGCGTGGTGGTGGGCACCTGTAACCCCAGCTACTTGGGAGGCTGAGGCAGGAGAATCGCTTGAACCTGGGAGGCAGAGGTTGCAGTCAACTGAGATCACGCCACTGGACTCCAGCCTGGGAGACAGAGCTAGACTCTGTCTCAAAGAAAAAAAAAAGTGTGTGGGGCACAGTGATCTACCATGGGGCGAATGCGGGGAAGCGGGGCTGGGAGCGCCTGGACAAAGGGACAACCCCAGTGATGCAGCCCACTGGAGGCCTGGCCTTACCTTCGGCTCTGCCTTTGACTCAATAAAAGAAACACAGTCCATGAACAGGCAGAAACTCTTTAATCAGGCTTTTTTTCCAACTCTAAAACAAAATCCCATTTTTTCCTTAAATTTAGTTCCTCAGGAACAGAGAACTTTGCAATGATGATCTCAACTCTGCATCATCTGGTGACTCCTGATTCTGCAGGACTAAGACATTTCCCAAGAGTTCTGCTGCATCAGCCAGTGAGGACAAGAGTTCTTCAGTGCGGTTCAGCTCAAGGACACCTAGGCTTCCCCAGCAGGGGGCTTGCTTGCAGGTCTGACAAACCACAGAGCGTTGAGCAGATGGCCTGGGACTCCCAGACCTGGCAGAGGGTTTTATTAGGGCCCGCCTGGCCTGCACCGTTTCATCCAAGTACCCTGACCCAGCACTCATCTTCCCTGGCATTCTCTGTTATCCACCAGCTCCTCTGCACACCTCAGCGTCTACTTCCACGAACTTCTAAACATCAAAAGGTACAATGGCCAGGGGTGCGGCAGGAGAGTCGGGGGCAGGGCAGCCTTCAAATCCACACTATTGAATCCACACGATGGAAAGAAGAGAAAGATGGGGAAATTCTCCAGAGATCATGAGATGCATCCAGGCAGTGTTCTCATGTGAGAGGATAGGGAGGCCAAAAACTAAAATTGCTATCAGCCCCCGCCGCTGTCTGGTACGCGAGGAAACTTTCCGAGGACTTTACAAGCATAGTTGCAAAATGCTAGTAGGTCTGGGACTCTTCAACTTTCTCTTCTAGGGCCAAGTAGACTCGGTGTAACTTATTTTGTAAGAAATGGGTATGGGTGACAAGAGGGGCCACCTTCCACCCCTGCAGCAGAGTGGTAAGACTCCAGCGTGGGCCCTGTGCAAGGGACCAGCCCAGAGGCCATGAGCCACAGAAACTCACAGCACCTGGTGGCCACACCCTGAAATGCACCCTTTGCTCCAAGCAGCCAGCGCCCTATCAACCTGGCATTTACCAAACATCTCAACAGCAGACCAGAACTAGAAAACACAGCTTCTGTGTAGTACACACTTATGGTCTGAGACCCAACTAAGGCTCCCTACATCCTTCAAAACTCAGACTCCACAGGCTGAATGTCCAGCTTCTTCCTCCAAGACAGAATTGCCCTCAGCCCACGAATTCTCTCTGGGACTATTTACAGAATCAAAGGGGAAACCCACGGAACTGAAAACCTCTTTACACAGGTGGGTTCAAGAAGAAAGCCACCAACAGAAGGCAACTCAGGAGGGAGAGGCCGAGGCTGGCAGAGCCCCTGGGCCTATTTCCAAGCAGCCACCCCTCCCAACAAGAGCAGAGGTGCCTCTCACCTCAACCCTCAGCCCTTTAACTTCTGGCTGGGCCACTGATTCTCCTCCCCAGTCTGTGGCCCATCTGGAAACTGGCTATGGTACTTTGGGGAGATAGGAAGGACAGGACGACAAGAGACAGGACACCAGTGAGTGGCTGGGCCAGGCGGCCCCATTTCCTAAAACCAAGATGGCTGCCGCTGCTGCCCAAGCCCTCAAAGGCAGACAGTCCTCATGCGCAGCACCAGCACACACACAGGTAACAAGACCAGGGGAGGGGACCCTAAGTGTCCTCTCCACAGGGAGGTGGCTATGTACAGGACAGGAGGGAGAGTCTGGCCAGGTGCACCCCCCACTGCATCTCATTCAACCAGGAGATCAAACTGCTCAGCAGCTTCAAACTCGGCATTCATGGCCGCAGCCCACTCATCCAGCTCCGTTTTCTGAGGGAAGAGAAATGAGGAGCAGGTGAGTGAGAAGGGAACATGGTGGCTGGAGCATCTCACCCACACCCTGCAGGTGCTGCCTATCCCCCAAAAGAGCCAGAGCCCCAGCCCTGCACGTCTCCCAGAGCACACGGCAGAGAAAAACCCCTGCCTCTCACTCACCAAGATCTCTGGCATTTTCTTCTTCTTACGTTTCTGTTTCTCGGGTGGTGGGGAGATTCCAGGGAGAGTCATGTCTGGGGCCCAGGGCTTTGCACAAACCCTGGGGACCTCGGTGAGTTTGGAGCACACCACTGGCGAGACTCCGGACAAGTCTTCTGCCCCCAGCAGCCCCTCGAAGCCAAAGCAGGACCGGCGGCCTGGGGTGGAGGTAGAGGCAGAGCCCAGGGTCTCCAGCCGGCTGTAGGAACGCCTGACTTTCTTAGACATTTCCAAGTCTCTGGCGTCCAGCTCTCCTTCCTTGGAGCTGGACTCGGCCTCAGGGTTCGGCACAGGAGTGCTGGTGGGGGTGGCAGGGACGCTGTGTGTCTTGAAAAGGTCCTCCTTAGTAAGCTCCCTGCCAGGGGGCTCGTTTTCTTTCTCCAAGAAAAAGGAAATCTGCACCAGGACAGAAGAGGGGATGCCCTCAATACTTAGCTGGACTGCTTACTTCCAGAAAAGCCCGAGAAGATTCAGGGTGGAAAGACCCACAGGACACACACTTTTTTTTTTTTTTTTTGAGACGGAGTCTTGCTCTCTCGCCCAGGCTGGAGTGCAGTGGCATGATCTCGGCTCACTGCAAGCTCCGCCTCCCGGGTTCACGCCATTCTCCTGCCTCAGCCTTCCGAGTAGCTGGGACTACAGGCGCCCGCCACCTCGCCCGGCTAATTTTTTGTATTTTTAGTAGAGACGGGGTTTCACCGTGTTAGCCAGGAGGGTCTCGATTTCCTGACCTCGTGATCCGCCCGCCTCGGCCTCCCAAAGTGCTGGGATTACAGGCGTGAGCCACCATGCCCGGCCAACACACACTTTTTTTAAGGAAGGGACAAATCAGACCCTGAAAGAGACATGGAGAGAAGAAAACAACCCACCATTGCTTCCAAGGAGTCTGCTTTTGTGACACAAATGGACTTGCCCCCATCTGCTGGTGCTGTCGCTTGTTTCCAAAATGTGCCCAGCATCCAGCCTCTCCTCTGACCAACTCAAGCCCTCATTAGGTGTCTTCTAGACCAGCTCAGCAACGTTTTTTGTTTTGTTTCCAGATAAACGGTCTCAACTCTGTTGCCCAGGCTGGAGTGCAGTGGCACGATCATGGCTCACTGAAGCCTCAGCCTCCAGGGCTCACGCAATCCTCCTACCTCAGCCTCTGAGTAGCCGGGACTACAGGCATGTGACACTCTGTCTGGCTGATTTTTTTTTAGTTTCTTTGTAGAGTAGGGGAGGTCTCCCTTTGTTGCCCAGGCTGGTCCCAGCGACCTTCTGATTTCTCTCCCTGTTTCCACCCTTGCCTGCTGTGGTCCATCTGCCACACAGCTGATGAGGATTGTCCTAAATGTCCACTCAGTCCATAAGTATTTATCAGTCACCTGTCCTGTGCCAGGCACTGGGAACACAGCAGGGAATAAAACAGAGAAAACCCCTGCCCCATTCTAAGAGAAAAACAGGTAAGAAAATTCAGTATTATGTTAGCAGTATCAAGCACTACAGGAAAACAGAACAGGAGAGAGTGCTTGGGGCAGGTTAGAATTGCAAAAAGATAAAGGTCAATACATCCCTCACTGAGGTGACATTCAAGCTACAACTTGAAGGAGGTGTGGGAGTGACTCATGGCCAAGTTCTAGGCAGTGGGAACAGAAGGTGCAACAACCCTGAGGCCACAGTGTACTAGTCAGGGTCAAACAACAAGGAGGCCAGTGTGGCTGAAGTGAAGGCAAGAGGAAGAAACTGAAGATGAAGTTCAAGAGATAATGGGTGGCCAGATATGGTGGTTCACACCTATAATCCCAGCACTTTGGGAGGCTGAGGTGGGTGGATCACCTGAGGTCAGGAGTTTGAGACCAGCCTGGCCAACATAGTGAAACCCCATCTCTACTGAAAATACAAAAAAAATTAGCCAGGTGTGGTAGCAGGTGCCTGTAAGCCCAGCTACTTGGGAGGCTGAGGCAGGAGAATCGGTTGAACCTGGGAGGCGGAGGTTGCAGTGAGCCGAGATTGCGCCACTGCACTCCAGCCTGGGTGACAGTGCGAGACTCCATCTCAAAAAAAAAAAACACAGGGAAGCTGAACAAATTGGTGGTCACTGCTGACTACGACTTCCTCATTCTCTATAGCCAAGCAGTCACCCAGGTCCTGGCAACTTTATCCTGCTCGATGTACCATGAATCTCAGTCAATCAACAAGAATGAGTGGCTACTAGGAAAGGCAGAAGTCCCTACCCTCAAGGTGCCTGTGTTCTTAGAGGGGGGAGAGAAAGACATCAAACATGCAAGAAAATACACTATAAGAACTGATAAGGACCAGGCACAGTGGCTCATGCCTGTAATCCCAACACTTTAGGAGGCCAAGGTGGGAGGATCACTTGAGCCCAGGAGTTCAAGACCGGCCTGGGCAACATAGTGAACCCTCATCTCTATAAAAAAAATTAGAGAAAACATCAAAAAATTAGCCAGGCATGGTGGCATGTGACTATAGTCCCAGCTACTTGAGAGGCTGAGGAGGGAAGATCTGCAGTGAGCCGAAATCTCGCCACTGCACTCCAGCCTGGGTGGCAGAACAAGACCCTATCTTTAGAACTGGTAAGGCCTAAGAGAATTACATAGAGAAATGTGACAGCAATAGGGTAAGGGTGGTCAGGGAAGGCCACTGGGGGGCAATTCCCTCTGAACCCAGTACTGTATATCATCCTGGCTTTAGCTCACGCCCTTGGCTTCATGCTTCAGAATTCCTGGACTTCACGTCATTCCACTGGTCTTGGAGCCCCAGGGTAGCCCTTCTCAAAACCATTCTCCCCACAGCCCCCAGAGGGGTCTTTCTTAAAACACTCAAACTTGACTCGGTCACTACCTTACCCAGAACTCTCCAAAGGCTGCCCACAGACCCAAGAATGATGCCCAAGCCATGAGTGTGGCTTTTGTGCCTCATCAGGATCTGCTCTGCCTTAGGGTGCTTCCTCCCCTGCTGAGGTCTGCTGCAGACACTAAACAAATTGCTATTCCCCGAACCTTGATTTTTCTTTAAATTCCCAATCTCTGCAAACATGGCTTCTTTGACCTGGAACAAACCTACTTGTCTTTTTTTTTTTTTTTTTTTTTGAGATGGAGTCTCGCTTTGTCACCCAGGCTGGAGTGCAGGGGCGTGATCTCGGCCCACTGCAACCTCCGCCTCCTGGGTTTAAGCGATTCTCCTGCCTCAGCCTCCTGAGTAGCTGGGACTATAGGCACGTGCCACCATGCCTGGCTAATTTTGTATTTTTAGTAGACACAGGGTTTCACCACGTTGGCCAGGCTGGTCTTAAACTCTTGACCACAAGTGATCTGCCCGCCTCAGCCTCCCAAAATGCTAGGATCACAAGCGTGAGCCACTGCACCCGGCCTCTACTTGTCTTTAAAGACTCAGTTCAAATGTTTCTTCTTCCACGAAACATTCCCTGAGCCACATGGTCTGGGTTAGCTACCATCATAGCATCTAGTATTCCTTATTGCAGTCCCAGTACACAACGTTGCTATCACTTGTCATTGGTCTTTCTCCCCAGTTGACTCTAAGCCCTATCAGCTCTTCAAAGGAGTTCACATTTCTCAGTCAGTATGTCTTCAGATTGTCTATTAATGAAACATCCTTTGATAATAACTTCTGCTAAAACTGTAAAAATGTCATACACATGACTTATCTCAGAACACCCATACATGAAAGCTGAAGGCATAATGGATTAGAAAGGCAGTACGTGGAGTTAAGACATAGCTCAGCTTTTAAAGGAAGTTCCAGGAAAATGGTAGAAATACACAAGGCATAAAAAGTTAAGTGTATTAAGTCTTCAGGGAGTAATCAAGACTGGCAATGCATGCAGGTGCCCACAGGCAAACTGTTTTTGCAGTACTGCAAAACAGCTCCCTGGGCAGATGTGAGGAGCCAATGTGTGCTGTCCAGCTCTAGAGTGACCCAGATTCTACTTAATTAAGTAGATGAAAGTGAACTCACCCTAGGGCTCCTGCGAGGTGATTGGACAGCTGGGACCTGCGGGGGACAATACCAATTGATCACATAGCTGGTCCCCAGTTTTGCCCGCCTAACCACCCACAACACTCTCCTTAGCCTTTACCTCTACAGCATGGGCCACGATCCTCTTTAAGACGATGGGCTTTCTGACTGCAGCCGCACTGGGTGTCTGGAGAAGAGGGATGAACGTGAGCTCAACATTAGGTGAGGGGCCACAAGGGGAGGAAGTGAGAAATCTGGGGCTCACCTTCGGCCAGATTTCAGGGAGGATGCTCGGGAGTTCAGAGCCTGATTTCCGCTGGGACCTCCGCAGAGGCTTAGTAGGAGATGGGGCCCTTGGCCCTGGAAAGAGAAAAAAGTTAAGTGGTAGAGGAGGACTCTAGACCTTAGAGTCCAGAGAACAGGTTCTAGAGACAGCGAGAAGATTCCCAAACAAGCCCTTTTAAGGGCGCCTCCTCCGGCGGCGGCAGCGGGAGGGAAGAGGCCATCTTTCACCGGACTGCGTCCCCCAAACGGCTCGACCTCACGTCTCCCGCGCGCCCTCCGCTCACCGGAGCGCTGAGCGGCTCCTCCGGACCGCGTTCGCCTCCCAGACATAACTTAGGCTCCGTCTCGAGCTCCTCCAGCGCCGCCGCCCCGGGCGCGCGCCAACCGGGAAGGCCACTCGCTGCAAAAAACGTTCGAATTACCCGCCCTGCGGGAAAGGAAGCGGAAGTGACGTAGGGCTAGCGGTCTGCGGCCCTCGGAACCCCGAGTCTTTTCCACCCGTCTTCACCTCTAGCGGCAGCGGAGGCGTGGCCCAGGGGCGCGATGGCGTCATCAGCGCGCGCCGCACCCGGAAGAGACGTGGCAGCGGAGGGATAATCGGGGCGGCCGGGGCTGAAGGGAGAGGCGCAGGAGCCCTGGGGAGAGTGGTCCCTGCCCTTCCGCGCCTCGAGCCATCGCTACCGCCCTTCGGAACCAGTGCAGCGGCCGATCAGTAAACACAGAGACTGGGGTCTGTAGAGAAGGGGCGGGACTTGGAGGGGGTGGGGCTCAGGAGAGGTCTTGGGGGCGGGGCCGGTAGTATCGGGGAGCCTCTGATGGAGGGGCCTGGCCGGGGGCGGGATCCAGAAGGATTGAGGGGTCGCCGGAGGCGGGATTTATGCAGGGGGTGTTTCTCCGCATAAGGAGGGACAGTGGGCAGGAATCTGAGATCGGGGCGAATATGAGAGGTGTCTGGGGGAGTTAAGAGTGGAAACTGGGCTGGTGAGAGCGTAGTGGTGGCCACCAGAACCTGACTTCCTACCAACTCATGCCCCTTTCCCAGGATCGATCATGGGGCTTTGTAAGTGCCCCAAGAGAAAGGTGACCAACCTGTTCTGCTTCGAACATCGGGTCAACGTCTGCGAGCACTGCCTGGTAGCCAATCACGCCAAGGTGGGGCCTTCAGGGGAGCGACTGAGCAGGGCACTGGGTGGGCAAGGCGGTATTGGCTTCCTCCAAATCCATGAGGGGCCCCGCGCTAGAATGTAAGCCCCACAAGGGCAAGGACTTGATTTATTTTGTTCACTGATATATCCCCCGTTCCCAAGAGAGAGTCTGGTGCACAGTATGTGCTCAATAAATATTTATTGATTAAACAAACGAAAGGATGAGTCTCCTCTGTGGCTAGAGAAAAAGAGACAGTCGGACCTTGGGGTGATAGGCCGAGCAGCCCCAGCACCAGTTGTGACATCTCTCTCCCACTCCAGTGCATCGTCCAGTCCTACCTGCAATGGCTCCAAGATAGCGACTACAACCCCAATTGCCGCCTGTGCAACATACCCCTGGCCAGCCGAGAGACGACCCGCCTTGTCTGCTATGGTGAGGCCTTGGCACCTCGGGGGGATCAGGCCAGCCTCAGGGGCCAGCTTGGTGACTGGTTTCCAGGCCCTCCTCAAGCAGCAGGACAGTGAGTCCCCCGAGTCTCAGAGCCCAGATTCTAGTCCTGTTAAAGTTCCTTACCTGCTGTGTAAGTTCAGGCAAGTTATTCTTCCTTTCTAGGCCTCACTGTCTTTCCTAAAAATTAAAGCTCCTAGTTCCTCTTTCCTAAAAATTAAGCCCTGCCAATCTGGAGGTTTCAGCGAGAACCAGTCAAGCTTACGGGTATGCTGGTGGCCGTGACTATTAGCTAGCCAGACCGGCATGTTGCTTTCAGATATTCAGGATCCACCACTGATTCCAAGGCTAAACAGAGAGGAAGTGAGTTTCCCACATTAAAGTTAGCTAAAAGAAGTCAGCAGACATATGTGTCATGACTTTGACCTGAATCTGGGGTAAGAGCCTTAGCTCCAGTTTTTGAAGGAGCTCATGCAAGAGTCAGCTCCATATGTGTTTCTCCTTGTGAGTGCATGTGTGTACTTGCAGGCACTTAATGTACATTGTGTGTTTAAATGAGTGTTAGTGTGTTGATCTGTACTTGGGGTGAATGAATGGGTAAATGTATGTATGTGAACATATGAACACAGGTGTGTTGTGGGAGTGCAAGAGAATGCATGGTTGAGGGTGCCTGTTAGCAAACCTGTGAGTGTATAGATGTGTATGTGTGAGGGCTCCTGTACCCATAGTGTAGATATAGGGAATGCCACTTGTGTTTGATTATGTGCTTATAAGGACATGTACATTTGTGCCCAGGGATGTGTACATGTATATGTGTGCCTGTGTGTGTATCGAGGAACCTTTTCTGAAACTGTTCATTATTAGCCATTAGCCCAAAGAATATGATGAGTGCAGGCCCAGAGAGGACTCATTGAAAGGACTGAAAGGGGAGGTGGCGTTTTCTTCCTACCCAAACTTACCCCTGTGAGCTGGACAGCTTGGTAGCACCTGCCTGGACTTAGATGGTGGTAGCCAAGAAGACTGACATTTTAGGGAACAGGACGGGGAGGAGAAGGCTCTGGCACACACACATGTGTCCATATGTCCTGCAATGGTCTGGGGACTATTGCTAGGCTAGGAGCCCTAAGTGTCTTCTTCCTCATGTCTCTTCTCCCCTGTCTCATGGGCCCTAAGATCTCTTTCACTGGGCCTGCCTCAATGAACGTGCTGCCCAGCTACCCCGAAACACGGCACCTGCCGGCTATCAGTGCCCCAGCTGCAATGGCCCCATCTTCCCCCCAACCAACCTGGCTGGCCCCGTGGCCTCCGCACTGAGAGAGAAGCTGGCCACAGTCAACTGGGCCCGGGCAGGACTGGGCCTCCCTCTGGTGAGAGTCCCTCGTCTGTCTGACCATCTATCTGCCCTGGGCCCCACCTGAGTCAGATGGGTGGGTGGGGACAATACTAGGCAGCCTGGTGACCCAGATTCCTTCCTCCAGATCGATGAGGTGGTGAGCCCAGAGCCCGAGCCCCTCAACACGTCTGACTTCTCTGACTGGTCTAGTTTTAATGGTAAGTGGTGGCTTCCACCGACTGTTTGGGCTTTAGCCTCCCTGCTCTGCTGACAGCTCCCTTGGTCTGCAGTCACATGCTCTACCCCTGAGCTCTATGCACTGCTTCTGCTGACGGCTCTCTTTCCACCCACAGCCAGCAGTACCCCTGGACCAGAGGAGGTAGACAGCGCCTCTGCTGCCCCAGCCTTCTACAGCCAGGCCCCCCGGCCCCCAGCTTCCCCAGGCCGGCCCGAGCAGCACACAGTGATCCACATGGGCAATCCTGAGCCCTTGACTCACGGTGAGCCTGGGAGTTATCCAGGCCGCAGAAGGATAGGAAGAGGGTGGAATGGTTTGTATAGGGGGAGCTTGAGGATCCAGAGACCCACCCGGAGGAACCTTTCCTTAATCCAGGCACAGCCATTACCTCCTCACAATTCTGAGATGTTCTGTCAGACTGAGGAGAGCAGGTGATCCCCCTAGCCCTCCCCAAAGCGGCCAGTTTTCCTGAGTCTATTGATGCTAGTGGCTCCACCCTGTAGCCCCTAGGAAGGTGTATGATACGCGGGATGATGACCGGACACCAGGCCTCCATGGAGACTGTGACGATGACAAGTACCGACGTCGGCCGGCCTTGGGTTGGCTGGCCCGGCTGCTAAGGTACACAGGGTCAGGCAGGGCGGAATGCCAGGAAGGGGTGGAGAGGGAATGGGAGCCAGAGGTCCTGGAAGGGATGGTTTCATGACAAAAGGGGCTTGTTCTGGGGAGTAACAGTACCTGGTGCTGGGGCTGTGCAGAGAGGCCTTGGCTGTGCAGCAGAAGCTGTGTTTTGCTTCTCTCTGGGACTGTCTCTATGCCTCCTACACAGGAGGTTTGAACTCAGGCTCTTTGAGGCCCCTTCCCGATCTGACACCCCCTAATCTTTGTAATTCTCCCCGACGTCTGACACACTGTGGTTTCCAGAATACAGTCGTGCGCCTCAGCTGGTTTGAGCTGCACAATAACGCCCTATGGTGGCAGGTGCAGGAGTGATCATCCCTGAGGCACAGACGAGGAGATGGAGGCTCAGGAATGGGTGGTGACCAGGGCTTCTCTCCAGCCGCGGGGGCCACCAGGGACTGGGGCCTGACCTGATTTTCCCCTCATCCCCCCAGGAGCCGGGCTGGGTCTCGGAAGCGGCCGCTGACCCTGCTCCAGCGGGCGGGGCTGCTGCTACTCTTGGGACTGCTGGGCTTCCTGGCCCTCCTTGCCCTCATGTCTCGCCTAGGCCGGGCCGCAGCTGACAGCGATCCCAACCTGGACCCACTCATGAACCCTCACATCCGCGTGGGCCCCTCCTGAGCCCCCTTGCTTGTGGCTAGGCCAGCCTAGGATGTGGGTTCTGTGGAGGAGAGGCGGGGTAATGGGGAGGCTGAGGGCACCTCTTCACTGCCCCTCTCCCTCAAGCCTAAGACACTAAGACCCCAGACCCAAAGCCAAGTCCACCAGAGTGGCTGCAGGCCAGGCCTGGAGTCCCCGTGGGTCAAGCATTTGTCTTGACTTGCTTTCCTCCCGGGTCTCCAGCCTCCGACCCCTCGCCCCATGAAGGAGCTGGCAGGTGGAAATAAACAACAACTTTATTAAAACACCCGAGGCAGCCTTTTGCTTCCCCCTCCTTAGCCCTGTTCCGACTCCCCAGGCCTCAGTGGTGCTCCTCCCGGTACTCGATGGCCAGAAACTCCAAGGACAGGCGGTTGAAGAACATGGCTCCGTTGAGCACTGGGCGGGGGACAGAGCCCCCCATGAGCCCCAGTACCCTTCCCTGGCTACTCCTTGCCACATCTCAGGGTTCCAAAGCTCCCCGCTCCCTCTTGCACCCTCCCACTCCTGCCACTCACTCAGGATGGTCAGGGCGGAGAAGCAGACGTACTTGTTTTCTGTCATCTCAGCATAGAGTGACCCCATGGCAGCCCAGCAGATGCTGATCACCTGGGAGAACTGTAGGCCCATCCAGTGGGAGAGTGGCCCCCTCGCACAACAGTGGGGTTTCCATCAGCCCCTCGGGTCTCCCACAGCCAGCCCTTGCGTCCCTGCCCTGAGCCTACCATCAGGACGACCGTGTAGTGAAAGCTCATGTGGTCATAGTGGTAGGTGATGCAGAAGTTGTGCACGTCTCTGATGAAGATGCCCAGGTGTAAGAAGAAGAGCATCAGCGCAGCCGTGGTGAGCATCATGCCTTTTGGGAAGAAGAACGTGGCGATGCGGTCTTGCAGCCACATCTTGCCCGCAGTGTAGATGCAAGTCAGACTTGAGAGCTGGAGCAAGCAGGCCCTGCCCAGGAAAAGCAGCAGAGTCTCTGGTTCTAAAGTGCCTGGTATGGAATAGCAGTGGGATTCTAGAACCAGGAGGACAGTGGAGGGGACAAGATTCTAGAACACAGGCTGATTCCAGCCAACACAGGAGTGCCTCACGGGTGGTAGGGGTGCTTTGAATTGTGAGATCAGTGGGGGCCCATGGCAATGGCGAAGGGGCAGCAGCCCTAGTTATCCCATACTCACTCTAGACGCTTTTATGCATGTCTCAAGTTTCCCAAAACGGAGGCAGTGTGAACACAGTCTACAGATGAAGAACTGGGGCTCAGAAAAGTTGAGGGGCGTGGTCTAGATTTACAGCAAGTCTTAGGCAGATGAGAGATGAGGACCCAGCTGCATAGCTGGAAGGCATTCCCAGGTGAGGGGAGGCCTGTATTTGCTCTACCCTCTGGTGGAGAGGAATTACGAGAAGGGAAGGATCAACAGATTCTTCAGAGCTGTCCCGGGACCTTCCCCGTGCCCTTCCCAGGTGTGGCCCAGAAGGCACCTGGCTTTTCCATTCTCTCCCAAGATGTTCTTACAGGACCTGATGCTGGTCAGCTTTCTGCTCCGCCACCTTCAGGTGCTTGGAGCATTTTCACCTCTGTCAGTCTAAGAGTCCCATGAGACAGCTGGGGCTGGTGGCATAAGTCCTATTTGACACTTGAGTCTGAGGCAGAGGGAGGATGGTCTTCCTCAAGCTGTTATAGCCAGTGAGGGAGAGAGTCAATACTGAAACGAAGATCCGATACTACCTGAGGCTGTGCTGAGTGAGCAGGGTCACATGCAAGCCAGGAGGAAGAAATCTCCTCCATGCATGTGAGAGATGAGAACTAGGCTGGGTGCGGTAGCTCACACCTGCAACCCCAGCACTTTCAGAGGCCCAGGTGGGAGGACTGTCTTGGGCCAGGAGTTCAAGACCAGCTTGGGAGACAGCAAGACCCCATCTCTCTCTTTTTTGAGATGTAGTTTCACTCTTGTTGCCCAGGCTGGAGTGCGATGGCGCGATCTCGGCTCACCGCAACCTCCGCCTCCTGGATTCAAGCGATTCTCCTACCTCAGCCTCCCAAGTAGGATTACAGGCATGTGCCACCACGCACAGCTAATTTTGTATTTTTAGTAGAGACAGGGTTTCTCCATGTTGGTCAGGCTGGTCTTGAACTCCCAACCTCAGGTGATCCGCCTGCCTTGGCCTCCCAAAGTGCTGGGATTACAGGTGTGAGCCACCGCTCCTGGCCAGCAAGACCCCATCTCTAAAAAAAAAAAAAAAAAAATTTGCTGAGTGTGGTGGTGTGTGCCTTTAGTCCCAGCTACTCAGGAGGCTGAGATGGGAGGATTGCTGGACCCCAGGAGTCCCAGGCTGCAGTGAACTATGATCATGCCACTGTACTCCAAGCTGGGTGACAGAGAAAAAAAGAAAAGAAAAGAAAAAGGTGAGAACTCCAGGGCCGTCAACAAAATATGCCAATAAAACAGCCAGAAATGGTGTGGAGTGACATGAAAGCTCCCAGGGATTGAAGCAGGAGAAGAGGAGGGAGGAGGAGAGGACTTGATTTCGAACTCAGCCACCCCACTGCCTCCTGCCCAACTGTTTGCCCCAAAAGTTAGGTCCCAGGTCAGCCCAAGACCCACAGGCTGCCTCCCAGCAGTGGGATTAGAGCCTGCACCCACCATCTGTGCTTGCTGCCCAGTCTCCAGACAAGCACAATAGTTCTTCAGAGCCCCATCCTAACCACATGAAAGGGGTAATGCCCCAAGGCCCAGCTGTGGTCCCACTGTTGAAACAATTGTTTGGACCTCAGTCCTCATTTGAATACAAATGAACTTTTATACATTAAAGTTCCTAGCTCCTAATTTTATTTTATTTTTGAGACAGAGTCTCACTCTATCGCGCAGACTGGAGTGCAGTGGCATGATCTCGGCCCACTGCAACCTCCGCCTCCCGGGTTCAAGTGATTCTCATGCCTCAGTCTCCCAAGTAGCCAGGATTACAGGCGCCTGCCACCATACCCAGCTAATTTTTGTATTTTCAGTAGACATGGTATTTCACTATGTTGGCCAGGCTGCTCTTGAACTCCTGACCTCAGGTGATCCACTCTCTTTGGCCTCCCAAAGTACTGGGATTAGAGGTGTGAGCCACTGTGCCTACCCCTAGCTCCTAATTTTTAAAAATTATATACATGTAATATATGAATATGGGCTGGGTGCGGTGGCTCACACCTGTAATCCCAGCACTTTGGGAGGCTGAGGCAGGCAAATGACCTGAGGACGGGAGTTTGAGACCAGTCTGAACAACATGGAGAAACCCTGTCTCTACTAAAAATATAAAATTAAGCTGGGCGCAGTGGCTCACGCTTGTAATCCCAGCACTTTGGGAGGCTGAGGCGGGCGGATCACGAGGTTGGGAGTTCAAGACCAGCCTGACCAACATGGTGAAACCCCGTCTCTACTAAAATACAAAAATTAGCTGGGTATGGTGGTGCATGCCTGTAATCCCAGCTACTTGGGAGGCTGAGGCAGGAGAATCACTTGAACCCAGGAGGCAGAGGTTACACTGAGCCAAGATCGAGCCACTGCACTCCAGCCTGGGCGACAGACCAAGACTGTGTCTCAAAAAAAAACAAGAACAAAAACAAAATTAGCCGGGCATGGAGGCGCATGCCTGTAATCCCAGCTACTCGGGAGGCTGAGGCAGGAGAATCGCTTGAACCTAGGAGGTGGAGGTTGCGGTGAGCCGAGATTGTGCCATTGCACTGCAGCCTGGGCAACAAGATCAAAACTCCATCTCAAGAAAAAAAAAAAAAAAAAAATATATATATATATATATACACACACATATATGTATGTATGTATATATGAATATGTTCTTGTAAAATATTTGCATAATACACAAGCATGCAGAGGAAAATGTAACAGTCTCCCTGCTGCATCCCCACCACTGAAGTACCCCCTTCCCCAGTTTGGTGACTTGGCATCTTTTAGGTCCCTTCTTTATGTAACGGTAACTTCATACATCTAGATGTACATATACATGCATAAGTTTAAAGCATTTTTAAAAATCATATGTTTTGTCAAAGTGTACTTTTCAAAAAGTTAAAACCTACGTCTAAATATAGAATGAACACGTAACAAAGATTTATTAGGCCGGGTGCGGTGGCTCATGCCTGTAATCCCAGCACTTTGGGAGGCTGAGCTCCCAAAGTGAGCCTGAGAGGATCACTTGAGCTCAGGAGTTTGAGACCAGCCTGGGCAACATAGTGAAACCTCCTCACTACTAAAAATTAAAAAAAAATAAAATTAGCTGGTTGTGGTGGCCCTTGCCTGTAGTACCCCCTACTTGGGAGGCTGAGGCGGGAGGGTCATTTGAGCCCAGGAATTCGAGCCCTGCTTGCATCTTTGCAGTCCGGCCTGGGGGCATAGTGAGACCTTGTCTCAAAAAAAAAAAAAAAAAAAAAAAGATCTTTAACTCATCAGTGAGGGGATTTCCGCTTGGTAAGGTGGTAATGCACATGAGGAACTGGACAGGACGAGCATTTAAAGAGGAACGTTAGGCCAGGTGCAGTGGCTCATGCCTGTAATCCTAGCACTTTGGGAGGCCGAGGTGGGCGGATCACCTGAGGTCAGGAGTTCGAGACCAGCCTGGCTAACATAGTGAAACCCTGTCTCTACTAAAAATACAAAAAAACTAGCTGGGCATGGTGGTGTGCACCTGTAATCTCAGCTACTCGGGAGGCTGAGGCAGGAGAATCACTTGAACCTAGGAGGCAGAGGTTGCAGTGAGCTGAGATCGCGCCATTGTACTTCAGCCTGGGTGACAGAGCAAGTCTCAAATAAAATAAAATACAATAAAGAAGAATGTTAGCATATGATTACTAGGTTAGATGCAAAATGCAATGGATGTCCTACATGACAAAAATTATACCCTTTGAGGTTAGTTTTTCTACTGGATATACATGTCTTTCATCTCTCCTGGACAATATCTCCTTGTAATTTCAGTCTATTTACCTTACTAGTGAATAGCAAAATCAAACAACTGTGTATTCTTGTGGGTAAATAATCCTTGGGAGGGCTTCTGAAACGATGCCCCAGTGTGACAATGAGAGGACACACTACACTCTTGGACTTCCAATTTTTGGATTTTTCCTTTTTTTTTTTTTTTTTTTTTTTGAGACGGAGTTTTGCTCTTGTTGCCCAGGCTGGAGTGCAATGCCACAATCTCAGCTCACCGCAACCTCGGCCTCCCGGGTTCAAGCAATTCTCCTGCCTTAGCCTCCCGAGTAGCTGGGATTACAGGCATGCGCCACCAAGCCCAGCTAATCTTGTATTTTTAGTAGAGACGGGGGTTTCTCCATGTTGGTCAGGCTGGTCTCGAACTCCCGACCTCAGGTGATCCACCCACCTTGGCCTCCCAAAGTGCTGGGATTACAGGCGTGAGTCACTGCGCCCAGCCTAATTTTGTATTTTTAGTAGAGACTGGGTTTCTCCATGTTGGTCAGGCTGGTCTTGGACTCCCAACCTCAGGTGATATGCCCACCTTGGCCTCCCAAATTGCTGAGATTATAGGCGTAAGCCACCACGCCCTGCCTGGATGATTTGTCTTAACACTATTCTCCAACTTTTAAAAATGTTTATAGACTTCTTGGAGTAGACCTCAATCTATACCCTTTTTCATTTTCTTAAGATTATAGCTTCATAGGCTGAAATCAAGTATTTTAAATGGTTTCTAGACATCCCATTGATTCAGAGGTCAGCAAACTTTTCCCGTAAAATAGTAAATATTTTAGGTTTGGAGGACCATGCAGTCTCTGTGGTAGCTACTCAACTCTGCTCTGTGTTTTTTTTGTTGTTGTTTGTTTGGGGTTTTTTTTTGTTTGTTTTTGAGATGGAGTTTTGCTCTTGTCACCCAGGCTGGAGTGCAATGGCATGATCTTGACTCACTGCAACCTCTGCCTCCTGGGTTCAAGCGATTCTCCTGCCTCAGCCTCCCAAGTAGCTGGGACTACAGGCGCCCGCCACCAGGCCCGGCTAAGTTTTTGTATTTTTAGTAGAGATGGGGTTTCACCATGTTAGCCAGGCTGGTCTCGAACTCCTGACCTCGGGTAATCTGCCTGCTTTGGCCTCCCAAAGTGCTGGGATTACAGGCATGAGCCACCGTGCCTAGCCTCAACTAAGCAGCCATAGATCATATGTTAAAAAATGGGCGTGACTGTGTTCCAATAAGAGTTACGGAAAATGGGATATGAATTGCATATGATTTTCAGGTGTCATGAAATGTTATTTTTTTCCCAACCATTTACAAATGAGAAAACCATTCTAGCTCACAGACCATATGAAAACAGGTGGTGAGCTGTGTTTGGCCTGCAGGATCCCTGGCAAAGAACAAGTAAACCAGTGAGTTTTTCCATTCCAACCTTCCTCCAACAGCCCTTCATAAGTAATGTTTCAAGGGCCACTTTGATGAAGAAAGTCTTTTTCTCTTTTTCCTCCATTCCAACTCTGTGTCCTAATCTGAACTCCAGATCGTTCCCTGTCTTCATGAGCTCTTCACCTTTGTGCACAGCTGCACTTTTGTCCAAGTCAGAACCCTGGGAGAGCAGCTCAGGAGGCTGAGGTGGGAGGGGAGGTCAAGGTTGGAGTGAGCCAAAGATAGCACCACTGCACTCCAGCCTGGATGAAGAGCAAAACCCAGTCTCAAAAAAAAAGGAAAAGAGAACCCTGAGAGTTATCCTCCACATTTCCACCTAACCCTTCACTCAGCACATTCCATCAGTCACTTAAGCTCTGCTGAGTCTGTCCTTTTTTTTTCAATAATAGGGGGCGGGTCTCACTACGTTGTCCAGGCCAGTATTGACCTCCTGGGCTCAATCAATTCTCCCACCTCTGCCTTCCAAAGTGCTGGGATTACAGGCGTGAGCCACTGTGCCCGGCCTTAGGGGTTCTTAAATGTGAGTGTGTATCAGAACTACTTGGGAACTTTCTAAAAAGAAGCTAGATCTGAGAGAATCCCAGAGTCTTTTTTTTTTTTTCTTGCTTTGTTGCCCAGGCTGGAGTGCAGTGGCACCATCGCAGCTCAAGCAGTTCCCCCACCTCAGCCTCCCGAGTAGCTGGGACCACAGGCGTGCGCCATCATCCTGGCTAATTTTTGTTTTGTTTTTTTTGAGACAGAGTCTCGCTCTGTCATCCAGGCTGGAGTGCAGTGGCGAGATCTAGGCTCACTGCAACCTCTGCCTACCGGGTTCAAGCGATTCTTCTGCCTCAGTCTCCGAGTAGCTGGGACTACAGGCGCGCGCTACCACACCCGGCTAATTTTTGTATTTTTAGTAGAGACGGGTGTTTCACCATATTGGCCAGGCTGGTCTCCAACTCCTGACCTTGTGATCCGCGCCCCCACCCCCCCGGCCTCCCTAAGTGCTGGGATTACAGGCGTGTGCCACCGCGCCTGGCCTGTATTTTTTTTTTATAGAGACGGAGTTTCGCCATTTTGCCCAGGCTGGTCTCGAACTCCTGGGCTCAAGCGATCCACCCGCCTCGACCTCCCCAGTGCTGGGATTACGGGAGTGCCCGGCGCAGCTCAGCGCAGAGACTTACAATGCGCCACAGATAGTCCTGAAGGCAATTCTGATGCACGTCAGAGGACCAGGCCCTAAGAAGAACTGCGCTAGAGGCGTGGTACAGAATAGTGTACATGCATTTAATCCTCGTAGCCCCCCTGTGAAGTATGTACCCCAATTTTAGGAATGGGATAAACTGAGCCACTGCCAGTGGCAGGATCCCAGGAACACTCTACTCTGGCCTCACGTCCCGCATCCGTCCATTGCATCTGGGCACATATTCCGTGGGCCCCTTGCCTGCGAGAGTGCAGGTTGGGGAGCCACTACCCGTCCCCCTTCTGGGACAGCAGCAACCCCAGGCAGTTCCACAAAATGCTTCCACCCAGGAAACTGGGGGAATTCAGGGCTCTCCCGGAACCTTTGCACCCGGGGAAGACAGGTGCGGGGGAACTCTAGTCTCGAAGGACCTAGGGCTGCAGGGGGACGTTTCACCTGAAGGACTGCCTCGTTTCAACAACAACTTTATGGCTCCCGGAAGTGCCTCCTCCCCGTCCCCTTCCTTTCCAGCCTCACGCCCGTGGGCTGCAGTTGGAACGATGGCGGCGGCAGCTGCCGCCGGGCCTAGCCCGGGGTCTGGACCTGGGGACTCCCCAGAAGGGCCCGAGGGGGAGGCTCCGGAGCGTCGGCGGAAGGCGCACGGGATGCTGAAGCTTTACTACGGCCTCTCGGAAGGGGAGGCGGCGGGACGCCCCGCGGGGCCCGACCCCCTGGACCCGACTGATCTGAACGGGGCGCACTTCGACCCGGAAGTTTACCTAGACAAGGTGTGTGCGCACGGGGAGTGGGGGGGTGCGGGGAGGGGGGAAGGGAACCAGGCCCCTGCTATATTGCTCCCCCAGATCATGCCTCCGACTTTTTGTGAGGTTCAGGAGAGCAGGTGTTCATAAGAGGACGAACCTCGGCCAGGGAGTACGAGCAGCTGAGGCGTCTGAGGGGATGTGAGTAGGACTGGACTGGCCTGAGGTGATGCGGCATCTGAGGTCTTCTGGGCTGATGTGATAGGCCCGGAATTGGGGGCGTGGCCCAAGCGTTGACAGGCGCGGGGCTGGGCTTAGGCCGAGCCCCAGGATTTCAAATGCTGACAAACACCAAACACGGTTGAACCTAGTAACCCCTGAGCTAGGCCACTTAGGGCCCCCTGCCTGGGATTCCTGACAGCCGGCGGGGGTTTGCGGGGTGGGTGGGGATCAGAGATTTCTTGCCCTGAAAGCCTATCAGCTGCAGGCAAGGCTGGGGGACATGAATGCCTCCTGACCCGAACACTAACCACCCAACTTCTTCAGCTGCGTAGAGAGTGCCCTCTGGCCCAGTTGATGGACAGTGAGACGGACATGGTGCGGCAGATCCGGGCTCTAGACAGCGACATGCAGACCCTGGTCTATGAGAACTACAACAAGTTCATCTCAGCCACAGGTGATCCCCACGGGGACACACCCTCCAAAGTCTCACAGCCCCCATTCTCCCACCTGTGTTGGGAAAACCAGCAAGGGATTTAGAGGGGGGAGACTCAGATTCCAGTCTTGTCCTGACATTATTCCATTCTCACCTCCTTTCCTTTGAGCCTTCGTTGTCAGACTACTATAGAGATAATAGCTACTCTCAGAGGGTTGTCTTAAGTACCAAAGGAGAGAAAAGACAAAAGGAGATTAGTTGTTTATTTTTTAGAGACAATGTCTTGTTCTGTCTCCCAGGCTGGAGGGCAGTAGCATGATCATGGCTCACTGCAGCCTCGACATCCCAGGCTCATGTGATCCTTCTGGATCCTACCAAAGCACTGGGATTACGGGTGTGAGTCCCTGGCCCAGCCCAAAATGAAATTTTAAAATGAAATGTATTTATCTGAAGCACTTAAAAGGCCAGGCATGGTGGCTCATGCCTGTAATCCCAGCACTTTGGGAGGCTGAAGTGGGAGGATCACTTGAGCCTAAGAGTTTAAGATTGACCTGGGAAATATAGTGGGACTCCATCTCTACAAAAAAATAAAAAATAAAAATTAGCTGGACAAGATGGCGTATGCCTGTAGTCCCAGCTACTCAGGAGACTGAGGAGGGAGGATCACATGAGCCTGGGAGGTCGAGGCTGCAGTGAGCTGTGCTTGTACCACTTCACTTCAACTTGGGCAACAGAGCAAGACCCTGTCTCAAAAAAAAGAAAGTATCTATCTGAAGAAGCATCCCAGACACTAGGCTGGGCACAGTGGCTCATGCCTGTAATCCCAGCACTTTGGGAGGCCGAGGCAGGTGGATCACCTGAGGTCAGGAGTTCGAGACCAGCCTGGCCAATATGGTGAAACCCCATCTCTACTAAAAATAAAAAAATTAGCTGGGTGTGGTGGCAGGCACCTGTAATCCCAGCTACTCAGGAGGCTGAGTGGGAGAATCACTTGAACCTGGGAGGTGGAGGCTGCGGTGAGCCAAGATCACGTCACTGCACTCCAGCCTAGGCAGCAGAGCAAGACTCTGTCTGAAAAAAAAAATAATAAGAAGAAGAATCCCTGACATCAAGGAAACCTCAGTAAGGTGTAGTTTCTCTTATTATTGATAGCTTTCTTTTCTGCTCCAGGGAAGAATAGGTGGTCTTGTCCCTCCCTTTCTTTCTCCCTTCCTTCCCTCCTTAACTAAGCAAAGAGAGAAGATGTATGATATTAGGGGACACAAAGATCATGTCGAGGCTTTTTTTTTCTTCTGTCCTCTTTATTCTCTAGTGCCAGACAGTGTTCCACTGTTTTCCACACTAGCTTCTGTGCTGTTTTGAGGAGATGTACTACTCAGACTTTTGTAGTAATTGTACACCCACGTGTAGTAAGTCCAGGAGCCAGATCCAAAGGGTTTACCTGCAGCCTGTGGAATGTTCTGGGAGCATCTGTGGGGTTGCATTCTGATGTCTTACTCTCGTGTCACAGTGGTGGGTGTGGTAACCTATACACATTGTTCTTTTATCTGATTTGAAGCAGATTCCATGAGTAGGCACCTTTCTGTTAGCTAATACCAGCATCAAAATGGCAAGAAATCATAGTTTCTGTGCTGGGATATTTCTCACAGGAATTTAATAAGATTACATTTTCCATTTGTTGGAATGTGTATAATAATATTTTGAGACTTAGCTCTTTTTGTACATCCCACAAAAGGAACAAACGTTTGGAAAAGTGTGAGGATAACCAGGAGCATTGATGTCTTAGAAGCTTAAGTGAGGGGCCGGGCATGGGGTTCTCACCCGTGATCCCAGCACTTTGGGAGGCTGAGGTGGGTGGATCACTTGAGGCTAGGAGTTCAAGACCAGCCTGGCCAACATGGTGAAACCCTGTCTCTACTAAAAATACAAAAATTAGCTGGGCAAGGTGGTGCATGCCTGTAGTCCAAGCTACTCATGAGGCTGAGGCAGGAGAATTGCTTGAACCCAGGAGGTGGAGGTTGCGTGAGGAAGGTGTTTCAAGACATAGATTTGATAGACTTGGGCGAGACACTCAGGAAAGTAATGTAGCATGGAGTGTGTGTTGATTGGGCAAGAGAGAGAGAAAAATGAGAAAGGAACTAGGTCCTCAGGAAGGAGGGGGGTGGAACAGAGCAGGGATGGAGGCATCGGCCTCAGCAAAGGGCCGGGAGCTCATCTATGGTAGCAGGAGGGGAAGCAGAATGTGGGCAGAGCCAGGCAGATAGTAGATGTGCAGTTTAACTAGAAACCTTCCAGAATGTATTAGGGATTTGGCTTTTATCCACAGAGAGCTAAAACAAATGAGTGATGTGCTCAGATTTCTGGTTTGAATAGATTCCTCCAGCTGCACTGGCAGGAATGGATGGGGCTGAGCACAGTGGCTCATGCCTGTAATCCCTGCACTTTGGAAGGCTGAGGTGGGAGGATCACTTGAGCCCAGGAGTTTGAGACCAGCCTGTGCAACATAGTGAGACCCGATATCTAGAAAAAAAAAAATAGCTGGGTATGGTGGCACACACTTGTTAGAATAAACCCAGCTACTTGGGGAGGCTAAGGTGGGTGGATCACATGAGCCCAGGAGCTGGAGATTGCAGTGAGCTATAATCTCACCATTGCACTCTAGCCTGGGTGACAGAGCAAGACCTAGTCTCAAAAAATAAATAAATAAATAAAAAGGCCAGGTGCGGTGGCTTATGCCTATAATCTTAGCACTCTGAGAGGCCGAGACGGGTGGATCATCTGAGGTCAGGCATTTGAGACCAGGCTGGCCAATATGGTGAAACCCCATCTCTACTAAAAATACAAAAATTAGTCAGGCATGGTGGCAGGCATCTGTAGTCCCAGCTACTCAGGAGGCTGAGGCAGGAGAATCGCTTGAACCCAGGAGGCGGAGGTTGCAGTGAGTCGAGATCGCGCCACTGCACTCCAGCCTGGGCAACAGAGCGAGACTCCGTCTCAAAAATAATAATAATAATAAATAATAATAAAAGGACAGCCCACAGAATGGGAGAAAATATTTGCAAGTTAGTTATCTAATAAAAATCTAGTGTTCAGAACATAAAAAGAACGTTTTTTAGCTCAGGGCTAAAAAGACAAATAACCCTAATTTAAAATGGGCAAAGGATTTGAATAGACACTTCTCCAGAGAAAACATACAAGTGGCCGAAAAGCACATATAAATATGCTCAGCATCATTAGGTCTTAGGGAAATGCAAATCCAAACCACAAAATGCTGCACCCAGTGTGGAAGACAGTTTGACCATTCTTCAAAACCACACACAAGATTACCATATGATCGGCAATTTTACTCCTAGGAATATACCAAAGAGAATTGAAAACATGTTCACATAAAAACATGTACACAAGTGTTCATAGCAGTGTTTTTTTTTTTTTTTTTTTTTTTGAGATGGAGTCTAGCTCTGTCACCCAGGCTAGAGTGCAGTGGTGCCATCTTGGCTCACTGTAACCTCCGCCTCCCCAGTTCAAGCGATTCTCCTGCCTCAGCCTCCTGAGTAGCTGGGATTATAGGTGTGCACCATCACACCCGCCTAATTTTTTTATTTTTATTTTTTGTATATTTACTAGAGACGGGATTCCACCTTGTTGGCCAGGCTGGTCTTGAACTCCTGACCTCAAGTGATCCGCTTGCCTCGGCTTCCCAAAGTACTGGGATTACAGGCAAGAGCCACCATGCCTGGCCAATAGCAGCACTTTTTATAATAGCCACAAGGTGGAAGCAATCCAAATGGCCATCAATTGAATGAATATAAACAAATATCCACACAGTGGAATATTATTCAGCCATAAAAATAGATATAACATACTGACACAGGCTACAACATAGATTAACCTTGGAAACATGCTAATGTTTCATATGCCTATGATTCCATTTCTGTTAAATGTATTCTGTAGCGAATAGACAAATCCATAGAGACAGAAACTAGATTAATGGTTGCCAAGTTCTAGGAGTGGGGGAATAAGGAATGACTGCCAAGGGTTACAGGGTTTCTTTAGGGGATGATGAAATGTTCTGGAATTACGTAGTGAGGTTGGTTGTACAACCTTGTGAATATATTAAACATATTAAAAACCACTGAATTGGTATGTCAATTATATCCCAATTAAAAAGAAAACCAGGCATTGAGCCAGATTTGGCCTGCAGGCTGTAGTTTGCCAACCTCTCACCTAGACATTGAGTTTCATTATGTAATAATGCATTTACTTGTGTCAAAATTAGAAAGATCTCAAACATTATACAGGGAAAAGCCTCTCCTAATTCTTTTCTCTAGGCAAAGACAAAGCAGTCTTTGACAGTACATTTCACTGAAAATTAACAGAGCCCAGGTGGGATTATGGCTCATACCTATAATCCCAACACTTTGTGAGGCAGAGGCAGGCAGATTGCTTGAGCTCAGGAGTTCGAGACCATCCTGGCCAACAGGTTATACCTGTCTCTACAAAAAATACAAAAATTAGCTGGGTGTGGTGTTGTGTCCCTGTAGTCCGAGCTGCTCAGGAAGCTGAGGTGGAAGGCTTGTACCTGGGAGGCAGAGGTTGCAGTAAGCCAAGATTGTGTCACTGCACTCCAGCCTGGGTGACAGAGCCAGACCTTGTCTCAAAAAAAAAAAAAAAAAAAAAAAAAAAAAGAAAATTAACAGACATACAGAAAAGTGCACATAAGTGGACAGCTCCATGGATTTCACAAAGGGAGCACAGTCACATAATCAGCATCCAGGTCGGGAAACAGCATAACCAGCAAAGCCCCCTGAGCCTCCTACCAGTTACCACCCAGTCCCCTCCCAAGGTAGCCAACATCCTCGCATCCAGATGGCTTTCACTCTCCCTGGTTACAAACTGCTTTTCTTAACAAGCTTTTTTTTTTTTTTTTTTTTGAGACAGAGTCTTGCTCTGTCATCCAGGCTAGAGTGCAGTGGCCCAATCGGCTCACTGCAACCTCCGCCTCCGGGGTTCAAGTGATTCTCCTGTCTTAGGCTTCCAAGTACCTGGGATTACAGGCACCTGCCACCACACTTGGCTAATTATTGTATTTTCAGTAGAGACGGGATTTCACCATGTTGGTCAGGCAGGTGACCTCAGGTGATCCACCTGCCTTGGCCTCCCAAAGTGCTGGGGTTACAGGCGTGAGCCACTGTGCCCAGCCTGCTTTTCTTAACAAGCTTGAAATGCAAAGATAAACAGTGTAGTCTTTGTGACTGAATGGTGTGGATGCTTTCACTGTTGTTTTTGGATATGGTACAACTTTTATCTCCAGTGTAATGGCTCCATGGCTGGGAAGGCAGCGACAATGACAGCACACAGCACTGTTGGGTTTTCTTTTACTCTATTTTCCTAACAACTTAGTGTTTGGATTTTACCCTTTAGAAGTTGGATTCAAGCTTCCTTCTTGAGGTAGCCCCTAAGTGTCATGGGCTCAAACACCCACTACCAAAAGAGTCTGCTCTTTTCATGGTAGCTTTTGGCAGACCTGGAAGGAGATTGTGTCACATGGCCTGTAAACAAAACCAGTAATTCACTGGGTGAAGACCAAATGCCTCATCAACTGCCAAGCCTCTGTCTGTCTCCCTTAGATCAGTAGCCCATGATCCCTTTACGAACCTCAGCCTCGGCTCTGCTTTTATTGTTTTTCACTGCATAGCGCTGCCTTTGCTATGTCCTTTAGTTCACCATCTATGAATTGGCAAGAAAAATTTTCTTGCCAGGCACAGTGGCTCACTCCTGTGCTCCCAGCACTTTGGGAGGCTGAAGTGGGAGCATTGCTTGAGCCCAGAAGTTTGAGACCAGCCTGGGCAACATAGAGAGACCCCATCTCTACACAAAATTTAAACAAAAATTAAAAAATTAGCCGGGTGTGATGGCGCTTGTGTGTAGTCCCAGCTACTTCAGAAGCTAAGGTAGGAGGATCACTTGAGCCCCAGAGTTCAAGGCTGCAGTAAGCTGTGTTTGCACCACTGCATGCCATCTTGGCTCACTGTAACCTCCGCCTCCCCAGTTAAGGTGATTCTCCTGCCTTAGCCTCCTGAGTAGCTGGGATTATAAGTGTGCATCACCATGCCTGTAGACAGAGCAAGACCCTATCTCAAGCAAAGAAACTCAAAATAATTATGATTTCCCCAACAAAATGCAGGCAATGGTCCCTATGGTCCCAAAAGTAATATAGATGTTTCACATCATGTGATTTTATTCCTTAGTAACCTTCCTTTCTATGAAATCATCTCTAAGAGGGCTAAATGATCCTTTCTTGTGGACTGTGTTGTTAAAATGAAAAGTCCATTTTGCTGATACGTAATCTACCTTTCCATGTAATTTTTTAAAAAATCCCTTAATAGCTCTACAGATGTGAGCCCTGTAGATTCTTTGTCTCAGACAGTTCTTTCTCTTATATTTTCTCTAATATTTTTTTCCTGCATTTTTTGTTTCTGTTTGTTTCTTGTCAAATTGACATCAATGCTTTTCTCCTTACTCACCCTTCCAGCTGTCTCCCCAAGTGGGGTAGATTCCCAGTGTTGCTTGGAGAACATTCCTACAGTCCCAGAGCCACACACAGACCAGGTGTGGGTGTGTGAAGGCTCACAAGTGATTGCAGTTAGATATTTCCAGATTCTTCTTTGTAAATGCTGATCAGTTTGCATAACCACCAGCAAAGAAGAGAATACCTCTTTCAATCTTTGACAATCTGAGAAGTGAAAAGTGGTATCTCTTATTGTTTATAGTAACGTTTACAGGGTGTTTTTTTTTGTTTTTTTTTTTTAGGGCTTTCTATTTATTCAATTATTATTATTTGAGACAGAGTGTTGCTCTATTACTCAGGTTAGAGTGCAGTGGCACAATCTCAGCTCACTACAACTTGTGCCTCCAGGGTTCAAGCGATTCTCCTGCCTCAGCCTTCCCAGTAGCTAGGATTACAGGCACCTGCCACCACGCCCAACTACTTTTTGTATTTTTACTAGAGACAGGGTTTTACCATGTTGGCCAGGCTGGTCTCAAACTCCTGACGTCAAGTGATCTGCCTGCCTCGGCCTCCCAAAGTGCTGGGATTACAGGCATGAGCTACCGTGGCTGGCCTATTTATTTGATTATATCATCTGCAAATAGTGATACTTCTCCCTCCTTTCCAATTTGTGTATCTCCATAATACATCTCGTGACTCTAGCTGAGTTGGCTAATGCCCCAGAACAATGTAGATAACATTGGCAATCAAGGTTGTCCTTGCCATGTTTTGACTTTAATTGGAGTGCTTCTAGCACTGCCTCGGTAAACATGATACTGAGTTTTGGAGGTCAGGGAAATATTTAGCTGCTCATATGTTATTGAGAGTTTTTTAAAAATCAAGAATAGATGTTGAAATATCTATTAACATGGCAAATTATTATGAGATCCTCTAATTTTGAGTCATCCTGGCATTCATGAAACAAAAACCCTTTTGTGTTTATCAATTATTATTTTAATATGCTGCTGGATTTTGTTTGCTTATTTGTGCATCTCCATTTGTTTATTTAATTCATCCTTGCATCTCCATTCATAAGAGATATGAATGTGTATATGTGAGGTATTTCTGTTATGTTTTCATAACAGTGTTATGTTTGTTCCATCAAGTTTGTGTGAGAGCTGTTCTCGTTTCTCTGCTGGGGCAGTGTTTACACAGAGAATTGGAAGGCGCTGTCCTTCAAGCCGCCGCAACACCCCTGGACATCTGGGCCAGATGCCTTTGTGTGGAGGGGAAAGGGGAGTAGGACCTTTCTTTCACAACATTCTCTAGTTTTTCTGTTTCTGTTTTCTTGTTTTTTGCAATCCATTTTGGTAAATCCTATTTTTGTAGCAAATTATCCATTTCATCCATAGAATTCACCAAGCCCTTACCAATTTAGTGTTTTCTTGGTATTTTACCCATGCTGCAATTTCAGTTTTGATTTCCTTTTCTGACCTCATAATTGGTTAACAATGAGGTTTTTTCGACTGGGCACGGTGGCTCCCGCCTGTAATCCCAGCACTTTGGGAGGCCGAGGCGGGTGGATCACTTGAGGTCAGAGACCAGTCTGGCCAACATGGTGAAACCCTCTCTACTAAAAGTACAAAAATTAGCCAGGCATGGTGGCACGTGCCTGTAATCCCAGCTACTCGGGGCTGAGGCAGGAGAATCGCTTGAACCCAGGAGGTGGAGGTTGCAGTGAGCTGAGATCGCGCCACTGCACTGCAGCCTGGGCGACGGAGGGAGACCCTGTCTCAAAAAAAAAAAAAGAATGAGGTTTTTTTCTTTGTGATCTACCATATGGAAAGGTTTGTATATATTTTATGGCATTGTTTGGGAAAAATGCAAACTGTGTGCTTCCTATGCTCTCACATCACCACAATCATGACCACAGAAGAGTTCTGTGACCAAATGTGTTGGGTTTCTTCCCCACACACCAAGCAGCAGACACCCGCTGGGTGTCCTCTGATTTAATTCCAACACTATTTACCCAGAGATAGCATCAGATTCCATGAGTTGAGGGCTGAGTCCCCAAGCCTGCCTCCCTTCAGGCACTAGTTCAGTCCCAAATCTGCCTCCCCACTTTCAGGCACTAGCTGCAGGTCAGGGCCTCAGGCCTCCAGAATTTCTGACCAACTGGCTCCAGGTAGGGGTTTCCATAACTCCCTCTTTGGGCTCAGTTTGCTGGAGTGGCTCACAGAGCTCAGGATAACACATTTACCAGTTTATTACAAAGGATGTTACAAAGGGTACAGATGAGCAGGTGCATAGGGCGAGGTGTAGGAGAAGGAGCATGGAGTTTCCATGCCCTCCCCGGGCGTGCCACCCTCCAGGAGCCTCCAGAGCTGAGATCGCGCCACTGCACTCCAGCCTGGGTGACAGAGTGAGACTCTTTCTCAAACAAAACAAAACCAAAATATCTCCTGTTACAGATACACATTTCTGTCTTATCCTCTTCGCCTTTCTTTATGAACATTGTTGGTATGTTCAATGGAATTAGGGAAATTAGTTGGGAAATGTTGGCAGTTGTTGGACAAGAGATGATAGTGGCTTACAAAGAAAATGTTGCAGGTAGACCTTCCATGACTTGGTAATGGATTGATTACTAGGTATATTAATCCAGGTTCATACTGCTGTAAAGAACTGCCCGAGACTAGGTAACTTATAAAGGAAAGAGGTTTAATTGACTCACAGTTCACAGCATGGCTGGGGAGGCCTCAGGAAACTTACAATCATGGCAGAAGGTGAAAGAGAAGCAAGGCATCTTCTTCACAAGGCAGCAGGAAGGAGAAGTGTTAAGCGAAGCAGGGAGAGCCCCTTATAAAACCATCAGACCTCGTCGGGTGCGGTGGCTCATGCCTGTAATCCCAGCACTTTGGGAGGCCAAGGTGGGCGGATCATGAGGTCAGGAGATCAAGACCATCCTGGCTAACATGGTGAAACTCCATCTCTACTAAAAATACAAAAAATTAGCTGGGTGTGGTGGCAGGCACCTGTAGTCCCAGCTACTTGGGAGGCTGAGGCAGGAGAATGGTGTGAACCTGGGAATTGGAGTTTGCAGTGAGCAGAGGTCGTGCCACTGCACTCCAGTCTGGGCGACAGAGCGAGACTCAGTCTCAAAAAAAAAAAAAAAGAATAGGTGGAATTGAATTGAGGCCGTCAGTGAACAGTCAGGAACATTGGAAGGCTCATCCATGTGGATGTGCACAAGGAGGTGACAGGAGGAGGAGAAGAGGCAGTGATGGGGAACTGAGAGGAGTGTCAGAGGACAGTAGAGACAGCAAAGAGGAGGGTTGTGGCTTGATGGCATGGTCTTCCTAGAAGCCGGGGTTTTGAAGAGAGGAGATCTAGGCATGATTTAGAAGCATGAAGGGACCAGGCTCCCAGGCACCTGGTGTGTGAAAGGAAAAACAGCCTCCCTAGGCAGGATTCTATCAGGACCAAAGGGAAAGGGCCCTTCAGAGAAGACAGCCCATGTTCCGGAAAGCATGTGAAAGGCTTTGGGAGGTCTGGAAAGGAGATGAGGGTCAACAAGAATGTATTGCCTCATCCAGGCAGTGCGCTGGACACGCAGATGCGCTTGGGAGCCAGCGGTCCCTGCCTTGGCTGCTTGTGGTCTGATGGAGCAGTTGAGGCACAGTGGTGGCAGCTGGCTAAGCACCTGCGGCCTGCTTCGGATCTGGACTAATTCTGAGGGCCGGCTCTCCTGGGCACCAGGGTTAGGGGGTTACGGGGAGTATGTGAGTAACGCCTGCTTTGGGAACATAAACCCCCTCCCCCGCCCCCATGTGCGCTGTGACCCACGCCCTCGCAGTCCTTTCTCTGGAATCATCCATGCGCCCCTGGAGCAAGCTGGGGCGTCTGTGAAGGGGTGGGTGAGAAGGAGCTGAGGTTGCGCCCGCCCTGCAGTCACCTGCTCTCCCCTTTTCCCCGCCCCTGCCCTCCTAGACACCATCCGGAAGATGAAGAACGATTTCCGGAAGATGGAGGATGAGATGGACCGGCTGGCCACCAACATGGCAGTGATCACCGACTTCAGCGCTCGCATCAGCGCCACGCTGCAGGACCGCCACGAGCGCATCACCAAGCTGGCAGGTGGGCGCTGCCGGGCAGGGCCTGCAGTGGGCCTTTCCTGGGGCTCTGGGGCTAACGTCACCCTCCGTCCCCCAGGGGTCCACGCGCTGCTGCGGAAGCTGCAGTTCCTCTTTGAGCTGCCCTCGCGCCTCACCAAGTGCGTGGAACTGGGCGCCTATGGGCAGGCGGTGCGCTACCAGGGCCGCGCGCAGGCCGTGCTGCAGCAGTACCAACACCTGCCCTCGTTCCGCGCCATCCAGGACGACTGCCAGGTCATCACGGCCCGCCTGGCCCAGCAGCTGCGGCAGCGCTTTAGGTGTGGCCCCTCTGCCCTGACCCCAGCGCTCCCGCCAGCCCCGAGCCCCATCTGTGCCCGGCTCCTGGGCCCTCCTGGAGCTGTCCCCCTGCCCTGTGTGTGCTTTGCTTTCCTGCTCCTGCCCCATCCACCGGCAGCCCCGGCCCTGCCCTTCACTACCTCTCCCTCGTGCAGGGAGGGCGGCTCAGGCGCCCCGGAGCAGGCAGAGTGCGTGGAGCTGCTGCTGGCCCTGGGCGAGCCTGCGGAGGAGCTGTGCGAGGAGTTCCTGGCGCACGCCCGCGGCCGGCTGGAGAAGGAGCTGAGAAACCTGGAGGCCGAGCTGGGGCCCTCACCTCCGGCTCCCGACGTGTTAGAGTTCACCGACCATGGAGGCAGTGGCTTCGTGGGCGGCCTCTGCCAGGTGGCGGCGGCCTACCAGGAGCTGTTTGCGGCCCAGGGCCCAGCAGGTGCCGAGAAGCTGGCGGCCTTCGCCCGGCAGCTGGGCAGCCGCTATTTTGCGCTGGTGGAGCGGCGGCTGGCGCAGGAGCAGGGTGGTGGTGACAACTCACTGCTGGTGCGGGCGCTGGACCGCTTCCACCGGCGCTTGCGGGCTCCCGGGGCCCTGCTGGCCGCTGCCGGGCTCGCAGACGCTGCCACGGAGATCGTGGAACGAGTGGCCCGCGAGCGCCTGGGCCACCACCTGCAGGGTCTCCGGGCGGCCTTCCTGGGCTGCCTGACAGACGTCCGCCAGGCGCTGGCAGCACCTCGCGTGGCTGGGAAGGAGGGCCCTGGCCTGGCCGAGTTGCTGGCCAATGTGGCCAGCTCCATCCTGAGCCACATTAAGGCCTCTCTGGCAGCAGTGCACCTTTTCACCGCCAAAGAGGTGTCCTTCTCCAACAAGCCCTACTTCCGGGTACGCCTCCTCTTGGGTGTTCCTTGTTCAACCTGCTGGTTGACCCTCCAAAACCTTTTATGCCAGTGCTTGGGAAACTGGGGAAACCAGGCACTCTGGGTGTGGTTTCAGGTTCTTATGCACGGTCTGGGGGGTGGGGAAGGCTCAGGGCATCTGCAGCTGGGCTGAGAAGCAGGGCATGGTGGGGTCCCCAGTGTTGGCTTTCTCTGCCCCCACTCAGGGAAGCTGCTCCGGGGTACTTAGAATGTAGGATGATGCTGTCCCTTGCAGAGGGGGCTGGGGCACTTAGAGCCCCAGCAGAGGGTCATTAACAGCCTTACCTGGAAGAGGGGACCTGCTGTGGACCTGGGCACCTTCTCTTGCAGGGTGAGTTCTGCAGTCAGGGTGTCCGTGAGGGCCTCATCGTGGGCTTCGTCCACTCTATGTGCCAGACGGCTCAGAGCTTCTGCGACAGCCCTGGGGAGAAGGGGGGTGCCACACCACCTGCCCTGCTCCTGCTGCTCTCCCGCCTCTGCCTGGACTACGAGACGGCCACCATCTCCTACATCCTCACTCTCACTGATGAACAGTTTCTGGTGCAGGTGAAGCACTAGCTCCTAGCCGGGCAGGGAATGGTGTTGCTGGGAATGCAGATGGCTGGACAGTGCCCTCATGGCCAGACCCCAGACCAGCTGCCTGTGTGTACCCCAGCCTCCACCTTGCCCAATCTGTGCCCAGCTCCTGGTTGGCAGTGGCCCCTGAGCTGCCCCCACCATACCCACTCCCTCTGTCCTCTGCCTCCTTGGCTCAGGATCAGTTCCCAGTGACGCCCGTGAGCACGCTGTGTGCAGAGGCCAGGGAAACGGCGCGGCGGCTGCTGACCCACTACGTGAAGGTGCAGGGCCTGGTCATATCACAGATGCTGCGCAAGAGCGTGGAGACTCGCGACTGGCTCAGCACTCTGGAGCCCCGGAATGTGCGGGCCGTCATGAAGCGGGTGGTGGAGGATACCACCGCCATCGACGTGCAGGTGCTGCCCAGGCTGGCCGGGGTAGCCCTGACGCAGGCTGGGGGTACTGTCCCTTCAAGAGGGGCTGGGGCAGCAGAGGATCACTGGCAGTCCCTGCCTGGAGGAGGGGACATGTGTATCTGGGCTTCTCACGGGGCCAGTTCTGTAGCCAGGGCGTCCGTGAGGGAACCCCAGGGGAACAAGTCTCCAAGGATGAAGACCAAACGGGCTGGGGAGTGCCTATGTCCACGGTCTTGTTCCTTCTCAGCCCAGGATTATGACATCTTCGCCCCTATTTTACCTGTGGAGAAGCAGAGGCTCAGGGTTACCCAGGAAGTCAGGGCAGGGTTGGTGCTGGTGCTGAAGATTAGACCTCAGACCAACTCTTGTATCCTGCCTTTGCCCCACTCCACTGGTTCTATAAATAGCGACCATGTACCTACTAAATAGCGGGCCCCGCGGTGATTACCCTGTGATCCTTGTGATGCTTGAGTAGCTGACTTAGGGCATCCTCAGCACCGATGGGCTGGTGGTTTCCCCTGACTCGGGCCTCCTTGCAGTACCTCTTTTTACCACCAGGTGGGGCTCCTGTACGAAGAGGGTGTTCGCAAGGCCCAGAGCAGCGACTCCAGCAAGAGGACTTTCTCCGTGTACAGCAGCTCTCGGCAGCAGGGCCGCTACGCCCCCAGCTATACCCCCAGGTCTGGCTGGTCAGGGGAGCCCCAGGGGGAAGGGACAAAAGAGGGCGAGGGTGCAGGGCGGGCTCTGATTCCTTGTCTTCCCCAATCCAGTGCCCCGATGGACACCAACCTCTTGAGCAATATCCAGAAGCTATTCTCTGAACGTATTGATGTGTTCAGCCCTGTGGAGTTCAACAAGGTCCGACTTCCAACGTGACTCAGACTTCCAGGGATCCCGGGGAGGGTTGGCTGGAGCAGCCCCACACCTGCCCAAGGAGCCCCAGGACTCTGTGACCAACTGGGGGTGACCCTGACCCTCCAGTCTCTGTCTCTAGGGCTGTTTTTAGGTAGTACAGAGTGCCCTGCCTCCAAATCCCACAGCCCTTGTCCCAGTCTTGGTGTATGCCCAGCCTGAGTCTGGGTGCTGACCTGGGATTACTGTTTGCCCTTGTCCTTATCCCCACAGTAGTCTTGGGTCCTCCCCAGGGTTTTCTGTTCACCCATGGTCCCTGCCCCGCCTCACTCCAAGCTCAGGGATGCCTCTGATTGCTGGGCCCTACCTGTCCCCTGCCCTCCAGATGACGGCGCTAATATTGTATCCCTCCCTTCTTATCTGGCCCCGGAGACTTTCTGCCTCATCCCAGCTACTTCCATCGTATGTCTCCCGGGCCCCTGCTTGGAACTTGGGTGTCCCCCACACACACCTGCAGTCCCCAAGCTGCATCCCTGTGTCCCTGCCTGCAGGTGTCGGTGCTGACCGGCATCATCAAGATCAGCCTGAAGACGCTGCTGGAGTGTGTGCGGCTGCGCACCTTTGGGCGCTTCGGGCTGCAGCAGGTGCAAGTGGACTGCCACTTTCTGCAGCTCTACCTGTGGCGTTTTGTGGCCGACGAAGAACTCGTGCACTTGCTGCTGGACGAAGTGGTGGCCTCTGCTGCCCTGCGCTGCCCAGACCCTGTGCCCATGGAGCCCAGTGTGGTTGAGGTCATCTGCGAGCGCGGCTAGGCGCAGCCGCTGCCATGCACCGGTCTGTCCCTGCACCCCATGGCACCCAGGATCTGGTCTCGGTGGTCCTTCCCCGCAGGCAGGTGTCAGGACCGGCCTAATAAACATGTGTGGCCTCCTCCTCTCGCTTGCTGGGCGGGCCTTTCCGGGGGCGGGGTTTTGAAGCTGAGGCTTCTGAGGCGCCCGCGTCGGGTCCGCCCCCGAGCGCCGATTGGCTGGTGTGCTGGGCCCAGCATGGGCAGGGGGCGGTTCCACTTAAAAACCCTGGGACGAGAGCGGTCCTTGTCTGCGTTCCGTGTCCAGGCAGGTGCAGGCGCCGCGGGGCCGGATCCTCCGCGCGGCCGAGTCCATCTCCTGGGAAATGGGGCGGACAGTGTTTCCTTGACTGACTATTGTGAGCGCCCTCTCTCTCCGGCGGAGCGGAGACCATGGCCCCCACTCAGGGCCCCCGGGCCCCGCTGGAATTCGGAGGGCCCCTGGGTAATGGGGCAGAGAGATGGGACCTGGGGCAAAGGCTAAGCGAAGGAGAGCTGGAGCGGGTGAACTAAGAGCGGGGGCGAGATCTGAGGATGGAAGGCTTTGGGGGTGTCGGAGGCAGAGGGACCCGGGGGTTTGCAGCGAAGGGTGTCTGGAGAGGGAGAGCTGAGGAGGGGCCGGTTCTGGGGGCTGCAGAACGGGGATTTATGGTGTCGACTGGGAGCAGGAGGAGGGTCTTCGAGGGGCCTGGGGGCGGGGGACTAAGATGGACGCCTGGGAAGGGAACTGGGAGGCAGCGGGGTGCCTGGGGGCCGAGGGCTGAGGACGGGGTGCGGAGGCGCACTCTGGGAATGCCGAGAGGGTCCCGCAGAGACGTCAGGGCGCCCGTGCGGGCCGGCGGGGAGCTGGGGGGCTAGGGGCGGACGCCCGACGTGATGGCCCTTCCCGCAGGCGCCGCGGCTCTGCTACTGCTGCTGCCCGCCACCATGTTCCACCTGCTCCTGGCGGCCCGTTCGGGCCCCGCGCGCCTGCTGGGTCCACCCGCGTCCCTGCCGGGGCTGGAGGTGCTGTGGAGCCCACGGGCGCTGCTGCTGTGGCTCGCCTGGCTCGGCCTGCAGGCGGCGCTCTACCTACTGCCGGCGCGCAAGGTGCGGGCCCCGCTCGCGGACGCTCGGGGGAGGGAAGCGAATGGGCTCGGCGAGGGAAAGGACGCCCCGGGCCTTATCAGAGCCCCCTTGGACCCGCAGGTGGCCGAGGGGCAGGAATTGAAGGACAAGAGTCGCCTGCGCTATCCTATTAACGGTGCCTAGGGGACGGGCCCTCGCGCTGGAGTTAAGCGGCCGGGGGTGGAGCTCCAGGCCTAGCGGGGAGGTCCACGGAGATTGGCCCCCACCCCAGGCTCCTTTGTGTGCCTCTGTTACGCCCAGGACAGACGCCGGGGGCTCTCCCTATGCCCCTCGTCCCCACAGCCTTACCCCATTTACTGCTACTCCGTGCACCACAGCAGTGGCTGGGGTGATCCTCTGAAGGCCAGGGTGGCAGCCTAATGCTTGGGGCAGGGTCTGTGGCCCCCCTGAGTTTTGGGCTCTGCGTGTGTTTGCGGGGTGGGGATGTGGAGGCGCGCAGCCCCAGGGCTCACTGTGCGCTGTGGTTCAGGCTTCCAGGCCCTGGTGCTGACAGCCCTGTTGGTGGGGCTGGGGATGTCAGCGGGGCTGCCTCTGGGGGCGCTCCCGGAAATGCTCCTGCCCTTGGCGTTTGTCGCCACCCTCACCGCTTTCATCTTCAGCCTCTTTCTCTACATGAAGGCGCAGGTAGCCCCAGTTTCGGCCCTGGCACCTGGGGGGAACTCAGGTGAGAGGGGTCCTGGGGTGGAGACGGAGGCAGATTGGGGCGTCTGCCTGTACATTCACTCTCCAATATTCTCCAGGCAATCCGATTTACGACTTTTTTCTGGGACGAGAGCTCAACCCTCGTATCTGTTTCTTCGACTTCAAATATTTCTGTGAACTGCGACCCGGCCTCATCGGCTGGGTATGTTGGGCTTGACTGAGCTGGCCTCAGGCCAGGGGGAGGGTTAGGGTGGGTGAGCAGCGCTTGGGCAGGGCAGGGCCAAAACTGTGCAGATGCGAGTCATTAACCATTCATATTCCACAAACATTTGTTCAATCCACCTGTGCCTAGGTACTGGGAGACAAAAATAAAGTTAGAGGCAAAAAAGCATCTTTGCTGCAGAGAGCCTACATTCTGGTGGGAAAGACAGAAAAAAATAAGTAAAATATATACAGCATGTCAGGGATGACGTTAGGAGAGCACGTGCAATTCTCAACAGCAGTCAAGCACAGAATCTATTTCCAGGGAGTGACCGCATGCTGCTTGATGGTCAAGGCAGTGCAGAACCTGAAATTGATCGCTGGGGTTAGCAACCTACCCGTCACTAGTGGCCTTGACAACATTCCAACTGTGATCTCTGGTTCTGTGGCCAAGATTACCCAAAGAAACTCTTGGGCAAGGCCTCTCCTGTTGCCCTGGAAATTATCTTACCCGAGGCAGGAGTGCCAGGTGCCCACCCTGGGTCTGGGTCCTGGCCTGATGACAGGCACATCTGAGGACACTTCCTCATCTTTGAGATGTGATAAAATTAAAGCTTTCTCCTAAGATTACTGGGAAGATTAGAAGAGGTAATCTTTATGATAGAACAGAGCTCAGTGTCAAATGCAGGCGCCCAGCACAGGCTTGCTCCGGCTAGCCACACTGAGCACGTACCACTTGCCAGGGACGCTATGGAGGGCTTCAAACACGATGATGCCATTGAGTCATGACAGGCCCATGATTATCCCCATTTTTCACACAGGGGTGGGGGAAAGTAGGCTGTGGAGAGGGCAAGCAACCTGCCCAAGTGATGATGCTGAGATCTGAAAACAGGTCTGTTTGAGCACTGAAGCCTTAGCCCGAAAGGGCTTAGGACAGACAAGGCAAGAAGAAACAGGCTGCGGGCACCTCCCTGTCCACAGTCTCTGTCCTTGGGTCTAGGGCCTGGATCCACTTAAGAGCTGGAGTGTAACTGACAGTTGAGAAGGGCAGAGGCTGGCCACTGCTCTGCCCAAGGCTGCCACTTCTGTGGAGACTATTGCCTTGTTCCCTCTCCCCAGGTCCTCATCAACCTGGCCCTGTTGATGAAGGAGGCAGAGCTTCGAGGCAGTCCCTCACTGGCCATGTGGCTGGTCAATGGCTTCCAGTTGCTCTACGTGGGTGATGCCCTCTGGCACGAGGTGAGGCTGGACTGGACGAGGGTGGGTGTCTGAGGGCCGCATAGGGACTAAGCCAGTGTGTCTGGGTCTTGTCCCTGCAGGAGGCCGTCCTCACCACCATGGATATCACACATGACGGGTTTGGCTTCATGCTGGCGTTTGGGGACATGGCCTGGGTGCCCTTCACCTACAGCCTGCAGGCCCAGTTCCTGCTGCACCACCCGCAGCCCCTGGGGTTGCCCATGGCCTCTGTCATCTGCCTCATCAATGGTCAGTCAGGAAGGGGCAGCAGGCTGGGCCCATCTTCCCCCTATCCCTTTGATTCATGCTCTGTTTACACGCACCACCACATAGGTGCTAACCCCCAGGGTTCTCTAAAGCCAGGGCAGGGTCCTGGGGGTCCAGGCAGAGTCTGGGCTGCAGACAAGTTGGGCAGATGTTCGGGGTCAGGCAGGAGGCTGCAACCCTTGACCTTGACCACCGGTTCACACTCTCTCACCAGCTACTGGTTACTACATCTTCCGTGGGGCGAATTCCCAGAAAAACACTTTCCGAAAGAATCCTTCTGACCCCAGAGTGGCTGGTGAGCTGGTTCTCTAGGGCCATGGGTGAGGTGGGGCAGCTGGGCTTCCTGGGAACTCTCCACCCTGCTGTCTTTCCCCAGGGCTTGAGACCATCTCTACAGCCACAGGGCGGAAACTGCTGGTGTCTGGGTGGTGGGGTATGGTCCGCCATCCCAACTATCTTGGAGACCTCATCATGGCTCTGGCTTGGTCCTTGCCCTGCGGTGAGTGGCCCATGTGGATATGGGTAGGGACATGTGAGGGGAAGAGGTGGCTCAGCGACCACAGGATGCCTACTTTGGGTATGCACCAGTGAGAGTAGTCAGAGAGCTGGGGGTGGACCCAGTGTGTGGCTGGGGCACACCTCTGTGCCAACCTAGTACCGTGTGCTTTGCTGCAGACCCTGGCGCTTTTGCTGCTGAGCCCCGATGCCCACATGAGCCATGAGGTGTGGAAACGTTTGTGAACTGCGGGGTGGAGGGGCCGGCAGGGTGGTCACAGAGCCTCCTTCTCTACAGGGGTGTCACACCTGCTGCCCTACTTCTACCTCCTCTACTTCACCGCGCTGCTGGTGCACCGTGAGGCCCGGGATGAGCGGCAGTGCCTGCAGAAGTACGGCCTGGCCTGGCAGGAGTACTGCCGGCGTGTGCCTTACCGCATCATGCCCTACATCTACTGAAGCGGCTCCACCACCCCAGGTGGGGGCATGTGCCCACTCATCCACCAGCACACCCAGGACCAGGAGCCTCGACACACTTGGGACTCAAGGGCTTGCACCCCACCCAGCCCTGAGGATGAACAACCTCAGAGAAGAGGTGGTTTAGAGCAAGGAAAAAAATGAAACCAGTGACCAAAATCGGAGATGCTCTTCCTCCTTTGGATAAACACTGGGAACCCTTGGTGCACTTCTCTCCCCTAGGACTGGCTGGGTCAGCACTGATCAGGGAGAAGCTGAGCAGTGGCTTGTGGGCCCAGGAATCTGGGGTCTGGTGGGACAATAGCTATCCCTCAGAAACAAGCAACAGGGCTGACCAGTCACAGCTTTATTAATGACCAGGGTAACCCGTTCAGCTAGGGAGCTCCTCAATGAGAGTTCTTGGGGCAGGTGGCACGGGGCCTCCCCAAAGCCGCTCCAGCTCCCCAGTGAGGGCGGCCACCTCCTCGGCTACCACAGCATGGGCTTGGTGAGCCCTGGCGCAGTCTAGGGCCAGGGGTGTGAGGGCCGCCTCATTTTCGTTGGTCCAGGCCAGGAGGAACTGGCACTTTTTCCGGGCCCGGTAAAGATGATCTCGCTCTTCTCTAGCCACGGCCTGTTTCCGGGCACGGCCCAGGGTCTGTGCCAGGTCCCCCAGTGCTGCCAGCGTGTAGCCTTTCTGGTTGGTCGGGCCCTCGCCCAGCAGGATGCGGGCGACCTCGTGCATAGCCCCTCGTGTGCCCAGGGGCCCCGGCGGGTGCTCGCCTGCTTCCAGCACGTGGGCTGCCGCCTGCAGGGCTTCTTCCGCAGAGGCGAAGACTTGCTGGGCACCCAGGGCTCCGGAAACGCCGAGCAGTGTGGCACAGAAGTCAGAGAGCAGCGCGTCGTCACCGCCGTGATACAGGGCGAGAGTATGCGCGTAGGCGAACAGCACATTGGGCAGCTGGAAGCGCACGAGCGGCGAGACTGGGCCGCGGCTCAGGCTGACTATCGCGGGGATGCGGGTGGGTACGACGGGCGTGCAGGCCCCCGGGACATCTCCAAGAACCCGCTCGGCGGCCGCGGGCTCCGCGGCGGAGGCATCTTTCACAGAATCCGGCGGGGTCCTCGCAGGGGCGAGCTCCAGCTCCGCGGCGTCACTACCCGGGGCATTATCCAGCTCCTCCAGAAGCTGCGGTCCGGCTCCGCGGTTCCACCACCACGGCCGCCATGGAGGCAGCAGCCGCCCGGCCTCACCGCGGCTCAGCAGCCGCTCGAAGGCAGCTTTTTCGCCCGGCGCCAGCCGCTCCCAGAGTCCCGATAGGCCGCCGGGCGCCGGGCCGGAGCTGAGGCCTGCTTCCCCAGGCTCGTCCTCGGTCTCGCGTTGCTGACGCAGCCGGCGTAGGGCGCTTGCTAGGCGGCTGGGAGGAGCGCTGCAACCGCGGAGCTCTCCCAGCACCTGGTCACGGTAGAAGTTTTCTGCGCAGGTGCCATGCGTCCGGTAGCAGCGCAGCGAGCAGTAGGGCGCATTACAGCGAGGGCAGGTGTAACGCGCTGGCTGGACCTCCCCCGCCGGGCAGAAGCCACAGGGCCCGGCCGGCTCCATGGCAACTGGCACCGCGATCTACCTGCGAACGCACGCCGGTGGTAGTTCGAAACTTCCGGGGCTTCTTCGATTACTTCCGGTTCGCAGCGCGGCCGACGGCGCGCTGTGTTTTCGCAAAGCTTCCGAGGATTCTCGGCAATTTCCGCCCACGCCCGAAAGCCAAGCCCCACCCCTTTCCCTAGTAGGGCGAGAGCAGGCCCAGAAGCCGGGCGTCAGGTACGAGCCCCGCCCTATGCGATGACGCAAGGAGCGAAAAAATGGGTCTGGCGAGCGCTTCGCCGGTGCCACGTCTCCCCCTAGTGGTCACACCAAAACGTGGCCCGATCATCTAAAGAGAAAACCCTCTTTTTAGCACTACAATGTGCTGTGGCATAAATCCATCTTTACTAGGCACCTACTCTGGGCCACTAATTGTGCCAAGCCTACGGGAGGCGATGCATCCCTGCGCTGGACACAGACAAATAAAATGCACTAGGGGACACAGACAAATAAAAGGACAGTTAGGGCCAGGTACGGTGGGTCACGCCGGTAATCCCAGCATTTTGGGAGGCCGAGGCGGGCAGATGACCTGAGGTCAGGAGTTTGAGACCAGCCTGACCAACATGGAGAAACCCCGTCTCTACTAAGAATACAAAATTAGCCGGGCGTGGGGGACGGGTGCTTGTAGTCCCAGCTACTCCTGAGGCTGAGGCAGGGGAATCGCTTGAACCCGGGAGGTGGAGGCTGCAGTTAGCCGAGATCGCGCCACCGCTCTCCAGCCTGCGAGCCTGGGCCACAGAGAGAAACTCCACCTCAAAAAGATAAATAGAAAGCAGCATTTAAGAAATATCTGAGCTCCTATGATTTTTTTCCTCCAAAACTGCCTCTTCTTTTCATTAAGTATCTTCTCATTAAATACCACTATTCATCCATCTTATTAAGTGCAGGCCCCATTCTAGGTGCCAAGAACACAATGCACATCAAAGGGAGCCGGGGGTCCCTGTTCTAATAGAGCTCACTCTTGTGGTGGAGTGGGGGGTGTGATGAACCAAACTGTGAGTGTTCTTTGCATCCCTGCTACTACTGGTGGTCTAAGCTTCCTGACCCCTCATGTGGATGACAACACATTAAGTGTTTTTCCTAACTTTCTTGCCAGCCCTCCAGAAAAACCTGCCAGAGAAATTAGATCACAAGTCAGATGAGATCCATCTGTTACTCAAAACCCTTCTGCGACCCTCCATTGCACTTGGACTCAAACCCAAACTCCTCTCTATGGCTGACAAGGCCTTGCAGGATCTGCCCGCCCCCAGCCCTAGACATCACCTCTTCCCCATCTTCACACAGTCCTCTAGGCTTGAAATATTCCCCTACCTGATCACTTGACTGGTTCATCTCAGGTCTCACTCACGTCATTTAAACAGGACCTCTCGGCTGGGCACAGCGGCTGACACCTGTAATCTCAGCACTTTGGGAGGCCAAGGTGGGCGGATCACTTGAGCCCAGTTCAAGACCAGCCTGGGCAACATAGCAAAACCCTGTCTCTACAAAAAAGTACAAAAAATTAGCCAGGTGTGGCGGTGCATGCCTGTAGTCCTCAGCTACTTTGGAGGCTGAGTAGGATCACCTGGGCCCAGGAGTTGGCGGCTGCAGTGAGCCATGATTGTGCAACTGCACTCCAGCCTGGATGAGAGAGACCTTGTCTCAAAAACAAAAAAGAAAAGGCCGGGCACTGTGGCTCATGGCTGTAATCCCAGTACTTTGGGAGGCCGAGGTGGGCGATCACGAGGTCAAGAGATCGAGACCATCCTGGCCAACATGGGGAAACCCCATGTCTACTAAAAATACAAAAATTAGCTGGGCGTGGTGGCACATGCCTGTAGTCCCAGCTACTCAGGGGGCTGAGGCAGGAGAATGGCGTGAACCCGGGAGGCTGAGGTTGCAGTGAGCTCGGATTGTGCCACTGCACTCCAGCCTGGCGACAGTGCGAGACTCTGTCTCAATAAAATAAAATAAAGAAAAAAGAAAAACAAAAAAAGAGGCCCTCTCTGGGATGCTATTGTATCTGTCCACATCCTCCCCCTTTCTAAACTGCTGGAAGGCAGAAACCATGTCTTTAACACCACAGAGACAAAAATAGCCAAGATTCACACACTCACTGTAAGCCAGATGTTGATTTACATCCTTTAACCCTCACAGCAGCCCTGGAGATGGCAGAGATTAAATTAGTAGTTAGTTCAAAGGCCAGCCACCCAGTAAATGGAGTAGGAAGAAAAAGAAGGTCCAAACTCAGGCAGTCAAAGTCCACAGCCCAAGGGCTTTACCCTGTTGGATGCTATTTCTCAAGAACTGGCAGGTCCAGAAACTTTAGCTGAATGAGTAAGTGGGGTTCAGAAGTGCTGGGAGGCTCAGTTGCCAGAAGAGAACCCTGAATCAGCCCCAGAGGTAACCCAACTTTTGGGAACACTGAAACCTCACTATATCCAATCACAGATGTGATTAGGTTACCAAGTCCGGCCAGGCAGTCACAGAGGTACAAACGAGGCCATGCTCCCAACATAATATTTACTTCTAAAACCAAGGCAGACCAGATTCCTGCCCTGGACTCTAAGGCCACAGCTGGTACCAAGTTCAGGGAACGGCCAGGTTCACCTTCTATACAAACCTCTTCCCCCACCCATCCCTTCTATTGCTGCCTCCATAACAAACCTCTCACCACAGTGATTCCTGCTACCTTCTCTGTTTAGAAGATGAAAAAGAATGACCTGGGGGGACTGATCAAGTTACTTAGGATAGGGAATAACCCCAATTTTACATCTGAAGCCCCCCAGGATCTGTAGCTGTTTCTTCACAGGAAATTTCTCTTGTAGTTTACCATTTCTTCCCCCCATACCAAAGGCTTCTGCCTTTTCTGCCTCACTGTTCTCCTAGGGGACATACCACCAACCCGAGAAGCACACCTCTCCCTGAGGCCTTGCAAGTAAAGATGAAACAATGCGATGACTGAACTAAGTGGCTTTTTTATTAGAGAAAGCCAGAATTACAAAAGACTTAAGAGTTGGCATTGGGGCCCTTCTTCTTGCCAAAGGTGGGCACAACGTTGACAAAGCGCCGGTTGTACTGCATCCGCCGCTTAGCCCGACCTGTCTTCTTCTTCTTCTTCTCCTGTTTGGCCACCTGGAGAAGGGAAGGTTAATCAGGCCCTGGTTCCTGTCTTCCACACCTAGCATCCCTTCCCTCAGGCTCATCTCCAGGGAGGGAGAAGGCAAACCGAGTAAGAGCCCAGGGACTTGGTTTAGCTGTGAAAGGAAAAAAAGTCCTAACACCATGACCACTAATACTCTCACTCACCTTAGGAGTCTGACCTCTCACTTTTCCAGCACGGGCCAGGGAACCATGGACTTTACCTGTAGTGGGAAAGGAAGGCACCAGCAGGTAAGAGCAAGAAGGTGCCACCCAGCAGAACCCCTCTTTTCTCAATTCAAGCCTTTAAAGAGAAGCTGCGCCCAATAGGTAATGAGAACAAAGTTGCAGATATTTGACCTTGAAATCTTAAGTTTCATTTCAGGATCTTCCAGCTTCTAATTTTATAGAGCACTTTGGGGGCCCTGGTCTGACCTAATTTTAGTGTGGAAGCTGATAACCAGACTAGGATCTCGTGATGTGACTGAAATACAACTACACTCTGGCTCAGTCTCCCATGGACGTCTGTGTTCAACATGAGGGATGTAAACAGGAAGAATCACTCTGAACTGAAGACAGTGAGAAGTACTCTATTACCATAGGTGTGACACTCAGCTGTCAGGACTATGCACCCCACACTCACTAGACGCTTACCGGTACTTCAAAGAACATTCCTCTCTCACTCACCTCCAAGCATGCGGCCTGCTACTTCCAGGGTAGTCAGGGCCTCCACCCCGCACTGGCCCAGAGTGGCCTCATCCTCCAGGGGCGCGCCTGCCAGGAGCACGACTTGATCTTCCGGGGCAATGCCCTCCAGTGAGGCTACATGAGCCTACAGGGAAAGATAAGGCTCGTAAGCGTTCCCTCGGGCCGCGAGAGTGAAGAGCACAAGAAAATGGAACCCAGGGCGCACCAAGCAGCCTTACCTTGATCTGGGCGACCGTTTCCTGGCCGGTCACCTCGAAGGTGTGTAGCTCCTGGGCGCGGACAAAGAGCTGCATATTGGCGACTGAGTAAAGAAAAGACGGCTTGTAAGAGAAGCCAAGAAATGCTCTGGGATAAAGGAGATTTGGGAGTGGAAAGCGGTCCAGAAACGATCGCGACGGGATGGTGGTCGCGGCGGCTCACGTGGGGAAGGCCAGGCCTCCCAAGGAGTTCGGATAGGGACTGGAGCAGGGCCACGGAGCAGGCCCCGTTCTTCGGTTCCCCCCGCGCCTTCTGACCCCGCAGCCAACCTGCTACAAGCCCTTCGGATCCAGCCAAGGCCCCATTCTTACCTGAACGGCGGTCCCAGCTACCGCGAAGATGGAGTCGAGAAAGAGGAAGAAGCGAGGGCGCGTCAGTACAGACCGTGGGCTGCGTGTCACGTCACTGCTGAGCGACCGCGCGGTTCCCTGCTATTTGTACCGCCCAAGGCAGTCCTAGCTCCGCCCCTTTACGCTCGCACCGGCGAACCTGCCTGGGCAGGCAGCTCGCGCAGGACGGGGCGGGACCAGACAGTTGCGCGCACAGAAGGCTGGCGTAGCAGGTAAAGATGGCAGCTACCATGTTCCGGGCTACGCTGCGGGGATGGAGAACCGGTGTCCAGCGGGGCTGCGGGCTACGGCTGTTGGTGAGAGCGCTGAGCGAGGAGCTGAGGGCATCGCGTGGGTGTGAGGCTCAGTGTTAATCATTGTTAACCCCGAAAACTAAGGCATTCCTACTTGGGGCCTTAGTTTTGCCGTTTTCGATCAGGAGAACTTGTCCCGAGTGTACATATAGAATCGAGAGGGAAAATGGTAGACTGGGGTGCTCTTTGGGAGCACTTAACACAGTGCCTGGCAGTGTCTATATAAGCCACAACGTTTCAGGTAAGGGGCGGGGTCCTAGCATATGAGTGTGCGTGGGGAATTATGATTGCCTTAATTCTTTTTTTTTTTTTTTTTGAGACGGAGTCTCGCTCTGTCGCCCAGGCTGGAGGGCAGTGGCGCGATCTCGGCCCACTGCAAGCTCCGCCTCCCAGATTCACGCCATCCTCCTGCCTCAGCCTCCCGAGTAGCTGGGACTACAGGCTCCCGCCACCATGCCCGGCTAATTTTTTGTATTTTTAGTAGAGACGGGGTTTCACCTTGTTAGCCAGGATGGACTGGATCTTCTGACCTCGTGATCCGCCCGCCTCGGCCTCCCAAAGTGCTGGGATTACAGGCATGAGCCGCCGAACCCGTCTGATTGCCTTAATTCTTAAGGCAATCATAAGATTAAACATCACTATATCCCGTCACAGATGTGATTAGGTTAGCAAGGCCAGCCAGGCAATCATGGAGGTACAAACAAGGCCACGCTGCCAATATAATAATATCTATTTCTAAAACCGAGACAGAAAGTTAAGCCTTAAGTTTCTAAAGGCTTGATTGACTTTTCAGAAGTGTACATATACTCTTTTGCATCCCACAGAAATCCTGAGAGGCAGACCATTCAGAGTACCTGAGCCTCCTTTCCATCCCATCTGTACCCTGCACCATGGAAAACCAAAGACTGGTGCTATCTTATGTCAACCTAAATAACAGACTCTAAAAGAAAAGGATATTTATTCGGGAATGGGTATAGACTATGTGCTTATCAGGGAGGTAAAAGAAGACAAAGGTTTTTAACAGAAAAATGGGCCAGGCACGGTGGCTCACGCCTGTAATCCCAGCACTTTGGGAGGCCAAGGCGCGTAGATCACCTGGAGTCAGGAGTTTGAGACAAGCCTGGCCAACATGGTGAAACCCGTCTCTAGAAAAAATACAAAAATTAGCCGGGTGTGATGGCGTGTGCCTGTAGTCCCAGCTACTTGGGAGGCTGAGGTAGGAGACTTGCTTGAACTTGGGAGGCGGAGGTTGCAGTGAGCCGAGATCACACCACTGCACTCCAGCCTAGGTGACAGAGTGAGACTCTATCTAAAAAAATAATAAAAATAAATAAAGGAAAGGAAAAATGAGTATTACATAATTGTTTTGAGACAGTTATCCTTGGCTACAAGGATGAATAACATGGGTGGTGCCAGTTCAAGATTGGACAGGCAGTTGTTGGACAGATGGCCATGCAGGAATTTGTTTTGTTTTGTTTTGTTTGAGAGAGTCTCGTCGCTCTGTCACCGAGGCTGGAGTGCAATGGTGCGATCTTAGCTCACTGCAACCTCCACCTCCTGGGTTCAAGCAATTCTCCTGCCTCAGCCTCCCAAGTAGCTGGGATTACAGGCATGCACCACCATGCCCGGCTAATTTTTGTATTTTCAGTAGAGATGGGGTTTCGCCATGTTGGCCAGGCTGGTGTTGAACTCCTGACCTTAGATGATCCTCCTGCCTCAGCCTCCAAGGTGCTGGGATTACAGGCGTGAGCCACCTTGCCCAGCCAGAAATATTTTTTTGTGTAAGGTTGAAGTGGCCTTTGTGCAAGGCTGTGGTTTTTGCAGTCTTTTGTGGTAGTTCTTGTTATTAAGTATTTGTGCCCAAGAACTCTCTCTTCGTGGCCCTCCCTAGCTCTATTTGTTGGGATTTTTAACCCAAGTGACTCACTCCATTTTGATTCTGATAGCTTTCACACCGTCGCCCAGCCTTTTATTTATGTCATTCTCTCTGCCTGTAATGTTTCCATTCTCTACTTACTGAAGTTATGCCATCCTGTGTTGGGTAGGCTAATGGAGAAATGGGATTTTTGTTTTGCTTCAGAGCCAGACCCAGGGCCCTCCAGATTACCCCAGGTTTGTGGAGTCTGTGGATGAATATCAGTTTGTGGAGCGCCTGTTACCGGCTACCAGGATCCCAGATCCCCCAAAGCATGAACATTATCCTACCCCTAGTGGCTGGCAGCCTCCCAGAGGTGAGCTGGGTGGTTAGGGATGATTTGAAAGCTTCACGGAGCATCACCTCCTCCCCAGAGGTTGGCCTCCCCCATGAGGCTCTGGACTCTCCAGTGGGTTCAGGACTCATTTTGCAATCCCTCTGGGTTACATCTGTCTCATGCCCAAGGAAGAGCCGAGGAGTGGAGCCTTCTGTTGTTCACTGGTACTCATCCATCCACACTATTGAGATCAGGTCTTCCCCATATGGGGGAAAGTAAACAACAGAGAGAAAACCCAAGAGCTTGGACCTTCTTTCCCCCCAGCAGACTATGTACTGTAATTAAGAACACAGCTTGGAGTCAGGCAGTTCTGGGTTTGAATTTGGCTTTATTTACTGTTGATGTTATCTTGAATTAGTCACTTAGCTTGACCCAACCTGTTTTAGCAAAATGGAGATAATCTGCTCAGTACATAGAGCCCTTAGTGCAGAGCCCAGCATATGGTAGGTGCTCAGTGCTTGCAAATCCCAATCTCTTTGTTCCAGAGATTGATTTCGGCCTCCCTGACCCAGTGGAGGAGGGCAAGGGTTGGCCTAGAGGGGGACCCAAAGATCCAGGGAGGCATGTCCCTGATTTCATTTTTTCTTGAGCACCTACTTAGTGCCAGGCCCTGTGTGGGGCCTTAGGGTACCAGGGTGAACAATTTGGTCCTGACTCCAAGCTGAAGGAAAGAGGAGACCCCCTGACCTAAAGTCTGGAGGTGGCTTGGTCCAGCTGGGTGCACTGGCCCTCTGCAGACTGAGAGCAAGGGCCTTGGCTGAGGTGGGATGGCACGTAGGAAGAGTTGATTTAACAGTGTCTTTCCCTGTTGCAGACCCCCCACCCAACCTGCCTTACTTTGTACGACGCTCTCGGATGCACAACATCCCCGTCTACAAGGACATCACGCATGGCAACCGGCAGATGACTGTGATCCGGAAAGTGGAAGGGGACATCTGGGTAAGTGGGTGGGTGGGTCTGGGACTGGGCCTGACCCTTTCAGGGCTGAAGGGACAGGAGTCTTTTTAAGGGAAGGGACTCTTGGCCTGACCTGATTTGTCATCTTTCCCCAGGCCCTGCAGAAAGACGTGGAAGATTTTCTGAGCCCGCTGCTGGGGAAGACACCTGTCACCCAGGTCAATGAGGTGACAGGTACCCTACGGATCAAGGGCTACTTTGACCAGGAGCTTAAAGCCTGGCTCTTGGAGAAAGGCTTCTGAGGCCCAGCCGAGCAGCCTGCTTGTCAGCATGCCCTGTGGATCAAGTCTAGGGGGCCTCAGGAGGAGGGAGGTGGGTGTTGGAGCCCCTGAGACAGGGGATACAGAAACTAGGGCTAAAGGACTTTGGGGTCAGGCCTTGCTTGCATAAAGGAGAAAACAACTCTATGTACATGCTGGGGGAGAGTGCCTAATGTGGGAGACCAAATAGGGATCACCAGGCTAATGGGGGGCGTCAGCAGCTTTCTCTCCCTCCTATCTTGGCCTGTTCTTTTTTGTTTTTTGAGACGGAGTCTCACTCTGTTGCCCAGGGTGGAGTGCAGTGGCATGATCTTGGCTCACTGCAACTTCCACCTCTGGGATCAAGGGATTCTCCTGCCTCAGCCTCTTGAGTAGCTGGGATTACAGGCGCCCACCACCACAGCCTGCTAATTTTTGTATTTTTAGTAGAGATGGGGTTTCACCATGTTGGCCAGGCTGGTCTCAAACTCCTGACTCGAAGTGATCCGCCCACCTTGGCCTCCCAAAGCGTTGGGATTATAGGCATGAGCCATGTGCCTGGTCCACCTTGGCCTGTTTTGTTTTTCTTTCCTTGGGCTCAGCAATTCAAATTCTAGTTGTTATTTGGTGGAAGCAGTAGCCCAACCCCAGTTTAGGGGAAGGTAGCACAGGGCAGAGCCACTGGGCACTTTGTTTCCTTGGCCCTCCGAAGCTCACTGTTGCAAATACCCCCAAGCCTTTGCTCTAGGCCAGATCTTGTTTGGTGCAGGTGATGGAGAACACAGATGACTCGGGCATGGGTCTTGGAGATCTTCTGTTCAAAGTACAGTGCTGGCACTGGGGCACAGAGTGCCCACGTTAGCCCCGGGCTCTGATAGAGAGGTAGGAGGCACGTTCTTGGTCACTGTTCCATTGCAGACCAGACTTGCTGGCCTGACCACAAGGGAGTGGCTGGGAACTCACAGCCAGCATAGGGACATCCCCCTGCAGCCTTCTGACCTGCAATCAAGGCTGGGGAGGGGTTTGCAGGCAGGAATATGCTGACCTTTCACCCTGCCATCCCATCCCAACCCCAGCTCACTAGCCTTCATATATGCCTTATACTTGGAGTCACAGGGGCCAAAGGCCTGAGACCCCACCCTGCCCCCAAACTGGCTAAGACAGCTTTCAGTTCCTGACTCCCCAACTTGGTCTCTGCCCTGAAGCAGGGCACTGAACTCTGGGCTGCTTCTCTGTGTGTAAAATGGGCACATCTTCCTAATCTGTTAATGGTCAGTGGTGTCCCCAAGGATAGTGCTGGCTTCCATGGAAACCCTCACTCCTGGAGATTCCATTCCATTTTCAAGTGTACAGCCACAGCAAGGAGCCCGACACTGATTTGATCGATTCTGTGACACAAACCCCACCAATTGTTAATGCAAGTTTTTATTTGGCTGTATATACAATTTAAGCTATTAAAATTTGTACAATATTTACAAATTAAATAATCATCTGAAACTGTCTCCAACAACTCTTGTAACACAAAACCAAGGGGAAAAGACAGGGGCAGGCAGGTCCCAGCTCCTGTGGTCCCTCCTTGGCACAGAGCCTTTTCTAAACTGGAAAGACCAGGAGTCTGGCACTCCTGTTCCTCTTTCCCGGGATTAAGCATTCAACTTCAAAAGACAAAATTTAAGCCAAAAGACACTAGTAAGGAAGTAATTCCAATTCTAAACTTCAGAAGTTCTGCCAGTTGAGAAGTGGCCTTCCTTGGGCGCTGGGATTGCAGTGGTCAGGAGCAGGCGCACTGGCCCTTGCCTGGAGTGCGGCTGGGCAGTGGCTGCTGGGTGAGACAGGTCAGTCTCACTTGAGAAGCTGCAGAGGAAAGGGGCCTGGGGGGAGGGGCGGGGCAGGGTCCCTCAGTGCTGCCCGCCTGCACCCCCACTCCCAGGCATTCCTTTCCCTGAGTTGTGTGGTTGCCAGTAAGACGCAGAAATGCCACAGGGCATAGGGGGCACAGCCACCACCACAAGAGGCTTCTGGGGAGATCAGGGTAAGAAAAGGAAATGGGTACCAGTCTTAGGGGTGGGCCAGCGAGCAAGTTCATAGCTTGCCTCCAGCCCCTCTGGAGTCCACACTTGGGAACGGGAGCTAATACTGTTCGGCACTGCAGTGTGACTCCGCACATACAAGTAGGGCTTGGAGGGGCAGCCCCTTCTCCTGGAAAGGGGTGGGGGAAGAAGAGGGCTTCTCAGAGGCTAAACCTTCTGCCTTCATGGCCCCAGCAGAACACAGGGCTGAAGAGTTGGAGAGGAAGGCTGGAACTGACCCGAGATCCCCATGGCTGCCTGGGACTGGAGTCAAATGGGAACCCCAGCCTCTTTCCACTTGGCCTAGGGGATGCCGCCTCTTTCTCAGAGCTGGGGGTACTACTCCCTGGTGCAGACAGAGAGGGAGCTGGCACTTGGTGGCAGGACATGTTCCAGCGAGGGCTGCTCAAAAGAGCAGAGGCTGGGGCTGGGCTGGGGCAGTGTCAGTGGGCAACAGGAGACTCCAGCTTCTGCAGGCGGCGCCGGCGGAGCTCTGCTGCATCGGGCTCTCCATCCTCAGGCATCTCCTCTGTGCCCACTGACTCAGGAGCTGGGGACAGAGAGACTGGAAGTGGAACCTAGAGAAGTTCCCTGCTCCCCCGGCTGGAGGCCAATCACACCTACCTGGAGGCCTTTCCATTTCAGGGGCTGGTGGGGAGGCTCCTGGGGTTGGGGTCGTGGCCTCTGAGCTAGGGATGCTGGTGGAGGAGGCAGCAGCAACAACTGTAGTGGCAGTCTCCTCAGTGGAGTTGACTGAAGTGGCAGGCCGGGGGGGCCTGGGAAGAGAAGGGACGAGAGGCGGGCCTGGCCTTGGCATCCAAGGTTGGGCAGATTCTCCTGCCCTTGGTGAGCCTTGCAGAACAGAGTATAGAATGATGTGCCCTTGTGGCCCCAGTGCCTGGCAAACACAAGTGAACATGCTGAATGAACTCAGACAGGGTGACTGGACTCAAGGGCCAAATGATTCTATCCCTTAGCTGTAAGGTGCTTGCAGGCAGGGACTGTTGACCTGTTCACTCTTACCCTGCAGTCTCCACCCTGGGGAGTCAGGCACCTTATAGGGGACTCACTCAATAAGCCACAGTGCTCGAGCCTTGGACTCAAGTTCCTCTCCAAGCCTGTGCTGTCACTGCTAGATGCCAGGCATTATGTACATGTCACTTTTTTAAAAGACAGCGTCTCGGCTCTGTCACCAAAGCTGGAATTTAGTGGCACAATCATAGCTCACTGCACCCTCAAATTCCTAGGCTCAAACAATCCTCCTGCCTCAGCCTTCCAAAGTGCTGATTATAGGTGTGTATCTGGCAGTACACATCACTTATGAATATGAATTAAGACCCCTTTATTCAAATAATGAGAGGTCAAAAATGAGTGATGGGACCAGCGCTTGAACTTGAGCCAGGATGGCTCCAAGTGACTTCCTATTATTCGCTCCCTCAGTTTGGGGGCAGCAATTGCCAATCTAAGTGTCACCACATCTCAGAAGAATATCATGTGATGAACTAAAGCACTGCAAATTCTGAATAATTTGACTTTAGAAAAATATAAAGGAATAAGATCTAAAGTCAGCTCTCGAATAAACATCACTCCTACTTAGATCCAGACATGCTTTCTGGAGTGGGAAATAAAGGCACCAGGAGTTACCAAGAACTCCTGGAGACCCTTGGTGGGCCTGTAGATAGGCAGCCTGAATTGGCAGGTGTCAAAGGCCAAGAACCACTGCTGGGGACCTCTTGGCAGCTCCACTCCTGACCCACCAAACCCACTCTGCTTCCCCTGTACAGACACACCCCAAGGAGGCCAGCACGGTGAGGTACTGGTTGATCTGCAGCATGGCGGCGTCCAGCAGTGTGTGGATGTTACGCAGGCTCTGCAGCCGGGCCTCCAGGTGCTGCCGCTCATGGCCCTCCAGAGCTCGTAGCTCCTCTGGGGTCAGCCCAGCAAAGCCCGCAGGGGGCACAGGCATTGGGGGGAAGGCTGGAGAGAGAGAGGCTCAGTCTGGGCTGCTGGGGCCAGACACCAACCTCACCCCCAAGAAGAACCCAGAGAGTGGCCCAGCTTACCAAAGGGTGGAGGCAGGGGCATACCCATCCAGGGAGGAGGGAAGGGGAAACCAGGGGCAGGGCCAGCCTCTGGGGCAGAGCCAGAGCCTGGGCCAGATGCTGTGGCAGAAGCAGCAGTAGCACTGGTGCCAGCAGCTGTGGTTGTAGCTGCTCCACTGGGCCGAGAAAGGGCTGCTGAAGAGCAGGAACGAAGTCAGTGAGTGTTCCATCCCTGCCGCCCCCTGGCTGTCACAGTACCCAAAGGCTCACCTGCACTGGTGGATGGAGGAGCCACAGCCTCTCCTGAGCTGGGGGGAGGCGGGACAGGTGGAAAGGGGCCCATGGGGGGCCACAGTGGGAACATGCCTGGAGGAAAAGGAGGCAGGAGGCCCTGGGGGACTGCAGAGAGAAGACGGAGGTAAGGAAAGGGCCAAATGGACACAGACCCAACTCCCAGGCAGGGGGCCTGGCTATTGAGAGCTCTGTCCTATTCCCACAGGCCCTCAGCCCAGCACTGGTCACACTGACTGCAAGCATCTATTTCTCATCTTTTAATCCCTCCCTGGCCCAGACTGAGATTCTGGAGGGCAGGGACTCTCCAATTTCCCAGCATCTTCCACATCCAGCCCAGGGCAAGTATCCAGTGGTATGCCGGGTGGCCAGACAAGGGGATACTCACAGTTGGGGGGCTGAGGCAAGAGTGGTGGGGGGTGGGGGGCAGGGGGTGGCCCCTGATCCGCAGGCTCCGGGGGTGGTGGTGACTGCGCTGGCAGCGATGCACGAAGGACATCCATACGGCAGGTGGGGCAGGTCTGCTGCCGCTGGAACCAGGAGCGCAGGCAGCTGCGGGTCAAGGCCAGGCAGAGGTCAGCAGGTCCCTAGGGGCCTGCCTTCTGGGGCCTGTGCCCTGCTGTGCAGGCTCCCCAGGGCCCCTCCCACCTGGTATGGAAAATGTGGTTGCAGGGCAGTCTCTTGGCACCAGTCACCATCTCTTCTCGGCAGATGATGCAGACATTGTCCATTGCCTGGAGCTCCTCTGGGGTGGCATCTGGATACCTGGTTAGGATGACAGGGGCTGTATCAGGTCCAGAGCTGGAAGCAGAGGGACCCAGGACCGAGCTTGGGACAGCAGCCATGACAAGCCTACTTACAGGGTGTTCATGTTGCGGATGGCTCGGCGAGACATGATGGCATCTGTCACAGCTTTCTTGAACTGTCTGAAAGGACAGTCAGTGAAAGCAGGAGAAGGGACGGGATCAGGTCAGGAGGATCGGGGGACAGGGCCGGGCTCACCTCATGGCCAGGTACATGGGCCGGATGGCAAAGAGTGGGAAGGTGTGCACCTTGATCATGATGGTCATGAAGGCCATGTACAGCAGAACCTTGATGAAGCCTGAGGGGAGGGGATGCAGAAAGCAGCAGGTCACAGGGCCAGGAGGCAGAGTGGAGGATGCTGGTCCAGATCAGGAGAGGCCCAGGCCCCTCTCACCTGTAAACAGCTCTGTGTAGAGCATGTACACAGCCTTGTTGTCCCAGGGGTTCTCACTCTGGAGGTCCACGGAGTGCAGCACATACTTGATGAAGATGGTGAGCACCATCGTCATCAGGATGGCATACTGAAGGGAGAGGGGGACGAGGGGGATGTAAACACATAGCTCCCCCTTGCTGCACCCACATTGCTCCCCAAGGCCTCTGCACAGCAGGTGCAGTGGTACAATCACAGGCTCTAGACACACCCAGGGTCCTCCTAGCCCCTCCACTTACTAGCTGTGACTTTTGGCAACTCAGTGAACCTCAGTTTACTTATCTATAAAATGACATAATTAACTGTTCCTTTATAACAGTATTGTCTTGCTGAATAAGAGATGCAGGTCAGGAGCTCAGCATAGGGCCTGGTGTGAAATTCGCACTCAACAAATATGAGCTGTTGTCACTGAACACATTCTCTCTCTGCCAGGGACACGCCTCCAGTTGTCCATGGAACTAATCCTCTCCTGTCCATTACCAGCTAGCTCCGGCACGAGCCTCCAGGAACCCTCTCCTGAGCCCCAGGTTGGGGCTCCTCCTCTGTCCTAGCCTCTTTGTGCGTCTCCCCAGTCACCTAGGAGTGAGCGTGTGGAGGGCAGGAGCCATATCTGATCACTGCCCCTTGGTGGCCAGCACAGGTTGGCCACATAGCAGGTGCTGAGGAAGGGTCTGTTGGGTTATTCAAGGCACATGTGGGGTCACCTCGGGCTTGTCCTCTCAACCTCCCAAGCCAGTTTTACCTCAAAGCCAAACACCAGCTGCACAGAGGCCCCACGGGTCAGGATGCTGTGATAGGCGTGGCTGACGAAGAGGAAGTCCAGGATGCCCAGGAGGAACATAAGAGCTGTGGGGACCCCCACACATGCAGGGTGGGGGGGTCAGCCCAGGGCCCAACAGCTGTTTAATGCTCTAGGACAGCCCCACCCTCAAGCCCACCATGGCCCCAGCGATCTAGTCAGGTGGGCACACTCCACTGAACCTGGCCCTCTGGGAACTTCCTGGGGGAGGGGGAGTTGTTGGGGCTGCCCAGGCTGCAGGTGAGAAGGCAAAGGGCTGAGGGCCCAGGCAGTTGAGAAGCCCTAGAGTGGAACAGCACAGAGACTATGCAAATTAACTTCCTAAATTATCTTTCCTGTACAGCTGTGGGGGGTAGCCTGTGCTCTGGAGTACAGGTCCACGGTTCACGTTCCAGTCCTCCCTTCCCCTCCCCTGAATCTCACTCACAGACAATGCGGCAGTGAAAGAGCCAGGAGATGTTGGGGCTGCGTTCCATCTGAGGCAGAGCACAGAAGAGGCCTGTCAGGAGGCCTGGGGCTCACCCCACACCCTCAACCTAGCCCTCCCTGCTCCTTAAGCCTGCCCGCTGGCTACTCCCTGGCTTCCACCTGCTCCAGAACTCCCTGCCTTGACTCACAAAGTCCACACGGTCCTCAGCCAGCCAGTGGAAACATTTGAGGAAGAGAAGAAGAGTGAAGAGTGCAACAAAGCGGGGGCTGAAGTCATCCCGAAAAACGGTGAAGGCCAGACAAGTCTCTGTGACGGCGTACCAGGAACGTTCCAGAAGGTGCTGGGGGCCAGGCAGGGAATAATGTGGATACCAAACATTCTTTCCCAGCACCCTGCCCTCACCTTTGGGGCAGCCGACATCTTACCTCCATCTCTGCTGCCCTCAGTTGCCCAAAGAACACCTTGCCCATCACCTTGCCCAGAAGGAAGACAAGGACAAAGGCCTGGATGTACAGGACCTAGGAGTGGGGAGAGGCTGTGGTTTGAGGTCACTTTCTGCTTTCCTCTCCTTGGGACTCATCATGCAGGATCCTCCACATCCTCATCACAGTTTATTCAAAGTTAGGCAGCTGGCGGCTACTTCCCTACTTACCTGACCTCTAGCCCCGCCCCTTGCCCAGGCAGACTCCTCCTTCCCTCCCAGGGAGTTCCTCCCTCCCTGAGCCCTGAACTCACTGCCATGCTGGGGCTGGACTTGGTCAGGTACACCACAGTGGGGTAGAACTGGTGTTTGAGGTAGTAGGCGTGAGCCACCACAGCCCCGGTCAGCGCCAGGCTGGCCGCCATCATCACTGCCGTGCGGAACATTGCCCTGGCCCGGAGACCTGCATGGGGCAAGAAAATAACTTATGTGATGCTCGTGCTGTGCAAAATAGCCCGGTGCCTGGCACAGCCTCAATTCATAGGAGAAAGTGGGGGGGAAATCACATTTCGCCCTCGAAATCATCAGACAAAGAATAGCTTACGCTACCCCATTTTACAAATTAGACTCGAAGGGGTTAAGTGATCACACTGACGCAAGGCCTGGAACCTGGGTCAGTCTTGCTTCAAATCTAGGGCTCTTTCCACGCTGCCTGCCAAGCCGCCTCCTCTAGGGAGGTGATGAGGAAAAGCTGCAATGTTGGAGGAGGGGGAGCTGCACCGCTGACCCTCCGGTGGAGAAGATGGGGTGGGAGGCAACAGCAGAAATCTGCTCCAGGGGCGGGAATGCGCAGCCAGGGCTGAGAGCAGCCAAGGCACAGAGGATAGCAGGCTGGGCAGGCGACAGCGCCGGTGACAGCTGTGTTAGGGTGGGCAGTTCGGACGCCCGCCCTGCGGGAGCGGGCGGGGAACGTCAGCCTGGAATCCTGGGGTCCCCCGACCCCCGGAGTAGTGTCAACTCAGAGCACCACAAAAACAGCGGGACGGGAGAGAGCAGCAGCGGGACGGGAGGAGCCGGGTCGCCCTCGCGGCCGCGCACCTGTGAGCACCAGGAGTTGCGGGCGTCGCAGGCAGGGCCCAGGCTTGAGCAAAGCGGCCGCACCGGCGTCTGAGGTCTCCGGCCAGCTGACAGGCCGAAAGCGTGCGGCGGGGCTGAGGGGCGTGCCGACTCCGGAGACCTCAAGGGGAAGGTTCGGGTCCCGACCCCAACCACAACTCGGGCCAGACTTCGCCCCACTCACCAGGAACCCAGCGCCGCGAGCCCGCTCAATCCGCGCGACTGCGGCTGCCCCTCCGGTTAACAACACTCCCCACCCCCTGCGAACCGGAACTTCGGGGGTCAGACACCTCACTTCCGGCGGCGCGGGGCGCGGCGTGGGTCGTACCAAGTGCGTCCTGCCCTGGCTCGCACTGCGCCCTACGTGGGCCCATAGCAATGGTGTCACCACCGTATCTGGGGTGATGTCTACGGGGAAGGGCTGGGCAAGAGGTCCGAGAGGTGGTCGGAAGGTAATAAGGCAACAGGGGGGAGTCGGAGGTCCCCCTATTATTTATTAGTCACAGATGGTATGGCTCCTGCGCTGAGTGGCCTCCTCGGACTGGGGGACTCGGCCCCGCGAGCAGCTGGGAAGGGGAGCCGCTTGCGGGCTGTACCACCTGGAGCGGGGAGTAGGCCAGGGACAGACTATACAAGCCTGAGGGGAATGAAATGTTTTCTTAAACATTTAGGGAGAGTCACAACAGTTTGACAAATACGGTGCTCTCTGAGAGAACTGGATGCGGAAAACAAAAATTTGTCTTCTCCATGATCACCCCCACAAGTTGTGTGGGAGTGAGTTGGGTCCCGTGGCTGCCACTGATTGGTTGCGATAAGTTACGCGGCCCAATAAGAAAAAGAATGTACCTTTGCTGGCCTATAGAAAGGGGAAAGCAGGTGAGTGGTTGTTAGGGGCGGACAGCTGCGTTGCCTAGGCCCTGGTCCCGCTCCAGTTGGCTGAGAGTAGGGAAAGCTCAGTCCTTGGGCGAGTGATCCCTGGCTGGCCTCCGGGAACGTTTGCCGCGCCAGGACAGGGAGGGACAACCAGGTGTACCCGAGACTGGGAGATTAATTCCTGCTAATCTTGGGACGGAAGTGTTCTGTTTGTTCAAAGGAATTGACTTCAGCGTCGCAGGCCTGCCCGCATCTCAGTGTCTGATTTTGCTGCCCATGTGTTGTTCAGCTCTGAGCCATAAGCAAGACCCCCACTGGTCCTGGGCTGCACTGTATTTTAGTTCGTGTCTGGGTCGCAGCCAACTAAGCCTGCTGATTAACAAAATGGAGCTAATGCATCCACTTTGTGCCTTGCGTTTTCCTCCGTCATCTCATTTAATCATCAATCACTAAGGTTTATGAGCTAGGGGGTGCTACCCCCTCCCCCGAAACGTGGGGCAATTGAAATTCAAAGGCTTACCAAAACCTGTCCTAGGATTGGCGCCAGGTCTGTCTGCCTCTAAATCTCTGTGCTGTTGGTCTCAGCCATCTTCCCTGCCACCTGTTGACTTGACAGTTTCAGCTTATAACCAGTCAGAGTTGGCTTCCCCGTAAGGCCACGTATAACTTTTTTTCCCCCTTTTCTTTTTATTTATTTATTTATTAATTTTTGCGACAGGGTCTTGCTCTGTCGCCCAGGCTGGAGTGCATTGGCGCCATCAGGGCTCATTGCAGCCTCGACCTCCCGGGCTCAAGCGATCCTCCCACCTCAGCCCCACAAGGTGTTGGGATTACAGGCGTGAGCCACAACACCTTGCCTATCTGTAACTTTCTAGTGACTGCATCCAATGGTTGGCTTTCAGCCCTTGCTTGACTCAACCTCTCTCCCCTTCTTGAAAGTCTCCTCCCTAAGCTTCTGTGATCCACATGCCTCTGCTCCTCTTTTCTCTCTGGCTATGCATGTGTCCTCTTCTCTTTACCTGATGTCCTTCTCTTTACTTTTCCTGCATGATTTCCTCTGCTCCAGTCCAGCCCCTGACCCAGGTGCTGATGATTTCCTTGTGTGGTCTCCAGCCGGGATCTATCCTGCTTTTAAAACAGTTCAGTGTCCCTAGACACTGTCTGCACCCCAGCTCCGGAAACGGGCATCATGCTCACTATCTGCCCCCACATCCAAACTGGTAATTAAGTCATTTATTCAGTTAGTCTACAAATATGGATCAAGTGTCTCCTGTTCTAGGGACTTAGGATGTCAGTGAACAAAATAAAGATCTCTACCTTTGTGGAGCTTATCCTAGTAGATGTGACAGCAAACCACAGACATAAGTGAAAAATCTAATACGCTGGAAGATGATCAGTGCTATAGGAAAAAAGTAGAACAGAATAAAGGGGATCAGGATGTGGTGGGGTACTTGAAGCTGGTTGCAGTATCAGCGAGGATAATCGGGTAAGCTTCCTTGAGAAGGTGACATTTGAGCAAAGACTTAAAGGAAGTGAGGTTATGAGCCAAGTGGATGTCTGGGTAAAGAGTTACAGCTCAATAAAGGTGGAGCAGTGCTGCTTTGTTGAAGGAGATGAGTGTGGCTATAGTGGAACTAGTGAAGGGTGCGTAGGAAAGAGGCCAGGGCAAGATCGCATTGGCCATCACAGGGACCTTGGCTTTTCCTCTGAGTGACGTGAGAAGTCATTGGAGGGTGCTGAGCAGAGGTGTGACATGCTCTGACTTAGGTGTAATAAAGTCACTCCAGGCTGGGTGTGGTGGCTGACCCTGTAATCCCAGCACTTTGGGATGCCAAGGCGGTTGGATCACGAGGTGAGGAGATCGAGACCATCGTGGCTAACACGGTGAAACCCCGTCTCTGATAAAAAAACACAAAAATTGGCCGAGCTTGGTGGCGGGCGTCTGTAGTCCCAGCTACTCCGGAGGCTGATGCAGGAGAATGGCGTGAACCTGGGAGGCGGAGCTTGCAGTGAGCTGAGATCGTGCCACTGCACTCCAGCCTGGGCAACAGAGCGAGACTCAGTCTCAAAAAAAACTAAAAAAAAAAAAAAAAAAGTCACTCCAGCTCCTGTGTTGGAATAATCTGTAGTGGGGAGGAAGGCAAGTGTGGGAGCAGGGAAACCAGTTAGGAGGCTCTTGCGGTGCAATAGGCAAGAGAGGACATCCTGTGGGTTCTACCTCCTGAGTGTCTCTAGAATTCATTCTTTCCTTGCCATTTTCACTGCCAGTGTCCTAGTCCAGACCATCATCATCTCATGCCTGGGAAAATGCAACAGTCCCCTTTCCTGTGCTTTCCTCCTCATCCGTTTTCCATAGAACGGCCAGAGAGATCTCCTGACACCTGAGCTCACGTCTTGCCTTCCCTCCCACACTCTGCCCTTCAGGCATAATGCCCAGTTGTGGGGTCTCAGGTGTACCATCCCTACCATGCCCCAGGCAGGCCCATCACCTTTTGCATATGTCTTTCCTTCTCCCAGGAACGTCTTTCTCCTCAAATATCACAAAAAGCATTGCCTACTTCCTCAGGCTGGGGTGGAGTGCATGCCATCATGGCAGGCTAATTAAAAAGAATTTTTTTTGTAGCTACAAGGTCTTGCTATCAGGCCCAGGCTGCTTTTGAACTCCTGGGCTCAAGCGATCCTCCTGACTTGGCCTCCCAAAGTATTGGGATTACAGGCATGAGCCACCATGCCTCGACAAAAAGCAGTTGTACTTCTAAGTACTAACAATAAGCAATCAGAAATTGAAAATTTCAAAATACTATTTACATAGCTTCAAAAAATCAAATGTTTGGCCAGTCACGGTGGCTCACGCCTGTAATCCCAGCACTTTGGGAGGCTGAGGCGGGCAGATCACTTGAGGTCAGGAGTTTGAGACCAGCCTGGCCAACACGGTGAAACCCCTTCTCTACTAAAAATACAAAACTAGCCAGGCGTGGCCGGGCGTGGTGGCTCATGCCTATAATCCCAGCACTTTGGGAGGCTGAGGCGGGCGGATCATGAGGTCAAGAGATCGAGACCATCCTTGCTAACACGGTGAAACCCCGTCTCTACTAAAAATACCAAAAAAATTAGCCGGGCATGGTGGCAGGCGCCTGTAGTCCCAGCTACTTGGGAGGCTGAGGCAGGAGAATGGCGTGAATCCAGGAGGCAGAGCTGGCAGTGAGCCGAGACCGCACCACTATACTCCAGCCTCAGTGACAGAGCAAGACTCCATCTCAAAAAACAAAACAAAACAAAACAAAACAAAACAAAACACAAAACTAGCCGGGCGTGGTGGCATGCGCCTGTAATCCCAGCTACTCAGGAGGCTGAGGCAGGAGAATCACTTGAAACCAGAAGACAGAGGTTGCAGCGAGCTGAGATTGCGCCACTGCACTCCAGCCTGGGTGAAAGAATGAAACTCCATCTCAAAAAAAAAAGCAAATGTTTAATAATAAAATATAATCAAAGATGTGCAAGACCTGTACACTGAAAAGTATAAAACATTGCTGAAAGTAAAGATCCAATAAATGGAGAGATATACTATATCCATGGATCAGAGCACTCCATACTCCTATGATGTCAATTTCCCCCAAATTGATTTATAGGGTTAATGCCATTCCAATCAAAATCTCAGTAGGCATTTTTAAAAAATTGATGCTGATTCTAAAATATGTGAAAATTCAAAAGACCTATAATATCCAAGACAACCTTGCAAAGTATAAACAAAGTTGGAGAACTTATACTACCTGATTTTAAGACTTATTATAGGCTGGGCGTAGTGGCTCATGCCTATAATCCCAGCATTTTGGGAGGCTGATGTGGGCGGATCACCTGAGGTCAAGAGTTTGAGACCAGCCTGGCCAACATGGTAAAACCCTGTCTCTACTAAAAATACAAAAATTCGCTGGGCGTGTTGGTGCGCGCCTGTAATGCCAGCTACGCACCTCTAATCCTAGCTACGCGGGAGGGTGAGGCAGAAGAATCACTTGAACCCTGGGGGCAGAGGTTGCAGTGAGCCAAGATCCCACCATTGCACTCTAGCCTGGGTGATAAAATGAGACTCTGTCTCAAAAAAAAAAAATAAAAAAGACTACTATAAAGCTACAGTGATTAAGACAGTGTGGTTTTTGGTGTAAAGATACACATGTAGGTTAGTGAAACAGAATGCAGTCCGGAAATAGAATAACATTTATATTCATTTTCTTTTTTTTTTTTGAGACGGAATCTCGCTCTGTCGCCTAGGCTGGAGTGCAGTGGAACCATCTCCGCTCACTGCAAGCTCCGCCTCCCGAGTTCTCGCCATTCTCCTGCCTCAGCCTCCCGAGTAGCTGGGACTACAGGCGCCCACCACCACGCCTGGCAAATTTTTTGTATTTTTAGTAGAGACGGGGTTTCACCGTATTAGCCAGGATGGTCTCAATCTCCTGACCTCATGATCTGCCTGCCTCGGCCTCCCAAAGTGCTGGAATTACAGGCGTGAGCTACCGCGCCCCGCAATATATTGATTTTCAATATAGGTAACAAGGCAATTCAATGGTGAAAGATGATTTTTCTTTCTTTTTTTTTTTTTTTTTGAGACAGAGTCTTGCTCTGTCACCCAGGCTGGAGTGCAGTGGTGTGATTTTGGCTCACTGAAACCTCCACCTCCTGGGGTTCAAGCATTTCTCCTGCCTCAGCCTCCCAAGTAGCTGGGATTACAGGCGCGTGTCACCACACCCGGCTAATTTTTGTATTTTTAGTAGAAACGGGGTTTCACCATGTTTGTCAGGCTGATCTCGAACTCCTGACCTCAGGTGATTCGCCTGCCTCAGTCTCCCAAATTGCTGGGATTACAGGCATGAGCCACCATGCCCGGCCGAAAGATGATTTTTCAACAAAAGTGCTGAAATAATTGGATATCCATATGAAAACAAAAAACCTCATTCCCTACCTTGCATCGTATACAACACTTAACTTGAAATGAACCGTAGGTCTAAATGTAAAACATAAAACTGTAATATCTCTAGAAGAAAACAAAAAAATCTTAGTAATGTTGGGTTAGGCAAAAATGTCTTAAATAGGATACAAATAGCATAAACTATCAAAGAAACAAATTGATAAATTGGATTTAATCCTAACTAAACACTTTATCTGTTCAAATGACAGTTAAAGGGAGAAAAATTGGGAGAAAATATTTGCCAAGCGTATATCTGACAAAGGACTCATATTGAGAATACATATTATAACTTACTAATAAAAAAATGAAAAGCTAATACAAAATGGGCCAACATTTTGAGCAGACATTTAATCAAAGGTATTCAGATGAGAATAATCCCATAAAATGTGCTCAACACCATCATTATTAGATAAATTCATTGAAAGCAATGCCATACTATTAGTACTAGAATAGTTAAATTAAAAAGATGTCATACAAAGTGGTGGTAATGATGTGGAACACCTAGAATTATCTTAGATTGCAGGTGGGAATACAAAACGGTATAGCCATATTGAAAAAAGGTTCGGTAATTTCTTATAAAGTTAAGTATACATTTACCATATGACCCAGCAATTCCGTTCTTAAGTTACCCAAGATAAATGCAAATATATGTTCATAGAACTAGTGACAGAGAGCATCTCAAGTAGTTGCCAGGGACAGAGGCTAGGGGAGAGGACAGATTGCTCTATGGCACAAGCAAACTTTTTGGATAGTGGAAACATTCTCTATATCATGGTAGTGGTGGTAATTACCTGACTTATACATGTTTGTTAAAGCACACCAAATTGTGTAAGTGACTAATCTTATTGTATGTTAAAACTGGCAAATCTTATTGTATTAACATACAATTATATCTCAGTTAAGTTGACATAAAAGTTGTTGAAAGCAAACTTACATTTTGACCTGGATTTTCCCCTTTCAGGAATCTATCTTGTTGAAGAGCTTGTACATGACCCCAAAGATTTTAAGTCCAAGGATGATTGCCACAGCATTGTTTGAAATAGTGAAACAAGACAATAGAACCACATATCCATTAGGGAGAGAATGGTTAGGTCTGTCTTTTAAATTTTTATTTGTTCGTTTGTTTACTGTATTTTTTGTAGAGTCAGAGTCTTGCCATGTTGCGCAGGCTGGTCTCCAACTCCTGAGCTCAAGCAATCCTCTCAGCCTTGGCAACATAGTGAGACCCCCCTCCTACAAAAAATAAATTATCCAGGTGTGGTGGCTGTAGTCTCAGCTACTCAAGAGGCTGTGGTGGGAGGATTGCTCAAGCCCAGGAGTTCAAGGCTGCAGTGAGCTATGATCCTAAGATCATGCCACTGCACTCCAGCCAGAGTGACAGAGAGAGACCCTATCTCTAAAAGAAAGAAAAAGAAAAGAAAATGGTTAATAAGCACAAAAAAATATGTTAAACATCACTGGTCATTATGGAGATGTAAATCAAAACCATAGAGAGATGATTTCATACCCACTAAAATCATTGTGATAAAAAAAAGACCAACAATAACAAGTGTTGGCAAGATGTGGAGAAATTGGCACCCTTATGTGTTTCTGGTGGGAATGTAAAATAGTGTAAATGCTTTGGAAAACAGTTTGGCAGTTCTTCAGTAAATTAAACATAAAATTACCATATGACCCAGAAATTCTACTTCTAGGTATATGTTCAAGAGAACTGAAAGCATCTGGTCATACAAACACTTGTACAAGAACATTCGTAGCAGCATTATTCATAATAGCCAAAAAGTACAAACAACCCAAATGTCCATGAATGGCTAAACAAAATGTAATGTACCCACACAATGGAGTATTATTTAGCCATAAACAGGAAGGAAGTACTGCTTCATGCTACAACATTGATGAACCTTGAAAACCCTGTGCTCAGTGAAAAAAGCATTCATATCACTGCACTTACGTTACATGTCCAGAATAGACAAGTCCATACAGACAGAAGTAGTTAGTGGTTGCCAAGGGCTGGTGGCGTGAGGAATGGGGCCTGACTGCTAATTGGTATGGGGTTTATTATTTGAGGAGTGATAAAAATGTTCCTGAGGAGATAGTGGCTATGCTTGCACAATTTTGTGAGTATACTAAAAATGACCGAATTGTACACTTTATTTATTTTGAGACACAGTCTCGCTCTGTTGCGAAAGCTGTAGTGCAGTGGCGCGATCATGGCTCACTGCAGCCTGGAACTCCTGGGGTCAAGTGATCCTGCCACCTCAGCCTCCCAAGTGGCTGACATTACAGGCAAATGCCATCATGCCTGGCTAACTTTTTTATTTTTAGTAGAGACAGAGTCTCACTCTGTTGCCCAGGCTGGTTTTGAACTCCTGACCTCAAGTGATCCTTCCGCCTCAACCTCCCAAAATGCTGGGATTCAAATGTGAGCCACCACACCTGGCTGAATTGTACACTTTAAAATAATGAATTGTGGTATGTTAATTACATCAATAAAATAGGTAAGGAAGTAACAAAGACAAAATAGAAATTAAGAAAATAGAGGACAGGCGCAATGGCTCACGCCTGTAATCCCAGCACTTTAGGAGCCTGAGGCAGGCGAATCATGAGATCAGGAGTTTGAGAAGAGCCTGGCCAACATGGTGAAACCCTGTCTCTACTAAAAATACAAAAAATTAGCTGGGCGTGGTGGGGGGGCACCTGTAATCCCATCTACTTGGAAGGCTGAGGCAGGAGAATCACTTGAATCTGGGAGGCAGAGGTTGCAGTGACCTGAGATCGCGCCATTGTACTCCAGCCTGGGCAACAATGCGAGACTCTGTCTAAAAAAAAAAAAAAGAAAAGAAAAAAGAAAATAGATAAAGCTAAAATAGAATACACAAAGTTGAAAGCTGGCTCTTTGAATAAACTAATAAGAATGACAAATCTCCAGAGAGACTGGTCAAGAAAATAAGGTTTGCACAAGCAGACAATATAATGAATGAAAACAGCAATAAACAGACACAGCAGAAATTTAAAAATAATGAGCATGCAGTAGGTGCAATTTTATGGCAATAAATTTGAAAATTTAGGAGAAATAGACAATTTCCTAGAAAATAAAAGATGCACTAAAACTGACCTAAGACACAACAGAAAACATGAATTGATAAGTATTTTAAAATTTTATTTTATTTTTGAGATGGAGTCTTGCTCTGCCGCCCAGGCTGGAGTACAGTGGCGTGACCTCGGCTCACTGTAACCTCCACCTCCTGGGTTCAAGCGATTCTCCTGCCTCAGCCTCCCAAGTAGCTGGGACTACAGGCGCCTGCCACCACACACAGCTAATTTTTTGTATTTTTAGTAGAGACAGGGTTTCACCATGTTGGCCAGGATGGTCACCATGTTGGCCAGGATGGTCTCCATCTCTTGACCTCGTGATCCACCCGCCTCGGCCTCCCAAAGTGCTGGGATTACAGGTGTGAGCCACCATGCCCAGGCTTTTTTTTTTTTTTTTTTTTGAGACAGTGTCTTGCTCTATCACCCAAGCTGCTGGAATGCAGTGGCATGATCAGGGCTCGCTGCAGCCTCAAACTCCTGGGTTCAAGTGATCTTCCCACCTCAGCCCTGCAGAGTAGCTGGGACTACAGGCATGCGCCACTGTGCCTGGCTAATTTTTGTATTTTTTGTAGATATGGGGTTTTGCCATGTTACCCTGGCTGGTCTCAAACTCCTTGGCTCACGCGATCCACCTGCCTTGGCCTTGCAAAGTGTTGAGATTACAGTCATGAGCTGCTGCGTTCGGCTTAAAAGTTTTTCAACATTTTTGACAACAACATCTGGATTCTCACATTCTCCCTCCATGAAAGAGAAAATGAGGAACTATTCTCTCTCTTCCATGGTGGAACACTCCAGGTACTCCCAGCCTGGAAGGCCAGACCCTCCAACTTTCCCTGAATGACCCCCTCACCAAGAAGTGTGCATTGAATGTGGGACTGACCACACATGAGGTCAGTTTGTTGGTCTATCTAGACTGCCTTTGGACTTCCCTTGCCTCTGATCTCATTCCTTTAATTAACAAACATTTACTGAGGGCCTACTGTGTTCAGGCCCCAGGCCAGGTTCTGAGGACATTGTGGAGAACAAAATACATTCCCTGACCTCATGGAGCTTTCAGTCTCATGGTAGAGAGATCCACAAGCTAATTGCAGGTTATTTGACTGTCTGCTGAATGAATGCATTAGTGGAAGAATGAATGAGTAAAAGCTACATTGTCCAAATTCCTGTCCTGTCAGAATTGATGTTGACGTTCTTTTTTTTTTTTTTTTTTGAGATGGTCACTTACTTTAACAACAGTACATATACCATGTTATCACCATGAAATGTAAATTCAGGTTAGACAAGAAAATTTCACAAATGTAATAACATTCTATAGTTTATAAAAGTTTGGGTATACTGTCTGGCCAAACCAGCTTGCTCATAAGTCATTAATCAATTCCATTATAGGTAATTTGATTAGTTTAATGTTTGTAATTCTTATGGAAAAAATAAGCAATGCACACATTTAAAAAGTGCTCATTGGGCTGGGCACGGTAGCTCATGCCCGTAATCCCAGCACTTTGAGTGGCTGAGGCCCAGCGGATCACGAGGTCAAGATCGAGACCATCCTGGACAACATGGCGAAACCCTGTCTTTATTAAAAATATAAAAATTAGCCAAGGATGGTGGTGTGCACCTGTAGTCCCAGCTACTCAGGAGGCTGAGACAGGAGAAGTGCTTGAACCCGGGAGATGGAGGTTGCAGTGAGCTGAGATCACACCACTGCACTCCAGCCTGGTGACAGAGCGTGACTCCGTCTCAAAAAAAATAAAATAAAAGGTGCTCATTTACCTTTGCATGAGTGCTTAAATACATATTTCTATCTCAAGATGACATTTAAAAATTATTCAGATATAACAGCAGCAAAAATATAATTCTGCAATTACAAAATAACTAAACTAGAATCCATAAGTTATTCTCATGTTCACAACTGTGATTCTTTAATAAATACCACTACTATGCAGCTATAATGTAAGCTTTCTAGATTTGGTTTAAACACACACACATAGATACTGTCAGTTGTGGGAAGCTTTACAAGTTTTATTCCATGCACTTTTTAGACAGAGTTCTGAAAGAGCCAGCCAGTCCACAAGACAGGCAGAAAAAAAGTTAAATTAACTAGGGCAAATAGGACTCTTATATAACATCCGAAACATGTGAGATCCTGCAGCAAACTGGGAGTACTTCAGGGTTGGCTTGTTATATCCTTTAGAACTTAAGTTCATCTTCACAATTGAAGAAGGTGGACATTTCAACACCATCTAGTGCATTTAGGTGACATGTTTCTTTTATGCTAACTTGATTTCCTTGAATGACCTAGTTAGTAAACTAGTCACTAGTAATTAAGTCACCAGGCAAATCAAGCCTGCAAGAAAGGAAGCCAATATTCAAAATGCTGTGTTACCATCTAAACCCACTCAAATAGTTTATTTTCCACAATAACACATAACTTCAATAATGAGATGTCTAACTAAAGCAAGCTCCTCCAACAAGACCAAGACAGCATCTCTTCTTCTAGGGCTTAGGTTTTGCCCAGAATTCTCGATACATGGAATAGCCCATACCAATAGTCATTGCTCCTACAACAAAGCCTTGGGCTGCCACACGCATGTGGATCAGATGAAGGGACATTTGCGTATTTCCCCTGCTCTTCAATTTGTATAATCCATATGTAACAAGTGCTGCAAAACCTGCTATTCCAACGGGTACCAATGGTGTCTCTTTAGCTTTACGAATAAGTTTGGATCCCTGAGCTTCGTCATATGAAGAAAGGGAAACATCTGTGTCTGTTGATATAATGACTGCTTGAAGAATCTCCCGGCTGGGCGCGGTGGCTCATTCCTGTAATCCCAGCACTTTGGGAGGCTGAAGCGGGCGGATCACGAGGTCAGGAGATCGAGACCACCCTGGCCAACATGGTGAAACCCCGTCTCCACTAAAAATACAAAAATTAGCTGGGCATGGTGGTGCCGGCCTGTAGTCCCAGCTACTTGGCAGGCTGAAGCAGGAGAATAGCTTGAACCCAGGATGTGGAGGTTGCAGTGAGCCGAGATTGCACCATTGCACTCCAGCCTGGGCGACAGAGCGAGACTCCATCTCAAAAAAAAAAAAAGGAAGAAGAAGAAAACCTCTCACACCTGATGTCAACATTCTTTTAGTTAACATTTAACATGTTTTTCTTGAGTGCCAAGTATGTGACAGATTTAGAGCAAGGGTTTTTACAGGGCATACAATGTAACACCCTGTCTTTCCCTGACCAAGTTTAGTACCATCTGAAAAACAGACACATAGGATAGAGATAAAAATGTTACTTCTGTAACCAATAGAGTTGTTGAGAAAATGCATTTGAAGTCCCTGTACCCGTCCCAGAGCTGCACAGACTTACCCACTCTGCTCCCAAAGGTTTCTCCTTCTTTTGATGTAGGGTAGGCAAGCCCCCAAATTGGGGCTTAGCCCGGGAGGGTTCTTGGCTTTGTCCAGGAAATAATTCCAGGGTGAGCCAGTGCTGTTAGACAGACACTTTTAGTGAAGTGGCAGTGCACAGCAGCAGCAGATGTACTGTTCCTTGCACACCAGGGCTACCCCGAGTAGCAGCTCAGAGGTAGTTCTGCAGTCATATTTATACCCACTTTTAATTATATGCAAATTAAGGAGAAGATTATGCAGAAATTTCTAAAAATAAGGTGGTAACTTCTGAGTCGTTTGGTCATTAACACAGAAAGAGGCAGTAACTTCCAGGTGTTACCATGGCAATGGTAAACTGACATGGCACACTGGTGGGTGTGTCTTATGGAAAGCTGCCTCCACCCCATCCCTGTTTTAGCAAGTCCTCAATTTGGTCTGGTGTCCCAGCCCCACCTCCAGAATTGAGACCTGCCTCCTACCTCACTTTGGGTCCCATACATAGTTGCTTCTAACAACTTCACCAAGAAAACTCTCTTTTCTACTTCTTGGGAGGGGTGAGTGAGAGAAAGTGGGACAAGGCCACTTTTCTGCAGTGTTAGTTACTCCAGAAAAGGTCCACCATGTGGAAACAGATATAATGAGAAATAATCCTTAGTTTGTGTTAATCAAACCCAGTCAGTTATCCAACCAGTCAATTCCTCAATCCAAGCAGCATGAAACTGCACTCCTAGTTAGGTTTGTGGATTATAAATGCTCATAAATTCCTTATCCCGTCCCTCATGGAAAGGTGGGGTTTACTTCTCCACCCCCTTAATTCTGGACTTGGCCTATGACTTGCTTTGAACCAGTAGAATATGGTGGAAATGAAGCTGTGCCCAATTCTGGGCTTACCCTTTAAAACAGAACTGGCAGCTTCTGTTTTCTTCTCTTGGAATTCAGCCACCATGCTGTGAGGAAGCCCAAGCAGTCCTGTGGGGAGGCCCATGTAGAGGAGAATCAAAGCTCCATTCTCAGCCTTTTGGGTAAGATCAAGTGTAGTATCTGTTCTTATCAGTTTAATATCTGATATGTCCTCTATTCGAGGACACAATCTATATTAAATAGATTTTTGGAACTAAGAGATGGAATAGGAGCTTGCCCCACCCACTCCACACATTTACCTAGCATTGCAGTACCTCCAGGAACAGTGTACCCCTAAAGGGAGATAAAGTTTAAAAATGAAAAAAATAGGGAATAAAAAGCTCTAGCCCTACCATCCAATTGGCTGGGGGAATTTAAATAAATAAATAAATAAATAAATAAATAAATAAATAAATAGCTCTAGCCAGCATCAACTTGCCAGCCATTGGAGTGCACCATCTTTGAAGGGTCCTCCAGCTCCAAGGATGGAGCTGGAGGCACAAGAAGAGCTGTCTCAACCAGGCCTTGCCCAAATTGCATAATGGTAAGAAAATAAATGATTGGTATTGTCATAAGCCTCTAGGTTTGAGAGTGGCTTGTTTCACAGCCCTAATCTAATTTGACTCCCTGTTCTTGGCCCCAGACCCAGGGCCTGCCACAGAATAAGAACTCAGGGAGTGTTGAAGAAGTGAGTCAACAAATGATTGGGCTGAGCGTGGTGGCTCACGCCTGTAATCCCAGCACTTTGGGAGGCCGAGGCAGGTGGATCATCTGAGTGAGGTCAGGAGTTCAAGACCAGCCTGGCCAACAGGATGAAACCCCATATCTACTAGAAATATAAAAATTAGCCAGGTATGGTGATGCGTGCCTGTAATCCCAGCTACTCAGGAGGCTGAGGCAGAAGAATCACTTGAACCCAGGAAGTCGAGGTTGCAGTGAGCCAAGATAGCGCCACTGCACTCCAGCCTGGCTGACAGAGTTAGACTCTGTCTCAAAAAAAAAAAAAAAAAAAAAAAAAAAAAAAAAAAAAAAAAAAAAAAAAGACTGGATTGGCTAAGTGGATGATGGATGATTGAATGGTTGGATAAGTGAATTGTGTTAAGCCTGACAGGTCTAGAGTGATGAGCTGTGGCAGAATCAGGGGCTCAGAGTCCAGTAGCTTCAAGGAGGATGAGAAGCCATCTCTGCTGGAATTGTTATAAATAATTTCCTGGGAAGGGTCCCTGGCAGATCTACTTGGAGTGGCATTGTCACAGGCAGTGCATACTCAGCTGCTCAGGTGAGACACTAACTGCAAGCCCAGAATCTGGAAAGCTCCACAGTGCAGTGGGCCCAGCCTTACTATCCCTGCTGGAACCACACCAGCAGAAGGAGTGCCCGAGGGCTGCTACCTGTCTCCCTCGACTCCACTTAGTTCCAAATGTAAGTCTCACATGATTGAAACTGTGGAAGGAGGCTGGGTGCGGTTGCTCTCACCTATAATCCCTGCACTTTGGGAGGCCAAGGGGGCGGATCACCTGAAGTCGGGAGTTCAAGACCAGCCTGACCAACATGAAGAAACCCCATCTTTACTAAAAATAAAAAACTAGCCAGGCATGGTGGCACATGCCTGTAATCCCAGCTACTTGGGGGGCTGAGGCAGGAGAATCACTTGAACCCAGGAGACAGAGATTGCAGTGAGCCGAGATCACACCACTGCACCCCAGCCTGGGGAGCAAGAGTGAAACTCAGTCTTTTAAAAAAAAAAAAAAAACCAGAAGGAATATATGTAACTCAAGTTTTGTGTGGTTTTTTTTTTTTTTTTTTTTTTTTTTTTTTTTTTTTTTTTACCGTTCCAGCCTCTGTGGTCCAGGCAGCCAGCTGGGAGAAGGCTGAGACAGATGCTCAGTGACAAGTGTGAGCTTGCTAATCTGACAAAGGCCTTTCTAAGGGGGCATTTGGATTTCTGCATGATATGCTTCCAGCCTGCCTCCTAACCCCACCAAATCCTCATCATGCACTTTGTTATTTATTTATTTTTGAGACGGAGTCTCACTCTTGTCGACCACGCTAGAGTGCAGTGGTGTGATCTCGACTTACAACAACTTCCGCCTCCTGGGTTTAAGCAATTCTCCTGCCTCAGCCTCCTGAGTAGCTGGGATTACAGGCACCTGCCACCATGCCCAGTTAATTTTTGTATTTTTAGTAGAGATGGGATTTCATATGTTGGCCAGGCTGGTCTCGAACTCCTGACCTCAGGTGATCCACCCACCTCAGCCTCCCAAAGTCTGGGACTACAGGCATGAGCCACCTTACCCGGCCCTCATCATGCACTTTGTATTGTGGTCAAACTTAACTTGTCTCATTCCCCAAACTCTGCTTGCCTCTTCAGCCTAGCTATCTTCACTTTTGCTCAAACCTATATAAAGTAGCATGCTTTTCCCTTTCTTCTTTGTCTGGAAAATTCTTAGTGCACACCCTTACACATTTCCAGCATCAGCCATGAACCTGAGTGAGTCTCTCCCCACCACATGGTGCCTACAGCATTTGTCCCTGTGTGAACACAGCCCCTATGACCCTGCATTGTAATCACTTCTGTGTCTGTGACATCCTTCAGGGCAGGGCTGAGAATAATAAATGTTGGGCAGTTACAGTTTTAACCTTTATGTCAATCCTGAGTCAGGTACTATTATCATATCGGTTTCATAGATGAAGAAACTGAGGCTCAGAGAGATTAAGTAACTTGCCTGAGGTTTGCCCAACTAATAGGGAAAGACAAAGTCAAGATTTAAGCCCAGGTCGGGTGCGGTGCCTCACGCCTGTAATCCCGGCACTTTGAGAGGGCAAGGGTGGGGGGATCACCTGAGGTCGGGAGTTCGAGACCAGCCTGGGCAACATGGTGAAATCCCATCTCTACTAAAAATACAAAAATTAGCCAGGCATTGGGGGTGGGTGCCTGTAGTCCCAGCTACTCGGAAGGCTGAGGCATGAGAATTGCTTGAATCCAGGAGACGGAGGTTGCAGTGAGCCAAGACTGCGCTACTGCACTCCAGCCTGGGTGACGGAGCGAGATTCCTTCTCAAAAAAAAAAAAAAAAAAGACTTAAGCCCAGACAGGGTGGCCCCATGGCCCTTCTCTCAACCCCCGCGCTTTGTAACAGGTCCATTTTCTCATCCCCATGGCAACTAGTCATTTTATTACTGAGAAAACAGATATTCTTGAGGTTACAGAAAGGAAGAAAAATAAGAAAAGAAAACAGATGTTCGAAGAGGCTAAGAAAGTCAGCCAGAGTCACCCTGCTGGCGTGTGGCCGGGAGGCACTCTATCTACTTCTCTGACACTGCGCTGCACCTCCAGTGAGGGCCTGTGGTGACTTCTTCCTCCTATTGAAGCAGTGTCTCGGGGCTGAGTCATTCCCAACAGTTTCTGTGCAAAGCCAGGGAACAGCCACCTCAGGCCCCTTGGCAGGCTGCCACCCTAGGCAGTTGTCTCGAGTCTGGGTGTCCTCGGAGGGCAGAGCAGGGACAGGAGGCTGATGTCCCCTCCCTCTGCCAGGGCACGGGCAGCCAGGCAGTGAGGCCACATTAGGACTCAATTCAGGCTGGCCTGAGCATCTGAGAAAGGGAAGTAGGATAGAGGGGCAGGCTGGGGACAGATCCATGGGCAACATGGATCACCCAAGACTAGTACAAAGAAAGGGGCTGGGGCACTAAGGTACAGATTGGGCAATCAGCACACAGTATGTGCCAGGTGCAGGGCTGGGTGCTGGGATTCCAGGGTGAGCAAAAAGACACCTACCCTCATGAGACTCCTGCCCAGTGCAGGAAATTCAGGGCACATACCTTTTCTCCTACCGCTCACACCTGCTCCTCCTGCCTCCTCATTTTTCCTTCCAGCTAGAATGGGTGGAGTTTCCCTCTTCCCATTCATTCACTCTATTATTCACCCAAGTATTTATCCAGTGCCCACCTTGAACCAGGTCTTGTTCTAAGTGTCATGAATGTATTAGCAAATGAAATAGAAAAAAGTCCCTTCCCTTATGAAGCTTACAGAATACTAAAGACAAAAAATAAACCAGGAAGCACGTAGAGAAGTGTAGAGAAGTGATGACTTTGAGAAATCAAGAAGGAAGAGGAGTCGAGCAGAAGAGGAGGACCCAGAAGCTTTGAAAGGAAGAGAGAGGTTGGGCATGGTGGCTCATGCCTATGATTCTAGCACTTTGGGAGGCTGAGGTGGGAGGATCACCTGATCCCAGGAGTTTGAGACCAGCCTGGGCAACATAGTGAGACCCTATCTGTATAAAAAAATAAAAATAAAAAAGAAAGGAGGAGAAAGATGGCTGTTCCATTCTAGTAGGAGAGGAGGCAGAGAAAGTGTGTACAGGTGCAGATTCAGGTAAAATAGAGGAGAAGAAAAAGGGAAAGAGGCTGGGCGCAGTGGCTCACACCTGTAATCCCAGCATTTTGGGAGGCCAAGGGGGGTAGATTGCTTGAGCCCAGGAGTTCAAGACCAGCCTGGGCAACATGGCGAAACCCTGTCTCTACAAAAAATTAGCTGGGCTTGGTGGCACGCACCTGTGGTCCAAGTTATTCAGGAGGCTGAGGTGGGAGGATGGCTTGAGCCCAGGAGGCAGAGGTTGCAGTGAGCAGAGATCAAGCCACTGCACTAAACAGCCTCGGTGACAGTGAAACCCTGTCTCAAAGCAAAGAAAGAAAAAGAAAAAGGGAAAGAAGTCATGTTGGAGCTTTGCAGAGAGAGGAGAGGGTGTGATTAGTTACCTCAGAAAGTGGAAATGTGATTCTGAATGACATTTTTGTAAGAAAAAAAGTGGAAATGCGAAGTTTCTAGACATCTGCAGTGTGATTGCCAGGGAACATGAATGGCCAAGGAGTTTTGTAGCTGAGTTGAAAGTGAAACAATCCTCTGGCTGTCTGATTTCCTCTTATTCCAGTACAGGCACCAAGTAGGATGGTTCAACCAGGGCTTGAGTCTCCCAGGTGAGGTGGTTTTAGGAATGTCCATGCATTCTAGATGCTCCTCCTTTCTTTCTCTCTCTCTTTCTTTCTCTCTCTCTTTCTTTCTTTCTTTCTTTCTTTCTTTTTTAGACAGAGTCTCGCTCTGTCACCCAGGCTGGAGTGCAGTGGCACGATCTCGGCTCACTGCAACCTCTGCCTCCCAGATTCAAGTGATTCTCCTGCCTCAGCCTCCTGAGTAGCTAGGATTACAGGTGCGTGCCACCATGCCTGGCTGATTTTTGTATTTTTAGTAGAGATGGGGTTTCACCATGTTGGTCAGGCTGGTCTTGAACTCCTGACCTCATGATCTGCCCGCCTTGGCCTCCCAAAGTGTTGGGATTACAGGTGTGAGCCACCGCGCCTGGCCTGATACTCCTCCTTTCAAGACATGGAACCTCGCTCCCCTCCCGCGAATGTAAACTGGACTTAGTGACTCACTTCTAAAGAATAGAATCAATGAAAGTGATGGTGAGAGACCTAGGAGAGCTGGCACAAACACACTTTGGCTTCCTGTCTGCACTGTCTCTTGGATCTCTTGCTCTGGGGAAGCCAGCTGCCATGTCATGAGACACTCAGCAGCCCTGTGGACAGGTTCACATGGTGAGGAACTGAGGCCCCCCAGCCAATAGCCGTGTAAGTGAACCACCTGGGAAGGCGATCCTCCAGCCCCACACAAACCCTCAGAAGACGGTAGCCCTGGCCAGTATCTTGACTGCAAACCTCACGAGAGACTGTGAGGCAGAACCTCCAAGTTAATGCTCCCACATTCCTGATCTACAGAAACTGTGAGATAATACATTTTTTTTTTCATTTAAACCACAAAGTGTGGGGTAATTTTTATTTATTTAGGGCAAAGCTGACACATTCCAGATAAGGCTCCCAAACTCGAGATGCTCTCTCAACAACTGGCCCAAAGGACTTTCTGCGCAGCCACTGCCTCTCCTGCTGCTCCTTGCCTCAAGTCCCCTACTACATGGTGTGATATGCACTTGTGGGGTCTAGTTCACTGCACATGGCAAGATGCACTCTCTGCAATCCTTGAGATTGTTCAATTTTCTCCTGTAATCTGTTAAGGGGGCAAATCAGATTCATCAGTTTTCTCATCTCTAACCTTGCATTTTTAGAATAAATCCAGCTTTGGCACACTGCGTTCTCTTCCTATATATTACCAAATTCATTTTGCTAATAATTTGCTTAGGATTTTTCCATCTGTGTTTATGAGCCTGCAGTATTTCTTTCTCATGCAGTCTCCATTAGGTTTTCATGTCAAGAACACTACCCTTGTGACATGTGGAGGGGAGGTCCTTCTTTTCTTCAATACTCTGGAAGAATTTATACAAGATAGAATTATTTGTTTTTTCAATGTTTGGTTAATCTTACTGGTGGAGCCATATAGGCCTGGAGTTTTCTTTGTGGTAAGACTTTGTCTACTTATTCAATTTGTTTAATGTTATAGGACTAATCAGGGTTTCTATTTCTATTTGTTTTAGTTTTGGTACACTATATTTTTCTATAAGGTCTTGTTCATTTTTATATACATCTAAATATAAAAGGGCTCTTCAAAAAGCTCATGGAAAATGCATCTTATGAAAAAACAATGCATGAATTTCAAAAATTTTTGGTACCAAAATAAACTCATACTAACTTGTTATAACATGTCTGGGGCCGGGTGTGGTGGCTCACGCCTGTAATCCCAACAGTTTGAGAGGCCAAGGTGGAAGGATCACTTAAGCCCAGGAGTTCAAGACCAGCCTGGTGGACAAAGTGAGACCCTGTCTCTATTACAAATTTAAATTTTTTCTTTTTTCTTTTTGAGACGGAGTCTCGCTCTGTTGCCCAGGCTGGAGTGCAGTGGTGCGATCTCGGCTCATTGCAAGCTCCACCTCCTGGGTTCACACCATTCTCCTGCCTCAGCCTCCCAAGTAGCTGGGACTACAGGCGCCCACCACCACGTCTGGCTAATTTTTTATATTTTTAGTAGAGACAGGGTTTCACTGTGTTGGCCAGGATGGTGTCGGTCTCCTGACCTCGTGATCCGCCCGCCTTGGCCTCCTAAAGTGCTGGGATTACAGGCGTGAGCCACCGCTCCTGGCCTGGAAAAAAAAAAAAATCTTTAAAGGGCACCTATTTTTCTTTTCTTTTTTTTTTTTTTTCTGAGATGGAGTCTCGCTCCATCACGCATGCTGGAATGCCGCGGCACGATCTTGGCTCACTGCAACCTCTGCCTCCCCAGTTCAGGTGATTCTCCTTCCTTAGCCTCCTGAATAGCTGGGACTACAGGCACACGCCACCACACCCGGCTAATATTTTGCATTTTTAGTAGAGATGGGGTTTCACCATGTTGGCCAGGCTGGTCTTGAACTCCTGACCTCAAGTGATCCTCCCCCCCTTGGCCTTCCAAAGTGCCGGGATTACAGGTGTGACCCATCATGCCCAGCCGAGGGCACCCATTTTTCTTTAGTTAATATAAAAAAACTGTGTTGACATGGTTAAATTCCCAGGATCCTCATTTCTAAAGAGATGGACCCAATGATACCATTGCTCACAAAAGTGTCTTAATCTTGTTGGAGGTTATGTTGAGAATCAAAGTTTATTTATTTTTATTTTTATTTTATTTTTATTTATTTATTTATTTTTTTGAGACGGAGTCTCACTCTGTCACCCAGGCTGGAGTGCAGTGGCACCATCTCAGCTCACTGGAACCTCTGTCCTCTGAGTTCAAGCAATTCTCCTGCCTCAGCCTCCTGAGTAGCTGGGATTACAGGCGCCTGCCACTGTGCCCAGCTAATTTTTATATTTTTAGTATATAAAACTATATATATAGTTTTGGCCAGGCTGGTCTTGAGCTCCTGACCTTGTGATCCACCCGCCTCGGCTTCCCAAAGTGCTAGGATTACAGGCGTGAGCCACTGCGCCCGGCCTATATTTTTTTATTTTTATCTTTTAATTCAATTTTTCTACAAACTTTTTGAATATACAGGTTGAGTATCCCTCATCTGAAATGCTTGGGACCAGATATGTTTCAGATTTTTTTTTTGAATGCTTGCATATATAATGAGATTTCTTGGGAATGAACCCAAGTCTAAACACAAAATTCATTTATGTTTCATATACACCTTATACACATAGCCTGAAGGTAATTTTATATATGTCATGTCAGTGCTTAAAAAGTTTGGATTTTGGAGCAGTTTAGATTTTAGATTTTCAGATTAGGGGTGTTTGACTTGTATTAAATTAATATGTATTCCTTACATAAAATATAAATATAAAACTTGGCAGGCCGGGCATGGTGGCTCACCCTTGTAATCCCAGCACTTTGGGAGGCTGAGGTGGGCGGATCATGAGGTCAGGAGATCCAGACCATCCTGGCTAACACAGTGAAACCCCATCTCTACTAAAAATAAAATACAAAAAAATTTGCTGGGTGTCGTGGTGTGTGCCTGTAGTCCCAGCTACTTGGGAGGCTGAGGCAGGAGAATGGCGTGAACCCAGGAGGCGGAGCTTGCAGTGAGCCGAGATCGCACCACTGCACTCCAGCCTGGGCAACAGAGCGAGACTCCATCTCAAAAGATAAAAAATTAAAAAAAATTAAAGTTGGCATAAAGTTGTTCATGATATACTCATATTTTTATTATCTAACATCTAAAAAGGAGTTATATATCCTTTTTCATTCTTGTTACTATTAATTTGTGCTTTCTCTTTTAAAAATTATTCTGAATCAATCTTGCCAGAGGTTTGTCAGTTTTATTGGTTTATCAAAGAACCAAATTTTGACTTTTCTAATTCCATTGTGTTTTCAATTTTGTTAATTTCTGTTCTCATCTTTATTATTTAATTCCTTCTACTTTCATTAGGTATATTTTGCCATTCTTTTTTTAAAAGATATTTATTTTGAAATAAGTTTAGGCTTAATAAAAAGTTGCAAAAACAGTGCAGAGAGTTCCTGTATAGTTTCCACCACACTTCTCTTAATGCTAACATCTTACACAACCATATGACAGTTATTGAAACCAGGAAATTGAGAATTGATATAATATTATTAGCTAACTTTACAGACCTTATTTATTTATTTATTTATTATTTTGAGACAGAGTCCTGCTCTGTTGCCCAGTGCAGTGCGTGATCTCGGCTCACTGCAACCTCCGCCTCCTGGGTTCAAGGAATTCTCCTGTCTCAGCCTCCCAAGTTGCTGGGACTACAGGCACATGCCACCACACCCAGCTAATTTTTTTTGTATGTTTAGTAGAGATGGGGTTTCACCATATTGGTCAGGCTGGTCTTGAACTCCTGACCTCAGGTAATCCACCCGCCTCAGCCTCCCAAAGTGCTAGGATTACAGGCGTGAGCCACCGTGCCTGGCCCAGACCTTATTTTAATTGTGTCAGTGGTCCCACTAATGTCCTTTTCCTGGTCTAGATTCCAATCCAGGATTCTGGATTTTGTGTAATTGCTCTATTGGTCATTCATTCTTGTGTAACAATTACCCCAAAATGTAGCAGCTTCAAACAACAAACATTTCTTATCTCCTGGTTTCTGTGGGTTGGGAATTTGGGAGCTGCTTAGCTGGGTCTGTCAGGGTCTCTGACTAGGTAGCAGTCATGAGGCCAGCCAGGCTGGGGTCATCTGAAGGCTTCACTAGGACTAGATCTGCTTTCAAGATGGTGCCCCAAGGCTGGGCGCAGTGGTTCACGCCTGAAATTCCAGAACTACTGGAGGCCTAAGTGGGCAGATCACTTGAGGCCAGGAGTTCGAGATCAGCCTGGCCAACATTGTGAAACCCTGTCTCTGCTAAAAATACAAAAGTTATCCAGGCATGGTGGTGCACACCTGTAATCCCAGCTACTGGGGAGGCTGAGGCAGGAGAATTGCTTGCACCTGGGAGGTGGAGGTTACTGTGGGCTGAGATTGTGCCATTGCACTCCAGCCAGGGCAACAGAGACTCTTGTCTCAAAAAAAAAAAAAAAAAGGCAAAATGGTGCCCCACACAGCAGCAGGAGCTTCAGTGTCTTGCCAGGCGGGCTTCTCCACAGTGTTGCCTAAATGGCCTTATGACAGGAAGCTGGCTTTTCCCAGAGAACGTAGCAGATTTCTCAGAGAAAGTAAGGAAGCTGCAAACTTTTTGATGGCCTAGCCTCAGAAACCACACTGCAGCGTTTCCACCATATCCTATTGGTGTACAGGTCAACCCAATTACATGAATCCCAGGCTGATTCAGGGGCCACCTTGGAGGCTGTCTGCCACAGGCATCATGTCTCCTTAGTCTCTTCCACTCTGGGACAACTTCTCAGGTTTCTTTCTTTCTTTTTTCTGAGACAGGGTCTCACTCTGTTGCCCATCCTGGAGTGCAGTGGCCTGATCACAGCTCACTGCAGCCTCAACCTCCCTGGGCTCAGGCGATCCTCCTACCTCAGCCTCCCAAGTAACTGGGACTACAGGCACGTGCCACAACACTTGGCTAATTTTTTAATTTTTTATAGAGATGGGGTTTCGCTATGTTGTCCAGGAGTCCAGGCTGGTCTCAAACTCCTGGGTTCAAGCGATCCGCCTGCCTCGCCCTCCCAAAATCCTGGGTTTGGAGGCGTGAGCCCCTGCACCTGGCCTCTGGTTTCTTCTTCTTCCACGTATTTGTCACTTTTGAAGAGTACCGGCTAATTAATTCGTGGAACATCCCTCAATTATTTTGTGTTTATGTGATGTTTGTAATGTTTAGTCTGAAGTTATTCATTTTCGACAAGAATACCAGGGCAGTGAATTGTGCCGTTCTCAGAGCCTCATAGTACCTGGCACATGATGTTGACATGCCTTATAATACTGGTGATACTAACTTTGATCATGTGGTATCTCCCAGGTTTCTCCACTGTCAATTTAGTCTTTTCCCCTTTATTTTAGTCTGTTTCTGCTGCTATAACAAAATACCCAAGGTTGGGTCATTTATAAACAATAGAAGCTTTTTTTTTTTTTTTTTTTTTTTGAGATGGAGTTTTGCTCTTGTTGCCCAGGCTGGAGTGCAATGGCACAATCTCAGCTCACTGCAATCTCCACCTCCTGGGTTCAAGCGATTCTCCTGCCTCAGCTTCCCAAGTAGCTGGGATTACAGGCGTGTGCCACCACGCCTGGCTAATTTTTGTATTTTTGGTAGAGACAGGGTTTCACCACGTTGGCCAGTCTGCTCTCGAACTCCTGACCTCATAATCCGCCCGCCTCAGCCTCCCAAAGTGCTGGGATTACAGGCGTGAGCCACTGCACCCGGCAGCAATAGAAACTTATTTGTCACAGTTCTGGAGGCTTGAGATCCACGATCAAGGTGCTGGCATGTTTGGTTTCTGGTGGGGGCTGCTCTCTGCTTCTAAGATGGCACCTTGTTGCTGCATCCTCCAAAGGGGACAAACTCTGTGTCCTCACAAAGCAGAGGAACAGAAGGGCAAAAAAAGGGGCAGAACAATGCATGAAGCCTCTTTTATAAGAGGTTTATCCCATTAGCCATGCATGGTGGTACACGCCTGTGGTCCCAGCTACTTGGGAGGCTGAGGTAGGAGGATCTCTTGATCCCGGGATGGGGAGGTTGCAGTAAGCAGAGATTGCTCCACTTCACTCCAGCCTGGAAGACAGAGCAAGACCTTGTCTCAAAAAAAAAAAAAATAAAAAATAAGGCCCCACATCTTGATACTATCACATGGGCAATTAGTTTCAAAATGAATTTTGGAGGAGACAGAAACATAAACATTCAAACCATAGCACCGTTTGTGATTAGTAAACGTTGTGAGGTGCACCTTGAGTGTATGCAAATATCTTCTTTCGCATCATACTTTCACCCACTAATTTTAGCATCCACCAATGAATGATTGGGGCCTGCAACAATTATTACTGCGGTGTTTGTCTAGTGGTGATTTTCTATTTCCATTACTTCTCCTACATTTATTTAAATTCTACTGTGCAGAGGAGTTGTCACTTCTCTCTCAGTTATTTACATATATCAGTATAAACTCATGGATAGTTATTTTATCCTGTGGGTAATAATTTATTGCTATCATTACTTATTTTGTTGCTCAAATTATCCCAGATTTGGCCCTTGGGAGCTCCTTCAAGTTGACTCTTGTGTCCTTTTGAAGTGTCTCCATGACTTTGTGAGAGTACTTCCTTACTTTCTGTCACTACATGATGTTCCAGACTCATATTATCTCTGCCCCAGCCCTGAAATGAACTATTTCTCCAAAGAGTCTAGATTCCTTTTATTACAGAATGGAATTTTTTTTTTTTTGACTGAATCTCTCTCTGTTGCCCAGGCTGGAGTGCAGTGGTGCAATCTCGGCTCACTGCAACCTCCGCCTCCCAGGTTCAAGCAATTCTCATGCCTCAGCTTCCCCAGTAGCTAGGATTACAGGCAAGCACCACCAAGCCTGGCTAATTTTTTGTTTGTTTGTTTGTTTTGAGACCAAGTTTCTTCGCTCTTGTTGCCCAGGCTGCAGTGCGATGGCGTGATCTCAGCTCACCGCAACCTCCGCCTCCCAGTTTCAAATGATTCTCCTGCCTCAGCCTCCCAAGTAGCTGGGCTTACAGGCATGCGCCACCATGCCCGTCTAATTTTTGTATTTTTAGTAGAGACGGAGTTTTGCCATGTTGGCCAGGCTAGTCTCGAACTCCTGACCTCAGGTGATCCACCTGCCTCAGCTTCCTAAAATGCTAGGATTACAGGTGTGAGCCACTGTGCCCGGCCGGTAGGTAACTTCTTGAACATAATCCTTTCCTGAGATCATCAAAACTTCTCCAAATTTATTATTCAGTTTAGTTGCTTTCCACTCAGCCAGTCTCTGCTGTCTGTACATTTCAATGGCATGTTCATCCTCCTCATCAAATTCGTCTACATGATCCTCCAGCTCTTCCAAATTCATATCTTCATATGTTTTCACTCCACACAACAATAAGGGTATGAATGAGAAGTTTCTCGAGTTTACAAAACAAGAGTTTTATCTGCCTGACGTCACCTGGTTCAGCCCTCAGGTAAACTCCTGGGCTGGATGTTATCAACAGTTCCCATACCATCCAAGGAGACACAGGATCAATCTTCCAGGGTGTTTGCTTTTTGTCTCTGGCCAGGGCTACTGTCTTCTGATGGCTTGTGTGGGGCTGGAGGATCCCCTTCCCAGGCGGCTCATTTACATGGCTGTTGGCTGTTGGAGTAACAGAAGGTATGAAGAGAGAGAGGAAGGCAGAGAAGTATTTGGAGAAATATGAAATAAAAATGAGAAAGCATACGAAAAGATGCTCAATGTCATATGACATTAGGGAATTGCAAATCAAAGCAACAGTGAGGTGCCACTGCACATCTATCAAAACAGTTAAAATGCAAAATACTGGCAACACCAAGTGCTGATGAGGATGTGGAGCAACAGCAACCTTCATTCATTGCTGGTGAAAATGCAAAATTGTACACTCACTTTGCAAGACGATTTGGCAGCTTCATATGACATGAAATAGATTATCACCATATGATCCAGCAATTGCTAGATCGTAGATATTTACCCAATTGAGTTGAAAATTCATAGATATTTATCTAATTGAGTTGAAAACTTATGTCTACCTCCAAACCCCTGCACAAATATGTATAATAGCTTTTTCATACTCTCCCCAAACAGGAAGCAACCAAAATGTCCTTCAATAGAAGAGTGGATAATAAAACTGTGGTATATCCATACAATAGGATATTATTCAGTGGTGAAAATCATAAGTTATTTTGATGATTAATTTTATGTGTTTATTTGGCTGGGCCACAGTGCCCACATTTGTGGTCAAACATTATTCTGGATGCTGTGGTGATGGCGGTTTTGGATAAGAGTGACATTTAAATTGGTCAACTTGGAGTAAAGCAGATTGCCTTCCATAATGTTGGAGGACTCTGTTCAATCAGTTGAGGTTCTGAATAGAAGAAAAGACTGACCTCAGCCGGGCGCGGTGGCTCACGCCTGTAATCCCAGCACTTTGGGAGGCCAAGGCGGGCAGATCATGCGATCAAGAGATTGAGACCATCCTGGCCAACATAGTGAAACCCCGTCTCTACTAAAAAAAAAATACAAAAATTAGCGGGGCATGGTGGCGCATACCTGTAATCCCAGCTACTCCGGAGGCTGAGGCAGGAGAACGGCTTGAACCTGGGAGTCGGAGCTTGCAGTGAGCTGAGATTGCGCCACTGCACTCCAGCCTGGCGAGAGAGCGAGACTCCGTCTCAAAAAAAAAAAAGAAAAGAAAAGAAAAGAAAAAAAGACCTCCTCCAAGCAAGAGAGAATTCTGCCAGCAGAGGCCTTTGAACTTGAACTGTAACATCAGCAGGGTCTTCAGTCTGACAGCCTTCACGTGTCCCTATTTTATTTATTTATTTATTCTTTATTTGAGATGGAGCCTCACTCTGTCACCCAGGCTGGAGTGCAGTGGCATGATCTCCATTCACTGCAGCCTCTGCCTCCTGGGTTCAAGAGATTCTCCTGCCTCAGCCTCCCAAGAAGCAGGGATTACAGGCGTGTGCCAACACACCCAGCTGATTTTTGTATTTTTTGTAGAGATGGGGTTTCACCGTGTTGTCCAGGCTCAAATGCCTGACCTCAAGTGCCTGCCTCAGCCTCCTAAAGTGCTGGAATTACAGGCGTGAGCCACCACGCCTGGCCTCCAATTTTAAACTTACTACAAAGCTACAATAATTAAGACTATGTGCTACTGGCATGATAGACAAATAGATGAATAGAATAGAATTGAGAGTCCAGAAATAAACCTATACATTTCTGGTTAACTGATTTTCTATAAGGGTGCCAAGACCTTTTAATGGGGAAAGAATAGTAGGACAACTGGATATCCACAGGCAAAAGAATGAAGTTAGCCACCTAGCTCACGCTATGCAAAAAACACAACCAAACCAATCTCACAATAGATCATAGACCTAAAATGTAAGAACTAAAACTATAAAACTCTTAGAATAATGTATTTATTTGTTTACTTATTTCCTCTTGTCACTTTTCTGTGAACATATTTGTAATGGCTGCTGTGAAGGCACTATGTGCTAAGTCCAATATCTGGGCCCGTTCAAAAGCGATGTCTATGGCTGCATTCTCTTTTCCTGTGGATGGACCAGACTTTCCTTTTTGTTTGCATGTCATAATTTTTGTTGAAAAAATGTACTTTTAGGCCGAGCGCGGTGGCACACGCCTGTAATCCCAGCACTTTGGGAGGCCAAGGCAGGCAGATCACCTGAGGTCAGGAGTTCGAGACCAGCCTGGTCAACATGGTGAAACCCCATTTCTAGTAAAAATACAAAAAAATTAGCCAGGTGTGGTGGCACATGCCCATAATCCAAGCTACTCAGGAGGCTGAGGCAGGAGAATCGCTTGAACCTGGGAGGCGGAGGTTGCAGTGAGCTGAGATCGTGCCACCGCACTCTAGCCTGGGCAACAGAATGAGACACCCCTCTCAAAAATAAATAAATAAATAAATAAATAAACAAATAATATGTACTTTTATCCAGTTTCATCCATGTTGTTGAGAATGACAGAATTTTGTTCCTTTTATGGGTGAACAATATTCCATTGTGTATATATACCACATTTTCTTTACCTATTTATCCACTGATGGACACTTAGGTTGATCTCATATTTTGGCTATTGTGAATAGTACTGCAATAAATATGGGAGTGCATTTAGAAATATACTTAAATGAATCTAATGTTTTTATTACAATGTACTTTTTTTGTTTGTTTGTTTTTTGAGACAGCGAGTCTCTCTGTCGCCAGGCTACAGTGCTGTGGCATGATCTTGGCTCACTGCAACCTCTGCCTCCCGGGGTCAAGGGATTCTCCTGCCTCAGCCTCCCAAGTAGCTGGGATTACAGGCGTGCACCACCACGCCCAGCTAATTGTTGTATTTTTAGTAGAGACAGGGTTTCACTATATTGGCCAGGCTGGTCTCAAACTCCTGACCTTAGGTGATCTGCCCCCGCCTTGGCCTCTCAAAGTGCTGGGATTACAGGCGAGAGCCACCACTCTGGGCCAAAATGTACATTTTAGATAATACACTGTAGAAACTCTGGATGCCAGCCCTCTCTTAGGAGTCAATGTTGTTACTGTTTGGTTGGCCATTTCTTTTTTGGTTTAGTGACTTGACTGAATTAACTTTGTGAAGTGTATTTTCCTTGCAGTGTGTAGCCTGGAATGTCTGTTTTCTGATTTTTTTTCTTTTAAAAAAATCTAACAACTGGGCCTGGTGGCTCATGCTTGTAATCCCAGCATTTCTGGGGTTGAAGCAGGAGGATAGCTTGAGCCTAAGAGTTCAAGGTAGCAGAGAGCTATAATCATGCCATTGCACTCCAGCCTGGGTGATATAGCAATACCTTGTCTCAAAAAAAAAAAAAAATCTTTTAGCTTGGCTCTCTAGGGGTCACCCCCGGTCAGCACAACTCACTTATGGTCAAAATGACCATAAACCACTTATTGGTCAAAGTTTGTGCTTAAGTTCCAGATTTTTATCTTTACTAGTAGATACGTGTGTGGCCTGCAGACTGGCTACTGCACTTCAGTGAGTTTATGTTTTTGCTCATGTTCAGTCAGAGAATATGCTTCCCCATTTGCTGTATGTGCCTTTAGGATAATTTACAGATTTGAAATGATTGGGTTCTTAAAATAAATTTTTCTGGCCGGGTGCGGGGTGGCTCACATCTGTAATCCCAGCACTTTGGAAGGCCGAGGCAGGCGGATCACGAGGTCGGGAGTTCGAGACTAGCCTGGCCAGTATGGTGAAACCCTGTCTCTACTAAAAAAATAGAAAAATTAGCTGGATGTGGTGGCGCGTGCCTGTAATCCCAGCCACTCGGGAGGCTGAGGCAGGAGAATCACTTGAACCCACGAGTCGGATGTTGCAGTGAGCCGAGATCACGCCACTGCACTCCAGCCTGGAGACAGAGTGAGACTGCGTCTCAAAAGTAAATAAATAAATAAATTTTTCTAGTTAAATGGTTGTTTTGTTGGGGAATGGGTCTGCTGAGCTCCTTACACCACCATTTTGGAAATTGGTGGTGTATTTAAATTTTTTAAAATATCTTATTCCTATGGTTCCCTCCCCTTTGTCATATATTTGTTATATTTGTCTTTCTCCCTTTTTTCCCCCTGAAACAAGGTAACTAGTGGTTTGTCTTTTTTTTTTTTCCAAGACAGATTCTTGCTCTGTTGTCCAGGCTGGAGTGCAGTGTCCCGAACATGGCTCACTGCAACCTCTGCCTCTCAGGCTCAAGTGATCCACCATGCCCAGCTAGGTTTTTTGGTGTGTGTGTGTGTGTGTGTGTGTGTGTGTGTGTGTGTGTGTGTGTGTGTTTTGTTTTGTTTTATAGAGACAGGATCTCTCTATGTTGCCTAGGCTGGTCTTGAACTTCTGGGCTCAAGCAATTCTCCCATCTTGGCATCTCAAAGTGCTGGGATTGCAGGTGTGAGCCACTGTGCCAGGCTGTGTTTGTCTTTGTTAATAATAATAATTTTCACCGGGCATGGTGGCTCACACCTGTAAGCCAGCACTTTGGGAGGCTGAGGCAGGTGGATCACAAGGTCAACAGATCGAGACCATCCTGGCCAACATGGTGAAACCCCATCTCTACTAAAAATATAAAATATTAGCTGGGTGTGGTGGGGCCCACCTGTAGTCCCAGCTACTCGGGAGGCTGAGGCAGGAGGATCACTTGAATCCCGGAGGCTGATGTTGCAGTGAGCCGAGATTGCACCACTGCACTCCAGCCTGGCGACAGAGAGAGACTCCGTCTCAAAAATAATAATAATAATGATGTCTCATTTTATTACACTGTGCTCAGAGAATATTGTTTGTATATTTCTACTTTTTTTAAGGTACTGATGATTTCTTTGTGACCTAAGATATGATCATTTTTTGTAAATATTTTGTTTCTTTGGAAACGTGGTTTTTTTTTTTTCCAGGGGAATTTTTCTTGGTTGGTGTGTGTTATTTTGTTTTCAGATTTTTTAAAATATCAGCTCCATACGGATCTATTCATCTTCTTTCTATTCGTTTTTGTGGTATTGGATGGTTTACAAGATTCCTAGCTCAATAGCACACTGTTAGGTCAATATAGCAAAGTTCAGATGGTTTAGAAGCTTTTTATTTGTTTGTTTCGGTGTGGGGGTGGGTAGGGTTTTGTGTTCTCCCATTGCTTGGTTCTCTTCGGACCCTCAATTTCTCCCTTCTGCATTTTCCCACTTCACTTACTCAATTGCCCACGGATGCTTCTGGCCCATTTTAGCCCTTTTTTTTTTTTTTTTACCCCTCCCGCGGAATCAGTGGACTTTAACGACCTCCCCTTCCTATCGCACATACTTGTAAGCCCCTTCCCTGAGGTCTGAGCTCTGACTTCCCAGGACGTCTTCTTGGTATTTTCAGATTTTAGAATGTCGCAGTCTTTCTGATAGTTGCTCTCGACCAACCCCAGCCCGGATCGATACTCCTTTCTCCCCTCCTTCCCCAGCTTTTCTTGGCACAAAGCCTCGTGCCTGGGAGAGGCCGCAGCGCACGACGGCGTGCGGGGATATGGTCGCTTTCTTTTTATTTACATTTATCTTGAAGTTTGGACCTTCTCTGCTTTCAAGTTATGCCGACGCTGTGGTTTTGGCAGCGTTTTATTTTTCCTTTCTTGTTGTCTGGGGCTGTGTGGACAGCAAAAGTTGGCGGATGGGGACCCAGGCAGCCCCTTGGGCCTCAGGACCCGGAAGTCCCCCTGGCTGGCTTGTGACTTTTTAAGATGGAGTTCAGTTCATCAGCGTGACAGCTTTTCTTATTTTCTAACACGCGCGTTTGAGGTCATAAATTCCTCTCTAAGAATTACTAGTTGTGTCCTCCAACTTTGACAGACAATATTTTCTTTCTTTCTTTTTCTTTTTCTTTTTCTTTTTTTTTTTTTTTTTTTTTTTTTTTTTTTTTTTTGAGACGGAGTCTTGCTCTGTTACCCAGGCTGGAGCAGTGGCGCGACCTCCGCTCACTGCAACCTCCGCCTCCCGGGTTCACGCCATTCTCTTGCCTCACCCACCTGAGTAGTTGGGACTACAGGCGCCCGCCACCACGCCCGGCTTTTTGTATTTTCAGTAGAAACGGGGTTTCACTATGTTGGCCAGACTGGTCGCTAACTCCTGACCTTGTGATCCGCCTGCTTCGGCCTCCCAAAGTGCTGGGATTATCGGCGTGAGCCACCTCGCCCGGGTACATTTGATTAATTTTTAGGAAGATGTTCTGTGCGTGCTTTCCTGCCTTTGTTGGGTGCAGTGCCAGCTTATTCGTCCACTAGGTCAAATTTCTTCATCATATTCTTCATATCTTTTACTGCTTTGCTAACTTTTTTGCCTTGCATGTGCCATCATATCTACAATTATGATTGTGATTTGTTTTTCCGTGTGGTTCTGTTGATTTTACACACACACACACACAGACACACACACATGCGGTTTCTTGCTTATTGACTTTATTTTTAGGAGTAAACAAATTACTATATATTTTTTTCTTTACCTGGATTCTGGTTAGGTAATTATACACTTTTTTTTCTTCCTTCCTTCCCTCCCTCCCTTCTTTCTTTCTTCTCCTTCCTTTTTCCTTTTATTTTTCTCTTCCTGCCTCTTTCCTTTCCTTTATTTTCCCTCCCCTCCTTCCCCTCCTCTTCTTACCGACAGGATCTCCCTATGTTGCCCAGACCAGCACTACAGGTGCACACCACCACATCCGGCTGTATATTTTTAAAATCACTACATAAATTCTCTTTCTCCCTAGTTATGCTTTTTGTCCAAAGTTGTGTTTTTTTGTTTGTTTTTTGTTTTTTTTTTTTTTTGAGACAAGTTCTCACTCTGTCACCCAGGCTGGAGTGCAGTGGTACAATCTTGGCTCACCAAAACCTCTGCCTTCTAGGCTCAAGCGATTCTCCTGCCACAGCCTCCCAAGTAGCTGGGATTACAGGCATTCGCCACTACCACCCACCTAATTTTTGTATTTTTAGTAGAAATGGAATTTCACCATGTTGGCCAGGCTGGTCTTGAACTCCTGACCTCAAATGATCTACCTGCCTCGGCCTCCCAACGTGCTGGGATTACAGGCATAAGCCACCGCGCCCGGCCTAAAGTTGTTTTAATATATTAGTGTAGTTATCCCAGCTTTCTTTTAGTAATTGCATATTATTTTTTCTATCTTTATATTTTGAAATTTTTAATATTCTTATTTATTTATTTATTCATGTTTTAGAGACAGGGTCTTGCTGTGTCACCCAGGCTGGGTAGAATGGCATGATAATAGCTCACTGCAGCCTTGAACTCCTGGGCTCAAGTGATCCTCCCACCTCAGCCTCTTGAGTAGATAGGACTGCAGTCACGTGCCACCATGCCAGGCTAGTTTATTTTTGGTAGAGATGGGGCCTTGATGTATTGCCCAGGTTAGTCTCTAACTCCTGAACTCAAATGATCCTCCTGTCTCGGCCTCCAAAAAGTGCTGAGATTATAGGCGTGAGCCAATGGACCTGGCCATATATATATTTTTTGAGCTGGTAGTATGTTATTATGTTTTATGTGTATTCTTTTATATCCTTTTACGTGTATCCTTTATAGCATGCAATATTAATATATGATTTTACAAATTATATATACATTTACATGAATATAAATTTTATAAATAGTATATTAGTTAGCATAGAATAAATTTTGCTGTGATAATTGTAGCAGGCAGAATAATGGACTCCCAAAGATGGCTACATTTCACTTCCCAGACCTGAGAATATGTTATCTCACATGGCAAAAAAGACTTTGCAGATGGTTAAGGATCTTTTTTTGAGACCAAGTCTTGCTCTGTTGCCCAGACTGGAGTGCAATGGCATGATCTCAGCTCACTGCAACCTCCACCCCCAGGGCTCAAGCAATTCTCCTGCCTCAGCCTCCCGAGTAGTTAGGATTACAGGCATGCACCACCATGCCCCGCTAATTTTTGTATTTTTAGTAGAGGAGGGGTTTTGCCATGTTTACCAGGCTGGTCTTGAACTCCTGACCTCAGGTGATCTGCTCTCCTCTGCCTCCCACAATGCTGGGATTACAGGGGTAAGCCACCTCTCCCAGCCAAGTTAAGGATCTTGAGATGGGGAGATTATCTGGGCAGATTGAAGAGCCCAGTGAATCATGGGATTCTGAAAAGTGAAAGAGAAAGGCTGGGCATGGTGGCTCATGCCTGTAATCCCAGCATTCTGGGAGGCCAAGGCGGGTGGATCATGAGGTCAGGAGAACAAAACAAAACAAAAAAATTGCCAGGCATGGCGGCACATGCCTGTAGTCCCAGCTACTCGGGAGGCTGAGGCAGGAGAATTGCTTGAGCCCTGGAGGTGGAAGTTGCAGGGAGCCGGGATTGGGCCACTGCACTCCGGCCTGGGCAACACAGCGAGACTCCGTCTCAAAAAAAAAAAAAAAAAAAGTAAAAACAAATATTCTCCCCAGTGTGGGAGATCGGTGTCAGATCTCCAGGGGTGGCACTGAAGGAAATCAGCCTGAAGGCCCTCCCAAAGTTAAAGTGACTAGCCCACTCCCAGGCTTCTTTTTGGTACACCTTCCTGATCTCTAACCTTAATTACTGGGGGAGGAGGAGAACAGTTGAAAACACAGCTGGTCTAGGAGATTCATTCGGTTTCATGGAACACCTTCTCTGTGCAGGCAGCGTCCAGGAACAGCTGTAGACCACACAGCCAGGCTACCCAGCGTGTGGGCCCAGCAGCCAGGCTGGAACTCTATCTCTACTTACCAGCTGAGTGGCTGGCAGGAAGTTACTCAGCCTGTCGGTCAGCAACCCAAACTCTGTGTGTTAGTTGTTTGTTCGCTGACAAAATGAGGCTTCTCATCATTCTCATCAACTTCACGGGCTTGCTGTGAGGAACACGTGAGCTGATTCCATCACAGACTCCTCAGTAGGCAGCAGTAGGTGTTTAGTGAACGGGCTATGGATGCTGCCCCACTCACTACTTCCTTTCTAGGGGAGGCCGACTTCAAATGCGTGCACACACACAAACAGGATGGCCTGATGCAGACCAGCTGGTCTAGAAAGGCCTTCACGGCCTCAGGGAGCCTGGGAGGCGGCCTGGGGGAGACCATGAAACAGCAGATACACCAGAGACCAGAGATCAGAGAGAAAACAAAGGACCCAGAGATCCACAGACATCCAGACACCAGAGGCAACAAGAAACTGAGAGACTCAGAGGCCCACTGAGACCCAGGCAGCTTGTTCTGTGTTACGAGGGGAAAAATAAAATAAGAAACAAAAGAGAGACTCGGGGGGCCTCAGTGAAACCTAGAGACTCAAGGAGGCCAGGAGATTCAGAGACACCCATAGAGAGCCAGAGACCCTGCCCTAGCAAGGCACAATCAATGAAAAAAAACTCGCCCACCAGGCCCTCGCAGTCCGGGTCTCATATCCCGGCTCAGCACCTTGGCGCTGCATTTGTCAAGAGGGGAACAGGGATCCTAGCTCCCTGCCTGTCCTATGGGGCCTTAGGCCCTGGGGTCCAGCTGGCCTGCCTTCACCCCTCTTGTAGTTGATGAAGCTTTGGAGAGGCTTTCAAACCCTGGGGAGCCACAGCTGGGTGCCGACTGGACTCACTGGCAGAGAGGCAGGCGGTGAAGGCCAAGCCTCGCCCCCCAGGAAGGCCCTGATTGGTGGACGGGCTGCTTTGGGCAGGGCCGCCCTCAGGCTATATAAGCGCACTCGCGGCGGCGTTGGTGTTATGCTCTGGGCCATTCCTGAGCTCGGGTAAGGCTCGCTGCAGGAGGAGGCTGGGTTGCTTGCGGGCGCCTAGATGGAGGGGCCCAGATTGGCCCTGGGGTGGTCGACCGCACGTTCTCCTCGGCCCCGTGGTTGGCTTCTCTCTCTCAGGGATGAGGGTGGGTTTAGGACGGGAGCTTGAAATGTTTGAAGTGGCCCCATCAACTTGCTCTAAATCCAGGTATTTTTCTAATTTCATTCCTCCCTGAGGGCCTCAGTTTCCCCTCGGTGTAAGGGATCAGTGGCCCTTTCAACTCTGCTTTGGTGAGGGGTCGGGGGTGGTTGTGAGTTGGGGCCTAGAGGAGCAGTTAAACTCTTGGGTTTTTTTTTTCTTTTTTTTTGGCCAGGCGCAGTGGCTCACGCCTGCAATCCCAGCACTTTGGGAGGTCAGGAGTGTGAGACCAGCCTGGCCAACACGGTGAAACCCTGTCTCTACCAAAAAAATACAAAAAAAATTAGCCGGGCGTGGTGGCATGGCGCATGCCTGTAATCCCAGCTACTCGGGAGGCTCAGGCTGGAGAATCAGTTGAACCCGGGAGGCGGAGGTTGCAGTGAGCCGAGATCGCGCCACTGCACTCCAGTCTGGGCGACAGAGAGAGACTGTGTCTCAAAACAAACAAACAAAAACCAAAAAACCTCTTGGGGTTTTGGAGACCAAGGGCTTCACTTTTAACCGGCTGTTAGGCCTCAGCTTCAGTTTCCTCGTTTGACGACCGGTCTGAGTTAAACTTACCTCCTTACCAGGATGGAATAAGATAAGGCCCTTAAGCACAGCCCCAGGCACTTAGGAAGCCCTCAGCGGTGCTTGTTGCTGCTGTTACTCTGGCCTGTCCTGGGGTGCCAGGAGGAGGGTGAGGGTGCCACACCCTCACCTATAGCAACTCTTTGCTTCTTTTCTGGCCTCCCCACTCTTGTTGCATCCCGGCTGCCTTCTGTTCTGAGCCCCCAAGTCTCTGCACCCACCCCTCCACCGTCCTGGCCCCTGTCACCACCCTCTTGATTTGTGAGCATCACGGGGGTACATGCTAAGTCCTGAGCCTCCTTTCTCTACAGGTCACCCTGCCCCATCTCCATCTCCTATGAGATGAGTGACTCCCAAGACCCCACCACTTCCCCTGTAGTTACCACCCAGGTAGAGCTGGGGGGCTGCAGCCGGCAAGGTGGGGGCAATGGGTTCCTCCGTTTTCGCCAGCACCAGGAGGTCCAGGCCTTCCTCAGCCTTCTGGGTGAGTTTGGAGGGCTGGCACGGGAGGGGCCGTGAGGTCAAGTGTGAAAGCAGATGTGAAGTGTGGGGTCTCACCTGCCTGTACAGACATCTGAGACCTCTGACCCTCTCCCTCTCAGGTATCCCAGCTTAGGCAGGTGGGAGGGGTGTCCTCTCAGAAACTGGATTCAGGGCCAGGCACCGTGAGTCATACCTATAATCCCAACATTTTGGGAGGCTGAAATGGGAGTATCACTTCAGGCCAGGAGTTCAAGACCAGCCTGGTCAACATAGTGAGACTCCATTTCTATTTATATTAAGAAAGAGAGAGAGAAAGAGAAAAAGGGAGAAAAAGAGAAAGAGAGAGAGGGTTCAGTGGTGGCTTGGGCTTTGGAGCTTCTGATGCCACTCTTCTCCATGGAGGTGGTGGTAACCTGCGTCCTGTCATGTCTTCTCTACCCTCAGAGGACAGTTTTGTCCAGGAATTCCTCTCCAAAGACCCCTGCTTCCAGATTTCAGATAAGGTGAGGGAGTACAGGCTGGGGGTCTCTTGAGGGTCAGGTTGAGTTGGTGGGAATTGAGTGCCCTGGTCTGGTAGGGAGAGCCACTCACCTTCCATCCTTACCCCCTCATCTTTGCACACCACTTCCCACCATTTTACTGACTTTCTTTCCCTGCAGCAAAACCTCCCTGGGTGCAAATGAACCTGGGTGCAAGCCCCTCCTCCTCAGAGAATAACTAACCCCCCACCCCGATCTGTCTCTGCAGTATCTCCTGGCCATGGTGCTGGTCTACTTCCAGCGCGCCCACCTGAAGCTCAGCGAGTATACCCACAGCAGCCTGTTCTTGGCCCTGTGAGTGGTGGGGGCAGGCAGTGGAGGCATTTGCTGGAGGTGTCAGATGGGACAGGGCAGATGTGTGGCCTCTGCTCCCTGACCTTGTGCCTCTGTGGCTAGGTACCTTGCAAACGACATGGAGGAGGACCTGGAGGGCCCCAAATGTGAGATTTTTCCATGGGCCCTGGGAAAAGATTGGTGTTTACGAGTGGGGAAATTCCTGCACCAGAGGGATAAGCTTTGGGCACGGATGGGTTTCCGGGCTGTTGTGAGCCGCCAGTGCTGTGAGGAGGTGAGGCTGGGAGGCAACCTGGGGTGTGGGGAAGGCTGGGGTTCCCACCCCATTTACTGTCCACTCTGCTCCTCCCAGGTCATGGCAAAGGAGCCATTCCACTGGGCTTGGACTCGGGACCGGCGCCCCCACCATGGTGGGGTTCAGAGGGTCTGTCCACAGGTCCCTGTTCGCCTTCCCCGGGGCCCTGGCCTCTCGCCGCCCCACTGTTCCCCCTGTGGTTTGCCCCAGCACTGCAGCAGCCACTTGCTTAAGCCTGTGTCATCCAAGTGCCCTTCTCTGACCTCTGAATGTCATCGCCCTCCCTCCCAAAATTATCTCTCAAGGGTCAAAAACGCCTGGGGTGGGGACTTTCTCATCGTCTTGCCTCCCCAGATGCAACTGGAACCAGGCACCTACTCCCTCCGCAGTGAGTGCAGGATGGGACAGGAGCTGGGGGCTGGTGTGGGAGCTTGGGAGGCAGGAGTGAGGACCAACAATATGAGAGAGAGGGCCATGGGCCTGGGGTCGACGTGCTGCCCCTCCCGTGTGAGCTTGGCAGGTTTCTTCTCTGAGCCTCACTCTTTCCTCTCCCCAGTCTTCCCAAAGCCTCCGGCACGCCCTGGGCACTGAAGCTCTGCAGGGTGAAGAACAGCACGCCTGCTGGCCCACTGACTGACACACCATTGGCTGTGCTCCCACCCCTGCCCCTTCCTCCCAGCCTGCAGCTTGTGCCCACTCTGGTGCCAGTCCCCTCTAATAAATTCATGTCCACAGGACACCAACTGTGCTTAGGTCCTGGCCTGGTTCCTTGACCCAAGGTTGGGGTGGGGAGGGGGTATCTACCAGGGTTACAACATGTGAGCACAGGCTCTGTAACAGCTTGGCCCCTTCCCATTGGTGGCCAGTTATTCTGAGCCTCAGTTTCATCTCTGTGCTATCCATGCCTATGGATGATGAGATCTACACAGTCTAGATGGGATTAAATGAGATGAGGTATCTGCAGCCCTTAGAAGAGGGCCAGGGAGCCGAACGTGGTGGCTCACACCTGTAATCCCAGCACTTTGGGAGGCTGAGCCGGGTGGATCACTTGAGGTCAGGAGTTCAAAAACAGCCTGGCCAACATGGTGAAACCCCTTTGCTACTAAAAATACAGAAACTAGCCAGGCATGGTGGCAGGTGCCTATAATCCCAGCTACTCGGGACGCCAAGGTGGGAGAATTGCTTGAACTGTGGAGGCGGAGGTTACAGCGAGTTGAGATCATGCCACTGCACTCCAGCCTGGACGACAGAGTGAGACTCTGTCTCAAAAAAAAAAAAAAAAAAGGCCAGGAACATATTGGGAAACAAAACTTGAATGGAAGACAGCTCTTTATTTAGTCTAGAAATGCCTTCAGGGCCAGGTTTACTTAGGAATAAGACTTGATCCCTTCCTTGAGCTACAGTCAAATATAATATTGTAATTATAATAAACAACCCCCCTCCCCCAAGAGACATGAGGACTCAAAAGGGTTAATTTCTTTTTTTCTTTCTTTTTTTTTTTTTTCACATCACTCCTTTATTATACTGATCTGGAAAAAGATTTAGTACAGTTATGCTCAGATGAACACTGGACCCATGTGGCAGGGCCAAGCAAGTAGAACATGATTCAGAAATCAGTGAAAGACATACTTGGACAGGACCAAGAGGCATTTCACTGTCACGAAACAAGGCAGGAAGGGATTGTAATACCCACACCAGGAAGCACTCCTGCCCCTCAGAGGTCAAGGAGCTGATCCTATATTGGTATGAGGAATGGCTTATTTTCTGATGACTACATGTGGGACTATTTCAACCGCCACGAGAAACCCCAGAAGGGTTATTGTTTTGTATTATTTATATATACTATACTTCTTAAATTAAATGTAACACATAACTAAATTCAGGATTGATCCCAACCTTCTAGAGCCAGCTCCTCTGGCGTCAGGGAGGAAACAGTTGTCACATCACCATGCAGGTTACATTCATCTTCCACTGGAATGACTAGAGCCCTCAGGCAGTGGCCTGACTGCAGACGAGCAGAGGACTGGCTCCTGGGGACAGACAGGCTCTGTTGCTTCTCCTCATTGGTCATGGCTTAGCATGGTTCCTCCCCACAAGTCCTTAGTAAACAAAGCAACTCGCAAAAACCCAAGTCACTACTTTTAAACTCTGTTGGATAAGGGGAGCTTTTCCACAGCTTGGACTGAGAACCTGTGCTCTAGAAGTGCTATTCTGACTAGATTGTATGAAGGGAGTGGGTGCAGGAGACAAAATGGCTAAAATGAAAATGGGAGTCACTGGTCCCCATCTGCAGCTACAACTCAAGATGTCTACAGATGGGGTCAGTGTGACATGTGCAGGTGGGAGGGGCAGAGGGACAAGACAGGCAGGGAGGGTGCTCCTGGGAACAGTATCCTCCCTGCTGGCCTTCACTTCTTGGCCTTGCCCTGGGCAGCCACAGCTTCCATGGCTTTGCGTACCATCTCTTCATCCCCCAGAAACTGCATGGGCTTGATAGGCTTCAAGTTCTTGTCCCATTCATAGACAATGGGAATACCAGTCGGCAGGTTCAGCTCCATGATAGCCTCTTCAGAGAGACCCTCCAGATGCTTGGCAATGCCCCGGAGGCTGTTGCCATGGGCTGCAATCAGTACACGTTTCCCCTCCTTGATCTGGGGAACTATTTCTTCATTCCAGAAGGTCAGAGCTCTGGCAATAGTGTCCTTCAGACTCTCACAGGAGGGTAGCAGATCTTCTGTGAGGTCTGCATACCTGCGATCCTTACTGATGTTGCTATAGAAAGGATGGTTGGGCTCCATTGGAGGTGGTGGGACATCATAGGAGTGCCTCCAGATCTTCACCTGGGCCTCACCATGCTTTGCAGCAACCTCCGCCTCCCTGGTTCAAGCGATTCTCCTGCCTCAGCCTCCTGAGTAGCTGGGATTACAGATGTGCGTCACCACGCCCGGCTAATTTTTTTTTTGTATTTTTAGTAGCAACGGGGTTTCATCATGTTGGTCAGGCTGATCTTGACCTCCTGACCTCGTGATCTGCCTGCCTCGGCCTCCCAAAGTGCTGGGATTACAGGCGTGAGCCACCGCACCCAGCCGTGAGGTGCCAGATTTTTATCTTTGCCAAACTGCTAAGTGGGAAACAGTCTCTTGGTGAAATTTTAATTCACATTTGCTTTTCAGTGAGCTCAACATCTTGTCATATGTTTAAGACCTATTTGTCTTCTTTTATTTGTGAACTTTTTTTTTTTGAGACAGGGTCTTGCTTTGTCATCCAGGCTGGAATACAGTGGTGCGATCACAGCTCACTGCAGCCTCGACCTCTGGGATAGCTGGGACTACAGGCCACCATGCCCAGCTAACTTTTTGTATTTTTGGTACAGACAGGGTCTCACCGTATTGTCCAGGCTGATCTCGAACTCCTGGGCTTAAGCGATCCACCCACTTTGGCCTCCCAAAGTGCTGGGATTTACTTTTATTTTATTCTTAGAGACAGCATCTTGCTCTATTGCCCAGGCTGGAGGGAAGTGGCACAATCATAGCTCACTGCAGCCTCCAACTGCTGGGCTCAAGCCACCCTCCCATCTCAGCCTCTGGAGTAGCTGGGATGACAGGCATGCACCACCACACCTGGCTAATTTTCTAATTTTTTTATAGATGGGGTCTCATTATGTTGCCCAGGCTAGTCTCAAACTCCTAGCCTCAATCAATCCTCCTGTCTAGGCCTCCCAAAGTGTTAGGATTATAGGAATGAGCGACCACACCCAGAACATGATTTTTTATATATGTATATGGAGAAAAATACTCCTTTAAGATGTTAATTGTAAATGTTTTCTTCAGTCCATCATTTTGACATAACTGTATGGATTTTTAATGTAGTAAAAAATGCAATTTTATGACTTTTGGGTTTTGTGTCATAGTTAAAAAGACTGTTTCCACACTGAGATGATACAAAAAGTTTCTCCTTTAGCTCCTGGCTGTATTTTTTTTTTTTTTTTTTTGAGATGGAGTTTTGCTCTTGTTGCCCAGGCTGGAGTGCAATGGTGCGATCTCCACTCACCGCAACCTCCGCCTCCATCTCCCGGGTTCAAGCAATTCTTGTGCCTCAGTCTCCCAAGTAGCTGGGATTGCTGGTGTGTGCCACCATGCCCAGCTGATTTTTGTATATTTAGTAGAGATAGGGTTTCACGATGTTGGCCAGGCTGGTCTTGAACACCTGACCTCAAGTGATCCACCCACCTCAGCCTCCCAAAGTGCTAGGATTACAGGCATGAGCCACCGTGCCCAGCCAGCTTCTGGCTGTATTTTCGTTTTCATTTTTGTACGTTTAAATATTGAAGGTTAACATTTAATTTTTATTTTTATTTATTTATTTTTTTTGAGACGTTGTCTCACTCTGTCGCCGAGGCTGGAGTGCAGTGGCGCAATCTTGGCTCACTGCAAGCTCTGCCTCCTGGGTTCACGCCATTCTCCTGCCTCAGCCTCCCAAGTGGCTGGGACTACAGGCGCCCGCCACCACGCCCGGCTAATTCGTTTTGTATTTTTAGTAGAGATGGGGTTTCACCGTGTTAGCCAGGATGGTCTTGATCTCCTGACCTCGTGATCCACCTGCCTCAGCCTCCCAAAGTGCTGGGATTACAGGCATGAACCACCGCGCCTGGCCTATTTTTTATTGATTTTTTAGAGATGGAGTCTTGCTTTGTTGCCCAGGCTAGAGTGCAGCGGTGCTCACTGAGGCCTTGAACCCCTAGGCTCAAGAGAGCCTCCCACCTCAGGCTCCGAAAATGCTGGGATTACAGGTGGTGTGAGATACCACACCAGACCTAGAGTTTTTATTTTTTAATTTTTAAAAAAATTTTTATTTATTTTTTTGAGACGGAGTCTCACTCTTTTGCTCAGGCTGGAGTGAAGTGGTGCAATCTCGGCTCACTGCAACCTCCGCCCCCTGGGTTCAAACAATTCTCCTGCCTCAGCCTCCCGAGTAGCTGGGATTACAAACGCCTGCCACCCACCATGCCCAGCTTTTTTTTTTTTTTTTTTTGTATTTTTAGTAGAGACGAGGTTTCACCATATTGGCCGGGCTGGTCGTGAACTCCTGACCTCAGGTGATCCATCTACCTTGGCCTCCCAAAGTGCTAGGATTACAGGTGTTAGCCACCACACCCAGCCTTTTTAAATGTTTTTTTCATTAGGAACAACATATTCCAAACCTATAAATTGAGTTCATCTGTAATTTTTTCTAAGATACAAATTATGAATCCAACTTACTTTTTTTCCAGATTGCTCCCTTTTCTTCCTAATGTCTTTTATTAACTCATCTTTTCTCAACAGATTAGAAATGGTACTTTTATCATCTACTACATTCCTGCCTGTATTTGAATCTGTTTCTAAATTTCTCTGTCTTCTATTGATCTCTATGTGTCAGTAACCCTCTTTAATTATTACCTTTTAATGATAGATTTGTTGTGTTTTAATATCTGGTAGGATTAGTCTATACTCATTATGTCTTTTATTTTCAGAAGTTTCCTACTTGTTTAATTTGCCATATGACCTTTAAATCAGCTTTTCTAGTCCCTCCTTATCTCCCACCAGAAGACTCTTAAAATTTTTCATTGTGATACACTTAGAGATTAATTTAAGGAGAATTGACATCTATATGAAGCATCTTCATATGAAGACCAAGGTGTCAGCCCCCTTGCCTCTGCTTTTTGGTGGCTAGTGACTCCCAAATTTGTACCTCTATTTTGAGCACAAGGTCTGTTCCTCACCCCTAGGAATCTCCTCTTGGATAGGGGGATCCCAAAGATACCCCATACCCTGATCCCATACTGTCCCTCCAGCTTAGTGCATTCCCCCTTCTCTTTAATCTACTCAGGTGCTCAAGCCAGATCCAGGGTCTGAAGTTGTCTTTGGTCTCTCCTGGTGTCCAAGAGCCATATCTAACCAGTGACTAAGTTCTATTTTTTTTTTTTTTTTGAGACGGAGTTTTGCTCTTGTCGCCCAGGCTGGAGTGCAATGGTGTGATCTTGGCTCACTGCAACCTCCATCTCCTGGGTTCAAGTGATTCTCCTACCTCAGCCTCCCTAGTAGTGGGGACTACAGGAGCCCACCACCACGTCCAGCTAATTTTTGTATTTTTTAGTAGAGACAGGGTTTCGCCATATTGGCCAGGCTCGTCTCTCGAACTCCTGACCTTATGTGATCCGCCCACCTCAGCCTCCTAAAGTGCTGGGATTACAGGGGTGAGCCACTGCGCTCAGCCTGTGGTATATTTGTAATCACTGATGAACCAATATTGACACAATATTATTAATTCAAGTCCATAGTTTACATTAAGGTTCACTCTTAGTGTTGTACATTCTGCAGGTTTGGATAAATGCATGTCATGCATCCGTCATTACAGTATCATACAGAATAGTTTCGCTGTGCTAAAAATGCCCTGTGCTCCATCCCTCTCCTACCCCTCTGAATCCCTGGCAACTGCTGATCTTTTTACCATTGCTAGTTTTGCCTTTTCTAGAACGTCATATAGAGTTATTGGAATCATACAGTATGCAGCTTTTTAATACCAGCCTCTTTTACTTAGCAATATGCGTTTAAGGTTATGCTATGTCTTTTTGTAGCTTGATGGCTGATTTCTTTGTATCGCTAAATTTTAAAGAAATTGCCAAACTGTCTTCCAAAGTGGTGGTGATCATTTTACCCTCTCTTGGTGTATGACAGCTCCAGTTCTTCTATATCCTTGACAACATAACAACACTTGGTATGGTTGATCTTAACTTTTAGCCATTCTAGTAGGTGTTCTTTTAGAAGCAGTCCTTCTAGTGGCTTTAATTTGCATTTCCCTAAGAGTAATGCACTCAGTGTTTTTTAATGTGCCTATTTGCCATCCAGAGATCTTTTTGGATGAAGTGTCTGTTCAAATGTTTTGTCCATTTTTTGACAGGCGCGGTGGCTCACCCTGTAATCCCAGCACCTTGGGAGGCAGAGGCGTGCAGATCACTTGAGGTCAGGAGTTTGAGACCAGCTTGGCTAACATGGTGAAACCCTGTCTCTACTAAAAATACAAAAATTAGCCTGGTGTGGTGGCGGGCGCCTGTAATCCCAGCTACTGGGGAGGCTGAGGCAGGAGAATTGCTTGAACCCAGGAGGTGGAGGTTGCAGTGAGCCAGGATCGCGCCACTGCATTCCAACCTGGGTGATGGAGCGGGACTCCATCTCAAAAACAAAAACAAACACCAGAAAACAAACAAATGTTTTGTCCATTTTTATTGGATTTTTATTCAATTGTAAAAGTTCTTTATACAAGTCCTACATCAGATAGAATTTTTACAAATATTCGTCCTAGTCTATGGCTTATCTTTTCATTTTTAATAGTTTCGTGCATTTTGAGAAACAAAAGCGTTTTATTTTGATGAAGTTCAATTTATTGATTTCTTCTATCATTTACACTTTTTGTGTCATATTTAAGAAATCTGGCCAGGTGCCAAAGCTCACACCTGTAATCCCAGCACTTTGGGAGGCTCAGGCAGGAGGACTGCTTGAGCCCAGGAGTTCATGACCAGCCTGAGTAACACAGCAGGACCCCATTTCTACAAAAAATTTAAAAATTAGCTGTGTGTCGTGGCACGTGCCTGTAGTCTCAGCTACTCAGGAGGCTGAGGTGAGAGGATCTCTTGAGCCCAGGAGTTTAAAGTTACAGTGAGCTGTGATCAGGGCACTGCACTCCTGCCTGGTCAATGAAAGCAAGACCCTGCCTTTAGAAAAGAAAAAAGAAATCTTTTCAAACCCAATATTGTTAAGATTGTCTCCATTTTTAAAAAAAAAAGTTTTATGGTTTGGCCATTTATATTTAGGTGTGTAATCCAGTTTGAGTTAAATTTTGATGGTGTATCCTAAATAGTTATCAAATCCATCTACTTCTGCCTGCCACCTCTCTAGTTTAAACCACCCTTCTCTGTCCCTGGACACCTGCGCAGAAAGCCTAGGAGCTGGTTCCACCCATCACTCACCAGGTTAGGTATTTCAGGCAAGTCACACCCTCTCAGGCCTCAGTTTTCCTCTTTTGTTAACTGAGGGTGAAAGTGGGGTTAGATTAGATCAGCGGCTCTTAACTTTTGAGGGGTCGTGGGCCCTAGAGTCCTGGGAACGCTATGCAGTTTCCTCAGCAAAATGCTTGCATCCACAACATGCAAGACTGCAGCAGCTGCTGGGCTGGGGCTGCGAGACCAGCGAAAAGCCCTGACTTGGGGGGGTCTCGGGAGTCTCTGCAGTCTCCCCACCCACACCCCCGGCCTCCGCGCCGAATCCTGGCCCCCCAACTTCTTGCAGCCCGTGAAGCAGGATCTCAGGGTCCTGGGGGTGGGGAGAGGGGGCTGCCGTCCTGCTCGCAGCCTCTGCCGCCCTCTCCTGGGTAAGGTGACACATGGGCGCTTCCAGGTGGGTGGGCTGAGAGCCTGGGGGAGAGAACAGGGATGTCCACCTCTCTAAGTTTCCAGGTTCAAGAAACCCCAGAACGTTAGAGAAAGATGGGCTCCCACAATTGCCCAACCCCATCCCATAGGATGCACGCATGCGGAAAGTCGGGCCGAACGGGGCAGGGACTTACCCAAGGTCACGCAGCGAGCCCGGTCCCCCTGCGTTCCCCGGGGAGCGCTGAGCCGGGACGCGGCGGTGGGGTGGGGAAGGGGAGTGGCGCGGCCCTGCGGGGTGAGGCTGCCGTTTGCTGAGTGTCCGGCAGGGGTCTGCTCGCTGCCAGCCCGGCCCCTCCTCAGAGCAGCTGCCGCAGCCCGAGGTAATCTCGGCCCCGCGCCGGGGCTGGCTGGGAACGGCGGGAGCAGCTGCGGTCGCGCGGAGCGAGGGGAGCTGGGGACCGGGCGGGCCCGGGGCTGCGGGAGGCGGCGCCGCCGCACAATCGCCCCGGAATGCCCGCCAGGGCGCGCGTGGGGTGCGGCCGTCCGGCCCTGCAACTCGAGCTGCTGCCCCTGGTTAAAAATACCCCCTGCCCGGCCCTCCCCCTCCGTTCCCCGCGGTGCCCTTCCGCCGCGCCCCAGCCCCCCCATCCCCCCCCGCGCTGGCCCCTCCCCGGGGACTGCTCTGCCTTTTACTAATTTGTCCTCTCGCGGAATTGGCCCCCGGCCTGCGGAGGGAGGGGCGGGGAGACACCGTGAGTAAGAGATAGTCAGAGACCGTGCCGGAGAGATAAGGGAGAGCCGAGAGGAAGCGGGGTAGGAGCCCCAGGAGGAGGAGGAGGAGAAGGAGAGAGGGAGGGCGGAGGGCGGAGGGGCGGCGGGAGGAGGGCGGGGAGGAGCGCTCTTCCTGGTTGGGCCCTGCCCTGAGCTGCCACCGGGAAGCCAGCCTCAGGGACTGCAGCGACCCCCAAACACCCCTCCCCCAGGTAAGAAGCTGGGTAGCCGAGCCGGGATTCCTTGACCCTGGCCACTGCTCCTGGGCTGAGGGGCTGCCCCAGCACGGTCCCTTCTCGGGGGCCTCTGCGTTCCTGGAGCAGGGGTGGGGGCTGGCGGAGCGGCACAGCCCAGGCGCCTGTCCCAGCCTGGCTCACCGCTGTCCCCAGGGGCTGGGCTAGGGCCCACCAGCTCTGATATCGAGCCTGCTGCGGGGGCCTGAGGAGGGGGACCCCGACCGTCTGGGGTTTTCAGCCCACGGCAAGGGGCCGGTGCACCAGGAGCTTGGTTAGTTTGGGGAGGGGGTTGCAGGCCTGTGAACAGGATCAAAGAGGCCTTCCCTGCTGTGTCCCACCTGCCCAGTTCCTTGTGCTGTCTGGAGGCTCCGCCCTGCCCCACCTGACCTGCTGGCTCACTACAGAGCTGCAAGCCCCTGACAATGGGATCCGGGAAAGGAGAGGTGGCCGGCACGCCTGGGAACTGGGAAATCCCTTTCCTGGATTCACTGGGAGCACCGGGAGGTGGCTGAGAACCCTACTTCTGTGAGGGGAGCAGTGAGGCAGGGAAACCCTAGGTTTGGGGATGGATAAGCAGGGGCAGGAGAGCAGAGCTTGCAGGCAGGAGCCCAGGTTCTAGTCTTGGGAAGGCCTGGGTTCTGAGCAGGCCCATCTGTCCGGCAGGATGTCGGAGGAGATCATCACGCCGGTGTACTGCACTGGGGTGTCAGCCCAAGTGCAGAAGCAGCGGGCCAGGGAGCTGGGCCTGGGCCGCCATGAGAATGCCATCAAGTACCTGGGCCAGGATTATGAGCAGCTGCGGGTGCGATGCCTGCAGAGTGGGACCCTCTTCCGTGATGAGGCCTTCCCCCCGGTACCCCAGAGCCTGGGTTACAAGGACCTGGGTCCCAATTCCTCCAAGACCTATGGCATCAAGTGGAAGCGTCCCACGGTGAGAGGGGCCATCCTGGGTGGGACTCGGCTAAGCCAGATCCTGGATGAGGAGTAGGGATGGGACTCCATGTCCCTGGTGGGGAATGGGGTCTGGGGTGGCCTGGTGCCAATTTCTGGGAGGGGCTGGCCGAGGAACAGGACTCTGGGTCTCTCGTAGGAACTGCTGTCAAACCCCCAGTTCATTGTGGATGGAGCTACCCGCACAGACATCTGCCAGGGAGCACTGGGTAGGCCCCCAGGGCGTCGGGTCCCGGGTATTTTTTCCACAGTAGTTCCCCATTCCCGCTCCTTCAGGCTCTGCCCCAACCCCTCCCTCTTGCAAGCCCAGGCAGGATCTGGCTATCAGCGCTGGGGCTGGTTTGCCCAGATTCCTGGGTCTTTTCTGCAAGCTGAGGGGAGTTAAGTGGCACCCTGGCCAAGGAACCCCAGATTCTCCCTAGCACCCGCTTCCCCCCCCGGGGCAGGTTGGTAGAGCAGGCTAATGTGCATCCCTCCTGCCCCAGGGGACTGCTGGCTCTTGGCGGCCATCGCCTCCCTCACTCTCAACGACACCCTCCTGCACCGAGTGGTTCCGCACGGCCAGAGCTTCCAGAATGGCTATGCCGGCATCTTCCATTTCCAGGTGAGGGCTCCCCTGGGGAGGAGGGGCAGCAGGCACTGGGGGAGATGCGGAAGGATGACCCACAATACCTGCAGTTAGGGCCACACCCTGTGGGGCCAGCCCTCCCTCTAGCAGGTATTTGACCTCTCAGTGCCATCTCGGGTCTGTCATGTGTGAAGTGACTGGGCTGGGCAGGTATTTCGGCTGGCAGTTTTCCTAGGTGGTTGTATGTATCAGGTGGAAAGTGCTTGAAAGAACAGAAAGACTTTTGTGTTATATCCTGTGGGACAAATTCCACTCCTCCCGGAGGTCGGTCTCAGTTGCCCCATCTGAGAAAGGAGTGTTCGCTGGGGAAAACAGATCAGCACGTGTGGCCTTCTCCACGTGTCAAGCCTCCTATCCCCCAACTCCTCCTGCGCTTTGGCAAGGTCTGACTGAGCCCAGCAGAAAAGAAAGACTCGGGATTAAGTCTACGTAAACCAGCTTTTCCTGACGGTGTGCCCAGGGCCCATTTTTCAAGTCACACCAATCAATTCTCAATGAGCTGCCTTTGGGAGGGACATGCCCAGCAACCCTGGATGAGACTCTCCAGCCTTGGAGGCCCCAGCCCTGCCCGAAGGACTCTTGGGTGTTCCCTCCTTCTGCCTGGTTAGAGAGCCCCTTACCCTACTCTGTCCTTGCCCGCCTTGCGCGGGTGGAGGTGGCCCTCGGAACCCAGGGTGCGGAACCCACAGTGCGGATCCACTTTGGCCCAGCGCCACACCCACCTGCTCCAGTCTGCAGGGGCGCAGTCTCGCCCCCTTCCCTCGCTCCTCCAATCCGCTCCTCCCTGGCCTCCGATTGGCCAGTTCAGTACCCGCCACCCACACTCTCCGCAACCTGGGCTCCTAGGGCCGCCTCCACCCCGCCCCGCCCCCCGTTGTCCTGGCCCCGACCCCTCAGATGGTACCTCGAGTCCTTGGTCGCTTCTGACCCCAGACGCCTTCGGCCCCGACCCTGCCCTGGGAAACGTGGCCTTTGTGGCATCTCAGAAACAAAGCCCGTGATTGTGAGAACCAGTCCTGCCCATCTTGTGGTTGTAGGATCTGGATGCCACATTTTCACTGCTCATCCAATGACACAGGTGCCCCTAACCCCCTTGAATAGGGAGGGAAGAGCCAGGGGGCCATGGCCTAAAAGGGGGCTAGTTCCGGAAAGCCCAGGCCCCAGAGCTTTTCCACCTCTCCGTGCCTGAGGAGGAACCCTGTTTGTTCAGTGACTCCCTAAAGGCTTTGCCTGTGCTCTTGTTTAAGTCTTCCGTGAAGAAGGCACCGCTGCTCCTTTTTATGGATAGGGAAACTGAGGCTCAGAGGCGATAACTTTTCCAGGATCATGTAGCTAGTATGTCTCGAGCATACATGTACATATCAAGTATACACATGTCTATATGTGGTATGCATGTATTAGTATACAGCAAATATGCAGGTATCTAGTATACATTGTACAGGCAAAGGAAAGCATCCCCTTAGCCCTCTGAAGGTTCACTGAAAAATCAACTCACAAAAGGAGGTTAGTAGGAGAAATGGCATACAAATTGATTAGCCTGCAGCGTGGGGTCGGGAACCACAGAGTGTTCACCCCAGCCCCACAATGGGTACAGAAGCCTATATACCATCCTGAGGTTACAGGAAGAATGGGGGCTCGAACATGGCCAAAACCAGTTTCTGGTGGTAAATCAGGTTATAGTGGCAAGACAGACTATGGAAGGGGGAGAAAAGGGGGCCTGGGTAGCAAAGGCAGTCTTGTTATGTAGATGAAACCTCACAGGTAGCAGCCCTCAGAGGGAATAGATGGTAATTGTTTCGTTCAGACCTTTAAAGGGTGTCAGGCTCTCAGTCTGACAAGGGAAGGCCTTAGAGAAAGCCTGGCTACATCAATGCAGATTTTCTCTACAGATGCAAATCTCCCCCACAAAAGACAGTATTACAGGGCTACTTCTGTTTGCAGACCCTCTGAACAGCTATCTCAAAATATGTTGAAGAAGTATATTTCAGGGTGAAATACTTTGATTTCCTTCAATACCTAGATACATGTATCTAGTATATCTGTAGCATACATGTATCTAGAGGTACACATGCATCTAGTATGTATCTAGTATATGTGATTTAGTATACATGCATCTACTATGTATCTGGTATACCTGACCTAGTATACATCTAGTATGTATCTAATTTACATGATTTAGTCTATGTGTATCTAGTATGTATCTGGGATGTAGAATCCTGCATCTAGGAAGGTAGGGGTAAGGATGGAGCTCAGGTCCGGGGGATTCCAAAGCAGGTACTCACCGTGCCCCTCCCCCACAGCTGTGGCAATTTGGGGAGTGGGTGGACGTGGTCGTGGATGACCTGCTGCCCATCAAGGACGGGAAGCTAGTGTTCGTGCACTCTGCCGAAGGCAACGAGTTCTGGAGCGCCCTGCTTGAGAAGGCCTATGCCAAGTGAGTAGCGGCTGAGGGGGCAACTCCAGCTTCCAGCTCCCCCTAGGGGTGGGGGCTCATGACTGTCTTCTCAGAGGGTCCTGCTTGATGCCAGAGTGCTGACCTGGAGCTGCCCACAGGGTAAATGGCAGCTACGAGGCCCTGTCAGGGGGCAGCACCTCAGAGGGCTTTGAGGACTTCACAGGCGGGGTTACCGAGTGGTACGAGTTGCGCAAGGCTCCCAGTGACCTCTACCAGATCATCCTCAAGGCGCTGGAGCGGGGCTCCCTGCTGGGCTGCTCCATAGACGTGAGTGTGCCCGGCCCCGATGCTTTGGTACCCTGGAACCCTGGTATCCTGACCTGTCACATTTTCTAAAATCCCCACCCAGGCTCCGCTCCAGACCCTGTCCTGCACTTAAGCTTCATCTCTGGATGCATACCCTGCCTCATCCATCACTTCCACCCCCCATGCCTGGTGTCGCTCCTGTCCTCACCTACCCACTCCTCCCCCAAAACTTCACACCTCAGCTCTTTCCTGTGCTTGTTTTCCCGTCTACCATGCTGTTTCCCTCATTCCTGTCATCTCAATCCATGCCATCCTCTGTCCAGTTCACCAGCCTCAGATTTCATCTCCTGGTCTCAGTTCCCACCCATCCCTAGCCTCAATCCCACACTCACTCCATTCCCACCCTTCCCTGCTCCTCTGTTCCCACACTCAACTCCGCTCCCCAGTCCTCAACGCCAGACTTGACCCCAGTATCACTGCCATCCGCAGCTCTAACCCCAGCTCCCATTCCCATTTCTAACTGACTCTTCTGTCCTCACGTCCTTCTCCGTGAGGCCCACTGAGGGCTGTGTGGCTCTGGTGGGCTGTGCACGGCTGTGTGTGTGCACATGCATGTTCGCACAGGTTCTGGTCAGCCCTGGCCAGTAGCAGTGTCAGCGGAGTGCCTGGGCTCCCCTGTCCCAGTGGCAGCATTGGTGGGGTACCCAGGCTACCCCTCTCCAAAAGAGCAGCATCTATATGTGGGGGTGTCTATAGGTGGGATCGGGGTCCCTGCTTGCTTCTCCTAGCAACTGTTGTATGTGCAAGTGGGAACGTCCAAGACCCTGAGTGCTGGGGGCTCATCTGATAGGGCGGGGGGACCTAGCCACTGACCACAGTGTGTGCCTCTTTCTGCAGATCTCCAGCGTTCTAGACATGGAGGCCATCACTTTCAAGAAGTTGGTGAAGGGCCATGCCTACTCTGTGACCGGGGCCAAGCAGGTACTGCCCTGGGTGGGGCCTTCCCTGAAGGGCGGTTCCTGCCCCCTGGCCTGTCCTTGCCTCTCTGGCACCTGACCAGGGCTGTGGAAGGTGCTGGCTCCTCCTTTCCCCTCCTGCAGCACCTTATCTCTCTTCTGGGGACACCCATCTGAGATGCCTATCATGTCCTGCCCTGACTGACTGTAGTTCATGTGTGCAGCTGCCTGCCTGGGCTGTGAATTCCAAGAGGACAGGCTTCATCTGGGTGCTGAGCAGGGCTTGGAGAGGATGAGGGTATGGGAGGCGGAGTGTTAAAGTGCGTGCATGGGCCAGGTGCACTGGCTCACACCTGTAATCCCAACACTTTGGGAGGCTGAGGTGGGCAGATCACCTGAGGTCAGGAGTTCGAGACCAGCCTGGCCAACATGGTGAAACTCTGTCTCTACTAAAAATACAAAAACTACCTGGGTGTGGTGGCAGGTGCCTGTAATTCCAGCTATTTGGGAGGCTGAGGCAAGAGAATTGAATTGCTTGAACCCAGGAGGCGGAGGTTGCAGTGAGCTGAGATCGCACCACTGCACTCCAGCCTGGGTGACAGAGCAAGACTCTGTCTCAAAAAAGAAAAAAAAAAAAAGTGCCTGCTGGAAGCTAGCACTGACAGGAGCTCTGGCAAATAGGTGAACTACCGAGGCCAGGTGGTGAGCCTGATCCGGATGCGGAACCCCTGGGGCGAGGTGGAGTGGACGGGAGCCTGGAGCGACAGGTGAGGGGCAGTGGGCACTGTCTGGAGTGCCTTGGGGAAACTGTTAGGTGCCCCGACATTTCTGCTCGGGACTCTACCAGGCCAGGCTGGACTCAGGATTGAGCAGAGGGGCCCATCTTCGCGCGACTGGGTCTGGGGGACTGCTCTGACAAAGCTCAGGCCGTGCGGGCCCCTGTGCCCAGCCGTCGGGTGTGTGCAGGGCATCAGACTGGCCCTGATGAGACCACCCCCTAGAAGCGGAACCTTGGCGCTTGACCTTGAGGAGGCCACCTGGGCTGGGCCGGGGGAAGACAGGCCAGGGTAGACAGGCCCCAGGGACAGAGGCCAGGCAGGTCAGTGCCCACCAGCCCTGGCAGAGCCCTGCTCCTCACAGCTCCTCAGAGTGGAACAACGTGGACCCATATGAACGGGACCAGCTCCGGGTCAAGATGGAGGACGGGGAGTTCTGGTGAGCGCCCCCTCCCCTTCTACCCCACCTCTCCACCCCTACACATCAGCTCTGTGCCCTGACGGGCTGTGCCTCACCTGTGTACCTCCCACCTCAGGATGTCATTCCGAGACTTCATGCGGGAGTTCACCCGCCTGGAGATCTGCAACCTCACACCCGACGCCCTCAAGAGCCGGACCATCCGCAAATGGAACACCACACTCTACGAAGGCACCTGGCGGCGGGGGAGCACCGCGGGGGGCTGCCGAAACTACCCAGGTGCACAGGGGCGGGCTCTGGGTCTTGCTGCTTCCTGGCTTAGGGGCTCCAGAAGGCACGTCATCTTACTGAGCCTCCGTTTCCTCACTTGCAAGATATAGGCTGATCTCTTGAATTTGCTTTGAGGAGTAAAATATTAAATGTCCTAGTAAATTTTAAAGAGGCATGCTTGACTCACCGTCTTGGGGCCTGAGCCCAGGGTGCTCATGAGGGGCAAAGATCTTGTGGCCATCCAGCCACCTGCCTGTCACTCCTTTCCTGGGCCCTTCCCTCCTGCCTTCGCTTTTTTTTTTCTGAGACAGAGTCTCACTCTGTTGCCCAGGCTGGAGTGCAGTAGCGTGGCCTTGGCTGACTACAACCTCCATCTCCCGGATTCAAGCAATTCTCCTGCCTTAGCCTCCCGAGTAGCTGGGATTACAGGCACCTACCATACCCAGCTAATTTTTGTATTTTTAGTAGAGGCAGGGTTTCTCCATGTTGGCCAGGCTGGTCTCGATCTCCTGACCTCAGGTGATCCGACCACCTTGGCCTCCCAAAGTGCTGGGATTACAGGCGTGCGCCACTGTGCCAGGTCCCTTCTTGCCTTCTCTTGCCACCTTTCCCTGGGCTTCTAGATCCATGTGGCTGATGTGGGCCACAGCCTGGCCTCTCAGTTCCTTGTCACTCTCACTGCAGCACGCTTTTTCTCTACCTTAGCTCAGCCCCCACCATGAGGGCACCAGAGCTGCCTTGTCTTGCAAACACCCGCTCTCTGACCTCCACCTTCGACTCTTTCCACTCCCTTAGTCTTCAACCCTTCGACCAAGCCAGTCCGTTGAACCCATCACTTGCGTACCATCCTGCCTCTCCCATCTTGCCTTCTCTCCTTACCTAGGTTAGAGCTATCATTTTAATCTTGTTCCTACAAACACTTTCAGTTCCCTGGCCCCTGTCTCCCATCATCTGGCACAAAACCCATCTCCACTGGCTTGGGAACCATTGAGTGTGGCAGGAGAGAAATCACATAACCGATGCCATATTTTCCCTGTAAATTCTTAGCCACAAATCTCAAATGAGCATTTTCCATAATCCCCAGCAATTCCACTACTGGTTAGTAACATTTCCACTCTCACCTCGATATCTCCCCACTGTTACTCTCACCTTCGGGCCTGGCCTTGCACTTCACTGAAAAGATAGACTTCATCCTGCAGGACACCTTGTGTTCCCACCTCCAAATCCCCCAGCCTTCTGCACCTGTGCCTGTGTCCTCATCGCCTCCCCACCTGCGACAGTGGCAGAACAGTCCCTGTTCATGGGGACCCCCACGTCTGCTCCAGATCCCATTCTCCCTCACCTCTGAAAGCATTTGCTCCTTCATCTGTCACCTCTCTCTCCAGTGTCATTACGGAGAGTCCTCTGTCTTAACACAAAGCAACCCTCTCGACCCCACTTCCCTGTTCATTTCTCCGCCCTCCTTCAAAGCACAATTTATCAGGAATTACCATACTCCCTATTTCCTTTCTCACTTCTGCTTCATTGCTTAACCCTTCCCAGTCCAGCTTCATCCCTACCATGCTGCTAAAACCACCCTCTCAAAGGTCACTTAAGCTTTGGCCTTGCCAGATCCGCCGCTGCTCTGTCCTCCTGTGCTGCATCCTCAGCACGGCTCCCTGCCCTCTGTTTTGAAGCATTCTTCTCCCTTGTAGGGATCCAATTTCAGTCTTTCCCCAAATAGATAACCACCGTTCCCTGTACCATTTATTGAGAAATACATCATCTCGTCTCTCCCCAGCAGCACTAGCGCCCTCAAGTAGTCCTGAGGTATGTGTTGGTCTGTTTCTGGACTCACCATTCTGTCCCTGGGTCTATCCCTCTGCCGATAACACATTGAATCCATTACTACAGATGTGTAAGTCCTGCTGTTGGACAGGGCAAATTCCTTCTTCAAGAGTCTCTTAGCTGTTTTTTTTGTTGTTGGTTTTTTTTGTTTTTGTTTTTGTTTTTTGAGACGGAGTCTTGCTCTGTTGCCCAGGCTGGAGTGCAGTGGCGCGATCTCGGCTCACTGCAACCTCTGCCTCCTGGGTTCAGATGATGCTTCTGCCTCAACCTCCTGAGTAGCTGTGATTACAGGTGCCCGCCACCACATCCAGCTAATGTTTGTATTTTTAGTAGAGACGGGGTTTCACCATGTTGGCCAGGCTGGTTTCAAACTCAAGTGATCCACCTGGCTTAGCCTCCCAAATTGCTGGGATTACAGGCGTGAGCCACTGCATCTGTCTTAGCTGTTCTTGACCTCTGTTTTTCCAAATGAATTTTAGAATCAGTTTACCAAGTCTTTTGAAAAACCATTTTGAGATTTTAATTTGGAATTACATGAAACCTATAGACCAATTTGGGGAGACTTGACATTTTTATAATTTTAAGTCTTATCCAAGGATATGGTGTATCTCTTCATTTATTTTGGCCTTTAATGTCTTTCAATAGAATGTTGTATTTTTTATCATAAAGAATTTATACATCTCTTGAGATTTAATGCTAGGTACACTATAATTTTGTTTCTATTATAAATAGTATGTTCTTTAAAATTACATCTCCCAAGTGATCTTGTTGCTCATACGATAACATGCATTTGACCTTTTAGATGTAGTTTTTATATCCAGCAAATTTTTTAAAACTAATTAATCTTACTGATTCATCTGTATGTATTTTTTGGCACGATCTTAGCTCACTACAACTTCTGCTTCCCTGGTTCAAGTGATTCTCGTGCCTCAGCTTCCCGAGTAGCTGGGATTACAGGCGTGCGGCACCACACCTGGCTAATTTTTGTATTTTTATTAGAGACAGGGTTTCACCATGTTGGCCAGGGTGGTCTCGAACTCCTGACCTCAGGTGATCTGCCTGCCTTGGCCTCCCAAAGTGCTGGGATTACAGTGAGCCACTGCGTCCAGCCCTTTTTGGTTTTCTAATTAGGAATATAGCATCTGCAAATAATGACAGATTGTTTCTTCTTTTCTAATTCTTACAACTTTTGTTACTTTTTCTTGTCTAATATGCTGCCTAGAACTGTAGAGCTTCCTGCTCTTGTTCCTCCCTTTTTTTTATTCTTATTTTTAGGAGCAACCCTATTAACTAAGCCTCACTCTTAAAGGGGAAGTTTTCACCACTAAGTACCTTTCTAATCTAGGTTTTTTGTGGATACCTTTTATCAGACTAATGAAGTTTAATATTGTTAAATACTTTGAATTGTCTATATTATGATGATAGTATGCTTTTTTCTTTTATTTATTAAAATGGTCCCAGGAATTTGTGAACAGCTTGGGCAATACAGTGAGACCTCATCTCTACAAAAAATTTAAAAAATTAGCCTGGTATGGTGGCACACACCTGTAGTCCCAGCCACTCAGGAGGCTGAGGAGGGAGGATCATTTGAGCCAGGGAGGTAGAGGCTACAGTGAGCCATGTTTGCGCCACTGCACTCCACCCTGGGCAACAGAACATGACCCCATTTAAAAAAAATAAAATGGTAAATTGCATTTGTTGCTTTTCTAACGTTAAATCAACTTTACATTCTTGAGATAAAAACAACATGGTCACGAGTGACGTTTGCCTGTTATTTTCCTTTCTTATACTAACCATACTGGTATCAGTGCTATGTTCTTCCTGTACAGTGAGGTGGGAAGTATCCTCTCTTTTTCTGTTTCCTAGAAGAGTTTACCTAAGATGGGAGTGATTTGTTGCTTGAATGGTTGGTAGAACTTGTCTGTAAAGCTGTCAGGCTTGCTTTTTTCTTTGTATGAAGATTAATGATATTCAGTATTGAAAGTTAAAGGTTATAGAATTGTTCAGATTTTCTGTTTCTTGAGCCAATTTTGATGAGTTGTATTTTCTTTTGTTTTTTCTTTTTCTTTTTCTTTCTTTTTTTTTTTAAGAGAGACAGGGTTTTTTAGAGAGAGGTTACTCACTGCAACCTCGAACTCCTGAGCTCAAATCCTGCCTCAGCCTCCTGAGTAGCTGGGACTACACAGGTGTGAGCCTCTATGATTGGCTAATTTTTTATTTTTATAGAGATGGGGGTCTCACTATGTTGCCCAGGCTTATCTCGAATTCCTGGGCTCAAGTGATCCTCCCACCTTGGCCTCCCAAAGTGCTGAGATTACAGGCATGAGCCACTGTGCCCAGCCCTGAGTTGTATTTTCTAATAATTTATTCTTTGCATCTGTTTTCAAAGTTATTAGCACAAAGTTATCCTTAATATACTCTTTTTTTTTTTTTTGAGACAGAGTCTTGCTCTGTCGCCCAGGCTGGAGTGCAGTGGTGCCATCTCAGCTTACTGCAAGCTCTGCCTCCCGGGTTCACGCCATTCTCCTGCCTCAGCCTCCCGAGTAGCTGGGACTACAGGTGCCCACCACCACGCCTGGCTAATTTTTTTTTTTTTTTTTGTATTTTTAGTAGAGATGGGGTTTCACCATGGTCTCGATCATCTGACCTTGTGATCCTCCTGCCTCGGCCTCCCAAAGTGCTGGGATTACAGGCGTGAGCCACTGCACCCAGCCCCCTCTTAATATACTCTTATGTCTCGTGTATAATAATGTCCCCTTTTTATGCATGGGATTGCTCATTTGCATTGTCTCTTTTGTCTTTATTAATCCTGCAAGAAGTTTGTCAATATAAATCTTTACAAATAAATGACTTTTGGCCAGCTGCACTCAGGAGATCGAGACCATCCTGGCCAACACAGTGAAACCCCGTCTCTACTAAAAATACAAAAAATTAGCCGGGCGTAGTGGCAGGTGCCTGTGGTCCCAGCTGCTTGGGAGGCTGAGGCAGGAGAATGGTGTGAACCTGGGAGACAGAGCTTGCAGTGAGCCGAGGTCGCGCCACTGCACTCCAGCCCGGGCAATAGAGCGAGACTCTGTCTCAAAAAAAAAAAAAAAAAAAAAGACTTTTGACTTTGTTGGTCCTTTGTATAGTATTTCTTTTTCTTTTATTATTTTTACTTATTTATTTAGAGATGGGGTCTTGCTCTATTGCCCAGGCTGGAGTGCAGTGGCACAATCCTAGTCCTCTGTGATCCTAGGTCACTGCAGCCTAAATTCCTGGCTCAGGTGATCCTCTCACTTCAGCCTCCCAAGTGGCTGGGATTATACGTGTGTGCCACAGTGCCTGGTAGTATTTTTTTCATATATCATTAATCTTTACTGTTTATTATCTCATTCCTTCTACTTTCTTTGGATTGATTTTTTTTTTTTTTTTTTTTTTTTGAGATAGTCTCACTCTGTCACCTCGGCTGGAGTGGTGCGATCTTGGCTCACTGCAACCTCCACCTCCTGGGTTTAAGCGATTCTCTTGCCTCAGCCTCCCAAGTAACTGGAATTACAGGCATGCGCCACCATGCCCAACTAATTTTTTTTTTTGTATTTTTAGTAGATACCAGGTTTGACCATGTTGGCCAGGCTGGTCTTGAATTCCTGACCTCAACTGATCCGCCCTGCTGTGGGCTCCCAAAGTGCTAGGATTATAGGCGTGAGCCACCACGCTCGGCCTGGATTGACTTTTTGACTTTATTTTATGACTTCTTAAATTAGATGCTTATTTCGTTAATTTAGATTTTTAAAATTTAAGCAACTAAAGTGATAAATTTCCTTTTAAGTACATCGTTAATTAAGTTACACAATTTTGATACATAGTGTTTTTGAAAATCGTGAATGAGTATAATTCACACACCAGAAAATTTGCACTTTTAATGTGTGAAATTTAGTGGTTTTTAGTGTACCCACAGCGTTGTGTAAGCATTGCCGTTATCCAGAGCATTTCTTCACCGCCCCCACCCCGAAAATCCCGTAATTATTGGCCATCACTTTCTATCCCTTTCTCCCTAGCAACCATGAATCTACTTTTTGTCTCTATAAATTTACCTATTCTGGACTTTTTTGCCTTAGCATAATGTTTTCAAGCTTCATTTATGGTGTAGAAGTACTTCATCTCTTTTTTATGGCAGATTAATCTTCCATGATATGGATATACCACATTTTGCTGATTCATTCATCAGTTGATGGACATTTGTGTTATTTCCAGTTTTTGGCTATGTGGAGAATGTTCCTGTGAACATTCATGTGCATGCGTTTCAACATATGTTTTCAGTTCTCTGGGGCCTATAACTAGGAGTGAAATTGTTGGGCCATAGGGTAATTCCATGTTTAATTTTTTGAGGAACTGCCAATTGTTTTCCAAAGCAGCAGCACCATTTTATATCCCCACCAACAACATGTGAGGGTTCTGATTTCTCCACATCCTCTTCAACACTAGTTATTGCTCTTCTTTTTGATTATAGCCATCCTAGTGGGTGTGAAGTGGTATCACTGAAGTTTTTTGGGGTTTTTTTTTTTTTTTTTTTTTTTTTTTGAGTCTGGATCTTGCTCTATCACCTAGGCTGAAGTGCAGTGGCGCCATCTCAGCTCACTGCAACCTCTGCCTCCCAGGTTCAAGTGATTCTCCTGCCTCAGCCTCCCTTAGTCCCTAGCTGGGACTACAGGTGCACACTGCCACACCCAGCTAATTTTTGTAGTTTTAGTAGAGACAGGGTTTCACCCTTCAGACCAGCCGTGTTGGTCAGGCTGGTCTCAAACTCCTGACCTCGTGATCTGCCCACGTCAGCCTCCCAAAGTGCTGAGATTACAGGTGTTAGCCACCGCGCCCGGCCAATTTTCTGAATTTTTAAAATCATGAACTGATGTGCTTTTTGTGCATCAATTGAGATGATCATTTTGAGGTTTTTTTCCCCTTCATTCTATTAATGTGGTATATTACATTGATCAACTTTCCTTTGTTGAACTACCCTTGCATTCCTGGGATAAATCCCACTTCATCATGGTGTATATTCCTTTTAATATGCTGTTGGGTTGGGTTCATCGCTTTTTTTGGGAGGGGGTGGATTTTTGCATCTATATTCATAAGTGATATTGGTCTGTAATCTTCTTTCCTTGTGGTGTCTTTATCTGGCTTTAAGGTAATGCTGGCCTCCTGGGATGAGTTAGGAAGTGTCCCCTCATCTTCAGTTATTTAGAAGAGTTTGAGGATTGGTGTTAATTTGTCTTTAAATGTTTGGTGGAATTTCGAAGCCATCTGGTCCTGGACATTTCTTTGGTGAGAAGTTTTTTGTTGTTGTTGATTCAGTCTTTTTATTATTATAGGTCTATTTAGATTTTCTATTTTTCCTAGGTCAGTTTTGGTGCTTTGTTTCTTTCTAGGAATTTGTTCTTTTTGTCTATATTATCTAATTTATTATCATATAATTGTCTATAGTGTTTCCTTGTAATCTTTTTATTTTTGTTAGGCTGGTAGTGATGTCCCTCTTTAATTCCTGATTTTAGTAATTTGAGTCCTCTGTCTTTTCTCCTGTTTAGGCCAGGTAAAGAATTGTCAATTTTGTTGAGCTTTTCAAAGAACTATTGGTTTTATTGATTTTTCTTTATTGTTTATTCTCTATTTCATGTATTTGGACTTTAATCTTCATTATTTCTTTTCTTCTGCTTGCTTTGGGTTCAATTTGCCCATTTTCTTTTTTCTTAAATCCCAAGAACCAGTGAAAGTTCATTTTCTAGTTTCTTTTTTTAATTTAATAAATCCATTTTTTATTTCATATATCATAGTGGGACATATTTTTGGGGTACATGTGATATTTTGATAACGTATACAATGTGTAATGATCAAATCAGGGTAATTGGGATCCATCGCCTCAAACATTTATCTTTTCTTTGTGTTGGAGACATTACAATTCTTCTAGCTATTTTGAAATATACAGTAAACTACTGTTAACTATAATTTCCCCTGCCTTACTGTCAAATACTAGAACTTATTCCTTCTATTTAACTGCCTTTTCTAGTTTCTTAAGGTGGAAGGTTAGGTTATTGATTTGATAGCTCTCTCTTTTAATATATGTACATTTTTCATGGCCATGCTATGTAATTTCTCATTACCATTATCATCTCTTTCCGATAAACTAGTTATTTTAGAAGAATGTTTTTTAAAACATAAAAAAATTTCTAACTTAATTTTCTCATAGTAAAAAAATGTGACCTACATAAGATCATAGCTTTGAAGTGAACAGAAGCTGGTGCTATGGCTCAGTGTATGATGAATTTTCATAAAGGTTCCTTCGTTCTTGAAAAGACTGGCTAACAAATTGTGACTGTAGGTGAAGCACTCCTAAGTATTTTAAATATGATAATTAGCTTAACTCACACTGAGCCTATGAGGCAGGAACTATTATTATCCTTATCTTAGGGATAATAAAGAAACTGAGGCACAGAAAGATTTAAGCAACTTGATGAAGTCACTGATCTATGAAGTGGCAAAACTGGGATTTGAACCCAGGCAGAGGGATCCTGAAGTCTGTTCTCTCAGCCAGTACGCTATTCTCTGAGTACTAGGGGGATTGTTCTATAATTGTCCATTATATCAAACTTATTGTTTTGTCTGCTTAATCTATCAATTACTGAAAGAAAGAAAGAAAGATGATAAAAATCTTATAACATCCTAATGGCTTTGCCAATTTCTCTCTGTATTTCTATCAATTATTTTTCATTATATATTTTGAGCTATGATATTTGGTACATCACATTTAGAATTCTTATAAGCGCCTAGTGAATTAAACATTTTTTAAAATCTAGTGACCACCTTCATCTCTAATAATTATTTTTACTTTCAAGTCTATTTCAGCCAATGTTTCTATAGCTAATTCAGGGTTTTTTTTTGTTGAATTTTTAAAATATATCTTTTTATACTGTTTGATGTCCAATCTTTCTATAGCCCAATGTTTTGTTTTCTTGTAAACAGCACTAGCCAGCTTTTTAGTAATCCAGTTTGAAAAATTTTGTCCACGCTGGGCACAGTGGCTCACGCCTGTAATCCCAGAACTTTGGGAGGCCCAGGTGGACGGATCACCTGAGGTCAGGAGTTCGAGACCAGCCTGGCCAACATGGTGGAACCCCATCTCTACCAAAAATACAAAAATTAGCCGGGCAAGGTGGGTAGGTGCCTGTAATGCCAGCTACTAGGGAGACTGAGGCAGGAGAATCACTTGAACCTGGGAGGTGGAGGTTGCAGTGAGCCAAGATTGTGCCATTGCACTCCAGCCTGGGTGAAAAGAGCAAAACTCTATCTGAAAAAAAAAAAAAAAAAAAAAGACAAAGGAATATTTTGTCCTTTGACTAGAGAGTTTAGTTCATTTACACTCACAGTGATTAATGCTGTATTTATTTCAGCTGACTTACTGTGTTTACTTATTTTCTGCTTGTCTTCCTGTCATGCTGCCTTTTGTGTTGAGTTCCTGCTTTTCTCTCTACTAATTTTTTTCTCTGTGAGTTTGAAAGACATAAGAGTTTGCTTAATACATACTAAAGTTAGTTAATCAGTGTCTTTTTTTTTTTTCTCTGAGACAGGGTCTGGCTCTGTCACCCAGGCTGGAGTGTGGTGGCGTGATCTCAGCTCACTGCAACCTCTGCCTCCTGGGCTCAAGCCATCCTCCCACCTGAGCTTCCCGAGTAGCTGAGTGGTACTACAGGTGCACACCACCATGCCTGGCTAATTTTTGCACTTTTTTGGTAGAGATGGGGTTTTGCTCTGTTACCCAGGCTGGTCTCAAACTCCTAGCTCAAGCCATCCACCTGCCTCGGCCTCCCAAAGTGCTAGGATTACAGGCGTGAGCCACTGTGCCCAGCCCTAATCAATGACTTTACCCTCCTCGTGAACAATGCATAAACCTTAGAAATTCAGCTTGAATCACCCCTTTCCTTTGTATATTATGCTATGGTGGGCTAGTATTTTAATTCTAAAGTTTTTTTTTCCTGCCATAATTTAAACATCATCATGATTTGAGATAGCCCATGTTATTTGGATTACCCACAAATAAAAGTATTTTTGTTCAGCATTCTCAGACCTTTCATCTGAGATCATTTTCCATCCACCCGAAACATATCCTTTTGTATTTCCTTTGTTTTGTTTTCTTTTTGAGCAGGCTTGATCTCCTGGTCTCAGGTGAGCCTCCCACCTCAGTGTCTCAAGTAGCTAGGACTACAGGCACATGCCACCATGCCCAGATAATTTTTTTTGGGAGGGTTGGGGGGCAGTTGACGGAGTCGCGCTCTGTCGCCCAGGCTGGAGTGCAGTGGCGCGATCTCCACTCACCGCAACCTCTGCCTCCCAAGTTCAAGCGATTCTTCTTCCTCAGCCTCCCAAGTAGCTGGGATTCTAGGTGTGCACCACCACATCCAGCTAATTTTTGTATTTTTAGTAGAGATGGGGTTTCACCATGTTGACCAGGCTAGTCTCGAACACCTGGCCTCAAGTGATCCACCCTCCTCAGCCTCCCAAAGTGCTGAGATTACAGGCATGAAGTACCACACCTGGCCCTTTTTGTATTTGTATTTTTATTTTTTAGCAAGGGTCTGTTGGTTATAAACTTTCTCAGTGTTTGTCTAAAATGCCTTTATAGTGTGCTTATTCTTGACAGTTCTCTGGATATAGAATTCTGGCTTGACATTATTTTCAGCCTCTCAAAGACACTATTAGTCCTGTTCTGCTTCCATCATTGCTATGTGAGCCAGGAGTCTGTCTACCTTGCCTTCTGGAAAAAATCTTAATTTTTTTTTTCTTTCATACTATACGATTCACCATGATGTGTGGAGGTATGGATTTCTTTTCATTCTGCCTTGAATGTATTGAACTTCCTGGCTATGAATTGATACCTTTCAACAATTCTAGAAAATTTGTAGTCATGATCTTTGAGAATATCACCTCCTTCCCACTCTCTGTATATTCTAATAAAATCTAAACTGGACCTTCTCACTCAATCCTCTCTTTCTCTTAACCTTGCTTTTAGATTTCCCATCTCTTAGTGTCTCTGGATTGCATTCTGGGTTGTTCCTTCAGCTCCTTTCTCAGTTCACTAATTTTCTTTTTTGCTCTGTCAAATCTGTTAGTTATTTCTTCCAAGAACTTAATTTCAATTTTAAAAATTTTGTTTCTAGAAGATGTAATGGATCTTTTCAAATCTGTTCATTTTTGCTCAAATTTTCAAACTTTTCATCTATTTCTTTAAACATAGTAAGCATAGTCTTATATTCTGTGTCTGATAAGGTCAATATCTGAAGTCTTAGTGGTCAGTTTTTGTCCACTGTGGCTGCTGCTCAGTTATCACGCCTTGTTTGCTTGTGAGATCTCTGCCCCGTGAGAGAGTTCTTTGAGTCCTCAGATAAAGTTAAATTGCTCCGGGGTGTTTCTGCTAGTCACCTGGAATGCCACCAATCCAGAACACCTTTTTCGTTCTTTTTTATTTATTTACTTATTTTTTGAGACACAGTCTTGCTCCGGCTGGAGTGCAATGGCATAACCTCAGCTCACTTCAGCCTCGACCTCCCAGGCTCAAGGAATCCTTCCACCTCAGCCTTCCCAGTAGCTGGGACTACAGGCACACACCACCATGCCCAGCTAATTTTTGTAGAGATGGGGTTTTACCACCTCGCCCAGGCTAGTTTTGAGCTCCAGGACTCATGCGATCTGTCTGCTTCAGCCTCCCAAAGTGCTAGGATTACAGGCGTGAGTCTGAGTCACCATACCCAGCTTTGTTCTTTTTTTTTGGAGATGGACTCTCACTCTGTCGCCCAGGCTGGAGTGCAATGGTGTGATCTCGGCTCACTGCAACCTCTGCTCCCCAGGTTTAAGCAATTCTCTGCCTCAGCCTCCTGAGTAGCTGGGATTACAGGCGTGTGCCACTATGTCTGACTAATTTTTTGTATTTTTAGTAGAGACAGGGTTTCACCATCTTGGCCAGGCTGGTCTTGAACTCCTGACCTCGTGATCCACCCACCTTGGTCTCCCAAAGTGCTGGGATTACAGGTGTGAGCCACCGTGCCCGGCCGCCTTGTTCTTTTTTTGAGACAGTGTCTCATTCTGTCACCCAGGTTGGAGTGCAGTGGTGCAATCATAGCTCACTGCAGCCTCAGCCTTCTGGGCTCAAACTATCCTCCCAAGTAGCTGGGACTATGATAGAGACACACACCACACGCCCAGCTAACTTCTTACATTTTTTGGAGAGATGGGGTCTTGCTAGGTTGGCTAGGCTGGTGTTGAACTCCTGGGCTCAAGTGATCCTCCCACCTCAGCCTCCTGATTTACCTGGGACTACAGATCCATGCCACCATGCCTGGCTTTTTTTTTTTTTTTTTTTTTTTTTTTTTTGAGACGGAGTCTGGCTCTGTCACCCAGGCTGGAGTGCAGTGGCGCAATCTCAGCTCACTGCAAGCTCCTTCTCCCGGGTTCGTGCCATTCTCCTGCCTCAGCCTCCCCAGTAGCTGGGACTACAGGTGCCCACCACCACGCCCGGGTAATTTTTTGTGTTTTTAGTAGAGATGGGGTTTCACCATGTTAGCCAGGATGGTCTTGATCTCCTGACCTCATGATCCGCCCATCTTGGCCTCCCAAAGTGCTGAGATTACAGGTGTGAGCCACCACGCCTGGTCGTCTGGCTCATTTTCTTACTTTTTGTAGTGATGGGGTCTCCCTATGTTGCCCAGGCTGGTCTTGAACTCCTGGGCTCAAGCAGTCCTCCCACCTCGGTCTCCCAAAACACTGGGATTACAGTCCATCAGCCACTGTGCCTGGTGCAGGACGCTTTTAAGACTAAATTATCTTCTTAAGGTTTCACAGGCAGTGTGAATTAAAACTGAAAGGTCATGTGAAGCCTGGCTTGAGGTTATTTTTTCCTTCCCTCCAGGGAGGTTTAATTTTCTTTCTTTCTTTTTTTTTGTTTTTGAGACGGAGTCTCGCTCTGTCGCCCAGGCTTGAGTGCAGTGGCGCGATCTCGGCTCACTGCAAGCTCCGCCTCCCAGGTTCATGCCATTCTCCTGCCTCAGCCTCCCGAGTAGCTGGGACTACAGGCACCTGCCACCACGCCCGGCTAATTTTTTTGTATTTTTAGTAGAGACGGGGTTTCACCGTGTTAGCCAGGATGGTCTCGATCTCCTGACCTCGTGATCCGCCCGTCTCGGCCTCCCAAAGTGCTGGGATTACAGGCGTGAGCCACCGCGCCCGGCTTTTGTTTTTGTTTTTTTTTTTTTGAGACACGGTCTTGGTCTGTTGCCCAGGCTGGAGTGCAGTGGCATGATCTTGGCTCACTGCAACCTCCACCTCCCGGGTTCAAGCGATTTTCCTGCCTCATCCTCCCGAGTAAGTGGGACTACAGGTGCCCACCACCATGCCTGGCTAATTTCTGTATTTTTTCAGTAGAGAATGGGTTTTACCATGTTGGCCAGGCTGGTCTCAAACTCCTGACCTCAAATGATCCACCCGCCTCGGCCTCCCACAGTGCTGGGATTACAGGCGTGAGCCACTGCGCCCAGCCTAATTTTCTTTCATACTTCATTGCTGACATTCCTGACGGGGGTTCCAGTTTAATTGCAGGAACTTCCTGTTGGATTCTCTACCTCAGGTAGATGTTTATCATCTGCTTCTATACCCTGGGGTTCAGGGGTCTACAGAAGCCCTTTAGCATTATTTACCTTGCAGGGTTCCTACTTTCTATTTTTTAAAAATATCTTTATTGATACTTAATTCACATACCATACAAGTCACCTATTTAAAGTTGCAATTTAAATATACTATTAAATATACAATTTAAATGTACTGAAGTATATTACGATTTTATTTATTTATTTATTTGTTTGTTTGTTTGTTTATTGAGATGGAGTCTCGCTCTGTCACCCAGGCTGGAGTGCAGTGGCCAGATCTCGGCTCACTGCAACCTCTGTCTCCTGGGTTCACGCAATTCTCCTACCTCAGCCTTCCAGGTAGCTGGGATTACAGGCACCTGCCACCATGGCCACCTAATTTTTGCATTTTTAGTACAGACGGGGTTTCACCACGTTGGCCAGGCTGGTCTCAAACTCCTGACCTTAGGTGATCCAGCTGCCTCAGCCTCCCAAAGTGCTGGGATTACAGGTGTGAGCCACTGCACCTGGCCATATATTACGATTTAAATATACTATTAAATATACAATTTAAATATACTATTTAAAGTATATTCACAGAGTTGTGCAACCATCACCACATCAATTTTAGAACATTTCATTATCCCAAAAACAAATGAGGTACTCCTTAGCCATGACTCCCCAGCCCTCCCAGCAGCCCTGGCAACCACAAATCTACTTCTTATCTCTATGGATTTGCCTACTGGGATATTTCATGTGAACAGGATCATATAATACATGGTCCTTTGTGGCTGGCCTTTTTCATTTAGCATAATGTTTGCAAGGTTCCTCCATGTTGTAGCATGGATCAGAATGTTGTTCCTCTTTGTTGCCAAATAATATCCCATTGTTTGGCTCCATATTTTGTATATTCACTCTTCAGTTGATGGATAATTGGGTAGTTTCATCCACTCAGCTGTTATAAATAATGCAGCCATTAACATTCTCTCTTTTTTTTTTTAAATGGAATCTTGCTCTCTTGCCCAGGCTGGAGTGCAGTGGCACGATCTCGGCTCACTGCTACCTCTGCCTCTGGGTTCAAGCGATTCTCCTACCTCAGCCTCCTGAGTAGCTGGGATTACAGGCATGTGCCACCACGCCCAGCTAGTTTTGTGGGTTGTTTGTTTTTGAAACTGAATCTTACTCTGTCGCCCAGGCTGGAGTGCTGTGGCACGATCTCAGCTCACTGCAACCTCCGCCTCCCAGGTTTAAGCGATTCTCCTGCCTCAGCCTCCCAAGTAGCTGGGACTACAGGCATGGGCCACCATGCCCAGCTAATTTTTGTATTTTTAGTAGAGGTGGAGTTTCACCATATTGTCCAGGCTGGTCTCAAAACTCCTGACCTCAAGTGATCCGTCTGCCTGGGCCTCCCAAAGCGCTGGGATTACAGGTGTGAGCCACCGCGCCCTGCCACACTCTTATGAACAAGGCTTTGCATGGACACGTTTTCATTTCTCTTGGGTATAGAGCTTGGAGTGGAATTTCTGGGTCATATGAAGCTCTGTGTTTAACCTTTTGAGAAAGTGCCAGAATGTTCTTCGGAGCAGCTGCAACATTTTACATTCCCACCGGCATCCTGTGAGGTTCCCATCCCTCCACATCCTCACCCAAGTTGTTATTATCTTTATTATTATTATTATTATTGTCAATGGAGGGCAGGGGATGCAGTGGCTTATTAGTGCCTTTAAAAATAAGTTTTGCAGTTTACCGTTCTATCCCGCACTGGGTTGTTTTAGTCAAGAAGGTTCTTTAGGCAGCAAAATCACCCAACTGCCAGAAATGCAAGCCCCTGCCTTCCCTTGCTGGCTGGCTGTGGCCTCCTGTCGGACCCCTGCTTTTTCTCTTGCCTTCTTCTAAGCTGTTGTCCACGCAGCACTCGAGCCACCTTTTAGAGTCCTAATGCAGTCACATGCCTCCTCGCTGCAAGCTGTGGGAGGGTTCTTACCCTTTGCTTCAGTCCACACGCCCTAGTCCCTGGCCGGCTCCTGGGAGCTCTGCGGCCTCCCTGGGTCTCCGTGTTTCCTAGAGCCTCCGTAAGTGCTCCCTGTCCGCAGATGCGTGGGGCCCTTCCTCACCTCTGCTCTGGGGTGCCCTCCGCCTGGCTTCTGCTTCTCAGCAGCTTCCCAGGGCAGCCCCTTCGGGTCTCAGCGCATAGGTCCCCTACTCTGATCTACTCCTGCTTGCTTTTTTTTGCAGTTGCTCTGCTCGCTAACCTAACGGACTTGCTCAGACTTAAGCCTCTAGTTTCCAAATGCAGGCCGTGAGGGCATGGACCGAGCCTGGCCCAGCCTGCCCATCACCCTGCATGTTCCAGGTGCTCAATAATATTTGTTGAATGAATGAATGCGTGCACAGGGACGTGCTGAGGAGGCTTGGGGGCCAATTGGCTCTGCCCCGCCCTGCCTCTGATCCCCGCCTCCTCACCTGCCCGCAGCCACCTTCTGGGTGAACCCTCAGTTCAAGATCCGGCTGGATGAGACGGATGACCCGGACGACTACGGGGACCGCGAGTCAGGCTGCAGCTTCGTGCTCGCCCTTATGCAGAAGCACCGTCGCCGCGAGCGCCGCTTCGGCCGCGACATGGAGACTATTGGCTTCGCGGTCTACGAGGTCAGGAGGGTGGATCACCGGTGGATCTCACTGAGCAGGCAGAGGACCTGGCGCCCCCGACCCGCAGTGCAGGCGGGCTTCCACCAGGGGGCGCCAGGGACCATGCCCTTCCCCACAAATTCCCCTCCACTCCCCCCACCATCCTGAGGGCTGGGAAATCTCAGCCTCCAGGAGGCACCTGCTGAGGCCCTCTGGCCGAAAGAGAGGAAGGGGGTTGGCTCAGGGAAGGGAGATTCTGGGATTCACCTCACGCTTAGAGGGCGGCCTGCTGCTCTTGGAGGAGGGAGCTGGCTCAGCTGATGCCTGGGAGTACTGAGCCCTCCGTCTTGGAAGCTGTGAGCAGAAGCTGGCAGGGGAAAGATAGGGGATAGGGAGGGCCTGTCGGCCAAGGTGAGGCTGTGCCAGTCGCTCTGGGATTAGAACTCCTTGCTCTTGCCCTGTATCTGCCCTGCTTCACACACTGCCCTCAAGACAGGGAGAGAAACTTCTGGACCTCCCTGGTCGCAGTCTTGGCCCACACCCAAACCCCCTGGCAGCAGCCTGCGGTGGCCCTTTCCTGTCCCTGGGCTTTGGAACATTGCAGTTGGCCACCCCGGGGGCTGGCCTGGAGCCTCTGACTCAGAATGGAGTCCTAGGGCAAGCATTCCCAGGACCAAGAGGACCCTGCCTGAGCCCTCCCTCCTGGGGCCCTGCTGTGGTGCAGGGACCAGATCTGGGTCCCCAGGGCCCTGCCTTCTGCCTCCTTATCCCATCAGTCCCGTCTAAGAACTCAAGACCTCTGCCCAGCATGCACTGTGACCCCGCCCTGGGACAAACACACATCTCTGACTTCCCCTGTCTCTCTATTGCAGGTCCCTCCGGAGGTAGGTGTGGCACCATGACCCACCTGCAGTCACACACCCCTGATGGTGCCAGAGGGGAGCAACCCAGTGGCAAACCCACCCTGGCCTGGAGAGCTAAGAAGTCACCTTGTTTCACTGCTTGAAAAATGCTTCTCCCCACCTGTTCAGTGGGCAGAGCAAACATTGCTCTCCTGAGGGTCAGCACAGGTAGTCAGTGAGGGAGCTGGATTTGAGCCCTGGTCCTCAGAGCCCCTGTCTGACATGTACACATGAGGCTTTTCCTGCCTTGCCATCTACACCAAGTAAGTGCCAACTAGGGCGGTCCAGCAATGTCAGGAGCAGGGCATTAGACAGGCTGAGAGTTCTGTACCCTTGAGCAGTTGCTTAAGCTCCGAGCCTGTGTTTGTGTCTGTAAAATGGGTGTAACAGCAGAACAGCAAATGAGGTGCCGAGTACCCTGCAGTACCTGACCTGGGGAAAGCTCCCAGTGATAATAATGACAGTGTTATTGAAACACATGCCTAATCTGCAATCCGGTGCTCCTCTCCTCTACCCTCTGCAGTGAGTAGGGTTGTTACATTTTACAGATGAGGAAACTGAGGCAAAATGTCTTGTTAGGGTCACACAGGCTGTGAGTGAGCCATGCCCCAGCTCTCCAGCCCCTTGGCCAGGACAAGGAGCCTGGAGTCTGGGTCTGGGGGTGGCCCCTGAGGGTGGGCTGAGTGGGCAGCTGCAGCCCTGCTCCCTCCTCCCTCCCACCAGCTGGTGGGCCAGCCGGCCGTACACTTGAAGCGTGACTTCTTCCTGGCCAATGCGTCTCGGGCGCGCTCAGAGCAGTTCATCAACCTGCGAGAGGTCAGCACCCGCTTCCGCCTGCCACCCGGGGAGTATGTGGTGGTGCCCTCCACCTTCGAGCCCAACAAGGAGGGCGACTTCGTGCTGCGCTTCTTCTCAGAGAAGAGTGCTGGGACTGTGTGAGTCATGGACTGGCCCCTGCCACTCTCCCCTCTCCCAGCCTCCCCTCTCAGGCCCTCTGCTGTCCCCCTCTGACTGGCTCCTTTCCTCCCCACTCTCTGCAGGGAGCTGGATGACCAGATCCAGGCCAATCTCCCCGATGAGGTGCGTGGTCCCACCCCACCAGGCCCCGTCCTCCTCTCTTCCTCACCCCTGGGTGTGTGATGGGGACCCAGGTGTCCTGTCCCCTGAGTTCCTGCTAACAGGGAAGATCCCCTCCTGGTGGAAGCCATAGGAGTAGTGCTAATCCCTCATCCGCCCAGCACTTTACAGTTTGCAGAGGACCTGTGATACTAATGGCACAGGCCCTGAGCTCTCACCCGGTGGCGGGTTTGTGCTGAGCACTTCACCTGTGTTACCTCATTTCCTCCCCACATCAACCCTGTCCGGGTCTTGTTACCATACCTCCTCTGAATGGGAAATTCAGGTTCACAGAGGTTAGGGAACTTGCCTGAGGCCATACAGTAGGGATCCAAACTCTTGCCTTTTTTTTTTTTTTTTTTTTGAGAGAGTCTCACTCTGTCACCCAGGCTGGAGTGCAATGGCGTGATCTCGGCTCACTGCAACCTCCGTCTCCTGGGTTCAGGTGATTCTCCTGCCTCAGCCTCCTGAGTAGCTGGGATTACAGGCGCACGTTACCACACCTGGCTAATTTTTGTATTTTTAGTAGAGACGGGGTTTTGCCATTTTGGTCAGGCTGGTTTCAAACTCCTGACTTCAAGTGATCCACCCACCTCGGCCTCACAAAGTGCTAGGATTACAGGTGTGAGCCACCGCACCTGGCCCAAACTCTTGCCTTTTACTCACTGAGCTGAACAGCATCCCCTTCATTTAGGTCACATGAGTGCTGGATATGGGGCGGGGCAGGGCAGGGCAGGAACGAGATTCCCTTTTCAGATTAGAAAAGTGAGACTCAAGCCGGGCTCAGTGGCTCACGCCTGTAATCCTAGCACTTTGGGAGGTTGAGGCGGGCGGATAACCTGAGGTCGGGAGTTTGAGACCAGCCTGGCCAACATGGCAAAACCCCGTCTCTACTAAAAATACAAAAATTAGCCGGGCATGGTGGTGGGCACCTTTAATCCCAGCTACTCAGGAGGCTGAGGCAGGGAGAATGGCTTGAGCCCGGGAGGCGGAGGTTGCAGTGAGCTGAGATCACGCCACTGTACTCCAGCCTGGGTGACAGAGTGAAACTCCATCTCAAAAAGAAAAGAAAAGAAAAGTGAGGCTCAGAGAAGCGAAGTGACTTGTAGCAGATATGTGACCTCAGCCCTCCCTCCAGCTGCCTCCACACGGGCAGGGCCGGGGCCTCTCTTACCTGCTTTCTCCCCTTCTCGGTCCAGCAAGTGCTCTCAGAAGAGGAGATTGACGAGAACTTCAAGGCCCTCTTCAGGCAGCTGGCAGGGGAGGTAGGTTGGGGCATGGCAGGTTGGGAGGGGCCTGTGAGGGGCAGCCCTCTCCTGGGGCAGGTGCCACCTCCTCTCTCTCCCCAGGACATGGAGATCAGCGTGAAGGAGTTGCGGACAATCCTCAATAGGATCATCAGCAAACGTGAGTCCCCGCGGGGCTGTCCCACCACCCCACCATTTCTTCCACATCAGAATCCAGGCTCCTGCTCACACATTGAGCTGAACCTCATCCCTTGGTCTGCATGAGTCGGGGAATCCTCCAGTTTTTCTGAGCCCAGTTCCCTGCCATTTCCATCCCATACTCCTCCTCCTGACCTGCCATCCTGATAATCCCTGTGCTCGGGTGCTGTGCCTTTGTGGGATTAGCAGCGCAGCCTGGCCAGGCACAGTGGCTCACACCTGTAGTCCCAACACTCTGGGAGGCCGAGGCAGGAGTCGCTTCAGCCCAGGAGTTCAACACCAGCCTGGACAATATGGAGAGACCCTGTCTCTGCAAAAAAGTACAAAAATTAGCTGGGCGTGGTGGCATGCACCTATAGTCCCAGCTACTCAGGAGGCTGAGTTGGGAGGATGGCTTGAGACCAGGGAGGTTAAGGCTGCAGTGAGCTGTGATCACATCAGTGCACTCCAGCCTGGGCAACAGAGCAAGACCCTGTCTCAAAAAAAAAAGCAGGAGCAGCACCTTAGTGCCAAAGAAAAGTCTACCTTTCCTCCCAGAGCCTCCTGGGCCAGGCTGAGTGGCTTGGGGAACACCACGTGACTGGCTTCACTCCCCAGGGCAGACAACTGCTGGCCTCTCATCCCCTCCCCTCCCCTTTGCTGCCACTGACCTCCATCCACACGGTTTCCTTAAGCAGAGCTTTTCTCCTCCTCTTCTCTGCTAGTGAAGCACTGCTTACCCTCCTAGCCTACAGCAAGCCCTGCCCTGCCCCATCTTTCTACCCAATTTCTCGCTCTTCTGTTTCACACTCATTTCTTTTTACTTTGGACTAATTGTGGCTGTTGGGACTTTGGCTTGATTGCTAAAATACTTTACTTGTACTTCCTGATGATACAAACAATCCTGCCCACTTCCTCTGCCAGATATTGCACCCACTCGTCAGGATTTGTGCGTCCTTGACTCTGCCCCACCCAGTGCTCCCAGCAGGGGCAGGTGCAGGAAGCTCACTAGGTGGAGATGTTGGAATTGGTTTTTCTTGCAGACAAAGACCTGCGGACCAAGGGCTTCAGCCTAGAGTCGTGCCGCAGCATGGTGAACCTCATGGATGTATCCTTCCGTTTGCTTTTGTCTCCTGAGTGGGGTTTTGGGTGGAGGTATCGGTGCTGGGAGAACTGTCCCAGGACAGCACAGAGAACAGGACAGAGCCATGCGGAGTGTGGACACACAGTGCCCCATGCTCAGATGTCTCCCTGGACGTCTTCCTGTTGGTTGGGAGGGAGAAACTGAGGCACAGACCTGTGTCAAGTGAAAGGTGGAGCAAGACCTGGGTCCCCATTGACCCTGAGGCTGGTGCTATTTCTGACCCCTCCCCAGCCCACTCCACTGCAGCCCAGCTCAGAGAATAAGGCAAGCCCGGCTGTGGGCTGACTGTACATGGCTTTTGCTGCTTCTCCTCACCCAGCCCCAAGTCGACTTGCCGGCTCGGCGGCCATCTCCCCTTCTGCACAGTTGCCCACTCTCCCATGACTGGTCTAAGTGATGGAATTTCCTTCTTAACGGCCACCCAGCGTGATGGCAATGGGAAGCTGGGCCTGGTGGAGTTCAACATCCTGTGGAACCGCATCCGGAATTACCTGGTAGGTTGTCCCCACTCACCTCAGTCATGCAGGTGCGGGCCGGGCAGGTGGGAAGGGCCGGGTGACTCAGCCTGGCCCTCACCCTCTGCCGCCACCTCAGTCCATCTTCCGGAAGTTTGACCTGGACAAGTCGGGCAGCATGAGTGCCTACGAGATGCGGATGGCCATTGAGTCGGCAGGTGAGACTCCAAGGCTGACGGCACCTGTGGGGCCCAGGACAGGTAGCCCCACTGCTCCTATGCCCCAGGCCCTTGTCCCTGGGGTGCTAGTGGTGACATGGTAACAGCCATCTTGTCCTTTTCCCCACGGTTACTAGCACCCTGCCTAGCCCCAGCCCCCTCCTGGGGACCCAACCCCTCCCCCATCCTGTTGGGCAGGGGCTGCGCCTCACTGACCTTCACTCACTCTCCTGGACCAGGCTTCAAGCTCAACAAGAAGCTGTACGAGCTCATCATCACCCGCTACTCGGAGCCCGACCTGGCGGTCGACTTTGACAATTTCGTTTGCTGCCTGGTGCGGCTAGAGACCATGTTCCGTGAGTGTCCCCAACTGCCTCCCACCCTCCAGCTCCGTCCCAAACGCGTCCCCCAGGAGCTGGGGGGAATGACAGATGGGTGAATTAGCAGATACAGGCCAGTGCTGTGGGTGTGTGCCAGAGAGGCCTGGGTCTGGGTTTGGGGGGCCCTGGCTGAGTGCCAGGAGAGTCGGGGAGGGAGGGAGTTGACAGTGGCTTCTCAGGCAGCAGGAAGGGGTGAAGCTTCCCAGCTTCAAGGGGTGTCAGCTTGCGGTACTGTGGGGAGGTAGAGAGGGACCAGGCAGGAAGGGGGCCAGGCCTGGCCCTGCGTGAATATCCCACTGAGTTTTCAGCCCTGTATCACCTTTTCTTGAACACACAGGATTTTTCAAAACTCTGGACACAGATCTGGATGGAGTTGTGACCTTTGACTTGTTTAAGGTGGGAACCTCCCTGGGCCCATGGTTGGGGAAGAGTTCCAGGCGATCGAATTTTCTTATCTGGCCAGTGTTCCCTGTCCTTTCCTGGAAATGAGCCTGGGCCTCAGAGCCAACCCTGAAGCCCGGGCCACCTGAATCCTGAAAGGCTGGGGTGGGGGTGTCTGGATTCTGGGAAAGGAGCAGGAGGGGAGGTCCAGGCCCTTGGAGGCCCCTATGGGAGCAGCACTCTGGTTTCCCAGGGGTGGAGGAGGTAAGAAAGTAACCCCTCCATGAGGTTCCTGAGGTGGCTCCTGAGACGTGGAGTTGGGGGCTGGACCTGGGGTTTGGGTGGGGAAGAAGCCAGGGAGCCATTTCTGCGGCCCCAGCTGACCTGCCTGTTCTCCCGCAGTGGTTGCAGCTGACCATGTTTGCATGAGGCAGGGACTCGGTCCCCCTTGCCGTGCTCCCCTCCCTCCTCGTCTGCCAAGCCTCGCCTCCTACCACACCACACCAGGCCACCCCAGCTGCAAGTGCCTTCCTTGGAGCAGAGAGGCAGCCTCGTCCTCCTGTCCCCTCTCCTCCCAGCCACCATCGTTCATCTGCTCCGGGCAGAACTGTGTGGCCCCTGCCTGTGCCAGCCATGGGCTCGGGATGGACTCCCTGGGCCCCACCCATTGCCAAGCCAGGAAGGCAGCTTTCGCTTGTTCCTGCCTCGGGACAGCCCCGGGTTTCCCCAGCATCCTGATGTGTCCCCTCTCCCCACTTCAGAGGCCACCCACTCAGCACCACCGGCCTGGCCTTGCCTGCAGACTATAAACTATAACCACTAGCTCGACACAGTCTGCAGTCCAGGCGTGTGGAGCCGCCTCCCGGCTCGGGGAGGCCCCGGGGCTGGGAACGCCTGTGCCTTCCTGCGCCGAAGCCAACGCCCCCTCTGTCCTTCCCTGGCCCTGCTGCCGACCAGGAGCTGCCCAGCCTGTGGGCGGTCGGCCTTCCCTCCTTCGCTCCTTTTTTATATTAGTGATTTTAAAGGGGACTCTTCAGGGACTTGTGTACTGGTTATGGGGGTGCCAGAGGCACTAGGCTTGGGGTGGGGAGGTCCCGTGTTCCATATAGAGGAACCCCAAATAATAAAAGGCCCCACATCTGTCTGTGATGTGTTTCTCCCCAGCCTACTGCCTGGAGGGCACCTGCAGGCCCCGGCCCATGGGGGCAGCTCGTGGCCTCAGCTCACCCCTCCCCTCCAACCCCTCCATCTCCTTCCCCTTGACCTTGAAGCTTGAACCCCTACTGGAGTACTGGGTATCTGGGCAAGACCACCCCTGGCCCTGGGAGGTTGGGAAGGAGGGGCCCTAGCTGCAGGGACAGGGCCACACAGCTGAGGTCCCACATGGCTCTGCTGATCCTACATGCCCTCCCCGCCGCCCAGGAGGCCTGACCCCTACCTTTCTTGCACACTTCGGCCCGTTGAGGTGAGGCTCTGGCTGAAATTCAAACCTCTACTTAGCACACACCCGGCCCCCCAGAGAGCTCCCCCGAGCACAGAGCCGCCTTCAGGTCCCTCTGTGGGGAGCCCCTGTGACCCAGACACCTGCACTTACATAAGCCGCTCCAGGGCCTGCTGGGATCTGGGATTTTCTTACCAGAGATAAGAGTGGTTTGGGGGAAGGAAGAGGGGATGGGGCGAAGCTGCAAATGCAGAGCAGAGGCCGAGGTGGGGGAGGGTGGGAGTTGGCTGCTGTCAGCTGCTGTGGGCCCCAGCGTTGGGGTGGAGATGGAGGTGGAGGCCCCTGTGTGCCCCATGGGGAAGGCTGCCCGCACACTGCTATCTTGAGCTTGCGTTTTGCCCTTGTCACCTCCTCACTGGGAGTCCAGGTCCTGTTGGGCTCAGAGTCTTCAGCAGTGAGGGCAGTGGCTCAGCTCTTCCTGCAGCTTGGGCTGGTGTGTGAGGGGCTGGAGGGCAGGAGGGTCTGCAGGGCCCTGCCATCTTGCTCAAACCCTTACTTGCTCTCTGGATTGGGTTTTATTTGATGTGGGGATGGGAACACCACGTCTGGATGACCTGGGACCCTAACCTCTCATAAACTCTGAGTCACTGAGGTAGAGGTGGGAAGAGCAGGGCTTCTTCCTGACTGCCCTATTTGGGCTTTCTTGCTTTGTTTCTTTCCTTCCTTTCTTTCTTTCTGATGGAGTTTCTCTCTTGTTGCCCAGGCTGGAGTGCAGTAGCGTGATCTCGGCTCACTGTAACCTCCACCTCCCGGGTTCAAGCGAGTCTCCTGCCTCAGCCTCCCAAGCAGCTGGGATTACAGGTGCCCGCCACCATGCCTGGCTAACTTTTGTATTTTTAGTAGAGAGAGGGTTTCACCATGTTGGCCAGGCTGGTCTAGAACTCCTGACCTCAGGTGATCAGCCTGCCTTGGCCTCCCAAAGTGCCAGGATTACAGGCATGAGCCACTGCACCTGGCCTATTTGGGCATTTTAAAAGGGCTTTTTCCCACGTGTCACCTGTGCAGCCAAGTCCCTGCTTTCTCGGGAAGTGGGGGAAGGGTAAGCAGCTGTAAACACTGCATCCCATTATTCTGAACTCTCAGCACTTAAGGCTCCAGCTGTGATTTGGAGCCTAGAGACAGGGACTGTGTCCCATGTGCCAAAGCCAGAATCGGGGCTCCCGAACATGCCTCGGTGTCCTCTGGAGGAAAGGGAAGGTGATGGTGCTCCATTCACTGCTGGGGTCCTGTCGGTGAGGGCAGTGGGCAGGGCGGCCAGACCTGCGGATATGGGTGGTAGGCTGTGACTCAGCCCTCGGGGTGAGAGATGGAGAGAGCTAGAGAAAGGGCATGGGGGAGGGGAGCCCTGCAGATGTGGGGACACCTGAACCCTCCTATGGGGTGTAACCTGAGCCCTCCGACACAGGGTGCACAGGATGTCTGCAGTCCTCACCCCTGGCCTGTTCCTCCCCCTCCCAGGGCCCCTCCCGGCCTCTCTACATAAAGCCGGGGGTACTGGGCCTCAGGTCAGGCCTATGGCCATGGCCTTCACAGACCTGCTGGATGCTCTGGGCAGCATGGGCCGCTTCCAGCTCAACCACACAGCCCTGCTGCTGCTGCCCTGCGGCCTGCTGGCCTGCCACAACTTCCTGCAGAACTTCACGGCCGCTGTCCCCCCCCACCACTGCCGGGGCCCTGCCAACCACACTGAGGCCTCCACCAACGACTCGGGGGCCTGGCTGAGGGCCACCATACCCCTGGACCAGCTTGGGGCCCCTGAGCCCTGCCGGCGCTTCACCAAGCCTCAGTGGGCCCTGCTGAGCCCCAACTCCTCCATCCCGGGCGCGGCCACGGAGGGCTGCAAGGACGGCTGGGTCTATAACCGCAGTGTTTTCCCGTCCACCATCGTGATGGAGGTCAGAAGGGGCTGGGTGTGTGGGGGGGCTGCTGCCGAGGCCCAGTCTGAAGCGCCCATGTCTTCCCTGCAGTGGGATCTGGTGTGTGAGGCCCGCACTCTCCGAGACCTGGCGCAGTCCGTCTACATGGCCGGGGTGCTGGTGGGGGCTGCCGTGTTTGGCAGCTTGGCAGACAGGTGAGCCCGTGGGGATAAGGGCCCCAGCCACCCAGTGCGGGCCAGAAAGCCTAGGCCTCTGCATTCATTTTTCTTTGTTACAGTTGATTTGTGCATTTTAAACAGATAATACATATAGTACATTCACATGGTTTCAAATCCCGAAAGGCACAGAAGAGTCTGCCGGGGATCACCCCTTTCCTGCTCTGCCCCTCCTTGCAGTAATCCCCAGAGGGCAGCCTGCTTTCTATGCCTTTTACCAGAGACATTTTATGATTCTATGCAGTCAAGCAAGTGGGTGTATATGTTCCATTCCCCCATTTTTCTTTTCCTGTTTTGTATTTGTTTTCTTCTTCATGTGCCCCCATTTTTTTCTTTGAGATGAGGTCTCACTATGTTGGCCAGGCTGGTCTCAAACTTCTACGGTCAAGCAGTTCTCCTGCCTCTGTCTCCCAAGTAGCTGAGGTGACAGGCCTGGTCATCCTTTTTTTGTGCAAATGCTGGCATACACCCCACGTGGTCCTGCACCCGGCTTTTTCTTCGCTTTGGAGGCCTCTCCTATTCCTTCAGAAAGAGCTGTCCCATTCCTCCTAGTCTTTACACTACATCCCACTGTATGAATGGGCCCTAACTTGTTCCCCGTTATTTTTTAGAGGTGAGGTCTCACTCTGTCACCCAGGCTGTAGGGCAGTGGTACAAACATAGCTCTCTGCAGCTTCAACCTTCTGAGCTCAAGTGATCCTCCTGCTTCAGCCTCCCCAGTAGCTGGGACTACAGGCACGCACCACCGCACCCAGCTAATAAAAAAAAAATTATTTTTAGTAGAGATCGGGGGGTGGGGGTGGGGGGGGGTGTCTCACTATGTTGCCCAGGCTGGTCTCGAACTCCTGGGCTCAAGCAATCCTCCTCCCTCTACCTCCTAAAGTGCTGGGATTACAGGTGTGAGCACTGCACCTAACTGACCCCTATTGACAGACGATGTGCAGCCAGCTCATGGCTCTGAAGTTGGCTCCTACGTCTCTCTCTCTGCACCTCTTTCCCCTTCCTCCTCTTCGCTCTCTCTCCCCTCTCCCTTCTCCTCTGCCCTTCTTCTCTCAGTTCAGGTTTGGGGGGCCCTCCCGGACTCCACCCCACACTCTGGAGTGTAGATGGCTCCCTGTGCCACACACCTCAGGCCCTCATCACACCGTGTCATGATACACCCTGGTCTTTCTACATGTGAGCTTGTGTCTTATCCAGAATGTCTTGTTTGTCACCAACCCTCAACTCAGGCCTGTCACTTAGAGGTGATTAATGATCAATGAACATTGTGTCACAATGAATGAGTGAATGAAAGAATGCATGAAGAAATGAAGAAACGAGTGAGTGAGTGAGTGAGCAGGCGAGTGAGTGGGCGAGCGAGTGAGTGGGCAGATGAGTGAGTGAGTGGACTAGTGAGTGAGTGAGTGAGCCGGTGACTGAGCGAGTGAGCGGGTGAGTGACTGAGTGAGCGGGTGGGCGAGCGAGTGAGCGGGTGGGCGAGCGAGTGAGCGGGTGAGCAAGCGAGTGGGTGGATAAGCGGGTGAGTGGGCGAGTGAGCGGGTGAGCGAGTGAGTGGGCGGATGAGTGAGTGGGTGAGTGAGTGGGAGAGTGAGTGGGTGGATGAGTGAGTGGGCGAGTGAGTGGGTGGGTGAGTGAGTGGGTGGGTGGGTGAGTGGGCGGATGAGTGAGTGGGCGAGTGAGTGAGTGGATGAGTGAGTGGGTGGGTGATGAGTGGGTGATCGAGCGAGTGAGCGAGTGAGTGGATGAGTGAGTGGGTGGGTGAGTGAGTGGGTGAGCGAGCGGGTGAGCGAGTGAGTCAGTGAGTGAGTGGATGAGTGAGTGAGTGGGTGGGTGAATGGATAAGTGAGTGGGTGGGTGGGTGGGTGAGTGGATGAGTGAGTGAGTGAGTGGGTGCGTGAGTGGGTGAGCGAGCGAGTGAGCAAGTGAGTCAGTGAGTGAGTGGATGAGTGGGTGGGTGGGTGAGTGGGTGGGTGGGTGAGTGGGTGGGTGAATGAGTGGGTGGGTGGGTGGGTGAGTGAGTGGGTGAGTGGGTGGGTGGCTCGGTGGGTGAGTGAGTGAGTGCATGAGTGAGCGAGTGAGTCGGTGAGTGAGTGAGTGAGTGGGTGGGTGAATGAGTGAGTAGGTGGGTGGGTGAGTGGGTGGGTGAGTGAGTGCGTGGGTGGGTGAGTGAGTGCGTGGGTGGGTGAGTGAGTGGGTGGGTGAGTGGGTGAGTGAGCGAGTGAGCGAGTGAGTCGGTGAGTGAGTGGATGAGTGAGTGGGTGGGTGAGTGGATGGGTGAGTGGGTGGGTGGGTGAGTGAGTGGGTGGGTGGGTGGGTGAGTGAGTGGGTGAGTGGGTGGGTGAGTGAGTGGGTGGGTGGGTGAGTGAGTGGGTGGGTGAGTGGGTGGGTGAGTGAGTGGGTGGGTGGGTAAGTGAGTGGGTGGGTTGGTGGGTGGGCGAGTGAGTGAGTGGGTGGGTGAGTGAGTGGGCGAGCAAGCGAGTGGGTCATGGAGTGTGTGGAGAAGAAAAGCTGCCTGTCTTCTTGGCCTGCTTCCCTGCTGGCCAAGTTGAGGCTGTGCGCTCTGGCCCTGGACCCTCATTTGCAAACAGGGCAGATCACCCTGCCATCCTGTCCTTGGGCCCCTCTGTGGCATGGCAACCCTCTGGTCCACATAATGACTCCACCCTGGCTCCTGCTCCCACACCAGGGACTGGCCAAGGGCTCACCCGCTGTGAGTTCTGGTTCGAGGCCTCCCTCCAGCCACAGCAGTGCTCAGGTGACCTCTCCCCACCTGCCACACGCCCCTCTGGGGCTTTGCAGAATCCCTGCCTTTCCTCGAGCCCGGACTAAATCTCCTCGCCAGCTTCCTTCTACACTATGTCCCTCTGTCTGTGACCAACCTCTGCCACGAAGCCTGGGTCCCAGCAGTTTCAAGTTTCTGTTTTGGAAGGGTGGCTTTCGCGGGGTACCCCATCTTCCCCGGGACTGCCTTGATAATCCCCTGCTCGGGTGAAAGGGGCAGGCGTGGGCTGCCCATTTGTTCCTTGGGGGATGCTGCTGCTGCCTCCCAAAACCCTAATGCCTGTGCCCATTCTCTGGACTCAGGCTGGGCTGCAAGGGCCCCCTGGTCTGGTCCTACCTGCAGCTGGCAGCTTCGGGGGCCGCCACAGCGTATTTCAGCTCCTTCAGTGCCTATTGCGTCTTCCGGTTCCTGATGGGCATGACCTTCTCTGGCATCATCCTCAACTCCGTCTCCCTGGTGAGTCCAGCCGAGGAGAGGCCAGGAAGGGCGGGGGCTCCTGAAAGAGCAGGGCGGGGGCGGGGGGACAGGGGGGTGGCAACGTCGAGGGTCATCGGACATTTTTCTCATGTTGTTTTGTTGGGATTCTCATCCAGCAACCTCAACTCAAAGCCTCCCGCCAGAGTTCTGGACCTGGGGGACCTGGGCTCCCGGGTAGTGGTGGCCCTGCTGGCTGTGGGTGGGGAGTCCCTGGATGGCCTTTCCCAGGTCTGGGCTTTAGTGTACTCATCTGTAAATTGAGAGGGTTAGGTTTATTTTATTTGTGAATTAGCCAACAATAACCACTTACTAAGCACCTATTGTCTCCAGGCTTAGTGTGGGGACACAGAGGCCACTGGGACACAGGAGAGGAGTGAGCCATGATGGTCCCCAGGGCAGCAGCCAGCCCTGAAATTGTATGACTCTATGAAGGCTGGTGATTCCTCAGCTTCATGGTGGAGACCTGGCTCCTGGATGCCAGCTTGGAGTGTTGCGCCCCCAAGTGATAAGTGGCAGGCTCAGTCCTCACTCTAGGCTGGTTCTGGGCAGCCCCTGGGTGGTCCTAGGAGAAAGCATCACGGGGCAGAAGGAAGCCCACCCAGGACACAGGCCTGCCACCTACCTATGTTTCATTTTAACTACTTAGCTTGCTCCTGGGGACACCACTGGGCACGGAAACTGCTGCCACCATCAGCTGTGCAAAGACAGGATGGATCTTTTATATCAGGGGTCAGGAAGAAATCTTGGGACCAGAGAACCAGGACACCTGACCTCCCCTCCCTCTCCCAGCACACAGCGGGATCTCAGCCAATCCCAGCCTACACAGCTCACTCTGCAGGGTGGGCATCCAGCCATGGCTTGAAACAGGTGTCTGAGGTCCACCTCGTGCTGGAATGGGCTCTAACACCTACACAGACACATACAGACACACACAGACACATACAGACACACATACACACGCATCAGAGACTGCCCAGCCTCTTAACACTTCCTGAGGCTGGAGAGGCCGGGCACTGTCTGGGGACATCTCCGCCTGTAAAGACGACTTTGTAGAGATTCCATCGAGTGCCCTGGAGCTCCCACCACAGGCCATGCCCTGCCTCGGGTCCCACCGCACAAGTGTGGTGACCCTCCATACATATATGCCTCCCCTCATGTTTGTTCCTGCGCACACTGTTCTGTATCTTGATTCTTTCACTTAACCAAGCTGTCACTGGTCCACTGCCTGATAGAGAGCCTCCTAGTGCCAGGAGAGGCTCTAGAGGTTGCGGTGAACACAGCCCTGCTCCTTGGAGTCCATGTTCTAGCGAGGCGAGATATCACCAGCATGCATAACGAATCGTATAGTATGTTCGAAGACAGTAAGTGCTACAGAGGAAAACCGAAGCCTGGAAAGGGGATAAGAATGGCCGGGTTGGCCAGGCGCAGTGACTCATGCCTGTAATCCCAGCACTTTGGGAGGCCAAGGCGGGCAGATCGCCTGAGGTCAGGAGTTTGAGACCAGCCTGGCCAACATGGTGAAACCCTGTCTCTACTACAAATACAATTAGCCCGAGCATGGTGGCGGGCGCCTGTAATCCCAGCTACTCGGGAGGCTGAGGCAAGAGAATTGCTTGACCCGGGAGGTGGAGGTTGCTGTGAGCCGAGATCGCACCACTGCACTCCAGCCTGGGTGATGGAGTGAGATTCTGCCTCAACAAAACAAACAAACAAAAAATCCCACAAAGAATGGCCAGGTTGGAGGGGAGGGGTCTGCAGTTTTAATTAGCGTGGTTTGGGAAAGACTCACTGAAAAGGGGTCATTTTGAGCAAAACTGGAAGGAGTTGAGGGAATGAGCCCTGCAGGTTTCTGGGGTAGAACATTCCAGGCAGAGGGAACTGCCAGGCAGAGGCCCTGCAGGGGAAAGTGTGCCCAGGGTGAAGAGCAAGGAGGGCCCTGTGGCTGAAGCAGAGTTGGGAGGTGGGCGACAGGTGAGGTCGGGGAGGGCAGTTCTGCAGGACCCTGTGTCCAGCGTTCTAGGACTTCAGCTTTGTCTCTGAATGAGACAAGAGCCACCGGAGGATTTTGACCAGGGAGAGACCTGATCTGATTTAGGATTTGAGATCTGATAAGATCTATGTGGCTGCCATGTGACACCAGGACGGAAGCAGGGAGGCCGGTTAAGGGGCTGCTGCTGTCATCAAGCAAGAGACCAGGTTGAACTGGGCCACGGTGGCAGCAGCAGAGGCAGTGAGGAGAGCTTAGATTCTGGCTTAATTCTGAAGGATTTGCTGAAGGACTGGACGCACAGGCTTCTTGCCCATTGGGAAGAAGCTTCCTCATTAATTTGTTACAGCTGCCTCGTAAGGGTGTGTCATCATTACTTAACCAGTCCCCTACAGATGGACATTCAGGTTGTTCCAAGTTTTGCTATTTATAAAAATTAGTATTTTCTGTCTTTGCATGGGGTTGAGCACCTCTGCCCATTTTCCTTTTAGCTTGTTGGCCGTTTTCTAATTGATTTGTGAAAACTCTTTCAGTATTAGGGAAATTAGTCTTTCTTTCTTCTTTCTTTCTTTTTTTATTTTTTGAGACAGAGTCTTTAGCTCTGTCGCCCAGGCTGGAGTGTAGTGGTCCAATTCATTTCAGCTCACTGCAACCTTCGCCTCCCAGGTTCAAGCGATTCTTGTGCCTCAGCCACTCGAGTAGCTGGGATTACAGGCACACAACACCATGCCCGGCTAATTTTTGTATTTTTAGTAGAGACGGGGTTTCGCCATGTTGTCCAGGCTTGTCTCAAACACCTGACTCAAGTGACCCGCCCGACTCAGCCTCCCAACGTGCTGGGATTACAGGAGTGAGCCCCCGCGCCCAGCCCAAAATTAGTCCTTTATCTGCTAGTTGGGTTACAACTATATTTTTACATTTTTTGTTGACGTTATGGCTTGACTTACGGTGTTTTGTTTTGTTTTATTCCAATGCGGACATTTTTTATTTTTACGACTCCAAGTTTGTCAACCTCCCCTTTTATTGCCTCTGGGTTTTGTGACTTTCTTGGAAAAGCCTTTCCCTACTCTAAGATTATAAAATAATCTACCATGATTTCTTCTGGCATTGTTGTGGTTTTATTGTTTATTGAGTTCTTTGATCCACTTAGAATTTATCTGGAGTGCAGTAGGGACACCTTTGCCTGTGTCTCAGAGGGTCTCTGGAATGAGTTTAAGTGGTCAGAATCATAAGGGGGGGTGTGGTGAATTAACCACATGGGTAGCTGAATGCCGCTGAATGTCACTGTTTTCTCCCCAGTTGTGGAGTGGATGCCCACACGGGGCCGGACTGTGGCGGGTATTTTGCTGGGGTATTCCTTCACCCTGGGCCAGCTCATCCTGGCTGGGGTAGCCTACCTGATTCGCCCCTGGCGGTGCCTGCAGTTTGCCATCTCTGCTCCTTTCCTGATCTTTTTCCTCTATTCTTGGTATGTCCTGAACAGAGTGGGGTGGGGGAGGGTGCACCTGTGTGGCCGAGTCTTCACCTGGCCCTGTGAGAGGTTGGGGTGTGCAGTGACCGGGGCTTGCTGGACTTGACAGGGGACACAAAGGATGGCAGGCGTTCATGGAGGCTGCAAGCTCTCAAGTCCTCACGAATGGCTACTGGGACGCTCTGGTAAAATCCCTTGCATTAGTGTGGGGCCCTGGAACGTCCCAAGAGCTTTTGCCTTCATCAACTCCTTCGCATCCCTCAACACTTCATAAGTACTCTAAGTGCTTATAAAGTTATAAGAATATAACTGGGGCATATATAAGAGGGTAATGAAGCACAGCCCAGAGAGGGCCCATGACTCACACAAGGCCACACAGCTGGGGTCAGAACCAGATTCAAAACCGGGTCTGGGATAGGTGTGGTGGCTCACGTCTGTAATCCCAGCACTTTGGGAGGCTGAGGTGGGCAGATCACTTGAGGTCAGGAGTTCGAGACCAGCCTGGCCAACATGGTGAAACCCCATCTCTACAAAAAAAATAATTAAATAAATAAAATAAAATTAGCCAGGCATGGTGGTGGGTGCTTGTAATCCCAGCTACTCGGGAGGCTGAGGTAGGCGAATCACTTGAATCTGGGAGGCAGAAGTTGCAATGAGCCGAGATTGCTCCACTGTGCTCCAGCCTGGGCGACAGAGTGAGACTTGGTCCAAAAAAAAAAAAAAAAAAAAAATGCCACGGGTCTGTTGAAATCCTAAGTCCTCTGTAGTTTTGTTTTTTTTTTTTTGGTTTTTTTTTTGTTTTGAGATGGAGTTTCCCTCTGTTACCCAGGCTGGAGTGCAGTGGCGCGATCTCGGCTCTGCAACCTCCACCTCCCAGGTTCAAGCGATTCTCCTGTCTCAGCCTCCTCCTGAGTAGCTGTGATTACAGGCACACACCACCATGCCCGGCTAGTTGTTTTGTATTTTTAGTAGAGATGGGGTTTCATTATGTTGGCCAGGCTGGTCTCAAACTCCTGACCTCAGGTGATCCACCCTCCTGGGCCTCCCAAAGTGCTGGGATTACAGGCGTGAGCCACCGTGCCTGGCCAAGTCCTCTGTAGTCTTTAAATACTGTTCAGTGAGTCTCTGTATGATGTACTGCAAAAAAAGGGAAGCTGGCATGGCCCCCAGACTTCCTGATGCTACAGACAGGAGGACAGGTCATCTTTTTTGGGTCTGAAAGAAGGTAGACAAGGGGGTATTGGGTTTGGGGAATAGAATGAGCTCTACCCAGCCCCAGATCCTTCTTCCTCCTCTCGGTCCCAGGTGGCTTCCAGAGTCATCCCGCTGGCTCCTCCTGCATGGCAAGTCCCAGTTAGCTGTACAGAATCTGCAGAAGGTGGCTGCAATGAACGGGAGGAAGGAGGAAGGGGAAAGGCTGACCAAGGAGGTAAGCGAGCTGGGAGGAAGGAAGGGTGGGAACAGTCTTCAGTCTTGCTGGCAACCTCCAGTTGTACTAGAATTTAGCAACTTCCCAGGACTCACGTGCCATCCAGGTGTAGACATTGGGAATAAACAGGACAGGCAGAGTTCTCATGTGCGAAAGATGTTGTTTAGGTATTGAATGATTGTGTGATTTAGGATAAATAATTTAACTGCTTTGCTCATCAGTCAATCCACCTTTGTAATTAGGAAATAACCCTATTAACCTTGACATCCAGTTGAAATTTTAATAAAATAATAAACTAAAATTATTAAAATAGCAACCACACAGTAAAATTACTGGGGAATCAATAACAAAAGCACCATTATAAATACCATTTATTATAAGATAGTTACCATTTATTATCAATAAGCATCATTTCTCAAGCCCCATGCCGGGCACTAGGCTGAGAGCTTTATGTATGTAATCTCATTTCATGTCTCATTTTTGACAAAGAGGAAATTGAAGTGGGGACAGGACGGGTAACTTGCCTGAGAACACACAGTAGGAAGTGGCAGAACCACTTGGAACCCCTGCTCTTATCTGACTCAATCTCCGAGTCTATACCAGGAATGGGGTGGGAGGCCCTCCAGAACCGCAGAACCTCAGTAGTGTTGGAGTTCGTGTTGGAGCTTCTCAACACCCTGGAAACAGTGTGTTGGCACTTCTCAACACCCCTCAAGTGCCATCAGTCCTTGGACGGAGCGGAGACAAGGGCCAGCCACCTCACCAAAGACCTCAACCCCAGCTCTCCTCCACACAGACGAAGGGGTTCCCAGCAGGGATGTGGGGTCCGAGCTCCCTCGCTTTCCCTGAGCAGAGTCTTCTTACCTAGGTGATGAGCTCCTACATCCAAAGCGAGTTTGCAAGTGTCTGCACCTCCAACTCAATCTTGGACCTCTTCCGAACCCCGGCCATCCGCAAGGTCACATGCTGTCTCATGGTGATTTGGTAGGTGACAGGCTCATGCCCAAGACTTTCACCTGAGGCAGGGGCATGCTCTCTGCCCCCACTGAAAAACTCTGTTCTGAAATACTCTTAATGCAATGAGCAGGTGAGCCGTGTGAACTCAATCTCTTCCCACACCCTTTTTCCAGCACTCGGCCTCTGCTGGATGCTGAGATGTGGTGACAGATGAGATATCATGCTAACCCAGGAACCCCACTTCTGGGCAGTGGGTCTCACCTGGGTGGGAGGACTATTGGAATCACCAAGGCAGCTTTTCCAGAATGTAATTTGTCCCATCCTGATATGCCCTTTGGGCTGGCTCTCCAGTGGATTCTGGGAAGTGTCGCACTCTGGAAAAAACACTTCTGGATCCAGGAGGGGATAGACAGGAAAATTGTAATTTTCATGCAGTGAGACAAGTATCCTAACAGCATTTCTGCTAGCTGGGGCTGCTGACGGCTTCAGGCAGGAGATAGCATTTAGACTGCTTTTAAAAGATGGTTAATTGGCTGGGTGCGGTGGCTCACGCCTGTAATCCCAGCACTTTGGGAGGCCGAGGTGGGTGGATCATGAGGTCAGGAGATTGAGACCATCCTGGCTAACATGGTGAAACCCCGTCTTTACCAAAAATACAAAAAATTAGCCGGGCATGGTGGCGGGCACCTGTAGTCCCAGCTACTCGGGAGGCTGAGGCAGGAGAATGGCGTCAACCCGGGAGGCGGAGCTTGCAGTGAGCCGAGATCATGCCATTGCACTCCAGCCTGGGCGACAGAGCAAGACTCTGTCTCAAAAAAAAAAAAAAAAAAAAAAAGATGGTTAATCAAGTTTGCAAGGTGGGCAGGAAGGAATACCTAACAGGTTCACAGGCATGAAGATGTGAAATGGACAAAAATACAAAGGCAGCCCATATGCAGTAGCACCACCAGCTGCAAGCTGACAAATCCTAAGGGGAAGGGCTGATAAAAAACAACCGTGTTGATTTCATTCCACTGGATTTCCTGCACATTTAAATAATTGGTATTGATACTTATGAAGCAGGGAGTGCAGGCAATGAATTACTATCTCCTTCCTTCCTTCCTCTCTCTTTCTCTTTCTTTCCTTCTCTCCTTCCTTCCCCCCTCCCCTCCCCTCCCCTCCCCTCCCCTCTCCTCTCCTTTCTTTCCACGGAGTCTCCCTCTGTCTTCAGGCTGGAGTGCAATGGTGCGATCTCGGCTCACTGCAACCTCCGCCTCCCGGGCTCAGGTGATTCTTCTGCCTCAGTCTCCCAAGTAGCTAGGACTACAGGCACATGCCACCAAACCCAGCTAATTTTTGTATTTTTAGTAGAGACGGGAACTATCTGTTTTCTGTAGCAGACTGGGGAGTCTCTTTTAGTAGATATCAGCTGGGCTCTGAGGCCAGACTATCCAAGTGACCTGAGCAAGTCAGGGAGCCCAGCCTCCTGGGGCCTCTTTCCTACTTCTGTAAGGTCCTTGTGAGGATCCAGAGTTAAGACATGAGGCCAGCCCGGGTGACTCATGTGTGTAATCCCAGCACTACGGGAAGCAGAGGCGGGAGGATTGTTTGAGCCCAGGAGTTCCAGACCAGCCTGGTCAACATAGGGAGACGCCCACTACCTGGGGGTGGAGGGGTATGTATACCTGTGGTTCCAGCTACTTGGGACGCTGAGGTGGGAGAATTGCTTGAGCCCAGGAGTTTGAGGCTGCAGTGCCCTGTGATTGCACCACTGCACTCCAGCCTAGCTGACAGAGCGAGATCCCATCTCAAAAAAACAAAAACAAAAACCAGTTAAAGCACGTAAAGCACTTAAACCACAGGTTGCCCCCTGGGAAGCTCTGGGGTATAGAGTCTTTCCTCCGGTTTGGATTTGGGGCTGTGACCCCTGTGTACTGGGAAGATGGGACGGCCCCCAACTCTGGGAGGCTGTGAGGCCTTCTGTCCCCAACAGCGTGGCAGGCAGCGCAGTTCCGGCTCTGGGGAGCAAGGGGGCTCCTGCGAACCCGAGTCCAGGAATGGGCGTCTTCCTGCGGTAGCCCCTGCCGGCCTGGGCTTGCCCTTCGTCCACCTTCCTCTTTCCGCGAGGGAGAAACAGATCCTGAGTTCAAAATTCCAGAGCTGAAAGTCCTCTCTTGGATCCTTCTGGAAACAGCAAAAGCCCGTTTTTGCTGAGAAAGTGACTCGGCAGCTATCCGGAGCTCTCTGCCTGCAGGTGGGGCCATTCTCCTATGGAGCCGACCCGACCCGCTCAAAGCTGCCCCGGGAACCGCAGGTTTGGTTCGCGCACGCCGGGACTTGCCAACCGCACCCGAAAAATCGGGGCCATGTCCAAATGTTTCGCTTCGCTGCCGGCAGGGAGCCGCGCCGGGCTCGCTCCTGGGATCAACTGCACAGTCCTGGCTTTGGGGAGCGGGAGGCGGTGAGCCTGCCCGCCCCCCGACCCCTTCCTCACCAGTGTGTCTGGGGTGAGGTGGGGATGGGGAGTCCTGGGGTTCGAAAAAGGATGGGGGAGGAGAAAGAGGAAGTGTTAGGAACTGGTGAACTTTCACAAACTTCCACAAACCCTATTGTAAATGCCTTCAATTAACTGGGATTTTTTTCTTTACTGGTTGATTGATTTAAGACAAGGTCTTGCTCGGGCACCCAGGCTGCAGTGCAGTGGCACAATCATAGCTCACTGCGGCCTCGACCTCCCAGGCTCAAACGATCCTCCCACCTCAGCCTCTGTAGTAGCTAGGACTACAGGTGCCTGCCACCAAGCCCGGGCTCATTTTTAAAAATAGAGATGGGGTGGGGTCTTGCAATGTCGCCCAGGCTGGTCTAGAACTCCTGGACTGAAGCGATCCTCCCCCTTGGTCTCCCAAAGGGCTGGAATAACAGGGTTGAGCCACCTTGTAGTTTTTTTCTAAATTCTGAGAAGCATGCATACTCATTGTTAAAAACATTTTTTCCCCAAACAATCCAGAAACAGGCAGTGTAGTTCATTGGTTAAGAAGCAGGACTCGAACGTACTCCTTTGGTTTGAATCTCAGCTCTGCCACTTACTGGCTTTGTGATCCTTGACAAGTTACTTAACCGCTCTGTGCCTCAGTTTCTCCATTTGTAACATGGGCATCATAATAGAACCTACCACATAAGGCTGTTGTGAAAATTAGTCTGTAAAGCAGGTAGAACAGTGCCTGAATATGAGTTGTTTTCTGTTATCAGGTACATAAGTGCATGTCCCTCTCAACCTACTCTCCCTTCCACCTCTGAACATCTCCCATCTCCCATTTCTGTCAGGCATGAATTTGTATCCTTGCAGCTCTTAGTACATACATGACACCCACATACTTACACACACACACACACACACGTTCTTATAGAAATGGATTTAATAGGGGCTGGGTGTGGTGGCTCATGCCTGTAATCCCAGCACTTTGGGAGGCCGAGGTGGGCGGATCACTTGAGTCAGGAGTTCGAGACCAGCCTGTCCAACATGGTGAAACTCCATCTCTACTGAAAATATAAAAATTAGCCAGGTGTGGTGGCACGCACCTGTAGTCCCAACTACTCAGGAGGCTGAGGCAGGCGAATCACTTGAACCCGGGAGACAGAGGCTGCAGTGAGCCAAGATCTCGCCACTGTACTCCAGCCTGGGCAACAGAGCGAGACAGAGTGTCTCAAGAGAAAAAAAAAAAAGGATTAATACTCTACCTCTTCTGCTTTTGTTTTTTTAATAACTTAATCACATCTGTAAAAACTTTTACAACATTACATGTAACCAGCTTCCGGCATGTGATAGCTTTGCAATAAATATTTGATGAGTGAATGAACCAATGAGTGAATGAATGAATTTTAGAATATTGTGAGCCACAGAATTATAAGATGAAAAGGAATCTTAGAGAATGTCTGGTCCATTCTCCCTGCCACTGCCAATCTCGCCTGAGTGGCAATGCTGGCTAGTCGTGGTCCAGTCTCTCTGGGAAGACTCCGTTTCTAGAGCTCACATTCTCAGGAGCCTTTCCCCCTTCTTTCCTCCTAGGTGAGCAGACACGTTAACAAGCAAAAGAACTGAATGTAAAACTGGTGGTTTTTGACTGAGTGTCCCTCAAATTTCTCAATGGCCACTTTATTTTTTGTGAATGTTATAGTCTTATATTGCTTATAACAAATCACCATAATTTAGTGGCTTAAAATAACACCCATTTATGAGCTTACAATTCTGCAGGCCAGAAGTGCCAGCTGGGTTCTCTGCTCAGGCTCTTAGGAGGCTGAAACGAAGCCTCCTTTCTGGAGGCTCTGGGGAAGAATTCACAGCCAAGTTCATTTCAATTGTTGGTTCGATTTAACTGCTTGCAGCTGTAGGATTTATGTCTCCATTTCCTCACAGGCTGTTCATAAAAGCCACCTACATTCCTGGCTAAGTGGCCTCCTCCACCTCAAAGGAATATCTTCCTCATATCAAATCTCTCCCATGCTTTGAATCTCCAACTCCCAGTCTTTGACCTCTAGACCCAGATTTAAATCTCATGTTATTAGATCAGGCCCTCCCAGAAAAATCTCTGTTTTAAAGTTAAGTGATTTGGGACCTTAATTACATCTGCAAAATCCTTTCACAACACCTAGATTAGTGTTTGAATAACTGGGAGAAGGTTTGTGTACACCCGGGCCAGGAATTTGATGGACCATCTTGGAGTTCTTCTTCCCACATACAGGTTTATTTGTTTTTTTGTTTTTGTTTTTGTTTTTGTTTTTTCAAGGCAGAGTCTCACTCTGTCACCCAGGCTGGAGTGCAGTAGTGCCATCTCAGCTCACCGCAACCTCTGTCTCCTGTGTTCAAGCAATTCTCCTGCCTCAGCCTCCTGAGTAGCTGGGACTACAGGTATGTGCCACCATGCCCAGCTAGTTTTTGTATTTTTAGTAGAGACGGGTTTTCTCTATGTGGGCCAGGCTGGTCTCGAACTCCTGACCTGAAGGGATCTGTCTGCCTCAGCCTCCCAAAATGCTGGGATTACAGGCATGAGCCACCGCACGTGGCCCACATATACTTTTTATTGAAGTATAACACACATGCAAAAATGCACAAGGCTCAGCTTGACAAATTCTCACAAACTGTACACACCCATTAATCAACACACTGGTCAAGAAACAGAACATGATCAGCCTCCAGAAACCCCGTCCCCCCATGTCTTCTTCAGTCATTACCCTCCCCTATGGGAATCACTATCCTTATTTCTAATGCCACAGATTACATTAGCCTGTTTTTGGGCTTTATATAACTTGAGCTACATAGTTTTTGTAATTTATACCGTTTGTGAGATGCACTCATGTTGTCATATGTAATTTAGTTCGTTCTTTCTTCGTGTATAACAATCCATGGTACGAATATACTACTTGTGGTAGACAGAATAATGACCCCCAAAGATGTTTGAATCTTTATAGCTTTTCTGTAAATATATATTTATTACAAAATAAAAATTATTTTTAAAAAGCAAGGTATGCAGTAGAATAAGATACTTGCAGAAACCAATATCCAACAAAAAACCATATCCAGAAAATATATCTACGTCTATATATAATGTATATATATTACTAGAAATCAATAAGTAACATTCGTCCCCATCCTAATCCCTGGAATCTATAAATATGTTACCTTCTATGGCAAAAGGGACTTTGCAGATGTAACTAAGGATCTTGAAGGAGGATTACCCTGGATCATCTGAGTGGGCCCAGTACGATCACAAGGGTCCCTACAAGTGGAAGAAGAAGGTCAGAGTGAGAGAGAGACCTTTGGAGACGCTGTGTGCTGCTGGCTTTGAAGACAGAGGAAGGAGCCACAAGTCAAGGAATGCAGGCAGCCTCTAGAAGCTGGCAAAGGCAAGCAAACAGATTCTCCCATGGAGTCTTCAGAAGGAACACAGCCCTGCCCACACTCTGACATTAGCTCAGTAACACACGTTAGGCTTCTCACTTCCAGAAGTGTAAGATAATACATTTGTGTTGTTCTATGGCACTAAATTTGTGGTAATCTGTTACAGCAGCAATTGGAAACTAATACAGAAACGTTACCAATTTTTTTTTTTCTGAGACGGAGTCTCGCCCTGTTGCCCAGGCTGGAGTGCAGTGGCACGATCTCAGCTCACTGCAACCTCCTCCGCCTCCTGGGTTCAAGCAATTCTCTGCCTCAGCCTCCCGAGTAGCTGGGACTACAGGCGCGTGCCACCACGCCCGGCTAATTTTTTGTATTTTTAGTAGAGACAGGATGGTCTCAATCTCCTGACCTTGTGATCCGCAGATCTCGGCCTCCTGAAGTGCTGGGATTACAGTCGTGAGCCACCGCGCCCAGTCTACCTATTTTATTGCTGAAGAACATTGGGCTTTTCCCAGGTTGGGCTGTTACAAATACTGCTGCTATAAATATTCTTGTACATTTCTCTTGGTGAAAAAACACACTTGTCTGTCCTTCCTTCCTTCCATCCTTCCTTTCTTCCTTTCCTTCCTTCCTTTCCTTCCTTCCTTCCTTCCTTCCTTCCTTCCTTCCTTCCTTTCTTTCTTTCTTTCTTTCTTTTTCTCTCTTTCTTTCTTTCCTTAAATATGGAGACAGGATCTCACTATGTCGCCCAGGCTGGTCTCAAATTCCTAAGCTCAAGCAATCCTCCCACTTCAGCCTCCCAAAGTGCTGGGATTACAGATGTGAGCCACTGCACTGAGCCCACGCTTGCGTTTCTGTCAGATACATACCTAGGATTGGAACTGCTGGATCATAAAGTATGGGTGTGTTTCTCTGTAATAGAAGCAAGCAGTTTTCCAAAGTGGTTATACCAATTCACACCCTCATTAGAAGCATATGAGTTCAACTTGTTCCACATCCCTAGTAACACTTGGTATTGTCTGTAATTTAATTTTAGCCATTATAGTGAGTGTGTAGTGATACTGTACTGTGATTTCCAATTTGCACTTCTCTGATGTCTAAGGAATGTAAAAATATTTGCATGAACTTATTGGTATTTTGGATGGCTTTTTTTTAATGAAATGCTTATCCAAGACTTCTGCCAATGTTTCTACAGGGTTATCTTTTTTCTTATCGCCTTACATAAGAATTTTTTTTTTCTTGGCCAGGCGCAGTGGCTCATGCCTGTAATCCCAGCACTTTGGGAGGCTGAGGTGGGCAGATAACTTGAGGTCAGGAGTTTGAGACCAGCCTGGTCAATGCAGTAAAACCCCATCTCTACTAAAAATACAAAATTAGCTGGGCGTGGTGGTGTGCGCCTGTAATCCCGGCAACTTGGAAAGCTGAGACAGGAGAATTGCTTGAACCTGGGAGGCAGAGGTTGCAGTGAGCTGAGATTGCGCCACTGCACTCCAGCCTGGGCAAAAAGAGTGAGACTCCTTCTCAAAAATATATATATACATTTTATATATATATATATATACACACACACACACATTATATATATACATTATATATATACATTATATATATATACACACACACATATAAACATGTATATATTTTTTTCTGGATAAAATTTATTTTCTGGATATTGGTTTTCTTAAATATATTCTGTTAGCTTACCTTCATAAAATTTTGGAATAAATGTGTATTTATTCTTCTATAAATGTATAATTATAGAAAAGTTGCAAAGATAGTACAGAGAGTTCCTGTATCCACTTCACCCAGTTTCCCCTCATATTATCATCTTAAATTACCTTAGTACATTTGTCAAAAGTAATAATTTAAGATTGGTAATTTACTATTAACTAAACTAGAGATTTATTTGGATTTCACCAGCTGGTATATCCCATTACATTTAGTTATTATGTCTTCTTGGTCTCCTTTGATCTGTGACTGTTTCTTAGTCTTTCCTTATTTGTCATGACCTTGACAGTTTTGAAAAGTATTGGTCAGGTATTTTGTAGAATGTCCCTCAATTTGAATTTTTTTTTTCTTTTTTGCCCACGTTGGAGTGCAATGGCATGATCTTGGCTCACTGCAACCTCCGTGTCCCGGGTTCAAGGGATTCTCCTGCCTCAGCCTCCCAAGTAGCTGGGATTACAGGCATATGCCACCACACCTGGCTAATTTTTGCATTTTTAGTAGAGATGGGGTTTCACCATGTTGGTCAGGCTGGTTTTGAACTCCTGACCTCAGGTGATCCACTGGCCTGGCCTCCCAAAGTTCTGGGATTACAGGCATGAGCCACTGCACCTGGCCTCAATTTGGATTTGTCTGATGGTTCTCTCATGACTAAACTGGGATTGTGGATTTGGGAAAGGAGAACCATGGAGGTGATATGACCTTCTCATCATATCATATCATATCATATGAGGGCATATATGATGTCAACATGACTGATTACTGGTGATTTTGAAGTTAATCCCTTGGTTAAGGTAGTGTCTACCAGGTTTCTCCACTGTAAAGTTAATAAATGTTCTCTTTCCATATTCTTGTTTTACTTTTCAATTTTAATCTATTTATTTATTTTGAGACCAGGTTATGAGACTGGCGAATTTTTGTACTTTTGGTAGAAATGGGGTTTCACCATGTTGCCAAGGCTAGTCTTGAACTCCTGGGCTGAAGCAATCCACCCACCTCAGCCTCCCAAAGTGCTGGGATTAAAAGTATGAGCCACCATGAGCAGCCTCTTTCCATATACTATTATTTGAAAGTGAGTCCAGTCCACACTCAAGGGGAGGGAAACTAAGTTTCATCTCCTGAAGGAATGGATTTTTTTGTTTGTTTGTTTGTTTTGTTTTGTTTTGTTTTGTTTGAGATGGAGTCTCCCTCTATTGCCCAGGCTGGAGTGCAGTGGCGCGATCTCGGCTCACTGCAACCTCCGCCTCCCAGGTTCAAGCAATTCTCTGCCTCAGCCTCCTGAGTAGCTGAGATTATAGGCGCCTGGCTAATTTTTGTATTTTTAGTAGAGACGGGGTTTCACCAACTTGGCCAGGCTGGTCTTGAACTCCTGACCTCATGATACACCCGCCTTGGCCTCCCAAAGTGCTTCGATTACAGGCATGAGTCACCGTGCCCAGCCTAGGAGTGGAGTATTTACACACATTGTTTGGAGTTCTTCTTTAAGAAAGACTTATTTATGAAATCATTTATTTATATAGGCTCATGTGTAACCATGTAGTTTATACTTTGGGTTATAATTCAACAACGTTTTTCCTTTATTTAGTAGATACTACATTCTTTACCTTATTTCCCAAATTCCTCCAGCTTTGGCCATTGGGAGCTCTTCCACATTGGCTCCTGTGTCCTTTGACCTTCCTCCATCTTCTTCTCTTTTTATTTTTTAGCACTGCCTTAATTTCGGCGCTGAGGTGGGTACTGCAGAGAAAAGCAAACACTCCAGAACCCATGCACTGGATCCAGGAGTGGGTGGTAGAAAGGGATGTGGAGGGAGGGGTCTGAGCTCTAATACTAAAGACAGAGACTTAGGAGACCGTGAAGGGGTGTTTATGGAAAGTCAGGGAATTTTACCTCCCCGAGGAGAGGAATCCTGTGTCATCCACCTTTGTGTCCCCTCCCCTGGGCTCACAACAGTGAACCATGGGGTGAACAAGGACCATTCCACTGCCTCTCCCAGGTTCTCCAACTCTGTGGCTTACTATGGCCTGGCCATGGACCTGCAGAAGTTTGGGCTCAGCCTATACCTGGTGCAGGCCCTGTTTGGAATCATCAACACCCCGGCCATGCTGGTGGCCACCGCCACCATGATTTACGTGGGCCGCCGTGCCACGGTGGCCTCCTTCCTCATCCTGGCCGGGCTCATGGTGATCGCCAACATGTTTGTGCCAGAAGGTGAGTCACCCACTTCTGCCCTTGCTGCACACCAAGAACTGGGAGCCTCTGGGGTCTGGTAGACAACAAATTTCACATGGCAGCAAGGCTGAAGGGTATGTCTCCGGATCTGAAAAGAAAGCAACTGTTAGGCTGGGCACGGTGGCTCACGCCTGTAATCCCAGCACTTTGGGAGGCCAAGGCGGGCAAATCACCTGAGGTTAGGAGTTCAAGACCAGCCTGGCCAACATGGTGAAACCCCGTCTCTACAGAAAATACAAAAAAATTAGCTGGGCGTGGTGGTGTGCACCTGTAATCCCAGCTACTTGGGAGGCTGAGGCAGAAGAATCACTTGAACCCAGGAGACGGAGGCTGCAGTGAGCCAAGATCGTGCCACTGTACTCCAGCCTGGGAGACAGAGTGAGACTCAAAGAAAAGAAAAAAGAAAAAGAAAGCGACTGTTGATTACTAGAGTTTGTATTAAGCACTTAGTGCCCAGTGGCAATTAGTGGCAGGTGGAGGTCTTGAGCCTTGGCCCTCAGAGCTTCTACTGTGTGGCCAGGGAGGTTAGACAGGTGCACCTAAGCAGCTGGAGAGCACAGGGGCTGGCTCGGTGTGGCCAGCAGTGTGTGCGGCCCCCCGAAGTCTGAGCAGGCAGCATGTCCAAGGGTTGAGAAGTTAGGATTCAAACCTCAGCTGGACTGGCCCTGGAACAGTGGTTTGCAAACCTGGCTAAAATGACCTTCTCCTGGAGCGCTTTGAAAACTCCCAGGGCCCAGGTGCTCCATGCCAGCGCCCTGGGAATCTCAAGGAGTGGAACTCAACCCTCAGTATTTTACAAACTGTCCAGTGAGTCCAGCAAGACGCCAGGGTTGAATAGCAGCGACATAGAGCATGGGCCAAACCATGTGCCCATTGTGACTGCAGCCTTGGCCGTGGGCAGGTTGTCCAACTTCTCTGTGCCTTAGTTCTTCACCTGTAAAATGGATAAATGTTATTATTGGTGTCTTGACCTATTTCATTCCAATCTTTTTTCCTATTTATAGATTTGTATTCAGCATAGTTGAGATATTTTATATGTTTATACATACAAAAATATAAATAGGATACATACATATATATGTATATATGTGCATGTGTACATATATATATATATATATATATATATATATAGTGCCCTTATTTCATTATATGTTGAAACATACACATTCTTTTCCATGTTAGCACAAATGTTTCATGGACCTGATTTTTTTTTTTTTTTTTGAGATGAAGTCTCATTTGTTGCCCAGGCTGGAGTGCTGTGGTGCTCACTGCAACCTCTGCCTCCTAGGTTCAAGTGATTCCCCTGCCTTAGCCTGCAGAGTAGCTGGGATTAGAGATGCGTGCCATCATGCCCGGCTAATTTTTGTATTTTTAGTACAGGCGGGGTTTCATCATTTTGGCCAGGGTGGTCTCAAACTCGTGACCTCAAGTGATCTGCCCACCTCGGCCTCCTAAAGTGCTGGGATTACAGGCATGAGCCACTGTGCCTGGCCTCATGGACCTGATTTTTTATTGCTATGTGATCCTTCCCTCCCTCCCTCCCTCCCTTCCTTCCTCCCTCCCTCCCTTCTTCCTTTCCTCCCTTCTGCCTTTCCTCCCTCCCTCCTTTTCTTTCTTCCTTTCTTTTTCTTTCTTTTCTTTCTTTTTTAAGACAGAGTCTCACTCTGTGGCTCAGGCTGGAGTACAGTGGCACAATCATGGCTCACTGCAGCCTCGACCTCCCAGGCTCAAGCAATCCTCCCACCTTAGCCTCCTGAGTAGCTGGGACTACCGGTGCATTCCACCACACCTGGCTAATTTTTTGTATTTTTTGTGTAGAGACAGGGTTTTGCCATGTTGCCTAGTCTGGTCTCAAACTCCTGGGCTCAAGCGATCTGCCTGCCTTGGTCTCCCAAAGTGCTGGGGTTATAGACGAGAGCCACTGCACCCAGCCTAGATAATATTTCATCTAGATTGATGTTTCTAACTCTGGCCTCACAATAGAATCTCTTGGGGACCTTTAAAAAATACCCAAATTTGAGCCCATCCCCAGTAGGTCTTGCTAGAGTGGACATTGAGTAAGACCCAGGTGTGAGTGTTTTATAAAATCTCCCCACCTGATTCCAATGTGCAGCCAGGGCTGCCACCCAGCCAGAGAAGGCACCATCATTTCCTTGACTGCTGTCCTAACGTTGGATGTTTGAATAGGGGTTTTGCTACTTATAAACAACAGCGGGAGAAGCATATTGAAAATGAGGACAATGGGCCGGGCGCGGTGGCTCATGCCTGTAATCCCAGTACTTTGGGAAGCCAAGGCAGGTGGATCACCTGAGGTCAGGAGTTCGAGACCAGCCTGGACAACATGGTGAAACCCTGTCTCTACTAAAAATACAAAAATTAGCTGGGCGCGGTGGTGCACACCTATAATCCCAGCTACTCAGGAGGCTGAGGCAGGAGAATTGCTTGAACCTAGGAGGCAGAGATTGCAGTGAGCCAAGATTGTGCCACTGCACTCCAGCCTCAGTGACAGAGAGACTCTGTCTCAAAAAAAAAGAAAGAAAGAAAGAAAGAAAATGAAGGCAATGGCAAACATTTAATGGGCACTTTGCACACCTGGCATTGTGTCCAGCTTACGCCAACCCCATGAAGCAGGTGCTGCTATTTTCCTTATTTTACAGATGAGGACAGGGAGGTGCAGAGTGGGTAAGAAACACTGACCTAGGTCAGCCAGCGGGGTGAGAGCTGCAATTTGAACCCAGGCCTGACTCTAAAGCACCTGCCTACCCAGCAGGACTTGGTGACAGATGCAAATAAAGGAGCAAGGAGGGAGAAGTCAGAGAAGGGCAGTCAGGGGACTCCTGGGTCCTAGGAACAGTTGGGAAGGGGAGGTGGTGGAAATCCTGGTTCTCCTCTGGGTTCTGAGTGGGCTCTGCCTCTTCCCCCCACCTCGCCCTATCCCCTCCTGAGGCTCCACCCTTCTCCACTACACCCTGGGCCTCCCTCTCCTCCCCTCCTCCTCAGCTGCACCCTACTCCCCTGTCTAGGCACGCAGATCCTGTGCACAGCCCAGGCAGCGCTGGGCAAAGGCTGCCTGGCCAGCTCCTTCATCTGTGTGTACCTGTTTACCGGCGAGCTGTACCCCACGGAGATCAGGTGGGTGCATGGGGGGAGATGCTGCAGGTTGAGACCTGTTGGGCTCACCGAGGCAGGACCCCTGGTCCCTCCTGCCCTGTCCTCTGACACTCAGGGCGTGGCCCTCTTGGGCCCCTAGGGGTGCAGGTTGCTGCACTGACCCATCCCCATCCACACACCTCCCACAGGCAGATGGGGATGGGCTTTGCCTCTGTCCACGCCCGCCTCGGGGGCCTGACGGCGCCCCTGGTTACCACACTTGGGGAATACAGCACCATCCTGCCACCCGTGAGCTTTGGGGCCACCGCAATCCTGGCTGGGCTGGCCGTCTGCGTCCTGACCGAGACCCGCAACATGCCCCTGGTGGAGACCATCGCAGCCATGGAGAGGAGGTGAGGGGCCTCCAGCACCAAGAGGCCGAAAGTTACAGGAAATAACTGGGGGGCAAATGGGGTGCCCTCCCCACTCCTGCGTATCGGAAATGTCCTGGCCAGATGCACCAGAGCTGTGAGATGCCTCCCCCACCTCCATCTGCACTGGCTTAGCTTTCCCCAAGAACAGACCCAATCACGAAGGTAGAAAAGAATAAACCGTGAACAAGGAAACACGTGGGTTGGAAGTGAGACGTGGCAGAGAAGTGAGGAGAGGAGAGCGGAGGAAAGTGAAGCAAAGACAGGCTCCCATGGTTGCTGTGCAGGCTTCAAATTTGGTTCTGGGCTTCTTCACAACAGAAAGGGAGACCCCATTCATGGCTGCTCTTGGAAAGGAAAACAAATACCAGTCCCTCAGGAGAGTGAAGCTTTCCTTAGCATTTAGCACTAGGAGAGGTTTCTCTTCACTGCTTGGCCCCCCACCCCTCTTTTCTTTTTTTTTTTAAGATCATCTTGGCTTCAAGTGTGGGTCTCATTAGAAAGGTCACTAAGGTGACAGCAATGTCCTGGACAATGTTTCTAAAACAAACTCAAGAGGGGACTTGATCTGGCTGCTTCTTGCAGCATTTCTCAGCAACAGTGGGCTCAGGGAAGACCCTTAGTTTGCGGGAATGGTGACAGGAACAGTAGCCGCGCCCGTCTGTAACCCTCTCTGAAGGTCAGCTTGATCCCAAAGGTGGACCCATCTGTACCCAGTGGCCTGTATAGGTGCTGTGTTTGCAACCCTGAAATAACTCCCATAAACATTCCATCTCTAACCTGAGCCATGGGCCAAGGCTGAACTGCAAGAGATCAAGGATATATTCTTTGGCAAGTCCTATCATTTCTTTTCTTTCTTTTTTTTTTTTTTTTTTTGAGACATTGTCTCACTCTGTCACCCCGGCTGGAGTGCGGTGGTGCGATCATGACTCACTGCAACCTCCGCCTCCCGGGTTCAAGTGATTCTCCTGCCTCAGCCTCCCGAGTAGCAGGGATTACAGGCGCCCGCCACCATGCCCAGCTAATTTTTGTATTTTTAGTAGAGATGGGGTTTCACCATCTTGGCCAGGCTGGTCTTGAACTCCTGACCTTGTGATCCACCTGCCTCGGCCTCCCAAAGTGCTGGGATTACAGGCGTGAGCCACGGCGCCCAGCCCAAGTCCTATCATTTCTGCCTCCAGAATAGACTTAAATCTGTCATTCTCTCTCCAGCCCTGTGTCCATGGCCCTATATCAAGCCACCATTGTCTCTTGTCTGGACAACTACGAGAGCCTCATATCTTCCCCTGTCCCTGTCCACTTTATTCCCTGCAGGCCAAGTGGGGGAGGACAGTCTTCATCTGGGTGCTGAGCAGGGCTTGGAGAGGATGAGGGTATGGGAGGCGGAGTGTTAAAGTGCATGTATGGGCCAGGTGCAGTGGCTCACACCTGTAATCCCAGCACTTTGGGAGACTGAGGTGGGTGGATCACCTAAGGTCAGGAGTTTGAGACCAGCCTGGCCAACATGGCGAAACCCTGTCTCCATTAAAAATACAAAATTAGGCTCTTGCTACTTCCTTCTTCCCGCTGCCGGGAACACAAGCAAAACGTTGAGGGCTGCAGCAGCCATCTTTGACCATGAAGTAACCTTAAGAAAGGAAGCCATTCTCCCTCTCCCTCTCCCTCTCCCTCCCTCTCCCTCCCTCTCCCTCTCCCTCTCCCTCTCCCTCCCCCTCCCCCTCCCCCTCCCCCTCTGGTCTCCCTCTCTTTCCACAGTCTCCCTCTCATGCGGAGCCGAAGCTGGACTGTACTGCTGCCATCTCGGCTCACTGCAACCTCCCTGCCTGATTCTCCTGCCTCAGCCTGCCGAGTGCCTGCGATTGCAGGCACGCGCTGCCACACCTGACTGGTTTTGGTGGAGACGGGGTTTCGCTGTGTTGGCCGGGCCGGTCTCCAGCCCCTAACCGCGAGTGATCCGCCAGCCTCGGCCTCCCGAGGTGCCGGGATTGCAGACGGAGTCTCGTTCACTCAGTGCTCAATGGTGCCCAGGCTGGAGTGCAGTGGCGTGATCTCGGCTCGCTACAACCTACACCTCCCAGCCGCCTGCCTTGGCCTCCCAAAGTGCCGAGATTGCAGCCTCTGCCTGGCCACCACCCCGTCTGGGAAGTGAGCAGTGTCTCTGCCTGGCCGCCCATCGTCTGGGAAGTGAGGAGCCCCTCTGCCTGGCTGCCTAGTCTGGAAAGTGAGGAGCGTCTCAGCCCGGCCGCCATCCCATCTAGGAAGTGAGGAGCGCCTCTTCCTGGCCGCCATCACATCTAGGAAGTGAGGAGCGTCTCTGCCCAGCCGCCCATCATCTGAGATGTGGGGAGCGCCTCTGCCCCGCCACCCCATCTGGGATGTGAGGAGCGCCTCTGCCCGGCCGCGACCCCGTCTGGGAGGTGAGGAGCGTCTCTGCCCGGCCGCCCCGTCTAAGAAGTGAGGAGACCCTCTGCCTGGCAACCACCCCGTCTGAGAAGTGAGGAGCCCCTCCGCCCGGCAGCTGCCCCGTCTGAGAAGTGAGGAGCCTCTCCGCCCGGCAGCCACCCCATCTGGGAAGTGAGGAGCGTCTCCGCCCGGCAGCCACCCCGTCCGGGAGGGAGGTGGGGGGGGTCAGCCCCCCGCCCGGCCAGCCGCCCCGTCCAGGAGGGAGGTCGGGGGGGGTCAGCCCCCCCTGCCCGGCCAGCCGCCCCGTCCGGGAGGGAGGTGGGGGGGTCAGCCCCCCGCCCGGCCAGCCGCCCCGTCCGGAAGGGAGGTTGGGGGGTCAGCCCCCTGCCCAGCCAGCCGCCCCGTCTGGGAGGTGAGGGGTGCCTCTGCCCGGCCGCCCCGACTGGGAAGTGAGGAGCCCCTCTGCCCGGCCACCACCCCGTCTGGGAGGTGTGCCCAACAGCTCATTGAGAACGGGCCAGGATGACAATGGCGGCTTTGTGGAATAGAAAGGCGGGAAAGGTGGGGAAAAGATTGAGAAATCGGATGGTTGCCGTGTCTGTGTAGAAAGAAGTAGACATGGGAGACTTTTCATTTTGTTCTGCACTAAGAAAAATTCTTCTGCCTTGGGATCTTGTTGATCTGTGACCTTACCCCCAACCCTGTGCTCTCTGAAACATGTGCTGTGTCCACTCAGGGTTAAATGGATTAAGGGCGGTGCAAGATGTGCTTTGTTAAACAGATGCTTGAAGGCAGCATGCTCGTTAAGAGTCATCACCAATCCCTAATCTCAAGTAATCAGGGACACAAACACTGCGGAAGGCCGCAGGTTCCTCTGCCTAGGAAAACCAGAGACCTTTGTTCACTTGTTTATCTGCTGACCTTCCCTCCACTATTGTCCCATGACCCTGCCAAATCCCCCTCTGTGAGAAACACCCAAGTATTATCAATAAAAAAATAAATTAAAAAAGAAAAAAAAAAAGAAAAAAAAAAAAAAGAAAGGAAGCCATGTGCTAAGAATGGTGGAGAAGAAAGGAGGAAGTGCGTGATGAATTTGTCAACATCCCTGGACTACCTAATTCCAGACTTTTTTAAGTAGAGAAAAATAAACCTCTAGTTTATATATAAAAAAAAAAATACAAAATTAGCCAGGTGTGGTGGTGGGTGCCTGTAATCCCAGCTACTTAGGAGGCTGGGGCAGGAGAATCGTTTGAACCCGGGAGGTGGAGGTTGCAGTGAGCCGAGATCGCACCACTGCACTCCAGCCTGGGCGACAGAGCAAGACTCCATCTCAGTGGGGTTGGGGTGGGGGAGTTGGGAAGATTAAGCCAATCGACTAAAATATTATAAATAGAAGAGTTAAAAAGCAAGGATAGAAACATAGATAAAACAGTATGAATGCTGGAAAAAATCCAAAAATGGAAACAGCTTAAAGTAGACAGGAGAAATGGGCAAGATATGAAACGATTAAAACAAGAGGATAACAGCCCAGGCGCGGTGGCTCACACCTGTAATCCCAGCACTTTGGGAGGCAGAGGCAGGTGGATCATGAGGTCAGGAGTTCGAGACCAACCTAGCCAACATAGTGAAACCCTGTCTCTACTAAAAATACAAAAATTAGCCGGGCATGGTGGCACGCCTGTAGTCCCAGCTACTCAGGAGGCTGAGGCAGGAGAATCGCTTGAACCCAGGAGGCAGAGGTTGCAGTGAGCCAAGATTGCACCACTGCACTCCAGCTTGGGCGACAGAGCAAGACTTCGTCTCAAAAAAAAAAAAAAAAAAGAGGATTAAAAAAACTAAGATAATTCCGTGGGAAAACAGTTATCAGTGTCCACAATACAAAAATAAAAATAAATGGAAGGAATTAGAACATAAATCATTTCAAAGACTAGAGGGTTCTTTTTTAAGGCGATAGGCCAGGCATGGTGGCTCATACCTGTAATCCCAGCACGTTGAGAGGTTGAGGCGGAAGGATTGCTTGAGCCCCGGAGTTCAAGACCAGCCTGGGCAACATAGCAAGACCCCCATTTCTACCCCCCCATCAAAAAAGGCAAAATTGGATCTTGTCAAGTGATAGAAAGCCAGTGGGGTAGCCTCAGGCTATTTGGGACTGAGGGGGCCTCAAAGTCCAGGCAAGCCCCCCACCACCCTCAACCTCCCCTGACTTCTTCAAGAGCCAACCAGGGCAGGGCAGGAGTGGCTCAGAGCCCTAATCTTTGTCCCTCCCTGCCTCCTGGGGTGGGAGAAGAAGGGTGCTAATAGTGCCCAGTCGCTGGGGGTGTCTGCTGGCCCCTGTTCTCCAGCCAAGTGACCTTGGGCATGTGTCCACCCTCTAGGTCCTCATCTGTAAGACTCTTTGTTGAACTTCTTGACCCTGCAGCTCTCCCAAGTCTGTTTCCAGACAGGCCAGCCTCTGCCAGCTGCAAGACCCCAGGGATAGAGCAAGGAGGGAGCTGGAGGAACAATAGGAGGGTGGCCACCAGGGTGCCCAAGAGAATCCAGAGGAGGGGCCACTGCAGCATCCACCTCCCTTCTGGCTTCAGGAGGGTGGAGCTGCACCCTGTGCATATGGCACCACCCTCCCCATGACATGCACACCACCTGCCCCTCACCACTGCCTTCTGCCTTTTCATTTCTACAGGGTCAAAGAAGGCTCTTCCAAGAAACATGTAGAAGAGAAGAGTGAAGAAATTTCTCTTCAGCAGCTGAGAGCATCTCCCCTCAAAGAGACCATCTAAGCTGCCTGGAACCTGGTGCTTGCTAGCAGCACCTGAGCCGATGTCCAGACGGCCCCCTGGGGGCTTCTCCCAGGAGCCCCTGGGGACACTGGTGCTGAACTGGAGGAAAGGTCGCTGAAAACATCATGGCTCCTATAGACAGCCACCCACAAGCCAGGGCTGCTTGGAGGGAAACCCCACCAGAAACAGCCAATCTGTGTTACAAATGCATAGAAAGCCAGGAGAAGCCAGTCCCAGGGACCAAAGGAGAGACTGTTTTCCTTTCCCATCCCCAATCTGCCCCTTAAAATGTCTCTGTATTAGTCCATTCTTGCACTCCTATAAAGAACTACCTGAGACTGGGTCATTTACAAGGAAAAGAGGTTTAATTGACTCACAGTTCTGCAGATTGTACAGGAAGCATGGCTGGGAGGCCTCAGGAAACTTACAATCATTGCAGAAGGCAAAGAGGAAGCAAGCACGTCTTCACATGGCTGGCAGGAGAGAGAGAAAGTGAAGGGGAAGGTGCCGCACACTTTACAACAGCCAGATCTCGTGAGAACTCTTTATCACGAGACAGCACTAGGGGGGTGGTGCCAAACCATTAGAAACCATCCGCAGTATCCAAGCACCTTGCACTAGGCCCCACCTCCAACACCGGGGATTACAATTAAACATGAGATTTGGGTGGGGACACAGAGCCAAATCATATCACTGTTTATTCTTGTTCCACTTGAGAATGCTGTGTCTTTGCAGGGTTAGGGTGATATCTCTGCCAAAGGGTTGTCCCTGGAATAGCCCCACTCATCCTTGAGAAACGTGGAGAACTCATTCTATTCCACTCACCCGGAAAGAGTAAATACTCTTCTGCCTTATGGGATTAAAGCTCTTTCCCCCGTGTGTGTGTGTCTTACCTCCTTGACAGGAAAATGTCTCCATAGCAGGCATTCTTGCCTACCTTTGTAGCTCCAGCAGCCCCTCATAGTGGCCTTGCAGAAGCTGCATGTTTAATAAATAGTTGATGAAGAAATGATCAAAACAGACTCCCGCAATAGATGGAGACCTTTGTGCGTTGTTTGCATTCCTAGCAATACCACTTTGCAGAACTGGGATATGGTTCTTTTCCCCAGAAGCCTTCTTCAGGTGTGTGCCACTATGATCAGCTATTTTTTTTATTTCATAGCAATAGGGTCTTGCTTTGTTGCCCTGGCTGGCTTTGAACTCTTGGCCTAAAGCAATCCTCTGGCCTCAGCTTCCCCAAATGCTGGGATTACAGAGAGGAGAAGGCCTAGTTTGGCACAGCATCCCGCTGGCCTCAGATCTATTTCCAGCCCAGGTGTTGGCCATGTATCCCTGACCTTAACCTTCACTGGAATTCAGATTAGATTTATAAGGGATTCGAATCTTGGCCCATTGGGTTGTCTTGGCCAAATTTTCTTGTCTGATCCCTTCTTCCTGGAGTTACCAGATAATCCAACAAGATCAATTCTCAGTCCCCTACAGCCCAAAGAAAGGCACAATATAGGGAAGAAACAAGACTATCACAGTCTGGGCAGGAAGCATGGCAGCTTGCCGTTTTGCCAAGATTAGTCTTCCAACAGCTTGGAGCAGAGGTGGAATGTGACTCCCCCAAGGACTTGTCCCAAGGCCCTGTTATTGATGCACTGAATCCTCAGCTCCTCCCCAGGGATTTAACCTCTTTTTGAACATGTCAGGGAACACCTGTGTGATCCGCTACATGAGCTTTTCCATTCGAGTTGTTCTCCACCCACAGCCCTCAGCAAATCAGTGATTTCAATAGGCAGAGGGCTGCTGTGCCTGGCCATGCTTTGAGATTCACCTTGGGGGTTACCTCTTCCAGGCAGCTTTCACTGACCACACCTGCCTACCTCTGCGTGCTGCTCCACTCCCCCGCACCACCCCCATCCCCCCCACCCCAGCCTGCTGCCCCATGCCCTCTATTGCAATCTCCTTATTGCACTTTCCCATTGTGTTGTGATGGGTCCATTTACATGCTGATCTCTCCAGTGGCTCCTCAAAGGCAAAGTTAAATCATCTTTTCTTGACCTGGCCTGCACATGGCAGGTGCTCAGTTCATGTTGCCAGAGTGAATGACTTTTTTTTTTTTTTTTGAAATGAAGTCTCACTCTGTCGCCCAGGCTGGAGGTCAATGGCGTGATCTCAGCTCACTGCAACCTCTGCCTGCTGGGTTGAAGCGATTCTCCTGTCTCAGCCTCCTGAGTAGCTAGGATTACAGACGTCCACCACCAAGCCCAGCTAATTTTTGTATTTTTAGTAGAGACGGGGTTTCACCATGTTGGTCAGACTGGTCTGGAGCTCCTGACCTCAGGTGATCCACCTGCCTCGGCCTCCCAAAGTGTTGAGATTACAGGCTTGAGCCACAGCACCTGGCCGTGAATGACTATTATTTTATTTATTTATTTTTGAGACAGGGTCTCACTACGTCACCCAGGGTAGAGTTGCAGTGGTATGATCTTGGCTCACTGCAGCCTCGACTTACCTGGCTCAAGCAATTATCCCGCCTCAGTCTCCCAAGTAGCTAGGACTACAGGTGTCTGCCACCATGCCTGGCTAATTTTTAAAGTTTTTGTAGAGACAGGGTCTTGCTCTTTTGTCCAGGCTGGTCTCAAACTCCTGGACTCAAGTAATCCTTTTGCCTTGGCCTCCCAAAGTGCTGGGATTACAGGCATGAGCCACCACACCCAGCCTTTATTTTTATTTTTGAAGAAAATTTAGAATAATGGTTCTCAATCTTGGAATCACCTGTGAGCTTTTTAAAAAAAAATACCAGGCCGGGCGTGGTGGCTCACACCTGTAATCCCAGCGCTTTGGGAGGCTAAGGCAGGCAGATAACGAGGTCAAAAAATTGAGACCATCCTGGCCAACATGGTGAAAACCTGTCTCTACCAAAAATACAAAAATTAGCTGGGCATGGTGGCACACACCTGTAGACCCAGCTACTCGGGAGGCTGAGGCAGGATAATCACTTGAACCCAGGAGGCGGAGGTTGCAGTGAGCTGAGATTGCTCTACTGCACTCCAGCAGCCTGGCGACAGAGTGAGACCCCGTCTCAAAAAACAAAAAACAAAAAAACCAGTGCTAGAGCCCACTCCAATCCAGCAGATAAGGTTAATTATAACAAGACTGTGACCTCATAGTTAATGAGTTACTTACCATGGAGTTAGTAAGCTAATTTGATTTCCCTGCACACAGACAATACATACTTTTAAGTGAACAAACTAGATTTTCTTTCTTTTTCTTTTTCTTTCTTTCTTTCTTTTTTTTTTTTTTGAGACTGGATTTCGCTCTTGTTGCCCAGGCTGGAGTGCAATGGCGTGATCTCGGCTCATCGCAACCTCTGCCTCCCGGATTCAAGCAATTCTCCTGCCTCAGCCTCCTGAGTAGCTGGGATTACACGCATGTGCCACCACGTCCAGCTAATTTTTTATTTTTAGTAGAGATGGGGTTTCTCTACGTTGGTCAGGCTGGTCTCGAACTCCGGACCTCAAGTGATCCACCCGCCTTGGCCTCCCAAAGTGCCGGGATTACAGGCGTGAGCCACCACGCCTGGCCACAAACTAGATTTTCTTGAAGAAATATTCTGACCATGAAGTTTCCTATGACAAGTATAAATGATCTTGAGGTTACAGGTTTCAGGCCACGGAATCAAACCATAAAGCCTTTGACTACCATTGTCCTTAGCCAAAAACACTGGCCAGGAACTATTAAATAAAAATGAGTGCCCAATGATGACATATAGACTGGGCTGTTTAAATAGGATTCCACATGCCTGGCACCTTTTATAATAATCTTTATGGTAACTGGCAAATCACCTCCAGACTTCTTTTCTTTTCCATCTGGAAACACTGAATAGTCAGTACATTTTATTTTCAAAATCTGTGATAACAAGTTTAGGCACAGTGGCTCACGCCTGTAATCCCAGCACTTTGGGAGGCCAAGGTGGGAGGATCTCTTGAGACCAGGAGTTAGAGACCAGCCTAGGCAACATCAGAAGACTCCATCTCTGCTAAAAAAAATTTAGCTGGGCATGGTAGTGTGTGCCTGTAGTCCCTGCTACTTGGGAGCCCTAGGTGGGAGGATCACCTGAGCCCAGGGAGGTTGAGGCTGCAGTGAGCTACGATGGTTCCAGGCTGGGTGACAGAGTGAGACTTTGTCTCAAAAAAAAAAAAAAAAAAATATATATATATATATATACACATATATATATATATATATATATATATATATATGTATCTGTATATATGAATGACAACCTTCTTACTGAAATCTCTATACATTTCCAAGTATTATTAGGCCATGTGGCTATGTGGCTGCAAGGAGACGGCTCAAGGTCAAGGTGCCCGGAGGATTCAGGATACCAGTGATTGCCTGGGCCTGGTTCACAGGCAGATCAGCTAAATGAAAGACCGAAGGTGTCCTGGGCCATTGCTGCTGTGCAGCCCTCAAGGAAGTTGCTGACAACTGTGTGTGGAAAAGAGAACTCTGCTTAATCTGGGCTGTGGTGTTGCCCCAGAAAACAGCAGCCAGAATGCACCTTGTTACATCGTCACCCACCCATGACCACACTGGTCAGACCTGTGCAGCCAGGCAGCAGGTATGTTCAAAAGATGGACTTTTGCCTTTAAAGTTTAGCTCTAAATGCAGGTGTCTCCCCGGAGGAATGCCCCCCACCAACTTAAATAATTGTTTGATTACGAGGTTGGGGAGGAGCAAGGAGGCCGAGACTGGCTGGATGAGACCAAACCACATAACTCACCCTTCTCCCTCTTCTGCTTTCTTTCCATGCCTACTCTGGGAAAACAGGCTACTGGACTTTCAAGTAGCAAAGAAGAGAGTGAGTGCTGAGGACGGGGAGTTCTAACCTCATGCTTCTTTTGCAGCCACTCTGGTTGCTGGATTTGGGCAATTATGGAGACCAATGATAATGATCATGAACATGAGGTGACAGCTCCCAATGTGGACCTGGCATGGCCCACAGTCAGGCAGCAGATGTTTTAGAATAGTACAAGGTGAAGCCGGGCGTGGTGGCTCACACCTGTCATCCCAGCACTTTGGGAAGCCGAGGTGGGCAGATCACCTGAGGTCAGGAGCTCAAGACCAGCCTGGCCAACATGGTGAAACCCCGTCTCTACTAAAAATACAAAAATTAGCTGGGCATGGTGGTAGGCACCTGTAATCCCAGCTACTCAGGAGGCTGACGCCTGAGAACCACTTATAGCTGGGAGGCAGAGGTTGCAGTGAACTGAGATCGTGCCACTGCACTCCAGCCTGGGCGATAGAGCGAGACTCAGTCTCAGAAAAAAGAAAAGAAAAGAGCGAGACTCAGTCTCAGAAAAAAGAAAAGAAAGGAAAAGAAAAGAAAAAAGAAAAGAAACGAAACAAGGTGTATAAGGAGAAACTGCCTGGCCTCCTAGGCACAAGTCTGGGCAAATGGTATGGGGAAGACCTGGCGGAGATTAGAAAAAGGGTGAAGCCATCGCTGCAGGAACTTGTCATGGGGACCCTGGGGCTGTGGAGGGAGAACGGGATCCACAGCTGGAGGGAAGGAAACTGGGAGGTCAGGTGGAGACAGGGACCACTGAGCTCTTTCAGCTCCTGTCCATAGGATGTTCAGCCAGTTCAACCCAGACTGCCACTGCCACCTCAACTTGAGCACTGACCAATGAAGAATCTTAATCAGAAGTTTCCCAACATGCCGGACGTGGCTCACGCCTCTAATCACAGCACTTTGGGAGACGGAGGCAGGCAGATTGCTTGAGCCCAGGAGTTCAAGACTAGCCCGGGCAACAAGGTGAAACCCCGTCTCTACTAAAAATACAAAAACTAGCCATGTATGGTGACACATACCTGTAGTCCCAGCTACTTGAGAGGCTGAGGTGGGAGGATCACCTGAGCCCAGGAAGGCCAAGGCTGCAGTGAGCTGTGATCCAGCCTGGCTGACAGAGCGAGACTACATCTCAAAAAAATAAATGAGCTGGGCTCAGTGGCTCACATCTGTAATCCCAGCACTTTGGGAGGCCAAGGCAGGCAGATCACCTGAGGTTAGGAGTTCAAGACCAACCTAGCCAACATGGTGAAACCCCCATCTCTACTAAAAATACAAAAATTAGCTGGACATGGTGGCACACACCTGTAGTTCCAGCTACTCAGGAGGCTTAGGCAGGAGAATCGCTTAAATCCGGGAGGCGGAGGTTGCAGTGAGCCGAGATTGTGCCACTGCACTCCAGCCTGGGTGACAGAGCAAGACTCTGTCTTAAATAAATAAATAAATAAATGAATAAATAAATAAATAAATAAAAGAAACTTCCCAACAGCTACTGGCTCCGCCAGGAAGGAACAGCCTGCACTTAACACAATGGTACAAGATTCACTTTCTGAGCTGGTTTGATTCCTTTTGTTTCATCCTGTTATTTTTGGATGGTTTTGTGTGTTTTTCACAGACTGTTTGTTCGGAATGCACCAACACAAGTGGCCATGGACAATCACGTTGCCCTGGACTTCCTTGGAGTCAGCCGAGGTGGGGTATGTGTGGTGGCCAGCACCTCTTGCCTCACAATTTGCTTAATGGCATATTTTGGTGGCTTGGCTCTGGCTCGGACCCTGGCTGTGTAGGCCTGGTCAGCCTGCTGGCAGTCACAGTTAACGGCCACATTCATCTCATGTTCTCTAAAGAAAATAAAATAGTTGGTTGGGCGCAGTGGTTCACGCCTGTAATCCCAGCACTTTGGGAGGCTGAACCGGGCAGATCACCTGAGGTCAAGAGTTCGAGACCAGCCTGGCCAACATGGCGAAACCCCATCTCTACTAAAAATACAAAAATTAGCCAGGCATGGTGGCGTGCACCTGTAATCCCAGCTACCCGGGAGGCTGAGGCAGGAGAATTGCTGGAACCTGGGGGGGCGGAGGCTGCAGTGAGCAGAGATTGTGCCACTGCACTCCAGCCTGGGTGACAGAGCAAGACTCCATCTCAAAAAATAAAATAAAATATAAAATAAAATAAAATAAAATAAAATAAAATAAAATAATAAAATAAAATAAAATAAAATAAAATAAAATAAAATAAAAAAATAAAATAAAATAAAATAAATAAAATGTTTTGGGGCCGGGCATGGTGGCTGACACCTGTAATCTCAGCACTTTGGGAGGCTGAGGCCAGCAGATAGCTTGAGCTCAGGAGTTCGAGGCCAGCCTGGGCAACATGGTGAAACCCTGTCTCTAATTCAAAAAGAAAAAAATGATTTTGAGGCCAGGCAGTGGCTCACACTTGTAATCCCAGTGCTTTGGGAGGCAGAGGCGGGTGGATCACTTGAGTTCAGGGGTTCGAGACCAGCCTGAGCAATATGGTGAAACCATGTTTCTACAAAAAAATACAAAAAATTTTAAATAATTGTTTAATTATGGTATTGCTGGGTGCAGTGGCTCACGCTTGTAATCCCAGCACTTTGGGAGGCCAAGGCAGGCAGATCACTTGAGGTCAGCAGTTCGAGACCAGCCTGACCAATGTGGTGAAATCCCATCTCTACTAAAAAAACAAAAATTAGCTGGGCATGGTGGCGCACACCTGTAATCCCAGCTACTTGGGAGGCTGAGGCACAAGAATTGCTTGAAGCTGGGAGGCAGAGGTTGCAATGAGCTGAGATCATGCCACTGCACTCCAGCCTAGGCAACAGAGAAAGACCCTATCTCCAAAAAAAAAAATTATATATATATATATGGTGGTGGCATGTGTCTGTAGTCCCAGCTACTTGAGAAGCTGAAGCAGGAGGATCACTTGAGCCCAGGAGGCAGAGTGCAAACAACTACAGTATCTGATGTGGCAGCTATACCTCTGAGAGTCCTTAGCTGGATACATGAAAGGCCAGAGACCAGCCAGGTGTGGGGGCTCACGCCTGTAATCCTAGCACTTTGGGAGGCCAAGGCAGGTGAATCACCTGAGGTCAGGAGTTCGAGATCAGCCTGGACAACATGGTGAAACCCCATCTCTACTAAAAATACAAAAATTAGCCGGATGTGGTGGTGCATGCCTGTAATCCCAGCTACTCGGGAGGCTGAGGCAGGAAAATCACTTGAACCTGGGAGGTGGAGGTTGCAGTGAGCCGAGATGGTGCCACTGCACTCCACCCTGAACAACAAAGTGAGACTCCATCCCAAAAAAAGAAAGAAAGAGAGAGAGAGAGAGAGAAAGAAAGAAAGAAAGAAAGAAAGAAAGAAAGAAAGAAAGAAAGAAAGAAAGAAAGAAAAGAAAGAAAGAGAAGACTGGCCAGAGACCAAAATACTTAGGCCAGGTGGCAAAGGCTTCAGCTGCAGCTCATCTGAGTCTTGGCATCAGATGATGCCTCTTGCGATCATCCAGAGGGTCAAAGGCCTATAGGAGTTACTACCAGGCCACCTCCCATTGGCCTCCCCGTCTCCCCCTGGAGGCTGTCATGAGACGGTTCTGCATCACCTCCAGGTTCTGTGAGATCTGAGGCTCTGCACCCTGCCCTCCTCTGAATACAGCTGCAGAAGATAAAATTACTCAGCTGCATCTGGAACAGGCTCCTCAGCTACGGGGCATCGCCCAACTCCCCTTGCAGTCACAAGCCCCTTCTCTTTCAGGGTCTTCCTTTTTGGCGTAGAGGACAAGGACCGCAGGGGCTGGCACCTTAGGCTTGTCCTCCTTTTCACTGTCTATGTAGAGAATAAACCCTAAATCTAAAAGTGGTTCATCGTGCCTTTACAGGTCAAATCAGTCAGGACTTGGCCTCTGCCTGGCCTCGTTGGATGTGAGCTTGACAGTGGCCTATTGCTCCACCTCTCATCTTAACTAAGGTTGAATCAGAGAATTTGGGATAGAATTTTTGGCTGTCACACAGGTCTAATAATGCCCCTGAGCTTGGGAGAGACAACTGATTTATGGAACCTCAATAAATATTGGTGACTGGCTTTGAAATTAAGACACAGGGATTATATCTGGAAGGCTTCCATTTAAATGGGTCACATGAAAGGTTTAATCCCTGAAGGAATATATACATATATATTCCTTCTATATAGGAATCTATATAGAAGGATTCTATATAGGAATCTACATAGGAATCTATCTATATATATGTGTGTGTATATATATAGATATATAGATATACATATACACACACACATATATATATATATAGAGAGAGAGAGAGAGAGACAGAGTTTTGCTCTTGTCACCCAGGCTGGAGTGCAATGACATGATCTCGGCTCACTGCAACCTCCGCCTCTCAGGTTCAAGCAATTCTCCTGCCTCCAACTCCTGAGTAGCTGGGATTACAGGCACCTGCCACCACACCCAGCTAATTTTTGTATTTTTAGGGGAGATGGGATTTCAACATGTTGGCTAGGCTGGTCTTGAACCCCTGACCTCAGATGATCCACCTGCCTCAGCTTCCCAAAGTGCTGGGATGACAGGTGTGAGCCACCGCGCCCGGCTGGAATATTTATATATTGAGGACACCTTGTTTCCTGATGGAGAGCCAACAAGATGTAAGTTACCAGTGTGCTGGACAAATACCCAGAAGCTCTTTCCCAACAATCCTCTAGAAGAATGAGGCCAGGGAGTACATTTCTTTGACCACAAGGGCGTGTGTGGAGAAGCCTCAGTGATCAGTAGCAGTGAGACAGTAGGATCGGGTTCTTGGAGTTGCTCCACAGCGGCGGCACAGGAAACTTCCAGATCATCCAGACTGCACTCACGCTATTCCCTGCGTGCCTGCTCACCTGCCACAACTTCCTGCAGAACTTCACAGCCATACCCCAGAACATCACTGCCGGACAGGTGATAACTGGACCAATAGATCTCCTGTCCGAGCCGTGTCAGGGATAGGGACCTGCTGGGGGTCTTCATTCTGCTGAGCAAGGACCCAAAGCTTGAGCAATGCTTGAGGGTCTCTGAGCCCCAGTGGCAGATCTTAAACCACAGCAGCTCCTCCTCTTTGGGCCTGGGCAGTGAGGCCTGTCTGGATATATGACCAGAGCACCGTGGCCTCCTCCAGCATCACTGAGCAGGGGCAAAGCTACAGCGGAGTGCTGAACCTTCAAATCACCTTTTAAACTTTCTTTTAATCAAGATATAACCGGCCGGGCGCGGTGGCTCATGCCTGTAATCCCAGCACTTTGGAAGGCCAAGGTGGGCAGATCACCTGAGGTCGGGAGTTCGAGACCAGCCTGGCCAACATGGAGAAACCCCGTCTCTACTAAAAATACAAAATTAGCCGGGCATGGTGGCGCATGCCTGTAATCCCAGCTACTAGGGAGGCTAAGGCAGGAGAATCACTTGAACCTGGGAGGCAGAGGTTGTGGTGAGCTGAGATTGCGCCACTGCACTCCAGCCTGGGCAACAAGAGTGAAACTCTGTCTCAAAAAAAAAAAAAAAAAAAAGAGATATAACCTTTTCCATTAAATGTAAATTTAAGTACAGCTGGATAACTTTTATATTTTGTTTTGCCTATGTTTGAATTTCATATAAACAAAACCATATAGAATGTATTCCTTAGGCTGGGCACGGTGGCTGGGTGACAGGGTGAGACTCCGCCTCAAAAAAAAAAAGAATGTATTCTTTTTTTTTTTTTTAGACAGAGTCTTGCTCTGTCACCCAGGCTGGAGTGCAGTGGTGCAATCTCGGCTCACTGTAACCTCCACCTCTTGGGTTCAAGCGATTCTCCTGCCTCAGCCTCCTGAGTACCTGTGATTACAGGCACCCGCCACCATGCCCAGCTAATTTTTGTATTTTTAGTAGACATGGGTTTTCGTCATGTTGGCCAGGCTGGTCTTGAACTCCTGACCTCAGGCGATCTGCCCGCCTCGGCCTCCCAAAGTGCTAGGATTACAGGCGTGAGCCACCGTGCCTGGCCCAAGCTTTGTTTTTTTAAATCTTGCCTCCCACTATGCAGAAAGCCTCAGTTTCAGATAACAGCACGGAGGGATTTTGGGAGGAAGAAAATTTGAATAACAACAATATTGATGTTGGCAAGGATGTGGAGAAAAGGAAACTCTTTTTTTTTTTTTTTGAGACAGAGTCTCCCTCTGTTGCCCAGGCTGGAGTGCAGTGGCGCGACCTTGGCTCACTGCAATCTCTGCCTCCTGGGTTCAAGTGATTCTCCTGCCTCAGCCTCCTGAGTAGCTGGGATTACAGGCGCCTGCCACCATGCCGGCTAATTTTTGTATTTTTAGTAGAGATGGGGTTTCACCATGTTGGCCAGGCTGGTCTTGAACTCCTGACCTCAAGTGATCCACCAGCCTCAGATTCCCAAAGTGCAGGGATTACAGGTGTAAGCCATCATGCCAGGCCAAAAAGGGAACTCTTATACACTATTGGGGGATTGTAAATTAGTACAACTTCTATGGAAGACAATACAAGGGTTTCTCAAAGAACTAAAAATAGAACTAACATGTGCTCCAGCAATCTCACTATTGAGTGTCTACCCAAAGCAATCATTACATCGAAAAGGTACCTGCACCAGTACATTTACCACAGCACTATTCACAAGAGCAAAGACATGGAATCAACCTAAGTGTCCATCAACAGATGATTGGATAAAGAAAATGTGGTACATATACACCATGGAATACTATTGGGTCATAAAAAAGAATGAAATCATGTATTTTGCAGTCACATGGATGGAACTGGAGGACATACATGGATGGAACTGGAGGACATTCATGGATGGAACTGGAGGACATTAAGTAAAACAAATCAGACACAGAAAGACAAATACTGCACATTCTCAATTCTAAGAGGGAGCTAAATAATATGTACACATGGACGTAGAGTGTGGAATGGTAGAGAACTGAGACTCAGAAGGGTGAGTGGGGGTGAATGGGGGTAGGTGATCAGAGATTACTGAATGGATACAATGTGTGTTATTTAGGTGACAGATACCCTAAAAGTCCTGACTTCACCACTACACAATCTATGCATGTAACAAAATTACACTCACACCCCATAAAGTTATACACATGAAATAAATAAATAGTGTAAAAGACAGTCCTGGAGAAACTCAGACCAGACCCTGAGGACCATGCTACACTGCCACCACCTGGTGGCAATATACCTACAGTGTAGGGCGGTGCCTCCCAAAATTCCCAAATTCCCGACTTCTGGAGAGCATCAAAAATAAATAAAACATGTACTCACACTACTGAACTGTACACTTACAAACGGTTAAGATCATACATGTTATGTTATGTGTTTTTACCACAATTAAAACACAGATGACTAGGCGTGGTGGCTCACGCCTGTAATCCCAGCACTTTAGGAGGCCGAGGCAGGTGAATCACCAGAGATCAGAGGTTCGAAACCAGCCTGGCCAACATGGTGAAACCCCGTTTCTACTAAAAATACAAAATTAGCCAGGCGTGGTGGTGCATGCCTGTAATCCCAGCTACTTGTGAGGTTGAGGCAGGAGAATTGCTTGAACCTCAGAGGCGGAGGTTGCAGTGAGCCAAGATTGCGCCACTGTACTCCAGCCTGGGCAATAAGAGTGAAACTCTGTCCCAAACAAACAAACAGACTAACTAACAAAAAACAAACCACATAAATAACAGTGTAAAATAAATGAAATAAAAGTATAAAATAGGCTGGGCATGGTGGCTCACGCCTGTAATCCCAGCACTTTGAGGGGCTGAGGCAGGTGGATCACTTGAGCCCAGGAGCTCAAGACCAGCCTGGGCAACATGATGAAACCCCGTCTCTACAACAACAACAACAACAACAAAACACTGTAAAACCCCATCTCTACGAAACAAACAAACAAACCAAAACCAAAAATTAACCGGGTCATGGCGGTGTGTACCTGAAGTCCCAGCTACTTGGGAGGCTATGGTGGGACGATCACGTAAGCCCAGGGAGGTCAAGGCTGCAGTGAGTCATGATCAAGCCACTGCACTCCAGCTTGGGCAACAGAACAAGACTCTGCCTGAAACAAAACAAAACCAAACCTAAAATTCCTCTTTGGCATCCTTGGTGTGTGTGTGTAACTATATGCATAATATATATTATTATCTATATATGTTATATATTCTATAAAATCTTATATATGTCACATACTATACATACTTCTGCTATCTGACTCAATTCTCTCAAAGCCACCCTTCATCCTTTTGCAGTTTCCAAACATATAAATTATCAGAGTTAAAATCATGTTCCATCTGATTTCCACTCTGTGCTCACTCCAGGTGGGCTACAATACATGTGACCATCCACTCTGTGTGTGCTAACAACAGTGTAAAACTGGACCCTGGCATTAACCTCTTCTATCATTTCACACTAATGTGAGATCCATGAGGTCCCCATTTGCAATCGGAGTCCAGGAAATCAGCTACAGGAGCTGGTTGTAAATTTCACTCCATTGTTGCCTGTGTGCTCCCCACAACAGTTTCTGTAAACCTACCCAGATGCAATGTAAAGGAACCAACTGGTCCACAGTTACTTTCTGTTACTTACAGCTTCGTGACCTCCAGCGAATCACCTCTCTTTTATTGTTGACAATAAAAGACAGTGAATCACCTGTCTTTTATTGTTGAGTTGTAAGAATTCTTGTTTTTGTTTTTGTTTTTTTGAGACGGAGTCTTGCTCTGTCACCGAGGCTGGAGTGCAGTGGCGCCATCTTGCCTCACTGCAAGCTCCGCCTCCTGGGTTCACGCCATTCTCCTGCCTCAGCCTCCCGAGTAGCTGGGACTACAGGCACCCGCCACCACACCCGGCTAATTTTTTGTATTTTTAGTAGAGACAGGGTTTCACCGTGTTAGCCAGGATGGTCTCGATCTCCTAACTTCGTGATCCGCCCGCCTCGGCCTCCCAAAGTGCTGGGATTACAGGCGTGAGCCACCGCACCCGGGCGAGTTGTAAGAATTCTTTATATGTTCTGGATACTAGACACTTCTCAAATATATGATTTGCAAATATTTTCTCCCATTCTGTGGATTGTCTTCTCACTTTCTTGATAGTAATCTTTGATGCACAAAACTTTTTAATACATTATCTTTTAAAAGAAAGTAAATGTTTATTATGATTAAAGTGACACATTTTCTTTCTTTCTTTCCTTTTCTTTTCTTTCTTTCTTTTTTTTTTTTTTTTTTTTTTTGAGATGGAGTCTTGCTGTGTCACCCAGGCCAGAGTGCAATGGTGCAATCTTGGCTCACTGCAACCTCCACCTCCCAGGTTCAAGCGATTCTCCCCAGCCTCAGCCTCCTGAGTAGCTGGGATTACAGGCGACTGCCACTGTGCCCGGCTAATTTTTGTATTTTTAGTAGAGACGAGATTTCACCATGTTGACAAGACTTGTCTCAAACTCCTGACCTCGTGATTTACCCACCTCGGCCTCCCAAAGTGCTGGGATTACAGGCATGAACCACCGCGCCTGGCCTGACACATTTTCTTACACCCATTAGTTAAAGGAGAAAATCATTCCCTTGCGGGGTTGGGTACAATTCAGCAGTCATTCCTAATAAACTCTCTAAGTAAAATAGAACTAGATAAAAAAACAACACCCTGACTATGCTATGCATTCCTTTTTTTTTGTTTTTGTTTTTTTTTTTGAGACAGAGTTTCACTCTGTTGCCCAGGCTAGAGTGCAGTGGTATGATCTCAGCTCACTGCAACCTCCGCCTCCTGGGCTCAAGCAATTCTCCTGCCTCAGCCTCCCAAGTAGCTGAGACTACAGGCGCCTGCCACCATACCCTGCTAATTTTTGTATTTTTAGTAGAGACAGGGTTTCGCCATGTCGGCCAAGCTGCTCTTGAACTCCTGACCTCAGGTGATCTGCCCACCTTGGCCTCCCAAAGTGCTAGGATTACAGGTGTGAGCCATTCTTTTTTTTTTTTTGAGATGGAGTTTTCGCTCTTGCTGCCCAGGCTGGAGTCCAATGGTGCAATCTCAGCTCACTGCAACCTCCGCCTCCCAGTTTCAAGCGATTCTCCTGCCTCAGCCTCTCAAGTAGCTGGGATTACAGGCGCCTGCCACCACGCCCGGCTAATTTTTTGTATTTTTTAGCAGAAACGGGGTTTCACCATGTTGGCCAGGCTGGTCTTGAACTGCTGACCTCGTGATCCACTCGCCTCAACCTCCCAAAGTGCAGATTATGCATTCTTAACACAACCCAATAACACCCATCACACCGAAGGAGGCCATGCTGAAGCCAGTGCCATCAGCAACAGGAAGAAGGCAAGGATGCCTACTGTGATTCAACAATGATTCCAAGGTTTGGTTCAATGCACCAAGACAGGAAAATAAAATGATTAGTATCAATATTTGAGAAGAAGGGAAAAATATTTTTTATTAGAAAATGTTATTATAATCTAGGAAATCTGAGACTCTCCTAAAACATTAATATTATTAAGAGAATTTGGTCAAAGTGACTGGTTGCAAGAAATATGTCCAAGGCTGGGAGTTGTGGCTCACACCTGTAATCCCAGCACTTTGGGAGGCTGAGGCGAGTGGATTGTTTGCGGCTAGCAGTTCCAGATCCATCTGGGCAACATGGTGAAACCCTGAATCTACAGAAAATTCAAAAGTTAGCCGGGCATAGTGGCGTACACCTATAGTTCCAGCTACCTGGGAGGCTGAGGTGGAAGGCTTGAGTGACTGTAATCACACCACTGCACTCCAGCCTGGTCAACAGAGTGAGATCTTGTCTAAAAAAAAAAAAAAAATTTACAATCCAAAAGCCAGTAACTTTCCTTTAACTGGCAATGACAAAACAAAAAACAATACGGGAGAAACATTACATTCATAAAAGCAACAGAAGATATTGTGTCAATAAATTGAACAAAAACAGGGTCTATATGGGAAAAACTATAAAATTGGATTGATAGACAAAGACAAAAAGCCTAAAAAAATGAAGAGATATACCAGGATCCTGTTTGGAATGCTTAAAGTATTCATTTCTCCTAAATATATAAAAATATTTAAGTCCTTCCTATCAGAATGGAGGGGGATAGGATATACTGTATAAAATGACTTTAAAAGTTTAAAATGGTTTCCTAAAAACTAGGCCAGGCACAGTGACTCACACCTGTAATCCCAGCACTTTGGGAGGCCAAGGCAAGAGGATTGCTTGAGCCCAGGAGTTCCAGACAAGCCTGGGCAACACAGCAAGACCTTGTCTCTATTAAAAAACAAAAATATTAGCCAGGTGTGCGTGGTGGTGTAATCCCAGCACTCTGGGAGGCCGAGACTGGTGGATCACCTGAGGTCAGGAGCTTGAGACCAGCCTGGCCAACATGGTGAAACCCCATCCCTACTAAAAATACAAAACTAGCTGGGTGTGGTGATGGGCGCTTGCATTCCCAGCTACTCGGGAGGCTGAGGCATGAGAATCGCTTCAATCTGGGAGGCGGAGGTTGCAGTGAGCCGAGATCGCTCCACTGCACTCCAGCCTGGGCAACAGAATGAGACACTGTCTCAAAAACAAAAACAAAAACAAAAACAAAAACAAAAAAACAGCCAGGTGTGGTGGTGCGTGCCTGTAGTCCCCGCTACTTAGGAGACTGAGGTGGGGGGATGGCTTGAACCCAGGAGATTGAGGCTGCAGGGAGCTTGATCACACCACTGCATTCCAGCCTGGGCAACAAAGTAAGATCCTGTCCCCCCCCAAAAAAAATAGTAAAATGCTTCAACAGTTTTGGGAAGTTACTGTAAAGCTACCTGGGGCAAACACTACTAAGTGCTTACCTAGTATTAACTCCTTTCTTAGTAACAAAATTTGTATATTGATGGGGTAGCAATGTGTTTCCTCAATAATATTACAATATAACTTTTAAACCTATAAGGAGGCTTTCCCAGCCTCCTTTAAAGGTATGGCTATGTGGCTAAAGTATAAGCAAAAGTGGTTGGGAAGGACTTCTAGAAAGACTCCTCTTCAAAAATGTATAGACAACGGTTTGCAAAAGTCATTTTTTTGTTTCTTTTTTCCCTTTTCATTTCATTTCTCTTTTCACTCTCTTTTCTTGCTTTATGTTTTTAAAATTTTATTTGCCCTTTCTTCTTCCTACTTTCTGCTACCTGGAATGGAATGTGAATCTGATGGCTGGAATTCCAGAAGCCATCTTGGACAATGAGGTGACTGTAAGGATGGAGATTAATTCGAGGACAGTGGAGTGGAACGATGGAGGCCTGATGAACGTGAAGCCACCATTTTAGCCCTGGGCTACCTATCTCTGAAATTATTTTATCTGACGAGAGAAATAAACTTCTATTTTGTCTCAGCTACTATTGTTTTAGGACTTGGCTATGTCACAGATCTAAAACCCACTTGATTTACTCCTGCAATCAAAATATATTGACACAGAAAAGACAACAAATAAATCAGTGGAATAAAACAGAAAATCCAGAAACAGATTCAAGTGTTTATGGGGACTTGATACATGAAAGATCACAATTCAAGTCAGTTGAAGAATGTTTTATTTACTAAGTATAACTGCTGACATGCTGGCTGTTTGTCAGGAATAAAACAAAGCTAAATCCTTCCTCACATCACAAATAAGATTAATTCTAGGTGGATTAGCGAACTAAAGGCAAAACGTAAGTAAAATTAATAAAACAAAAATTGGAAGAATATTTGCATAAGCTTAGGTCGAGGAGACCTTATTAAACAAAGCAGGAAACCTAAAACCCATACAGGAAAAGAATTGCACAGTGTTGTGTGGTAGAAAAAAAAACCCACAAAGTTAAAAGACAGGTTGGGAAAAATATGTATGTAACACATTTGATATCCATTGGTTATTGCTGATGGTGGGAAACTGCAAACATTTTCCGTAAAGAGCCAGAGAGTAAATATTTGAGGCTTAAGGGTGTGAACCCCAAAAGAGGTTCATGATGGATCCGGAGTGGCTAACTAGGCCTAAATTCAAAATACAGCCAAGCAGCCATTGGCTGACTAGAGGTCACACATACTTCGGTTTTTGTTTGCTTTTTTTTTTTTTTAGGCGGAGTCTCGCTCTGTTGCCCAGACTGTAGTGCAGTGGCACAATCTCGACTTACTGCAAGCTCCGCCTCCCGGGTTCACGCCGTTCTCCTGCCTCAGCCTCCCAAGTAGCTGGGACTACAGGTGCTCGCCACCACGCTAGGCTTTCTTTTTTTTTTCTTTTTTTTTTTTTTAGTAGAGACGGGGTTTCACCGTGTTAGCCAGGATGGTCTCGATCTCCTGACCTCGTGATCCTCCCGCCTCGACCTCCCAAAGTGCTGGGATTACAGGCGTGAGCCACCGCACCCGGCCTTTGTTTGCTTTTTGAGACACGATCTTGCTCTGTCGCCCAGGCTGGAGTGCAGTGAGGCGATCATGACTCACTTCAGCCTCGACCTCCCGAACTCAAGCGCTCCTCCAGCCTCAGCCCCCAGAGTGGCTGAGATCACAAGAACCCGCCACCACCGCCCGCTAATTTTTTGTAGAGAAGGGGTTTCGCCACGTTGCCCAGGCCGATCTTGAACTCCTGGGCTCAAGTTAAGGGAGGAGACCACCCCTCATATTGTCTTACGCCCAATTTCTGCCTCCAAAGAAAGAAAAAGTAAAACTAAAAGGCAGAAATGAAATCCACAAGCAGACAGCCCGGCCTCACACCCTAGGCTTGGTAAAGATGGACCCCTGACCTAATCAGTTATGTTATCTATAGATTACAGACACTGTATAGAAAAGCACTGTGAAAATCCCTATCCTGTTTTGTTCTGATCTAATTACTGGTGCATGCAGCCCCCAGTCACGTACCCCCTGCTTGTTCAATTGATCACGACCCTCTCAGGCGCACCCCCTTAGAGTTGTGAGCCCTTAAAAGGGACAGGAATTGCTCATTCGGGGAGCTCGGCTGGTGAGACAGGAGTCTTGCCGATGACCCCAGCCGAATAAACCCCTTCCTTCTTTAACTCGGGTGTCTGAGGAGTTTTGTCTGTGGCTCGTCCTGCTACAAAGTGATCCGCCTGCCTCGGCCTCCCAAATGCTGGGATTACAGGCGTGAGTGACCGCACCTGGCCTGGGATGGACATTTTAAAGGTTCCTGATACATATTGCTAAATTGTTTTCTCGAAACGCTCTATACCATCCCACCAGCATTGTATGACGCCTACGGTTGAGATTTTTGGCTCAAAGAATTACGGTGTATTTCAAGGGGAGAACCCTCTTCTCATCTTACCCCTAAACTCTATCCTTGAGTGACCTACCTTCACTCCCAAGCCTCCAGTCACCCACTGGGAATCTCTACCTGGAAATCCCAGAGGCACTCAAACTTAACGTGTCCAAAACTAAATTATCCGTCACCTTCCCACCTCATATCCCCCCAAATGCCCCAGATTCAGAAAACATACCCATCACTGTGGCTGGCACCACGGTGATAAGCACGATAATAACCATGGCAACCAGATTCCCTACTGAAGCCATTCTTTTAGGATGAACCAAGGGCACAACAGGCAGAGATGACAAGGGGAATGGAGAAGGGGGTACAGTAAGTTTTAGATAGTCGAAGGCACGCGCACGACAACGCCTGCGCACCACGGAACAGGGCAAAAGGGTGACAAACATGCGCCACTGAGTTTTATCGAGCAGCCGATGCCCAGAAAACAGGCATCCGCACACAGACTCAGTTTCCTTGTAGGCAACTCCCGGGCGTTGCGAGTCACAACCGGCATTCTCGCGCCGTGAGAGAGAACTGCGCAGCTGCTGACTGGCGGGCCGCCAGGCGCGTGCGTAGAGACGCCCACACGCCCGCTGATGCGCACGCGCCCTGGGCCGCGCGTGCGCGCGTGGGGTTCCGGAATGAGCCGGGGAAAGCAAGGGGAAGGTTTGGGGTTGGCTCCCGGTTTCGCGCATGCGTGCACTGCACAAACCATTTGGCGGGTTTTTCCGGCCACTCAGTTCTGCCACCGTCACTGAGAAGCTCAGCGGTAGCTTTTGGGAAGCAGGACGTTCTCACCAGGAGAGCGTCCTCTCGAGATTTCTGCTCCCTCCATTCAGGGCGTTTGGGAGCCACCCCTTCATTTTTTAAAAAAAGTATTTCTCTGTGACCGACGGCCGGGGCCTTCTGACGGTCTGAGGTCTTGCTTGGGCCAGTCACCTCCTGTCACGGTCCGCGGAGGGGGGAAGGATAAGAGGGCGAGGAGCTCATCGCTCGCCACCCCCGTGGGCTTCTTGGGCGCAGGTCGGAGCTGGGTGGGCCGGCTCCCCGGCCCCTGGCTTGGGCGACCATGTCCGCATCCGCCCAGCAGCTGGCGGAGGAGCTGCAGATCTTCGGCCTAGACTGCGAGGAGGCTCTAATTGAGAAATGTGAGTCCCGCACCCCTCCCGCCCTGCAGCCGTGCTCCACGCTCTCGCCCGAGTTCCTCGGCGCCTAGAACCGAAAGTGGAGCGCTTCCAATTTCCACTTCCCCTGGAGCAGAGTTCTCGGTGGCTGTGAGATGAAGAATCAAACTTGAGTTTTGAGATTTAGGATGTGGGGACTTTGAAATGCCCACCGGGTACCGCTTGGATGCCAAATCAAAAATAGGAATATGCAGCACGATTTTAAACCAACTCGAAGTTCCCGAAAGGCGGAATTGGGATGTGCTAGATAGAGACTAGGCACTGGTGGCACCTGAGTTTGGAAATTGTTGAAGCCCCGGTAACAAAGCAACAGATGTGGGGGTTTTGAAATGTAGCTTTTTATTCTTGGCTCCTCCCTTTCCAGCCTACACCTTAAACCTCTGCTGATCCATCAGTTATTTTATCATAGCTGTTGGTGGTCTGTGCAAATATGAATCCCTTGAGGTAGGTTCCTAAAATTGAATTTGAGCTGTGGAAGGAGCTTTAGGGAGCTTTACAGATGGAGAAACAGACAAGGAAAGCTAATTGCCTGAGCTGTCTGTGAAGCCAGGTGTCCTGCCTTGGAGTCCCGTGCTGCATCATACGGGTCCATCGTGTTGGTCAAGCTGTAGAGCAGTGTAAGGAGTCATTTGAAGCAAAGCCTGGGAGATGTGGAAGTTCTAGAATCGGTATGAATGTGCACCTGCCTTAACCACTCAACACTTTGAACTTCTTATATACAAAAAGATAACGAAACGTTAATTTATGGTGAGAAATTCCTTTCAGAAACCAGAATACTTCAAGTCTTCATGCCCAGTGCCTTCTCTCTCTCTCTTTTTTTTTTTTTTTTTTTTTGACAGTCTTGTTTTATCACCCAGGCTGGAGTGCAGTGGTGCAATCTCGGCTCACTTCAGCCTCCGCCTCCCAGGTTCAAGCGATTCTCCTGCCTCAGCCTCCCAAGTAGCTGGGATTACAGGCGCCCGCCACCAGGCCCGACTAATTTTTTTTTGTACTTTTAGTAGAGAAGGGGTTTCACCATGTAGGCCAGACTGCTCTCGAACTCCTGACCTCAAGTGATCCACCCACCTTGGCCTTCCAAAGTGCTGGGATTACAGGCATAAGCCAGCAGGCTCGGTCCTTCTCTTTTTAAAAGAAGACTAGCCAGGTGTGGTGGCTCACGCCTGTAATCCCAGCATTTTGGGAGGCCAAGGCAGGTGGATAATCTGAAGTCGAGAATTTGAGACCAGCCTGACCAACATGGAGAAACCCTGTCTCTACTAAAAATACAAAATTAGTCGGGCGTGGTGGCGCATGCCTGTAATCCCAGCTACTCAGGAGGCTGAGGCGGAAGAATCGCTTGAACATGAGAGGCAGAGGTTGTGGTGAGCCGAGATCACACCATTGCACTCTAGCCTGGGCAACAGGAGCGAGACTCTGTCTCAAAAAAAAAAAAAAGACTTAAGTGGAAAACCTGATCATAGTCAGAAATGTATGTGGTAAGCATGAAATCAGCATGAGAGAAATTAGTTATGTGAACCAGATTTGTAAAGGCTTCAGGCCAAGATGCCAGTTGCTTTCATCTCATGGCAATGGCTTTGGAATTGTGGACTTTGGATCATCAGTAACTTCAGTGGCACCTTAATGTTTCCTGACAGTCAACCGTATTTCCCTGTTTTTTTTGTTGTTGTTTGTTTTGTTTTTTGAGATGGAGTTTCTCATTGCCCAGGCTGGAGTGCAATGGTGCAATCTTGGCTCACTGCAACCTCTGCCTCCCGAGTTCAAGCGGTTCTCCTGCCTCAGCCTCCCGAGTAGCTGGGATTACAGGCTCCCGCCACCACGCCCGGCTAATTTTTTGTATTTTTAGTAGAGATGGGGTTTCGCCATGTTGGGCAGGCTGATCTCGAACCCCTGACCTCCAGTGATCCTCCCACCTCGGCCTCCCAAAGTGCTGGGATTATAGGTGTGAGCCACCACACCTGTTCTACTTTTTGTATTTTCAGTAGAGACAAGGTTTCACCATGTTGGCCAGGCTGGTCTTCAACTCCTGACCTCAGGTGATCCGCCCACCCTGGCCTCCCAAAGTGCTGGGATTACACTGCGCCAGGCCCCTGGTCTCTTTACTCTGAGTCTTCCAGATGATTGTTTTCCACCTTCTCCTGTAACATCCTTCTGTCCCACCCTCACTCTCAGCTGACAAATTTCTATTATTTGCTGAAAAATGTAGAAGCATTAGAAAACTTCGATCAGCTACCACCATTATGTCTCACTGACCCATATCTGTGGCATATACCTAGCCTTCTTTCCTATTATAATGAATAAGCTTTCCGTATTCCTAGCAAAATCCAAGTCCTCCACTTGAGTCCTAAACCCCATTCCTTCTGAAGCAATTAAGGACATCACTGGTAATTCTCCTGTCTTACATATTTTCTATTTTCCTTGCTACAAGATTTTTTTCCTACTAGTATAGAAATGTGCTTCCAATCTTGCCTTTAAAATACTCTGTTGACCCTACTTCCCACTCCAGTTCTCTCCTTCCCAATTACAGCAGACCTCAAAAGGGTCGGCCGGGTGCGGTGGCTCACGCCTGTAATCCGAGCACTTTGGGAGGCGGAGGAGGGCGGATCACAAGGTCAAGAGATGGAGACCATCCTGGCCAACGTGGTGAAACCCGGTCTCTACTTAAAATACAAAAATTAGCTGGGCATGGTGGCGCATGCCTGTAGTCCCAGCTACTTGGGAGGCTGAGACAGGAGAATCGCTTGAATCGGGGAGGTGGAGGTTGCAATGAGCCGAGATCGTGCCACTGCATTCCAGCCTGGCAACAGAGTGCAACTCTGTCTCCAAAAAAAAAAGGGGGGGGGCCTTGCCATCTTTAAATATTTCCTCCTTAAATCCATTTCAGTAAGTTCTTTTGTTGCCACCACTTCACCAAAGCTGCTCTACTCAAGGTCACCAGTGACCTTCACCATGCTAAAACCAGTGATGAATTTTCAGTCCTCATCTTGAATTGAATTAGCACCGGCACTTGACACTGTTTGTCATTTTTTCTTTTTTTAAACACATTTTTCTTTTAGCTTCTTAGACACTACTAGTTTTTCTTTCTTTTTTTTCTGAGACAGGGTCTTGCTCTGTTGCCCAGGCTGGAGTATAATGGGCAAATCACAGCTCACTGCAGCCTCAACCTCCTTGGCTCAAGCAATCCTTCCACCTCAGCCCCCAAGTAGCTGTAACTACAGGCACATGCCACCAAGCCCACCTAATTGTTGTATTTTTTATAGAAACGGTTTCACCCTGTTGCCCAAGCTGGTCTCAAACTTCTGGGTTCAAACAGTCTGCCCACCTCAACCTCACAAAATACTGGATTACAGGCGTGAGCCACTGCATCCGGCTTACTCCTAGTTTTTCTTCAGCTTTGCTTGTGTCACCGCTTCTCAGGCTTTGCCGATTCATCCTCAGAGGCCCTAAGGCGCCCCAAGACTCAAGCCTGGGATCTTTTCTCCCTTCTAGATACGCTCACTCCCTTGGCGATCTCACCTGGGGTCTCATAGCTTTATATCCCATGTATTTACTGATGGTTCCCAAATTTATACCTCCGCCCACAACCCTTGCCTGAACTACAGGCTGGTTTGTTCAGCCTGCTGTCTCCAGTTGGATGTCTAAATGGCACCTCAAACTCTGCATGTCTAAAACTAAGCTCCTGGTATCTCCTCTCTCTCCTCAGAGTAGTTCCTCTGGCTCTTTTCCCCATCTCAGTTAATAGGGACGCCACTCTTCCTGTTGCACAGGCTAAAAATATCAGCATCATCCTTGACTTTCTTTTTCTCATACCTTACATTCAGTTAGCAGATCCCACTGGCTTCACTTCCAGCATGTAAAGTCCTATCCAGAGTCCAGCCACTTCTCGCCATCTCCACTGCCACCACCTTGATCCAAGCCACCATCATCTCTCACCTGGGCTTTTCCATGATTCTTTAATTGGTCCCCCTGATTCTGCCCTTATCCTCTTTTGTCTCCCCTCAGTGGTGAGCTTTGTAAGGACAAGGATGCTTCTGTTTTCTCATTGCCCAAAACAGTGCCTGGCACTAATAGATTCTGAATAAACATTGATGGAGTAAACCAGGATTATTTTTGCTTTTCTAGGTGAAACTTCGAGAAATGAACTAAGTTTTTACTTGTCCAATTTTCCTTTCTACAGTGGTAGAGCTTTGTGTTCAGTATGGACAGAATGAGGAGGGAATGGTAGGCGAGCTTATAGCCTTCTGCACCAGCACACATAAAGTTGGCCTTACCTCAGAGATCCTGAACTCTTTTGAGCATGAGGTAAGAACAAAATGAAAGCAAACTAATAATGTGATTCTCCATTTCTGCTCTACAGGGGAGGCATTGTGATATATTGAGAGGAGTGTGGGCTTTCGAGTCAGGCCTGGATTCCAGTCCCAGTGTGAGCTTGGACAAACTATGTCCCTGAGCCTCAGTTTCCTTTTCTGACATTGGGTCTAATAATCTGTATTTTTTATGATTGTTATAAGAATTAAATGGGGCTGGGCGCCGTGGCTCATGCCCATAATCCCAGAACTTTGGGAGGCCGAGGCAGGCAGATCACAAGGTCAGGAGTTCAAGACCAGCCTGGCCAACGTGGTGAAACCCTGTCTCTACTAAAAATACAAAAATTAGTTGGGCATGGTGGCAGGCGCCTGTAATCCCAGGTACTCGGAAAGCTGAGGAAGGAGAATCGCTTGAACCGAGGAGGTGGAGGTTGCAGTGAGCTGAGATTGCGCCACTGCACTCCAGCCTGGGACAGAGCGAGACTCCATCTCAAAAAAAAAAGAAATGAGAATGGACATAAAGCACTTAAAACTATGCCCAGCAGGTGATAAGTCTTCACCAAATAATTGGTATTATTAGGATTGTTATATGTTATAGACAGTCATGGGATGTCTTTGTTTTTAGTCTGTGTGTATCTTAATTCTTTGAGGAATGTTAGATCTTTGATTATATTTTGAATACCTTTTATTATCTCAAGGCTTTTGAAAACACCTCTGCTATTACTTGACTATGAAGTACTGTATTCACTATCTTTTCTTTTTCAGTTTCTGAGCAAAAGATTATCGAAAGCCAGGCATAGTACCTGCAAGGACAGTGGCCATGCAGGAGCTAGAGACATTGTTTCCATTCAAGAGCTGTATCCTTTTCTGCTGAAGGTCTTTGCACCAAGCTACATGTTGTATTTTATAATTTGTCTGTAGTCGCATGTGTAATTTAAAAACAAATAATAAGGCCGGGCACGGTGGCTCAGGCCTGTAATCCCAGCACTTTTGGAGGCCGAGGCAAGCAGATCACTTGAGCCCAGGAATTTGTGACCAACCTGGGCAACATGGTGAAACCCTGTCTCTATCAAAAGTACAAATTTTTTTTTTTTTTTGAGTTGGAGTTTCGCTCTTTTTGCCCAGGCTGAAGTGCAATGGTGCAATCTCAGCTCACTGCAACCTCTGCCTCCCAATCTCAAGTGATTCTCCTGCCTCAGCCTCCTGAGTAGCTGGGATTACAGGTGCACACCACCACACCTGGATAATTTTGTATTTTTTTTGGTAGAGACAGGGTTTCACCATGTTGGCCAGCTGGTCTCGAACTCCTGACCTCAGGTGATCCGCCTGCCTAGGCCTCCCAAAGTCCTGGGATTACAGGCGTGAGTCACCGTGCCCGGCCAAAGTACAAATTAAAAAATAATAATAATAAGCTGGGTGTGGTGATGTACGCCTGTAGATCCAGCTAGTTGGTAGGCTGAGGTGAGAAAATCTCTTGAACCTGGGATGTGGAAGTTGCAGTAATCTGAGATCAGGCCACTGCACTCCATCCTGGACGACGAGGAAACCCCATCTCAATAATAATAATAGTAAAAATTGCCTAATATTGAGATTTCTTCTAGCAATCAGCCCTTGCCTTATATGAAAGTTTATTATTATTATTATTATTTTTTTTTTTTGAGATGGAGTCTCGCTGTGTCGCCCATGCTGGAGTGCAGTGGTGTGATCTCAGCTCACTGCAAGCTCCGTCTCCTGGGTTCATGCCATTCTCCTGCCTCAGCCTCCCGAGTAGCTGGGACTACAGGCGCCCGGCTAATTTTTTGTATTTTTTTTAGTAGAGACGGGGTTTCACTGTGTTAGCCAGGATGGTCTCTGTCTCCTGATCTCGTGATCCGCCCATCTCGGCCTCCCAAAGTGCTGGGATTACAGGCATGAGCTACCGTGCCCAGCCATTATTGTTTTTCTTAACCAGTGTTCTTAGAATTGAAGTGGAAGAAGAAGAGGAAATCCTCTTGAACTCTTACACCACACCTTCAAAGGTAAGTAAACAGTGTTTGGACATTGCATTTTACAAGTAACATTTTAAAATAGTTTCACAACATTTGAAGATCTGAGGGAAAAAATCAACCACTCTCATGCATTTCCTACTATATTTCCACTTATACATCTTCCTTTCTGATCATATGTCTAAATGTTTTACATAATGGCAGTCCTTATAAACATATAGTTATCCTGCTTTTCTCAGCACAACATAAAACATTTCTATAAACATAATTTCTCCATAATTGCCCTTTTTGAATAGTTTCATAGTTTTATACTATAATTGAATAATTCAGTTCTGTGTTGGATCCCAGTGTGAAAGGTCAAGTAGGGTAGTGGAAAAGCATTGCCTTCAAAGTCTGAGTCAGAAGACCTAGGTGACCTGGAGTGAGTTGTTTTATCTCTCTGAGACAGTTTCCTTATCCATAATATCAGGATTCATTCATTCAGTTATCCAGCAACAACTATGTGGCCAGGCGCAGTGGCTCATGCCTGTAATCCCAGCACTTTGGGAGGCTGAGGCAGGCGGATCACGAGGTCAGGAGATCGAGACCATCCTGGTTAACATGGTGAAACTCTGTCTCTACCATAAATACAAAAAAAGAAATTAGCCGGGCGTGGTGGTGGGCGCCTGTAGTCCCAGCTACTTGGGAGGCTGAGGCAGGAGAATGGCGGGAACCTGGGAGGCAGAGCTTGCAGTGAGCCGAGATCGCGCTACTGCACTCCAGCCTGGGCGACAGAGCGAGACTCCGTCTCAAAAAAAAAAAAAAAAACAACAACAACAACTATGTACTGCACTAGACATTGAGTAAACAATGGTGAATGAAACAGACATGGATGGGCTCTGCCCTCAAGAAGCTGACAGCCAGTGCACAATATCCCCCATCTTGGAGGGCTTGAAGAGGAAATAAATAGGTAAAGTATCAGGCCCTATGCAATGTATTCAGTAATGGTAACTATTCTTTATACTAACTAAATAAGTTTGTAGACATTCATAAACATGGAGTGAGCCTTAATTATTCAAAGTAAACTACATCATAAGAAAGAGGTAATTTACATTGCCCTATGCAATGTATTCAGTAATAGTAATTATTCTTTTTTGTTGTTGTTGTTGTTGTTTTGAGATGGAGTTTTCCTCTTGTTGCCCAGGCTGGAGTGCAATGGCACGATCTCGGGTCACTGCAACCTCCGCCTCCCGGGTTCAAGCAATTCTGCCTCAGCCTCCTGAGTAGCTGGGATTACAGGCATGCGCCACTACGGCCAGCTAATTTTTGTATTTTTAGTAGAGACGGGGTTTCACCATGTCAGCCAGGCTGGTCTCGTACTCCTCACCTGCGGTGATCCACCTGCCTCGGCCTCCAAAGTGCTGGGATTACAGATGTGAGCCACCGTGCCCAGCCCAGTAATTATTCTTTATACTAACTAAATAAATTTGTAGAAATTCATAAACATGGAGGGAGCCTTAATTATTCAAAGTAAATTACATCATAAGAAAGAAGGTAAGGGCTGGGTGCAGTGGCTCATGCCTGTAATCCCAGCACTCCGGGAGACCAAGGCAGGAGGATCAGTGACCAGAGATCATGCCGCTGCTCTACAGCCTGGATGACAAAGTGAGACCCTGTCTCAGGAAGAAAGAAGGTAAATAGTTTAGATATGCCTGTGGAGAGTAAGAGGGCCAAAAATGTGCCCCATGAAGTTGCTAACACAAAACCAGGTGCATATAATATTAAAAGAAATAATTAGGTGTTTGTTAGAGTTTCTTAAAATTGGAGAGACTATAACTCATTTGATTTTCCTCCTAAAGTGGTTTTCTGAGTCCATATCCCAGTGAAGGACACCTCCGTTCTTCCATTGACTCAGGCCAAGAACCTTGGAGACCTCCTTAAATCCTTTTTCTCTCACACCCCACATCCAACTTAGCTACCAGTCCTGTCATCCCTCTCCAGGATCTGGCCACCTCTCACCATTTCCACTGCTACCACCAGGTCCACAGCATCATTGTCTCCTGAATGATTGGGACAGCCTCCTAACTAGTCCATTGGCTTCTTTCTGCCATATCCACCTCTAACCACCTCTCCACCCAGCAGCCAGAGTGCTCCTTTCCAGCAAAAGGTCAGGTTTTCTTGCTCACATCTCTCCCACTGGCTTTTCGTCTTTCCTCCTGATATGCAAAGTTTGAACCAGCATATGTGAAGTTCTGTAGGAGCTGGCCCCCTCCTCCTTCTGTCCTCTTTCCCTGCTCCCCTTTGCTCTCTGCTTCTGCCGTGCCAAATATGGGTTCATTTCCTATGTCTCCTTGTCAGGGAACAAGCCTGCCTAAAAGAACAAAGCCCTTCTTCTGTTTTATTTTCTTGCTTTATTTTTCTCCTTATTATTCTCTTGCTTTATTACCACCAAACATGTTATATACTTACTTTTTTGTTTTAGTCGGCCTTCCCTCCATTAGATGGAAGCTCCTTGAGAATAGAGACTTTGTTTTTACTTGCTGCTGTTTTCCCAGCACCCTGGCATGTTAATAGTTGTTGAAAGATCTCTGAATAAGGGAGTGTGGTTGGCTCTCTCAATTGCAATACCAATGGGACCACCACGGTTTTATCTGGTTAACAGCTTCACAGATCCAGAATTTTATGTAATTTGTCTGTGTATCCAGAATTGATCATATTCCGGAGTCTGACTCATGGTAACCCAGCTGTCAGTAGACTGATGCGTAAGCCAGGTGCAAATTTGTTTACTTTACTATTGAAGTAGATACCCTTCCAATGACTGAAATCCCATATTTAGGATACCCCATTCCTGCTATGGAAATACTTAGGAGACTAAATTGTGAATCAAAGTTTGTGACTGTGAGGCCGAGTGCAGTGGCTCACACCTGTAATCCCAGCACTTCGGGAGGCTGAGGCAGGTGGATCACTTGAGGTCAGGAGTTCGAGACCAGCGAAACTCCATCTCTACTCAAAAAATTAGCTGGGCATGGTGGTGGTGCCTATAATCCCAGCCACTCAGGAGGCTGAGGCAGGAGAATCGCTTGAACCCGGGAGGTGGAAGTTGCAGTGAGCCAAGATTACACCACTGCCCTCCAGGCTGGATGACAGAACCAGACTCCGTCTGAAAAAAAAAAAAAAAAAAAAGTTTGTGACTGTGAATTCCACGCTAAATGAGTTGGAGTGAAATGTTGAGCAAACAATATGTCCAGGCTAGAGATACGTAAAATGCTTAGAACAGTACTTATCACATGGAAATTGTTCAGTCACTGTTAGGCCATGCATCAATGGCAGCATGATAAAATAGTCAAAGTGTGGCCAGGCATGGTGGCTCACACCTGTAATCCCAGCACTTTGGGAGGCCGAGGTGGGAGGATCACTGGAGGTCAGGGGTTCGAGACCAGTCTGGCCACCATGGTGAAACCCCATCGCTACAAAAGTACAAAAATTAGCTAGGCATGATGGTGGGTGTCTGTAATCCCAGCTACTCGAGAGGCTGAGACAGAAGAAACACTTGAACCCAGGAGGCGGAGGTTGCAGTGAGCTGAGATCATGCCATTGCACTTCAGCCTGGGCGAGAAAGTGAGACTCCATCTCAAAAAAAAAGAAAAGTGTGAATGTTGGCCTTTCCATACAAACAGTGCCAGGCTGAGGTTGCCTGACCCTTGTCAGGTCTTGGGAACAGGTGTCCCTCTGCTATAGAGGTAAATATGATATGTCAGTGATTTTAGCTTATCACTATTAAATATTTCACCTGTACGATTGACAGCTGTTCTTTTGCTTCCGTGTTCACCATAAATCTGCTGATGATTTGGCTGCCATGTCCCTAACGGAGAGAATGTGTTAGCCTGAGGACTTGACGTTCCCATACCCTTGGCAATTATATTTCTAGTAAATTAATAAACTGGCATCCTTGGTTATAATTTGATTTTCTCTGTGAGTGTGAGAATGTGCTTACCCTAGGATATGAAAATATGGTACCATTGGTGACTACATTTCTGATTAAAAATGATGAAACCGGCCACTGCGGTGGCTCACGCCTGTAATCCCAGCACTTTGGGAGGCTGAGATGGGTGGATCACCTGAGGTCAGGAGTTCAAGACCAGCCTGGCCAACATGGTGAAACCCTGTCTCTACTAAAAATACAAAAATATTAGCCGGGCGTGGCAGCGGGCGCCTGTAATCCCAGCTACTCGGGAGGCTGAGGCAGGAGAATTGCTTGAACAGAGGCGGAGGTTGCAGTGAGCTGAGATCGTGCCACTGCACTCCAGCCTGGGCAATCAGAGCAAAACTCCATCTCAAAAAAAAAAAAGAAAAGATGAAACTAGCCAGGCGCAGTGGCTTATGCCTGTAATCCTAGCACTTTGGGAGGCCAAGGTGGATGGATCACCTGAGGTCAGGAGTTCGAGACCAGCCTGGCCAAAATGGCAAAACCCCATCTCTACTAAAAATACAAAAATTATCCCGGCATGGTGGCACATGCCTGTAATCCCAGCTACTCAGGAGGCTGAGGCAGGAGAATTGCCTGAACCCAGGAGGCGGAGGTTACAGTGAGCTGAGATCATGCCACTGCACACTCCACCCTGGGCAACCCTCCGTCTCAAAAAACAAAAACAACAACAACAAAAAAACATGATGAAATTGGCATTAAGTGTTAATAATGAATCGTATGAGCTTGGTTAAAGGGAGCGCATCCTTGAGAACTGGTACTGGAGTTGGTGAACACTATTGGATTTCAGCCCTGAGGCTGAGGACTAGAACACCAGACTGTGCCTTGTTTACCAAAGTGCTGTCACCTTGCCACGTCTTGCGAGACAGACTGTCATTCTCTCAAAATATCCCTGCCCCACAACACTGGCCGTGGAGTGTTGTAGCCCACTGTATATTAGGAGAATCTTTTGGAGGGATAGTTTGAGAAAATGTGTTAAAATTATAAAATCTTTTTTTTTTAATTATAAAAAAAATAAAGGCAGGGTGTCACTATGTTGCTCAGGCTGGTCTTGAACTCCTGAGCTCAAGTGATCCTCCTGCCTCAGCCTCCTAAAATGCTAGGATTACAGGCACGAGCCACCATCCCTGGCCAAATTCATAAAATCTTTTTCTATCATTTGACCCAGTAATTCTCCCTAGGGGGAAAAAAAAAACTCTTCTGAAGAAATAATTCAAATTATGGGAAAAGCTGTATGCATGAAGATACGCATTTTAGCATTTTTTTAATTTAAAATCTTAATTTGCCAAATCACTTTTCACCTGAGACTCAGCATTACTTGTAATCACTGAAAATTACAAGCAACCCATAATCCAGCAATAGAGAAGTAATTATGTAAATCATTGTAGGTCAGTTTAATTAAATAACACAGCTACTAAAAAGGATAAAGACCTGTAATCCCAGCACTTTGGGAGGCCGAGGCAGGTGGATCACCTGAGATCAGGAGTTCGAGACCAGCCTGACCAACATGGCGAAACTCACATCTCTACTAGAAATACAAAATTAGCTGGGCGTGGTGGTGCATGCCTGTAGTCCCAGCTACTCAAGAGGCTGAGGCCAGAGAATCACTTGAACACGGGAGGTGGAGTTGCAGTGAGCTGAGGTTGCAGTGAGCCGAGATCGCACATCGCACTCCAGCCTGGGCAACAAGAGCGAAGTGAAATTCCGTCTCGGAAAAAAAAAAAGGGAAAAAGATTGGGTCAGGTGCAGTAGCTCATGGGTGTAATTCCAGCATTTTGGGAGGCCGAGGCAGGTGGATCAATTGAGGTCAGGAGTTTGAGACCAGCCTGGCCAACATGACAAAACCCCATCTCTACTAAAGATACAAAAATTAGCTGGATGTGGTGGCGGGCACCTGTAGTCCCAGCTACTCTAGAGGCTGAGGCAGCAGCATCGCTTGAACCCAGGAGGCAGAGGTTGTAGTGAGCCGAGATCTTGCCACTGTGCCCCAGCGTGGGTGACAGTGACTCCATCTCAAAAAAAAAAAAAAGATTAAAAATGTAACAGTGTGGGAAAATGTTGATAATTAATATAGAGTGAAAAAATTCAGCACATAAAATACTTAGGTTTATATTTAAACTAAGATTATGACTATAATTTGTATATTCTAATTTGTGTATTTGTAATCTTAATATACAAATTATAAGGCACCACGCCTGGCTTTTCTTTTTCCTCCTCAGACATGAGGTCTCGCCGTTGCCCAGGCTGGTCTTGAACTCCTGGGCTCAGGTGATCCTCCCACCTTGACCTCCCAGAGTGCTGGGATTACAGGCATGAGCCACCACCCCTGGCCTAGAAAAATATTAAAATACCATTAAGGAATATTCAAAACTGGTTATTATATCAGGGTAGTAGAATAAGGGATTTTTTTTTTAATCTATTTTCCATTGCAGCTGGTTTTGATGGTTTTGAATCTGTTCTCTGGCATTCTGTCCTGCAGTTGCCACCAGCTGACCACTCTGCAATATAACTTCTTAAACTTGCAGCCAGGAGGAGCCCTAGGGCAGGGAAAGCTGCAGACTAGCTGGCTTCCTGGCTGCTATCCAGGCAAGGATTTTGTTTTCTCTATTACAGTCGATTATCCTAGACTTTAGGGAGCAATAGGTCTCTGGACTGTAGGTTTCAGCCTCCGTTCTGGGCTTATCTTTGGATTCTTGTTGATGAGTCAAAAAAAAAAAAAAAAAAAAGGAGTGACCATCAGATGTTTGCTAACTCTTCAAGTATGAGCTCAACCTTGTTATCTGCCTGGAGTCATTTCCTTTGAAAATGTATGGTAGACTTTGCCAAAGTAAGTAGTAATGTCCCATTCCTTCTCAGGAAAATGTGTACACATAGATCAAAACTATGCATTGTAAAACTCATATCTGTTTGAAAACATAGAGGTAGGGACAGAAAGTAAACATATGAAGGATTTGACAGGACACATTACCAGCCTGGTGGTCCTTTTTGGAAAATGTTTGCTTTCTCGTAATTGCCTTCAAAATAGGGACAGTGTCCTGAATGTTGGTTACAGTTGTTGAAGATTTCTTTTTGAGATTATGCTTGGATGATGGGGCCTTAAGAAGAGAACCCACCCAGTCCTATTTTGTGCCTTCGTTTGGACATGTTCTCCCTTTTCTTCCAAGGTACTATACACTTAATTAGTATTGGGTCTAGTAGGACTGAGATTTTGTTTTCCTTTTTTTTCCCTAGGGTTCTCAGAAGCGAGCTATCTCTACCCCAGAAACCCCCCTAACAAAAAGGAGTGTGTCAACTCGTAGCCCCCATCAGCTACTCTCACCGTCAAGTTTCTCTCCAAGGTATGGATCATAATTCATTCAAGTGCCATAAAGCTGGCCTCCCCTCCCCTTTCTCTGGCTATCTGAGGAAGGCTAACAGCAGAGTTATTAATTAACTATAGGTGGGCATGTACCTCTGCAGTGAATTGGCTTGAAAGCCTATTGCTCTCTGCCTTCCTTGCTCTCCTTTTCTTTGTGGAAAATTACTGTTTCTTACGGTAATTAAGGAAACTCACTTTCCACCCACTTTTCTAGGGCTCATTTCCTAGATCGGGAACTGATATCTTGTATTGAAAACAACCTGTCTATTCAGAAGTCTAAGAGTCTTAACAGGTCTTGTCAGTAGAGGCAAGTAGGTTTCCACCTGCTTCTGTTTGTGTTTTGTTGGGTTTCTTTTTCTTTCTTTTCATCTAAAGTTTTTTTTTTTAAAGAAAAGCACATATCTTTGTTCATAATGTTTCATAACCTGTTTATTGTTTCCAAGTCAGGTTAGAACTAGTTTCTGAGAGTTTTCTTGTCACTGTGACTCTGCCCTGACTTAATTGGTATTTTGTCCCTCTGCCACCATTGCACATAAATCCACAAAGATCATATGTAATTTTTTGAAATCCATAAATGACACGTCTCATATTAGAGAATTCCATAGGCAAGTGCTCTGCTGAGTAGATGGGTTTTTAGGAGTTTCCACATCAAGATGAGGCTCCGGAGCAGTAGTATTAACCCTTCAGGGAAACACCAACTGCCAGGAGTCATTACCTCTACTTTGGATCACTTCTAGATGAACCAGAGCTTAAGATTGTTCAACTCTATCACTTTTTTTTTTTTTTTTTTTGAGATGGACTCTCACTCTGTCACCCAGGCTGGAGTGCAGTGGCACCATCTTGGCTTACTGAAGCCTCTGCCTCCCGGTTCAAGCGATTCTCCTGCCTCAGCTTCCCGAGTAGCTGGGTCTACAGGCGCTCGCCACCATGCCTGGCTAATTTTTGTATTTTTAGTAGAGACGAGGTTTCGCCTGTTGGCCAGGCTGATCTTGCACTCCTGACCTCAGGTGATCCACCCGCCTTGGCCTCCCAAAGTGTAGGATGTCAAGCATGTGCCACTGCTCTCGGCCTTTTCAGCTCTATCACTTTAGAAAGGTGGTGATAGAAGCTCTGCAGTCATTCAAGGTGAGTGGTCATTGGATTTTTTTTTTCTTTTCTTTCTTTTTTTTTTTTTTTTAAGATAGGCTTTTACTCTGTTGCCCAGGCTGGAGTGCAGTGGCACAACTATAGCTCACTGTAGCCTTGGCCTTCCAGGCTCAGGTGATCCTCCTACCTCAGCCTCCTGAGTAGCTGGGACTACAGGTGTATGCTACCAAGCCCAGCTAATTTTTATAATTTTTGTAGAGATGGGGTTTTACCATGTTGCTCAAGCTGGTCTCGAACTCCTGGCCTCAAGCAATCTGCCTGCCTTAGCCTCCCAAAGTACTGGGATTACAGGCATGAGCCAGCATGCCTGGCAGTAATTGGATTTTGAAGGACAGTTTTACTTTAGGGTAGTCTACTGCTGCTTTGGGGAGTTCTCAGGCTTTTTGGAAGAAAGCTTTCTAGACTTAAGAGCATCTTTGCAACCTGGTATGTAGGGATGGTTCTTATAGACGTGCCAGCACCATTGCAGGAGTTATATTCTCCAAATGTCAATACAATGCTCTGAAACCTGTAGATCTGTTTACAACTGTCCTCATGTGAGCATCTTGCTGCATTAAAGGGCCTGCTGTAATGGATGGCTCATGGAGCTTCCCAGGGAAGAGCTTGGAGAAGCTGGCAAAATGCTGCCTAGTCATTTTTTAATGCACACTAATAAAGCTGACAGCAGAAACTGGTTTTGTAATGTATGAAAGTAACTTCTAAACTATTCACGTAGAGGTGGCACTGGAGATTGAGATAATTAATTGAGCTCATTTTCTGTAGGCTGTGAAAAGAAAGAATGATGGCATTAATTGCGATGGTGCCCCACATAAAACTGGTTCCCGCAGAGTTTCAGTGCATTAAACAAAGCCTGTTTTAAATAGACCTCTCTGTACGGCGTGTTTACAACCAGAGGATTAGAAGACCTCACTGTCATCTAAGCAGATCAGCAATATCCATGTGTTCTTAGAGGTATAATTTACCAGTCAGGGAGTGGAAATGTGAGAACTTGGCAGTTGAGCCTAGAAAAATGGGAATGTTTGCACATCACCAGACTGTTAATTCATTACTTACCCACCTCCATAGACACTGGGGAAAATTGATTAATTTGAATTTCATTTTATTGTTGTTTCTACCTTGAACCATATTGTGAGTTTTTATATATGCTCAGCAAGTTTTAGCTTATCCACAGTTGCAGGCTCAGATGATGTTCCAATAAATGCTAAAAATTCATGAGAAGAAAAAAATGGGACTTAAAGTTTGCCTTTTAATCAATTCAGAATCTGGGGATCTTTTTGCCTTGCTTAGTTTTAATGCCAAGAGAACGACAACTTTTTAAAATACGTTTCTGTCTCTAAACTTCTCTAAAAATGTTTGGTATTCCTCAGCCTGGTATTCCTCAGCCCTTCATTCCTGAAATTCCTTAAAGGTCTGGGTATGTCCAACCCCATTAAACTGATTCAATTTATAAACTATGAGGCCACCTTCCTTTTCTCCAGTCCCCATTTCCAAAGGTAACCTCATTTTATTCTTCTCTCCCTTTAGATATGAACACAGTAATATTAACCTGTTTTGCTTCCAATTAGTGCTACTCCCTCCCAGAAATACAACTCACGAAGTAACCGAGGAGAAGTGGTTACCTCCTTCGGCTTAGCACAGGGAGTATCTTGGTCTGGGAGAGGAGGAGCTGGAAACATCAGCCTGAAGGTCTTGGGATGTCCAGAGGCACTAACTGGGAGCTACAAATCCATGTTTCAGAAGCTCCCAGACATTCGAGAAGGTGATTGTTTTTCCCTTTGAAATTCTGGTGGATATAAAACCACCTAGAAGGGTGTAGAGTAACAAAGCTTCAGCTAGGCTGGTAGAACAAGTTCCAAGGTTGCCTTTCAATGTATGAGTTGGTAGATGTCCTCATGGAAGCCCTAGTAATGGAGGGACACGGGCAATACTATCAGTGATTGCCCCAAGTCACTTCACTTTGCTAAAACGCACATAACCATTCCCAGCAGCAAAAACTTGAACGATGTAAAGGAATTCAACTTAAAGATATTCATGGTTCCTTCGTTAGAAGCCTTCTTCAGGTTGGCCTTGACTTGCCTAAAACCTCAGTGAGGACTTGAGTAAAGGGCAGACTTGGAGATGGGGTGGGGTTCATGCTGATTCCCTGGAATTGTGCTATGGGGTCTCCTGTGGCCAGATGGAAGGCCAGATTCAGCAACCAAATATCGGAAAATTGGCAAAGGTTTTAGAAGGTTTAAACTGGCCAGATGTCCAGGCACCCTTCCTGCTTCTGTAAAATGACTGACTTTAATATTTTACAATGTGCTGTATTTTCTCTTCTTGGCAAGTGAAATGTCTTAAACATAATACTTTTTTCCACTTCTGGGATTGTAGTTCTGACCTGTAAGATAGAAGAACTTGGCAGCGAACTCAAGGAACATTACAAGATTGAAGCTTTCACTCCTTTGCTAGCCCCAGCACAGGTAAGAGTTGTTCTAATAGTTCTCACTAATTAATATTACGTTTTTAAATCGATGACCAAGAGGCATCCTTCTTGCTTCCTTTTTCACTTCTTGTCTGTGTTCTAGTTTGAACATCTGTCTTGGTTGAATTTGGGAAAATGGGCCCTTCTGAAGAAAGATTTGTAAGTGCTGTCTGGTTTTGTGGCCAGAGAGTGATTTTCTTCCCACTTGGATTAGAGTCTTGCACATAAGCAGAGACTCAAGGCCTTGTTTCCCTTGGTGGTGAGTCAGGTAGCTCCCCGGGGATTTCCCACAAATAGAAGCATTCACGTATCGAGATAAAAGGACAGCAGCGACGGTGGGGTTTTCAGAATCTTGTTCTCTGGACAATGACTCACAGTCTCTCCCCTGGTTTGGTCTCTTGTTATAGACAAACTGCTGCCAATAGTATCTTTATATCATAGTTTAATCTGGCATATATACCAGTGCTTTCTCTCTAGAATGTTTTCTAATCTAAGGGGAAATATATTCTAGAAGTTTCTTTAAAGTACCTTTGTCAATGTTTACATTCAAAGAATGATCAGTTGGGGAAGTGATGCAGAACTGTGTCATAGAAGGAAGTGTTAGAGGACTTGGAAGGAAGTAATTGAGGGAAGGCAGGGAGGCACAATCACTGGGAAAGATGAGACTTCCTCTGTTTTCTCCCAAGAGTGGGAACAGAACAGAGGAAGCCATGGAGACAGAGATTTTAGCTCAATTAATAAAGAACTTCCTGTTAAGAGGTTGTATGGTATGTGGCTAAGGATATGGCTCTAGAGCCAAATTTCTGGTTTCAAACCCAAGCTTCACCCACAGTTTGACCTTGACTAAATTATCTAACCTTTCTGTTGCTTGTTTTCCTCATCTGTAAAATGGATACAGTAATATCCACCCGATGGTTGTTGCAAGGATTAAATGAGTTAATACATATAAAATGCCTAAGAATACATTTTAGAACAGTGCATGGTATTTAGTAAGCTCAAGAAATGTTAGCTATTATTAAGTAGTTATAGCTGCCCAAAGATGCAGTGGGCTGCCCTGGGGTGGTGAGGACAGGGTGGGGTAGGCATCCAGGGGCAAGTTCCCCTACACTAGAGATGCTCACACTTAGGCAGCCTCCTAGGAAGGCTCAAGTGCTGGGTGGATGGGTGGACAAGATGCCCTTTCAGAGTTCTTCCATCCTGAGAGTCAGTGATGACGCGGTAGTCACCTCAGGGTCAAAGCAATGCCCTGCCAAGAAATGTATTTGTTGTTTGCAGTTTGTTTTGCTATTCACCCTATCGACTTCAGATTTTGAGCTCCTGCTCCAAAGACTGTCATTCTTATGCTGTGACCTTCCTTTGGTAGGAGCCTGTCACTCTGCTGGGCCAGATTGGCTGTGATAGCAACGGGAAGCTGAACAACAAGTCAGTGATTCTCGAGGGAGACCGGGAACATTCCTCGGGTGCTCAAATTCCAGTGGATTTATCTGAGCTTAAGGAATATTCTCTGTTTCCTGGACAGGTGAGATTGGAGGAGTTCCACCAGAATGCAGGCGCACTCTTTACCCCTGTAGTGTAGGTGCTGTGCCATGCGCAGCTGCTCCTCAGTTCCTGTCTCTGCTGCCATGGGGTGCAGCTGGAGCACATGCCCCAGAGCAGACACCACTGTTGGGATTCCTGTTTCCCCCATGCTCTGACCCAGGCTCTGGGACCTGACTGCGCAGCCTCAAATCCCAACTCCCCGCTCCATGAGGTGCATGACTGTGCACAAGGTACTTAACCATCTAAACTACAGTTTCTTCACTCACAAAATGGAAATAATAATTCTTACCTCATAGGATTGTTGTGAAAATTAGATCACTTATATAGAGCATAATTATTATTACTAATGCAACGCCCTTAATTCGTTTTCTACAAAAATGCCCTAAGTTTATGATTACAGAATGAGAGTAGTTGGACAATGCTTTTAACTGCCTCAAAATAATGTATTCCAGACCTCATTGATCTCCACTGCTTAGCAATCCTGTTTGTTTTTGTCTTTCAGGTTGTAATTATGGAAGGAATCAACACCACTGGTAGGAAACTTGTTGCCACCAAACTCTACGAGGTACACAGCAGTACCCCCACTTGCCTCTTGGTTTGCTTCAGACAAAGTATGTCTGGAAGCTGTCTGTTCTAGAAACTGGTCCTTTTTAGGAGCCCATTTATTTGTTAGTCAGTTCTCCATCTGTAAGTGGGAACCCACCCCTAGGCCAGGGGTCAGCAAACCCTTTCTATAAAGGGCCAGACAGTAACTCTTTTAGACTTTGTAGCTATATGGTCTCTGTCACAATGACTCAATTCTGCCTTTGTCTACAAAAGCAGCCATAGAGGACTCTTAAACAGATGACTGTGGCTGTGTTCCCATAAAACTTTATTTAAATAGTGGGCTGCAGCCAAATTTGGCCCAGAGGCCGAAAGGTTACCTATCCCTGCTCTAGGCAACAATCCTCCAGAGATTTTCGTAGAATGCCAGGAAAAGTAGCAAGAAACCATTCTCTCCCATCCTTGCCTAGAAGTACACTGATACTTTAGGCACCTGTTTTGCTCCCACTTGTTGCTGGGTATTTTATGACAATTGAGTAGTGACCTCCCATTACCTGGGTTTCTTTGCCCTCTGAGCAGTATAGAAAAATGGCAGGTCCCATCAGATCCAGGGAGCAAGACAGAGGCACATCCTTCCCCTGCCCTCTCGCTCCTCCCCACTGTCCTCCCATCACACACCTGCACCACCCCCAACCTGGTGCCCTCCCCTTTCCTTACCAAGGTGATGCCTGGCGCAAGACCTTACTTGAGCTTTTCCCCTGTTTTTAGGGTGTGCCACTTCCATTTTATCAGCCCACTGAAGAGGATGCAGGTGAGTTTCGGTTCAAATATTGTTTTGCCAACAATGAGGATGGTAGACATGAGTCCAGGAGTGCAGTTTCCCAAGCCCAAGAAAGCTGCAGAAGCTGCTGAAGAGCAATGTGACCAAGCAGTGAGGGCGCCACCATCATGAGTTCGTAGGTTTTTTGTCACAAGACCCCTGGTCTGAGCCCAGTGAGCGTTGGTCGTGCTGTCGCCTGAGTTCTGCCTACATGAAGCATGTTGTTTAAAGACTAATGTTTAACAGGTATTTTTGAAGGTTGCCTTGGAAAGGAAAAGATGTACGATTTCAAAAAGAATTTATTTACATGCAGCATGGGCAGATGCGGTGGCTCACACCTGTATTCCCAACACTTTGGGAGGCCAAGGTGGGAGGATCACCTGAGGCCAGGAGTTGGAAACTAGCCTGGGCAACATAGGGAGACCCTGTCTCTACTAAAAATTAAAAAAAATATTAGCTGGGCTTGTGGTGCATGCCTGTAGTCCTAGCTAATCAGAGGCTGAGACAGGAGGATTGCCTAAGCCCAGGAGTTCAAGGTTGCAGTGAGCTATGGTAACACCATTTTACTCCAGCCTGTGTGACAGAGCGAGACTCTGACTCTTAAAAAAAATTAAAATTAATTAATTTTTTGAAAGTATAATGTGGCATCCTGGATTGGATCCTTGAAGAGAACGGGAACATCAGTGGAACAACTAGCAACATCTGAATAAAGCCAGGAATTTACTTTTTTATTTTTCTGGCTCTAACACTCAACCTCGAGAATCCAGGAATTTAGTTAACAGCGATATACCAGCATTAATGCCTTAATTTTGACAAATGTTCATGGTTACCTAACATGTTAAGATTAGGGGCCACTGGTGAAAGACACACAGGAACTCTGTACTATCTTCATAACTTCTCTACAATTCTAAATTTGTTCTAAAGTGAAAACTTAAAAATAACTTCCTTTTTTTTTTTGAGATGGAGTCTCGCTCTGCCCCCCAGGCTGGAGTGCAGTGGCAAGATCTTGGCTCACTGCAAGCTCCGCCTCCCGGGTTCAGGTGATTCTCCTGCCTCAGCCTCCTAAGTAGCTGGGATTACAGGCGTACACCACACCCGGCTAATTTTTGTATTTTTACAAAACCCCATAGTGATGGGGTTTCACCATGTTGGTCAGGCTGGTCTTGAACTCCTGACCTTGTGATCCGCCTGCCTTGGCCTCTCAAAGTGCTGGGATTGCAGGCATGAGCCACCATGCCCGGCCAAAAAGAATTTCTTTAAAACCCTAGTGTTATGTGGTAACTAATCTAGTTGTGGAAAGGCAAAAAGAAAGTTTGACAAACTTTGCTTCTAAATATTTCAACATAATTTCAGCACTTCACAGGGCTGAGGTGGGAAGATCACTTGAGCCCAGGAGTTTGAGACCAGCCTGGGCAATATGGCGAAAACCTGTCTCTACAAAAAAAAAAAAAAAATTAGCTCGGCATGGTGGCATGTGCCTGTGGTCCCAGCTGCTCAGGAGGCTGAGGTGCGGGGATCACTTGAGCCTGGGAAGTCAAGGCTACAGTAAGCCGTGATCATGCCACTGCACTTCAGCATGGGTGAAAGAGTAAGACACTAGATAGATAGATAGATAGATAGATAGATAGATAGATAGATAGATAGAATTTATTTATTTCAAGGTGGCCAGGTGTGATGGCTGACTTCTGTAACCCAGCACTTTGGGAGGCCAAGGTGAGAGAATTGCTTGAGCCCAGTTTAAGTTTAGCCTCCCGGCACATAGTGGGTCTGCATCTCTACAAAAAATAAAAACAAAAAAAATCAGCTTGGTGTGGTTGTGCACACCTGTATAGTCCCCACTACTTGCGAGGCTGAAGTAGGAGGATTGCTTGAGCCCAGGAAGTCAAGGCTGCAGTGAGCCATGATTGTGCCATTGCACTCCAGCCTGGGTGTCAGAGTGAGACCCTGTCTCAAAAAAATATATGTATGTATTTCTGTATTTCAAGGCATTGTTTTTTTTTTCTTTTTTTTTTTTTTAGACAGAGTTTCACTCGTTGCCCAGGTTGTAGTGCAAGGCGCCATCTCGGCTCACCGCAACCTCCACCTCCCGGGTTCAAGCGATTCTCCTGCCTTAGCCTCCCAAGTAGCTGGGATTACAGGCATGCACCTGTAATGCCTGGCTAATTTTTGTATTTTTAGTAGAGATGGGGTTTCTCCATGTTGGTCAGGCTGGTCTCAAACTCCCAACCTCAGGTGATCTGCCCGCCTCGGCCTCCCAAAATGCTGGGATTACAGGCATGAGTCACCACACCCAACCCTCAAGGCATTTTTGTAAGCACAGTGGAGCACTGTTAAGGATTAGCAACCAGATCACTGATACTAGCATGTTGTCAACACCCCATGCATGTAACAGTGGCCAGAGCCATTCTTGGAGATGACCTAGAATCAGGAGTGAAATTTAGGACCTTGTGATATTGCACATTTTATCAGAAAACACAAGTTTGGCCGGGCGTGGTGGCTCATGCTGGCGCAGGAGGATTGCTTGACCACAGGAGTTTGAGAGCAGCCTGGGCAACATGGTGAAACCTCATCTCTACAAAAAGTACAAAAATTAGGCCAGGCGCAGTGGTTCACCCCTGTAATCCCAGCACTTTGGGAGGCCGAGGTGGGCGGATCACACGGTCAGGAGATAGAGACCATTCTGGCCAACAAGCTGAAACCCCATCTCCACTAAAAAATACAAAAATTAGCTTGGCTTGGCAGCGTGTGCCTATAATCCCAGTTACTCAGGAGGCTGAGGCAGGAGAATCGCTTGAACCTGGGAGGTAGAAGTTGCAGTGAGCCGAGATCGCCAATGAACTCCAGCCTGGCGACAGAGCTAGACTCTGTCTCAAAAAAAAAAATTAGCTGGGTGTGGGCATGGTGGCATGTGCCTATAGTCCCAGCAACCTGGAAGGCTAAGGTGGGAGGATCACTCTCCTGAGTCCAGGAGTTCAAGGCTGCCATGAGCCATGATCATACCACTACTGCACTCCAGCCTAGGAGTGAGAGTGAGATCCTATCTCAAAAAAAAAAAAAAAAGAAAAAGAAAAAAAAGAAAATACAAATTTATAGGGGGCAAGGGTGGCATGCTGGTATTAGGTCAACTTCAGGTAATGAAATCAACCTGGCTGAGATACCAGGAGCCTGAGCTGTGTACCAGAGAAGCCTTTGGAAACAGTTTAACAGGTTGTTAATGAACTTTTGTACAAGGAATTAAATGAGGCACTCATGGAGATACAGAATAAGACATGGCCCTCGCCCTCCAGAGACTCACTGCTTACACTGGGGCTCACATCTCCTGTAGGCTTCTCAGAGCCAAACTTAACTTTGTCCCCTACCCCACCACCACATGAAACCTGCTCTTCACCTTGAATGCTCTGTCAGTTCATGGTATTATTACCATGATAGACTGAATCACAGCCCCAGGAATCCCTGGAACCTGTGAATATTTTACCATTTGTGGTAAAGGAGACTTTGCCCGTGTGATTAAGTTAAGGCTGTTGAGATGGGGGATTAGCCTGGATTATCCAGGTGGGTCCACTATAATCACAAGGGTCCTTATAAGAGGAATGGCAAGAGAATCAGAGTCAGAGCTTAGAAATGTTAGGCTGCTGTGATTTGAGGAAGCCTAAAGAAAAATTTTATTTCAAAATAGAGAAATCTTAGGCTTCTGGCTTTGCCGCTGCAGGTGGGGCCATGAACCAGGGAATGCAGGTGGCCTCTGAAAGCTGGAAAAGGCAAGGAAATGGATTCTTCTCTAGAACCTCCAGACAGGAGGAACTCAGCCCTGCCCACACCTTCAGTTTAGGATTTTTGACCCCTGGAACTGTAATATAATAAATTCGTGGGCTTTTTTTTTTCTTTTTTTTTGAGACAGTCTCACTGGAGTGCAGTGGGCATGATCACAGCTCACTGCAGCCTCAACCTCCCAGGCTCAAGCAATCCTCCCACTTCAAGTAACTAGAACTATAGGCTCAGGAGGTACGCACCACTCTGCCCAGCTAATTTTTGTATTTTTTGTAGAAACAGGGTTTCATTATGTTGCCTAGGCTGGTCTCGACCTCCTGAGCTCAAGGGATCCTCCCGCCTTAGCCTCTCAAAGTGCTGGAATTACAGGCGTTGAGCCACCACACCTGGCCAAATTCGTGTTGTTTTAAGGCACTAAGTTTGTGATAACTTGTTATAGCAACAATAGGAAACTAACACAACAGCATGTTAAGAAGCCAGGGATCTTTGGATTTTGTTGTTGTAAGCCACAGAAACTGGCTCAGACTAACAAGAAAGCAGGAATTTATTAGGGGAGATCCAGGTAGCTCACAGACTGGACACGTGGCTAGAAACCGAGGCTTGGAACCAAGATGAGAGCCCAGGAACTCTAGCATCCAGGTAGCAGGAATTCCCCAGCTGTCTCATCTGGGCACCTCAGCTGGAATAGGTTAGCTCTAATCTTTTTTCTCTCCTTGGATCGTTCACCTCAAGATTGCAGACCCTGGGAGGAGAGTGTGAATGGCCTTGTGCCATTCTGGGTCATGTGCCTGCCCTTGGCTAGAGGAAGACAGAGCACCCAATTTACAGCCCCATGTAGACTGCCTTGTGGAGGGATGGGCTGATTCTCCAAAAGGAAAGCAGCTGCTGTTAGGAAAAAGGCAAAGCGTGATGGGTGGCCCCTGCACCCCATCACCCTGGAGTCTCCCGTTCCAGTCTCCCATTCCCCGGCCTGTCTTTCTGGGCTCTTCAGTACCCCACATTCTCCAGCCACACTGGACGACCAGACATTTCCTAACACTGAGCACACTCAGGTCTCAGTGCTATCCTGTACCCTGCCTTGCCCTTGATCCCCAAAAATTCTCAAACGTGTTAGCAAATTCCACCTTGGTAAATTCTTTCCTGACTGCCACTTTCCTCGAATCTTTCATGTGCACAGCTCATAAAGTTTCTACTGCATGTTCTAGGTATTCGTGTACCTGCCTGTCTCTGTCTCTATCACCTAGTGGAGTGTTCTTGGAGGGTGGACATGAGGTCTTCCTTACCTTGGGTCCCCAGAGTTTCACACATAAAGGACTCAATGAGTTAAATCCTGTGGCATTTCCCATCATTGTCCTTTCTCCTCCCACCATTCTAATACTAGTCCTCTTCTAATCAAGACCTATAACCTCTGTCTTAGACTTTGAGCAAAGCATGGTCCTGGTTGCCTGTGGACCATACACCACATCTGACAGCATCACGTATGACCCCCTGCTTGACCTGATTGCTGTCATCAACCATGACCGGCCAGATGTCTGCATCCTGGTAAGAGGCACCAGTGGGAAAGCTGAGGAGTCAGCCTTGGAAAATGGCTTTAATGAAGTTCTAAATTTTTAGGAAGCATGTCAGTCCCTCCTCCTTTTAGAAAATATCTTTTCATTCTTAATCTACATCTTTGGAGAGGTATATATATCTATGGGCCTTTGCTAGATTTAAAAGCCCAACTTTGGCCGGGCGCAGTGGCTCACGCCTGTAATCCTAACACTTTGGGAGGCCGAGATGTGTGGATCACTTGAGGGCAGGAGTTCTAAGCCAGCCTGGCCAACATGGTGAAACCCCATCTCTACTAAAAATACAAAAAAATTAGCTGGGCATGGTGGCAGGCACCTGTAATCCCAGCTACTTGGGAGGCTAAGGCAGGAGAATTGCTTGAACCTGGGAAGCAGAGGTTGCAGTGAGCTGAGATTGCACCACTGCCCTCCAGCCTGGGCAACAGAGTCAGACTCCATCTCAAAAAATAAAAATAAAAGCCCAACTTTTTTTTTCCACCCTTCGTTGATTTTACAGTATTCTTACTTCTTTCTCATTACTCCAACTTCTGAACTAATCTCTTTTTAAAGCTCAAAATACTATTATTAGTATGGTGATCAATTTACCTTGCTAGATTTAGAAAGTCAGAAAACCCAGTGTGCATTTTTATTGTTCGTTTGTTTTTTGTTTTTTTTTTTTTTTTTGGGACAGAGTTTCACTCTGTCACCTAGGCTGGAGTGCTGTGGTGCGATCTCGGCTCACTATAGCCTCCACCTCCTGGGCTCAAGTGAGCCTCCCCTATCCTCCCTGAGTCTTCCGAATAGCTTGGACTACAGGCACACGCCACCATGCCCAACTAATTTTTGTATTTTTTTGTAGAGAGAGGGTTTCACCATATTGCCCAGGCTAGTCTTGAACTCCTGGGCTCAGGCAATCTGCCCACCTCAGCTTCCCAAAGTGCTAGGATTACAGATGTGAGCCCAGTGTTATAGTGGTTATGGGGCTCTGGGAGCCTCCCTCCATCTGGGGCAAACGTGTTTCTGCCTGTGAAATTGGCTTGGCGCCCCGCCAGCCCATCTGCTAACTGTCCCCAGGCTCTACAGGCAGCCTTGGAGGGACAGATGAGCCCTCCACAGAGAACTGCCAGAGGAGGTATCTGAAGTCATTCACAGACACAAGTGATTCTGATTTGTTCTTTTGGTGTCTTTGTTTCTCCCCTTGCAGTTTGGCCCTTTCCTGGATGCTAAGCATGAACAGGTGGAGGTGAGTGGGCTGGGGTGGGAAGGGGTCCTGGGTACTTGAATCCAGTCAGGCTCTCACTTTTCATTTTTTAGTGTTTATCCCACATCTGTAACAAACACATTAAGTCCTGTGGCTAATCAGAAAATCATTTTAGCAGAGCACTTTATTAATAAAGATCTGGAATCCAAGGGCCTCCTTTCACCAGAATACAAGGCTGTCTGGAAGCTGGGGGAGGGACATATAAGTCCTAATGTTCCTTTGTTTGTGATGCCTGCTGCTAAGGCACAAGAGCACTAGCACAAATGCAGGTGTCTGGCAGTCATGGGCTGCCCTGTGAAAGAACCTGTCCTGGCCAATACCCCAAGCTTATAACTCATCTTGCTGTCCTTTGCATAAAACACGAATGGTCCTTCCTGGGACATCTCCATGGCTGAGGTCTGGGACCTCCAATCCTTCGTCTCACGATACTTTACCTTCCATGGAAAATATTTCAAAGTACTCTTTCTTTTAGTCTCTCTCAGATTGCATTCAAGAGGGTTAATTCCCACATCTCTTCTCCTCCCTTCGACTAGACTTAGCTCCTTAAGACAAAGACCATGTCTTTTTCATCTTTGCGTCTCCTTCAGCTCCTAGCCCAACAGCTGACTTCTATGGGTCACCTAACAATGTTAAACAAGTGAATAAACACCAAACATCTGCCGTCTAAATCTGTCTCCTTTCCTTTCTTGCAGAATTGTCTACTGACAAGTCCATTTGAAGACATTTTCAAGCAGTGTCTACGAACAATTATTGAAGGCACAAGAAGGTCAGATTTCAAAATACTGGACAGAACCTTAAGCTTCTTAGGTTTCTCCAGAGCTTCCCATTAAGAAACTGAAACTGCTTAAAAGTCGTGGCAGGGCCAGGCTCAGTGGATCACACCTGTAATCCCAGCACTTTGGGAGGCCGAGGCGGGCACATCACCTGAGGTCAGGAGTTTGAGACCAGCCTGGCCAATATGGTAAAACTCTGTCTGTACTAAAAATACAGAATTAGCCAGGCGTGGCGGTGGGCACCTGTAATCCCAGCTACTTGGGAGGCTGAGGCAGGAGAATCACTTGAACCTGGGAGGCAGAGGTTGCAGTGAGCCAAGATCGTGCCGTTGCACTCCAGCCTAGGCAAAAAGAGCGCAACTCCATCTCAAAAAAAAAAAAAAAAAAAAGCTGGGCGTGGTGGCTCACGCACTTTGGGAGGCCAAAGCAGGCGGATCACCTGAGGTCAGGAGTTCAAGACCAGCCTGATCAATATGGTGAAACCCTATCTCTACTAAAATTACAAAATTAGCTGGGCGTGGTGGCACATGCCTGTAATCCCAACTACTGCGGAGGCTGAGGCAGGAGAATCTCTTGAACCCAGGAGGCAGATGTTGCAGTGAGCCGAGACCACACCATTGCACTCCAGCCTGGGCAACAAGAACAAAACTCCTTTTCCAAAAAAAAATCATGGCAGTTCCTATTCTTTCCTTCCTTTTGAACTACCGAGATCAGCTAGAACCCTTGAACTTCAAGTGCAAGTTAAGAGGCATCTCTGTAAAACACAAAGATAAACATACTTGACAAGGCTGCATCGGCTCTCACTCTTTGGTTGCTCTTTCTCTTCTATACTTAGTTCCTTTTCTCACTCCCTTTTGTATAAACTAATATTCCACGGGAATCTTCCCAGGATGGTTTTGAGAAGTGTTTGATGACTTACGCAGTGAAATCCTGTGAGACCCCAAACATCTTGTTGTGTAAGTGATTGTATTGGGTAAGCCCAAGTTCCTCCCAAGTCAGTGCTTCCCCAGGGTGCGTGGGAAGCTGCCAGTGGCTACAGCTGGTGGTGATAGAAACTCTCAGTGAGGGTGGGGCCTTGAATCCTTGCCATAGACCAAACGGAAGGAACTGTGAGAGGTTACAGCAGTGATGAGAGAGCTGTGCAGTTCTCATTTGAGAGGAAAGTCACTGTTCCAGGAAGAGGCTAAAGCCGGAAGTGGAAAGTTATTCAGAAATCTGACATCCTCCATTCCTGTCCCTTTTCCCCAGTGCCAGGGTTTGAAAGAAGTTGGTATAGGTGGTAGATCTCCTCACAAGATCTGCATGCTTGTAGCTGAGCTAATAAAATACAAATATTCCTGAGGCTAAGCATTTAAAAACGAGTCTGTCACAAAGGTGGTTTTTAAAATAAGATGTCTAACCTTCCGCCTTTTAGCCATGAGAACTGATCCCAGAATCAATAAGTTGTAACATTACCTTCTTGTACCAGCAGTGTGGGCCAGGATGGTAGATGTCACAGCTGGAATAAAGAACATCCCCCAACTCACCCCAGAATCAGAGACTTGGGTTGTGCCAGTGACAACCATGTCTGGTTCTGCCCTTTCCTCCCCTGCCTCCCTCAGATGAAGGTGATGCAGGTGCCTTCCCTCTTCCCCAGATTTGCTGTGATCCTGGTCAAGTTCATCAGGCCTGGAGAGTGGTTGGAACTCCTCAGGAGATAGACCCCCAAAACACAGGAGCAGGGCTGTGTTCTTTTGTCAGCCCTTGGGGATAGGCAGGGACTGTGTTGTAGTGCCCTAACACTGGCTGGGTGCTTTCAGTTTGAGGTCGGGTTCTGTTTTTGGTTCCTTACCCCGTGTGGTATTGACAGCAGTGATAGAAATAAAGCACAGATGAGGCATTGTCACACTGGGGATGAGAGCCCAGCACCACCAGGCACTTTCATCTATGGCCAGTGTGTGCCACAGGGCAGGGGGAGCTGCCCCACCCTTCTAGAAACAGTATATAAACAGTTCTTGGGCAGAGAATTTCTTTGTATTCCTGAGAGGTCAGAAATGCAGAGCATTAAGCTGAGTCATCATTAGTAAAAGTCAGAGCCAGGCTAAGCACGGGGCTCACGCCTATAATCCCAGCACTTTAGGAGACTGAGGCGGGCAGATCACTTGAGGTCAGGAATTCAAGACCAACCTGGCCAACACGGCGAAACCCCATCTCTACTAAAAATACAAAAATTAGCCAGATGTGGTGGTGGGTGCTTGTAGTCTCAGCTACTCGGGAGGCTGAGGCAGAATTGCTTGAACCCAGGAGGTAGAGGTTGCAATGAGCCGAGATCGCACCACTGCACTCCAGCCTGGGCGACACAGCAAGACTCCATCTCAGAAAAAGAAAAAGAGCCAGTGAGAAAGCACCTCAGAGAAAGCGAGCAGAGCCCGCGGTTCTCGTCCTGTTTGCGGGAGCAGCTGGAGGACCCTCCCGCTGTGACGTACGAGGTTGTGCAATGCTGAGCATAGTTGGGATGTTTTTCTGATCCCTCCTTCTATAGGCGCTTTCTAACCATGAGCAGGAAGGCTATTTCCTCCTTAACTATTGCCCTTCCAAAGCCTACACTGAAACAGGGCAATTTTGTCCCTTGAGAGCAGCCAGCTGCACCTCAGTCCTTTGTGTTTATCACAGATGTCAAGCCCTTGAGATGTGGAGCACAGATTGTCCCATTCAAGTTACCCTGTGGCCTGTTTACCAGACCCTGGCACCCAAATGGTGGACTGGATCACCCTAGTGAGCTTCTCAGTGTCAAAGGGACAATAATGAATATGCAAACACCTTTGGTCTCAGGATTCTGATTTTCTGTTATAGACATCTCAGTTCACACTCTGAGAGGACACCACAAACAGTGATAAGGGTGACAGCTGTCACCAGCACCTTTATCACATGTGAAAGTGTATGTATGCCTGAGAAGTCCACATGTTTTAAGCAAGAGACAGAGATGGAAGTGAGAGCTATTGGTGGATTTTAAACATGCCCGCAAAGTAATACCTTATGCCTATTTGATTTATAAACGGCCCCTCTGCCAAGGTCATCTTAAGGGAACCAAGGAAACGGGGCTTTCTTCCTCTTTTGTGTGGCTGGGAAAAATAAATAGTTGGCCCCCAGAGTTACAACTTTCTTCTTCACTTGTATGTTGTAACCCTAGAGATTCTCCTGCTCCATCAAAGGAAACATCTGCTGTCATCTGTGCTTTTACTGTTGCTGTTAAATATTTCTTTCATTTTTGCATGACAACCTGCTGAGAAATAGAAACTCAGGGCATTATTTCCATGTGTGAGAGGGGAGGGATGCGATGGCTCAGGGAGAGGCCGCTTGGGCTTTTCTGCCTCCCACTGGAAATGTCTGTGTCTCGGTTGTCCAGTAATTATGGCCCAGTGTTCAGTCAGTCAGAGGGTTTCAGCTGGATCTTCTAAATACGAAGCCAGGCCAGGTGTGGTGGCTCACACATGTAATCCCAACACTTTGGGAGGCCAAGGTCGGTGGATCACTTGAGGCCAGGAGTTTGAGACCAGCTTGGCCAACATGGTGAAACCCTATCTGTACTAAAAATACAAAAATTAGGTGGGTGTGGTGGTGTGCACCTGTAGTTGTAGCTACTCGGGAGGCTGAGACACAAGTATCACTTGAACCCAGGAGATGAGGTTGCAGTGAGCCCACATCATGCCACTGCACTCCGGCCTGGGCGACAGAGTGAGGCTCTGTCTCAAAAAAAAAAAAAAAAAAAGCAGTCTCAGGGTCTTTTTAGTATGCCTGCCTTCTCCCTAGGAAAAATGCCCCAGCTCCATGCACCCTACCAAGGTGTGGCAGGGACACTGTTTACTGCCTGCAGGCTACACCTGCTTAGAAGGTGTAATGAGTCCAAGCTGTGGTTTAAACTCTGGCTCTGAGGCTGTGATTCTTTATTCACATCCTTGTCTTTCTAGACTTTCTAGATCTCCATTTCTTTGCCCCTTTTTCTGCCAAAAAATAGTCTCCATCCTCTCAGTAGAAAGCCACACAGAGCAACAAGAAAGTGTCCCAGGCAATCGGAGCCTGTCCAGATGGATGGGTGTGAAGTAGAACAAACTGTCCTTTACTCCCAGTGTCCCATGGGAAACAGCGTCTCTGTTCATAACAGAGTGCAGTTCTGAGCTGCCTCCCTCGGGGTGGGCTCTGCCTCCAGCCTGAGGCATCCCACCTGTTGCGCAGCTGTTCTAACTCAACTGCACTCACTTTTCTCACTCTTCTGTTTGTTCTTTTGCCATACTAGCTCCGGCTCCCACCTTGTCTTTGTCCCGTCATTGAGAGATGTGCACCATGAGCCTGTGTACCCCCAGCCGCCTTTCAGCTACTCCGATCTGTCTCGAGAGGACAAAAAGGTAGCAGCACCCACTCCTTGACCAGCAGGCAGCCAGAATCCAGCATGCCTCTGCCACTAGCTCTGGCCCTGAAGGGGAGGGTGGAGAGGCCTCTTTAGGGTGTGCGTACAGCCTGAATCTTAAACTCCTTTTTTTAAACAGGCAAATGTGTCCAAAAGCTTGATGTATGTTGGTTTGGTCCCCCTTTCCGTGGTCTCCCCAGCCCTCAGACAACCCCCACTTTCATGGGAAGATGTTTCTAGCTTTGGCATACAAATGTTTGTTTCAATCCGTTCTCATTTTAGCAAGTACAGTTTGTGTCCGAGCCCTGCAGCCTCTCCATAAACGGAGTGATCTTCGGCTTGACATCCACAGATCTGCTTTTCCACCTGGGGGCCGAGGAGATCAGTAGGTAAGAAGTGTGTTCCAGGCCCCAAGCAGGATGACTGGCTTTCTGGTCCCAGCCCTTTCTGCAGCCAAGAAAATCAAGGGGCTGCTTAACGGTCTTGACCAGAGAGAGCTGAAAGCAGCAAGCTGTGCCAGACCCTCTAGCCATCTGAGTTTCTCTGTACCCAAGGGGAGGGGTTGGATGCATTAGTTTCTGTTACCACCTCTCTAAACTGCGTTTGAGACCCCAAAGAACCACGTCCATTCTGTCTTTGCACTTAAAGGCATCAAAATTCATCTACATTTTCTTTTCTGCTCCCCTTTTTTTTCATTTCCCAAATTTGTGACCTGAAAACAAATGTGGACATCCTGTTTGTGGAGGATAAACTGGGAATTTTCTCTGAAGGATTTTCTTCACTACCAGTACAACATCCAGCTCTGCAGAGAATCAGGCCCTGACAAATTTGTTGAGTTGAAGTTGGGCAGCTCCGTTCTGCCGTCATCCTTGATGGGAAGGGGCATGTGAAGCGACTCGCGTGTGAAGCGAGACGGGTGCGGCTCCTTGGCTGAGGTTTGAGATTCAGGTCAGCCTGGCTACACACCCGCCTCATGATGGTGCCAACTTTGCATCCTCTTGCACAGTACGGTGCTGGCTAATGGCCTTCCTTGATCTTGATTATGAGGGATTCCTGTGCTTTCCCTTCTCAACCTGGTGTCCTGCGTCCCTCCTCATGTGGGGACAGACTGAGCTCCTTGTGGGTGGGTCTTTAAACTTCCCCAGAGGCATCCTCCTCTTGTTGCTGTGCCTTGGCCATTTACCTTCTCTCTGGTTTATTAAATTCTCCAGTCCTCCCTGAAGAGAAATGGGCTGAAAAACAGAGTTCTGTTTTCATGCTTTCTTTTCTTTCCCAGTTCTTCCGGAACTTCAGACAGATTCAGCCGAATACTCAAGCACATCTTGACCCAGAGGAGGTGAGCTTGCCGCTGGGACCCCTGACTGTGGAGAGAGTGCCTTGGGGTCATGGAGCTATGACAAGCATGACTGTAAGAGCCTTCACCAGGCTACCAGCAGGGAACTTTACCCTGTGATGACAAGCCTGCATTCTGCCCCACACACACAGAGAAAAAGTCGGTCTGTGGATGCCAGCAGCACGAAAGCCAGTACCTAGGGGGACTCTGTCTGAGAAGGGGGCCCCCCGGTCAGCTAGTGCTGACAATTTCTCTCTGTCTCTGTAGCTACTACCCACTCTACCCGCCCCAAGAAGACATGGCCATTGACTATGAGTCGTTCTATGTTTACGCACAGCTGCCTGTCACCCCAGATGTCCTCATCATCCCGTCAGAGCTGAGGTACTTCGTGAAGGTAGGTTTGAACTCTGCTTTTTCCCAGAAACACCAGAACCCAGTCTTTGACTTTCCCTTCTAGACCACCCGGCACTCACCCCTCATGGGTCAGCTGATGGGGATGGGGCCTCTAGCACCCTGCCCTGTGGCCTTGTTTCTTTGGGGAGGTGGTGGGACCAGAAAACAAACAACTCTGTCAGTAAAATGCTTGAGTAAACAGTGTCCTCTCCTCCCTCCCCAAGAGAACGAGAGCCCAGATGACTAGGAAGGCCCTCAAATGAGGGCTTTCACCAGGCCACATAGAGGTGACCTGGGGAAGATTTCATATGTACACTTGCCTGTCCTCTGCCTCCCAAATTCTGATATGACCTCCAAGTGGGCTCAGCTGGGAATACCTTGAAGAAGCTATTGGGTCATTTTGATCTCTGCCACCCTTTAGCCCTGCCTGCCTTGGAGTTAGGTCCCTTACAAGGAATCTGCCTAGACCAGTCCCCCTCTTGCCAAACAAGAGTTAGTTCAATCTCAAGAGGTTAAAAAAAAGTTTTTCACATGAGAAAGCAGTAAACAGCTAGATCAGGTTTGTCTCCAAGTTTAGGAGCTGATTGTCATTCTGCCAAGTCACCTCATTCTTCTGTTTGAAAGACTTAAAAGGAATTCAAAGCTTTCTAGTGACAAGTTAACATATGTGACTGAGGCCGGGCGCAGTGGTTGACAATTGTAATCCCAGCACTTTGGGAGGCCGAGGTGGGTGGATCACCTGAGGTCAGGAGTCTGAGACCAGCCTGGCCAACATGGTAAAACCCCATCTCTACTAAAAATACAAAAATTAGCCAGGCATGGTGGTGTGGGTGCCTGTAATCCAAGCTACCTGGGAGCCTGAGGCAGGAGAATCGCTGGAACCCGGGAGGTCGAGGCTGCAGTGAGCTGAGATCTCACCACTGCACTCCAGCCTGGGCAACAGAGCGAGACTCCATCTCAAAAAAAAAAAAAAAAAAAGTGACTGAAAATGTGTCTGGTGATTTGGTTGCCTTCGTTTCCATTTTCTAAAACCCTCTTTGGGGTCCAGCCATGTGATGGCACTTCTTTTTCACATTGGTTCCCAGTTAGTTGAGGCTCTCCAAACCTGTCACCTCTCCTCTCCTCCCCAGGATGTCCTCGGCTGTGTCTGTGTGAACCCTGGGCGCCTTACCAAAGGGCAGGTGGGAGGCACCTTCGCCCGACTCTACCTTAGGAGGCCGGCAGCGGACGGGGCAGAGAGGCAGAGCCCATGCATTGCTGTGCAGGTCGTCAGGATCTGAGGCTTCTGTCCTCTGCTGTTCTCTGCTGTGTGGGCCCTTAAAGTCTTAGCCAAGAGCCAAGACATAGCCCTGTGACAAGGTGAACAGTTGGGTGGGAAAGGAGAGAGGAGCCAGCCAGGGAGGGGCAGCTGCAGTGACCAGGCCCAGCAGGGAGGACTTGTGCAGCCGGGCCTGCCTCTGAGTGGTGCCTCTCCTGGAAGGAAGCTCTTGCTTCTCAGTCCATGCTCCGTGTCCAGAAGTAAGCCAGCTGTGGATCCCGCCCACTCAGAAAAGGCGAGAAGGCTTTGTGATTTTCTACATGAATCAAACACAGAAACAACTTTTGGAGAAATTAAATTCTGAGTGTGACTTCTGAGTTTGACCTTTCTTCTATTTTCTTTTATTTATTTATTTTGTTTTTAGACGGAGTCTCGATCTGTCGCCCAGGCTGGAGTGCAGTGGTGAGATCTCGGCTCACTGCAAGCTCTGCCGCCCGGGTTCATGCCATTCTCCTGCCTCAGCCTCCTGAGTAGCTGGGACTACAGGCACCCACCACCACGCCTGGCTAATTTTTTGTATTTTTAGTGGAGATGGGGTTTCACCATGTTAGCCAGGATGGTCTCGATCTCCTGACCTTGTGATCTGTCCGCCTCAGCCTCCCAAAGTGCTGGGATTACAGGCGTGAGCCACCGCGCCCGGCCCCTTTCTTCTATTTTCTTTATCCTGGTAGTAGACAAAGAATGTTGCCTATTTGACCTATGTCCAGAGAAGGCAGAGTGTCAGTCACACTGGGTTTCTATCCAGCCCCAGTCCTGTCCAGTGGGTAACTCTCAGCCCCACTCCTCATCCCCCAAAGGCCCCAGTGACCTCTATGCTGCAGAGGTGCACTGGGTGGGCCCTAGAGCTGGGCTGCAGAGCAAGCAACTGGCTGCATGCCTGGGCCTCCCTGCGCAGTTCCTCACATGCATGCTGTGGTCCCAGCCTGACCTCTCCATCTGGAGGGGGCCGCCTCGCTGGGCTGTTCCAAAGCTGGAGTCCTGGTGGCAGCTGCTTTGCCAAGTCGCGCAGTAGCCAGGGCTTGCCTGCAGCCCAGAACACTCAGACAGGGTCAGGCCTTCCAGGGTTCACAGCACGTCCCATGCCCCTATGTCCTGGCATCTGGGGAAAAGCTGTCACTGGCCAGACGTGGAGTGGCTTCCTGCCCTAAGCTGGCAGGCTGTCCTGCCTCACATGCCAGAGCCAAGACCGGCAAACCCCAGCTGTCAGGGCAGGGAAGTGGGCAAGGGGGCAGCAAGCTGCTGGTGTCTATGCCTTGACTCCGAGATAAATAGATGACCTAACAGTGGCCAACTTTTGCCTCTCACCTTTCTGACGGTGAAATGGAATCGAGCCCCAGACCTGACCAGGGTACAGTAAAAGGTCTTCCTTTAAACACAAGGAGCAGCTGTTTTATTTCATTAGTTTTATAGGCACCTCCTCTGAGGCCAAGAATTAGAAACTCATCCCTGCGTGGGGAGTGGATTTTTCCGTTCTCCCCCAGCTCCTCCACACATGAAGCAGCCAGCTGTGTTCCACGGGGGCACCATGACTTGTCAGCCTCCGGATGTGGAATTTTGGGAGCCCAGGCAATGGTTGCCTGGATACCAGTCGTGTGACTGTTGGAAATGATCTGGGAGGGCCGGGAGGGCCGGAGCAGGCATTTAAGAGTCAGACAAAGAGAAAGCGGGATGCTAACACCAGAGCAGACAGGTCTGGCAGGCGTGCCTCTGCCACCAGACAGTTCCTTTTTGCTCTTGTCAGGAAGGTGCCAAGTGACTGCTGGCTGACCGTCCCTAGACCCCACTTCAGCTGTGTCACCAGTTTCCCCAGGCATCTGTCATCCCAGGTATTCTCAAGCAGGCTCTGGGGGCGTGTCAGTGACGGAGGGTGGGAGGGTGCCCAGGAGGTCAGGCCCGTCTGCCTCAGCCCCCTTTGGTGGCCTCTCCCTGATCTGGTCATGGCCCCTGCCCTTGAGACACCAACTAGACGGTCCTGAAGAAATAGTCCCGAGCTCTTGCCAGGATTTGCCTCCCATGCCCATGCCCTTGCCCTGCCTCTGCCCTGGCAGAAGGAGCCGCCCTCCCTTACCCGCCTCGTGGCTTCCCTTTAGGGTTCCAGTCTCTGAGAGGGAGAGGGAGAGCTGCTGAGGGAACAGAAGCCACTCCTAGTTGCTGTTCCTGGGAACCCAAGTGGGTGCCAAGAATGCAGCGAGGGAATTAGGGCCTCGAGGGGCACCCAAGGTTGGGGGCCGGCAGGGCCATGGCGCGGATCCTCCATCCAGCTCTGCCTTCTGCAGCCACTGGGGCTTGGGGTTTCCTTTCCTTTGACCTCAGGGCACCCGGCCCAGCTCAACCTGGCCTTGCTGCTTCACTACTGCTGGGAGTAGCCATCTGCGCTGATTTCTCACTCCACCAACCCCACCCCGACAGAGTCTCACTCTGTCGTCCGGGCTGGAGTGCAGTGGCGCGATCTCGGCTCACTGCAACCTCCACCTCCCAGGTTCAAGCGATTCTCCTGCCTCAACCTCCCGAGTAGCTGAGATTACAGGCGCCTGCCACCACGCCCAGCTAATTTTTGTATTTTCAGTAGAGACGGGGTTTCGCCATCTTGGCCAGACTGGTCTCAAACTCCTGACCTCAAGTGATCCACCCGCCTCAGCATCCTAGAGTGCTGGGATTACAGGCGTGAGCCACCATGCCCATTTTAAAGTGTATGATTCAGTGGTTTTTAGTATGTTCATGGTGTTGTGCAGGCCTCGCCACCATCTAATTCCAGAGTATTTTCATCACCCCAAAGGAAACCCTGCACCCATTAGCAGTCTAATCCCATCCCCTGGCAATCATTAATCTAATTTCTTTTCTGTAGATTTGCCTATTTTGGGCATTTTGTATAAATGGAATCATACAATACATCCTCTTTTTTTTTGAGACAGAGTTTTGCTCTTGTCACCCAGGCTGGAGTGCAGTAGCGCAATCTCGGCTCACTGCAACCTCTGCCTCCCGGGTTCGATGGATTATCCTGCCTCAGCCTCCTGAGTAGCTGGGATTACAGGTGCCTGCCACCACACCTGGCTGATTTTTATATTTTTAGTAAAGACAGGGTTTTGCCATATTGGCCAGGCTGGTCTCAAACTCCTGACCTCAGGGTTCAGCCTCCTGAGTAGCTGAGATTACAGGTGTGTCTAGAACTCCTGACCTCAGGTGATCCACTCGCCTCGGCCTCCCAAAGTGTTGGGATTACAGGCATGAGACACCGTGCCTGGCCCATGCTCTTTTCTGTCAGGTTTTGTTTGTTTGTTTTTTTGTTTGTTTCTGAGACAGAGTCTCACTCTGTCACTCAGGCTGGAGTGCAGTGGCACGATCTCTGCTCACTGCAACCTCCACCTTCCGGGTTCAAACGATTCTCCTGCCTCAGCCTCCTGTGTAGCTGGGATTACAGGCACCCGCCACCGTGCCAACTGATTTTTGTATTTTTAGTAGAGACAGGGTTTCACCATGTTGCCCAGGCTGGTCTCGAACCACTGACCTCAAGTGATCCGCCCACCTCGGCTTCCCAGAGTGTTGGGATTACAGGCGTAAGCCACTGCACCCGGCCTGTCAGGTTTGTTTCACTTAGCATGATGTTTTCAAGGTTTGTCCCTGCAGCAGCATGTATCAGTCCGCCATTCTTTTTTATGGCTAAGATCCCACTGTATGGCTATACGGTATTTTATCAGTGCATCCACTGTCGGGTTTTTCCCCTTGTGGACTATTATGAATAGTGGACGCTTGTGTGCAAGCTTTGTGTGAACACCTGTTTTCAGTTCTCTTGGGTATGTTCCTAGGAATGGGGAGGGGCTTTAGATTTACGAAGGAAGACAAGGCAAAGAGAGGGAGGGAGGAGGGACAGAGGGCGAGAGAGGGGTAAAAGAAAAGAGGGAAAGGGAAGGGAGGCAGTGATGGGCCCGGAATGGTGCTTCAGAGCCAGATTGTGAAGTCTTGCTAAGGCATTTGGACCTGATTCTTTCTGCCCCAGAGAATCTTGGAAGGGTTTGCCTCCCACCCCCTGTGCCTCACCCTGACCACCCAACAAGGACCAACTTAAGAGGAGTCCCAGGTGCAGCCTCAGTACCTGGTAGCATGTAGCAAAGGGGTGGTTTGAGGGGAGAGGGGCTCAGGGGAGGGGCCTGGGTCTGTTGGGGCAGGTCGGGAGGAAGAGGGGCACCAAGTGGGCCATTGGAATACTGGAAGCAGCACTCCAGTGAGACATGGGCGTTGGAGGGGTAGATGTGGGAGTCACTGCAGTCAAAAGCCACAGAACTGGGTGCTGGGAGGGTGGCCGAGAGATGGATGGGCAACATCCGCACCATGGAGAGGACTCTGGCCAGCACTTGCACTTAGCATCACTGATCAACAAGGCAAAAGGGTGGGACTGGCCTGGGGGCAGGGGAGGGAAGAGGGATGGCAACAGAGAGGTGCTGGGATTTCTGGCTAAAGAGACCAGAAGACACCCATGGTTGTTCATGGCAAGACTCCCAGCTGCATTCAGGCATTTGGGACCTTCTGTCACCGTCATTGGTCATTCTGGGTCTTCAGTCCCCAAGCGACCATGCCTACTGCTGCTTTCGTGGGTCAGCCCTGGAAATGCCCAGGGGCCTAGGGGCTGGCCTGCCCTCAGACCCAGCTGGACTGCCGCTGGCTCTGAATTCCTCCATCCTGCCCCGCCTCTTCCCGGGGCTCTAGGCTCCTCCCCACCCAGAGCCTGCCTGACAGCTGAGGCCCTGCAGCTGCCCAGGCAAAGGGGCCCCTGGGAGGTCTCAGGGACAGCTGCTGCCCATAACCTTGCTGACCCTGGCCCCTGCACACTGCTCCCTGAGATCCCAGGCTTCTGCCCAGCAGCCAGCAGGACCCTACCAAGCCCCATCTTCTCTGCTCACTCCCATCGCTCCCAGATCTTCCCAGGGGCTGAAGCATTTTGGGCTGAGCATTTTCGTGCTGAGTCAGCAGGCCCCACCCAAAGAGTGAGAAAAGCTGCTGGGTAGAGGCACCCCTAGCCCCGCTCCTGCTTCAGAGGAAGTGCCTTTCAGGGGTGGATGAGGGGTACACCTGCCTCCGTCAGGCAGGCTTGGCCCTGTTCAACAGGGTGGGGACCCTGCCCTCCCACCACCTGCCTCCTACCACAGAACAGGGCACAAGGGTGGCACAAGGGGAAAAAGGAGAAGGCACCATCACTCCTGATTCCCAGCGAATAGGGGGAAAAGGCATACTCACTCCTGATTCCTGGCAGCTTCTTCCCTTGAAGGTCCACTTTCCTCCTGAGGACTCGAGGCCCCTTCAAATTGCCCCTTAGAATGTTTCTAGTAATAGTAGTTGCCTCTGGGGACGGGTGTCCAAGGGCTAGGGGTCAGGAGTAGGAGGGCTCAGAGAACGATTTGTCATGTCCACACTCAACCTGTTTGAATTTTTTTTTTTATTTTTTTGGAGACAGAGTCTCACTCTGTCGCCCAGTCTAAGTGCTGTGGTGCCATCACAGCTCGCTGCAGCCTCAACCTCCCAGGCTCAAGTGATCCTCTTGCATCCGCCTCCTGAGTAGCTGGGACCACAGGTGTGCGCCACCACACCCAGCTAATTTTTGAGTTTTTGATAGAGACAGTTTCGCCACGTTGCCCAGGCCAGTTCAAGCAATCCTCCTGCCTGAGCCTCCCAAATTGTTGGGACTACAGGCATGAACCACCACACCCAGCTGTGTTTGAAATTTTTTACCATGTGTCTGGATTACTTTAAAAGAAGGTGGGGGCCAGGCGCGGTGGCTGACGCCTGTAATCCCAGCACTTTGGGAGGCCGAGGCGGGTGGATCATGAGGTCAGGAGATCAAGACCATCCTGGCTAACACGGTGAAACCCCGTCTCTACTAAAAACACAAAAAATTGGCCGGGCATGGTGGCAGGCACCTGTAGTCCCAGCTACTCAGGAGGCTGAGTCAGGAGAATGGCGTGAACCCGGGAGGTGGAGCTTGCAGTAAGCGGAGATCGCACCACTGCACTCCAGCCTGGGCAACGGAGTGAGACTCTGTCTCCAAAAAAAAAAAAAAAAAAACCGAAGAAGGTGGGGATGGGCACAGTGGCTCATGCTTATAATCCCAGCAATTTGGGAGGCTGAGGCAGGAAGATCACTTGAGCCCAGGCAGTGGAGATTGCAGTGAGCTGACATTGTGCCACTGCGCTCCAGCCTGGGCGATAGAGCAAGACTCAGTCTCAAAAAAAAAGAGGGGGTAGAGTGGTGGGAATAGACATATACAAATGTTTATATGTCGATCCAGCTTTCTGTAAGCACTCCACACCCCACAGCTGTTGTAGCATCCACCTCCTTGGGAGGCAGGCTCTCAGAATCCCTGCTCCCTGAGGGCAGGGAGTGTCATGTTCACTGTTGTCTCACTGGTCCCTAGACAGTGCTTGGCACATAGTAGGCCCACAAAGAAACTCCTGCAGAAGCAGTGCCCTCCTATGACATGCCTCTCCACCTTCCAGAAGCAGGCAGCTTGGAAAGAAAAGAGGTGGGAGGCCCACCTGCAGGGACAGCACAACACCTGCTAAGGGCCCTGCAGGTTGGGGGTCTCTCCTCGGCAGCGGGATGCAGAAATGAATGAGTGGACAGAATCTCTGCTGCCACCCAGAGCTGCCACTCCAGCACAGAAACCTGTAAACAGTGGACACTGCAGAGCATCAGATGGAGTCAAGTGTGTCAGATGGAGAAAACCAGAGCAGGCCAAGGGCAGAGGTGCCTGGAGTTGTGGTGGGTGCTGCACAGAGGAGGGGTCACCAGCTCCCAACTTTTATTTCCTAAACATGTGTCTCCCATACACCCTCTTCTTGCTATCCCCGGCATCCTACCATCCACCCATCCGTCCACCCATCCATTTACCTAACCATCCATTCTTCCATCCATCCGTCCATCCATTCATCTACCCACCCACCCATCTATCTATCCATCCACGTAACCATCCATCCTTTCTTCCATCCATCCATCCTTCCATCCACCCACCCACCCACTCATCCATCCATCCATAGACTTAACCATCCATCCATTCATCCATCCACCCACCCATGAACTTAACCATCCATCTTTTCATCCATCCATCAACCCACCCATCAACCCACCCATCCACCCAACCATCCACCCACCCACCCATCCATCCACTCATCCATATTCACTGGGTGCCTACCACATGGCACACACTCTGGGGGACTGGCTATGATCCAATGGAAAATGGACATGAACCAAATGACAACGCCACGGAGAGGTCCATGGTCCAGAGTTTCCCACGGTATCACAAGGTGACCCAACATCAATGGGGGTCCAGAAAGCTTCCCTGAGGGGAGACATCACAGCTGAGAGCCACGGGAGGCATGGGGGTGGCCAGGTGAGGTGGAGGGAGCAAATCGCAGGGCTCATGGAGGAGCATGTGCAGGGACCTAGCCCTGGAGGCTGGGCACCGCCGACAGCTGACAGGCACATGTTCAGGGCAGCAGGCATGGAGCACTGGCTGGAGGCTGAAGAGGCTAGCAGGGGCCCTGCTGCAGGTTTGTGACCATGGCAGCACACGAACAGGGCACGTGGCAGTCAGAGTGGTGTTTTTGTCTATCACCATGTGGTGTGGAGAATAGGCAGGCAGCACATCATCCTGGCCCCCAAAACCCTTGCGGGCTCCATTCTCCCCCCACCCCCACCCTGTCACCCAAGTTGTAAGCCTGGACTGGGCCTGACTCCCCCTTCTTCCTCCATGGCCCTCCATGGGGGCTAACCTATCACCTAATCTCAGCCTTTCAACTTCATCATCTCCATCTCCAGCTCTCACACCACTCTTCAGGACCAAATTTTCTCTCCCTTCTACGCTAACTGTCCCCAGAAGTGGCCTCTGCCTCTAGTCTGGCCTCCCTCCAGGCCCCCCTCTCCAAAGCTGCCCGGCACCACCTCTGCAGAAATTCTGCAGTTCATTCACCAAAAAGAAACACATGTGGCTCTTAAGCAAATGAAAAGGTGACCAGCCTCACGCATCGTAAGAGAAACGCAAACTCTAACTACACCCAAATTCCTTTGTTTTGTTTAGTTTTTGCCTTTCAGATGGACAAAAATCAAAATAGGTGGAAACCAGGGGCTGGTGAGCCTGAGGAGAAACAGCCCTGTTGACTGTGTGGGGGCCTGGTACCTGGCACAGTCTCCAAGAAGGACAAGCTGACAGAGCTGACAAAATGACCACTGCAAGCTGGGCACGGTGGTGCGTGCCTGTAGTCCCAGCCACGCAGGAGGCCAAGGCGGGAGGATGGCTTAAGCCCAGGAGGTCGAGGCTGCAGTCAGCTATGATGACACCATTGTACATTGTACTCCAGCCTGGGTGACAGAGCAGGACCCTGTCTCTAAAATAACAATAATAAGACACCACTGCATGTATCTTTTGCCCCCCAGTCCTCCCAAGTCCCTTCTGGGAATGTATTCCGCAGCAGCGCTCGTGCATGTGTGAAAGGGCTTTTGTACAGATGACTCACTGCGGCACGGCCTGTCTTGAGAAAGGGCTGGAAGCAACCTGAAGGTCCCTCTGCCAAGAAGTGCATCTGTAAATTACCATACATCCTTGTGCTGGAATACCGTGCAGCTGTGAAAATGAGGACACACTCTATGTATTGATGTAGAGTGGTCTCCAAAATATAACGTTAACTGGAAAACGCAAGGTGTCAAACAGCATGAACAGCAGAGGCTCAATGAAAGGGCTTCTCACAGTCCCGAGCAGGACGGCCCTCCGCCAGCTACCACCAGGGCCTGCAGTACTTTGGAACTCTACTTGTCTAAATATTGACATTTGTGTTAAAAAAAAAAAAAATGAGAGGGGCCCTGCTCGTTCATGCAAGAATATCCCTAGAAGTGTTTACAAGAAACTGATAACACCAGTTGGCTATAGCAGAATGGAGAACTGTCCCTGGGGGACAGGGATGAGACTTCTTGCCTCTTAGGACTTCAGAATTTCTTTTTCTTTCTTTCTTTTTTTTTTCTTTTTGAGATGGAGTTTCACTCTGTCGCTCAGGCACCCAGTACAGTGGTGTGATCTTGGCTCACCACAACCTTCGCCTCCCAGGTTCAAGCGACTCTCCTGCCTCAGCCTCCTGAGTAGCTGGGATTACAGGCACCCACCACCATGCCTGGCTAATTTCTGTATTTTTAGGAGAGACGAGGTTTTGCCATGTGGGCCAGGCTGGTCTCGAACTCCCGACCTCAGGTGATCCGCACCCCACCCCCTACCTTGGCCTCCCAAACTGTTGGGATTACAGGTGTGAGCCACCATATCCAGCCAACTTCTGAATTCTGAATCACATGAAAGCATTACCTCAGCCAGGCGCTTTGGCTCACCCTTATAACCCCAGCACTTTGGGAGGCCGAGGCAGATGAATTGCTTGAGCCCAGGAGTTCAAGACCAGCCTGGACAACATGGCGAAAACCCGTCTCTACAAAAAATACAAAGATTAGCAAATGGCATGTGCCTGTGGTCACAGCTACTCAGGAGGATTGCTTGGGCCCAGGAAGTTGAGGCTGCAGTGAGCAGTGATCACGCCGCTGCATTCCAGCGATACAGCAAGACCCTATCTCAAAGAAAGAAAAAGAAAAGAAAGAGCATTACCTAATCAAAAAGTAATTATTATTATTATTATTATTATTTTATTATTTTGAGACAGAGTCTCACTCTGTCGCCTAGGCTGGAGTGCAGTGGCACAATCTTGGCTCACTGCAACCTCCGCCTCCCAGGCTCAAGTGATTCTCCTGCCTCAGCCTCCTGAGTAGCTGCGACTACAGGCACGTGCCACCACGCCTCGCTAATTTTTGTATTTTTAGTAGAGACGGGTTTTCACCATGTTCCCCAGGCTGGTCTCGAACTCCTAACCTCAGCTGATCCACCCGCCTTGGCCTCCCAAAGTGCTGGGATTACAGGCGTGAGCCACCGCACCCGGCCTCAAAAAGTAATTTAAATGAAAGAAAATGCAGTTCTGATGGTGTTGTACCTCTACACACAGATCATCGTTGCCTTTCCCACAGCACTCGGCAACTCTCATGAGTGATCACCTGCCTTTAGCTATTCTGCAATGGGCCCTTCATTCTCAGTGGCAAGTGACAGACCCAACCCTAACTGTATTAAGCCAAAACTGGAATTTGTTGGCTCGTAGAATAGAAACTGCTTCAGGCATGACTGGATCCAGGAGCACAGGCAATGTCATTGAGATTCATTCTCTTGGTGCTGTTTTCTTCTATGTTGGCCTTATTCTTAGGCAGGCTCCCCCCTTAGGGTGGCAGAGCTGGCCACCAGCAGCTCTGGGCTGGCATCTTGACATTTGTGACCCTAACAGTCCCATCAAGTTCCTGGGCTGATGCTCTCTGATGTCATATGCTGGAGCCATTCCCATGACTCAGACTGGCTAGGCACAGGACTCAAACCCACTTTTAGAGCTTGAGGGTTGGGGGCCAGTCACACTGGAGACTAGAAAACTGAGGGACAGTCACCAGAGTGAGAGATGGATGCTGGGCAGGGAAAACAGTGCTTACCCACTACCCTCTTGGCCTGTCCCCTCTCCTATGCCATGGGCAACTGGACCTCTCTTGTTTTCTGCTCATACCATGACTTTACTTGCAATCCTCCTGGCCTTTGCCTTGCCAGGCCTCTGCCTGCTTCCCCTGGAATGTCCTTCCCTTTCTGTGCCTGGCAAACTCCTATTCATCCATTTATGCCCTGTTCACATATCACCTTCTCCTTGAAGCCCTTCTCACTCTCCCATCTGCTTTCCCACCCATAGCAGACAGATCTCATGGCTGTTCTCTTTGGTTTTTCATTCAATTCCCAGTCATTGGCTGAACCCCTCCGTGCTGGCCCGGGAGGGATAAAGGGCAGAATCAATTATTTGTTTCTCACGCAGGTTATCTGTTCCCTGAGGGCTGGGTCCAGCTTTGGCCACCTGTGTCTTCTCTAGTCCAGCATAGCCCTAGGCACAAGAGAGATGCAAGCCTAGGTTTTCAGAATGAGGAATGACAGGATACCTGGAAGGCACAGAAAGTGTGGAAGACAGCCTCTGCTGACTCCACAATTTACTCCCTACGACAAAATGACAGCCTTGGGGCTGGGACGCTCCCAGAGGGCTCTGGGAGGAAGTGCTTGGGCTGGTCCCTGCTAGGACAAGGCTGTCACCACTCTGGAAACCCCCATAGCCCTGGGCCCGAGGCCAAAATCCAGATGCGAAGGGAAGTGCCCCCAGCAAGGCCCTGCCACCCAACTCCCAAGGAGGGGTCCCAGGCAGAGGCAGCAGCTGGAGCCAACTCCGAGGGTGACCTCTCATCTCAAATCCCAGCCTCCAGTGGGTCACAGTTCTCTGAAGTGGGGTGAAGAGCGAGGAGGGCAGGGCTGGAGTTGGCAGGAGTCCAGGGGAGGAAGGAAGCAAGAAACAAGGAAAAAATCCAACCCAGGTCTGGGGTTGGCTCAGGCCACAGGGCCCTGCAGGCTGAGCTTAGGCTGGGACGTCAGAAGCTTCCAGAGGGTGGCTGAGCACCTTCTCAGCTCCCTGCCACCCTGCATCCCAGCAGAGGGACTGGGGCACCTCCAGAGACCCCTGTCACTTCTTAGCACCTCCCCTAGATGCACCCCCAAGATGCGCCTCCCCTAGATGCCACTCTTCCCTGTGACTCTGCTCCCAGACCCCAAGTCCCTGTCATCTCACCTGCCCCCCAGGGTCCTGGGTTCCAGGTTTCGTGCCCATGGAGAGCTGGCTTCAGCCTCCCTGGGGGTAGGAGGGAGCTTCCCTGCTGGTCTCTCCAATCTGGCCAGTGTTGCCGGAGGGGGCTTCCAACTCCATCCCCCAGGTCCCATGGGGGTGCTATGGCCGCTGGTGATGGCAATTTCCAGGAAGGAGAGGCTGGGAGGGGAAGGAAGGGCTGAGTCAGTCCCTGTGTAGTGATCACAGTCGGGGAGGTGGCTGTGGGGTTGGTTGGGGAGCCTATTGGGCCCATCTCAGGACAAGGGAGAGGCTCCAGGCTGAGGAGACAGAAGCCAAATACCCTGCTCTGGGTGTTTCTCCATCGTGGCCTGCTCTGCCCCTCCCAAATGCCCTTTTGTTTTTTTTTTAATTTTAATTTTTATTTTCTTAGACGGAGTCGCGCACTGTCGCCCAAGCTGGAGGGCAGTGGCGTGATCTCAGCTCACTGCAAGCTCCGCCTCCTGGGTTCATGCCATTCTCCTGCCTCAGCCTCCCAAGTAGCTGGGACTACAGGCACCCGCCACCATGCCAGGCTAATTTTTTGTATTTTTAGTAGAGACGGGGTTTCACCGTGTTAGCCAGGATGATCTCAATCTCCTCACCTCGTGATCGGCCTGCCTCAGCCTCCCAAGGTGCTGGGATTATAGGCGTGAGCCACCGCGCCCGGCCTTTTTTTTTTTTTTTTGAGATGGAGTCTTGCTGTGTCACCCAGGCTAGAGTGCAGTGGTACAGTCTTGGTCACTGCAACCCCTGCCTCCCAGGCTCAAGCAATTCTTCTGCCTCAGTCTCCCAAGTAGCTGGGACTACAGGCGTGTGCCACCACGCCTGGCTAATTTTTGTATTTTTAGTAGAGACGGGGTTTCACCATGTTGACCAGGCTGGTCTCGAACTCCTGACCTCAGTTGATCCGCCCACCTCAGCCTCCCAAAGTGCTGGGATGACAGGTGTGAGCCACCACATCCAGCCCCAGATGCCCTTTTGGATCCTGCCCCTGAGGTAGCAGGGTGTCCAGGAGCCCTTCTGTCCAGGACAGTCCAGGCCCTGGCTGAGGCATCAGACCCTAGGGTCCAGGCTGGGGGATGCAGCGCTTGGCCTGAGTGTCTTGGGTCAAAATGCAGGCCACGCTTCCCCGTGGCTCAGGCTATTCCAGCCTCCCTACCCACACCCCAGGCCCCTACATATAGCCTGAGAACTTGCACAAAAAAGCCAAGTTTAGTAAATGAAATCCTGTTTTATACATGGCCTTATGAATGGCAGGGCTCCCATGGCGATGCTGGGTGTGCACACAAAGATCCTGTCCATTCAGCAGAACCTCCTCAGGGATCCCCTGGGCCCCAGCCAAGTGACAACCACATCTGTGAATGGGGAGAAGGAAGCGCCCTCCCTGCATGCTTGCACAGCGCAGAACCCAGGGCCAGGCGCCGATCACTCCTGCGATGTGGACTTGGTCGGGCCCCCTGCTCTGAATGACAGCAGGAGTGGATTGAGCGGCAAGGGGACTGGCACTGGGCGGAACACGTCACATCCAGGTGGGTTGAAAACAGTCCCCAGAGTGCAGATAGCATTTCTAGTCCTGGTTGGAAGGCTCAGGGAGGAAAGCAGGAGCTTGGACCAGGTTTGCGGGCTCTGCTGCTCTCTATCCCTACCCGAGGGACCCCTAATCACCCACCCCCCACAGAACTTCTTCAAAGAGCTCCGGGGTTGGTCCCCAGCTGTGTGTGGCCTTGGGTGAGAGGCTTTGTTTCTCCATCTTCCATCCCTGTAACTCTGTTTTGTCCCCAGCTCTGAATGGAGTGCCTGACCCTTCCCTGACCGCTACCCCCCAATGGAGGACTCTCAGCAGATGGGCAGGGGATGAGGGCTTGGCCTGAGCCTCATTCCCGCAGGCTTAGGTGGCTTCATCATTACAGCCATTCCGATCAAGCAGCACAGCCAGCTGGCCAGGCCCCAAAGCTCTTGTCTAATGTGTCCGTGAAACAATGCCACCTGAGGGGCTGCGTATTCCCATGAACAAAATACATGCATGTCCATCCCTTATCTGGTTTGGGACTTGCCTGACCTGATGCTACTACCCCATATTATAGGCAAGGAGACTCTGGAAGGGAAGGTCCTTTGCCTGTGGCCACAGAGCAAAGCAGCAGCAGAGACAGCTCAGAATCTGACTGATGGCTCAGAGGCCGGGGCTCAAGGCACTCAGCTGCCCCTCCTCTCTGAGAGCTGTGTCCTGGGGATGGGCAGGAATGATGCCTGTGGGGTTAGAAGCCTGAGAGAAGGAGGGGCCAGAGCCCACATGCCTTGCCACTTCTAGGCTCAGCAAATCACTGTCGGTGCCCTGAGCTTTAGTTCCCATCTGTAAAATGGGGATCGTGATTCAGGCTCTGGCCACGTCACTAGGCACCCCCAGGAGGATGTAAAGAATTCAGGAACATGAAGCAATGGGTAAAGGGCACAGGGCGGCCTGGCAAAGTCCCATGGCAAGAATGGGGAGAGGCACACCCTTTACTCACCCCTACCACAGCTTGGCCCAGGGCCATCATTGCCACTTACTCAATGGTCCAGGCCTGTTTTCCTCCAAGCTGCCAGGCCATTCCTGGCAGAATCCACCTGACCAATACTCCCTGCAGAGTTGAGGGCACACTCAAGATTAAAACCTGAACCTCCTTGGATTCGTTTTCTATCACTGCTACAACAAATTATCATGGAATAGGTGGCTTAAAACAACAGAAATTCGTGATCTTACAGTTCTATAGGTTAGAAGGTCAACATGGGGCTGAGCGAGGTGGCTCATGCCTATAATCCCAGCACTTTGGGAGGCCAAGGTGGGTGGATCACTTGAGGTCAGGAGTTTGAGAGCAGCCTGGCCAACATGGTGAAACCCTATCTATACTAAAAATACAAAAATTAGCCAGGCATGGTGGCGGGCGTCTGTAACCCCAGCTACTCGGGAGGCTGAGGCAGGAGAATCGCTTGAACCTAGGAGATGGAGGTTGCAGTGAGCCGAGGTTGCACCACTGCACTCCAGCCTGGGCAATAGAGCAAGACTCTATCTCAAAAAAAAAAAAAAAAAAAGGCCAATGTGTGAGTCTCACTGAGCTAAGATCAAGGTGAGGAGGTGAGGGCAGGGCTGTGTTCCTTCTGGAGCCTCTAGGGTAGATAGGGTAGAACCTGTTTCCTTGTATTTTCCAGCTTCTGAAGCAGTTCCTTGGTTTGGGGCCTCTGCCTCCATCTTCAAAGGCAGCAACACATCATTTCTCTGGCCCTTCAGTCATCACATCTCTCTCTTTTTTTTTTGAGACGGAGTCTCGCTGTGTCACTCCAGCTAGAGTGCAATGGCACAATCTCGACTCACTGCAACCTCTGTCTCCCAGGTTCAAGCGATTTTCCTGCCTCAGCCCCCCAAGTAGCTGGGACTACAGGCACGTGTCACCACACCCAGCTAATTTTTTGTATTTTTAGTAGAGACGGGGTTTCACCGTGTTAGCCAGGATGGTCTTGAACTCCTGACCTTGTGATCCACCCGTCTCAGCCTCCCAAAGTGCTGGGATTACAGGCGTGAGTCGTGAGCCACCACGCCCGGCCTATCACATCTCTTTCTCTGTCTCCTGCTTCTACTTTTAAAAACCCTTGTTATTACACTGGCCCACCCAGATACTTCAGCATAAGCTATTTTAAAGTCAGCTGATTTGCAACCATAATTTCATTGGCAATTTTCTTTTTTTTCTTTTTTTTTTTTTTGAGACGGAGTCTCGCTCTGTCGCCCAGGCTGGAGTGCAGTGGTGCGATCTCGGCTCACTACAAGCTCCGCCTCCCAGGTTCATGCCATTCTCCTGCCTCAGCCTCCTGAGTAGCTGGGACTACAGGCGCCCGAGTAGCTGGGACTGCAGGTGCCTGCCACCATGCTCGGCTAATTTTTTTTTTTTTTTGTATTTTTAGTAGAGACGGGATTTCACCATATTAGCCAGGATGGTCTCGATCTCCTGACCTCGTGATCCACCTGCCTTGACCTCCCAAAGTGCTGGGATTACAGGCATGAGCCACGGCGCCCAGCCCTCATTGGCAATTTTCATTTCCATTTCTCATGTAACAAAACATATTCATAGATTACACAGGTTCGGATGTGGGCTTTTTTTCTTTTCTTTTTTTTTTTTTACATGGGTTTTTGCTCTATTGCCCAGGCTGGAGTGCAGTGGCGTGATCACAGCTCACTGCAGCCTTAACCTCCCAGGTTCAAGCAATTCTCCTACCTAAGCCTCCAGAGTACCTGGGACTACAGGCTTGAGCCACCATGTCCGGCTAATTTATTTGTTGTAGAAACAGGGTCTCACTATGTTGCTCAGGCTGGTGTCAGTGTCAAACTCCTGGACCCAAGCAATCCTCCCACCTTGGCCTCCCAAAGTGCTGGGATTATAGGCATGAGCCACAGCACCTGGCTAGATGTGAACATATTTAGGGGGGCTGTTATTTTACCTACCATGATCCCCTTCTTCCCATCCGGACCTCCCAGCTTGTCTGGCATCTTCCCCCACCCCCAGCATCCTGCCTCCCCCACTGAGGTCTTCCCGGCTCTGCCTCCCTAAAAGCCCTTCCCACACTGACAGCATTGAAGCCAACCATCCTGGTCACACTGAGCTGGCATAGCTGTCATCCTCTAGAAAGTGAGGTCTGTCCACCCCGTCACTACCCACCACTTCCTCTGCCCCACTCTTCTTAGCACTTACCCACCTGGAAGGGTATCATGATGTACCTGGGAACTTGGATTTCCCCCATTTCCCTTCTCTGGGCTGCAGGTCCCAATCCAGAGGCTGAATCCCCAGGGACAAGAACAGCGCTAGGCACTTGGTAGATACTCAACAAATCTCTCTTGAGTCACTGAGAGGTGCAGTTTCCTTCAGTCTGTCTCCAGCACCCTGTGCGGTGCCTGCCCTTCAAAACATGTTTCTGGGCCGGGCGCGGTGGCTCACGCCTGTAATTGCAGCACTTCGGGAGGCCGAGGCGGGCAGATCACTTGAGGTCGGGAATTCGAGACCAGCCTGGCCAACATGGAGAAACTCCGTCTCTACTAAGAATACAAAAATTAGCCAGGTGTGCTGGCACATGCCTGTAATCCCAGCTACTCGGGAGGCTGAGGCAGGAGAATCTCTTGAACCCAGGAGACGGAGGTTGCGGTGAGCAGTCTGGGCAACAAGAGCGAAACTCTGTCTCAAAAAAAAAAAAAGTTTCTGGCCCTGTAGGAATGACTGACTGACTGACTGAAAGAATGAATGGACCAGGAACTAGTCTGAATATGAGCCCCACCTTCACTCTGGAAGCCTGACAGCAAAGACGGGGGTCCAGGCCACGCGGCCTCTGCCTTCCCATACTGTCTTTTCTAGTGGGAGGTAAACTGATCAACTAGCTTGTAAGTTTGTAGTATTCTAACGTAGGCGCTTCCAAGGAAGTCGCTGAATATACTTGTGCCGGCGCTTCCCCGACGCAGCCCTGCAGGGAAGGATCCGGTCCAAGGTCTCTCTGCGATTTCTGAAGAATTCGGTCTTCCCGGAGCCTCTCCCCCGGCTCTTCTAGAACCGAAGGTTTTAGTTCCCATGGGCACAGCCGGAGGCCGCCTGCGCCACCCGGCCCTCAGCCGCCAGAACCAGGACAGGACTCCAGGGCGCGCGCGACCGCTGGACCCGGGAGCGGCACCTCCCACGCCGGGAGCCCCGGGCGGTGCCCGGAGTGGGGCGGGGCCTGGGCGGGGATGGGGAGGGGCTTGGCTGGCGCGGCCCCGGCATTGGCTCCGCGGGCCGGGGCGGGGCTGCGGGGTCCGCGGTGCACTCTGTAAGTTCACCGCCGGTCGGGTCCGGCCGCCGCGCTGTCCAGCTCCTGAGACCTTGCTGTCCGCCGGTCTGCCGTCTGCGCGCCTCACGGTGAGTTCGGGCTGGGATTTTCGCAGCTTCGCGGGGGTCCCCCGAGAGGCCCATCTCTGTGGCGCCCCGCCCCAGCTCGCGCCCTGGCTCTGCCTCTCACCTCACTCAGTTCCTTTCGAGGGCTCCTAGGGCTCCATGGGGCTTCCCACCCGCATCTGGGTTCCCGCAGCCTCGCCCGTGCCCGCCACGGTCCGTGGGGGCGCAACGCATCCCGACCCCGAATTCCCCGTTCTGCCCTCCATTTTGTGTCCGGGCCCCCGCCCCCCTCCCGAGACCCAGGGGTGCCCCGCCGCCCAGCATCCCCACCGGGGCTGGGGGCCGTATTTTTAGCCGATAGTGAGTTGTTCTCCTATCTTTAGCTGCGGCCGCGAATGTCCTGAAACGGATCCGGGCTGGGCTGGGCTCCGCCCGGGTAGGAGTGGGGAGGGGTCGGCGCAGGAACCCGAGCCGGAGCTAAGGAGCCGGACCCGTGGGAGGGGCGGGGGCCCGCACGCCCGAGCTCTGGCCCTGTGCCGAGCGGACACTAGGACATCGCCCAGGCCGGAAAGCACAGGGGGGAGGCTCCTCCCAGAGCTTGGAGACTAGGGCAGGGTCCCCAATCGCCCCCTTTTTCCCCGATTGTGGGACCAGAAACCCCGAAGCAAAAAGATCTCGCAGGTAATCCCCATCTGGTACTTGAACGCGCAGCTCCTTGGGGACCGCCTGCCTGGAGCCCGGGGGAGGGGCGCTGGAGACCCCGGTGCGCTCTCGGAGTCCTCCGGGACACGAGGCGATCAAGGGAGCACGCGCGCCACCTGGCGGCCGCGGAGCCGGGCACCTCTCCGGAGGCACCGGGACCCCGGGAGACCCAGCGGCCGCTAGAGGGTCTCTGCATCCTCGAGGTCTAGGAGGGCGGGAGGAGGTGGACGCCTGGGGTCAGGAGCCCTTCGTTTTTGCTATTGTTCAAAGCACTGGCCCCGGAGAATCGAAGTGCTTGAGGAAGGAAGGCCTTGTAGATATTTGCTGAATGAATGATAAAACCTACAGTGACCCGCTGAACCCCGCTATTGTACATTGGCGCTCTCACCTGCAATATTGCAGTGGGATCTCCAGTGGCCCTTTAGTGGTGGCTTCGTTGTCAGCCCATTTTATAGATGGGAAAGGTGAGACCCAGAGAGGAGAGGCGTCTTGCTGAAGGTTACTGAGGAAGTCCCAGGTGGAGCTGGATTTAAGGACAGTCTCCTGATTTAGGAGAAGAGGGGGTGTGAGGTGGCCTAATATTCTTCATGATAGGAGGATCCCTGCCTGCCGGAAGTCATTTTCTCATTGGGAGGTCCAGGGCTCCTGTCCAGGGCAATCACAGAGAGCTAGGATGCTCCTATCTGCTCCCCGACTGCTGCAGGGAGCTCCCCTCCCAGCTCCCCACAGCCCTGTCCTGATGGAGACCTCATTCTCATATCTCTGGACACATGAAAGTTGGGCAGACGGGGGCAGCCAAAGGTCAGGATGTAGATGGAGGAGATCTGGGGACCCACTGTTCCCAGCCTAGCTGTGAGCCCCTTTCTCTCCCGCTCCCCAAACATATTATGGAAGTAGGCGTGGCCCACTGCATGGGAACCACGTGGACCAGGCTGGGTACCCACTCTTCCACTTCCTAACTGGATGACGTCGCCAATGTTACTTAACATCTCTGAGGTTCAGCTTCGACTTCTGTAAAGGGCCGTAATGACCCCACCATGCCGTGACTGGGAGCTTTAAGATGAGAAACTGTGCGTGGCAAGCTGGATCCTAGGGTCTTGCAGTTGCCAAATCTAAATTCCTGGGGCGTGAGGGTTGTAATTCCCAGCTCTCCCCTGGGCCGCTGATGCTGGCCTCACCCTCGATTCTCCCCACATCTGGAATTGGGTGTGTACATCTGGCTGTGAGTGAGACAGCTGTCAGGGACGCCCAATTTGTTGTGGAAACACTCAGGCTGTCTTGGCGCTGCCGTGTGATGGGGTTGGGGGTGCGGGGAGGACCTGGCCCAGGCTCTGGGTACATCCCACCAGTCAGCCCCACGCTCCATGAGTGAAAAGGAAGACAAGCCCCCCCCAGGACTTCTCTCCTGACGAGCGACAAATTGCATGTTTGTCAGCATGGCCCCCAGGCCTGGCATGGTTGACACAGGATGAATGCGTGACGGGATTCCAAGACCTCAGGGTGCCCATGCGTCCCCACCCTTCCCCCAGCTCCTTGCAAGCTGAGCTGGATTTCCGCCACGGGAGAGTCATTCCTTTGTTTCCTGTTAAGCTCCAGGTGCTCTGGGAGGGGTAAGATGTCCGGCCTCTGTGGCTCAGTACGACTGACCCGGGTGTCCGGTCCTGGGGTGGGGTTTCCTGAGCAAGGGCCTCAGCTGGTGGGGGGAGGGGGGCAGTTGGACTCTGCTTCTCCTGCATCCTCCTTCCTCCTTCCTGCTCCCGCCTCCCAACCCCCTCACCCCCACCCTCACCCTGCCCAGAATGAAAACTGAGGCAAAGAACTGGCAAGAGCCACCTTTGGTGAGCCCCTGGCTGGGCCTGGGGAGGGAGTGGTACAGGAGGGTGGGCTCATCTGGCTTGAATTCCCATGCTGCCCTTACTCACTGGGTGACCTTGGACAAGTTTCTCTCTTTGCCTTTTATGCTGAGTCTACATCTGGGCTCATGTGTACTGGACCAATCAGGTCCCATGTGCGTCCCCCACCCTCAAGCAGAGGGAGTGCTTGCTTCATTTCTTTTTTCTGTTAAATCAGTATGACACCCCTTCATAGCTATTTATTTTTACACATTAAAAATAGCTTAATTTTTTTCTGACTACATAAATATGTGCATATAAATAATACATTGCTTATTAGTAAGAATTTGAATTCATAGAGGTCTGAACAAGAAAGGAAACATCAACCTGAAATTCTACCACTTTGAGAAAACCACTGTTCCATCTTTTCATATTTATATATATTACACACATTTATCATGTCATAGTCATGGGACCAAAATATTATAGGTTATTTTTATTGATGACTCCTTTCCTCCCATATCAGTGACCCCACCCCCCATCCCTGCTGTGTACCCTAGTCAAGGTAGCCCATATGACAACCTAGGGCTGGCCTTCTAGATTTTTCTCTGTGTTTTAAATTTTTTTTTTAATTTTTTTTATTTTTTTTGAGGCGGAGTCTCACTCTGTCACCCAGGCTGGAGTGCAGTGGCACGATCTAGGCCCACTGCAACCTCTGCCTCCTGGGTTCAAGCAATTCTTCTGCCTCAGCCTCCTGAGTAGTTGGTATTACAGACTTGTGCCACCACACCTGGCAAATTTTTTTTTTGAGACGGAGACTCTCTCTGTTGCCCAGGCTGGAGTGCAGTGGCGCGATCTAGGCCCACTGCAGCCTCTGCCTCCCGGGTTTAAGTAATTCTTCTGCCTCAGCCTCCCGAGTAGCTGGTATTACAGACCTGCGCCACCACACCTGGCAAATTTTTTTTTTTTTTTTTTTTGAGATGGAGACACTCTCTGTCCCCCAGGCTGGAGTGCAGTGGTGCGATCTCAGCTCACTGCAAGCTCTGCCTCCCGGGTTCACGCCATTCTCCTGCCTCAGCCTTCCGAGTAGCTGGGACTACAGGCGCCAGCCACCATGCCCGGCTAATTTTTTGTATTTTTAGTAGAGACGGGGTTTCACCGTGTTAGCCAGGATGGTCTCGATCTCCTGACCTCATGATCCGCCCGCCTCGGCCTCCTAAAGTGCTGGGATTACAGGCGTGAACCACCGCGCCCGGCCTAACACCTGGCTAATTTTTGTATATTTAGTAGAGATGGGGTCTCCACATGTTGGCCAGGCTGGTCTCGAACTCCTGATCTCAGGTGATCCGCCCACCTCGGCCTCCCAAAGTGCTGGGATTACAGAAGTGAGCCACTGCACCTGACTTTTTTTTTTTTTTTTTTTTTTTTTTTTTTTTTTTTTTTGTATAGGACAGAATTCTACACAGACCTGTACCCATGCAGTTACACAACATGCATATGTGTCAGAGCAGGGAGGCAGGTAGGTAGTCAATGCTTTCAATAAATGGATGATCTATATTATGTTTTTGCATTTTGCTTCTCTCTCTCTGCAATGCCCTGTGGGAATCCTCCAAAATTTTTCACCTGTAGGTTCACCTCAGGTTCAATTTTGAATTTTGACACCTCTGATTTTTTTTTTTTTTTTGATGGAGTCTTCCTCTGTAGCTGAAGCTGGAGTGCCGTGGGGCGATCTCGGCCCACTGTAACCTCCACCTCCGGGGTTCAAGCGATTCTCCTGCCTCAGCCTCCCAAATAGCTGGGACCACAGGCATGAACCACCACGCCTGGCTAATTTTTTGTACTTTTAGTAGAGACAGGGTTTCACCATGTTAGCTAGGATGGTCTTGATCTCCTGACCTCGTGATCCACCTGCCTCAGCCTCCCAAAGTGCTGCGATTACAGGTGTGAGCCACTGCACCCAGCCCCAACACCTCTGATTTTTAAATAGGGTTGATAATAGGGTGGTTGTGTTGATTAATTGAGATGTGTCTGCAAAGAGCGCAGAAGAATTTCAGGTACAGAGCAGAGGCCCCCTCAACTAAAAAATATATGTACTCCCCACTCCACCTTCTCTTTAGATGCCAGGGTAGGGAGGAAGGCCAGAAAGTATCCTAGACTCAGCCCCTACCCATAAGGAACTCTTAATAGGCAGAGGAGAAAACACGACCCCACCTCCAGGTGGGACATGATTGGGTCAAATGGGAAGTGCCAGCCACCCAGCACCCTTGGCCAAACATCTGCTGTGCTCCAGGTCCCCGCCAGGCTTGGGCGGGAGAGACAGTGGTCACAAAGCTCTCTGTCCTTGGTCAAGTAGGGAGTCAAGGCCATTTGTGAGGCCCCCCACAATCTGGCACTTACATTGTGGGGCACAGGTGATGTGCAATGGAGGTGGGGGGTATGGTATGAGTACCTGGATAAGGGTGATGAGACCTACTTTGCCGGGGACCCAGGGCAAGAGAATAGAGCAGGACTTTCTGTGTGACTTTGGACCTGTCATTCAGGTTCCCACCTCAGTTTCCCACCTGTAAGGGGAGGAGCTTGGCCCTGGTGGTGAGTCTATAAGATGCAGTAGGTCTTAGAGTGAAGACATGCTTCTCCCAGTACAATTCCCTGCAAGGGGAGTGCCCCACCCCCTCAGGATCCCATGGCTACCACAAGAGGCCCAGAAACAAGATGTTTCTGGCCAGGCACGGTGGCTCACACCTGTGATCCCAGCATTTTGGGAGGCCGAGGCGGGCGGATCATTTGAGGTCAGGAGTTCAAGATCAGCCTGGCTAACATGGTGAAACCCTGTCTCTACTAAAAAAAAATGCAAAAATTAGCCAGGCATGGTGACACGTGCCTGTAGTCCCAGCTACTCAGGAGGCTGAGGCAGAAGAATTGCTTGAACCTGGGAGGTGGAGGCTGCAGTGAGCTGAGATTGCGCCACTGCACTCCAGCCTGGGTGACACAGTGAGACTCCATCTTAAAAATAAAAAAGATGTTTGCATCTGACCTTGGTCCCGCTGTCTCTGACAGGTGTGCACCCTTTGTGTTTCAGCTCCTCAGCCCTGGACCGGGGACAAGTAACCCTCGGTGACAAGACCAAAGTGCACTGCTGCCCACACAGTTCCTACCTTTCTGGCTTCAATTCTTCAGAAGAGTTTGCCGTCCTTTGGGGAGAACGTGATTTTTGTTATCTCAGCCCACTGACTTCATTGATCTCTAATCTTTTTTAATTCCTTGGGCCAACTTTGTTCGTGCCCCCACACTGTAGCCAGAAGCCCGTTGGCGAGCTCTGGCACCTGCAAACCACCCCGTGGAACGAGTGTTTCCTCTGGCTGAGGGTTGGAGAGGAGGTGTGGTCTCAGCAGGCGGCCCGTAGCCTCACAGCCAGGCCTGGTGGTGAGGTCACCATGTCCACCAAGGTGCCCATCTATCTGAAGCGTGGCAGTCGCAAGGGCAAGAAGGAGAAGCTTCGGGACCTGCTGTCCTCGGACATGATCAGCCCACCGCTGGGGGACTTCCGCCACACCATTCATATTGGCAGTGGCGGCGGCAGTGACATGTTTGGCGACATCTCCTTCCTGCAGGGCAAGTTCCACCTCCTGCCGGGGACCATGGTGGAGGGGCCTGAAGAAGATGGCACCTTCGACCTCCCCTTCCAGTTCACCCGCACCGCCACCGTGTGTGGGCGGGAGCTCCCGGACGGCCCATCCCCTCTGCTCAAGAACGCCATCTCCCTCCCGGTTATCGGTGGACCCCAGGCTCTCACCCTGCCCACAGCCCAGGCTCCACCCAAGCCCCCTCGCCTGCACCTGGAGACCCCTCAGCCTTCCCCACAGGAGGGAGGGAGTGTGGACATCTGGAGGATTCCAGAGACTGGCTCCCCCAACAGTGGACTGACCCCGGAGTCAGGGGCCGAGGAGCCCTTCCTGTCCAATGCCAGCTCCCTGCTGTCCCTGCACGTGGACCTGGGGCCTTCCATCCTGGATGATGTCCTGCAGATCATGGATCAGGACCTGGACAGCATGCAGATCCCCACATAGGACACGAGGCTGCCTAGGCTGGGGTCCCAGGTGGGGCCCAGCCAGGAGGTGGGGTGTGGACCCGGCCCTGGCGGCGGAGTCAGGGTCCCAAGATCCCACCTGTATGGTCGCTGGCCAGTGATTCTCCTTCTGAGCCGTGTTTCCCCTCTCCCTCCCTCTCCACGTGGGCAGGGCAGGCCCCATCGCTTTCCTCTGATAACCACATGGACACATCCTGAAGTCAGCCCAGGCGCCCTGAGCATCTTGGGGCACCTGGACCCCATCACAATACTCCTTCTTCCTTCAGGTCCCTGGGTGAAGGCTTTGCTGAAACCGACCCCCCTTTTCACGTCCCTTCTGCCTCTGCCCCGTTGGATGCCCTGACTGGGGGCAGGGGAAGAGACAGGGCACAGCTGGCCACAGGGCTCAGCCACTGAGCAGGCTGTTCCGGGCCTTTGGCTTTGCATCCTGGACGGGGAGTGTCCTGTCAGGGACCAGATGTGTCCTGCCTCATCCCTAGCTCCAATCCCTTCCCCACGTGACCGGGGATTCTGGTTGCAATAAAACATGCTGCTGCTGGTGGCGGAGCTCCCTGTCCCTTTGCCCCAGGTTTCCTCCCGGAGGCAGACAGTCTCCCAGAGCTGAGGGCTTGCCTCTGGAGACCCCAGCCCCAGAGGGCTTTGTGGAGGACAGGCCTTGCCCTCAAGAACGTCGTACCTGACGCTGAGCCTGTCATGAGAATGCAACAGGAGCAAACCAAGTGTTGCTGTGACATTGATTCAGATGTTTGGCAAGAGGTGGCTGAGCACTGGGGTGGGCTTGGCACTGTGCCAAGCCTGGGGCCAATCCCTGCCCAGTCAGCTGGGGTCTGGTGGGGGACACCCAAGAATAAAAGAATAACCACAAAGTGTGCAAGGGACCAACAGCTTCTCCAGCTTAAGAGCACCGAGGGAGCATGCAGGAGGGATGCTTGGAGCTGGGAGGGTCTAACAGTGCTGCTTCAAGATTCATTCCATCCACGGCTGTTTACTGAGCATCTCCAGTATACAAGGCACGGCTCCGGGTGCTGGGGATACAAGGCAGACGCCATCCCTGCTCTCTAAGAGTTTAAATTCTAGTTGGAAGGGGGATATTAAATTGGTAAACAAATAAGAGATGATTTCCAGCAGTGGTAAAGGCTACGAAGAAAACAACGTGATCAGGAATGCCTAGCAGGGAGGTCAGGGAGTGTCAGGGCTCATTAATGTGATCAGATGTGATTCTGAGCCAAATCGGAGCTACCAGCCAGATAACTCATATGTAAGCACAGGCACTGAGGAACCAGAGTGAAGACAGAGCAGACACCACACAGCAAAAGAGCGTGGACCTCCGAGTTGCACCTGGCCTGAGACTCAGTTTCCCCATCTCTAAAATGGAGCAGGCCAGGCATGGTGGCTCACACCTGTAACCCCAGCACTTTGGGAGGCCAAGGTGGGTGGATCATGAGGTCAGGAGATCGAGACCATCCTGGCCAACATGGTGAAACCCCGTCTCTACTAAAAATACAAAAATTAGCTGGGCATGGTGGCACGTGCCTGTAATCCTAGCTACTAGGGAGGCTGAGGCAGGAGAATCACTTGAACCCGGAAGCTGGAGGTTGCGGTGAGCCGAGATTGCGCTACTCCACTCCAGCCTTGGTGACAGAGTGAGACTCTATCTCAAAAAAAAAAAAAAAAAAAAAAGAGCCACTGATAGCTACCTCACAGGGTTATTGAGAAAACTAGGGATAACATTTATACTAGCCACAGGGAAGGGTTTTTTGTTGTTGTTGTTGTTGTTTTGTTTTGTTTTGTTTTTTTCTGTTGAGACGGAGTCTCACTCTGTTGCTCAGGCCGGAGTGCAATGGCACAGTCTCAGCTAACTAAACTCTGCCTCCCGGGTTCAAGCTACTCTCCTGCCTCAGCCTTCCAGGTAGCTTGGATTACAGGTGCACGCCACCATGCCTGGCTAATTTTTTGTTTTGTTGTCTATTTGTTTGTTTTTTTGTGTGTGACAGAGTCTCACTCTGTCACCTGGGCTAGAGTGCAGTGGCACAATCTCGGCTCACTGCAACCTCCGCTTCCCAGATTCAAGCAATTCTTCTGCCTCAGCCTCTCGAGTAGCTGGGATTGCAGATGCCTGCCACTGCTCCCAGCTAATTTTGTGTATTTTTAGTAGAGACGGGGTTTCACCATGTTGGCCAGGCTGGTCTCGAACTTCTGACCCCAGTTGATCCGCCCGCCTCAGCCTCCCAAAGTGCTGGTATTACAGGCATGAGCCACCATGCCCGTCCAGGAAAGGTGTTACAAATGGTTGCAGTGTGTGATGAAGGAAAGAACTGGGGCTCGGGAAGGGCGGGACTGTGAAGCTGGAACACAGGCTGGCGGCAGCAGGGAAGAGTTTCGCTGGCCAGGCTGACGCTGAGGCGATGGGGTGCTGCTGAAGGACGTGAAAGCAGAAGAGATAGGTGGTCAGATCTAGACCTGAGGAACGACATCACCCACGCCAGGTCGGGGATGGAGGTAGCCATGGCAGGCATGAGCAGGAGGACTGGACCCAGGTGAGGATGGTGGAGACAGAGAGGAGGGGAGTGGCCTAAGGTGGGGCCCGGTGGCCCCTTCTTCCACCCTCAGCCAGTTCTTTTCTACCTGTGTGACCTTGGAATCCCAGACACCCACCACTCCCCCAGCCTTTCACAAACATTACACAGTGTGTGTGTGTGTGTGTGTGTGTGTGTGTGTGTGTGTGTGTGTGTGAGAATGCATTTTTTTATTATTTCTGGACATTTTATTTATTTATTTATTTATTTCGAGACGGAGTCTTGCTCTGTCGCCCAGGCTAGAGTGCAGTGGCACGATCTCAGCTCACTACAACCTCCGCCTCCCAGGTTCAAGCGATTCTCCTGCCTCAGCCTCCCGAGTAGCTGGGATTACAGGTGCCTGCCACCATGCCCGGCTAATTATTTTTGTTTTTGTTTTGAGATGGAGTCTTGCTCTGGTGCCAGGCTGGAGTGCAGTGGCACGATCTGAGCTCACTGCAATCTCCGCCTCCCGGGTTCAAGCGATTCCCCTGCCTCAGCCTCCCGAGTAGTTGAGACTACAGGCATGCACCACCACGCCCAGTTAATTTTTTGTATTTTAGTAGAGACGGGGTTTCACCATCTTGGCCATGTTGTGATCCTCCTGCCTTGGCCTCCCAAAGTGCTGGGATTACAGGTGTGAGCCACCGCACCCGGTGCCCAGCTAATTTTTGTAGGCCAATTTTTGTATTTTTAGTAGAGACAGGATTTTGTCTTGTTGGTCTCGAACTCCTCACCTCAGGTGATCTGCCCACCTTGGCCTCCCAAAGTGCTGGGATTATGGACGTGAGCCACTGTGCCCGGCCTTATTTTATTATTATTTTTTTTTTGATACTGAGTCTGGCTCTGTCGCCCAGGGTGGAGTACAGTGGCACGCTCACTGCAACCTCCACCTCCTGGGTTCAAGAGATTCTCCTCCCTCAGCCTCCCGAGTAGCTGGGATTACAGGCACATGCCACCGTGCTCGGCTAATTTTTGTAGTTTTGGTATAGATGGGTTTTCACCATGTTAGCCAGGATGGTCTCGATTTCCTGACCTGATCCTCCTGCCTCGGCCTCCCAAAGTGCTGGGATTACAGGCGTGAGCCATCGTGCCCAGCCTTTTATTTTTATTTTTTGTAGAGATGAGGTTTTGCCATGTTGCCCTAGCTGGTCTCAAACTCCTGGGCTCAAGTGATCCTCCCTCCTCGGCCTCCCAAAATGCTGGAATTACAGGTATGAGCCACTGCACTCAGCCCGCATTTTTTTTTTTATTGTGGTAAAATATATATAATATAAAATTTACCATTTTAAGTATACATTTCAGTGGCATTAACTACATTTACGTTATTTTGCAACAATCACCACCATCCATCTCCAGAATTGTTTTCATGTTTCCAAACGGAAGCTGTGTCTCCATCAAACATTAGCTCCCATTCTCCCCACCCCCTAGTCCCTGCAACCACCATGCTACTTTCTGTCTCTATAAATCTGACTACTCTAAGTACCTCATTGTTAGCATCATGTCCTCAAGGTTCATCCATGTTGTAACATATGTCCCAATGGCCTTCCTTTTTAAGGCTGAATAATATTCCATTGTATACATGTATATACTACACTTTGTGTATCCATTTGTTCGTCCATGGACACTCAGGCTGGATGTACCGTTTAGCTATGGTGAATAGTGCTGCTATAAACAAGGGTGCACAAATATCTGTTCAAGACCTTGCTTTCAGTTCGTTTGGGTAAATACCCAGAAGTGGAATGGCCGGATCACATTTTTAATTTTTTGAGGAACTGCCATATTGTTTTCCATTGTGTCTATACCAATTTACATTCCCACCAAACTTTATGTTTTTGTTTCCCTTTTTTTTCTTTTTTTGAGACAGAGTTTCGCTCTTGTTGCCCAGGCTGGAGCGCTATGGTGCAATCTCCACTCACTGCAACCTCCGCCTCCTGGGTTCAAGCGATTCTTCTGCCTCAGCCTCCCCAGTAGTTGGGATTACAGGTAACTGCCACCATGCCTGGCTAATTTTTTACATTTTTAGTAGAGACAGGGTTTCATGATGTTGGCCAGGCTGGTCTTGAACTCCTGACCTCAGGTGATCCATCCATCTTGGCCTCCCAAAGTGCTGGGATTACAGGCGTGAGCCACTACTCCCGGCTAACTTTTTGTTTTTCACTTGAATTTTTTGTCATCATATGGAGACTGGAGATTTGATATACTATCAGGAATGGGATTTAAACCCAGGTCTGTGGGACCCCAACAGCCTGTATTTGACTGCATCTCTCTGTCCCTACAGGGGTTCAGCTTCAGGCCCTGGTAACGTTTGTGAAGACAGAGGGTCGGGGAACTGAAGGGCCAGCACCTTCTTACCTGTGGGGCCCCTCAGCACTTCAGTGGTTTATCTCCTGCTCTCTGGGGAGGGGAAGACAAGAAAAAAGGACACCATCCTTAGAGCTTCACCCAGTGGAAGACAGCAACTCACCCTGGACCTGAGCTGAGGCCGGAGTAGCCATGGAAGGAGGAGATTCTTGTCCTGGGTCCCCAAAGTGCTCTCAACTCACCCTGCATCAGGCACCAGCCACAGGGCCCTGGGAAACCACTCGGGGCTGGTCTGCCCTGTTGGGGTGGAGAAAGGGAACTAGGCAACAGAACTGAAGCATTGGATTAGCAGCTCAGGATACCGCCTTCAAACAAGGTAGCTGGCCGAGCACGGTGGCTCATGCCTGTAATCTGAGCACTTTGGGAGGTCGAGGTGGGTGGATCACCTGAGGTCAGGAGTTCGAGACCAGCCTGGCTAACATGGTGAAACCCCCTCTCTACTAAAAATACAAAAATCAGCCAGGTGTGGTGGCGCGTGCCTGTAATCCCAGCTACTTGGGAGGCTGAAGCAGGAGAATCACTTGAACCTGGGAGGTGGAGGTTGCAGTAAGCCAAGATCACACCACTGCACTCCAGCCTGGGTGACAAGAGCGAGACTCCGTCTCAAAAAAAAACAAAAAAACCCAAACCCTCCCTCCCCCCCAAAAAAAACAAAGTAGCTAAGGTAGAGAGAAGGACCTTCCCACTTCGGCTTATCTAGACACTATACTGCACAAACACACCTACAAAGGAATTCCCCAAAATAGGCAGAGAAGTTGTTGGACAATCAACAAAATGACAAATGCCCCTGCGGTGCACTGTTTTACATGCCCAACAGTCATCTATATCCTATTCTCTGTCTTCAAAAAACAGCAACAACATATCTGGCCTATGTAGTATAGTGAGTCTATCCCTCTTTCTGTCAAAAATACATTCACTCGGCCGGGCACGGTGGCTCACGCCTGTAATTCCAACACTTTGGGAGGCCGAGGTGGGTGGATCACCTGAGGTCAGGTCAGGAATTCAAGACCAGCCTGGCCAAGATGGTGAAACCCCGTGTCTATTAAAAATACAAAAATTAGCCGGGCGTGGTGGTGGGTGCCTATAATCCCAGCTACTCAGGAGGCTGAGGCAGGAGAATCGCTTGGACCTGGGATGCAGAGGTTGCAGTGAGCAGAGATCATGCCACTGCACTCCAGCCCAGGCAATAGAGCAAGACTCCGTCTCAAAAAAAAAAAAAAAAAAATTCACTCTCTCCGAAGGGAGACAAGTCAAAGTCTTGCTAATTATCATATCCACTCCCAAGTCTAGCGTTTCTGGATGATGTCCATTCCTCCTGCAATTCCCTTATCATCCATCTCAACATTTTGCAACCTATGAACTGTATCGTAAAGTTAATTACTACCAATACACCCTATGTACAGGAGCAGAGGGAAATAAAGAAGAATGAAGAATTAAAATCTATTAAAGGCCAGGAGAATGGCTCACACCTGTAATCCCAACACTTTGGGAGGCCACGGCGAGTGGATCACCTGAGATCAGGAGTTTGAGACTGGCCTGGCCAACATGGTGAAACCCCGTCCCTACTAATAATACAAAAATTAGCCAGGCGTGGTGGCACGTGCCTGTGATCCCAGCTACTCGGGAAGCTGAGGCAGGAGAATCTGGGAGGCAGAGGTTGCAGTGAGCTGAGATCATGCTATTGCACTCTAGCCTGGACAACAAGAGCAAAACTCCTTCTCAAAAAAAAAAATCTATTAAAAATATACTAACTGAGTGCAGTGGCTCACGCCTGTAATCCTAACACTCTGGAAGGCCGAGGCAAGCAGACTGTTTGAGTTTAGGAGTTCGAGACAGCCTGGGCAACATAGCAAGACCCCGCCTCTACTAAAAATACAAAAAAAAAAAAATAGCTGAGCATGGGTGTGCAACAGTGGTCCCAGCTTCTCTGGAGGCTGAGGTGGCAAGGATCCCAGGAGGCAGAGGTTGCAGTGAGCCAAGATTGCACCACTGCACTCCAGCCTGGATAACAGAGCAAGACTCTGTTATCAAAAAAACACAATTTTCTTTTTTTAATTCAGCTGGGTGTTGTGGTACATGTATGTAGCTTCAGCTGCTTGGGAGGCTGAGATGGAAGGATCGCTTGAGCTCAGGAGGTCGAGTCTGCAGTGAGCCAAGATCGTACCACTGCATTCCAGACTGGGCAACAGGAGAGACCACAGCAAGAAGAGCAATAATATATGGAGAAGCTACAGGCCAGGCGCAGTGGCTCACACCTGTAATATCAGCACTTTGGGAGGCCGAGGTGGGCGGATCACCTGAGATCAGGAGTTCGAGACCAACCTGACCAACACAGCAAAACCCCATCTCTACTAAAAATACAAAAATTAGCTGGGCGTGGTGGTGGGCACCTGTAATCCCAGCTACTCGGGAGGCTGAAGCAGGAGAATCGCTTGAACCTGGGAGGCAGAGGTTTCAGTGAGCCGAGATCACGCCACTGCACTCCAGCCTGGGCGACAGAGCGAGACTCCATCTCAAAAAACAAACAACAACAACAACAAAAAGAAATAATTTGAGGCCTAGGATTACAGTACATTCCTTCAGGAAGGATGTTACTTGGTACCAAATATGCTTGCTTTTGTCAGGTAACTGGGAACATTTCAAAAATGGGTCCATCTTGGGCCAGGAGGGGTGGCTCACGCCTGTAATCCCAGCATTTTGGGAGGCCAAGGCTGGTGGATCATGAGGTCAGGAGTTCGAGACCATCCTGGCTAACATGGTGAAACCCCGTCTCTACTAAAAATATAAAAAATTAGCTGGGCATGGTTGCTCGTGCCTGTAGTCCCAGCTACTCAGGAGGCTGAGGCAGGAGAATTGCTTGAACCTGGGAGGCAGAGGCTTCAGTGAGCCGAGATCGTGCCACTGCACTCAGCCTGTGCGACAGAGACTCCGTCTCAGAAAAAAAAAAAAAGAAAAAAAAAATGGGTCCACCTTAATCCAAGTTCAAGGCTGAGCTTTCCTCTCCCCCTTTCCTGGACCAAACAGATAATAGGATTCTGAACTATAAGTCCATGGAAATTGATTTGTATCTTACAGCACATACGTGTCAGTAGTGGGGTATCTGACTTCCTACTTTGAGCAAGCTCTGGGTTTTTATTTTCGTCCCTCCCCACAAAGACTGCCAAACAACAGTTTAACTTCATGGTTATATCTTCCAGATCAGTAAATGCCTCCAGGACAAAAACTGCTTCAAAAGCTGAACTTACCTCTCTGGGTTTTAGCTTCCTCAATGTTGGCACAATAATTCTTCACTGTACTATTAGCTTTTCAATGCTTTTAAGATTTTTTTTTCACTTCCTCTTCTTTTTTTAATTTGTCTTCAGAGGGAAGGTTGGAATCAAGTATCTAATCAGGAGCCTATCTCCCCTTACCTACCCGAATAAAATATTAAGAGCCATCCCAGGGGAGTTCCTCGGATTTTTCTCCCTGCCCCCACTGGGTAATAGCAATCTTAAGCTTTACAATTGGAATTGATCGCCCCAGCCAACAGTGGGACCCGCTTTTTATTTTCTTGCCCAGTGGCATGTGGAGCGAAATATGGCCTACTGACGGACGATCTGATCGTGATTTAGAGAAACTTACTGCGCCCCCTGGTGGAAGCATTATTCCCTTGGGTCTTAAAAGCTCTAAATCAGCCAGAGCGCAGAGTTGAGATTCCAAGAATGTGCATGTAAAATTCCTACTCCGTGATTCCTGTCTGTCAGAGAAACACTATATATACTGTTTTCTATATAGAGAGAGTACCTGTTGTTCGGCGACGTAACATGTCTTTCTTTCTTTCTTTTTTTTTTTTTGAGACAGGGTCTTGCTCTGTCACCCAGGCTGGAGTACAGTGGAGCCATCTTGGCTCACTGCAAACTCCACCTCCTGGGTTCAAGCGATTCTCATGCCTTAGCCTCCCAAGTAGATGGGATTACAGGCACCACCACCACGCCCGGCTAACTTTTGTATTTTTTGTAGAGACTGGGTTTCACCATGTTGGCCTGGCTTGTCTCGAACTCCTGGCCTCAAGTGATCTGCCAGCCTCAGCCTCCCAAAGTGCTGGGATTACAGGCGTGAAACACCACGCCCAGCCCGTAACAGCATTATGTGTAATAGCTCCAAACTGGAAATAACCCAAATGCCCATCAGCAGTAATATGGATTAAACAGCAATGTAAGAACTATTACCACAAAAGGACATGAATGAATCTCAGCCAGGCATGGTGGTTCGCGCCTGTAATCCCAACACTTCAGGAGGCCAGAACGCAAGGAATGCTCAAGGCCAGCCTGGGCAACATAGTGAGACCCTGTCTCTATAAAAAAAAAAATCAAAAATTAGCTGGGCATGGTGGCGTGTGCCTATAGTCCCAGAGAGGCTGAGGTGGGAGGATTGCTTGAGTCAGGGATGTAGAGGTTGCAGTGAGCCAAGATTGTGCCACTGAGATTTTTTTTTTTTTTTTTTGAGACACTGTCTTTTTTTTTTTGAGACGGAGTTTTGCTCTATTGTCCAGGCTGGAGTGCAACGGCACAATCTCAGCTCACCACAACCTCCGCCTCCTGGGTTCAAGCAATGCTTCTGCCTCAGCCTCCCAAGTAGCTGAGATTACAGGCGCACACCACCACGCCCAGCTAATTTTTTTGTATTTTTAGTAGAGACGGGGTTTCACCATGTTGGTCAGGCTGGTCTCGAACTCCTGACCTCATGATCCACCCGCCTCGGCCTACCAAAGTGCTAGGATTACAGGCATGAGCCACCATGCCTGGCTGACGCTGTCTTAAAAAAAAAAAAAAAAAGATTAGTCAGGGTGTAGTGGTGTGCCTGTAGTCTCAGCTACTCGAGAAGCTGAGGTGGGAGAATTACTTAAGCCTGGGAGGTCGAAGCTGCAATGAGCCATGATTACACGACTGCACTCAGCCTGGATGACAAAGTAAGACCCTGTCTTAAAAAAAAAAAAAATCTCAAAAATGTAATACTGTAGACAAAGCATTGTGGGGGCTGAAAAAAAAAAGGAAAAAATTAATATTGAACAAAAGAAGCCAAATTCAAAATAGGACATATTGTATGATTCCATTGACATACAGTTACACAGACACACTAATCTTTAGGGCTAGAAGCATGAGATGGCTACTGAGGTGCTAGTGATGTCTTTTTCTTCATCTGGGTAGTGGTTACACAGGTTTGTCTATTTTGTAAAGATCAATCAAGCTACAATTATTTTGCATGGTATACCTGCATCAAACCATCTCGTGTACCCATAAATATATACACCTACGATGTACCCACAAAAATTAAAAAATTGAAAAAAATTAGTCAAGCTATGAACCCGGAAGGCGGAGGTTGCAGTGAGCCGAGATCACGCCATTGCACTCCAGCCTGGGCAACAAGAGGGAAACTCCGTCTCAAAAAAAAAAAAAAAAAAATTAGTCAAGCTACATAAGATCTATGTGCTTCTCTTTATGTATATTTCAATTAAAAGTTTGAATTTAAAAATAGTACTAATAATAAATAGGCTAGCTGCATATAATTGGAAAGGCAGCTTATGAACCCAGCATCAATAGCTTTCAGTTCTTTTAGGATTGTTTAAGAAAAGGTTACATCAGCTGGCCAGGCGTGGTAGCTCATGCCTGTAATCCCAGCACTTGAAAGCCTAGGCGGGCGGAACACATGAGGTCAGGAGTTCGAGACCAACCTGGCCAACGTGGTAAAACTCTGTCTCTACAAAAAATACAAAAATTAGCTGGGGGCACCTGTAATCCCAGCTACTCGGAAAGCTGAGGCAGGAGAATCACTTGAACCCAGGAGGTGGAGGTTGCAGTGAGCTGAGATAGTGCCACTGCACTCTAGCCTGGGCTGGAAGGAAGAATTTGTTAAGGAGCGACAAGAGCAAAACTCCGTCTCAAAATAAATAAATAAATAAATATAAACAAATAATGTTGTTACGAACATTCTTGTACAGCTTTATTTTTTTTTTTTTGAGACGGAGTCTCGCTCTGTCACCCAGGCTGGAGTGCAGTGGCGCGATCTTGGCTCACTGCAAACTCCGCCTCCCAGGTTCACGCCATTCTCCCACCTCAGCCTCTCCAGTAGCTGGGATTACAGGCGTCCGCCACCATGCCCGGCTAATTTTGTTTTTGTATTTTTAGTAGAGATGGGGTTTCACCATGTTAGCCAGGACGGTCTCGATCTCCTGACCTCGTGATCCGCCCACCGTGGCCTCCCAAAGTGCTGGTATTACAAGCGTGAACCAATGCTCCTGGCCTGTTTTTTTTTGTTTTTTTTTTTTAAGAGACAGGATCTTGCTATGTTGCCCAGGCTGGTCTTGAACCCCTGGGCTCAAGTGATTCTCCCACCTCACCCTCTCAAGTAGCTGGGATTACAGGCATGAGGCATTGCACTCAGCTTCTTGTACAGCTTTCTTGTGTGTATATCCAGGAGTGGACTTTGCTGGGTCATAGGGTATGTGTATTTTCAGCTTTAGTGATTATATTTATATATATATATATATATATACATATGTATATATATACATATGTATATATATGTGTATATATATATATGTATATATGTGTATATATATATGTGTATATATATATGTATATATATTTTTTTTCCTTTTTTTTTTTTTTTTTCTTGAGATGGAGCCTCGCTCTGTTGCCCAGGCTGGAGTGCAGTGATGTGGCTCCAGTGGCTCACTGGAGCCTCAAACTCCTGGGCTCAAGTGATCCTCCCACCTCAGCCTCCCTAGTAGCTGGGATTACAGGCATGCACCACCATGCCCAGCTAATCTTTTTTCTTTTTCTTTTTTTCCTTTATTTATTTATTTATTTATTGAGAAGGAGTCTCGCTCTGTCGCCCAGGCTGGAGTGCAGTGGCGCGATCTCGGCTCACTGCAAACTCCGCCTCCCGGGTTCACGCCATTCTCCTGCCTCAGCCTCCCGAGTAGCTGGGACTACAGGCGCTCGCCACCACACCCGGCTAATTTTTTGTATTTTTAGTAGAGACGGGGTTTCACCGTGTTAGCCAGGATGGTCTCCATGTCCTGACCTCGTGATCCGCCCGCCTCGGCCTCCCAAAGTGCTGGGATTACAGGCGTGAGCCACCGCGCCCGGCCCCGGCTCCTGCTCCTCTAAATATTAGAGGCAAGCCTCGAACCGGAGCTCCGGGATGCATGCCAATCTCCGGTTGCGCCTGCGCGTCGGGCTCCCGTGGGGTCCACGCATTTCCTACCCGGCCCCCGCGAACAGGCGTAAAGCTCTTTCTTCAGTGCTCGCTCTAGTGCGCGCGCCCGGACGGCGCCTGCGCAGAGGGCAAGGAACCTGGTACCCCGGTGCGGTCCCGGCGCCTGCGCGCTGCGGACTGTGGGGCTTCTCGGCCCGAGGCAGAGGAACAGGGAAGATGGCGGCTGTGGTGGAGAATGTAGTGAAGCTGTGAGTGGTCGTTTCTTTCTCTCCTAGGGCGGCAGGTTTTGTAAAGGGCCTGGGAGTAGGGGGCGGTGGGGGAAGGGACTAGGCGGAGAGAGGGACATCCCCGGGAAAGCCATGTTGCGACTCCTGGTGGGGAGGGCAACAGGAGACTCCGGAGAAGACGTTGCGCTTCTTTGGAAACTTGTGGAGGCCCTGGTGGGGGCACACTGGAGCCCCGACGGGCGGCATCCCTGCGGGGCTGTGTGGCCTCAGCGTTCCTCGGGGCTGACGGTTTCCAGAGCATGGCGCCCTGCCTGCACGCGAGACTCACCGTCCCGGTCCTCTCCCGAGACGCCTCAGTCCGGAGGAGCGGGGCCGAGGCCCGGGCGGCCCTACGGCTGGCCCGCCGCCCACCCCGCCCCGTCCCGTCCCGTTCGCTGCAGCAACAGGCTCGGCGGCCCCTGCGGAGTGCACTGCGGGGCTGGCTGTTTCAGTTCCAGGCAGCCCCGTGATGTTTGGGAGGATCTTGGGTGGCAGGTACCTAAGACTACAAATATTCTTGGGAAGAATTTATCGAGGAGCGGATCCAGAAGGGAAGGAACTTCAGGGGAGTGGGCCTTGGCCCCGTCCAGTAGCAGCCATCAAAAACCTGCAACTGGACCGAAGCCGTTCAGGACAGCTTAGCCTAAAGGGGCATCTAGGTGGGCATTCTTCCTATTATACGATACCATTGTGCTGGTCAGATTTCAAGCAAAGTTAAAGTTAATAGCTGTTGGGGCCATGGACGCTGGCCTATGAACTGCTTCCTGTGAGTTAAAGATGCTTTGGGACTTGATTTATTCCTACAGAAGAATCAGAATGAGTTTTAGATTGGGTTAATGCATGGTGGGCGAATAGAGCTTCTTTTAATGGGTATGTTGGGCTTGGTGCAAGGGTGGGAAAATTGAGTGGTGTCTAGCTGTCCAGTCAGGGTTTTTGCATTTTGACTGGATGACGAGGTAAAGGTTCGGTAACTCTTCTAAGGGACTCACAGCTTCTCATCTGTCTTTGTCGTGGCCTGAGCCCCACTCTTCCTAAGAGCCTTTTTAAAGAGTAAGTTGCTTCTCCCTCCTGCCTGAAGCCTTTTCTTTGAGAATGCTTTCCCACTTCCATTAAGCTAAGTGCCTTTCCTCCTCTTGTGGTTTGTTTTTTTTTTTTTTAAGTTGCTTTCTGCTCTATCCTGCTGTCTCTTTCAGCCACCCCTCCTCCCAACGCTATTGTCTTTCTCTCTGATCTGCCCACTCCAGTTTCCCCAGCTCTTTCTTCAGGCTGACATTTTTCTCAATTTAGAAATGACACTGTTGATCTACCATTTATCCAGTTATCCTTCCTGACTCAGATGTTCTTTCTTTGTTTCCCTGCGTCTTTGTTGACTTCCCTCATCCCATTGTAAGGGGATGTTTTACACAGGTTTCTCCAAAAATAAAAAGGAAGATTCTCATTGTACTGGGGGAGTATCAGACTTGCCTAGGTTTTGGGAGTTAAACGTAGTGAGGTTCTTCGTGTTGGAAGATTTTCCTCAGAGAAATAGGGTTGCCAGTGCTTTCAAGTTGTGTCATAAGTGAGGGGTTGCCCATTTAAACAGAGCGTGACATCTTGTTTCTCTTTGAAAAACTGTAGAGATTGTGAGCATCACCAGCCACTAATTCCTGAATGCCAGTAATGAGAAACCAACTCTCTCCTCCTCATTTCTAGCTGCACAGGGCCTCAGATCACAATTAATACGTACTCCCACAGAATTATCCCTTTAAGAAGGGGCTTCTATTCTTCCAGTTCATTTGGAGATATGGCACTTCTCTTGATTATAGTGTGCCTAGTCTTCTGACAGCTGATGTTATACATTGAGTACATTGAGGTCAGGACCACTAGCTCATCTTTTCTTTTTTTTTATTTTTTTAGACAGAGTCTCACTGTTGTCGGCCCGGGCTGGAATGCAGTGGCACGATCTTGGCTCACTGCAACCTCCGCCTCCCGGGTTCCAGCAATTCTCCTGCTTCAGCCTCCCGGGTAGCTGAGATTACAGGTGCCCACCACCACACCTGGCTAATTTTTGTGTTTTTAGTAGAGATGGGGTTTCACCATGTTGGCCAGGCTGGTCTTGAACTCCTGACCTCAGGAGTTCACCCGCCTCGGCCTCCCAAAGTGCTGGGATTATAGGCGTGAGCCACCACGCCCGGCCCCTCATCTTGTATGACTTGCATCTTGTCCTGGGAAAAGAATTTTCTTATTTGTAAATTTCTATCCCTTCCGAATGTGATGTCAGAAATGAAAGTCTTGGCTGGGTGCAGTGGCTTACGCCTATAATCCCAACACTTTGGGAGGTTGAGGCAGGCAGATTGCTTGAGGTCAGGAGTTTGAGACCAGCCTGGCCAACATGGTGAAACCTCATCTCTACTAAAACTATAAAAATTAGTTAGGTGTGGTGGCGCACACCTGTAGTCCCAGCTACTTGAGAGGCTGAGGCACAAGAATCGCCTGAACCCAGGCGGCAGAGGTTGAAGTGAGCTGATATCACACCACTGCCCTCCAGCCTGAGTGACACTTTTAAGACTCTTTCTTAAAAAAAAGAAAGAGGCTGTTGGGCGCGGTGGCTCATGCCTGTAATCCCAGCACTTTGGGAGTCCGAGGCGGGCAGATCACAAGGTCAGGAGATTGAGACCATCCTGGCCAACATGGCGAAACCCCACTCTACCAAAAATACAAAAATTAGCTGGGCATGGTGGCGTGTGTCTGTAATCCCAGCTACTCAGGACGCTGAGGGAAGGGAATCACTTGAATCCAGGAGGCAGAGGTTGCAGTGAGCCAAGATCGCACCACTGCACTCCAGCCTGGCAACAGCAAGACTCCATCTCAAAAAAAAAAAAAAAAAAAAAGAAGCCGGGCACGGTGGCTCATGCCTGTAATCCCAGCACTTTGGGAGGCTGAGGCGGGCGGATCACAAGGTCAGGAGTTTGAGACCAGCCTGGCCAAGGTGGTGAAACCCGTCTCTAGTAAAAATACAAAAATTAGCTGGGCATGGTGGCGTGCACCTGTAGTCCCAGCTACTCAGGAGGCTGAGGCAGAAGAATCGCTTGAACCCAGGAGAGATCACACCACTGCACTCCAGCCCAGGCGACAGAGCGAGACTCCGTCTCAAAAAAAGAGAGAAAGTCTTTAAGCGTTCTTACTAGGAAAGTAAAATAATAGTATAGCTGTAGCTGCTGATTGGTTTTGAAACTTTCTAGGCAAAATCTAGAGGCAGGGCGCGGTGGCTTACACCTGTAATCCCAGAACTTTGGAAGGCCGAGGTGGGCGGATCATGAGGTCAGGAGTTCGAGACCAGCTTGGCCAACATGGTGAAACCCTGTCTCTACTAAGAATACAAAAATTAGCTGGGCGTGGTGGCGCATGCCACTCGGGAGCCTGAGGCAAGAGAATCGTTGGAACCCGGGAGGCAGAAGCTGCAGTAGGCAGAAGCTGCAGTGAGCCGAGATTGCACCACTGCATTCTAACCTGGGCGGCAAAGCAAGACTCTATCTCAAAAAAAAAAAAAAAAAAAAAAATATATATATATATATATATATATATATATAGAGAGAGAGAGAGAGAGAGAGAGAGAGAGAGAGAGAGAGAGAACAATGTTAATGTTAACTTGACATTTCTTGGTATCGGAGCCTTAAGTTTTTGTTATTGCTTTTTTTTGTTTTAAGAGACAGAGCCTCCCTCTGTCCCCCAGGCTGAAGTGCAGTGGTATAACCTTGGTTTACTGCACCCTCAACTTCCTAGGCTCAAATGATTCCCCTACCTCATCCGCCCCAGGGGCTACGTGGAACCACAGGCATGCATCACTAAGCCTAGCTGATGGTTTTTTTGTTTGTTTGTTTTGTTTTTTTTAATTTTATTTTTTTTGAGACAGAGTTTCGCTCTTGTTGCCCAGGCTGGAGTGCAATGGCGCAATCTCGGCTCACCGCAACCTCCGCCTCCCAGGTTCAAGCAATTCTTCTGCCTCAGCCTCCCCCGTAGCTGGGATTATGGTCATGTACCACCACGCCCGGCTAATTTTGTATTTTTAGTAGAGACAGGGTTTCTCCATGTTGAGGCTGGTCTCGAACTCCTGACCTCAGGTGATCCGTCCACCTCAGTCTCCCAAAGTGCTGGGATTACAGGCGTGAGCCACTGCGCCAGGCCTTTTTTATTTTTATTTTTTAACGTTTTGTAGAGATGGGATCTCACTATGTTGCCCAAGCTGGTCTCTAACTCTTGGTCTCAAGAGATCCACCAGCCTTGGCCTCCCAAAGTGCTGGGATTATAAGCATGAGCTACTGTGCCCGGCCTCCCTTAAGTTCTTAAGAGCTCACTGTCATGCTGTCTTGTTCTCTCTTCATGAGATTCTCCCCCCACACTTCAGTGTTTCCTTCCCAGCCCTTTTACCCCCAAGACTGTTTGCCTGCCTTATGTAGCTCACAAGAGCCCTGACAGAACATCTCTCATTCATTCCCCGCAAAACTGTTTCCAGCCTCCTTGCTCTGACTTTGCAGCACTCGCCAGCCTGGCCCTGCCTTCCATTTGACTTCCAGTGTCCGTATCAATTCCCATCAGCAGAAACAAAGGAGCTGCCGCACTCAACCTTGTTTATCCAATTTTATTCTGTGTGGTGAAGACGTGGCTGCCTCCTAAAGGCGAGCCCACAGAGGCAAGGCTGCCTTCTCCATTCTGCTCTCCAACGTGAGATTCGTGCCTACCTCAGATTACAGTCATTACAGCTCATTGAATCACGCCAGGCTATATTTGTGGCATTGCCGTCTCTGTGTGTCGTATGTGTCTTTTTTACTTGCTGGGCACATGCTAAGTTATGCAGTGGTCTATTGTGGCTGCTCACTGAAGGACCCTGTCACATTCTAGAGCAGGGTTTGTTGGTGTAGCCCGAGTTACGGACAGAAACCACAGAGACTTAATCTGTTTGCTGTCTCATCCCCAGGCTGTTTCTTGTAAAATCCTGATATGTCAAAGCTCATTTGGTCCAACCTCCTCAATCTATAGAAGAGTAACCAAGGTCCACCTGGGCTGACTAAGTGTCCATGTTCGTGTGACTTGCAGGCAAGCCAGGTCTTTTTACTCTCAAGTCAAGTCTGACTGTATCTCAGACATCGTCATGAGTATTAGGGATACTATGAGAAATAAATCAATTCTGCCCTTGGTTTAAGATTGATTGACGCCAGGTACTGTGACACATGCCTCTATTCCCAGATACTTGGGAGGCTAAGGCAGGAGGATCACTTGAGCCAGGAGTTTGTGTCCAGCTTGGGCAACATAGTGAGACCTTGTCTCTTAAAAAAAAAAAAAAACAAGATTGATTGAATATAAGATCGAGTTTGTTAACCTCCATTACCAAAGTCCTTGTTAAACCCTGCAAGATGAGAACAAGATAGGTTCTATATACACGCTTCTTAGAACCAGATAACTCCTGGCACTGTGCAGTTTTCCAGTTTTCCACTTAAAGATTTACCCTTGATTCAGATTTCAAATTGAGTCTTTTGAGACCAAGAAGATTTTTTCCTATATAATTTTATTTTGTGAGAATGGAGAAGAACCCTAAGATGGGCCTTAGAGCAAACAAGTTTCTTATGAGTGATGGTGCTCAATAAAAGCTTCAAGGAACTTCAGGTACTTGTAGACATCTTCCATAAATGTAAAATTAATTAGTTGATTAAAAACCTAGTTCAAAATTCAAAAGATATAAAAAGGCATATGGAAGGAAGTGGCCTAGTCACCCACTTTTTCTCCCCGCTGACCTGCAGTTTCTTTTCCATTTTGTTACATAAATGATAGTTTTATTTGACGCTTCTCAGCAGTGTACCTTGCTTTGCTTTTTGTCCCTAGTTAACTTGAAATTGTTTAATATCAGTATGTGAAGAGCTTCCTTCTTATGGCTAAGTAGAATTTCATTGTATGGATTTACCATAGTTTGCTAAATACATTTTAATAAGTCCCCTAGACTTTGAACTCTTTCCCTCTGGAGCAGACCTTGGGGCAAGGATGTGGGAGCATGTAGTTTATTTGGGAGGTGATTCTAGGAAAGAGGGAATAAGGAGGAACTTAGGAGGGACTATCATCTGCTTCTTAGCCTCATAAGGGTTAAGAGAAATAGCATCTTAACTAGCACAGGGGTGGGCTTGTGAGACACGTGGAGTGAACATTCTTTCACCTCTTTGGGGGTTAAACTTAAGTCTGATTAGACATATGATGAAATCATGTGTTCCTGATGGTAATTTATTTGTAAAGTAATTCCTCATGATGGCCTAGAAAAGGGGCTTCGTGTCCCATGAGGCAGAAGTGGAGGCAAATAGAACGGAAGAGACAGCCACCCAGTCCCTTGAGCCTTCTAGAGAAGCAGATGGCAGGGGAGAGGAATAGCTCAGCACCCTATGCCCCCCGCTCCAACATACACGCCTGATTTCTATCTTCCCTGCAGCCTTGGGGAGCAGTACTACAAAGATGCCATGGAGCAGTGCCACAATTACAATGCTCGCCTCTGTGCTGAGCGCAGCGTGCGCCTGCCTTTCTTGGACTCACAGACCGGAGTAGCCCAGAGCAATTGTTACATCTGGATGGAAAAGCGACACCGGGGTCCAGGTGAGGGTCCAGACTTGGGAGAAGGGGACTCAGGAGCATAAGGAGGAAGAAGCCTCCTCATCTTAGGTGATGAGACAGTTGATAGGGTTTTCCCTACTGCCTTCCACCTATGGATGAATATGGTCTTCCTGTGATTAGAAACCCAGGGAGGATGAAGCAGATGTTTGATACCAGCATCTTTGTTTTCTGCCCTGCTGAGGCCATTGTGTGTCTGGAGAACTATGTGTTAGCCAAGGCCCTGAAGCTTATATATCTATTTTTCTTTTCCACAGACTATTCCACCTAACCCCCTAGGCCCTCACTGTCAGAATTTCTCCCTTGCTCTAGAACTCAAAGGGGGGCCTACTTAATTAGAAAGTGTTTGGTATTACTTTCTAATACTGGGTTAGGGCCTGACTTCTATCTTTCTTCCTGCCACAGGATTGGCCTCCGGACAGCTGTACTCCTACCCTGCCCGGCGCTGGCGGAAAAAGCGGCGAGCCCATCCCCCTGAGGATCCACGACTTTCCTTCCCATCTATTAAGCCAGGTAAGGCACATACTTCCTGAGCAGAGGCGTGGCCTGCTGCATGGTGAGAGCCTGCTAATCACTGTGATATACCAGGCCCAGTACTAGATCCCAAATATACTCAAATGAATATGATGTGATTCTTTCCTTTAAGGACCTCAGTCTAGAAGGGGAGACAGGTAAACAGATAAGTTATGGTGCCAAGTGAACTAGGGTGTCTTAATTCCTGGGCGTGCAGAGAACAAAAGATAGTGACAGACCTTTGGTAAGCCCCAGCATTATGTGGACTCAGAGCAGTCTGCTTTCAGCCCTTTTGAGCCTTGCTTTATCCTGACCTTGCTTGCAGACACAGACCAGACCCTGAAGAAGGAGGGGCTGATCTCTCAGGATGGCAGTAGTTTAGAGGCTCTGTTGCGCACTGACCCCCTGGAGAAGCGAGGTGCCCCGGATCCCCGAGTTGATGATGACAGCCTGGGCGAGTTTCCTGTGACCAACAGTCGAGCGCGAAAGGTACAGGATTATCCCTGTGGCTAAGGGAGCTTTGATGGAAATCAGCCTCCTCTTCACTGGGGGCCACCTAGTTTCTAGAACTGAAACAGAAGCTGGAGTCCAGGAAGCAGGCCCCTGCAGTTCTGTTCTTACTTCAGTCCCTGATTATTGTCAGGTACTGACTGGCTTCTCTGTTGCTTCTAACTATAGACTCTCATTCATTCACTTTTATCACAGAAGGTTATTATTATACACATATATAATTTTCATTAAAAAAATTAAAATAGGCCAGATGCAGTGGCTCATGCCTGTAATCCCAGCACTTTGGGAGGCCAAGGCAGGAGGATTGCTCAAGTCCAGGAGTTCGAGACCAGCCTGGGCAACAAAGTGAGACCCCATCTCTACAAAAAAATAATAATTAAAAAAAAATAGCCAGGCATAGCAGCATGCGCCTGTTGTCCCAGCTACTAGGGAAGCTGAGGTGGGAGAATCACTTGAGCCTATGAGTTCGAGACTGCAATGAGTCATGATCATGCCACTGCACTCCAGCCTGGGCAACAAAAAAAAAAAATTAAAACCAGAAGGTGCAAGAATAGTACAATGAAATACCACATACTCTTTACCTAGATTTATCAATTCCACATTTTGCCACATTTGCCTTATCTGTCTTTGCTAAACTATTTGAGAGGAAACTTCAAAAACTTTTCAGTCTAGGCAACATAGCAGGACCTTGTCTCTACTAAAAATAAAAATAAAAAATTAGCTGGGCATGGTGGCACACGCCTGCAGTCCCAGCTACTCAGGAGGCTGAGGTGGGAGGATTGCTTGAGCCCAGGAGATTGAAGCTGTAGCTCTGCTTATGCCTCTGCACTCCAGCCTGGGTAACAGAGGGAGACCCTGTCTGGGAAGGGAGGGAAACAAACTTTTATCCCTAAGTGCTTTACTCTTTTATCACAAAAGTTTGTGTCACAGTTTTTTGGTCCCTGAGGTTACACAGTGAAGCACACTTAGTCTCTGCCAACAGAGAAGATAAGAATACATGTAAAAATAACAGCTATAAATATGCCAGCATTGGGTTAAGTGCCTTTTCATGCCCTTTCTCCTTTAGTCTGTACAACCTTATGGGGTAGGTCCTGTGTTCCCCATTTCACACAGAGGCTGAAACAAAGCAGTTTAAAAACTTCCCATGGGTCGGGCACGGTAGCTCACGCCTGTAATCCCAGCACTTTGGGAGGCCGAGGCAGGCGGATCTTGAGGTCAGGAGATCGAGACCATCCTGGCTAACATGGTGAAACCCCGTCTCTACTAAAAATACAAAAAAAATTAGCCAGGCGTGGTGGTGGGCACCTGCAGTCCCAGCTACTCAGGCGCAAACCCGGGAGGCAGAGCTTGCAGTGAGCCGAGATTGCGCCACTGCACTCCAGCCTAGGTGACAGAACGAGACTCCATCTCAAAAAAAAAAAAAAAACTTCCCATGGCCGGCCACGGTGGCTGACGCCTGTAATCCCAGCACTTTGGGAGGCCGAGGCAGTTGGATCACCTGAGGTCGGGAGTTCGAGACCAGCCTGACCAAGATGAAGAAACCCCGTCTCTACTAAAAATCCAAAATTAATCAGGTGTGGTGGCGCATGCCTGTAATTCCACCTACTTGGGAGGCTGAGGCAGGAGGATCGCTTGAACCCAGGAGACGGAGGTTGCGGTAAGCCAGTATTGCGCCATTGCACTCCAGCCTGGGCAACAAGAGCGAAACTCTGTCTCAAAAAAAAAAAAAAAAAAAAAAAGCTTCCCACAAGGTCACACAAATAAGCAACAACATTTTAATTTAAACTAGGAGGCGAGTGTCAGGACAGAACCACCAATAATGTGCTCCCAGGGTGGCCAATCAGAGGCAGGAGAGGGCATGGCTGCTTGTGGCATCAGGGCAACCTTTTGGAAGCATGCTATTTGATTTGGCCATGTGGCATGGTGGGGAAAGCATTTCAGGCTAAGGAAATAACGTGAAGCACAGGGGAAAGATATCCCAAAGTATGGAAGGGAGCAGGAGCAGGATTATAGCATGCTTGAAAGGCGTTGGTGAGGAATGAGGCTGGTGTGGGTGGGACCACGTCACAGAGGAGGTTCTGGGTGGCCTTGGCCAGTCTCATCATAGGGGAGCTTTTGGATGCACATATTTCTACCCATGCTAACCCTCCTGTCCACTCAGCGGATCCTAGAACCAGATGACTTCCTGGATGACCTCGATGATGAAGACTATGAAGAAGATACTCCCAAGCGTCGGGGAAAGGGGAAATCCAAGGTGAGGGGCCAGCGTGCTGCCTGCATCTTGGGACAGGGTGGCCTAGGGAATTCCTTATTTTATTTCAAGTGAGATTAGCGGCCACTTCCAAAAGAGTCTAACTCCTCAGGCCCAGCTACCAAAATAAGGGTGTCTCTTTGCTCTTCTTGGCAGGGTAAGGGTGTGGGCAGTGCCCGTAAGAAGCTGGATGCTTCCATCCTGGAGGACCGGGATAAGCCCTATGCCTGTGACAGTGAGTGCCTCACAAGTGGGTGGGTAGACCTTGCCTTGGACCCAGCTCCTGCTCTGGATATGAGAGGAGGGAGGGTTGTGTTTTTGCCCAGAGTATTAAAACAAACCTGGGCTCTTGTCCTGCCTGCTGACTGCTTCCGTCTGAGACCCCTGGGAGGCCTGGGTCCCTGCTATATGACGGGTGGGACCTGCATGCTCTGGGAAAGATTTCTGCCATCCTCTGGGGTAGGGTTGCTTGTGGGGGCCACAGCAGGCAGGGTTGGCCTCTCAACAGATGGCCTGCAGGTCTCCTGGCCTCAGTTAAGCCAGGGCCCCAGGGGTCTGACACTGAGTTTTTCAACGTCTGTTCTCTTTTTCTTTCTGTCTGCCTTGCCCCACTTCTGTCCCTCCACCCTGGGAGCACCATCGCCGCTGGGGTTTCTCTCTCGTTTGCTCTGCTTTCCTGCTGCTGCTGCTCCTGTCTCAAGTGTATCAAGGCCTTCTTCTCATGACTTTTCTTTCTGTCTTTCAGATAGTTTCAAACAAAAGCATACCTCGAAAGCGCCCCAGAGAGGTAGCTCTCTCAACTTTTCAGACTTGTGGTTTTCCTTTCCCTTTTTCCCTCTTCCCTTGTTCCTCCTGCCTTTCTCATTTCCTGGGATGCTAGCTTTAAAATCTCTGGAATGGCATGGGGGTAGGAGCAGTGGAATTTCTGCTGTGCTCTACTCCTCAAAGTCCTGAAGGCTGCCTTTACCACTGCTTGTTTCCCACAAACCTGCTCCTAGAGCTGCTCGGCCCAGTGCATGGGGTGGCTTCAGAAGCATTATCAGGAGCCCATTACAATCAGACCCTTCCGCTCCCTCCCCAGACCAGGCAGCTGGTGGTCAGCTCATGTTCCCCACTGCCCCACCACCTCCTCCTGCCATCCTCTCTCCCCACTCCTTTCCTGCTGGCCCCCTTGCCCTTCTTGGTATTACTTCTCAAGATGACAAAATGCCTCATGGGGATCTGCTTTCCTTGCTGATTGGCAGGCCTGGACAGGGCAATTACATGGGAGTGTGCTTGAATTTCTTTGGGGACCAACTGCCCAACTGGCTTCATTGATAGGCTATCCCCAAGAAACCCATCCCCTGCTTGTTTACCCACATTCAGGGGAGATGGGCTCCATGGTGTGTGGGGTAGCATGAGCCTCCCACATTTACTGAGGGGTAAAAAAGTTTGGAGTCTTATCCACTTTTCCCCCTTCCTGCCACCCCAAAGATATAGGAATATCCTTCCCTTTCCTGACCTGGAGCGTCCCAGACTGTTAGTATATCCCAGAGCAACTAACTGGTGATGGGGCAAGGGCTAAGCCCCCCAAAAGTCAACATGGAAGAGCAGTGGTGGCCATGGGGTTGGAGTTCAGGAGGGAAAAGAGCCCCAGAAGCTAGAGAGCCCCACGGCCTGATGCTCCTGGCTGAGGGGAAGTGGCCGTCACTCAAGGCCTGTCCCAGAGTGGAGCTGCTAGGGGAAGGGATGGTTGCCCTCTGCCTCAGGTGGAGCCCCCACAGCTTGCAGGGATGGGGACATGGCACTCTTGTATCCTAACACCTTTCTCTGCAATCTTCTTCCCACTCAGTTTGTGGAAAACGTTACAAGAACCGACCAGGCCTCAGTTACCACTATGCCCACTCCCACTTGGCTGAGGAGGAGGGCGAGGACAAGGAAGACTCTCAACCACCCACTCCTGTTTCCCAGAGGTCTGAGGAGCAGAAATGTAAGCTGAGGTGTCAGAAGTGGTGGGCAAGCAGAAGTTGGCCTGGTTATGAAAACCACTCCTTGCATGGGTGTTGAGTGGCTCAGGGACCCCCATGGGTGTCATCAAAACTCTTTCTCTCTGTAGCCAAAAAGGGTCCTGATGGATTGGCCTTGCCCAACAACTACTGTGACTTCTGCCTGGGGGACTCAAAGATTAACAAGAAGACGGGACAACCCGAGGAGCTGGTGTCCTGTTCTGACTGTGGCCGCTCAGGTACTGCTTCCCGTGAAGGCTGCTGCTTTGCCCAGTCCCCAAGGGGCTCTTGGCTTGCTGGCCTCTAGGGCTGTCATAACCAGCCCACCTCGCTTTTCCTAACCAAGAGAAGATGTAGCCACAGGCAGGAGCTCCTCTCTTCCCCCCGCATTTCCGACTGTCTGTCTCACTCACTTCCCCCACTACAGGGCATCCATCTTGCCTCCAATTTACCCCCGTGATGATGGCGGCAGTGAAGACATACCGCTGGCAGTGCATCGAGTGCAAATGTTGCAATATCTGCGGCACCTCCGAGAATGACGTGTGTATCCCCGCCCCCTCCTCAGCATGGCTCCTTCTGGGCTTTTACTGCTGTTTGCACAGTTCCCTCTAAAGTGAGCTTTCTTTTAAAAAGGGAGCAGGATCCCTCCCACATGCCACACGCCCCTCCCTAGCATCTCAGTCAGAACTCTGATTTGTTGCCAGATATATATTGAGTGCTGATTTTATGTCAGACACTGTTCTAGTCACTAAAGATGCTAAAGACAAACAAGGTCCCTGCCTCATGAGATTTACATTCTTACAGGAACAACAATAAGCAAGGATGTAAATGAGATTTGTATAATGTGCCATGAAAAAAACGAAATCAGTACTGTGGCAGAGAATAATTGCATAAGTGATTTATTTTGATGGTCAGGTATGGCTCTTCTGGGAGGGTGATGCTGGTGTTGAAATTTTGGTGATACCAAGGAGCCAGTCAAGATTTGGAGGTAGAGGAATCCCAGGAAAGGAGCAGCCAGCGCCAAGGCCTTATGTTGGACAAGCCAGATGACAGGGCATGGGAGAGTATGGTGGGCAATGAGATGAGAGAGGCAAGCACTGCCAGATCTCTGGGGCCTCGGGTTTTATTCTAGGTACAACAGGACACTGTTGAAGGGTTTTACTCGGGAAGTGACATGGTTATTTATGTATTTATTTATTTACTTTTTTTTTTTGAGATGGAGTCTTGCTCTGTCGCCCAGGCTGGAGTACAGTGGCACAATCTCAGCTCACTGCAACCTCTGCCTCCTGGGTTCAAGTGATTCTCCTGCCTCAGCCTCCCAAGTAGCTGGGATTACAGACACGTGCCACCACACCCGGCTAATTTTGTATTTTTAGTAGAGATGGGGTTTCTCCATGTTTGCCAGGCTGGTATCGAACTCCTGACCTCCGGTGATCCGCCTGCCTCAGCCTCCCAAAGTGCTGGGATTATAGGCGTGAGCCACTGCACCCAGCTATTTATTTATTCTTTATGTATTTATTTATTTATTTTGAGACAGAGTCTCTCTGTCATCCAGGCTGGAGTGCAGTGACGCGATCTTAGCTCACTAAAACCTTTCCCTTCAGGCTCAAGCAGTACAATCCTCCCACCTCAGCCTCCCGGGTAGCTGGGACCACAGATGCACACCACCATGTCTGGCTACTTTTTTATATTTTTGGTAGAGACAGGGTCTTGCCATATTGCTGAGCTGGTCTCAAACTCCTGAGCTCAAGCAGTCCTCCCACCTTGGCCTCTCAAAGTGCTGGGATTACAGGCATGAACCCACCATGTCTGGCCTTGTCTTATATTTTATTTTATATTTATTTATTTATTTCAAGATGGAGTTTTACTCTTGTCATCCAGGCTGGAGTACAATGGCGCAATCTCGGCTCACTGCAACCTCTGCCTCCCAGGTTCAAGCAATTCTCCTGTCTCAGCCTCCCAGGTAGCTGGGATTACAGGCGCCCGCCACCACGCCTGGCTAATTTTTAGTAGAGACGGGGTTTCACCATGTTGGCCAAGCTAGTTTTCAACTCCTGACCTCAGGTGATCCACCTGCCTCAGCCTCCCAAAATGCTGGTATTACAGGTGTGAGCCACCGTGCTTGGCCCTTGTCTTATATTTTAAAAAGATGACTTTGGGTGCCGTGTGGAGGGTAGACTGTAGGGACAAGGATGGAGGCTCATGCCTGTAATCCTAACACTTGAGAGGCTGAGGCGGGAGGATCACTTGAGCCCAGGAATTCAAGACCAGCCTGAGCAACATAGGGAGATCCTGTCTCCACAAAAAAAATAAACACTTAGCCAGGTGTGGTGGCACACACGTTAGTCCCAGCTACTTGGCAGGCTGAGGTGGGAGGATTGCTTGAACCCAGGAGTTTGAGGCTGCAGTGAGCCATGATCACACCACCGCACTCTAGCCTGGGCAACAAAGCAAGACCTTGTCTCAAAAAGAAATAGTCACTGGGCACGGCGTCTCACACCTGTAATCCAAGCACTTTGGGAGGCTGAGGTGGGAGGATTGCTTGAGCCTGGGATTTCAGGACCAGCCTGGGCAACGTAAGGAGATCTTGTCTCTCCAAAAACATTGAAAAATTAGCTAGGTGTGGTGGTGTGTGCCTATAGTCCCAGCTACTTGAGAGGCTGAGGTAGGAGGATCACTTGGGCCCAGGAGGTCAAGGCTGCAGTGAGCCGTGATTGCACCACTGCACTCCAGCCTGAGTGACAGCAATACCCTGTCTCAAAAAAATATACCATAGAGCTTGGGCTTTAGGGAAAAAAAAAAAAAAAAAAAAGTGGAGGTGATTTGATCAATTAGGAGCTCTGAAAGGACCCAAGTGAGAAATGACAGTGACTGGATCTGCGGTGGAGAGGGGCAGCATGGTTTCCCACATAAGATTCTCACATCTGTTCTTACCTGCTACCTACCCCTCTTGGAAATAGCAGTGTCCTGTAGTGGCCTGAGGCACATCAGTTATTCAGTCCCCATCCTCTTCCCTCTTGCCTACTTCAGGACCAGTTGCTCTTCTGTGATGACTGCGATCGTGGCTACCACATGTACTGTCTCACCCCGTCCATGTCTGAGCCCCCTGAAGGTAAGTTGCCCAGATCTTTTACTCAGAACAATTACTTTATTAGTTACTTGGAAAATACTGAGTTCTATGTTCTTTATGTTATCACTTACATATTCTTCCAAATTAGGGAGTAAAGCACCTTGCCTTGGCTCAGTTTAGAATGCCTTCCTAACATTTCAACTTAAAGGGTTTAGTGTTTGCACATTATCAGCTACATTTACAACAGAAAATCAACAGCCCAGAAGAAAGCAGATGCTGAGCCGAGATCAGGCACCCAGAAGGAATGATTTATTTTCTTCCAACCAGTCCAGAAAACTCAAGTGGTAGATTATCTGATGTGAAACTTCTGCAGTCAACTCTTGAAATTTGATAGATTTGAGCATTTATTTCCTATCCCTTCCCCTTCTGAACTGGGAAGGGACTTGACTTTGGAGCCTGAATGGGTCAGTCTGCTTCTCCGATAACTTACTGTAATAATGGTCCAAATTTATTAAAGCTATTCACTGAAACCAGTGGTGGCACCAAGAATTGGTTGCATCTCCACAAGTCCCCTTCCAGCTGGATTTCTGTACATAAACACCTCCTGTACAGAAATTGAGTAGCAGCTGGGCGCGGTGGCTCAAGCCTGTAATCCCAGCACTTTGGGAGGCCGAGGTGGGCGGATCACGAGGTCAGGACATGGAGACCATCCTGGCTAACACGGTGAAACCCCGTCTCTACTAAAAATACAAAAAAATTAGCCGGCTGTGGTGGCGGGCGCCTGTAGTCCCAGCTACTCAGGAGGCTGAGGCAGGAGAATGGCGTGAACCCGGGAAGCGGAGCTTGCAGTGAACCGAGATCGCACCACTGCACTCCAGCCTGGGCGACAGAGCGAGACTCCATCTCAAAGAAAAAAAAAAAAAAGCCAACAGAAATTCAGTAGCTTACTCAGAACACAAATGCCCAGGAGCTGTTACTGTGCACAAAGGATGTGGGCCAGCATTACAGGCAAGAGAAAGTGTTTCATTGTGTGATGTAAGCTGACTTGTAACATATCGGTCAAACTGCTGTCACCCCTCTAGAGAATGAGGCCCCTGACAATGTCTAAGAGTCCTTTAGCAGCTGTAGGGGAGTACTCAGCTTCTGTCAGGCCCAGTTTATGAATCTGCTTTGGGGAGAAGTCGCATGTTTATGTTTTGTTTTGTTTTGTTTTTTTAAACCATCAAACAGATGATCTATGTTACAGAATGGCTTTCCTATTAAAGTTCTGTGGGACATCGAGGTAGTGGAGAGCTGCAGGCCCGAGTGTCCTCACTGTAGTGTTAAGGCAGCTGAGGGGCAACCCCTAGAAGTATCAGATGTTCTAGGTCAGGGTCAGCAAGCTACAAGCTAAAACCTATGGACCACATCCAGCCACAGCCAGCTTAAATAGCTTGCAAGCTGTTTTGTTTTCTTTTCTTTTCTCTTTTTCTTTTTCTTTCTTTCTTTTTTTTTTTTTTTTTTGAGACAGTGTCTTGTTCTGTTGCCCATGTTGGAGTGGAGTGGCATGATCTCAGCTCACTGCAACCTCTGCTTCCCCGGGCTCAGGTAATCTGGTAATCCTCCCACCTCAGCCTCCTGAGTACCTGGGACTACAGGCATGCCACCACACCCGGCTAATTTTTGTATTTTTAGTAGAGACGGGGTTTTGCCATGGTGCCCAGGCTGGTCTCGAACTCCTGGGCTCAAGTGATCCACCCACCTCAGCTTCCCAAAGTGCTGGGATTACAGGTGTGAACCACTGCATCTAGCCTGAAGAAAATCCCCTTAAAAATATAAAAACTGGCTGTGCACTGTGGCTCGCATCTGTAATCCCAGCACTTTGGGATCTCTTGAGCCCAGGGGTTCAAGACCAGCCTGGGCAGCATGGCAAAACCCCATCTTTACTAAAAATAGAGAAATTAGCTGGGCGTGGTGCTGTGCGCTTGTAATCTCAGCTACTATAGAGGCTGAGGCAAGAGAATTGCTTGAATCTGGGAGGCAGAGGTTAGAGTAAGCTGAGATCACACTGCTGTACTCCAGCCTGAGCAACAGAGCGGAAACTCTTGTCTCAGAAAAAAAAAAAATAAAGGGAGTTAAAAAAAAAATGCATGAGACTGTATGTGGCTCACACACCCTAAAATATTTAACACTCTGGCTCTTTACAGAAAACTTTGCCAACCGTATTGACCTTTGGGTTAGAAAGGACTTACATTTTTGAGTCACCTGTTTCTGAAGAGCTGATAAAAGCCCTAGAATAATGTCCAAATGCGCATAGGTATAATTTTGCTTATCATTTCAAGGCATTAAGGACTAATTTTATTCAAAAAAAATTAGAAGAATTCAGCCATAGTCAATATTAATAAACAAGGAATGACCCAATTGTTTTTCATATAAGGGACAATTATTTTGTGTTTTTTAGTGAAACTACACAAGTCTTAAAACTGAGGTGCTTGACAAACTTCTGTCTTCCCAGGCCCTCTTCCTACTCCCAAAACTTCTGATTTAATAGGGCCAAGAGGGCCTGGGCATCAGTATTCTGAAGTCCTCTAGATGATTATTTCTTTCATCTCCATAGAGGATGATATTTCATAATATTTGAAGACTTAGAGGTTTATCCCAGCTCAGGAAACCATGGAACTTTCCTGCTGCAGAGCATCCCTCGTCCTACCTGTAGCTGATCCTGCTATAGAGATGGGGTATCAAGAGCAGAGGAATTGCAAGCAGGTGGGGATTGTGTGGGACCCATCCTGACCCCATTTTGCCTCTCTGCAGGAAGTTGGAGCTGCCACCTGTGTCTGGACCTGTTGAAAGAGAAAGCTTCCATCTACCAGAACCAGAACTCCTCTTGATGTGGCCACCCACCTGCTCCCCGACATATCTAAGGCTGTTTCTCTCCTCCACTTCATATTTCATACCCATCTTTCCCTTCTTCCTCCTCTCCTTCACAAATCCAGAGAACCTTGGGGTGGTTGTGCCAGCCTGCCTTTGGCAGCTGCAAGCTGAGGTGGCAGCTCTGACCACCTCTGGCCCCAGGCCCTCAGGGAGAAAGGAGCAACACACTGCCCCTAGGCGTGCGTGTGGCCCAGTTTCTCTCTGCTCTCCATTAAGTGCATTCACTCTGCTTGCCTTGGGCCCAGCCCCTGGTGATCACAGGGTTCAAACAGTGTCCTCCTAGAAAGAGTGGGAGAGCAGCTCACTTCTCTGTGTTCTGCCTCCCCTCTGGTCTCCAGAGTTTTCCTGTCCTCTAGAGGCAAGCCAGGCCAGGGAGCTGGGAGCGAGCAAGCTGAGGCCACGTCCACAAGGAGCTTTTCATGCCCCTGTGCCGCATAGCCTCACCTCTTTCCTCCAGAGTGGCTCTCTGCGGCCCTGTGTTCCTGCTACAGAGTGTTCTTTTCTGGAGTCAGGATGTTCTCGGTCACCCTCCTGGTTCTGCCCTGTCCCATTCCACCCCACCCCAGGGGGAACAGTAGCTTCACCTTGTTATTCCCATTGCTCTCCTGGCTCACTCTTACGGTCGGTCTCCAGTGACTGAAGCATTCCCCACCCTTGGAATTTCTCATCTTCTGCCTCCCTTCCTACTCCTTTTGGTTTTGTGGGGAGAGGGGAAGGATCAGGGGGCCAGGCCAGCAGCTCGGGGGCCACAAGGAGATGGATAATGTGCCTGTTTTTTAACACAACAAAAAAGCCTACCTCCAAAATCCCCTTTTTGTTCTTCCTGGACCTGGGCATTCAGCCTCCTGCTCTTAACTGAATTGGGAGCCTCTGCCACCTGCCCCGTGTATCCTGGCTCTCAGCTCATGGGGAAGCCACATAGACATCCCTTTCTTCCCTTGCACGCTCGCTAGCAGCTGGTAAGGTCTTCACACCCTGATTCCTCAAGTTTTCTGCTTAGTGGCACTGACATTAAGTAGTGGGGGGACAGTCCATGCCAGGACACCCTGGAGTAGCCTTCCCCCTTGGCCGTGGGCAGGCCCTAACTCACTGTCGCTTTGGAGTTGAGGTGTCTTTTTTTTTTCTTTCTTTAGTTCCTGTATTCTAAACATTAGTAAAAATAAATGTTTTTACACAGAGCCCTCTGCTGGATGGTTTATCTCCTGCCTTTCTCCATTAAGAAGGCCATTTCATCCTAAGATTTCCATGATGGTGGTTTTTTTTTTTAATGTTTTGAAATACAGCTTTTTTCCCCCCAAATTAAAATTTTTTTGTGGAACCCCAATATGTAAAGCGAATATAAAATTGGTTATTTTGTTTTGTTACATAAATTCAAGTTTATAACAATTCTTTGTTATAAAGAACAATGAAGCTGTTTTGATCAATACAAAATTTGGGTTAAAATCAACTTTAACATCTATTTTTATGTTTCAGTTGATTTGGAGAATTCTCCTAGTCTTGGATACATAGATGGAAGTGATGACAGGTTTATAACAGTTGACCTTGCAATCTCAGACATTTAAAACAGGACCAGAAGTTTATATAAATATAATTAATAAGCAAACTAATGACATCACCATGGGACACACACAAAAGTTCTTGCAGGAGCAGGGTCTGTGTGGCTTCAGTTGCCTGCAGCGCTCCCAGGCCAGAGCAAGTGCTCTAGGATCTGAACTGCCCGCAGTGCAGCCCTGCAGCCTTTCCCAGGGCACGTTGATGTGCACACAGTTTCCCTGAAGGCAAAGTGAACATGTGGAGAGCTTACGTGGCAGCGCGTATGTCTTCAGTGTGTGTTTTAGAAGTCCAACTGTTGTTTTTATGTTTTTAAAGGAAAGATTTGAATCAAGCAGTTATGGGCCCCCTGAAGTATCCTTTTTTCTAGAACATTCTGAAAGTCATCCTTGCCTATGGGAAGCCTAGGCCGGCCTGCACTGTTATGTTCAATAAATAAGCAGGGTGCTCTGGGCTGGGGATTGTGTGAGGAGCAGAGCGCAGCCCGTCCTCATGCTTTTCCACTGAAGTAGGCCAGGCAGAGAGGGAGTACAGCAATGGATGCGCTTTGGCAGCTGAGTAGTCCGAGAGCCAGAAAAGAAATGTGGAAAATAAGAACGCTGTAGCAGGCCTAGGTGAGGAAATTTAGGAAGGGTTTGCGGGAGGTAGGATTTGAGATGGGTCTTGGAGAGTTGGACAGTGTCAGCCGGTAGGACGGGGGTGCGGACGGAAGCCTGTGAGGAAGGCAGAGGATGCGGAGCTGTGAGCGGAGGGAGCAGCGAGGCTGGAGAGCAGCTGGGCTGCGGGTCAAGACGTCTGCGTTTAATTCGGGACTGAAGGTTAGCAGGGAAGGGAACGATGCCAGATCTTGAGTTTAAGAACTTGAATCTTGTAAAGTACCAAATCTAATAAAATACTCGTCCTAAATCATTACTGGCCCAAGCATGCAGTGTTTCCGTGGCCGACAGACTCGAGCCAGCGCTGTCCATGGTAACCAGCTTTTGTGTGGCTTAAAGCTTGCATCCATTTTCTCCTTTCATCGTTTTCCCAAAACAATTCCGTGAGGGCTGTTAGCCCTGCTTGGTAGACGAAGAAGCCGATGCGGTCTAGGGTCACGGCCAGGGAGGCTTTGGGACGCCAAGTCAGCTCGGCGGTCACCACACCACCTACAGGGCTCGTCGGGCCCTCGGGGTCGGCGGCTGCTGGAGGCGCCCAGGGGAGTCCTGCTGGTTCCTGGCTCCGCCTCCCGCCCCTCCGCGCTAGAAGCCCCGCCCCCAGAGGGGCTCGACGAACCGCCACTTCCGCAACGTCCAATGAAACTTAGCCGGGGGAGGGACGGGGCGCCACTGAGGACCAATCTGCTTGGGCCGGGGCGGGGCTGCGGCGGGTGGGTGCAGAGGGGCCGCACCGCGGACTTCGCAGCCGGGAGAGAGCCCGGCGCGGGCGGCGCGCACGGGACTCTGCTGTGCGCGCGCCCGCCCGCCCGCCGTCCGCGCAGGCCCTCGGTCCGCTCTGCCCTCGGGGTCGTGGCGCCCATCCCTCCCCTGTTCTGCTGTCGCCGCCCGGACAGGGGCTCGGGAGCCGGGCTGGGGGCAGGGGCTGGAGCCGCGGGACCAGCGCCTGAGGTGGGTGCGGAGCGGGAGGCCGGGCGGGCGGGCGCCTGGGGCCGCCCCGCCGACATACTCCGGGTCGAGGGGGAGTGACCGGCCAGGGCACGGAGTCCGGCTGCCGGCCTGCCTGGGTCCGGGCGTTCGTTCCCGCGCCCTGGGACCCTCCCAGGCCACCACCCTCCCCGCGGGGACACCCCGCCCCTCCGCTGCCCGCAGCCTCCTCAGGCCTCCCGCCCTTTGTCGCTCGTGCACCTGCGCCCTCGGCCCTGCCCTCTCGCTCCCCTCAGGACTGACCGTCGCCTAGCCTCCCTCTCAGGACCCGGCACCAAATTAGCCTCGCTCCTTCAGACACCCTCTGTCCCCTTTGTCGTCTGTACACCTGTCACCTCAACTCTGTGTGCATCCACCCACCTCCCACCCCCCAGCGGCGTCATCTGAATCCAGCCCAAGCCGCCTCCCACTCCCTCCCGGGGGCTCCTCCCCCGCAGCCCCGTAGCCCCACACCTGCCCCCTCGGCCCCAGTCCCAGGCCCTCCCCCGTCCGTATGCCTTTGTTATCTCTGCAGCTGTCCCCTGCACTTTTCATCCTTCTTCCCGAGTGAGGCCAGACCCCAGCCCAGACTCCCCTGTCCTTCTGAGTGGAGAGACGCCCCCTCCCCAGCTCTGCCCTGGCATCCTGGGGACGGGGCCAGCCGGCTTCCACTCGGCCTAGCCACTTCCTCTTTCAGCGGGTCCAGTCTCACCCGGTGCCTGCGCAAGTCCTCATCTAATCTCTTTTCCCTCCTGCGCTCCTTTCCTAGCTCTTCCGGCCTCAGATTACTCTACCCGCTCAATCTTTCCTCCCCGCACAGGTGCCCCGGAGAGGCCATGGAGCTGAGCAGCAAGAAGAAGCTTCACGCCCTGTCCCTGGCCGAGAAGATCCAGGTGCTGGAACTCCTGGATGAGTCCAAGATGTCCCAGTCGGAGGTGGCCCGGCGCTTCCAGGTTTCCCAGCCCCAGATCTCGCGCATCTGCAAGAATAAGGAGAAGCTGCTGGCGGACTGGTGCAGCGGCACAGCCAACCGAGAGCGCAAGCGCAAGCGGGAGTCCAAGTACAGCGGGATCGACGAGGCTCTGCTCTGCTGGTACCACATTGCCCGGGCCAAGGCCTGGGACGTGACGGGGCCCATGCTGCTCCACAAAGCCAAGGAGCTGGCCGATATCATGGGCCAGGACTTCGTGCCCAGCATCGGCTGGCTGGTCCGCTGGAAACGCCGAAACAACGTCGGCTTTGGGGCCCGCCATGTTCTTGCGCCTTCATTCCCCCCTGAGCCACCTCCCCCGGGGCTCACATCCCAGGCTCAGCTGCCTCTTTCCCTAAAAGACTTCTCTCCAGAGGACGTGTTTGGCTGTGCTGAATTGCCCTTGCTGTATCGGGCAGTGCCCGGCAGCTTTGGTGCATGTGATCAAGTACAGGTGCTGCTGTGTGCCAACAGCAGGGGCACCGAGAAGCGGCGGGTACTGCTGGGTGGGCTCCAGGCTGCCCCGAGATGCTTCTTTGGGATCCGCAGTGAGGCTCTGCCTGCCTCCTACCACCCGGACCTGGGCATCCCCTGGTTAGAGTGGTTGGCACAGTTTGACCGGGACATGGGACAGCAGGGCCGACAGGTGGCTTTGCTGCTGGCTGCCCGAGTGGTGGAGGAGCTGGCAGGCCTGCCTGGGCTCTACCACGTGAAGCTCTTGCCTCTGGCCGCCTCTAGCACCACGCCTCCCCTGCCCAGCTCAGTGGTCCGGGCCTTTAAGGCCCATTACCGACACCGGCTGTTGGGCAAACTGGCTGCCATCCAAAGCGAGAGGGATGGCACCTCGCTGGCCGAGGCCGGGGCAGGCATCACCGTGCTGGACGCCCTGCACGTGGCGTCTGCCGCCTGGGCCAAGGTGCCTCCTCAGCTCATTTTCAGCAGCTTCATTCAAGAAGGGCTGGCTCCCGGCAAAACGCCCCCGTCCTCGCACAAAACCTCTGAGATGCCACCAGTCCCCGGCGGGCTGAGCCTGGAGGAGTTTTCCCGCTTTGTGGACCTGGAGGGTGAGGAGCCAAGGTCTGGAGTATGTAAGGAGGAGATAGGCACTGAAGACGAGAAGGGGGACAGAGAGGGTGCCTTTGAGCCCCTGCCCACCAAAGCTGATGCCCTCCGGGCCCTGGGCACCTTGAGGAGGTGGTTTGAATGCAACAGCACTTCTCCTGAGCTATTCGAAAAATTCTACGACTGTGAGGAGGAGGTGGAGCGGCTTTGCTGCCTATGAAGGCGCCTTCACTGCTTGCCAGAGCCCCTTCCTCTCTTGTTTCCCATGGAAACGGCCTCTTCAGAAGGCAGATCGGGCTGTCTCTTTCCTGTGGAAATAGAACTGTCGTAAAGGTGTAGAAGGGAGAGAAGTTGGGACACCAAGTCTGAGCTTGGAGTGGCAGTCGTCCAAACCCCAGGAAGAGAGCTCTAAAGATGGGGCTTCGGGGGTAGGAATCCAGGATGCTTAGTTTCTAGACCCTGCTTGAAAGTTCTAGAGCCTTTGAAAGGGAGTTAGTCTAGAGGCAGCCACTTAGAAAGGTGGAATTTGGGCTTTTTGGACAGACTGCTTCCTTGAACTTTGTGTTAAAAACAGTTCTGCTTCTGAAAATAAAGTTTTTAATCAGAAAAGAGGCCAGGGTGTTATTTTCATGGGAGAAGGGTAAACATTTTCCATTCAGATTTGGAAAATTAATTGCTGATGGTCACTGCGGTGCAGCTGTCTGTCCATGACCAGTAGGGATCCTCCTTTTCCAGATATTCAGCAGCAAGGACTCTCAGGGTGTGGGCACTGCTTGTGGGCTACCCTCCTGAGAGGGAAGCTCCAGGACAGACAGATCCCAGCTACTGCCCCAGATAAGCTGCAGCTCCAATAGTTTCGCTCTCAGATTGTGTGTGTTTGGGGTTGGGCAGGCTACGGACATGTCAGGGAAACAGAAAGGAGCCGGAATTGGAATGGAATAGTCATTCATTCTTTCTTTTTTTTTTTTCATTTGCTTATTTCACAACATCACTTCAGCAAGACCTCCTATGTGAACAAGGTTGCAAAGATGATGTCTCTTCTGGACAGAACCTTGCAGCCAATGACAGTGGAGTGTGATTAAGGCTGTGATAACGGCTGTGCAAAGTGCCTGGCCCCATAGAGCTAGGGAGACTCCAGGGGGAGGTGAGCTTTGAGCTGCAGTTTGAAGGGCGTCCCAGGCCAAGGGACAGCGTGTGCAGAGTCTGATTGGAGTGAAGGAGCACAGTGTGCTGGGGGCGGGGGCAGGCAGTTCTGCCAGAGCATAGCATACTTGCGGAGGTAGGGGCAGAGTACAAGGAGAGACCTGGAGAGTAGGAAGGGCCTTTAGCCAACCAGGCTTAGGGGTAGGACACCATCAGAGGGTTTTAGGTAGGCAGGAACAAGTCATTCTTGGGGTTCTAGAATAACGGAGTCTGTGTAGGGTGTGTCAAAGATGTGAAACCTAGAGGCAGAGAGCCTCTGACTGATCCAGGTGAGAGAAGGTGAAGCGTGAGCCAGATCCTGGGAGTAGGATGTAAAGAAAATGGTTTACCAGCAGGGCGCGGTGGCTCACGCCTGTAATCCCAGCACTTTGGGAGGCCGAGGTGGGTGGATGACCTGAGGTCAAGAGTTTATAAGACCTGCCTGGCCAACATGGTGAAACCCCATTTCTACTAAAAATATAAAAACTAGCCGGGCGTGGTGGCACATGCCTGTAATTCCAGCTTCTCAGGAGGCTGAGGCAGGAGAATCGCTTGAACCCGGGAGGTGGAGGTTGCAGTGAGCCAGGATGGTGCCACTGCACTCCAGCTTGGGCAACAAGAGTGAAACTCACTCAAAAAAAAAAAAAAAAGAAAAGAAAAGAAAATGGTTTTACCTGGAAAGGATATGGGCTTTGGACGCAGATAGACTCTAGCTGGTAAAAATACAAGCTGCAGGCCGGGCACAGTGGCTCATGCCTGTAATCCCAGCACTTTGGGAGGCCGAGGCTGGTGGATCACTTTAGGTCAGGAGTTCAAGAGCAGCCTGGCCAACATGATGAAACTCTGTCTCTACTAAAAATACAAAAATTAACCAGGCGTGGTGGCACACACCTGTAATCCCAGCTACTTGGAAGACTGAGGCAGTAGAATCGCTTGAACCCACGAGGCGGAGGTTGCAGTGAGCGGAGATCGCACCACTGCACTCCAGCCTGGGTGACAGAATGAGACTCCGTCTCAAAAATAAAAAAATAAAATAAAAATACTGTCTGGGCACGGTGGCTCACGCCTGTAATCCCAGCATTTTGAGAGGCCGAGGCGGGTGGATCACCTGAGGTCAGGAGTTCAAGACCAGCCTGGCCAACATAGTGAAACCCCGTCTCTATCAAAAATACAAAAACTAGCCAGGTGTGGTGGCGAGCGCCTGTAGTCCCAGCTACTCAGGAGGCTAAGGCAGGAGAATCGCTTGAACTGGGAGGTGGAGGTTGCACTGAGCCAAGATAGCGCCACTGCACTCCAGCCTGGGCGACAGAGCGAGACTCCCTCTTGAAAAAGGAATAAATAAAATAAAAATACGGGCTCCAGGCCAAAATCCTAAGGGTGACCTTTCAGGCTTCACCATTGGCAGTCACAAGACTTTTGCCTGGCAGTCCTCATGGAGGGAAGCTGCTCTCTCACCCCAGCTTGGTGCATCGCCTGTGCATTGCAGGTTTCCGGAGAGAGTTGCAGTCAAGGACTCCAGGCCCCCAGACTGCCCTGTTCCTAAGCTCACCTGCATTCCTAGCTGGGCACCTCCATTTGGAGACCTGGGCTGAGGCAGTTTCCAACAGCCTTTACCAAGACCTCCTTACTGGGAGCAATGACTGAGATCCTTTCTCCGCTTCGACTCAATACCTCTCATTCCATCCTTTCTCCGCTTTGACGCAGTACCTCTCATTCTATCCTTTCTCCGCTTTGACTCAGTACTTCTCATTTCAGCCCTTCTCCCCTGCCTCCCTACAGCCCACTTCAGGTCAGGTCTGTAAAAAGGCAGGAGCTTTTATTCTTTTTATTCTGAAACTCCTTGACGATGAGACTGTTCCTGTCTGACCCTTGTCCCGTGCTGCTCTGTAAAATGGAACGCTGGGGAGCTGGGGCCTGTTTTTGCCCCTTGCTTGTAGGTTTTAGTGAATGAAAAGAAGCTTTTGTGTTACTTTCAGCTTGCTTCGTTGTCCTAATTGACCAACTCCACACCTGGCAGCTCGAACTAACAACTCCCTTTCAAACACTTATGAAGCCACCTGCGGGCCTATCATTTTCTAGGCTGAGATCCCAAATCATTTAGCCTTTCCTCACAGAAGTCTATTTTTTCTACCCTGAATTCATATAAATTGTTCTTTTCTGAAACCTTTCCAGTTCTGATGTATCTCATTTTATTTTATTTTATTATTTTATTTTATTTTATTATTTTTGAGATGGAGTCTCCTTCTGTCACCTAGGCTGGAGTGCAGTGGCACGATCTTGGCTCACTGCAACCTCCGCCTCTCGGGTTCAAGTGATTCTCCTGCCTTAGCCTCCTGAGTAGCTGGGATTACAGGTGTCTGCCACCATGCCCAGCTAATTTTTGTATTTTTAGTAGAGACAGGGTTTCACCATGTTGGTCAGGTTGGTCTCAAACTTCTGACCTCAGGTGACCCGCCTGCCTCGGCCTACCAAAGTGCTGGGATTACCCAGGCGTGAGCCACTGCGCCCGGCCTATTTATTGTTTGTTTGTTTTGAAATGGAGTTTTGCTTTTGTTGCCTAGGCTGGAGTGCAATGGCACGATCTTGGCTCATCACAACCTCTACCTCCTGGGTTCAAGCAATTCTCCTGCCTCAGCCTCCCGAGTAGCTGGAATTACAGGCACCCGCCACCACGCCGGGCTAATTTTGTATTTTTAGTGGAGACAGGGTTTCTCCATGTTGGTCAGACTGATCTCAAACTCCTGACCTCAGGTGATCCGCCCACCTTGGCCTTCCAAAGTGCTGGGAATTACAAGCGTTAGCTACTGCGCCCAGCCCATATCTCTTTTTATTTTATTTTATTTATTTATTTTTTGAGACGGAGTTTTGCTCTTGTTGCCCAGGCTGGAGTGCAGTGGCGCGATCTTGGCTCACTGCAACCTCTGCCCCCAAATTCCAGTGATTCTCCTGCCTCAGCCTCCAGAGTAGCTGGGATTACAGGCACGCGCCACCACGCCCAGCTAATTTTGTATTTTTAGTAGAGATGGCGTTTCTCCATGTTGGTCAGGCTGGTCTCAAACTCCTGACCTCAGGTGATCCACCCACCTCGGCCTCCCAAGTGCTGGGATTACAGGCGTGAGCCACTGCGCCTGGCCCTATATCTCTTTCTAAATGTTGAAATCAAAATTACAGGCTGGGCGTGGTGGCTCACACCTGTAATCCCAGCACTTTGGGAGGCCGAGGCGGGCAGATCACCTGAGGTCAGGAGTTCGAGACCAGCCTGACCAACATGGAGAAAACCCCGTCTCTACTGAAAATACAAAATTAGCCGGGCGTGGTGGCGCATGCCTATAATCCCAGCTACTCAGGAGGCTGAGGCAGGAGAATCACTTGAACCCGAGAGGTGGTGGTTGTGGTGAGTCGAGATCACGCCATTGCACTCCAGCCTAGGCAACAAGAGCAAAACTCCATTTAAAAAAATAAAAAAATACACAATCTCTACAGGTCTTACCAAAGCAACAGAGAGCAGATAGATTAGCTCTCTGTCCTCAGGTGTCCCACTCCTGTCAAAGTAGCAGAATATAACACAATGCTGTACAGCTGGCCTCTTCCCGGAGCTTTTTAAAAAGAGCCATAATTAATCTCTTCCTTCCTTGAATCGCTATCATATGGCAGACATTTCCCAATTGCAGGTAACTTCATCTGCTCGTGCAAGCAGTATTCCCGAATGCTTAGCTTGTGGCTCAGGCCCTGTTCTGGGACCTTAAAGTCAATGGTGAACAAGACAGAGAGGATCCCGTCTGTCAGGGCCCTTACTTTTTTTGTTGTTGTTTGTTTTTTGTCTTGTTTTGTTTTGCTGTGTTTTTTCAGACAGAGTTTTGCTCTCGTTGCCCAGGCTGGAGTGCAGTGGCGCCATCTCAGCTCACCACAACCTCCGCCTCCCGGGTTCAAGTGATTTTCCTGCCTCAGCCTCCTGAGTAGCTGGGATTGCAGGCGTGCGCCACCACGCCTGGCTAGTTTTATATTTTCAGTAGAGACAGGGTTTCTCCAATGTTGATCAGGCTGGTCTCGAACTCCCAACCTCAGGCGATCAGCCTGAGTCGGCCTTCCAAAGTGCTGGGATTACAGGCGTGAGCCACCATGCCCAGCCAAGGCCCTTACTTTTTAGAAGAGGGAGAGCAAGAGCAGACATTAAACCCATGAGCACAGTCATTTCAGACAGCGAAAGGTGTCAAGATGAAAATAAAATAATGATGTCAGAGAGAGTGACAGGGTGCGTAGTCAGGAAAATGACCTGTGAGCTGCGTTGTGAATTTCTCTGCAAAGGGAACTGTGGGTACCAATCCAGGTGGTTAGAAACAGCTTCACAGGGTTAAGAAACAGAAAGCAGTGCCTGTGGCCGCAAGTGAGGGAGGCCAAGGAGGGGAGGAGGTCAGAGAGGTGGACAGGGGCCTTTCACCAGGGAGTGTTTAGGTTGCATTCTAAGCAAAATAGGAAGTTGGTTTGCCTTTTTTTTTTTTTTTTTTTTTTTTTTTTGCAGGGTGGGTTGGGGCTGTGTGGTTCAGATAAAGGAGGAACAAGATATGTTTTTTTGTTTTGTTTTTTGTTTGAGACGAAGTCTCACTCTGTCTCCAGGGCTGGAGTGTAGCGGCGCAATCTCAGTTCACTGCAACTTCTGCCTCCTGGGTTCAAGCGATTCTCCTGCCTCAGCCTCCTGAGTAGCTGGGATTACAAGTGCCCGCCACTACGCCCAGCTATTTTGTGTGTGTGTGTGTATTTTTAGTAGAGACAGGGTTTCACCATGTTGGTCAGGCTGGTCTCAAACTCCTGACCTCATGATTCGTCCATCTGGGGCTCCAAAAGTGCTGGGATTACAGGCGTGAGCGATCGCGCCCAGCCGCAAGATATGTTTCATGTGTGTGTTTTTGGTTTTTTGTTTTTTCTTTAAAGACAGAGTCTCACTTGGGTGCCCAGGCTGGAGTACAGTGGCACAATCATGGCCCACTGCCACCTCAAATTCCTGAGCTCAAGCAACCCTCACTTCTCAGTCTCCTGAGTGGCTGGGACTACAAATATACAAGTGTACACCACCATACCTGGCTAATTAAAAAATTTTTTTTTTGGTAGAGAGGGTGTCTCTCCATCTTGGCCAGGCTGGTCTCAAACTCCTGGTCTCAAGCAATCCCTCAGCCTCCCAAAGTGCTGGGATTACAGGTGTGAGCCATTGCGCCCAGCCTATGTTTTTGTTTTGTTTCGTTTTGTTTTGTTTTTGAGACGGAGTTTCACTCTGCCACCCAGGGTGGAGTGTAGTGGCCTGATCTCGGCTCACTGCAACCTCCGCCTCCCTGGTTCAAGCGATTATCTTGCCTCAGCCTCCCGAGTAGCTGGGATTACAGGCGCACGCCACCTAGCCTGGCTAATTTTTTGTATTTTTAGTAGAGACGGGGTTTCATCATGTTGGCCAGGCTGGTCTCGAACTCCTGACCTCAGGTGATCCACCTGCCTCACCTCCCAAAGTGCTGGGATTACAGGCGTGAGCCACCACACCTGGCCTATGTTTTATGTTTTTAAAAAGTCTCATTCTAGTTGCTGCGTGAAGAACAGATCGGCAGATGGGGAACAAATGTGGAAATTCAGGACCAAGTAAGTTAGGAAGCTCCCACAGTTGCTTGGACATCCTAAGAGGTGGGATAGAAAGGAAAGAGAGGCAGCAAAGGCAGCATCTACTATTCCCAACAGACCTCATCTTTTATCAAGGCCAGGCAATCCTATCCAATTATGCAAGTGTTGCCACATGCAGAGCAAGGCAGGGGAGGGAAGGACAAAGACGTTATGTGTTATTTCAGTGTATTTCCAAGCCTCTAATGAACACCCTCTATGTTCAGATGGCACCTAAGGCTCCCAGGCAACAAAGATAAGGAAGACACAGTCCTGTTCCTAAACTGCCCTCAAACTAGAGAGAGAAATAGAAAATTACCTGTAATATACGTCAGAGAACAAGACAGACAGGATTGCTCCTCTTAAGGCCCTTTAAACAAATCAATATTTCTAAAGTGCTTACTACTGGCCAGGCACTGTTTTATTTATTTATTTGTTTACTTATTTATTTTATTATTATTATGTTTTTAGATGGTGTTTTCCCTCTTGTTGCCCAGGCTGGAGCGCAATGGCGCGATCTTGGCTCACTGCAACCTCTGCCTCCCAGGTTCAAGTGATTCTCCTGCCTCAGCCTCTCTAGTACCTGGGATTACAGGTGCACACCACTACGCCCAGCTAATTTAGTAGAGACGGTGTTTGACCATGTTAGCCAGGCTGGTCTCAAACTCCTGACCTCAGGTGACCCACCTGCCTCCGCCTCCCAGAGTGCTGGGATTACAGGCATGAGCCACAACACCTGACCCAGTCCCTTTAAATATATACCCAGAAATGGAATGGCTGGATCATATGGTAGTTCTATGTTGCATTTTTTGAGGAAATTCTACACTGTTTTCTGTAACAACTGAACCAAGTACGTCCCCACCAACAGCGTGCAAGGGTTCCTTTTTCTCCACACCTTCACCAACACTCGTTATCTTTTTTTTTTTTCTTTTTTTTTGAGACAGAGTCTCGCCCTGTCGCCCAGGCTGGAGTGCAGTGGTGCGATCTCAGCTCACTGCAAGCTCCGCCTCCCAGGTTCACGCCATTCTCCTGCCTCAGCCTCCCGAGGAGCTGGGACTACGGGCGCCCGCCACCGCACCTGGCTAATTTTTTGTATTTTTAGTAGAGATGGGGTTTCACTGTGTTAGCCAGGATGGTCTCGATCTCCTGCCCTCGTGATCCGCCCGCCTCGGCCTCCAAAAGTGCTGGGATTACAGGTGTGAGCCACCGCGCCCGGCCGCTGATTTTTTTTTTTTTTTTTTTTTTTTTGAGACGGAGTCTCGCTCTGTCGCCCAGGCTGGAGTGCAGTGGCGCGATCTCGGCTCACTGCAAGCTCCGCCTCCCAGGTTCACGCCATTCTCCTGCCTCAGCCTCCCGAGTAGCTGGGACTACAGGCGCCCGCTACGGCGCCCGCTACCGCGCCCGCTACCACGCCCGGCTAATTTTTTGTGTTTTTAGTAGAGACGGGGTTTCACCGTGTTAGCCAGGATGGTCTCGATCTCCTGACCTCGTGATCCGCCCGCCTCGGCCTCCCAAAGTGCTCGGATTACAGGCGTGAGCCACCGCGCCCGGCCTTTTTTTTGTATTTTTAGGAGAGACGGGGTTTCACCGTGTTAACCAGGATGGTCTTGATCTCCTCACCTTGTGATCCGCCTGCCTCAGCCTCCCAAAGTGCTGGGATTACAGGCTTGAGCCACCACGCCCGGCCTATCTTTTCTTTTCTAGGCCGATGGAAGGTGATATTGTGGTTCTGATTTCCATTTCTCTGATGATTGGTGATGTTGCACACTTTTTTGTAAACTTGTTGGCCATTTGTATGTCTTCTTTCAAAAAATATCTGTGTAGTTCCTTTGCCTTTTTTTTTTTTTTTTTTTGAGACAGAGTTTTGCTCTTGTTGCCCAAGCTGTAGTGCAATGGTGATCTCAGCTCACCGAAACCTCCACCTCCTGGGTTTAAGTGATTCTTCTGCCTCAGCCTCCCGTGTAGCTGGGATTACAGGTACGTGCCACCATGCCCAGCTAATTTTTTGTATTTTTAGTAGAAATGGGGTTTCACCATGTTAGCCAGGCTGGTCTTGAACTCCTGACCTCAGGTGATCTGCCTACCTCGGCCTCCCAAAGTGCTGGGATTACAGGCGTGAGCCACCTGGCCACCCATTTTTAAATTGAGTGATTTGGTTTTTGCTATTGAGTTGTGTGAGGGAATTTTTTATTAGTTGGACTTAATCTCTGGAAAACCCGAAGATCCTGATTTAGAATGCGTCCTGTTTGAAAAATGTGTAGTTGCCGGGCGCGGTGGCTCATGCCTGCAATCCCAGCACTTTGGGAGGCTGAGGCAGGTGGATTACCTGAGGTCAGGAGTTCAAGACCAGCCTGAGCAACATGGTGAAACCCTGTCTTTACTAAAAAATACAAAAATTAGCCAGGCATGGTGGCGGGCGCCTGTAATCCCAGCCACTCGGGAGGCTGAGGCAGGAGAATTGCTTGAACCTGGGAGGCAGAGTTTGCAGTGAGCCAAGATCGCACCATTGCACTCCAGCCTGGGTGACAGAGCAAGACTCCTTCTTGGAAAAAAAAAGAAAAGAAAAAGAAAAATGTGTAGTTACTCCCACAAGACACAAGGGGACACTACTAGCATGATACATTCGTTTCCTAGAGGCCGACATCCCAGACCTGAAGGGAGTACAGGGAGCAGGCAGGTCGTTCTGAATTCATGGGTCCAAGTATTCCTAAGTTTTTTCCACCACAAAGGAAAGGGGCAGGGTTTGTTTATCAATTCCCTTTACTGGTGGGTGGAGGTTTTCTGGTCTACCTTTCACTGCATGGGTAGCCCCTTCCAGGATCCATAGGAATCTACTATGAGCCTTGGTTTCAGCTGCCCCACCATATGTGGACTCAAGGTCTAATTTGTTCCCCGTGGTTCCTTAATCTCCAAGGTCATGGAGTTATCAGCATTTGGCCCAGGGGCTGCCCCAGTTCCAACACCCTGATTTACACCCTTTCTTGTTTTGAAGGGATCCTTGGGAAATTCCCTTACTTTTTGCAAAGTTAGCAATGGTTTTAAAACTATGTTTGTTTGTTTGTTTATTGAGACAGGGTCTCCTTCTGTCGCCCAGGCTGGAGAGCAGTGGCAAGACCATGGCTCACTGCAGTCTCAAACTCCTGGCCTTAAGCAATCTTCCTGCCTCTGCAGCGGGATAATTAAGGAATCAGAGAGACCCAGGGGTTGAAGAGGATTTATTTAATTATTTAGGTGCACCGACCCAGTCGGATTAACATCCAAAGGACTGAGCCCCGAACAAGGAGTCCGGTTACCTTTTAAGCATTTAGTGGGATGGGGGGAGATTTGTGCAGGGGGAAGCATATTACAGAAACGAGAAACAAAGACAGTTATTTAAGACATGCATTACATTATTTCTAACTTTTCAAGGAACAGCATGTTTTATGACTTGAGATTATCTGTTTAGTGACCTTGCAGCTGCACAGCTAGAGAAACAGAGTTCACAATGCCTGGGAAAGGGAGAGATAAGGCTCACTAGCCACAGAAAGACAGGCAGTCAATTTTTTTTTTTTTTTTTTTGAGGTGGAGTCTTGCTCTGTGGCCCAGGCTGGAGTGCGGTGGCACGATCTCGGCTCACTGCAAGCTCTGCCTCCCGGGTTCACGCCATTCTCCTGCCTCAGCCTCCCGAGTAGCTGGGACTACAGGCGCCCGCCACCACCACACCCAGCTAATTTTTTGTATTTTTAGTAGAGATGGGGTTTCACCGTGTTAGCCAGGATGTTCTCTAACTCCTGACCTCAGGTGATCTGCCCACCTCAGCCTCCCAAAGTGCTGGGATTACAGGCATGAGCCACGGCGCCCGGCCTGCTTACACATTTTTAAATTTCTTTTAATTCTTATTCCACCTCAGCTTCCCAAAGTTAAAAATTATGTTTATTATCACTGATAGAGAATCTAATTGCTTTCCAGTAGGCGGGGACTACATAAATTCTGGAGCACCAGCCTGCCACAGGGTAAGTGGGGAAGACCAGCTTGCTTCCTTTTATTTATTCATTCACTCATTTGTTCAACAACTATTTATTTATTTACTTATTTTTGAGACAGTGTCTTGCTCTGTTGCCCAGGCTGGAGTGCAATACGTCTTCATGGCTCACTGCAGCCTCAACCTCCCAGGCACAAGCGATCCTCCCATCTCAGCCTCCTGAGGAGCTGAGGCCACAGCTGCATGCCACCATACCCAGGTAAGTTTTTGGGATTTTTTTTGGTGTTTTTTTTTTTTGTTTTTTTTTTTGAGACGGAGTCTCACTCCGTCACCCAGGCTGGAGTGCAGTGGCATTATCCTGACTCACTGCAACCTCCAGTTCCCAGGTTCAAGCGATTCTCCTGCCTCAGCCTCCCAAGTGACTGAGACTACAGGCATGCACCACCGTACCTGGCTAATTTTTATATTTTTAGTAGAGACGGGGTTTCACTCTGTTGGCCGGGCTGGTCTCAAACTCCTGACCTCAGGTGATCCGCCCACCTCGGCCTCCCAAAGTGCTGGGATTACAGCATGAGCCACTGCGCTTGGCCATTTTTTTGTATTTTTGCAGAGACGGGGGTCTCGCTATGTTTTCCAGGCTGGTCTCAAACCCCTAGGCTCAAGTGATCCTCCCATCCTGGCCTCCCAAAGTGCTGGGATCACAGGTGTGAGCCATTGCACCCAGCCAACAACTATTTACTGAGCACCTCTGTATGCCAGCTAGAGTTTTGTTTTGTTTTGTTTTGTTTTGTTTTTTTGAGACGGAGTCTTGCTCTGTCGCCCAGGCTGGAGTGCAGTGGCGCAATCTCGGCTCACTGCAAGCTCTGCCTCCCGGGTTCACGCCATTCTCCTGCCTCAGCCTCCCGAGTAGCTGGGACTACAGGTGCCCGCCACCATGCCCGGCTAATTTTTTGTATTTTTAGTAGAGACAGGGTTTCACCATGTTAGCCAGGATGGTCTTGATCTCCTGACCTTGTGATCTGCCTGCCTTGGCCTCCCAAAGTGCTGGGATTACAGGCGTGAGCCACCACGCCCGGTCTACCAGCTAGAGTTTTGACAAGAGCTAACACAGGGGTCTCTGCTTCCCAGACCTCATAGTTTAGAGGAGAGACAGATATAACCTAAGGGTTACACGAATGAGAGTGTGTCATTATAGAATGATGAAGGGGGACAGTGTGAGAACATGGGCCAGTGGTTCTCAAGGCGTTGCTCTCAGCAGCAGCAGCAGCAGCATCTGGGCAACATAGTAAGACCCTATCTCTAACATAATGGAAGGCAAATCTTGGACCCGCCCCAAGCCTACTGAACCAGAAACTCGAGGGTGGGACCCAGCAATTTGTATTTTCACAAACTCCCCAGGTGATTCCAAACAACAGGCATAAGTCAAAGGAATGTGATCAAGGTTTCCATAAGGAAGTGTGGCTGAACTGAGAGCTGAAGGCTGGGTGGGAGGCACACAGGCAGGCAGAGGGCATGTGCGGCTGGGCACAGTGTCTCATGCCTGTAATCTCAGCACTGTGGGAGGCCGAGGCAAGACGATCACTTAAGCCCAGGAGTTCAAAAACAGCCTGGGCAACATAATGAGACCCCATTTTTACAAAAAAAAAAAAAAATTAAAAATTAGGCTGGATGCAGTGGCTCATGCCTGTAATTCCAGCACTTTGGGAGGCCGAGGCAGGTGGATCACCTGAGGTCAGGAGTTTCAGACCATCCTGGCCAACATGGTGAAACCCTGTCTCTACTAAAAATACAAAAAATTAGCCAGGCTTGGTGGTGGGCACCTGTAATCCCAGCTATTGAGGAGGCTGAGACAGGAGAATTGCTTGAACCAGGGAGGTGGGTTACATGAGCCGAGATCAAGCCACTGCACTCCAGCCTGGGCGACGAGCAAAACTCTCAAAAATAAATAAATAAATAAATAAAATTAGGCTGGGCATAGTGGCTCATGCCTGTAATCCCAGCACTTTGGGAGGCCGAGGCGGGCGGATCACCTGAGGTCAGGAGTTTGAGACCAGCCTGACCAACATGGAGAAATCCCGTCTCTACTAAAAATACAAAATGAGCCGGGTATGGTGGCACATATCTGTAATCCCAGCTACTCGGGAGGTGAGACAGGAGAATCACTTGAACCCAGGAGGTGGAAGTTGCGGTGAGCCAAGATCACACCATTGCATTCCAGCCTGGGCAACGAGAGTAAAACTCTGTCTCCAAAAAAATAAATAAATAAATAAATAAAATATAAATAAAAATTAGCTGGGCAAGGTGGCACACACTTGTAATCCCAGCTACTTGGGAGGCTAAGGTGGGAGGATACTTGAGCCTGAGAGGTTGGGGCTGCAGTGGGCTTTGATCCTGCCACTGCACTACAGCCTGGGCAACAGAGCGAGACTGTCTCAAAAAACAAAAAAGAAGGGCATGTGCAAACGTCTTGTGGTGGGAGGGAGCCTGATGTGCTTACGGAACCAAGAGAAGGTGCACGCCTGCAAGCCTTGCAGGCTGCGGGAGGGAGCTTGCCCTGGTTCTGCAGAGGACTGGGAAGCCACTGAGGAGCAGGGAGACTTGGGGAGAATTGTACTGCCAAAAGTTAAAGTACCTGGGCCAGGCGCGGTGGCTCACGCCTGTAATCCCAGCACTTTGGGAGGCCGAGGCAGGCAGATCATGAGATCAGGAGTTCAAGACTAGCCTGGCCAAGATGGTGAAACCCCATCTCTACTAAAAATACAAAAAATTAGCCGGGTGTGATGGCGGGTGCCTGTAATCCCAGCTACTCGGGAGGCTGAGGCAGAGAATTGCTTAAACCCGGGAAGCAGACATCGCAGTGACCCGAGATCTTGCCACTGCACTCCAGCCTGGGCGATAGAGCAAGACTCTGTCTCAAAAAAAAAAAAAGTTAAAGTACATGTTCAGATCTGAGACAGGACCAGGGCTGTGCTGTTAGGATTGGTAAAGAGGGAGTCGAGGCCAGATGCAGTAGCTCATGCCTGTAACCCCAGCACTTTGGGAGGCTGAGACAGGAGGATCACTTGAGCCCAGGAATTCGAGACCAGCCTGGGCAGCATAGTGAGACCCCCATCTCTAAAAAATTGGGAAGGAGTAGAAATCTTTCAAAGGGTTAAGAGGAGTTAGAGACTCTTTTGGCATGGCGGGGGTGAAGAGGGAGAGCTCCTCTGAGGCATCGGCCTGGGCTGGGAGCTGAGGGCAGCAGGGCGGGCTGGGGAACTTGAGGTGCCTTTGGGACATCTAAGGATGTGTGACCAGAGACAGCAGTGTGGGCCTGGCACTCAGGAGCCTGAGCAGGCTGGAGACACCAGTTAAGTCACATTCACAGCATGGACCCCCTTGGCTCAGCTGTTTCCTGAGTCTGGTCAAAGTTATTTAAGCCAGAGTCATCTCGTGGTTGTGTCATTTCCCCCTTTCCCTGCGCATGTAGCTTTCCCCAGGCTGGAGTGTGGTGGGGAAAGCCACAGGGAGTGTCACTATACACATAAGTTAGTCTCCTGGAATTTCTTCAGCTGTGGTCATTGCTAAAAAAAGAAGTATGACGCTGGACAACAGGAGTCCAATGGGACTTTATTTAACATGTTTGCTCAAGTTATCAGCTCTTTGCAAGTGACTGACAGACACCACCTCCTTTGTAACCTCAAAGCAGGTTCACAGACTATCTCCTGGTTCTTAGGGATTTCTTCTGTCGAAAAGAGTTCTCAAAAATAACAGCAACCTGAGATACCATCTGTTAAATCCTTAAGCAATTTCGCATGCCTTATGAGACCCTGCTGATTAAAAACATCTAGTTTTGTTTTCTTTTTTTTGAGACGAAGTCTCGCTCTGTCATCCAGCCTGGAGTGCAATGGCGCGATTTTGGCTCACTGCAACCTCCGCCTCTCTGGTTCGGGTGATTCTCCTGCCTCAGCCTCCCAAGTAACTGTGACTACAGGTGCGTGCCACCATGCCCGGCTAATTTTTTGTATTTTTAGTAGAGACGGCGTTTCACTGTGTTAGCCAGGATGGTCTCGATCTCCTGACCTCGTGATCTGCCCACCTTGGCCTCCCAAAGTGCTGAGATTACAGGCATGAGCCACGAAGCCCGGCTAAATTTTGTGTTTTTTGAGATAGAGTCTCTCTCTGTCACCTAGTCTGGAGTGCAGTGGGGCAATCTCAGCTCACTTCAACCTCCACCACCTGGGTTCAAGAGATTCTCCTGCCTCAGCCTCCTTAGTAGTTGGGATTACAGGCATGTGCCACCACGCCTGGCTAATTTTTGTGTTTTTAGTAGAGATGGGGTTTCACCATATTGGCCAGGCTGGTCTCGAACTCCTGACTTCAGGTGATCTGCCCACCTTGGCATCCCAAAGTGCTAGGATTACAGATGAGAGCCACCATGCCTAGCCAACATCTAGATTTTTAGAATCTCTCTGGCCCCTTCCTGCCCCATCTTTGTCTTTCTGCCCTCCCCTCCAATAGTGGCATCTCCTCCTGGGGCCACTGTGCAGGAGTGAGTTATTTGCTCACTAATCACACCATACTAAACCCTAAACTCACTCCAGGACTGCTCTCCCAGCCCAGTGGGTAGCCTTTGCCATGGATTGGTGGAAGGAACTTGGGCCTGGAACTCCCTGGTCCCACCTGAGTCTGGCCACTCTCTCTGGCTGTAAAGGTGGAGTTTAGAGGACGGGCACTCCAGGCTCTTTAGGAGACTCCTCTAGATAGAACCAGAGAGGGAGAATGGGAGCCCATTTAACTAAAGCCAAAAAAAATAGATTTTTTTCATTTTACTCCCTTGCTGTTTTGTTGTTGTTGTTTTGAGTTTAGGAGCAGAGGTTTAATAGGCAAAGGGAAAAGGAGAACAGCTCTCTCTCAGACAGAGGGGCACCCAAATGGGAATTCCCGCTAACTGGTAATTTGATGAGAAATAGCAAACAACAGAGGACCACTCTGACCTGTCCTCCTGCCTACTTCCTGCACTGTTTATAGGAGCCCACCTCCTCCTCCTCATGCGTCCTGTTTGCTTCCTTCCAGCCACGGGCTGCCCAGTGGTGTTCTGACACCTGCTGTACCATCGCTGCAATGTCCAGCCTGGAATCCCTGGCGCTGCGGTGGTGCTGGATGGGCTCAGAGATGGTCCGATCAGAAGGGATCACAGAGGAAAGCTGGGGGTGGTGGCTCACGCCTGTTAATCTCAGCACTTTGGGAGGCTGAGGCGGGCGGATCACTTGAGGTCAGGAGTTCCAGACCAGGCTGGCCAACATGGCAAAACCCCGTCTCTACTAAAAGTACAAAAAAATTAGCCGGGCATGGTGGCATGCACCTGTAGTCCCAGGCAGGAGGATCACTTGAACCCAGGAAGCAGAAGTTGCAGTGAGCCGAGATCGTGCCACCGCACCCCAGCCTGGGTGACAGAGCAACACACCATCTCAAAAGAAAAAAAAAGGGATCACAGAGGAAACTGAGGCACAGGAAGGGCAGTGCCTGCCTCAAGGCACCTGGGAACCGGCCTCAGGTGGACCTTGTGTTTTCCATAGGAGGAGCAGAGACTGCTAGAAACTAGGAGTTCGAGTCTCTTCCACCATACACCTTTCTCAGCCCGAAAGGGCAGCACATTCCCACGATCAGGAGCCCCCAGAACACCGATTCTTAAACTTTAGCATGTGTAGAAATCCCTGGGAGAGCTTTTCACAACACAGATTCCTGCGCCCCATCCTCAGAGATTCTGATTTGGTAGGTCTGGGGTGGGGCCTGAGATGCTGCATATCTTTTTAAAAATTATTATCATTATTATTATTTGAGACAGAGTCTTGCTCCATCACCCACGCTGGAGTACAGTGGCGCAATCAAAACTCACTGCAGCCTCAACCTCCCAGGTTCAAACAGTCCTCCCACCTCAGTCTCCCAAGCAGCTCTGTCTACAGGCACAGTGCCACCACACCTGGCTAATGTTTAAATTTTTGGTAGATACAAGGTCTCACTATGTTGCCCAGGCTGGTCTTGAACTCCTAGCCTCAAGTGGTCCTCCTGCCTCGGCCTCCTAAAGTGCTGTAATTACAGGTGTGAACCACTGTGTCTGGCCAGATGCTGCATTTCTAATAAGCTTTGCTCCATGGACCACACTTGGATTACCACTGACTTAGAAACTCACAGTACCTTACCCACTGAGTCAGGATGAAGCTTGCTAAACTGTTGCAACAAGGGCCTAAACTGTTGCAACAAGGACAGAGCCAGGTGCCTCACGCCTGTAATCCCAACGCTTTGGGAGGCCAAGGCGGGTGGATCACATAAGACCAGGAGTTCGAGGCCAGCCTGGCCAACATGGTGAAACCCTATCTCTACTAAAAATACAAAAACTAGTTGCAGATGGCCTCCAGCCATCTGCAGCACATGATCTGGTGAAGGAGAGCTCTGATGAGCACGTGACGTAGTATGGTCCCGGCAGGTCTAGCCCAGGGTGGTGTGGGGGGAGTTGAACTTAGGTGACTCGCAGAAGACCCCCATGTGCCCAGGTGGAGCAGGGTAGCCATGTGCCCAGGTGGAGCAGGGTAGCTAAGTAACTGGACACTGCGGCTGGAAGCTCAGAGGCATCTAAGCAAATTGTATGATTTACCCGCGGTGTGACCTAGGACAAGTTACATAATGTCTCTGAGCCGAGGCTGCCTCTCTATCAACTGTGATCATAACACTGTGATTGTTTCTACAGGGAGCCCCCAGTAAATGGCAGGAATTCAGGTCACCATGAGGTGGACTCACGTTGATCTCAGACCAGATAGGGACATTAGTGGGTACAAATGGCCCTTGATGCTCAATTTTGTTGTCAGTTAAAAGAACCCTCTCAGCCAGTTTTTAATTCCCACTGAGCAAGTGAGATGGGTAAAGAAAACAACAGTGGCTCACACCTGTAACTCCAGCTCTTTGGGAGGCCAAGGTGGGAGGGCTATCTGTGCTCAGGAGTTCAAGACGGCCTGGGCAACATAGTGAGACCTCCTCTCTACAAAAAAATTAAAAATTAGCCAGGTGCGGTGGCACACACCTGTAGTCCCAGCTACTCAGAAGACTAGGGTGGGAAGATCACTTGAGTCCAGGAGTTCAAGGCCACAGTGAGCTATAATGGCACCACTGCACTCCAGCCTGGGCAACAGAGTGAGACTCTGTATCTAATAAAAGAAAAAATAGAGAAAAAGAAAAAGAAAACAAGCACCATTGGCTGGGAGTGGGCAAAGCAGACAGACCCCCAGCTCCCAGCATCCTCCACTGCAGGTGACCTCGAGAAGGGTCAGAGCAGGAAAATGGGGGCTGGGAGGTTCAACAGAAAGCTGTGTGGCAAGACCAGGGAAGCAGGTGTGGCAGCTGGCGTGAAGAGACAGGTCAGGAGTGCAGTCGCATCATTTAACGAGCATTTATTGCACACGTCTGTTCAAGCACCAGGCTCAGGCTGGAAACCATCCAAAGCGCAATCCCTGACCTCAGGCAGCTCACAGTCCAGTGGGGAAGCCGAGAAGCAAATTAATGACTCTGAAGAAGCGCAGGCAAGTGCTATGATCAAGGCATGTGTGTGGGTAGGGTGTCTGGGAACCCCAAAGTCAGCCTCAGGTGGGGAGGTAAGTCAAGGAAGGGTGAGGGGACTGGGCTCAGCCTGGGTCTCGGAGGAGAGCGGGGCCAGCCCCGGGGATGGTAGAGTCAACCTGCCAGGCACTGTGCACTGCTGGCCAGGCCCGGCCAATGAGAGCACAACTTGTTCAGGGTCCAGGAAGCAACCCCAGGAGAACAAAGCCTCGTGGGGAGGGAGGAACCTGGAGGGTGGAAGGAGTTTGGGCTTTTCCTGAAGGTGATGAGAGCCACTGAAGGATTCTGGGGGAGGAGACATAGGGTTATCCTGGGTCATGGGGGAGAGAGCTTTGAAAGGCAGGGAGGTGGGAGGCCGCAGGGACTCTCAGAAGTGGAGTCTCAGAGCTCCTTAAGAGGTGAAGGCAGCCGGGCGCGGTGGCTCACGCCTGTAATCCCAGCACTTTGAGAGGCCGACGCGGGCGGATCACAAAGTCAGGAGATCAAGACCATCCTGGCTGACATGGTGAAACCCTGTCTCTACTAAAAATACAAAAATTTAGCTGGGTGTGGTGGCGGGCGCCTATAGTCCCAGCTACTTGGGAGGCTGAGGCAGGAGAGTTGCTTGAACCCGGAAGGTGGAAAGGCGGAGGTTGCAGTGAGCCGAGATCACGCCACTGCATTCCAGCCTGGGTGACAGAGAAAGACTCCATCTCAAAAAAAAAAAAAAAAAAAAAAAGAGGTGAAGGCACAGGACAGGAGCTGGGATGTCACCAGCACCACTTGCCAGCTCACTTGTGCCTCATGCTCCCTGTTTCACAGATGTGGGAGGCAAAGGAGTCAAGGCCAGCTACACAGGGAGGCTGCACAGGCCCCCTGGCTTCCGGCTCCCACAGGTGTCTGCCCAGCCCAGATCTGCGCGGGTGGGAGGCACCTTGGTTAGGAAGGGCTGAGCCTCTTGCACTGATTTGCAAGCTTTCAACCTGGCCTCCAATCTCAAACTGGCCTCCAGGCCGTGGGCCTGATGGGGAGCTGCTGGCATTGCCGCAGGGCTCATCCCCACCAGCGGAGGAGATATTCGTAGCTGAGGAAGGTGACAGCATTGACGGGAAAGGCGCGGGCACTGTTGATGGTGACCCCCCGGAAGAAGACTCCCAGTCCTTCCTGCCGGATGCTGCTCACCATGCAGTCCAGCATCCCCTGGTACACTCTGCGTCTCAGTCCATCCATCTGCATCCGGGACTTGATCATGTCTAAGGGCGTGGCTGCCACCCAGGAAGCAATGCCTGCAAAGCCCCCTGCCACCAGCACCGTGGCTGAGCCTGGGGCAGAGAGAGCCCAGAGCAGGGGTCAGACCCAGAACAGAGCATCCTCCCCAGACCCTAGTTTCCTTCCCCAGTCCCCGCTGGACCCTGCCTGCTACCCACACCTCTGTCCCCCATCCTCTCACGCCACTTTACTTACTGGGATTCTGGCCTTCTGGTGTGTACTGGCGACAGAGCCCTTCATAGGTGATGAAGTAGATCCCCACCGTGGGGGTGTCCCTCAGCGTCAGGGCCCAGGCTCCTCGGAACAGCCCCCGGGGCCCCTCCTCCCGGAAGATGGAGGCTGCACAGTGCACGGGCCCCTGGTACCGGGGTGGGGGGCTCCCTGGCTGGGCCCTTGGCTCTGTCTGGTTTTGTAGCCGGACTTTGATGAGGTCAAAAGGAGCCAGACAGTAGGCCTGTTGGTGATGAAACATGAGGGCCCCGGGTGGGGCTTTGGGCTGGGAACTGGCCCCTTATATTCACAAGAGGAAGGAGGCAGGCAGGGGGCCACATCTTCCAGTCCCTCAGGAACCCTGCCGGCACCCAGCCTCTCACGTGCATGTGTGGCTGGGATGGCCAGGATGTCTGCATGCGACCGGGACAGGCCACCTCCCTTGGCATCAGGCCCAAGAGTGAGAGGCACTGCCCCTCATGCAACAGTGACCAACTTGCCTGGCCTACAGCAGGCACTCAGAACAAGCCTGGATTCTTTTTGCAGGAGCAGGTTGGTTTCTGGCCTCCCTAAAGCCGGCAGTGAGCATACCTGTACGGTGGGCAGGGCCAAGTGAAGGATTCAGCCTGTGACTGTGAAATAGCAAAGAAACCACCCTTTCCCAGGGTGAAGGAGGTCCCCTCGTGAGTGCTGTTCTCCTGCGCCCACCTCTCAGAGGCCCGGAGGGGCACAAGGCCAGCCCCTCCTGCCTCCAGAGAGGCAAGACTCCTTCCCATTAGCATCCCACCAAAGAGGCTTCTGAGTGTGGGAAGGTGGGTAATGGGGGGACTTGGCAGGTGCTAGGGCTCTTAGAATCGGCAGAAGCAGATGCTACACAGATTTGGGATGGAATTGGGGCTGGAGTCCTGGTGAGGGTCAGTGCTGGGGGGATGTAGAGGGCGATGGGGGCAATTAAGATTTGGGTCAGAGATGCCAGTAGGTCAAGATAGCTTTTGGAGTCCAGGTGAGAATCGGGGTCCATGTCAAGGCTAGCCTGTCTCTGAGGGATTTATCTGTTTTTTGCTTGTTTGTTTTGTGACAGGTACATGGGCTCAGTTCCTCAGCCCTGGAGATGGCTGATGGCGACGGGGGCTGGCGGTCGCCTCTGGTGGTGGGTGGTGGTACTTAGGGTGTGGCAGGCCAAGTCTTCGCTTGTTTACTTTGGTCCCAGGAGTAAGGGTCGTAGGTTAGGTACCATCCCTTGGGAGATGGGGCCTTGTGCCACCCTCTAGAGCGTGCTGGCAGGGCTGAGCTCAGGGCTTCAGGAGGTGTTCTGAGCCCTGAGCTCCTGGGGGCTGAGGACAGGGCTAGGCTGACACCAGGTGACAGACACCCCCACAGGGGTGGTGGAGTGTCAGATGCCATTTCAGAAGGTCAGCTTCGGCGAAGACCAGGGCAACGTCTGTGCCCGTCAGAGGCTGTCAGTCCCTGCCTCTTCTTCCCACTCCACACTAAAACACATTTTTCCTTTAAGACTCTGTTAAACTAAAGCCACAGGTTTCACTGTAAACCCAGGCTCCATCAGCGGCCCTCACAGTCCCCACTTCTGCTTTCCAAAGAGCTGGGGGGGCAGGGTGACTTAGAAGCCGGGCCTGGCCACTTAGCTTAGGGCTTCGGTTCTCTTCCTTGTGTTTGTGGGATGTGGCTCGCGGGGCTCAGGAAACCTATAGGTGGCACCTCGCACAAGAAGGGGCAGAAGAAAAGCCGGGGCCTCCGGGGGTCTCATTAATCATTAATTCATTTGAAGGAGCAGCCTGACTTTGTCCTTTGTCCTTGCTCTCTGCCCCATGAAGTGTGACAAGGAACTGGGGGCAGCTGCCCAGGAGAGGGCGACCCTGGCTTGCGGCTGGGGTGTCAGTGGGTGCCGGGCGCACCCTCTCCCTGCTTATGCTCACAGGACCCATTCAGCACCGGTTCCCACTGGCGGCAGCTGGTCCCTCTTCCCTCCATCCACCCCTCTAAAGCCCAAAGCCCAGATGACGGCAGTGCCTGAATGGTTAATGCCCTGCTGGGCTGGGCCTCAGGTGAGGCTCCCAGGTCATGGGCACCCAAGCACTGCAGGCAAAGTGTAGAGCCAGGCAGGGCCAGGGGAGTGTCAGGACCTCATCAGGACCCGGCCAGAGGGGCTGGGCTCACAGCTCTGCGGGGTGCTGGTGGTTCTCCAGGGTCAAAGGTCTCCTTGGGGAGTGGGCTCCCCACAGCTCTGAGGCTGGCAGACCCCTCTGGAGGGGGGCAAGCCCCGTCAGCTGGAGCGAGTGGCCCAGGCTGCTTCTCCCAGCACCCTCTTGGCACTGCCCACCAGCTGTCTCTGCCTTTTGCCCCCTCTGTTCCCCACAGCCCTCCCCCAGAGGCCTGCAGCCTGGAAGGCCATAGCACAGGCCTCTTGTTCCCCTCCAAGAGGCCTATGCCTCCACAGCTGTGGGTCGCCAGGGCAGGGTGGGAGAGGACAGATCGAGATGACCATCCCTATGACACCTGTGTGTGCCCACTCACTGCCCCCTCACCTGCAGGAACCCCCCGGTGCAGCCCGCTAGGAAGATGTGCATGTAGCTGGGCGGCTGGGCCCGCCGCTCCTGGTGGGAGGTGGCCGTGAGCACCAGCAGGGTGTTGCTATAGACCCCAAACAGGACAGAGTTGACCACAGCTATGCTGGCAATGGGGAAGCTCATTCCCTTGAAGAAGCCCAGGAGCTGCAGAGAGACACAGTGGCAGCGGAGTAGGCACCGTGGGGCCTCCCCTTTGTCCTCTCCACCCCTGGCAAGGCAGCCTCTGGCTGGAAACTGCTCCCAAGTCCTGCCACAGGGAAGTGGGGACAGGCAGGGATGGGCTGAGGCTGCGCCTCTGGGGTGCTAAGCTACCACCCAGGCCCCCCAAGGATCCCAGACTTGGTCTTCTCTCCTCCAGGAGCAGAACCCTGCTGGAGAGGGAAGCTGGTACCAACAGCCCCAGATGCCTCCCCGAAAGGGGAAGGACCCCAAAGGAGTGGGCCACTCACGGACTCATGGCGGTAAATCTTGACCATGCAATCAACGATGCCCCGGTAGGTGGTCTGGGTCTGCAGCCTCACCTGGGTGGGAGGACAGAGCAGGTAGGGTGGCGGGATGGGCAGGTGGGCCAACCTTTCCCTCTGCCCCCTCAAGCGGGATGCCAACCAGCAGGAGAGGCAGGAAAGGCAAGATTAGCCAGGCCTGATCTCAGGGCACCCTGACATTTGGGTCAGGTGAGATCTTTCATTCCTCTGGCAGCTCTCCTAAACTCACCTTTACAGTGTCAAACGGGTGTCCCAGGACCAAGCCCAGAGCGCCTGTGGTGACAAGAGGGTGCTATGAGTGAGGGCCCTCGTGCCAGGCCCAGGAAGCAAGTCTGTGCCAAGAGGAAAGAGGGGTTCAGGCAGGAGGAAGGAGAGCAGGGCCATCTCAGACACATGCAGCCACCTTCCTGCCAAGCTCTAGAGACTCCAGCTGCCCCTGCCACCCCCTCCACACAGGCACTGGGCCAGGAAGGCACTGGGACAAGGGACTAAGACCCCAGGCCCCACCTGAGGATGCACACCCAAGAGGGAAGAGCCAGCCAAAGACGTACGTGTCCTCGCTGGAGCCCATACCCGGGTATCCCACCGCCTATGAGCCGCGGGACTCTGGGAGAATCACCCAGGTTCCCACCTCTCCGAGAGCTTTACTCTTCTTTCTTCAACTCATAATGTCGTCGCCGGGATCCAGAGCAGGCCCTGCTGCCAGCTGGCCACGCAGAACTGCAGGGCCCTGATGGGGGTCATGCCTGGGCACCTGCAGAGGAGCTTCTCCCCTCCCCTCCACCTGCCCACTGCCTAGCCCTGCCCTCCACAGCAGAGGCTGGTTCTGGAGTTTGGGGGAGGTCGCACCCCCAGGAGGCAGGTTCAGAACGTCCCTCTCTTTCTCCTAAGAGGAATGCCACCCAGAAGCTGGGCTGGGACCACAGCACAACAGGCCTCAGGGCCCGGGACTGCGGCCCACAGCCAGGTGGGGCAGAGGCCCAGAGGGGACTCAGGACAGCAGGTGAGGTCAAAGGTGAACTTCCTTTGTAAGCCCAACAGGGTGGGCCTGGAGAGCAGGGCTCAAGGTATAGGGTGCTCACCTGGCTCTCCCGCCCTCTGCAGGTGTCAGGCAGAGTGGCCTTGGAAGGCAGAGGCAGCACCCTCCCACCTGTGCCTTCCTCTCTTCTTCCCATCGGCCACTCCCCAGAGGACTGGGGACAGCTGGCTCTGGGGTGCTCCACGGAACCCAGACTTTTTTTTTTTGACACAGGGTCTTGCTGGTGTTGTCCAGGCTGGAGTGCAGTGGCATGATCATGGCTCATTGCAGCTTCAACCTCCTGAGCTTAAGGGCTCCTTCCACCTCAGCCTCTGGAGTAGTTGGGACCACAGGCGTGCGCCACCGCGCCTGGCTAATTTTTGTATTTTTAGTAGAGACGGGGTTTCACCATGTTGGCCAGCCTGGTCTCGAAATCTTGACCTCATGATCCACCTACCTCAGCCTCCCAAAGTGCTGGGCTTACAGGCATGAGCCACCGCGCCCAGCCTCTCATTTCTTATAAAGACAGGGTCTTCCTATGTTGCCCAGGCTGGTCTCAAACTCCTGGCCCCAAGTGATCCTCCTACCTCAGCCTCGCAAAGTGCTGGGATTACAGGTGTGAGCCACCATGCCCTGATTCTTTTTTTTTTTTTTTTTTTTTTTTTGTGGCAGGGTCTCATTCTGTCACCCAGGCTGGAGTGCAGTGGTGCAGTCATAGCTCACTGCAGCCTTGAACTCCTGAGCTCAAGCAATCCTCCTAAGTAGCTGGGACTACAGGTGTGAGCCACCATGCCCAGCTAATTATTTTGATTTTTTTGTAGAGACAGGGGCCTCCCTATGTTGCCCAGACTGGTCTCAAACTCCTGGGCTCAAGTGATCCTCCCGCCAGGCCGGAACTCAGACTTTGGTCTCTGCTCCTCCCATGTCACCCATCTTCCCGAGGAAGTGACCTACCATTGGGTGTGATGTGACAGAAGGAAGAAAAATGTCTCACCAGAGATCCAGCCAGCCACAAATTCCTCCACCGGCATTGTCTGGGCTTGCGGGAACTGGTGGCTCCAGCAGAGGAGACAGAGTTGAATTCCCCCCTCTCCCTCCCCTGGCCCACGCTGATAACCTCCCACTAATGTTTAACCCTGGCGGGAAGGTGAGAATTGGCCTGGTGCCCAGACCTCCGGCAACTGGCAGAGGAGAGCGAGCCAGTTCCGGTGACCCTGGCCACCTGGAGGAGTCGTGCAGAGTACAGTCTCACGGGCCAGGCGTGCCGGGACCACAGAGGCCCTGATCCCCGAGCCCGGCCAATGATCCTCGCTCTGAGGATGGCAACTGGGTTCCTGCCCCATGGTCGGGCCCCTCCAGGGCTGCCTTAGTCAGCAAGAGGCAAGCCCCTGCCTGCCCAGCCAGCCCAGCTCCACTCCCATTCATCTCCACCAAGGGGCATGGCCGCCCCCATGCCACAGAGAGAGGCCGGGTGCGGAGGTAGCGTGGCCACCAGGGGGTAGGCCCAGCCCGCATTTGCCGCTGCGTGGCAGGGTGGGGAGGAGCCACTCCCAGGAGTGACTCACCAGGCCTGGCTGTTCTCTTCAGGGTTGTTTACGACTCCCCCGACTCCCCCGTGTGAGTCAGAAACACAGCCTTCCTCGGCTTCCTCCTTCCCAGGGGAAAGATAGGGGTTTTGATTATTTAAAGTGCGTGTTGATCTGCAATGGCACCATTCTGCTCAGTCAAAACCAAAACCCTTTCAAGGATCTGTGAGCCACAGGGTGCCGCCCATTCTCCTCTGACCTCACGTCCTGCCACCCACCCCCTTGCTTTCTCTGCTGCAGCCACCCGAGCCTCCAGACTCTTCTTCAGTCAGCCTTCTGTCTCCAGGCCTGTGGACTGGCTCTTCCCTCTTCCTGGGCACTCTTGCCCTGGCACCCCTCCAGCTGGGGCTCAAATGTCACCACCTGGGTGAGGTCTGCCCCGCCTCCCCAGCCGGAGGCACTGCTGGCTCTTCCTCTCTTTCTCCATCACAGTTATCACGCCAACATACGATGGGAAGAACTTGTCTGTCTGGACAGGGATCTCTGGGTGTTCTGTGCACAGCGGGTGGCACAGGGTGGGCTCTCAATAAATCCTGAGTGACTGAATGAACGGAAATGTCAGCCAGCAGCATCAGCGGCAGCCTGGGGCTCCAGTTCCCTCTTCCCATCACCAAACGGCCCTGGGAAACATCAAGGCCCAGTGACACCTGCACCCTCCCCTCCAGATCTCCCCGCAGCTCCTAGTCTCCCATGGGGGACGCCCAAGGCCCAGTCCTTCTCTCCCTTCTCCTCTCACTGTGGCCAAGGCAGAACCCACCCACCCCTGCTGCTTTCTCCCGGGTGGACAGATTCGGGAAACAGGACCTCCTACCTCCTGCCTCTGGAGCTGCCTGGGGCTCCTTGGGCCACCCCCAAAGATCATCCTAAAAGACCATCCCCAAAGACTGGCCTCTCGTGGTGGCTTGGGCTGCAGTCCTGGTTCTGCTTCTTATTCCTGAAACTGCCTTTGCAAAAACTATAACTGATACAGGCCAGGCGCAGTGGCTCACGCCTGTAATCCCAGCACTTTGGGAGGCCGAGGCGGAAGGACCACCTGAGGTCAGGAGTTCGAGACCAGCCTGACCAACATAGTGAAACCCCATCTCTACCAAAAATACAAAAATTAGCCGGGTGTGATGACGGGCGCCTGTAGTCCCAGCTACTTGGGATGCTGAGGCAGGAGAATCGCTTGAACCCGAGAGGCAGCTGTTGCAGTGAGCCAAGATCATGCCACTATACTCCAGCCTGGGCAACAGAGCGAGACTCCGTCTCAAAAAAAAAAAACAAACAAACAAACAAAAAAAAAACCCTCCTGTCTCTCGTACAGCCAGCTCTGCATGAATTAAACTCTCCTTATTGCAATTCCCCTGTCTTGACAAATTGGCTCTGTCTAGGCAGAGGGTAAGGTGAACCCAATGGGCGGTTACATTATCTCTCTCAGTGATGTTGAGCAACCTCTTCTGTGGGCCTTGGGGTCTATTATTGTTTGCCAAAGTAGGACAGCAGTCGGGCTAATTGATGTCTAAGCCTCTCAGCTCTAAAGGCTGGAGGCCGCCTCCTCCCTCACTTCAGAATGGGTCTCATTCTCTTTTCCAATCTCACCGCCTCACCCCAGTTTGAGAAAGACCCTCATTCCCACTTCCCTACAGCCTTGCTGAAGGGAAGCCCACCTAAGCATGGCGTCATCTTGTGAATCTCTAGCTCACAACCTCCAAAATGTTCTTACTGTCTAACACGCCTGCCCCATATCTGTCATCCTGGGGTTCAAGGCCTCCCCCATGGTGCCACCCACCTGCTATGCTCTCACACAGCGGGGGTCTTTCCTGGGGTCCTAACCATGCTCGTGCAGTTCCCACTACCTGGAATGCCTTTCCTTCCCCACCATCAGCCTCCCGGACTCTCTCCCAGTGCCCCTCCTTGACTAGACCCGGGTTCTAGCCTCCCCACCACCACCGCAGACACTCCCAGGTGTCAGTCTTTGACATAAAACAGAGATGTGATACTCACCTCTTAGTGAGTTCTAAGGATTAAAGCACTTTAAAAAGTGGCTGGCACGTAAATGGCAACTGCTAATACTTATTTCCACTCTCAGGACGCATGAGAATGACACAGGAAACAGGGGAAAGGGCCTGGCCCAGTGCCCCACACACAGCAAGTGAGCAGAGACTTTTCCTGCCTGTAGCATTTCATAGTTCTTAAGGCAATGCTGTCATCTTCTGTGGTTTTATTTATTTTTTTGGAGACAGAGTCTCACTGTTGTCCAGGCTGGAATACAGTGGCAGGATGGCGCTATCAGAGCTCACTGTGAGCTCACACTCCTGGGCTCCAGCGATCCTCCCACCTCAGGCTCCTGAATGGCTAGGACCACAGATGTGTGCCACCACACCTGGCTAATTTTTGGGTTTTTTACAGATGGCGTCTCACTATGTTCCCCAGGCTGGTCTTGAACTCCTGGCCTCAGGCGATCCTCCTGCCTCGGCCTCCCAAAGTGCTGTGGTTTTAAATGTGCTGTTCTCCTGGGCTTCTTTCTCTTTCCCCTCTTCCTTAACTCACCAATTAAACCACAACAGACACTTTCTGAGGGCAGGGCCACGTCTCCCCTCAGTCTCCATCCCCTGACCTAGCACAAGCCCCGCATCCAGTAAGCATTCAAAACAACACTGAACTCTTCTGCTCCTGCTTCACTCCAGCTGGGTCAAGAGGCCATGGAGATACAGTGTGTCCTGGTCTGAGGGTCCCAGAGCTGAGAACCAGGAAGGAGATGCCTGCCCCCACTGGACACCCTTCCCTGCAGCCCACATCTGAGCTTCCTCAAGTCCTTAAGTCACATTGGCAAGGCAAATGTGATGTCATGGGCTCAGCTGTGGGGCAGTGTGGATCATAGGAGGGCAGGCAGAGCTGGTTCACATACCAAAGAAGGCTGGACTGGGTCAGGAGCTAGAGCTGCTTTCCAATCCCAGGGAACCAGGGCAAAGTGAACCCACTGCCCTCTGTTCCTGATCACCAAGCCCACTGCTGTCACTTGGGACAACTTCTGGTTCCTCTGGCCCCAGAAGGTGCCCCATGGACTTATTTTTCTCCCTGAGTTCCACATCTCAGATGCACACATGTTGCATTACCAGGACATGTCAGTGACATGGCCCTGAGGGTAGGTGGTTTCACACCTGCCTCTTTGGGGCCCCAAGTCTCCTCCCAGCCTGGGAAAACCTCAAGGTCTCCCAGGCTGTTGTGTAAGATAGTAAGGGCTCATGTCACTGCTCCCTGGAAAAACAGAGTGTCTGTCCTGGTTTTCTGATTTAGACATATATATATAAATTTTTTTTTTTTTTCAGACGGAGTCTCGCCGTCGCCCAGGCTAGAGTGCAGTGGTGTGATCTCGGCTCACTGCAGGCTCCGCCCCCTGGGGTTCACACCATTCTCCTGCCTCAGCCTTCCCGCGTAGCTGGGACTACAGGCGCCCGCCACCTCGCCCGGCTAATTTTTTGTATTTTTAGTAGAGACGGGGTTTCATCGTGTTAGCCAGGATGGTCTGGATCTCCTGACCTCGTGATCCGCCCGCCTCGGCCTCCCAAAGTGCTGGGATTACAGGCGTGAGCCACCGCGCCCGGCCGACATAGACATATATTAATAATCATTTAGAGAGTAGGGATAGTCCTTGGGGGTCATTCAGTTCAACCACCTCATTTTACAGATGAGGAAAACTGAGGCCCAGAGGAGAAGGGACTTGTCCAGGATGAGTCTGGGCCAGGACTCATTCTCCTGACCACTGCCGAGAGCGCCACGGTACAGGCCGCTGCCAGCGCCGCATGGATCCCTGGCACGTGCCAGGAAGTGTCCATTTCACAGGCAGGGAACTAGCCCGAAGACCCAGCGTGGGCAGGCCAACGCCCCTAGCCTGATTCTCGAATCTTCGCCAAACCCTCTTACAGGCCAACAGTCGGGGCCTTTGTGAAGGGAAACTCGCTCTGGGTCACTCTGGTGGTGGCGGGGCTGGTACGTGACGCGGCCACCCCACGGGCGTGATGAGACACGCGAGGCTGGCGTCCGGGCATGCGCGGGCCGCGCGGGGCGGCCCTGGGCTCCCATTGGCTCCCCCGGGTCGAAGGGGGCGGGGCCTCGGGCGCCGCGCTTCCTCCCGCCGTGGCTTCCGCGTCGCTTCCCGGTCAGCTGCGTCCTTAGCGGGAGCCCGAGTGCGGGCGGTGGCGGGCTTGGCGGCGGGGCAGGATTCCAGGCAGGAGCCTTGCCTCTCAGGTGGCGGGCTCTGCGACCCTGCGAGGTGAGAGCACAGCGACGTCTGGCCCGGGCCTCCGTCCCCGGCTGGGCGTGCGCCTTGCCCTGCCTGGGCATCCAGGTCGACCCCCGGTTCTTGACCGTAGCAACCCGCACCCCTCCCACCAGCGCCCGGTCTGCACTCTTGGCCCCTCCAGGCAGCGCCGCTCAACCTTGCGGACCCAGCCTGGGATCCCTTACCGTACTCACCGAGAGCTTGAGGAGACCTCCAGCCCCCCATCCCTGGCTCCCGGTAACTGCTGTTTCTCTTTGCCTTTGCAGATGGACGGGACAGAAGGCAGTGCCGGGCAGCCCGGCCCCGCTGAGCGATCCCACCGAAGCAGCGTGTCCTCCGTGGGAGCCCGAGGTGGGTCCCACCCGCATCTCCTCTTCCACACCCTCCTGGGACCCCAGCCCTGGAGAAGTAGCTCTGGCTTGTCTTCTTTTTCATTAAAGATAATTTATGTATCGACTAAGAAATAATAAGGTACATTCAGATGTGGAAAACTCACAGAAGTCAGAGGCTCTGTCACTAGTTTACTGGCCAGGTTGGGTCCTCGCTCTCATTTGTAAAATGAGCTTGTTTAACATAGCTGTGAAATTCAAATGAGATTATATGAATGAAAAGTGAAGGCTGATGTGGTTCATGCTTGTAATCCCAGAACTTTGGGAGGCCAAGGTGGGCAGACCACATGTGCCCAGGAGTTCGAGACCAGCCTGGGCAACATAGACAAAAAAGAAAGTGACACGTTCACTTTCTTTGTGTCATTTCTTTTTTTCTTTCTTTCCTTTCTTTCTTTCTTTGACAGAGTCTCCCTCTGTCGCCCAGGCTGGAGTGCAGTGGTGCGATCTCAGCTCACTGCAAGCCCCGCCTTCGGGGTTCACGCCATTCTCCTGCCTCAGCCTCCCGAGTAGCTAGGACTACAGGCGCCCGCCACCACGCCTGGCTAATTTTTTGCATTTTTAGTAGAGACGGGGTTTCATCGTGTTAGCCAGGATGGTCTCGATCTCCTGACCTCGTGATCTGCCTGCCTCAGCCTCTCAAAGTGCTGGGATTACAGGCGTGAGCCACCACACCCGGCTGTGTCCTTTCTTTCTCCCAAACAGCCTTTTGAAAGCAGGGATCAGGCTGGGCGTAGTAGCTCACACCTGTAATCCCAGCACTTTGGGAGGCCGAGGCGGGTGGATCACTTGAAGTTGAGAATTCCAAGAGCAGCCTGACCAACATGGAGAAACCCCTGTCTCTACTAAAAATGCAAATTAGCTGGGCGTGGTGGCACATGCCTGTAATCCCAGCTACTCAGGAGGCTGAGGCAGGAGAATGACTTGAACCTGAGAGGCGGAGGTTGCGGTGAGCTGAGCTCGCACCATTGCACTCCAGCCTGGGCAACGAGGGTGAAACTCCGTCTCAAAAAAAAAAAAAAACAGGGATCATATCATGATCTTCATTTGATAGGGAGGAAACTGGGCCCTAGGGAGGTTAAGTCCCAGGCAGGCTGTGGAAGCTCTCCAGGTGATTACATACTGCAGCTTCTGGTGCCTCAGTTCTTGCCTGAGAAGTAGATCTGAACCTGAGCCTCCTCGAAGTGATTTTGTGATCTCTGAGAGTAGCTGCTGGAGCATAACAGACTGGGGGTCCGAGGAGCACCTTCTCTTGTGTAGATGAGAAACCGTGCCCTTCCCTTCCACACACTCTTGGAGGGAGGAGTATTAGCTCTACTTTTACAGATGAGGCAACTGACAACTTAAATTGACTCCCTGAAGTTGGCCAGCGACCAGGCAAGGATGGGAACCCGAGTATGTCGGCCCCAAACTCCAGTGTTCCTTCACCATGCCTGCAGTCTCAGGGATGGGGATTTGAATCTGGTTGCTCTTCCAGGTGTCTCCATTTGGCTCTGGAACCCACAAGTTGTCACAAGGGAACTCTCAGCTATTTGGGCTGTTCTTCCCTAGCCTGCTTCGTATTGACTCCTGAGGCTTAAAGAGTCCTCAGACTTAAAGAGTCCCAAGGAAGCTGAGACCTGGAACTTGCTTTAACCTGGGTGACCTAAAGAATTATCTCTTCGCATCTTAGCCTCAGTCAGAGAGAGACTTGCCTAAGGACAGCAGCGGGTTACCAGCTCTCGCTCCTGCCAGCCAGCCAGACTAACTGCCATAGCCTCAGGATGGTTTCAGCCTCTCTATGCTGTGGTTTCAGCCTCTCTGTGCTGTAGTTTCACATCTGTGGCATGTTCTTGTTCAGGGCAGAAGAACAGTTGAATCCTTGGGGCAGCTATGGTGGTGAGGGGCAGGTTTGCAATGGCCAGGCTTAATTTGAATCTTGGGGGATTGCGGTGGGGCTGGTCTCTGGGCAGGAGTTACTGGGTTTCTGGGTGGTTTAAGGGTGTCAAGGAAGCACTAATAGATAGCATTCGTGATAGGGTCTTTTGGGGCTGCTGGGGCTCTGCCTCTGGCGAGGACTCTGTCTCAGGAGCGTAGCCCTGGTCACCCCTGAGGGGTGTAGGGTGGGGGCTCCAGCCCCAGTGGGTGGTAGAGGGTGCCTGGTTGGCCTGGCCTGGCTGTGCCAGGCAGAGGCCTCAGCTGAGCCTGCCTGGTCTCCATCACAGCGGCTGACGTGCTGGTATACCTAGCGGATGACACGGTGGTGCCCCTGGCTGTGGAGAACCTGCCCTCGCTCAGTGCCCATGAGCTGCACCGCGCTGTCCGCGAGGTCCTGCAGCTTCCAGACATCGCCCTGGATGTCTTCGCGCTCTGGCTGGTCTCCCCTCTGCTGGGTAAGGCTTGGCAGTGAGGAGCCCAGGCTGGAGGGTTGGAAGGGCACTGACCAGTACAGGAGGGAGGGGGCAGTGTTTGGAGCCGCTGGGGAGCCGCTGGCCACTGCCCATGGGGAAAGGTGGGACTTGGGTTTATCCTGAGCTGTCCACCTGTCTGAGCACCTAGAGCCCTGAGAAGGCCCCCGCTCCTGGCCCTGCTGTCTGTCTTTCTGCTGGTGGTGGAGGAGTGGACACGCCTGCCCCCCAGGTCGTGCTGGGACTGGGTGGTCCAGGAACAGTACCGCAGGAGGGAGGGAGGAAGGGGGCCTTGTCTGCCGAGCATAACCTTTGCCACAACCTGGGTGGTGTTTGGGAACCATGATTTCACCTTGTCCTCAGGCCTAGGCCAGTCTTGCAGATGGAAGTTGTAGTTAGGGTGGCGAGACCACTGTGTGGCAGGAGCAAGACAGACCCAGGCCTGAGTGGCTTCCCGGTCGGCCTCTTTGAACTGTTCCTGTTCCTTGGGGACAGGGAGGAGAAGGGACATGGCTCAGGAAGTAGGCCCCTCTGACCCTGAGGCTCTTAGTGAGGGTGGGAAGAGTAGAGACTTGACTTCTCTGGGAGGGGGGTCTTCAGCCTCCAGCCCTGCCTGGCTGGCCTCGTGACCACCCACATCCTGCCCTTTCAAGCTGAAATTGCAAGATGGAGGGACTTAAGGGCGGTGGCTCTCTAGACACTCAGCCCAGGGTCCCTCAGTGAACAGGGTCTCTGAGCCTGCTGGTTCGCACAGGAGGGGGCCAAGGGAGAGGCTGCCCCATGTTGTTTAGTAAATCGGTGCCATAGGCCGGGCGAGTTTTCTTAGCTTACACATTCCCTTCGTTATAGAGGAATGCAGGCAAGAAGAGGGTGACCAGTCCCATTGAGGGAGTGCGTAGGACAGCCTGGTTTAGGTCCAAGGGGCCCCCAGCAGTTATGTCTTCTCCTGAGGCTGCTGGTTGGGGGAGAGGGAACATTTGGCACCCCTGCTCCCCACCCTCATCCTTCTCTCCACCCCCTCCCCCCTGCCAGTAGGAGCTTCCTGCTCAGCTGCTGCTGGGAGGTGCCCGCCCACCCTCTTCCTGCTGCCCCGGCTCCTCGGCCACCTCATGCCCAGCCTGGTCACCTCTCTTTCACCTCCGGGCCTCGAGTCAGGACTGTGGGCCCCTTGGTTTGTGTCTGAAAGCTGGGGGTACAGTTCTGCATGGGTTGGCCCCTGCCTTACCTCGGGAAGCTCCCAGAGCCTGCTGGGCAGCCTGCCTCCTCCTCTCACCTCCTCCGTCTCCACTCCCTCCTCACCACATTCCGGCTCTCCCACGGCCGGAGGCCGTGAATGGGCTGCTTTGTTGCCCGGCCCACACAGGAGGATGGTGGCAGAAGACCCCGGCACAAAGTCAGCACCCACTCTGTTCCCAGGCTGGGTTCAGGGAGGCTGAAAAGCCACTTCAGCTGTGACTTGGGCCCCCCCAGAACCCTTTTCCCCCGGCCCCTGCACCCCTGATGGGGTGAACCGGTGACAGATGCCCCAGGGCCGTGAGTGCCCTGCAAGGGCAGGGAGGGGCGCTGTCTTCTGGAGCTGCCCTTCATGCCGGATGTTTTGGCAGGGCTTAGCCTTCTCAATGTCGTTGTCACTCTGCGTGGAACAGGGCTCCAGGGCCCTTCCGTCCCATTTGGATAGCAGCCTCCAGGCAGGAAGGCCCCATCTGGAAGTGTCTGGGACTGCGGGAGTTCTGAAGACAGGAAGGAGTCTTTTGAGCTGCTGGGGCTTGGGGTTAAGGCTGGTCAGGGCTGGGCTGTAGGCAGCAGGAAGGACATCCTTGTCTCCAGGGTGTCCCTAGGCCCCATCTTGTCAGTTACTGTGCTTGTTCCACAAGGACGTGCAAAGCCTCTCTCAGGCCACGTGGTATTCTAGATGCTGGGAATACAGGAGGGAAGACCCTGGTGGAACTTAATTTAACTTAATTTTATTTATTTATTTTTTTTTTGAGACAGAGTCTCACTCTGTTGCCCAGGTTGGAGTGCAGTGGTGCAATCCCAGCTCACTGCAACCTCCGCCTCCTGGGTTCAAGCGATTCTTCTGCCTCAGCCTCCCGAGTAGCTGGGATTACAAGCAAGCGACACCACGCCTGGCTAATTTTTGTATTTTTAGTAGAGACGGGGTTTTCCCACGTTGAGCAGGCTGGTCTCGAACTTCTGACCTCAAGTGATCCACCCGCCTCAGCCTCCCAAAGTGCTGGGATTACAGACATGAACCATCACGCCCGGCCACCATTGGAATTTTAGAGCCTAAAGGATGGTAAAGGGGGGTTTAGGAAGCAGAGCTCTGTTCCTGGTTTAGCCAGTAGCCCCATGTGGCCTCAGGCACTGTGCCTTCCCCAGCTTCAGTTTCCCTGCTGTAAAGTGGGTGATCTCCATGTCCTCCAGCCCTTTGAGTTCCCAGACAGAGAGAGCATGAGGACCCCATGAGGGGCTCAGTGGCCAAGTGAGGGGAGTTAATGGAGCCCTTTCTGGAGGGAGTGGGGAGGCAACTATTGGGGGTAAATGGTGTTTCCCTACTGGAGGTGGTGACAGATGGGTGGGGCCCAGGGTCTAGGTTGTAAAGGAGGGCTGTGGGGCCTCTGGGAAATCTGGACCAGAAATGTTGGGACGAGAAAGGGCTGCAGAGGCTGGATGCAGGGGTGGGTGGAAGGGCTGTGGGCAAGGGGGCCCGTGTGGAGCTGTGGCTGCTCTTCCAGGTGGAAGGCCCAGATGGCCCAAAGAGCAGAGACAAGGACCCCTGGCCTCAGGCCAGCAGGAGGGGCGATTGGCCATCAGTGGGGACTGCCTAAGGGTAGAGCAGGGAGATGTGGATCAGGCAGCGCTCGGGAAGCTTGGAGCAAGCGCTGGCTCCTGCACCCCGGTGACGGACATCCCCATACATCTCTGGATGAACTTGGAAGTGGCCTCACACCTCTCAAAGGCAGAGAACCCGGTGGCCACTGTTTTTTGGTGGGTGCTGGTGTGTGAGCTGAAAGGCTTTGTCCCTCCTGGCCTGAGGCATTGAGTCCTGGGTCCAGAGCAGTGGTGGCATGGGGCAGCCTGGAGTTTGAGGGGCTGGACTGCTGCACTTGGTCATTCTGCCAACCCCTGGCGAGGTCACTGTGCCCCAGGGATACGGCGGTGGACAATTCTGCAGCCCCTGTGGGTGGCAGCAGCGAGGAATGTCAGGTAGTGATCAGCCTGTGAAGGCAAACAGATGTGGCACCATTGGGGTGATGGAAAATTTTGAGGAGGGGCTGCCTTAATTAGGGGTCCAGGGAAGGTGGCCCTTGAACTTAGACCTGAATCAGCCAGCCACGGGAGGATCTGGGGCAAAGGAGTCCAGGAAAAGAAGAACATCAAGCGCAGAGGCCCTGGCACAAGCAAGCTGGGGATGATTTAAGGAGATTTAAGAAGGCCAAGGTGGCAGGAGCAGAGTGGGAGAGGCAGTGAGAGAGGAGATAAGGTGGGAGGGCCAGGCAGGAGCTGGGTTGCGTGTGGGCCACGGAGGTGCAGAGCTTGCAGGATGGAAGGTCAGCTGGAGCTCCTCAGAGGTGTCAGAGGTGGGCAGTGATGACGGGGAGGCCCAGGCTCTGCCAGTGGGGGGGCAAGGCAGCCCCTTGGGCCTCTGGGCCCCAGTTGTCAATTTCCAGTTCTGCTTCCTGATGGCACTGAGGGTTCCTTTGTGCCCCAGCACCTTCCATTGGCCAGTCTCCAGTTTCAGCTTGCCGTGGGGCTGCAGTGAACACTTAGTGGCTGGCTCTGCCTGGAGCCAGACCCCCGTCGCTTGCTGTGTGACTGTGGACAAGGAACTTGGCCTCTCTGAGGCTCATTTGCTCTATGGGTGAAATGGGGGATAGGGTTATTGCAGAGTAAATGGCTCTGGACCCTTGGCACCTGCTCAGTTACTATTGGTTGCGACTGTCGTCATGCTGTGCGGTGTGATAGGTGGAAGGGCAGCCACTGGACTGGCCGGAGGCTGCATGGGCCACTCCCCATCTCGTCCTGCAGAGGTGCAGCTGAAACCCAAGCACCAGCCCTACAAGCTGGGACGCCAGTGGCCGGAGCTGCTGCTGCGCTTCACCAGTGCCCCAGACGATGACGTGGCCATGGGTCAGTGCTGCTGCCTGTCTGTCCTTGCCTCGGGACCACCTGAGTCTGCATCTCTGGCTCCCAGCCCAGCCAGGGCCCTGCCAGCAAGGAGCTGCCCTGGCTGAGGGGCAGGGCCTGCATCTCCCCCAGGCTCCGTCAGCCACCCCTGGCAGGGGAGGAAGGGGTCCCTGAGTGAAGCCCCATTGGGGGATGGGCTGGGAGCCACCGGGGCACGTTGGGATGAGCTGCACACTCCACCCTCTGCACGGCCCTCCGGTTTTCTCAGCCCTGGTGGGTGAGGTTGGTGGCCAGGGCCTGGGCCAATCGGGAGAGGGGAGGGCTAAGCAGAGTGGGGATGCCCGGCAGTGACCCAGCCTCTCTCCCCAGATGAGCCTTTCCTGCAGTTCCGAAGGAACGTGTTCTTCCCAAAGCGGCGGGAGCTCCAGGTGAGGCAGGAGCCCTGGTGGCCCCACCAGGCCTGGCCCCTTGTGCCCAGCCTCCCTGTCCCTAGACCCCTGGACATTCGCACCTTGCCCCAGCCCAACTGAGCAGCTCTCCCTGCCCCAGCCCAGCTGAGCGGCTGTCCCTGCCACACCCCCCTGCAGATCCATGACGAGGAGGTCCTGCGGCTGCTCTATGAGGAGGCCAAGGGCAACGTGCTGGCTGCACGGTACCCGTGCGACGTGGAGGACTGCGAGGCTCTGGGCGCCCTGGTGTGCCGCGTGCAGCTTGGGCCCTACCAGCCCGGCCGGCCGGCAGCCTGCGACCTGAGGTGAGGGCCTGTGTGACTTGAGGCGGGGGCGCTGGGTGGGGGAGTTTGTCCTTGGAATGGAACTTACAAGCAGTCTTCAGTCTCGCAAGGTGGGGGCAGGGTCCTGGAGTCAGGAGGCCTCAGCCCCGCAGGCTCACTCTGGCCCTAGGCAGTTGTTCCGCCCCTCAGCCTCCTTTTCCTCACCTGTCCTGGGCTGGAGCCTCAGGTGAAGTGAAGTCTGGGAGAAGAATCTGGAGCCCTGCCTCCTGCCGGCCAGGGTCAGAGGAGCTGGGCTTTTGGAGTCACAGCCAGGGACCACCCAGATACTGACCCTTTGTCACCAGTAACAGGCCAGCTTAGTTCCAGACTTCTGGGGTGTTCCCCAGGCGGTCGGCAAGCTGGCTGTCCACCTCCCAGCCCTCTCCAGGAGCCGAGTTCTCTGCTGTGTAAATTAGCAGGGCCTTGGGTGGCGAGGATTGAGTCTGCCCTGCCAAAGCCCAGGCCGGTCTCTGGTCTCCATGGAGGATTATCCCGAGGTTTAGAAATAATTCCAGTGAAGGGGCCGGACGCGGTGGCCCAGGCCTGTAATCCCAACACTTTGGGAGGTCAAGGCAGGCAAATCGCTTAAGGTCAGGAGTATGAGACCAGCCTGGCCAACATGGTGAAACCCCATCTCTACTAAAAACACAATAAGTAGCCAGGTGTGGTGGCACACACCTGTAATCCCAGCCGTTTGGGAGGCTGAGGCAGGAGAATCACTTGAACCTGGGAGGTGGAGGTTGCAGTGAGCCAAGGGCATGTCACTGCACTCCAGTCTGGGTGACAGAGTGAGACTCTGTCTTAAAAAAAAAAAAAATGCCGGGTGCGGTGGCTCACGCCTGTAATCCCAACACTTTGGGAGGCCGAGGCGGGCAGATCACCTGAGGTCAGGAGTTCAAGACCAGCCTCAACGTGGAGAAACCCCGTCTCTACTAAAAATACAAAATTATCTGGGCAAGGTGGTGCATGCCTGTAATCCCAGCTACTCGGGAGGCTGAGGCAGGAGAATTGCTTGAACTTGGCAGATGGAGGTTGCAGTGAGCCGAGATCAAGCCATTGCACTCTAGCCTGGGCAACAAGAGCGAAACTCCGTCTCAAAAAAGAAAAAAAAGGACTGAGCGCTCCAACTGCAGCTTATCTGATGGCCGGTCCACAGCCCACAGAGTACCCGCTGCCTGAGGCGGGGAACCAACTGTGGGTATGCCAGGGCCTCTCCTCCTTCATGTGGGGCGGGGGAGATGCCCTTTCTTTTGTGAGCCTGTGCTAGTTGTAGGTTGGCGTTTTCACGTTTTTATCTGGCAGAACAAAGCATTGAGAGCATTAAAACCCCTGCACCAGTTTTGGTTATAAAAGTTCCACCAGTTCAGAAATCCCAACGTTCCTGACTTGGTGACACAGATGTTGCTCTGAAACCCTCCTGCTGCAGTCTGATTCTAGGCAGGTGGGGGCTCTTTGTTCGGCCTCCAGACCTTCCCTCAGCCTCTCACCTCTGCTGTGAGCTGCAGACCTGGGCCCATCTCCTGGGCCTCCTTCACTCGCCTGGCTGCCCTGTGTGTCTGTGTGCCCTCGCAGGTGGGGGTCAGGGACCTCTGCAGTGCCGGGCACACTGCGGGTGCTCAGGGTGGTGGGTTCCTTCCCTTCTGGGGGTGAAGAGGGGCCTGGTGACTCCTCGTGTCTTTCCCTTCGGCTCCTATGAGTTTCCTGGGTGGACACGTGGTAACCAACCAGGCAGGAGGCAGGAAGGGTTGGGTGACAGGACCAGGCCCCATGGGGGCCCTTGGTGCACATGGGGCTGCAGTGCAGAGGCTGCCGGCTCAGGCAGGACTGGTGGGAAGTGCAGGAAGGTGGGGCCCGGGTTCCTGTTCCTGGATGGAGATGCAGGCATCTGGAGCCGCAGGATGAGCCTTTGGCTTCAGACGGTGACCCCGGGTCAGACGGGCAGAGGGACAGCCCCAGGTGGGCCTCATAGGGAGCCCCATCACAATCCTTGGCCTGCACCTGGAGAGCTTGTCAAGTTTTAGGGCCGGGGGAGCTCACCTGGGACAGGTGGGGGTGTCACCATCCCCACTCTGCAAAGGAAGCAGGCGCAGGACAGGAGGTGCCTCTCACCAGCTGTACAGCTGCTCTCGGCAGAAGCAGACAGGCTGGCCCTGGAGTCTGCCCTTCGGAGGGGGGCCGAGAACTGAACCCCCTCTGTCTGGTGCCTGGGTCTCCCCTTGTGGGCTCCTTACCCAGCCTCTGACTTGGAAGTAGATGTGTGTCTGCTTCCTCCAGGCAGCCTTGCTTCCCTCGCCCTCCCCCGTGAGCCTGGCACCTCTGGTTGGGCCGCTAGCACCTGTCTTCCTTCCTCCACAGGGAGAAGCTGGACTCCTTCCTCCCTGCCCACCTCTGTAAGCGGGGCCAGAGTCTCTTTGCTGCCCTCCGGGGCCGTGGGGCCAGGGCCGGGCCGGGCGAGCAGGGCCTGCTGAACGCCTACCGCCAGGTGCAGGAGGTCAGCAGCGACGGCGGGTGCGAGGCCGCCCTGGGCACCCACTACCGCGCCTATCTCCTCAAGTGCCACGAGCTGCCGTTTTATGGGTAAGAGCCACAGCCCCGCGGTCCCCCACCCCCTCCGCAGGCTGTTCTTGGGCTTTGCTAGCACAGCTGCCAGTGAGCCCACCTCTGCTCCAGCTGAGCTGTGTCCCCATGAAGTGGTGTCTTGTCACGAGCACCTCAGGCCCCACCGTTCCAAGCTGGGCACCTGTCCTCCCCTTCCTCCTGTCAGGGGCTGGGACACCTTGGATGGGTCCTCTCCTTCTACCTGGCACAGTCACCTCGTCACTGGCCCGGCCGACCTCGCCTTCAGCCAGCTGTCTCTGTCACGCAATTGTTGTCTAACAAACAGCTCTGTGCACCTACTGCACGCACGCTCCCTGGGCACTGGAGGTCCCCCTGAGCCAGAGACACCGTGCCCCTGCCTGATGAAGCTGATGTTCTAGTGGAGAGAGACGAGAACACAGAGGTTGAGGAGAGCCTGTCATTGGGCACAGGCGGCAGCCAGGAGACCAGAGGATGGGGTGTGGCTTGGGCCTTGTGGTCAGAACAGGTGAGATGGTCAGATGCAGGACGTTCTGAGGGCAGAGTGACAGGATTTGCCAGATGGATGTGCAGTGGATGAAGCGAAGGAGAGGAGGCAGAGAGGACTGGCCTAAGCCCCTGGCAGATGGCGTTGTCCTCCGCTGAGCTGGGGGCGGCACTGTGGAGTGGTCAGGGAAAGTTTAGGAATTTGGTTTTTTGTTTTTGTTTTGAGACAGGGTCTTGCTCTGTCACTCAGGCTGGAGTGCAGTGGCACAATCGTGGCTCACTGCAGGCTCGACCTCCTGGGCTCAAGCAAGCCTCCTGAGTCGCTGGGACCACAGGTGTGCAGCACCATGCCCGGGTAATTTTTCTTTCTTTTTTTTTTTTTTTTTTGAGATGGAGTATCGCTCTTGTTGCCAGGCTGGAGTGCAATGCCATGATCTCGGCTCACTGCAACCTCTGCCTCCCAGGTTCAAGCGATTTTCCTGCCTCAGCCTCCCAAGTAGCTGGGACTACAGGTCTGCACCACTATGCACGGCTAATTTTTGTATTTTTAGTAGAGATAGGGTTTCACCATGTTGGCCAGGCTGATCTTGAACTCCTCACCTCAGGTGATCCGCCTGCCTCAGCCTCCCAAAGTGCTGGGAGCCACCACGCCTGGCCTAATTTTTGTATTTTTTGTAGAGACGGGGTTTTGCCTGTTGGCCAGGCTGGTCTGGAACCCTGGGGTCAAGTGATGCTCCCGCCTCAGCCTCCCACAGCACTGGGATCATACGCATGAGCCACCGTGCCTGGCTGGGAGCTTGCTTTGGACATGTTGATTTTGAGATACTTGTTAGACGCCCCACTGGCGACTTCGAGTGGGCATCTGGTGTCTAGTGCAGTCTGAACTGGAGCTCGTATTTGGCGAATCCTATGCATATGGATGGCACCTGAAGCCTGGAGAGATGCTGGGAGGCAAGTGTGGGCCAGGTGAGAAGGGGCCCTGGGCCCCCCAGCAAGGCAGGAGGGCTCTACCCGCAGCAGCTCCTAGCGCATGCCCCGCTTGTCCTCCTGGCAGCTGGCGATGGATGTGGGCTCCAGCCTGGTGGGCGAGCGTGAGCAGGGATGGAGACAGTGAGTGTGACCAGCTGTCACAACTCTGCTGTAAAATGGGGTCAAGCAACGGGTCTTGTAGTGGTTTTGAGGGGGAGGTGACAGCCCATGTGTGCTGACCGGCAGGTGGCCCTCTCCTGGCTGCTTTGGTTTCCTCAGTGAAATCGGAGGGCTGGCCATCAGCTGAGCTTGGGGGACAGAAGTCTTCCGGAGGAGGCTGGAGCAGGACGGCCCCAGGAATTCAAGGTGGCCCATGCTGGTCTCCAGCCCCATCCCATCGCGTGGAGAGAGCGGGGTTTAACTTGGGCTCTGGCTCAGTGGGTGGTGAGGGCAAGGGTGAGCCTGAGGGACAGGAGAAGGCAAGGCTGCAGGAGGGACAGGTGGCAGCTCTTCTCAATGTTTTTTTTTTTTTTTTTTTTTGAGATGGAGTCTCGCTCTGTTGCCCAGGCTGGAGTGCAGTGGCACGATCTTGGCTCACTGCGAGCTCCGCCTCCCAGGTTCACGCCATTTTCCTGCCTCAGCCTCCGGAGTAGCTGGGATTACAGGTGCCCACCACCATGCCCGGCTAATTTTTTTTGTATTTTTAGTAGAGATGGGGTTTCACCCTGTTAGCCAGGATGGTCTCAATCTCCTGACCTCATGACCCGCCTGCCTCGGCCTCCCAAAGTGCTGAGATCACAGGCATGAGCCACCGCGCCCAGCCTCTTCTCAGTTTTGAGCCCTGGAGCCACTCCCCTCACCTCCTCGTGCTTCCCAGCAGGTCCCTGCTGCTGAAAGGTCTCCGCCTGGACAGTGGTCAGCAGGCTCTCCTGGCCACCTCCAGCAGCCCTGGCCCCCAGACCAAGTGCCAAACCCACGACTGGCTTTGCTCCACACCTGGGGCCACGCGCTTCCCTCCGCCTGCAGTGCCCACCCTTCTCTGTGCCATCAGGCCCTTCTCCCTCCGGTCGCACACTGCCAGCTCAGATGCTGCCACCCCTACGAAGCCTCCCCTTCATCCCACCTCTGTTTCTCCCTTCCCTGGGGCGGGTTTCAGTCACCCAAACAGCAGAAGTTCCTCAGAGCCCAGGTTGGGGCCTCGAGCAGCCTCCCTCAGCATTTCTGGTGCTGGCCGGAGGCTGACCCCAGTCCCCTCCCCAGGTGTGCCTTCTTCCACGGTGAGGTTGACAAGCCGGCCCAAGGCTTTTTGCACCGGGGTGGGCGCAAGCCAGTTTCTGTGGCCATCAGTCTGGAAGGCGTGCACGTCATCGATAGCAGAGAGAAGGTACTGCCCCCAGCTCCTCCAGGGTGGAGAGGATGGGAGGGGGCTCCTGACTCAGGTCTTCCTGGTTCCTCTGGGCCTGTGGGGGCCTGGGGGCAAGGTGGATGGACTGTCTGGGAGGGACCCTGCCTCCGTTGGATGTCCTCGTAGCCCCTGAGGGTGATCCTGGGTCCTCTTGCCCAACATGCTAGGCTGTGGGGTGGCCGGGGCAGGGGAGGCCGCAGCTGGGACTTCACTGCTGAGTGGAGGGAGGGCAGCAGGGCCCGCTGCTCTGCCTGGCTGATGGCTGGAGAACAGCCTGATGCTCCAGAAGACCCCGCGACGGGAGCCCTCTTGGGCTGACCGTGTCCTCTTCTTTCTGCGTTTGGTGGCCAGCCCTGGGTAGAGAGCCGCGTCAGCAGCCAGCCCTGTGGGGCAGATTACCTGTCCCTGGACAGAAATTTGCTCCTAAGCCAGCAGAAGAGTTTTGGCTGGCTTCTGGTTGTCCCGGAAGAAGGACCCCAGCCCCTGCTGCCATCTGTGTCCTGGGAGGCAGGGCCCAGCTCAGCCTCATGCTAGATGCCACGCCCGACCTCATAGAAGAGACTCCGCTTCCCCACCTGCCTCCTCCCCCACGTGCCTCCCCCGCTGTCAGGGGCTTGGCCTGCTGGTGGGACTGTTGTGGGAGAGGGGATCTCAGCTTCCCTGGACCACAGCCCCTGGCAGGCTCTGATGAAAGCTGAGGCTCTCTCCTTACAGAAACACATGAACAAATGTAGACTCAGCCTTGGAGAGGCACACACCCTGGCCAGGTGTCTGAGTGGGATGGGGTGGGGAGCAGACCTCTGCCCAGGGGTCAAGCCTGGCTCTGTGTCTCCTGCTGGCCAGCATGTCCTGCTGGGCCTGCGCTTCCAGGAGCTGTCGTGGGACCACACCTCCCCCGAGGAGGAGGAGCCCATCTTGTGGCTGGAGTTCGACGGGGACAGCGAGGGCACACCTGTCAACAAGCTCCTCAAGATCTACTCCAAGCAGGTAGCGCGGGTGGTGCCTGCACACGGGTGGGGAGGCTGGGCCCAGGTGCCCTGGGTCCCAGACAATTAGAGGCACCAGGCTGGCGGGCAAGGAGGTGAGAAGCTGCCTTGGGCCTGAGGATGAAAGCGGCCTGGGCACAAGGGGTGCCTTGAGTCCTGCTGACCCAGAGCTGCCCTGGGAGGTCAGGAGGCCTGGTCTGCAGACTCCACGCCGGTGGTGGTGGCAGCTGTGGGGTTCGGGCAGCTGTTTGTTGAGGGCTTGCTGAGTGCTTTGAGACCAGCCTGCACCCTCCCCTCCTGTCCCCAAGACCAGTGCTGTTGTGACCCTATTCACAGTCACCTGCGGTGGGCGTGGAAACGTTGGGCCTCTCCAAGCCTGTGTTTGATTTTCCCCTTCATTCGTCGTGTTTTACTCAGCACCGAGCACCTCTTCTACCCCAGCCTCCCTCCCCAGCCTCCCTCCCCAGCCTCCCTCCCCTGCCTCCCTCCCCTGCCTCCCTCCCCTGCTTCCCTCCCCAGCCTCCCTCCCCTGCCCCTCCCTCTCCCACTTGGGTCACATCAGACGCCCCTCCCTCCCACAGGGCCCTTTCAGGACTGTTCCCACCCCTTCCTCCTTTCATCTCGGGTCTCTCTGGATCCTTCATTCCACACCTCTCCGGCTTCCTTTTGGTGCCCTTCACCCCTCCCTTGGCAGCCAGACCCCACCCCTGCGCCTCCCATGCTGGGGGCTGCTTCTAGCCCCATCGGCCTCTGCTTTGCCACAGGAGGGCCCCCTCCCCCTTCTCAGCTTAACTACATGCTCCTGGAAGCTTCTTTCCGCCCCCACCAGCCACCTCCTCCCCCAGCTTCCCCTGCTGCTCCCCATTTTCCTGGCCCCCCTCGAGGGCACTCCTCTCCCTGCCTCATGGCTTTGAACTCCAAGATATTCTCACCTTTATGTTCAAAGTTCACAATTTTCTTTTTTTTTTTTTTTTTTTGAGACGGAGACTGGTTTATGCTTTTTGTTTCCTAAGAAATTTTGCCTAACCCAAGACCACAAAGATTTTCTCATGTTTTCTTGTAGAAGTTGTATAAATTTAAGCCTCCCAGCCATCCCAAAGTCAATATTTTACATCAGGTGTGATATACAGGTCAATGTTCATGTTCGTGTTTACAGATTCTCAATTGTTTCGGTGTCGTTTGTTGAAAAGACATTGAATTGGCCGGGCATGGTGGATCACGCCTGTAATCCCAGCACTTTGGGAAGCCAAGGTGGGCGGATCTCTTTAGGCTCAGAGCTCAAGACCAGCCTGGCCAACAAGGTGAAACCCCCATCTCTACTAAAAATACAAAAAATTGGCCGGGTGTGGTGGCACACGCCCGTAATCCCAGCTACTACTTGGGAGACTGAGGCACGAGAATCACTTGAACTGGGGAGGCAGAGATTGTGGTAAGCCGAGATGGTGCCACTGCACTCCAGCCTAGGCAACAGAGTGAGACTCTGTCTCAAAAAAAAAAAAAAGAAAGACATTGAATTGCCCTGACATCTTTGTTGAAAATCAATTGGCTGTACATGTGTGGGTCTGTTTCTGGATTCCCTCTTCTAAACCACTGATATATGTGTGTCTTTCACTGATAATCACACTATATATTGATTTTTGAACCTTTATAATAAGTCTTGAAATCAGGTAGTCTGATAACCAGAACTTTGTTCTTTTTAAAATGGTTTCCATAGAAGTTTTAGAATCAGCTTGTTGATTTGTAGCATGCTCCGCTATCCACCCCCCAAAAAAAGGCTACCTAGGATTTTTATTGAGATCGCATTGATTACTTCGGAGGTCATTGACCTCTTAAGTCTTCCAGTCCATTTATTTCTGTATCTCCATTTATTTGTCTCTGATTTCTTTCATTAACATTTTATAGTTTTCAGCATACAAAACTTCTGCATCTTTTGTTAGATTTATCCATTTCTTTTTTTTTTTCTTTTGGTGCTACTGTAAATGGCACTGTTTTTAATTTCAATTTCCAATTGATCATTTCCTTATATAGAAATATAATTGTTTTTGTTTTTTTTGAAACACTCTTGCTCTGTCACCGAGGCTGGGGTGCAGTGGCGCAATCATAGCTCACTGCATCCTTGACCTCTGGGCTCAAGCTATCATCCCAAGCCACAGGTGTGCACCACCATGCCAGGCTAACTTTATTTTATATTTGTAGAGACAAGGTCTCACTATGTTGCCCAGGCTAATCTTGAACTCCTGGGCTCAAGTGATTCTCCCACCTTGGCCTCCCAAAGTGCTGGGATTACAGGCATGAGCCCCTGTGTCTGCCTTTTTTCTTTTTTTCTTTTTTTTTGAGATGGAGTCTCACTCTGTCGCCCAGGCTGGAGTGCAATGGCGCGATTTCAGCTCACTGCAACCTCCGCCTCCTAGGTTCAAGCGATTCTCTCACCTCAGCCTCCTGAGTAGCTGGGATTACAGGAGCCTGCCATCACACCCAGCTAATTTTTGTATTTTTAGTAGAGATGGGTTTTCACCATGTTGGCCAGGCTGGTCTCAAACTCCTGACCTCAGGTGATCCACCCGCCTCGGCCTCCCAAAGTGTTGGGATTACAGGCGTGAGCCACGGCACCTGGCCTGGCCTGGGACTTTCTATGTGGACAGTCGTGTGGTCTGTGAGTTGGGACAGCTGGGTCTCACTTTCCAATCTGTGTGCCTCTTGCTTGCCTTGCCTGACAGTGCTTCTGACCCCCAGTGTAGGATGGATAGGTGTGCGCAGGCGTCCCTGACGCACCTGGCCTGAGAGAGAACATTGTCTTTCACTGAATAAGTGGGATTTTGCTGTGGGTTCTTCAGAGATGCGCTTCATCAGGTTGAGGAAGTTCCTTTCTGACGCTGGCTTGCTGAGTTTTATCTTGGACAGATGTTCAGCAGAGCTTCCTCTTTTGGCTGCATTTGAACGGCAGGCTTCCTGAGCCTCAGAGGCATGTTGCTGTGCAGGAGTTTTTGTTCTAGGAAACTTAGTAGGCTTCCCTGTTATGGTTGCACTCAGGACTCTGTCCCCACCGGCTGCCGTCCCCTCGCCAGCCCACTGCCCTTTGGCTGGTGGAGTCCACTTGGTGAGGAGAGGAGTGTGGGTGGACTGAGCTGAGGGCAGGGAGCGTGGAGAGCCCACCAGGCCTCTGCTCTTCCTTCTGGGCCGAGCAGCGGTGCCCACCTGCCCAGCCCAGAGGGATTGTAGCTGCCCTGTGGAGAGGCAGGAGCCAGGCCAGTCTCCGCAGGGCCACTCCAGCATCTGACCCAGCCCCACCAGTCAGGAGCACAGGTGGCCATTCCTGTCTACTTGGCCTCATCTTATCCCAGGCCTGCAGCAGTGCTTGGCACGTGGGAGGCACTCAGGAAATACCTGTGTCCTAAGGGGTGCCACCCTTTTAACACCCTCTGCGACTCCCTCAAACCCCTGAAGGCCCTGTCCTTGGTGCCCAGCTGTGCCCGCTGGCACCCGGCTGCTGCATCTTTTCTGTCAGTGTGCCTCATGCTTCACACCTGTTGAGTAGGAGTCACTTTTGAAGAACGTGCTGGCAGGGAGCCGCCCGCCCCTGCCCTGGTGACATCGCGCCCCTTCCTCCTGGCTGCAGGTTTTCCTCCCAGCCAGCACCACCCGCCTCCCCGCCCCGCTTCCCCACTCTTCGTCCTCTCTGCAGCAGCTGGCTCCCTACCCCCTCCCTCCCCACCTGCTTCTGCCCATGGAGTCAGCCTTCCTGGGCTGTGCCTTCTGACCAGAATGTTCTTTCTTTCCCACCTGAACTCCCAGATCTGGAGACCCCTCCTCATCCACCAGGACTCACCTTCACAGTCACCCAAGTGGGACACCTCCCCTGCCTCCCTGCTCCCTCCCTCCTGAGTGATGTGTGTCCCCTCCCCTGCTTCCCCAACCAGAGAGCAGAGCTCATTTCAGGCTCAGCAACAGGCATGGAAGGGGGCCCTGGCCAGGCCTCACACTGCCCCCTCCTCCCCAGGCCGAACTGATGAGCAGTCTCATTGAGTACTGCATCGAACTGAGCCAGGCGGCGGAGCCCGCAGGCCCCCAGGACAGTGCGACTGGCTCGCCCTCGGACCCCAGCTCCTCACTGGCTCCTGTTCAGCGCCCCAAGCTGCGGAGGCAGGGCAGTGTGGTGTCCAGCCGGATCCAGCATCTCTCCACCATCGACTACGTGGAGGACGGTGAGCAGCCCTTCTGTGCATGTGCACACACAAACACGCATGCGCGTGCACACACCGGGGGGAGTTCCTGAGGACAGGGCATTGCAGAGCAGCTCCAGACCCAGTGTGAGCTGGCCTCCATCTCAGGACACAGCTGTGAGCAGGCCGAGCCCGGGCCTTGGCCATAGTGCCTTTCCTGTCCCTTCTCACTGCTGCGTCACAGACGTTCTGCAGCATTGTCCAGGATGTGATCCGGGAAACGACTCAACATCTGTTACTGAAGTGTTGGGTAGGTGGGGCGCGGTGGCTCACGCCTGTAATCCCAGCACTTTGGGAGGCCAAGGCAGGAGGATCACCTGAGGTCAGGAGTTCAAGAACAGGCTGGCCAACATGGTGAAACCCTGTCTCTACTAAAAATACAAAAAAAGTAGCGAGGTGTATGGCAGGCGCCTGTAATCCCAGCTACTCGGGAGGCTGAGGCAGGAAAAACGCTTGAACCCAGCAGGCAGAGGTTGCAGTGAGCCGAGATTGCATCATTGCATTCCAGCCTGGGAGACAGAGCAAGACTCCGTCTCAAAAATAAATAAATAAATAAATAAAGCGTTGGGTAAATCACTGCTGTGACCACATCTTGGGGTGTTGAGTGCAGCTGGTAAAAATACAGTACCCAGGCCGGGTGCAGTGTCTCACACCTGTAATCCCAGTACTTTGGGAGACCAAGACAAAGAGGATCACTTGAGCCCAGGAGCTCAAGACCAGCCTGGACAACAGAGTGAGACCCTGTCTCTACAAAATATACTTAAACTTAGCTGAGCACGGTGGTATATGCCTGTAGTCTCACCTTCTTGGGAGGCTGATGAGGCAGGAGTATCTCTGAGCCCAGGAGTTGGAGGTTTGCAGTGAGCTACGATTGTACCACTGCACTCCAGCCTGGGTGACAACGATGAGACCCTATATATATATATTTTTTTTAATTAATTAATTAGTTAACTATTTTTGAGACGGAGTCTCACTCTGTCGCCCAGGCTGGAGTACAGTGGCATGATCTCGGCTCACTGCAACCTCCGCCTCCCCAGTTCTAGTGATTCTCCTGCCTCAACCTCCCGAGTAGCTGGGACTACAGGTGTGTGCCACCACACCCGGCTAATTTTTTTTTTTTTTTTTGAGACAGAGTCTCACTCTGTCGCCCAGGCTGGAGTGCAGTGGGCGCGATCTTGGCTCACTGCAAGCTCCACCTCCTGGGTTCACGCCATTCTCCTGCCTCAGCCTCCTAAGTAGCTGGAACTACAGGCGCCCACCACCACGCCCGGCTACTTTTTTGTATTTGTAGTAGAGACGGGGTTTCACCGTGTTAGCCAGGATGGTCTCGATCTCCTGACCTTGTGGTCCATCCGCCTTGGCCTCCCAAAGTGCTGGGATTACAGGTGTGAGCCACTGCACCCGGCCCTAATTTTTTGTTTTTAGTAGAGATGGGGTTTCACCGTGTTAGCCAGGATGGTCTCAATTTCCTGTCCTCGTGATCCACCTGCCTTGGCCTCCCAAAGTGCTGGGATTACAGGCGTGAAACATCACACCAAGCCCGAGACCCTGTTTTTAAAAAGGAATACCCTGGCCGGGCGCAGTGGCTCACGCCTGTAATCCTAGCACATTGGGAGACCAAGGCGGGTGGATCACCTGAGGTCGGGAGTTCGAGACCAGTCTGACCAACATGGAGAAAACTCTTCTCTACTAAAAATACAAAATTAGCTGGATGTGGTGGTGGTCGCCTGTAGTCCCAGCTACTTGGGAGGCTGAAAGCAGGAGAATCGCTTGTACCCAGGAGGTGGAGGTTGCAGTGAGCCAAAATCACGCCACTGCACTCCAGCCTGGGCAACAAGAACGAAACTCCGTCTCAAATAAATAAATAAATAAATAAATAATAAAAAGGAATACCCTAAATGCATCTTGTGTCAGATCCTGGAAGAGAGGACATTTGTGGAAAAACTATTGAAGTCCAAAAGAATTTTAGTTAACAGATACTGTGTCAGTGTTCATTCCTTAGCTCTGATGTGGTGACAGAACATGCTGTCATCGGGAGAAGTTGTGGCGGTATTCTGGAACTCTCTACACCTTTACAGCTTTCCTAGAAATCTAGAATTATTCCATGATAAAAAGTTTTTTAATGCAGTAACAAAGATCTACATTTATTTATTTATTTATTTATTTATTTATTTATTTATTTAGAGACAGAGTCTCGCTCTGTCACCCAGGCTGGAGTGCAATGGTGTGATCTTGGCTCACTGCAACCTCCGCACCCTGGGTTCAAGCGATTCTCCTGCCTCAGCCTCCCTAGTAGCTGGGATTACAGGGGTGAGCTACCACGCCCAACTAAGTTTTGTATATTTAGTAGAGACGGGGTTTCGCCATGTTGGCCAGGCTGGTCTCAAACTCCTGACCTCAAGTGATCTGCTCACCTTGGACTACCAAAGTGCTGGGATTACAGTGTGAGCCACCGCACCCGGCCAGAGATCTACATTTTACATGGCAAGATGTTCACAAAATAATATTCAGTAAAAAGAAATGGCCAGGCGTGGTGGCTCACGCCTGTAATCCCAGCACTTTGGGAGGCCAAGGTGGGCAGATCACGAGGTCAGGAGATCGAGACCATCCTGGCTAACAGGTGAAACCCTGTCTCTACTAAAAATACAAAAAGAAAAAAAATTAGCCAGACGTGGTGGTGGGTGCCTGTAGTCCCAGCTACTCGGGAGAATGGCGTGAACCTGGGAGGCGGAGCTTGCAGTGAGCGGAGATCGCGCCACTGCACTCCAGCCTGGGCGACAGAGCGAGACTCTGTCTCAAAAAAAAAAAAAAAAGGAAATGAGTAACAGGACAGCATGTGTGCAGCCATGCGCATGAGGAGGGCGGGCCCAGCTGTGGCCGTCAGCGGCTGTAGCTTTGACTTTTTCTTTGTACTTCTTGGAGCACGTAAATCTGTTACAATGAACATGTCATTTTTATAGTCTTGTAATTTTTAGAATAATTGTTTTTTCTTTTTTTTTTTTTTGGAGACGGAGTTTCACTCTTGTTGCCCAGGCTGGAGTGAAATGGTGCGATATCGGCTCACCGCAACCTCCACCTCCCGGGTTCAAGCGATTCTCCTGCCTCAGGCTCCCAAGTATCTGGGATTACAGGCTTGCACCACCACGCCCAGCTAATTTTGTATTTTTAGTAGAGACGGAGTTTCTCCATGTTGGTCAGGCTGGTCTCCAACTCCCGACCTCAGGTGATCCGCCCGCCTTGGCCTCCCAAAGTGCTGGGATTACAGTCGTGAGCCACCGCGCCCAGCCCTAGAATAAGTTTTATAATCAGAAAAAGCAAACTTTTTCTACAATGTAATTTGGACCACTGTGTGGCATTCCTTGGCATGGTTTTAGCACGCTCATTTTGACCCAGTCCTCTGCTTGTGGGCATTACAGTTTTCAGCGTTCAGCTCTTCTAAACAGCACACCTACAGGAAAGTCCTTCCTTAGAATCTGAAATGTTTCCTCAGGATACTTTCCTAGAAATGGCCTTGCTAATGTAAAAGTGTGCAGATTTTTTTTTTTAAATAGGATTTCACTCTAGTGCCTAGACTGGAGTGCAATGGCCTAGTCAAGGCTCACTGCAGCCTCAACCTCCCGTGCTCAAGCAGTCCTTCTGCAGTCTCCTGAGTAGGTGGGACTAAGGTCATGAGCCACCACTCCTGGCTAATTTTTAAATTCTTTGTCAAGGCAGCGTCTCACTATGTTGCCCAGGCTGGTCTCAAAACTCCTGGGATCAAATGATCCTCCCACCTCAGCCTCCCAAAGTGCTGGGATTACAGATGTGAGCACCGTGCCTGGCCGATATGCTGATTTTGAAGAGGCTTTTCATACCTGCCACCTTCCAGAGAAGTTGTGCCCAGGTGTACCCTCCCCAGCAGAGAAGATGGTGTCTGCCTCCCATGCCCTCACCCACAATGGGTGTAATCATTCCGAGCCAAAGGGAACTTGTCTGGGCTGGTGTTTGAACACAATGAGATTGGAAATTTTTTTTTTTTTGAGACAGTCTTGCTCTGTTGCCCAGGCTGGAGTGCAATGGCATGATCTCAGCTCACTGCAACCTCTGCCTCCCGGGTTCAAGTGATTCTCCCTGCCTCAGCCTCGCAAGTAGCTGGGATTGCAGGCGCCCACCACCATGCCCGATCAATTTTTGTATCTTTAGTAGAGACAGGGTTTCGCCATGTTGGCCAGGCTGGTCTCGAACTCCTGACCTCAGGTGATCTGTCCGCCTCAGCCTCCTGAAGTGCTAGGATTACAGGAATAAGCCACCGTGCCCGGCCGATTGCAAATTTTTACGTGCTTGATCATATTTAGATTTCCTTCCTGAATTACTGATGATTTCTTTTGCTCATTTTTCTTCTGTTGCTTGACTTTTTAAAATTAACAATCTGGCCAGGTGAGATGGCTGTAATCCCAACACTTTGGGAGGCCGAGGCAGGCAGATTGCTTGAGTCCAGGAGTCCAAGACCAGCCTGCGCAACATAGCAAGACCGCATCTCTATTTAAAAGATTAGCAGGGCATGGTGGCTCACGCCTGAAGTCCCAGCTAGTTGGGAGGCTGAGATGGGAGGATCACCTGAGCCCAGAGGGTTACGGCTTCAGTGAGTTAGGATCACAACACTGCAGTCCAGCCTGGGTGACAGAGTGAGACCCTGTCGCAAAAAAAAAAAAAGAAAAAGAAAAATTTATTAACGTCTTGGCTAGGCTCACACCTGTAATCTCAGTACTTTGGGAGACAGAGGCAGGAGGCTCACCTGAGGCCAGGAGTTCGAGATCAGCCTGGGCAATCGAGCAAGACCCTGTCTCTACACAAACTAAAAAAACCTTAGCCATGGCTCACACCTGTAGTCCCAGCTATTGGGGATGCTGAAGTGGGAGGATCACCTAGGCTTAGGAGGTAAGGCTGCAGTGAGCCGTGATTGTAACACTGCACTCCAGCCTGAGCAACACAGCTTGTCTCAAAAAAAAAACCACAAAGGCGGGACATGGTGGCTCACACCTGTAATCCCAGCACTTTGGGAGGTCAAGGCAGGTGGATCACGAAGTCAGGAGTTTGAGACTAGCCTGGCCAACGTGGTGAAACCTGTCTCTACCAAAAATACAAAAATTAGCCAGGCACAGTGGCCCACGCCTGTAATCCCAGCACTTTTGGAGGCCAAGATGGGTGGATCATGAGGTCAAGAGATCGAGACCATCCTGGCCAGCATGGTGAAACCCCGTCTCTACTAAAAATACAAAAATTAGTGTGCGTGGTGGCGCACACCTGTAGTCCCAGCTACTCAGGAGGCTGAGGCAGGAGAATTGCTTGAACCCAGGAGGTGGAGGTTGCAGTGAGCCAAGATCGTGCCATTGCACTGCGGCCTGGGTGACAGAGCAAGACTCCATCTCAAAACAAAACAAAAGGCCGGGCGCAGTGGCTCACGCCTGTAATCCCAGCACTTTGGGAGGCCGAGGCAGGCAGATCACGAGGTCAGGAGATCGAGACCATCTTGGCTAACACGGTGAAACCCCGTCTCTACTAAAAATACAAAAAATTAGCTGGGCGCCGTGGCGGGCGCCTGTAGTCCCAGCTTCTCAGGAGGCTGAGGTAGGAGAATGGTGTGAACCTGGGAGGCAGAGCTTGCAGTGAGCCGAGATAGTGCCACTGCACTCCAGCCTGGGCGACAGAGCGAGACTCCGTCTCAAAACAAACAAAAAAAAACAAACCCAAAAAAAACCAAAAACTAACATCTTACAGCAATATGGTACTTTTGTTTTAATTAATGACCCGGTATTGCCATTATTAGCCAAAGTGCCTACCTTAGTCAGATTTCCATAGTGTTTTCCAGACATCCCTCTGTGCCAGGATCCCACCAGGACCCCACACTGCATTTAGTTGTCACGTCTCCCCAGGCTTCTCTTGGCTATGAAGGACCCTCCTTGTCTGTGATGACCTTAGGTCGGCAGTGTTAGGGAGCGCTGCTTGGGGTATACTGTAGCATGCTGAGCGGGGCTGAGGCTCGGATGAGGGGAGCTCAGTCTGACCAGGCTCTGGAAGGAGCCGTCGCGCTGGAGCCAGAACCTGGCTTCCTGGGCCTGAGCCCCCTCACACAGGGACAGCGCCTCTGCTCAGTGTGCCCTCCCATTCCCTCGCAGGCAAGGGGATCAGGCGAGTGAAGCCGAAGCGCACCACATCCTTCTTCAGCCGGCAGCTGTCCTTGGGCCAGGGGAGCTACACCGTGGTGCAGCCCGGCGACAGCCTGGAGCAGGGCTGAGGACGCTGCACCCGGCAGGAGGAGGGCGACTGGGGGCCCTGGCCCGGCACTGTCCTCCTGAGGGGCAGGCGCCGGCTGCAACAGTCTCATGGGTCACCACGTGGGGAGGGCTGCCTCAGCAGGTTTCTCAGACCACGGAGAAGTGACTTTTGGGCCCGGGGCCATGCCCGGGCTGTGCAAAGCTGGCCAGGGCCTCCTGTAGGGCTCCTCTGCAGCCTGCCCTCCCTTCCCCCGGATGCTGGGCCCTGCTGCTCTCTCAGGACCATCCGATCAAGCTGCAGCTGCCACCCTCACCTAGAAACATGCCTTTGTGCCCACCTCAAGATGGGCAGTGTCCCTGTTCTGAAGTGCCCAGTGGCAGCTCCAGTGGTAGAGGACCAAGGATTGAGGTTTGGGACCTGAAGCTCCAGTGTGTGCCTTTGGCCTCTTCCCTGGACTTGGGTGACCAGTCTCCGTCTTCCTCCTGCTAGTGCTCCACCCCCCGGACTTGGATGACCAGTTTCCCACCTTCCTCCTGCTGGTGCTCCATCCCCCAATACCAGGCTGGGCCACCACTCTGAGGAGGGTAGGAGGGGCCTCCCTGGATTGAACCGGGACAGAAACACGGTGAGGGCCCCCACCACACCTCCCTGGTTGAATCAGGAATGGAGGGAGCCAGGCAGGGCCCTACCTGGGGTCCTGTGCCCCTCGTTCTGGTCTCCTTTGCAGGCACGAGATACCAGAAAGAGCATGCCTTTCTGATAGCCTTTGGTGATGTCACTGCTGGGAGGTGGCTATCCTGTGGACCACCTGGCCTCCAGACCCACACTCACAGTCTGTGAAAAACTGAAAATCCCCTGGTGGGCACTCCCTGGAGCCCAAGCAGCTCCCCTAGGGGACTGACCGGACCTGACCTCCCCTCCCTGTGTCTGGGTCTTCAGGTTTTAGTTTGGTCTTTGTTCATCTGAGTTGTGCTGGGGCAACGCCAGGAAGTGCCCTGGGTACCTCTGCTGTGCGCTCCTTCCCAGGTGGCGCCATGGATTCCTCTGGGGGCTGGCGCATGCCCAGGAAAGCCTGGGCCACACGGGACACTCTCTTCTTTATCGAGGACACTTGGAAAGGTGACTGATATGGGTGCTTGGCTTCTCTGGTCCCAGCTTGCCCTCCGGGGAGCAGGGGCTCTGTCTTGTCCCAGATGAGCTGAGAGCCCCTGAGAGGAGGGCTTTCCCAGCCCTGGGACCCTCCGAGGTGGGTGTGCGGGTCTCACAGGTGCTTCCTGGGACTTCCTGTGGCTGCACAGGGCTTGGCTTTGTCTTCGTTCCCGGTGGAAAACCGTGGGAGAGGAAGCTTGGGCCTCTACTCCAAGTATCAGAGCCTGTTCACCCTCCTCCCTTTGGTAGCTTGTGAATGTGCCAGGTGTTTCGAGGTAGGCTTGCCTTCTGGCAGCATGGACTTTGTTAAAATAATAGGCGGAAAGAAGAGGCCTGGGAAGGGCCCCCAGTCTTTTGGAATGTCCTGGTCACAGGGTCATGTCAGCTGCCAGTTCTCGTCTCCCGTCCTGGAGTTGCTCGGTCTTGCGGAGCTGCCCGCCTGCCTGTTCTGGCGGCTCCAGCGCAGGCTGTCCCTGCTGCTTTGATTCCAGGTGATTTTATTTTTTTTATTTTTTTATTTTTTTTGAGACGGAGTCTTGCTCTGTTGCCCAGGCAGGAGTGCAGTGGCGCATCTCGGCTCACTGCAACCTCTGTCTCAAGCGATTCTCCTGCCTCAGCCTCCTGAGTAGCTGGGATTACAGGTGCATGCCACCAGGCCCCGCTGATTTTTGTATTTTTAGTAGAGATAGGGTTTCACCATGTTGGTCAGGCTGGTCGTGAACTCCTGACCTCATGATCTGCCCGCCTCAACCTCCCAAAGTGCTGGGATTATAGGCGTGAGCCACCGCCCCCAGCTGATTCCAGGCGAATTCTTCTCTGATGGGCGGGCGAGGGTGTGTTCGTGTGATGGGTTGGAGTGTGTGTGTCTGAGTACACAGATGATGTGTTTTCCCTTCAGCTTCTTACGTTTTCTGAGCATCCATTGTGCCTTAACATTTTCTGCTTGTCCTTTGGGACAAAGCAGTATTTTACTCATTCTTTGAATGTTCTCATTCTTTTGTATCATGTGACTTATTAAAATCAGTTTCTAACAAACTCTGGGGCAGCTCATGATATGAAATAATGAGGGTGTGTCCGTGACAGTCCAAGAGTTGATTACAGGCTGCATGTTTGGTTTTCATGAAACGTACGTCAAGGTGTGCAGCCCTCAGGCCAGCCAGGTTGATGCCCACGGAGCACCCGAGTGAAGCTGTCTCATCTTGGCGGCTTGTACTCCCAGCCCCACGTTGCCCAGGAGGGGCTCTGGGGTTCCTGTGGGGACCAAGGTGGGTAACTGCAGATGCTCATGCCCTTCCTGAGGGCACCTCATGCTCCAGGCCTGGCAGGAGGCCGTTTGTTTCCCACAGATCCTGCTGTCAACACCTACCTGGGAGGGAAGGGACAGTAGCAGACCCCTGGAGGACTCTGAGCCCTGCAGCAGCCACCCAGGACCTGGGCCTGCAGGATGAGCGCCACTGGGGGATTGGGGTTCACAATGTTTCCAGAGATGGGAGGAGTAAGCCACCTGTCCCTGTGGCAGCGTAGTCCTGGGAACAGGGCCGTCTCCTTGGGTGTCCATGACAGTGAGTGGCACCTTGTCCTCTGTGTGATCATCTTTGCCTGGCAAGGCAGCACAATGCCATGACCATGGGCACCTGTGACCTTTCGTGGGAATAACAGTGCCCAGGCCAGGCACAGTGGCTTGCTACTGTAATCCCAGCACTTTGGGAGGCCAAGGCGGGAGGGTCACTTGAGCCTAGCCTGGGCAACATGGCGAAACCCCATTGCTACAAAAACAAAAAAAATTAGCCAGGCATGGTGGCACAAGCCTGTCGTGCCCAGCTGCTTGGGAAGCTGAGACTAGAGGATCGCCTGGGCCCAGGAGGTCGAGGATACAGCGAGCTGTGTTCACACCACTGTGCACTCCAGCCTGGGCAACAGAGCAAGACCCTGTCTCGAAAAAAAAAAAAAAATTCCGAAAAAACAACTCACTTCGGCCAGGTGCAGTGGCTCACGCCTGTAAACCCAGCACTTTGGGAGGCCAAGGCGGGCGGATAACCTGAGGTCGGGAGTTTGAGACCAGCCTGACCAACGTGGAGAAGCCCTGTCTCTACTAAAAATACAATATTAGCTAGGCATGGTGGCGCATGCGTGTAATCCCAGCTACTGGGGAGGCTGAGGCAGGAGAATCGCTTGAACCCGGGAGGCGGAGGTTGCAGTGAGCCGAGATCGTGCCATTGCACTCCAGCCTGGGTGACAGAGCAAAACTCTGTCTCAAAAAAAAAAAAAAAGTAAACTGATTGTCTCACAGTTCTGGGGGCTACAAGTCCAAAATCCAGGTTTCAGCTCAGCAGGGCCGTGCTCCCTCTGCAACCCATAGGAGAGGCCTTCCTTGCCTGCTCCTAGCTTCTGGTGCCTTGCTGGCCGTTCAGGCATTCATTGGCTTGCGGCTGCACAGCCAGTCTCTGCCTATGTGGTCATCTGGCATCTTCCTTAGTGTCTGTGTCTTCACATGGCTGTGTTCTTACAAAGACACCAGTCAGATTAGACTAGGGGCCCACCCTACTCCACCATGAGCTCATCTTAACTAATAACACCTGCAATGATCCTGTTCCCACATCATGTCACATTCTGATGCACTGAGGGTTAGGACTTCGACATATCCTTTTGGGGGAACACGATTTAACCCTTACCACTACCCTACAGATGATTGTCTTGGACTTCTTTGGGGTTCTTTAATGCCGGAACAGCTGTTATTTTCAAATCCTAGCTACGCTTGGGTTGCACGGGGCAGCAGGAGTGACTTTGCCACCTGCCAGCCTGGCACGCACAGCCTGGCTCAGCCAGCACCTGGATCCAGAGGCCTGAAGACCTGAAGAGGCTCTGCCCAGACTGCCCCTGAGGACAGTGCAGTGGGACGAGGTCTTCACAGTCCCCAGTCCCCAGACTCTCCCTAACTCTTCAGAATGCAGGAAGCAGAGGTGACCAGAACAGTCAACACATGCGATCCTACTGTCCCTTCTGAGGCTGGGGTTTCCAGGTCATTCTCCACTTACAGCAGCAGCTGGGGCATTCCTGCGGGCTTCCCAACCCGGGGCTAGCTGGACACAGGAGGCTCCAGCCACAACCAGAGCCCAGCAAGAGGCTTGCGCAGACCCACAGCTGAGGCTTCATGTGGCCAGCCCCCAGCCAAGTGGCAGTGCATGGAGAGACACACGGGAGGCCAGAGGTGCTGCTGGGACTCAGAAAAGCCACAGCGACCAAGGCGACCCAGGACGCTGTCATGCTCAGTCTGAAAAAACAGTGGTGCAAGGGGCACAGATAAAGCTGGGAAGGAGAGGGCTGGGGTGGATGTGCCAGGGGCCTCTGACACTTGTCAGGGAGCAGGAGTTCCAACTGCTCCCCGCACACAGGGTTGCAGGATTAGCAACAGAGTTACCCATGGAGACATCAGCTCAGAGTCCAGGCAGCTTTTCAGATGACACCGGGGATAAGAACATAAAGACCAGGAAAATGGGTCACTTTGCACACACATGATGCCCCAACAGATGTGCAGGCCACCACCCAACACAAAGACAGACAATAGACTGGGAGGGGGAGCAGTGATCAAACAAGGCTTCCTGGAGGAGGGGGCCTGACAGGCTCAGTAGGATACAGGTAAATGCAGCAAAGAGAGAGGGCATGGGATGGAGCAGGGACAGTCAACCAAAGCCTGTGACTTTGAGCCTAAGGGACACTGACAGTGCTGACCCAAAGGAGGTGCAGGCCTCGGGACAGATTCTCATCGCTCATTCTTCTCCTTTGTGCAGAGGACTTTTAGAGCTACCTGGCATTTTTCTCCCTGTCCAAATCCACCCCACATTTCAAAGAAAGTAGGCAGACTACCCAACTTCACCCAGAATGGGGGTGCAGGGCTGGGCCTGGGTCTGAGGACTTCAGTTTTAAGCAGCAAGTCCAGTGCCGTGTGGTGGCCCGGCTCCTCTCGCCCCCACTGGGCGGACAGCGTGGGTGGGGCGGAGCCTACTCCCATCTGCAGGTTGCTGGTTCGGCTGCGGCCAGCAGGGGGCAGCTGAGCTCACCCTTTCCTCCTGCCGGGCTGCAGGGACAGTGACAGTGAGCAGCACTGCCCGCCCAGGCAACCTGGAACCAGGGTCGTGCCCCACGACAGAATCTCGGGGGCCTTGGGTCTGGCGCTGCGGGCTCACCCGCTCTCAGAGTGGGAGTCCTGGCTCCTGACTGCCCTGACCTTCTTCCTGCCACTGGGCCCATGATGGGGGTCCCCAACTTTCAAGAACACAGGGTAAGGGGTTTGTTTCCCTGGTGGTGGGCGGGGGCATTCCTCAGCTTCGTGATGGGTCCTGAGTTTTCCAAAGGTCAGGATCCATGTCCTGGAAACGGATTCTGCTGTAGATGTGTGCTTTTCTGTGAAATGACAGCTTAGTAAAAATACTTAAACTGGGGCTATTTGGAGACATCTAAGAGGTGGAGTGAGCACAACCTGGCACTAGTCGCCTCCCTCCTGAGGCAGTTGACTGTCCGGCCTCTGCCCCTGGGCCCTTCCTCCTTCCCAGCTGCCCTGAGCCCTCTTCCAGCACCTCCTGTCCCCACCTCACACACTAAGTCTTCCTGCTATTTTTAACTATTTGACATAATTTGCAAAAGAGAGAATAATAGTCCCAGCTCTTCCCAAGGACTTCTTTGTCCGGTGCCCATCTGACCTTGGCACTTTGTTGTGGGGGTGGCAGTGACCCTGACAAGTTCTCCCAGCCAGCGAGAGCACAGGCCTCCCATACAGTATCGTCAAGGTCAGCAGCCTCCCGGGCAGGGGGGTTCTACTCCCCGCAGAAGCCCTGGCACCATGGCCAACTTGCTCACAGAGGGCACTCAGTCAGACCAAGGTGGGTTGGGGCAGAAAAGGCTCCTTCAGAGATTCAAGGACAGTCACAACTGGTGCTGTGATGGGGCCACCGGGACAAGCACAGTGCAGGCCATTCCCATCAGCAGGGACCCAAGAGGAAGTGGTAGGCTCTGGCAGTGGGGGCGGCTGGCGGTCCTGAAGACAGAGGGCTTTGCAAACCTAGGGGTGGAGGTAGTGGGATGTCAGCACCTGGGCTCCCTGCTCAGAGGAGCTGGCGCCAGGATTCCCAGTGGGTGGGCTTGGGGAGGAGGCTGGAAAGGTTAGCACAGGCGAAAGTGTGGGGCCTAGGAAAGCTGGGCTCGCTTATTTGGCCAAGGAGGGTGGGGAGGGTTGGAGGAGGTCTAGGGGCCGCTGGAGGTGCAGGGCAGCCCGGGGAGGCAGGGCTATGGGGCCCAGCCACGCATTCCACAGGCCTTCTCTCTGCGGGAACAGGAGTGAGGACACAGGCGCTCAGCGTGGCAGGGTGGGAACAGGAAGGTCTCGTGAGCTCTGTGACAGGATGGGGCTACAGGAGACAGAGGTAGCAGTGAGCTGGTGAAGAGGCAGGAGGAGGCAAGGAGGACAGGGTGTTCTAGGGTGCCAGCTCAGGCAAGGCTCCAAGGAGTGGGTGAGTGCTCAGGAGGACGGGGGACCAAGGCCTGGGGTAAGGGGCAGGTGCCCAGGCACTCTAGCATGGCACGGAACAGGGGACAGTCCCAGGACATCCGGATGCAGGGGGCTGACACCGCAAAGTTCTTTCCTGTAAAGCACAGCCCGAGGCCTGGGGCTTGGCCCTGGGCAGAGGAAGCCCCCCTTAGATCTGCCTTGGCAGTAGTGAGGAAAGGGCGTGCACAGACCCCACGCAGCCCGAGGTGACGGGTCAAATGCAAGAGTGAGAAGCCCCCTCCTGAGGGTCCTCCCCTGCCTCGCCTTCCTGGTGGGCGGCCTGCTTTCCAGCACATGTGGTGGACCAGCCCACATTAGGTCAAAGTGTTAAAAATAGCCGGAGGGCTCAGTATGTTTGGGGGTGGGGGGGGAATGGGAGGTGCTGAGGGAGGGCCCAGGACAGTTGGGAAGGAGGAAGGGCCCGTGGGGCTGGGGTTGGGACAGTCGGCTCCTGTAGGTGCAGCAGCCCTGGGGCATGCTCACCTCACCTCACCTCAGCTTTGTAAACCAGGGCCATGGGAGACCCCCTCCCTCTGATGCCCTCTCCCTCAAATGCCTTTGCCAACGTGTGGCTGAGAGTGCACCCCAGTTCCCCTTGGCCACCCCAGGCAGTCCCAGTCCACTGAGAGCAGCCGCTGTCCTTCTTCCCTCTCCTGCCTCCTGACCTGGGACCCCACAGAGCTGGGCCTGTCATCACATTTATGGGGCTGCAGCTGACCTGGGAACTCCCTTCCTCAGTCAGTCCACAAATATTTACCCAGAGCCTCAGGGTGCTCAGTGACCTTTACAAAACAAAGTGCAGAGTCACGTGCCAGGGCACAGCAATCCCGGGCAAAACAGACCGAAACCCCTCCCTCGAGGAGATCAAGTTGGGGCGGCGCTTTAGAGTTGTGGTCAGGAGGCTGGCTGAGTGGTGACCTTAGGGCAGAGGCCTGAAGGAGCAGTGGAAGTGGACTAGGCAGCAACTAGGTGAAGAGTGTTCCAGGAAACACTACACTGTCAGAATCAAGAGATGTTAGGGCCGAGAGGAGCCTCAAAATGGGGGAAGCAAGGCTGGGAGGGGTGGCCTACCCTGGTCACATGAGAGGTGGGGGCAGAGCAGGCCGGAGCCTCACAGGAAGAGGCCGGTTAGAGTTGGGGGTGGGGCCCAGCTTGTGTTTCCTGCACTGGCTGCGAGGCGTGAAAGGCGGGCTCCCGGCCAGCACACAGTGACAGTGCAGTTTCCAGACCCAGGCCCTGAGCTGAGGGGCCTCAGGGCTCAGAAAGGGCCTAGGCCTCAGATCTCTGGTGAGCGGGGAGCCCAAAATGGCCCTGGAGGCCACAGCTCCAGAACTAGACCCGTGGAGAATGGAGGGCTGGGGCCCTGCACATTCTCAAGCAGTAGTAGCAACACTGTCATTGTCCTGCCCTTGGTATAAGCCTGAAGAACCACCCTTTCTTACCCGGCTTCTGCTCCCCTTTTCCAGGGGCTCCTGTGGGAAATCCCGGGTACTTCCTGGGACTGGTCTGTCTATATGTTTGGAAACCACAGAGCTGACCTGGCTTCAGAACAAGATGTGGGGCTCCAGGCACCCGGGAGACCAGTGACCCTGATTGGCAATAGCCGCAAGAAAGGGCTTGGAGACAGGGGCCAGGCGCGGTGGCTACCCCTGTAATCGCAGCACTTTGGGAGGTCAAGGCAGGTGGATCACTTGAGGTCAGGAGTTGGAGACCAGCCTGGCCAATGTGGTAAAACCCTGTCTCTACTAAAAATACAAAAAAAAAAAAAAAAAATTAGCCAATGTGGTGGTGTAAGCCTATAGTCCCAGCTACTCGGGAGGCTGAGGCAGGAAAATCACTTGAACCCAGGAGGGAGGGTGCAGTGAGCAGAGATCACACCACTGCACTCCAGCCTGGGCAACAGAGTGAGACTCCATCAAAAAAAAAAAGAAAAGAAAGAAAGGGCTTGGAGACAGGGCCCTAACCCTGGAATCCAGATGTTGCCAAAGCAGCCCCCTCCTGTTCCTCTGTCTGCCTGGGAAGAAGCAGGAGTTGGCCACCCACACAGGCAGGGCGGGCCCTTCACCACCCAGCTCCACCCCGGAATCCAAGGGCCTCTGTTTGCTGCTGTTTTCTGGAACAACTTGTTTTGATCTAGAGAAATCTGCTGACACCGGCCTTCCTGCTCTCACCCTCCAGCTGGGCAGAGGTATTTTTAGACTTATTTGTAGAGGAAGAGAGCAGAACCCAGGCCCAATGTGTACCCTCCTTACTGTGGGCACAGCTTTGGCCCCTTAAGGCAGGACAGAGATATCCATGTGGTTGTCTACCCTCAGCTCATCTCTCCTTAAATACATTCCTTTCCCGAGAAAAACGAGCTGTGTGGAACTTGGAGGCCAGCAAAGCTTCTACATAAGGACCCTCTGAAACAGTGCCCTTTTGTCCTTGAAAACCCAGGGTGGCAAAGGCAGCTCCAGATACAAGGGCACAAAGGAGACTTGGTTCCCTTTGTGACAGGGAAGCCTATGCTTTACAGAATCCTATGTTTTGTATGTCAGTAATTGTCCCTACTTAAAAAAAAATCTATATATATATATGTATTAGAAAGGGTCTCACTCTTGTTGGCCAGCCTGGAGTGCAGTGGCACAATCATAGCTCACTGCAGCCTCAAAATCCTAGGCTCAAGGGATCCTGCTGCCTCAGTCTCCCCAGTAGCTGAGACTACAGGCAGTCATGTGCACCTGGCTTTTTTTTTTTTTTTTCTTTCATTTTTTGTAGAGACAGGGTCTTGCTGTGTTTCCCAGGCTGGTCTCGAACTCCTGGCCTCTAGGCAATCCTCCCACCATGGCCTTCAAAAGCGAATGGATCCCACTCTTTTTTGAAAAATAAAATCTACCATAGTTTGTTTCTGGGATTTGGGAATGATGTGTGTGAATTAGAGAGATTTCGAGACCTGAAATAGAGAAAAGCAAGTTAAGACATCAACTGGGGCCCAGAAACAGCACTACAGCGGGGACGACCCACCTCTCAGATGCCTGGTGAGATAAAGAAAGGTCTGGCTGACTCCACTGCCCAGTACTGTGAAGCAGCAGTGAAGACTCCTCCATTGGTTTCATAAGCTGCCCAGCTTTCTAGAACATTTTGACAGACAATTCCCTCTTTCCACACGGTTCTTTCAGGCCAAATCACCCCACCCCAACCCACCCCTGGAGATACAGTCAGGAAGAGACTGATGGGGCAGATCCTGGAGGAGGCCGCACTGCCGGAATCTTCCCCTGGCAGAGAAACAGGGCTAAGCAGGCGCCAGGGAGCAAGCCTGGGCTTGCCACATCACCACCTTCTGTGCTGAAGGTCAGATGACACACAGTCACCAGTTTTCCGAGAAGCACAGGGAGGGGTGCATGTCAGGCCCAGCCCTGCCTGCTGATACCACCTCACAGACGCAGGCGAAATGTCTTCACCAGCTTCTTCTCGGTTGCCAAGGGGGCCTGCTTTCAAGGGGTTGTTTTGTATGGGGTGTGGGTGTTAACCAGGGAGAGGTTCCTGGCAGGAGTTCCTGTCAGATGCCATTTTCCATTCTGGTTACTTGAACCGGGGTCCTTTTTCATCCTCTACCTCAGGGGCCAGAGCTTCCTCATCACCCTGCACCCCCTAGCAAGGGAGGTGCCCGCTACACGGTCCAAAGTCCTCTCCAGACATTCGGGCCCTGCCCGCCTTGCTGGAGGGCTCAGGAGTTCACCAGGTTTGCTTCCAGAAGAGCCAGGCTGGGGATGCCTGCTTGCAAATGCAGCAAATAAAAAATAAATAAATAAATAAAAATCACCTTTCTCCCCACCCCCACCCAAATGTAAAATGAGCCGACAGCCTGTCCCTCGGCTATGTCAGATACTGCTTTCCGCACAATATCTTGGTTTTACATTATTTTGCAACGGCCTCTTCCCACTTAATCCATCCTGAACACACTTCTTGAATGTTCTACCCCGGCAGGGATGCGCATTCTCAGGAAACACGTCCCCTCGCCAGGCCCCTGGGAAGAGTCAAAACCACGATGCCTGCCCCTGAAGCGCCCGCGCGGCTCCACGGGGCTCCATGTTGTCACCCACTAGCTCCTGGACGCTATCAGCCCGCAGCAGGGTTTCCTGGCCAGAGAAACCGCCTGTTGGGGTGCGGAGCGTTCCACGTCCCCTCGCAGCACCCCGCTGGCCTTCTGGGCCGCCCCGCCCCCAACCCGCGCCCGGGCGCTGACGTCATCGGCCGAGCCCGACTCGGAACCACCGCCCGAAAGTCACGCGCGCCTCCCGGCGGGACGTGCCCTCTGCAGAGATCCCTCCGCCGCCGCCTGGAATTTTCCAGATGTCCTGCCGGCCCTTCTTTCGGGCCTCGGCTGGGCGTGGTGACCTCAAGCGACCCCGGCGGCTCCCGTCGCCCACTCAAGAGGGCGCCCCCGCCCGCCACGCCCCCAGCCCCTCTCGGGGAAGCGCGTCCCCCGCCCGACCTCAACAACATCCGGGAAGAAAAGGGGTCTTCTTCCTCATGGCATTCGCCTCCCAAATGTCACCTTGAGCGCTGTCCGCGATCCCAAAAAGCACTGTTAAAGAGAAGCGGGGATACACTGGGGTCCTTGCGTGGGGGCCGCCTGGGAGACCATGCACCGCCCGGGAGTCTCTCCGGGCAGGGTCGGGGAGGGACTTTTTTGCCGGTGGCCGTGGAGGAATCGTCCCGTTGAGCAATGACCCCGGTGACGCGGCTGAGGGCTATAAAAGCAAAAGTTGTGGCAAGTCCAGCCGGAGTTAGCGACAGGGAGGGATGCGCGCCTGGGTGTAGTTGTGGGGGAGGAAGTGGCTAGCTCAGGGCTTCAGGGGACAGACAGGGAGAGATGACTGAGTTAGATGAGACGAGGGGGCGGGCTGGGGGTGCGAGAAGGAAGCTTGGCAAGGAGACTAGGTCTAGGGGGACCACAGTGGGGCAGGCTGCATGGAAAATATCCGCAGGGTCCCCCAGGCAGAACAGCCACGCTCCAGGCCAGGCTGTCCCTACTGCCTGGTGGAGGGGGAACTTGACCTCTGGGAGGGCGCCGCTCTTGCATAGCTGAGCGAGCCCGGGTGCGCTGGTCTGTGTGGAAGGAGGAAGGCAGGGAGAGGTAGAAGGGGTGGAGGAGTCAGGAGGAATAGGCCGCAGCAGCCCTGGAAATGATCAGGAAGGCAGGCAGTGGGTGCAGGGCTGCAGGAGGGCCGGGAGGGCTAATCTTCAACTTGTCCATGCCAGCAGCCCCTTTTTTTCCAGACCAAGGGCTGTGAACCCGCCTGGGGATGAGGCCTGGTCTTGTGGAACTGAACTTAGCTCGACGGGGCTGACCGCTCTGGCCCAGGGTGGTATGTAATTTTCGCTCGGCCTGGGACGGGGCCCAGGCCGGGCCCAGCCTGGTGGAGCGTCCAGGTCTGGGTGCGAAGCCAGGCCCCTGGGCGGAGGTGAGGGGTGGTCTGAGGAGTGATGTGGAGTTAAGGCGCCATCCTCACCGGTGACTGGTGCGGCACCTAGCATGTTTGACAGGCGGGGACTGCGAGGCACGCTGCTCGGGTGTTGGGGACAACATTGACCAACGCTTTATTTTCCAGGTGGCAGTGCTCCTTTTGGACTTTTCTCTAGGTTTGGCGCTAAACTCTTCTTGTGAGCTCACTCCACCCCTTCTTCCTCCCTTTAACTTATCCATTCACTTAAAACATTACCTGGTCATCTGGTAAGCCCGGGACAGTAAGCCGAGTGGCTGTTGGAGTCGGTATTGTTGGTAATGGTGGAGGAAGAGAGGCCTTCCCGCTGAGGCTGGGGTGGGGCGGATCGGTGTTGCTTGCCTGCAGAGAGGGTGGGGAGTGAATGTGCACCCTTGGGTGGGCCTGCAGCCATCCAGCTGAAAGTTACAAAAATGCTTCATGGACCGTGGTTTGTTACTATAGTGTTCCTCATGGCGAGCAGATGGAACCGGGAGACATGGAGTCCCTGGCCAGTGTGAGTCCTAGCATTGCAGGAGGGGAGACCCTGGAGGAGAGAGCCCGCCTCAATTGATGCCTGCAGATTGAATTTCCAGAGGCTTAGGAGGAGGAAGTTCTCCAATGTTCTGTTTCCAGGCCTTGCTCAGGAAGCCCTGTATTCAGGAGGCTACCATTTAAAGTTTGCAGATGAGCTTATGGGGGGCAATCTTAAAAAGTCCACAGCAGATGCATCCGGCTCGAGGGGCCATCAGCTTTGAATAAATGCTTGTTCCAGAGCCCATGAATGCCAGCAGGCACCCCTCCTTTCCTGGGGTAAAGGTTTTCAGATGCTGCATCTTCTAAATTGAGCCTCCGGTCATACTAGTTTTGTGCTTGGAACCTTGCTTCAAGAAGATCCCTAAGCTGTAGAACATTTTAACGTTGATGCCACAACGCAGATTGATGCCTTGTAGATGGAGCTTGCAGATGGAGCCCCGTGACCTCTCACCTACCCACCTGTTTGCCTGCCTTCTTGTGCGTTTCTCGGAGAAGTTCTTAGCCTGATGAAATAACTTGGGGCGTTGAAGAGCTGTTTAATTTTAAATGCCTTAGACTGGGGATATATTAGAGGAAGCAGATTGTCAAATTAAGGGTGTCATTGTGTTGTGCTAAACGCTGGGAGGGTACAAGTTGGTCATTCCTAAATCTGTGTGTGAGAAATGGCAGGTCTAGTTTGGGCATTGTGATTGCATTGCAGATTACTAGGAGAAGGGAATGGTGGGTACACCGGTAGTGCTCTTTTGTTCTTGCTTCGTTTTTTTAAACTTGAACTTTACTTCGTTAGATTTCATAATACTTTCTTGGCATTCTAGTAAGAGGACCCTGAGGTGGGAGTTGTGGGGGACGGGGAGAAGGGGACAGCTTGGCACCGGTCCCGTGGGCGTTGCAGTGTGGGGGATGGGGGTATGCAGCTTGGCACTGGTACTGGGAGGGATGAGGGTGAAGAAGGGGAGAGGGTTGGTTAGAGATACAGTGTGGGTGGTGGGGGTGGTAGGAAATGCAGGTTGAAGGGAATTCTCTGGGGCTTTGGGGAATTTAGTGCGTGGGTGAGCCAAGAAAATACTAATTAATAATAGTAAGTTGTTAGTGTTGGTTAAGTTGTTGCTTGGAAGTGAGAAGTTGCTTAGAAACTTTCCAAAGTGCTTAGAACTTTAAGTGCAAACAGACAAACTAACAAACAAAAATTGTTTTGCTTTGCTACAAGGTGGGGAAGACTGAAGAAGTGTTAACTGAAAACAGGTGACACAGAGTCACCAGTTTTCCGAGAACCAAAGGGAGGGGTGTGTGATGCCATCTCACAGGCAGGGGAAATGTCTTTACCAGCTTCCTCCTGGTGGCCAAGACAGCCTGTTTCAGAGGGTTGTTTTGTTTGGGGTGTGGGTGTTATCAAGTGAATTAGTCACTTGAAAGATGGGCGTCAGACTTGCATACGCAGCAGATCAGCATCCTTCGCTGCCCCTTAGCAACTTAGGTGGTTGATTTGAAACTGTGAAGGTGTGATTTTTTCAGGAGCTGGAAGTCTTAGAAAAGCCTTGTAAATGCCTATATTGTGGGCTTTTAACGTATTTAAGGGACCACTTAAGACGAGATTAGATGGGCTCTTCTGGATTTGTTCCTCATTTGTCACAGGTGTCTTGTGATTGAAAATCATGAGCGAAGTGAAATTGCATTGAATTTCAAGGGAATTTAGTATGTAAATCGTGCCTTAGAAACACATCTGTTGTCTTTTCTGTGTTTGGTCGATATTAATAATGGCAAAATTTTTGCCTATCTAGTATCTTCAAATTGTAGTCTTTGTAACAACCAAATAACCTTTTGTGGTCACTGTAAAATTAATATTTGGTAGACAGAATCCATGTACCTTTGCTAAGGTTAGAATGAATAATTTATTGTATTTTTAATTTGAATGTTTGTGCTTTTTAAATGAGCCAAGACTAGAGGGGAAACTATCACCTAAAATCAGTTTGGAAAACAAGACCTAAAAAGGGAAGGGGATGGGGATTGTGGGGAGAGAGTGGGCGAGGTGCCTTTACTACATGTGTGATCTGAAAACCCTGCTTGGTTCTGAGCTGCGTCTATTGAATTGGTAAAGTAATACCAATGGCTTTTTATCATTTCCTTCTTCCCTTTAAGTTTCACTTGAAATTTTAAAAATCATGGTTATTTTTATCGTTGGGATCTTTCTGTCTTCTGGGTTCCATTTTTTAAATGTTTAAAAATATGTTGACATGGTAGTTCAGTTCTTAACCAATGACTTGGGGATGATGCAAACAATTACTGTCGTTGGGATTTAGAGTGTATTAGTCACGCATGTATGGGGAAGTAGTCTCGGGTATGCTGTTGTGAAATTGAAACTGTAAAAGTAGATGGTTGAAAGTACTGGTATGTTGCTCTGTATGGTAAGAACTAATTCTGTTACGTCATGTACATAATTACTAATCACTTTTCTTCCCCTTTACAGCACAAATAAAGTTTGAGTTCTAAACTCATTAGAATTGTTGTATTGCTATGTTACATTTCTCGACCCCTATCACATTGCCTTCATAACGACTTTGGATGTATCTTCATATTGTAGATTTAGGTCTAGATTTGCTAGCTCCAAGTAATTAAGGCCATGTAGGAGAGCATGGTAACCACAGATAGAACTGGTATTATCCCAAGTGGTCTGCAGACTGCTGAGTGGGGATGGGATCTGCTCTCTGTTGAGAGTTGGTAATCATTGGTTTGAAATGTGATGAAACCACTCAAGCCAATGAAGGTGGGTGTGTAGGTGGGGAGTACTTTGCCATAATATTTTAAAACATTACCTGGTTAGAGTTCTAAGTGGTACTTATTTTTGTTTGGTTAGGGGAAAGCCTGAATAAAAACAGAAATGGACACATAATATGCATATTCCATAGTCTTTGGGAGGCTGGAATGTGCCTGGGATTTGGGTCTAAGTGTATGCGTAATTCTTACCTCACTAAAGAATTTGCCTTGTTTTTTTCCTTTTGGTGAGTGACTAAAACGTCTGGGCTTCCCTGTGTGCGTGCTACAGTAAGCAAGCAGAGGCTGTGCAAAGGTGTGAGCAGGATCACGTGGAATCTGGAGGATACATCTTGGCTTGCAAACTGCCTCTGTCTCCTGGGTGGGACTGTTCTGTCCTTGCACTGCTGTTCTGTGTTACCTCTTGGGGTGTAAGGTTTTGCTTACAGGAGACAAACTTTGGGCGTAGAATGGAAGCCACTGCCAGCCTCTGTGCTGAGAAGGAAGGTGCTTGTTTCAAAGGGAGCAGCAAGGGAGGCTTGTTCTACTCACCTGGGCCTGTTTGCCTGAGAAGGGGAGATAAGGGCTGAACTGGGACTAGCCAGGGGGACCAACACAAATGGTGGGGGATCATGACCTGAAGGATTCTTTCCTTCCCATGAGCTGCAGGGCTGGTTGCCGTCCTTGCAACTGTGTCTTATTTGCCTGTGCCGTTATATCTTGGTGACCCCTCCACGTGTACACTACTGACAAACGGGTGGAGTGCTGGGGAGAAGTCACTGTGCCGCCCACCTAGTAAACCTTCTGTCTGTGCTCATGGCATCTCCAAGATGGGGCACTGCTGTGTGCAGAATCCAGGGTCCTCTTTCTGCTTGCAACTCCTTTCCCTGGATGCCCCAGAAACAATCCAGGCCTCCTTTCCTATCTTACCCCTTTGCTTTGCTTTTTACCCCAGCACCTCTATAACCGCCTTCTCTTCTTTTCAGAACTCCTTGTTTCTCGTCCTGTTTTTTATGATTACAAAACTCTTGCTTCCACCCTGGAAGATAACTGCTATAGATGCCTGTATGTAAATGGTGCTGTCTCCAGCAACTGGCATGCTGAAGAAGAATTGATTCACGGGGTATAAATGTTGGGGATTGGAAGTGGGGATGAAATGGCACTTGTTGATACAGGAGCAGAGAGGTGAGGCCGACTGCTGAAGACAGCTCGCCACCCTCCTTGCCTCCACTCCAATCCAGGGGCTGGGGCCACATTCTTTGCCTTCATTTATCCTCAGATCAGGTGAGATCGACAGGAGGTGTTGATGGCAGTGCCAGCAATTATTGCTAATCCGTTTGCATCCTTATGCATAGATCTGAATTCAGACTTTGTGAATTTCCAGAGGTGTGGGTAATATAATAGAATTCAGTGAGTGGGCATGGCTGATCTTGTGCAAATTAAAAGTTATGGGGCATAAGAATAGCAAAAGTTGAACTTCTTTTAAAAAGGAAAGTACCCTGAGAGCCAGTATTGGTTGAGGCTCTTCAGTATGCCCAGGTTGGCAGCACTGAGAACCGCAGGAACGGCCTGTTGTTACAAAAAGGAGATTGACTCAGCTGCCCTTGGTGCATCTGACTGACTATGACTGCTGAGAGATTCCAAGGACCCTTAATGCCAGGGCTAACCTCTCCATGTGCAGTGAGACCTCTGGAGGAAGTGTCATCCTCTGGCTTTGTGTGGTACTCATTATGGTGCAGTGCGGGCATGAAATGAAGACACCCAAATAGGCTTACAGATACGATATGTTTTAAATGTTCGTATTTAACAAAAACATACTGACACTGTTTGGAAATGGCAACAGGAAGATAGCAAAATGAATACTAACATTACGAAAAGATGAACAGGTACATGTTCCAAGGCAGGTGGCTGTGAACTTCCTCTGAGTGAAGGCATCCCCTCCAGCACCTTTCAGCCTGCTAGTTAGGACGACCCGCCGCCACCCTCCAGGACCTCCAGCCCTGCACTGCCTTTCCTCTCTTTTAAATAATTCTTCATTGAGTTCTAATATGTAAAAAAAAAAAGTTTACTGTAAAGTTTGCAAATAAGGAAATTTTTTTTAAAAGTCCTCAGTAATCTTACCAGTAACAATTGTTATGGGCACATTTGCTTTTGGAAGATTTCTTTTGTATGCATGGGATAAGTACATTTTTAAACAAAAATGGGATTATGCCATAAATTCTATTTTGTGACTTTAATATATAGTGAACACCTTTTTTAATGATGACAGGATGTTCCCTTGCATGGCTGTATCAATTTAAACAATCTTGTTTCAATGGGCATACAGGGTATTTTCTAGTTTTTTTTTCCTCTTAGAAAATAATACTTGCGATGACTTTCCTTGTAGCTCAGACTTTTTCACGTCTGTTGTTATCTCTTTGGGAATGCTGAATACATACATTTCGAGAAGGAAATGACTGTTAAACTCTTAAGACTTCAGGTTCATATTGCTAAACTGCCCAGCAGGGAGGGATTTTTTCAATTAGTGTTCTCACTGGTGAGGCAAACCTGATGCCTTCCCCTCTTCCTCAGAACCGGCTTTATCACATTGAAAACCTTTGCTCCTCCGACGGATCGAGTCTGCTTTCCCTCTGGATGTGAGCATTGCTTTGTCTGCTGGTGACTGAACATCTCTACCTTGTGTCAATTGGCCATTTGTGGTGTGTGTGTGTGTGCGTGTGTGTGTGTGTGTGTGTGTATGATTTTCTAATTCCTAGTCATTTTTCTATTGATTGTTTTGCAAAAGCCATTTACATCTTAAGGATATTGATAATCTTTTGTTATATTTGATGCAAATATTTTTTTCCAGTTTATAGGTTGCCTTTTAATTTTGTGTTTCAGGTAGATAAAAGTTAAACGATTTTCTTAGGTTAGTTTATCACTGTGGTTTCTGAACTTGTTATGTGTAGATCTTTTCCACCCCAAGAGTACATAAATATTAATCCATACTTTCTTATGGAACTTGTATGGTTTCGTTTTTTACATTTAAACCTTCTTCCCCGTGGTGTGTGTTGTGGAATCTGTGTTTGTGTGAGGAGGGGCATGGTGCTCTCAGAACCCACCTCCTGTGGCCAGAGAGCCCTGTCCTGTGAGGGTGGTTGTCACAGTGGCAGGGTTCAATTCAGAAGACCTTGAGGGCAGGCTGATGTTTCCTGAATGGGCCCCTGGTTGTTGCTTGTCCCTGACTCTCCATTTCCCCATCTGAGTGGATTTGGACCTAATAGGGCACTGGAGCTGGTTCGAATCCTGACTGGACTACTTGGCAACTTTATGTCTGGGAGCAAGTTACTTAACCTCCCCAAGCCTGTGTCTGTGAAATGCGGGTAAATGAATGTAGATGTTTGGCAGCAGCTACTCCTTGTTGAGCTCTCACAGTGAACTCTCCTGCCTCTGCCCTCCTTCCCCGCCTCCCCTGGTGCCTAGCGTCAGGTCTAGCCACTTCCTCCTGGGCCCCTCTCCCTTTTCTGTGGCTGGCTGCCTGCCCGCCTGGCGCTGGACCTTTCATGTAACGGGAATCAGCATGTATATTCTGGTCTGGTCTGTTTCTACACTTAATTTTGTTTCCAGTAGTATTTCCCTGTACCGGCAGAGTTCACAAACACATTTGAAGAGGCTTTTTCTCAGGATTCTTAACCTTCCCAAAGGAAGTCCCATGGATGGGTTTCTAGAAGTCTATAAATGCTCTGAAATTGTATTTTTCTGTGGAAAGCATAACTTTCATCTGCTTGTTCGTGCTCAAAAAAGATCATGAATGAATGATTGCATGATTTTATGCCATTGTGCTTATACTAAAGGATATGTAGCCCATCTCTTGAGCTGTTAAACTGTTTTGACTACTTTAAATCGTGCAGCTGTGAGCATCTCTGTAAATTTAGTGTACACATGTATCCCCTGGAGTGGCATTGCCTCGGCAGTGAGCACTTATGGTTTTATAACTCTCTTCACAGACTCAAATGACTCCAGAAAGCTACACTTCCTGTTGTGAGTATATGATATCCATTTCCCTACATAGCCACTAACATCAGGTTTTTACAATTTTATTTATTTCTTGCTACTTTAAGAAATTTTTGTGGTGAAATACATATAATAGAAGTTGACTATCTGAATCATTTTTAAGTATACATTCAGTAGTGTTAAGTATGTCGCCATTGTTGTACAACCAATCTCCAGAACTTTTTCATCTTGCAAAACAAACTCTGTACCCATTAAATAACATTAAACATTCCATTCCCTCCAGCCTCAGCAACCCCATTCTACTTTCTGTTTCTGTGAGTTTGACTATTCCAAGCACTTCATATCAGTTAAATCATGAAGTATTTGTCTGTCTGTGACTGGCTTATTTCTCTGAGCACAGTGTCCTCGAGATGCGTCTATGTTGTAGCATATGTCAGAATTTCCTTCCTTTTTAAAAGATCCAAATAATATTCTTATTTTATATCTTTTTTTTATCCATTCATCCATTAGTGGACACTTGGGTTGCTTTTGGCTATTGTAAATAATGGTGCTATGTACAAATATCTATATTATTGTATTTACAAGTATAATGCTGTAATGTACACACATCTTTTTGAGATCCTACCTTCAGTTCTTTTGAGTATATAGCCAGAAGTGGTATTACTAAATCTTACGATATTTCTATTTTTAATTTATTGAGGAACCACTGTAGTTTTTCATAGCAACTGCACCATTTTACGTTCTCACCAAGAGTGCACAAGGGTTCCGAGGTTCCCACATCCTCCCCAACACTTGTTATTTTCTGCTTTTTTTAGATTGCAGCCATCATAGTGGGTGTGAGGTGACATTTCATTGTGGTTTTGATTTGCATTTCCCTAATGAGGAGTGATGCTGAGCATCTTTTCATATGCTTACTGGTCATTTGTATGTTGTCTTTGGAAAAATGTCTATTCAAGTCCTTTGACTATTTTAAAAATTGGGTTATTAGAGTTATCGTTGTTGTTGACTTGTAGGAGTTTCTTTCTATATTCTGGATATTAATCCCCTATCAGATATATGATTTGCAAATATCTTCTCTTATTCCATAAGGTTACTTTTTCACTTTGTTGATTGTGTTCTTTGATGTATAGAAGTTTTTAGTTTTGAAATAGTCTAATTTATCTGTTTTTACTTTTGTGGTCTGTGCTTTTGGTGTCATATCCAAGAAATCCTTGCCAAATCCAACGTTATAAGGTACTTTTAAGGTATTTTAGTTGTCTTAGTCTATATTTCTGTACTCACCTTTCTTTATCCACTCATCAGTTGATGGGCATGTAGGTTGGTTCCATATCTTTGCAATTCTGAATTGTGCTATGATCAGGTGTCTTTTTAGTATAATGATTTACTCTCCTTTGGGTAGATACCCAGTAGTGGGATTGCTGGATCGAATGGTTTTTATAATTTTCTATTTTACCACAGTTTCTCTCTGCATTTTTCCTCTTTGACCACTAACCATGTGAAATTCTCATATTGACCTTTATAATGATCATGAACTCTTAGTATCATTGGGAAGGCCACATTTGCCACTTATGATTGTAAACCTTATCCTCCATTTTTCCTGTTATTGTTGGTGCAAAAAGCACCTATTATACCAGGACTTTAAAAATCAGTCTGATAAGTCTTTGATAAGTCTAATAATAATAACTGATAAGTCCATTGAATTTGCTTCTGATTACTTTTTCTTTAGTAGCTAAACATGTATGTACTCCTATGATTACAATGAACACTCCTCTCCATTTAAATTAATTATTTACATTGATGAAATAGCAAAATGTTAATGACTAAATACTGTCTTGGTTTTTTCGTTCCAGGTCAGTCAATATTAACTTCTTATAATTTTCTTTTTTTTCTTTATGTGTGTGTGTGTGTGTATTTTTTTTTTTTTAATTTCAATGGCTTTTGGGGTACAAATGGCTTTTGGTCATATAGATGAATTCTACAGTAGTGAAGTCTGAGATTTTACTGCACCGGTCACCTGAGTAGTGTACATTGTACCCAATATGTGGTTTTTTATACCTTGCCCCCCTCTTACCCTCCCCACTTTGAGTCTCTAGTGTCCATTATGTCACTCTGTATACCTTTTTGTACCCATAAGTTAGCTCTCACTTATAAGTGAGAACACACAGTATTTGGTTTTCCATTCCTGAGTTGCTTCACTTAGAATAATATCCTCCAGCTCCATCCAAAATTGCTGCAAAAAAAAAAAAAACCACAAACATTATTTTGTTCTTTTTTATTGCTAAGTCATATTCCATGGTGTAGAGATACCACATTTTATTTATCCACTCACTGGTTGATGGGTTGGTTCCACATCTTTGCAATTGTGACTTGTACTGCCATCAAGTGTCTTTCTGGTATAATGACTTCTTTTCCTTTGGGTAGATACCCAGGAGTGGGATTGCTAGATCAAATGGTTCTTAACATTTTCTCTCTGGATCTATTTCTGGAAATTTTAGGCTCCAGTTTTTGTTGTTGTTGTTAATAAAATGCAATGGAATGTAATGATCATCACTTTTCATTATGCTTTAAAATCTGGTAAATGGAGGCTAGAACACTCCTGTAAGGCAAGAATATTCTCTCTGTTGGAACTCAAATACACAGAACTGGGTAAATCTCAATCTTAATCTTTGATTCAGGACACAACATGGCTCTCTTTTACTTGCTTTCTTTAATTGTTTTTTAATAATGTGGTAAGCATTTCTGAATCTCCTATCCAATACAAAAACTAGGACAATACAGACAGTAACTCCTATGGTTACAATGAACACTCCTCTCCACTTAAATTAATTATTTACACTGATGAAATTGAAATAGCAAAATTTTAATGACTAAATACTGTCTTTGATTTTTTGTTCCAGGTCTGTCAATATTAACTTCTTATAATTTTCTTTTTTTTTCTTTATGTGTGTGTGTGTGTGTGTATATATATATATTTAATTTCAATGGCTTTTGGGGTACAAATGGCTTTTGGTCATATATATGAGTTCTACAGTAGTGAAGTCTGAGATTTTACTACACCTTCCACTTATGTGGTCCCACACCACCCGCCTCCCCTGCCGCCTCCTGCCACCCCCTAGGCCAAGGTAATAATCATCCTGAATCCTGGGTTTATCTCTCACTTGCTTTCTTTTCATATAATTTTGCAAAAGAATCTGATCTAAATGTGTTTTTCAGAGTATATATTTATATTTTAGCTGTTCTTAGAGAAAATTTATTATTTTGCATGTAATCTTATGGAACATTCTCATTTAATACCATGGTAAGATTCAGCCCTTGCCCAGGGGATAGTTCATTTAGTTTGTTTACTGGATAGAGCTCATCATGTGACTATACCTCAGTTAGTTTATCAGTTCTCCCATCCATGGTGACTAGGTTGCCTCTCAGCCTCTCAACAACACTGTTTCTCAGTGTCCTTGTAGAAGTGATATGTGGGTGTTTTCTCCTTACACAGAGTTGAAAGGTGACGACAACAACGTTGGCACTACCAATCCCCCACCCTCCAGAGGGGTAACCAGTGTTACCAGTTTGCTGTGTTTCCTGCTACACCTCGCCTTATTCACTTCCATTTGTATCTGAAAAACGTGTTGCATGGTTTCTTTTCTATAGAAGTGGTAAAATGCTATTGTGTCCTGTACATTATTGATTACTTTTTTTCATTTAACAGTAGGGAGATGCCTGGGAGTACACAGAGAACTGCCCTCATTGTTTTCAACTTCTGCACTGTATGTCTGTGAGTTTAGCCATTCTGCTGTTAATGGAAATTTACAGTATTCTAATCTTTTGATATTACAAACAGTTCTGTGCGATCATCGTCATACACAACCCCTTGTGCACAATGCATGAGTGTTTCTCAGGGTAGGTACCAAGAAGTGAAATTCCTGGGTCATAGGGCGTGAGTCCGACATTTTTCTCCATTCTGCCCTGTTGCCCTCCAGAGTGGGTGTCCAGCTTTGCATACCTAAGTATGAGAGTATCTGTTGTTCATATCCTCTACGACGCTCCATATATGAAACTTAAGTTTCTGCTAGTTGCCATCTTTGATCTATCATGTATGCAGTGACCTACTAAGACTGTAATTGGTACAGTAGATTCTTGTCATCTGTGTGTGAATTTAGCATTCATGGGCTTAATGCTGACAAGGCCCCCAGGGTCCAAGACATATAATCATGTATAATTTTGTCAAGGTATAATTTTTTAAATTGCTTTTGTCATGTGTCTGCTGGTGATGCCCAACCCAGTGCTCTGCACCCAGGTCACACTGTGGCTTTGTCCTCTGCTTATGCCTGCATTGCAGCAACTGTCCTGAAGAGACCAAAATTATGCAGATTTAGGTAAGTCCATGGCTAATGTTATTATATTATGTGCTATTGTAATGGATGGGGCTGTGGAGTGTATGAATTTATAAATCACTGGTCTTGTAATTAAAATTCAAACACTATAGAAAAAGGCCATGTAGAAGATAAAAGTTCCTCTATAATCCCGGACCCCTAAGATAACTACTAATGACAACTTCATTTATATTCCTTCAGACATTTTCTGGCTGTGGATGTACTAAAATGTATCCTATTATTCTCTGCCCTAAAATGGAATCATACAAGGTGTACTGTTATTTTTATGGCTCTATAACATGTCATATTGTACGTGTTGGTATGGTCATTTTAACCATTTTTCTAGTGATGGCTTTGAGGTTATTTGCAGTTTCCTAGCCATCTCAAAGTGTGCTGCGGGGATCTCTTTTGCATCCCTCTGGGTGCAGAGCTGAGGCACCCAGAGGCAGTGTCCAGAGGAGGCAGCATCTGTAGGTGTCTTCACCTGCTCTGGCTCTTGGCACATCTGGTTGGTGACACTGTTTTGTGAGATGGGTTGAAAGCACGTGCTGCCAAAATAGAATAATGTTGGTCCTCTCCTCATGTGCCGTGGAACTGGGGTAAAACTGCGTAGTGGCTGCAGCTGCCTGTCCATACCGGAATCGAGTATAACACGGTGCCTGGCTTAGCACAAAACAGTAGTGGGTCCTGCAGGCCCCAGAGTCTAATTCCTGGTATTCTTTCCCCTACACAGATTAAATAAACCAAAAACAAACTATTCTAGGAAAGCGTCTGTGACATTTGTAAAAAGTGGTATTTAATGATCTTTTATTCACTTGTCTGTTTAGTTTGTTGAAATCTTAAGTGGCATCCTGGTCTGGGAAGGAGTGCTGTCTGCGCCTGCCCTCCGCTGGGCACAGCGTGGCTGCTTCAGGGGCTAAGCACACACTTTCTGTCTTCTAAAGGGCCGCCACATGCCAGGAGCTCAGGTGTGAGCCCGGCTCTGGCTCTTACCTCATAGGGTCACTCATAGGGGCACAGGGAGCAGAACATTGTACACAGCGAGGCACCACCCGGCTTGGCATCTGCCTCGGTGGACTTACTACCTCTAGAAGGAAATACCTGAGTTCCTCTGGCCTCAGCTCCTAGAGTGACTGGTGTGCTGTCCCTGTTACTCTTCTGTCAAGGTGACAACTGTGTGACCCATCATCTGTGTGTCAAAGCAAGGCCCTGCCTGGGCCTCTGCTCCTGTGCTGACCCCAAAGGCAAATGCTTTGCTAGTTTCCTTCCAGTTAATTTCACCTATGAATAGATGTGTGAAAACTGTTCAAAGCCATACCTGCACATGTTTGAACTTCAAACCCTGTGGGTGATTCAGTGGCATCTTTCTCTAACCCCCAGCCTCCCTTCCCACAGAGGCCACCGTCATGGCCAGTTGCTGCAGTTTCTTTCCAGAGAACCTGTGTATGTGTAAAGCTGTACAGGCGTGGGTACACCACACAGCCTGTCTTGCACTGTGGACTGTTGAGTTACTAGTACATCTAGGTAAGCACCGCATATCTGTATTCATGTCTGCCTTGGTCTTTTCAACATCTGTGTGGTAGCCGTGTTTGAATTACCCATTCCCTTTTTGGGGAACCATTAAGTTGTTTCAGCAATTTTTACTGTAGATAAGGCTATACCGCATATCTGTGTACATGGGTTTTTATGTACATGGGCAAGTATATCTGTGAGAGAAAAGTTTCCTCAGGAGGAATTCTGGGCACAGCATGTGTAAATTTCTAAATATGATGGACACCCCCAGCTTCCACCTCAAGGAGGTTGGTCCCATTGACATTTCCCCACACCTTCACCCAGGCTGTGCCCTTAAACTTGGTTATTTGTCAATGTGAGAAGTGGAAAATAGTATTTAATTGTAGTTTGGATTTGTATTTCTATTGGGTTGTATACTTACTGATTAATAATAAGAGCTCTTTACATATTAAGGAAATTAACCCTTTTCAAATACATTCCTATTTCTCACTAATCTTTAAGTTTTATTGTAATATTTTGCTCTTTAGTTTATATATATATGTATATATATATATATGTATATATATATATATACATATATATATACATATATATATACTAATTTTCTTTTATGGTTCCTGGATTTTGTGAGTAGTTTGAAAAGGCTAATCCAGCTGAAGATTTTGTTGTTGTTGTTAAACCCCATGTTTTCTCCTAACTCTTTTTATTTTTATTTTGGAGGACTCTATCTAGACTTAATTTTAGCATAACAAGTGACAGGGTTAGTTAGCCTGTTGTCCTTACACCATTTTCTGGCTAATACAGCTATTAACTATTGATCTGTCTATTCACGTGCCAGTTCCTAATGGTTTTACATAGTGTAATCTGCACTTCAAAATAGCGAAGGGAAGCCCTACCTCATTATTCTACTTTTCCAGAATTCTCCTGGCTATTCCAGGCTGCATGTTTACCTTAACCTTCCCTGTGATGTCTTCATGCCGTTGTCTTCTTATGCAAGAATAAGGTACGTCTTTCCATCCACTCACGTCTATTTAATTTGACTTTGCATTACACAGAAAGCTGGTCTTGGTCTGTCTACCTCGGCATCTAGTTGTCCTCACTGCCCCCTAGCCGACCCCACCCCATCTGACTGACTACCCCATCACAGAGTACTTTTATTTACGTTTTGCTCTGCCTAATGGTTACTTGATACTGTCACGCCGACAGTGTCCAGTTCAGTGGTCTTTGCAGTTGAAATGCTCCCGTACACACTGTCTTGTTAAAAATGCCAGTAAGTTCATACAAACCCAGCTTGCACCCAAGGTCACATTCAGAGAGCGTAGGGCTGGGATGGGTTGTTTTCCAAGCTTCTGCCACTGTGTGGCTAGCTCTTCCCACTGGGAAGTTCTGTGTACCCGGAATGTCGGAGTGGAGTCCTGTTCTAGTGTCCAGCACCTGACCCTGTGCCCAACCCCTCAACAGCCTATTCCTGCTGTCCACAGCCTGCTGGAACTTTTTACAAAATATGTTGCCATGCTGGACCCTGGGCACTGGACATAAGCCCCCTGGCAGCCTTTTTCATGTCACCCAAAGGGGTAATTGTCCTACTGGTGGTCTGTAAGATGAGTTAGGGTGACTTGCTAATAGACATTGTAAATCTTAATATTTATGTATGTATTTTATTATTACCGGTTTTCCATTTATGATGGTAATATTGTTTCTTCTAAGAATATTTATTTTTCCTTCTAAATATTGAGATAAAATTCATGCTTTTGAAATGTTCTATTCAGTGGCTTTTAGTATATTTGCTATGTTGTGCAACCATCGACACTATCCATTTCTAGAACTTTTTCGTCATCCCAAACAGACGCTCTGTATTCATAAAAAAATAACTTCCTACCTGTCTCTCCCCCTAGTCTTTGGTAACCTTTGTTATACTGGTAAACTTTGTTGTGCTCTCTGTCTGTGTGAATTTGCCTATTCTAGGGGCCTCATATAAGTGTAATCATACAGTATTTGTCTTTTTGGGTCTGTCTGATTTCACTTAGCGGGTTTTCAGGGTTCATTCATGTTGCAGCATATAACAGTACTGCGTTCCTTTTTCTGGCTGAATAATATTCCACTGTATGGATAGACCCCATTTTGTTTATTCACACATCATTTGGACATTTGGATTATTTCTGGTTTTTGGCTATTATGAACAATGGTGCTATGAACAGTTGCGTACAAGTTTTTGTGTGAACATATGTTTTCAATTCTCTCATTATATACCTAGGAGTAGAATTACTGGGTCATATGGTAACTGTATATTTTTGAGGAACTGCCAAACTATTTTCCCACGTCCATGCACCATTTCACATTCCCACCAGTAAGTAAGAGGGTTCCAATTTCTGCGCATTCTTGCCAACACTAGTTATTATCTGACTTTCTGGTTATAATCATTCTAATGAGTGTGAAGTAGCCTCTGGTGTCATTTGGATTTGCATTTCTCTGATGAGTGATGCTATCAAGCACCTTTGCTGGTGCTGTTGGCCATATGTGTATGTTCCCTGGAGAAGTGTCTGTGCTGAGCCTTGGCCCACTTTTTAATTAGGCGTTTGTCTTTTTATTACTGAGTTGTAAGAGTTCTTTATATATTCTGGATTCTAGACCCTTATCAGATACATGGTTTGCAAATATTTTCTCCCATTCTGTGGGTTGTGTTTTCACTTTATCGATAATGTCCTTAGACATATAATAAATTTGTATTTTAAAAGTGACTTGATTTGGCTGTGCAAGGTGGCTCACGCTTGTAATCCCAGCACTTTGGGAGACTGAGGTGGGTGGATCATATGAGGAGGCTAGGAGTTCGAGGTCAGCCTGGCCAGCATAGCGAAAACTTGTCTCTACTAAAAATACAAAAATTAGTCAGGCATGGTGGTGCACGTCTGTAATACCAGCTTCTCAGGAGGCTGAGGCACGAGGATCACTTGAACCCAGGAGGAGGAGGTTGCAGTGAGCTGAGATCATGCCAGGGCAACAGAATGAGACTTTGTTTAAAAAAAAAAAAAAGTGACTTGATTTAAGGGAAAAAATGACTGGCTATATTCAGTCAGATATGGCAAAAAGTCTCAAGGTGTTAATGTGAATGATTAAGGTCTTGGGGGGGGTGTCCCCTATCAGACTACAGGTGTTTAGAGGCACAGAAAAAGGTGCAGTTGGGTTCTTAATGTGAAATGATGAGAAGCACAACTCCAGTGTGTCTCTTTGTGTAGAATGTCAGCAGACACCCCCTGCTAGATGTGCTGGATCATGGGAAAGCATTTCCATTTGTTACTAGATTGTTCAGAAGTTTTAATTTATGATGGGTGTGGTGGCTCATGCCTGTAGTCCCAGCACTGTGGGAGGCTGAGGCAGGAGGATCATCTGAGGCCAAGAGTTCAAGATCAGCCTGGGCAACATAGTGATACCCTATCTCTTAAAAAAGAAGAAGTTTTTAAATTTGAAATAATAATAGGTACTGGATTTATGCAAATGTCTTTTCTGCGTCTTTTGAGATGAGTATCAGGTTTTTTTTTTTCCTTTTATCATCTGATGATGAACTTAATGTTTCCATTTGTATTAATGGAATACTAAGTCCCTCTGTGATTTCTGAACCAAGCTATTCCTAGGCCTGAGTTTTATTTTGTTGACACAGAAATAAATTAGAAGGCCAAGCGTGGTGGCATGTGCCTGTAGTCCTAGTTGCTGAGGTAAGAGGATTGCTTGAGCCCAGGAGTTCAAGGCTGCAGCAAGCTTTGATTGCGCCACTGCACTCCAGCCTTGGCGACAGACTAAGACGCTGTCTCAAAAAAAAACAAAAACGACAAAAAAAAAACAAAACAGAAAAAATAAACTAAGGCAATGACAGTCCCTGGCAAATGCTGGGAGGGAGGCAGCAGTGGTCAGGGAAGGTAACCCTGAAGCAGGACTTGTAAAGCAAATAAGATTGGGAGGCCAAGGTGGGTGGATCACGAGGTCAGGAGTTCGAGACCAGCCTGGCCAACATAGTGAAACCCCGTCTTTACTAAAAATACAAAAAAATTAGCCAGGTGTGGTGGTGGGTGCCTGTAGTCCCAGCTACTTGGGAGGCTGAGGCAGGAGAATCTCGAACCCAGGAGGCGGAGGTTACAGTCAGCTGAGACCGCACCATTGCACTCCAGCCTGGGTGACAGAGCAAGATTCCGTCTCAAAAAAAAAAAAAAAAAAAAAACCAAGAAGAAAAGGAATGAATTAGAACTTCTTCTGCTTGGACTTAAGGGCATCATCAGGCAGGTTTTGGGTAGGATAGCAGGGGAGGCAGAGACATAGTCGGGGTCAGTGGTCATGAGTGTGGCTTTGAGCCCAAAAACTTGGTTTCTGTTCCCTACTTTGCCACTCAGTAGTGCATGACTTTGGCCAAATTTCTTAAATTCATGAAGCAAGTTTCCGGGTGAATGAAATGGGGATAAAAATAGTGTTCAAACCTATCCGTTGGTTTGTGTGAAACTGAAATGAATAGTATCGTGCAGGTACTTGTGAGCAAGGGGAGCTGCTGTTTCCTGTCCCTTTATGATGGGAAATATCTAGACAAGTTCCCAACCCTCTGCACTGCAGGCTGCATGGCACGGAGGGTCTTGTAACACCAGCTGGGGCTGGCCTTCTTTTAGGAGCTTCAGTGGTTCTGAAAACTTTTATTTGTTTGTTTGTTTTAGTAGATGTGGGGTCTTTCTGTGTTGCCCGGACTGGTCTCAAACTTCTGGACTCAAGTGATCCTCCCCCGCTCAACCTCCCAAAGTGTTGGGATTACAGGTGTGAGCCACTGTGCCCAGCCTTGAAAACTTTTTCAGGTTCTTCCAGGGTTACTGGGCTATTAAATATTTCTATTTCATTATAAGTCAGTTTTTCAAAGTTATATTATCTTAATTACCTTTTTTATATGTATTAGTGTAGAGTAGCATTTTATATTTTGATATCCTCCTTATGCATAGTTTTTCACTTTTTATTCCTAGTTTTTCGTTTTTAATAAGACTTTCAAGAAATTTATTTTATTGGCCTTTTGAAAAAAGCAGCTTTAGATAAAGTAAGCAGTTCTGCTTTCATTTTATAATTTATTTCTACTTTTGTTTCATTAATCTTTTCCTCCGGCATGCCTTGGATTTTGTTGTGTTACTCTTTTTCTAGAGGCTCGCATTGTGTGTCTGGTTCACTTATGATCACGCTTGCCTACTTTTAAGAATGGAAGAGGGGAGGTGGAGGGTGGCTGCACAGTCGAGGGTGTGAGGCAGTCTTGCTCTAGCCCCACCATGCCCTCAGCCCGCTGTGGCCACGCTGGTTCCTCAATTGCTGGGGCGTGCAGTGTCTGTAAGGGAGGCTACTGATGCCATCCGAGGAAGATGTAAGGTTTCGTGTGGGCAGCGAGAGCCTAGCAGGCATGTGGGGTGCCCAGCAAAGGGTAACAGTGGACAGTTGTTGCCTCATTCCACAGAGTTTTGATTTTTTTTTTTTTTTTAATGGTCACTCCATCAACATCCCCCATGGCCAGAGCCTGAGCTGGTCCCCAGAGACACAGGCATTCAGCTGACAGCCTCGCCTTCACGCTGCTGCTGTTCTCATGGGGGACAGGCCTCAGGTGGCAATGCACAAATCATTAGTTAAGGGCAGTTGTGACAGTTACCAAGGAGTGTAGTCCCCCGCCCCCCGCCCAGTGAAAACAGCCCTAACCAGGGGTGGGGACCTTTGGGCTCTGACCCGAAGGGTAGGAGAAGCTGGAAGGACAGCATTCCTGTCTGCGAAGGCAGGAGCAAAGCTGCCAGGCTATGAAGGAAATGGCTGGAGCCTGAAGTCATGCAAGCTGGGGCTGGCAGGGACAGGGCCAACTTCCAGGCCTGGGGGCCACCATGAGGATTCAGGACGTGACCCCCAGGGCACATGAAGGCCTTCCATCTGTATTTAAGAAAAGACTTTATCAGACGAGTATGGTGGCTCACGCCTGAATCTTAGCACTTTGGGAGGCTGAGGCAGGTGGATCACGAGGTCAGGAGTTCAATACCAGCCTGGCCAATATGGTAAAACCCCATCTCTACTAAAACTACAAAAATTAGCCAGGCATGGTGGCGCACGCCTGTAGTCCCAGCTACTCGGGAGGCTGAGGCAGAAGAATCACTTGAACCCGGGAGGTGGAGGTTACAGTGAGCCAAGATCGCGCCACTACACTCCAGCCTGGGTGACAGAGTGAGACTCCGTCTCAAAAAAACCAAAAGACTTTATCTTATTTCCTATATGTTTGTGGTTTCAGTCCTGATGTATAATTTGACCCTAGTTAGAATGGTTATCTGAGGAAGTGGCCTGTACGATTTCTGCTTTTTTAAATGTGTGGCTCCCTTTCTTCATTGATTAACGTATGATTATTTTTATAAATGTTCCATGGCAGTGGGAAGGGATTCTCTGTCACATTCCACATCTGGATCAGTTCCTCCCCATTTTGTTGGTCAAATCCGATCTGCCATATCCTGTGTAATGACAAGTGAGTTGCATTCTCACCGTCACTCCTGGGGTCTCTCCGCTTCCCCTGAGCTGGCTCAGCAGTCTGCTCCATGTGTTTTGATGCAGGGTGACCCATTGGTATTCCCGACACTAACGCCCCCGTCTGTGGACTGCTTGCTGCTTGGGCTTCACTGTGTCTGGTGTTGACAGTGCAGACCTAAAGGTGTGCACACATGTGCACACACACTCCGCTGTCTTCTTGTTTGCACTGGACTTAAATATCTATGAGGGTTATTTTCAACTGCTGAATTTGGAATGATTTTTATATCTTTTCTGCTTTCTGCCCATGTACATGTGTTTATTTTACACTGTTGTGATTGGTAGTTACTATGTGGGGACACAATTACTTGGGCTGAAATAATCCACCTGTTGTGGTTGGGGTCCTCTGGGGCATTCCAGGGTGAGAGGTTGTCACTGCCACCTGGGCCATGTGGGCCGGCACCAGCATTTTGTGGTTACGAATTCTACAGTCACAAATATCTTTGGGCAAATCCCCTTCTATACCTCAAGGCAGCTTTTGGTTTGCAACCCCACTGGCCAGAGGGAAGGGCCAGTCACTTGGCTCTCTCACTGCCCTGCGCCCCAGATGGTTCTAGGGCTGCTGTTTTCCCTTGGCCCTGCCAACACCACTGTTTTTACTTCTGCTCATTGGCTGAGTGCAGTGGTTCCTGGAAGCCAGTGGCACGTTTCCCCGCGTAGCTCGCTTATCCCACAGCACACACCCAAGGGTTCTGTTGCTAACACGCTGAATTAATTCTTTGCTCATCTTACAGAGTGTGTTTTGACTGCCCCCATTTCTGAGGCCTTGTAAGGCCAGAGCTTTGTTGCTTCATCGGCAGGTTGGGACTTAGATGGCCGTGAATGTTTCCTCTCTGCTGCTGCAGTAAGTAAGTGCCCGCACCATAGTGTGTTTGGAGGCTGAAGTTGAAGCGAGGCTGTGAGGGGAGATGGACGTGTGAGGAGGGATGATGGGGCTTGAGCAAAGTGGGGGAGGGGGCAAAGGCAGTTGGCCCAACACATTCCCCACCCCTTTGAGAGGTCTGAGGCCTGCAGACCTGGCTCGGAGCCCACCTGGTAGTCCTCAGACTGTGTGTGTGTGTGTGTGTGTGTGTGTGTGTGTGTGTGTGTGTGTGTGTGTGTGTGTGTAAAAGAGAGAAGTTGTGGAGAAATGGGGGGCTGATTCTGCTCAGATTCATCAGGATGAGTAGAAGGCACCCAGCTCTCACCCTGGCCTGACATGTGTGTCCCTGAGCAGGTTACAGTCCTCTCTGAGCCTCTGCTTCCCATCTGGACCCTGCTGGGCAGGGCTTCTGAGCTCCTTAGCACTAGCAGGAGGGGCTCCAGGGGCCCTCCCTCCATGGCAGCCAGGACAGGACTCTCAAATGAGGACAGCAGAGCTCGTGGGGGGCTCCCACGGACCCGCCGTGGGCCCAGGGGAGGCAGAGCCTGAGCCAACAGCAGTGGTGCTGTGGACCGTGGATCCTGAGGGTGGCCTGGGGCAAGTACCGGCTGAGGGTCCAGGTGGGCTTTGTGTACCTTTGGGTCCTGGGGCCCTGGTGACTTGGACTCCAGGTTAGAGTCAAGTGACAGGAGAAAGGCTGGTGGGGCCCTGTGCTTCCGACTTCATTTCGAGTGATGGCAGTTCCCAGGAAGGAATCCACAGCTGACGGTGGCTGACAGATCAGAGAATGGAAGGCGAGGCAGGCGGGCGTCTGCGTGACCTCAGGTGCTTGGGGCCCAGCAGACCCAGAGAACCATTTCCACTAGGCCAGGGTGCCGGAAGTGTCCACAGGTCTTAGATTCCCTGTTCAGATGAAAAGATTTGTGCCTTTAATGATAAAAGTGATCTGCATAGAGTCAAAAATTCAAGCCATGGGTATAAAATGCAAGTAAAATCCCTGCCCTCACCTATCCCACCCTACTACACAGAGATGTCCTCTCGAGTTTCCTAGACTCACTCTGGAAATTTCTGTATACACACAGAAGCTTGTGCCTCTGCTCGTGAAGGCAGAGGGAGGGAGAGCTGAAGGGCCAGCACCTTCTCACCTGTGGGCCCCCTCAGTGCTCGGTCCCAGAGCATGCAGGACTGTGCCTCGTGTTCAGTTTGCTGGTCTGACTTCATGCTCCTTGGGCAGGATATGCATGTGCCATGCTAGGAGACATGTGGATGTGAAGCTGGGGGACAATGTCCCCTGGCTATGCCTTTACAAGGGAAGTAAGGAAGGTAGGAGGTGAGCCTGGGAGGGAGGGAGGGAGGCGCGGAGCCGCCGCAGGTGTTTCTTTTACTGAGTGCAGCCCATGGCCGCACTCAGGTTTTGCTTTTCACCTTCCCATCTGTGAAAGAGTGAGCAGGAAAAAGCAAAAGGCGCTGGTGGTGGCACGTCCAGCACGGCTGGGCCGGGGTTCGAGTCCCCGCAGTGTTGCTGCTTCCTTCCAGCTCCCTCCTCCAGGCCTCTCCTCCCACCCCACCAGGGATATCTTGTCTCCTAGAGGGGTAGCATTGGGTGGGGCACCCCAGGCCTCTCCCAGAAGCCCTCCTGCCCTGCTATCCCCTCCCTCATCCTCTGGGGCCCTGGGAATACAGCAGGGGACGTGGGGCCACAGGCAGCTGATAACTTAGCCCCCTCAGCCACTCCTGTGGGAGCGGGAGGGGGACAGCTTGGCGGCTCTGCACCCAAAGCTGTGGGGCCTACCTGGAGTGTCCCCACCCCTCAGGGCATACTCCCCACTGCCCTCTTCTTCCCAGGATCAACTCACCGCTACCCTCCTCTCCACATCTGAGGACCAGCGTGGCTCTTCCAGGGAGGGCTTGGGGAGATGAGGTCCAAGGGGAGAGGCCAGAAATCCTGAGGCCTGGGCTGGAGATGGGTGGGCGGACAGGGCCCAACGAACCGGCCCTTGTGCAGGAAGGCCAACAGCTGGGACCACAAGGTGCCGGGTGGGACAGGGAAGTCAGCCTGTGCTCTCCAGGCACCTGGGACCCAGGAGATCCCCCCGGCTCAGCACCAGCAGAGGCAGCTGCTGTGATCCTGGGCAGGCAGTGTCCTCCTCCCTCAGTCTCTGCCCCCTCCCATCCCCAAGAGGGAGGCCAGGGGCTCACAGTCCATTTCATGGGCCATGATACTGATGCTGTCTGCAGTTGGGGCAGCTTGCCTGACCACAAGGCTCTCCAGGGAGCCCCTGCCAATCACTATAATAATCTCCTTTAACGAGTCAGGCCCCATAAGGAACAGCCAGAAGCAGGAGAGAGGTATGCAGAGCTGGCCTATGGAGGCTTGCCATCTCTTCTGACCCCACAGAGCCCACTCAGAATACCACGCCCTAGTGGGTCTTCCCAGCCCAAACTCAAGTCACAGGATGGCACAGGTCCTCTAGGGAGAGCTGGGCTCCCATGGGGTGGAGGGAGCCCCAAACCTCAACAAGGCTGAGGGGATGCAGTATGCAGGGCCAGGGAAGGGAGCCAGGAGACAGAGGGGCCGAAAGCCAGTCAGCTTTGGTGGAGAGAACCCTTCATGAGGAGCCCTGGCTTGGGCCTCCTGGTCAAGGAGTGTTTGCAGCAATCTGTAGTCCCTTAGCCCCTGGCAAGTTCTGGTGCCAGAAAATCCCCTCCGGAGCTGGTGTCTCTCTCATTCAAGGGGTGAGAAGAGGCAGCGTGAAGCCGAGGTCTTGGCCGGCCATGCCTGGGTGGTGAGGCCACAAGTCCACCCCTGCAACTGCAAGGGCAGCAGGGAGGAGCTGCAGGATCTGCTGTCCTTGGATGTGATCAGCCTGCCACTGGGGACCAACAGGCCTAGACTCATACATGAGCCAAGGCACAGAGCCCAGGACTGAAGACAGAGAGGAGCCACCACACGGCAAAAGAGCATGGACATCTGAGTGCCACCTAGCCTGTGTGAGACTCCGTTTCTCTATCTCTAAAATGGAGTCCGCCAGGCGCAGTAGCTCATGCTTGTAGTCCCAGTTACTCAGGAGGCTGAGGTGGGAGGATCACATAAGCCCAAGAGGTTGAGGCTGCAGTGAGCTATGACTGCACCACTGCACTCCAGCCTGGGTGACAGAGTGAGACCGTGTCTCAAAAACAAAAACAAATAAATAAAATGGAGTCACTGATAGCTACCTCACAGGGTTGTTGAGAAAATTCGGGATAACATTTACTGCTTGCCACAGGGAAGGTATTAAAAAGTTACAGGTGGGCACGGTGGCTCATGCCTGTAATCCCAGCACTTTGGGAGGTCGAGGTGGGCGGATCACTTGAGGTCAGGAGTTAGAGACCAGCCTGGCCAACATGGTGAAACTCCGTCTCTACTAAAAATACAAAAATTAGCCAGGTGTGGTGGGGTGCGCCTGTAATCCCAGCTGCTACTCGGGAGGCGGAGGCACAAGAATCACTTGAACCCAGGAGGCGGAGGTTGAGATCGTACCACTGCACTCCAGCCTTGGTGACAGAGCGAGACTCTGTCTCAAAAAAAAAAAAACAATACCTGATACTGAAATTTAGGTCTCACAATTCTGGAGGCTGGGAAATCCAAAATCAAGGTACAGGCATCTGGGGAGGGCCTTCTTGTTGCATCCTCACATGGTGGAAGAGCAGAAGATGGCAAACCCACTCCCACAAGCTCTTTTTATTTTATGTTTTGAGATGGAGTCTCACTCTGTCACCAGGCTGGAATGCAGTGGCACTATCTCAGCTCACTGCAGCTTCCGCCTCCCAAGTTCCGCCTCCCAAATTCTTCTGCCTCAGCCTTCCAAGTAGCCGGGACTACAGGCGTGCACCACCATGCCCAGCTATTTTTGTATTTTTAGCAGAGACGGGGTTTCACCATGTTGGCCAGGATGGTCTCAATCTCTTGACCTCGTGATCTGCCCGCCTCAGCCTCCCGAAGTTCTGGGATTACAGGCATGAGCCACCATGCCCAGCCACAAGCTCTTTTTATAAGGGCCCCAGTCCATTTGTGAAGGAGGAACCCTCATGACCCAATCCCCTCTCAGAGGCCCCCTTTCCAGTATGTCATCTTGGTGATTAGGTTTCAATGTGGCTTTTGGAGGGAACACCACATGCAAACCATAGCAGGTGGCTTGTCCCCTTCTGTCTGGGGAAGAGAAGAAAAAAGCACACCTTCCTTAGAGTTTCACCCATTGAAAAGCAGCACCTCACTCTGGACCTGAGCTGAGGCCGGAGTAGCCGTGGAAGGAGGACATTCTTGTCCTGGGTCCCCAAAGTGCTCTTAACTCACCCTGCATCAGGCACCAGCCACAGGGCCCTGGGAAACCACTCCAGGGTGCTATGTCAGGGCAGAGAAAGGGGACCTGAAGTCAAAGAGACTTGTGGGGATCACCCCATGACCCATCCCCTGCCCTGAGGCAGGACCTTGCTGCCAGAGACAGAATGGGGCCCCTCCATTCAAGGGGGGCTGTTCTCTGGGCATGCCATGTGGGGCATGGCCTCAGTCACATCTATAGAAGTGAGATCACAGGGACAAGGTGGCCTAGGAGGAAGGGGTGTGAGGCCCGCTCCCTTCCAGCACCACACTCACTGCCAGAGTCTAAATCTGCCTCCTGCTGGAGTAGGACTGAGACAGAGGGACTGGTCACCCTATCTAGCCTGAACAGCTGAGCCCAGGGACCCCCATGAAGCAGGAAGGAACTGGACAAAGGAGCCAGCCAATCTCCTAATTGACAAAGGGGCCAATCCGTTGCCAGACTGCTCCTGGTGGGGCTCCACAGACAACAGCAGCCTTGCTGTTGACTCCGCCCCCATCTTCCCTCCTCCTGCTGACACCTCTTCAGGTTCCCACCCCCACCCTTCTTTTAGGGCAGGCCTGGTCTCAAAGATCTCCACCTACTATGCTCCAGGAGCCATGGTTTCAGCACCTCCCCCATTCAGAGGCCCCTGGGGGCCTGTCTATGGGAGACACTGTGATGCAGGCTGCTTGGCCACTTCAAAAGCCCTTCTCTAGGGATCAGGACATAGCTACCCTCAGCCAGCGCAGTCCGCATCACCTCAATGATCTGAGTGATGGTATCAAACCCAGTACTGCACTGAGGAAGCCCTCCATGTTTTTCTGCAGGGCCAGAGAAAGGGGGGTCAATAGGGCCCAGCAGGGGCCTCATCCCTCCAGAGGACAAGAAGGGCAGCCCCTCCCGGGCCCTCACTCCCTCAGCCCAAAAGGGCAAAGACCAGAGTCTGACCCGCCCACCCACCTCCCAGATGTCTCCCTGTCTTCTCATCAAGGCGGGTGATGTTATACGCATCTGGGAGCCCCGCAGAAAGCAGCGCAGATTGGATGGAGGGCTCTGCAGAAGATAAGGATTATAAGCTAATTCTCCTGAGGCCTCAACCCCGCCAGCTGAGGAGCTGACTCCTCAAAGTCTGCAGAGGGTCAGTGTACCTAGCTGGCCAATCCACCTCAATGCTCCCAAAGTACACATGTCTCTTCTCAAGGTCTTTCCCCAACACCCCCCAACCACAAGCCCAGATGTGAAGGTAGCTTTTTTTTTTTTTTGAGACGGAGTCTCGCTCTGTCACCCAGGCTGGAGTGCGGTGGCACGGTCTCAGCTCACTGCAACCTTCGCCTCCCAGGTTCACGACATTCTCCTACCTCAGCCTCCCAAGTAGCTGGGACTACAGGCGCCCACCACCACAACCGGCTAATTGTTTATATTTTTAGTAGAAAGGGGGTTTCACCATGTTAGCCAGGATGCTCTTGATCTTCTGACCTTCTGATCCGCCCGCCTCGGCCTCCCAAAGTGCTGGGATTACAGGCGTGAGCTACCGTGCCCAGCCAGCTTTTTCTATTTATTTATTTATTTATTGAGACAGAGTCTCACTCTGTCGCCCAGGCCGAAGTGCAATGGTGCGATCGCTGCTCAAGGCAACCTCCATCTCCCAGGTTCAAGCAATTCTCGCGCCTCAGCCTCCCGAGTTGCTGGGATTACAGGTATGTGCCACCACGCCCAAGCTAATTTTTGTATTTTTAGTAGAGACGGGGCTTCACCATGTTGGCCAGGCTGGTCTCAAACTCCTGACCTCAAGTGATCTGCCCGCTTCAGCCTCCCAAAGTGCTGGGATTACAGGCGTGAGCCACCATGCCTGGCCAATTTTTTATTTTTTTAAATAGAGATGGAGATTCTGTCCCTCTCCCTCTCCCGTCTCCCTCTCCCGTCTCCCTCTCCCGTCTCCCTCTCCCTCTCCCGTCTCCCTCTCCCTCTCCCGTCTCCCTCTCCCTCTCCCTCTCCCTCTCCTTTCCACGGTCTCCCTCTCATGCCGGGCCAAAGCCGGACTGTACTGCTGCCATCTCGGCTCGCTGCAGCCTCCCTGCCTGATTCTCCTGCCTCAGCCTGCCGAGTGCCTGCGATTGCAGGTGCGTGCCACCACACCTGACTGGTTTTCATGTTTTTTTGGTGGGGACGGGGTTTCGCTGTGTTGGCCGGAGTGGTCTCCAGCTCCTAGCCGCGAGTGATCCGCCAGCCTCGGCCTCCCGAGGTGCCAGGATTGCAGACGGAGTCTCGTTAACTCAGTGCTCAATGGTGCCCAGGCTGGAGTGCAGTGGCGTGATCTCGGCTCGATACGGCCTCCACCTCCCAGCCGCCTGCCTTGGCCCCTCAAAGTGCAGAGATTGCAGCCTCTGCCCGGCCGCCACCCCATCTGGGAAGTGAGGAGCATCTCTGCCTGGCCGCCCATCGTCTGGGATGTGAGGAGCCCCTCTGCCTGGCTGCCCAGTCTGGAAAGTGAGGAGCATCTCTGCCCGGCCGCCATCCCACCTGGGAAGTGAGGAGCGCCTCTTCCCGGCCGCCATCCCATCTAGGAAGTGAGGAGCGTCTCTGCCCGGCCGCCCATCGTCTGAGATGTGGGGAGCGCCTCTGCCCTGCCGCCCGGTCTGGGATGTGAGGAGCGCCTGGGCCGGGCAGCGACCCCGTCTGGGAGGTGAGGAGCGTCTCTGCCCGGCCGCCCCGTCTGAGAAGTGAGGAGCCCCTCCACCTGGCTGCCACCCCGTCTGGGAAGTGAGGAGCGTCTCCGCCCGGCAGCCACCCCGTCCGGGAAGGAGGTGGGGGTCAGCCCCCGCCAGGCCAGCCGCCCCGTCCGGGTGGGAGGTGGGGGGCTCAGCCCCCTGCCCGGCCAGCTGCCCCATCCGGGAGGTGAGGGGCGCCTCTGCCCGGCCGCCCCGACTGGGAAGTGAGGAGCCCCTCTGCCCGGCCAGCTGCCCCGTCCGGGAGGGAGGTGGGGGGGGTCAGCCCCCCGCCCGGCCAGCCGCCCCGTCCGGGAGGGAGGTGGGGGGGTCAGCCCCCAACCTGGCCAGCTGCCCCGTCCGGGAGGGAGGTGGGGGGCTCAGCCCCCCGCCCAGCCAGCCGCACCATCCGGGAGGTGAGGGGCGCCTCTGCCCGGCCGCCCCGACTGGGAAGTGAGGAGCCCCTCTGCCCGGCCAGCCGCCCCGTTCGGGAGGGAGGTGGGGGGGTCAGCCCCCCGCCCGGCCAGCCGCCCCGTCTGGGAGGGAGGTGGGGGGCTCAGCCCCCTGCCTGGCCAGCCGCCCCATCCGGGAGGTGAGGGGCGCCTCTGCCCGGCCGCCCCGACTGGGAAGTGAGGAGCCCCTCTGCCCGGCCAGCCGCCCCGTTCGGGAGGGAGGTGGGGGGGTCAGCCCCCCGCCCGGCCAGCCGCCCCGTCCGGGAGGGAGGTGGGGGGCTCAGCCCCCCGCCTGGCCAGCCGCCCCGTCCGGGAGGTGAGGGGCGCCTCTGCCCGGCCGCCCCGACTGGGAAGTGAGGAGCCCCTCTGCCCGGCCACCACCCCGTCTGGGAGGTGTACCCAACAGCTCATTGAGAACGGGCCATGATGACGATGGTGGTTTTGTGGAATAGAAAAGGGGGCAAGGTGGGGAAAAGATTGAGAAATCGGATGGTTGCCGTGTCTGTGTAGAAAGAGGTAGACATGGGAGACTTTTCATTTTGTTCTGTACTAAGAAAAATTCTTCTGCCTTGGGATCCTGTTGATCTGTGACCTTACCCCCAACCCTGTGCTCTCTGAAACATGTGCTGTGTCCACTCAGGGTTAAATGGATTAAGGGCGGTGCAAGATGTGCTTTGTTAAACAGATGCTTGAAGGCAGCATGCTCGTTAAGAGTCATCACCGCTCCCTAATCTCAAGTACCCAAGGACACAAACACTCTGCCTAGGAAAACCAGAGACCTTTGTTCACTTGTTTGTCTGCTGACCTTCCCTCCACTAGTGTCCTATGACCCTGCCAAATCCCCCTCTGCGAGAAACACCCAAGAATGATCAATAAAAAAAAAAAATAGAGATGGAGTCTCACTACATGACCCAGGCTGATCTTGAACTCCTGGGCTCAAGTGATCCTCCATCCTCAGCCTCCCAAAGTGCTGGGATTACAGGTGTGAGACACCCTCCCCAGCCTTTTTCTTTTTTTTTCATTATAGATTCAGGGGGTCCATGTGCAGGTTTGTTTTACAGATATATTGCATAATGCTGGGGTTTTGGCTTCTGGTGAACCCAGCACCCAAATAGTGAACATGGTACCCAATATGTAGTTTTTCAACCCTTGCCCCTCCCGCTCTGTTCCCACTCTTGGAGTCCACAGTGTCTGTCATTTCCATCTTTATGGCCATGTATACCTATTGTTTAGCTCCCACTTACTATATAAGTGAGAACATGTGGTATTTGAGTTTGTTTCTGCATTAACTCAGGATAATGAACTCCAGCTGCATCCACTTGCTGCAAAGGACGTGATTTCATTCTTTATGGAAGAGCCCCACCCCTACACCCCATGGTCCGCTGCGTCCGACTGGTGGAAGCAGGATCTGTGGTGAGATACCTCAGCACAAGCATATGCAGGCCTGTGGTAGACGCCGGAAGTAGGGCCCTTTGTCTCCAAGAATGGGCAGACTCTCAACAGGTGAAAGAAAAACAGTACTCCAGGTAGGGGCCAAGCAGAAGCAACAGGTCAAAGAAAGGCCTGGAAGTGGAAAAGCCCTGGGTTCAGTTTGCTAAGAGCCCAGGAGACTAGCTGGATACAAGGCCGGAAGAAGGGTGGGGCTCTGATGCACCAGCTTCTCCAATCTTCCTGGCTCCAGGGAGGAGATGCATTTGAACAATCCTGAAAAACTTTTGGATCCCAAGTCTGACTCAACATTGTGACTTGCTTACTCCGTGTCACTCTTCTAGATGCTTTTGAAATATATTATCATAACAATGAGTAAGTTCTATTTCCATTCTCAGAAAAGAAAACTGATTCAAGATTGTGTAACTTGCTGCTTCTGGTTGGTGAGATTTAAAAAAAAAAAAAAGATTATGTAACTTGTTCAAAGTCATATGGATTACAAACTATAGCGCAGGGACTTAATTTCAGTCTGGCTCCAAAATCTGAACTATTAACAATATTTAAAAGTCTGCTGGGTGGGTGCGGTGGCTCATGCCTGTAATCCCAATCCTTTGGAAGGCTGAGGTGGGTGAATCACTTGAGGTCAGGAGTTCGAGACCAGCCTGGCCAACATGGTGAAACCCGTCTCTACTAAAAATTCAAAAATTAGCCGGGCGTGGTGGCATGCACCTGTAATTCCAGCTACTCAGGAGGTTGAGGCAGGAGAATCGCTTGAACCCAGGAAGCGGAGGTTGCAGTGAGCCAAGATCATGCCACTGCACTCCAGCCTGGACCACAGAGTGAGACTCTGTCTAAAAAAAAAAAAAAAAAAAAAAGTCTGTCTTGACCAGGCGCAGTAGTTCCTGCTTGTAATCCTGGCACTTTGGGAGGCCAAGGAGGTTGGATCGCTTGAATCTAGGAGTTGGAGACCAGCCTGGGCAACGTGGCAAAACCGCATCTCTACAAAAAATACACACACACACACTAGCCAGGAGTGGTGGCGCATGCCTATAGTCCCAACTACTTGGGAGGTTGAGGTGAGAGGATCGCTTGAGCCCAGGAGGCAGAGGTTGCAGTGAGCTGATATTGTGCCATTGCACTCCAGGCTGGGTTAAAAAGCCTCTCTGGGGCTGGGTGCGGTGGTTCATGCCTGTAATTCCAGCACTTTGGGAGGCCGAGGTGGGCGGATCACGAGGTCAGGAGTTCGAGACCAGCCTGGCTAACATGGCAAAAGCTTGTCTCTACTAAAAATACAAAAATTAGCCAGGCATAGTGGCGTGAGCCTGTAATCCCAGCGTCTCGGGAGGCTGAGGCAGGAGAATCACTGGAACCTGGGAGGCGGAGGTTGCAGTGAGCCAAGATCACACCACCACACTCCAGCCCAGAGTCTTGCTCTGGGCAACAGAGCAAGGCTCCCGGGGGGCGTGGTGGGGAGCGTCTCCGGGACAGTGTTTTCCCAGCTTTCCCGTTTTGGCTTTCTGCAGACACACTCATCACTGTGTTATGTGACAGTCCATACATTTCTCGAAATCTTTCAAGTCAATAATTATTTTTACCCAGCATTACAGAATTGAAAAGTTAGGCTCAGAAAGGGCAAATTCTGATTTGGGCTTCAGACCTAGATTTTTTCCTACAATAAATGATGTAACTATTCTGCCTTAAGAATCTTCTAGCATTTCTCTTTCCAACACGACAGCCAGGGCTGGACTAGCCCCGAGAGTTGCAACGGAAGATGGGCTACATACAAAGCGGGATGTAATCCTGGGCCGCCCCAACATGCCCCGCATGAGCCAAACCGAACGGCTGGCTCCTTGTAGTTGGGGCCACCTACTTGGGACCTCCCCTTCCCTGTTTGCGACCTCTACACCCTGGCCACACTTGGAGCACCGCCGCACAGTCTGTGGGCGACCCCTCGCCACCTCTATTGCTCGGCACTCCAACCCTGTCTATGTTTAAGCAGAGATGTCCAGAGAGCAGCCGCTCTCAACATCTACCGTATCCCACCGTCTAGCAGGAAGCCCGCTCTCTGTCCAACTCCGCGGGACCGACTAGAGTACGACGAGGACCGACTAGAGCACAGTGAGGACCGTCCAGAGCGCCCCCTCGGAGAGCCCCAGGGCTTCCAGGACGGCGCCCGCGCATGCGCGGACGCCGACGGGCGTGGCGAGGGGCGTGGCGAGGAGGTGGGGCTGCTGACCTCAGTCTCCTCTGTCCTCAAGTCGCCTACGTGCGCGCCCGGGAGCTGCACACTCTTGAAGTGACCGGCCTGGAGACGGTTGCCCAGAGCAAGGTAAAGATAATGATGTATCCCTGATCATCCTTACCCCAGCCACTACTTGCCTTTCCTCCTGTGGCTTCCCCAGACAACACTCTTGACTCTCCCTTTCCTTTGAAGGCCCATGTAGCATCCCTGGAGGGCCTCATCCCTGAAGATAAGGTTGTGCTTCTGGCAGGTTCTCCCTTACAGAATGAAGCCACCCTGGGTCAGTGTGGGGTGGAAGCCCTGACAACCCTGGAAGTGGTTGGCCGCAGGCTAGGAGGTGAGTGGGGCTACAGGGGCCCCAAACTGGTGTCCAGGGGCAATTCACGACACTTAGACTTACTTGGTTTGCCCTGCACGGTGTGTTACTTTTTTTTTTCTTTTTTCTTTAGTTCACAATGTCTAAAAGTCAGCTGATTTTGTGTTAAAATTCAGTGTCTGGCTTTGCTTCAAAAATTGGGAAGATCGGCCGGACGCGGTGGCTCACGCCTGTAATCTCAGCACTTTGGGAGGCCGAGGTGGGTGGATCACGAGGTCAGGAGATCGAGACCATCCTGGCTAACATGGTGAAACCCTGTCTCTACTAAAAATACAAAAAAAAAAAAAAAAAAAAAAAAATTAGCCGGGCGTGGTGGCGGGCGCCTATAGTCCCAGCTACTCCGGAGGCTGAGGCAGGAGAATGGCGTGAACCCAGGAGGCAGAGCTTGCAATGAGCCGAGATCGCACCACTGAACTGCAGCCTGGGCAACAGAGAGAGACTCCGTCTCAAAAAAAAAAAAAAAAAAATGGGGGAGATCAGGTGACATTGGGCCTGTGTTCCCACATACCAGCAATCTGCCCTAGCTGAGTGGTGGCTGTCCCTTTGGAAGGCTCTACAGTTTGCCACCATCTCCACACCTCCCTCTTCCAGGGCCAGCCACCATTTATCATCAGGCTTGCGCTGTTGTTTCTCTTAAAGAAAAGTGAATTCTCTTTTTGTTCCTATGTCTCTATCAAAAGTGGGAAAATGAAAGATGGATTGATAGCGCCGCGTGTTTCAAGAGAAGTGGGAGCAAGCATATTTCTTTGTGGAAGTATAGTCCTATGTGTTTAATATGTAACCAAACTTTGTCTGTGTCAAAAGAATACAACTGAAGATGTCATTATGAAACAAACCATGGTGAGAATTTTGACTAGTTTACAGAAAAGATGCATGATGAAAAACTCAATGAACTTAGAAAAGGACTAAACTTTCTACAGCATTAATCATCGAATACAAATAAAATAAGTGATGCTGCTGTGAAATGCAGTTACATAATAAGTGAAAAAATTGTCCGTGCTTCAAAATCTTTTACAGATGGTGAGTTTATAAAAGACTGTCTATTGAGTGCAGCGGAAATCATGTGTCCTGAACAGAAAGAAGCATTTGCAGACATAAGCCTAACCAGAAAAACTGTTGCTCAGAGAGTAAAAGATATGGCTGAGAATTTACAGGATAAGTTGTGAGAAAAAGTGAGATCATTTGTGACATTTTCTATTGCAGTTGATGAGTGCACATATGTAAATAATACAAGTCAGTTAATTATGTTTATCCATGGTGTTGCTGAGAATTTTGATATCATTGAAGAACTTTTAGACATGGTACCTATGGCAGATCCAACCACTGAAAGTGACTTATTTTTGTATGTTGAAAAAAGTCGGCTGGGCACAGTGGCTCATGCCGGTAATCCCAGCATTTTGGGAGGCCGAGGCAGGCGGATCTCAAGGTCAGGAGATCAAGACCATCCTGGCTAACACGGTGAAACCCCATCTCTACTAAAAAAAAATACAAAAAAATTAGCCAGGCGTGGTGGCGGGCGCCTATAGTCTCAGCTACTCAGGAGGCTGAGGCAGGAGAATGGCATGAACCCAGGAGGCGGAGCTTGCAGTGAGCCGAGATCACGCCACTGCACTGGGTGACAGAGCAAGACTCTGTCTTGAAAAAAGAAAAAGAAAAAAAAGTTTCAAAAAGTTTAATGTTGACTGGTCAAAATTAGTAAGTGTGACCACAGATGGTGCCCCTGCAATGGTCTGTGATAACACTGGACTTGTTGCAAAACTTAAATCCAAGTTCAAAATGTTTCAAAAAGATACAGAACTGAAATCCATTCACTGCATTAGTCATCAGAAATTGTTTTGTACTAAAAAGTTAAAACTAGCTGGGTGTGGTGGCTCACGCCTGTAATCCCACCACTTTGGGAGGCCGAAGCGGGCAGATCACCTGAGGTCAGGAGTTTAAGACCAGCCTGTACAACATGGCGAAACCCCATCTCTACTAAAAAATACAAAAATTAGCCAGGCGTTGTGGCGGGCGCCTGTAATCCCAGCTACTCGGGAGGCTGAGGCAGGGAGAATTGCTTGAACCTGGGAGGAGGAGGTTGCAATGAGCCGATATCACGCCACTGCACTCCAGCCTGGTCGAAAGAGCGAGACTCCCTCTCAAAAAAGAAAGAAAGAAAGAAACCCCGTGTCTATTAAAAATACAAAAATTAGCCAGGCGTGGTGGCATGCATCTGTAGTCCCAGCTACTCAAGAGGTTGAGGCAGGAGAATCACTTGAACCCAGGAGGCAGAGGTTGCAATGAGCCAAGATAGCGCCACTGCACTCCAGCCTGGGTGAAAGAGCGAGACTGTCTCAAAAAAAAAAAAAAAAAAAAAAATTCCTCCCTATTCAAATTATTGTGTGTTTTTTTTTCTTTGCTGATTGGACCCAGACTGATAATGGTCCTGTTTCTTATCTGTCCTGGGATTCCCCTGAAAGAAGATTTGGATTTGGGGCAACAAAGAGGACAGATGTTCACATACACAGGACTTTGCCTTTCCCTGGGTCAGCAAGGCACCTAATGGAGAACAAGTGTCCCTGGCCCAATAACAGGCATACAGGCTGTTACCATGTTAATTCACATTGGTTTTTTTGGGGGGGGGGGGTTTTTGTTTTTTTTTTTTTGAGACAGTCTTGCTCTGTCTCCAGGCTGGAATACAGTGGCGTGATCTCGACTTACTGCAACCTCCGACTCCCTGGTTCAAGCGATTCTCCTGCCTCAGCCTCCTGAGTAGCTGGGACTAGAGGCACGCACCACCATGCCCAGCTAATTTTTGTATTTTTAGTAGAGATGGGGTTCCACCATGCTGGCCAGGATGGTCTCGATCTCCTGACCTTGTGACCCGCCCACCTTGGGCTCCCAAAGTGCTTGGAATTACAGGCGTGAGCCACTGCGCCCGGCTATGTTGATCTTAACTAATCACCATTGTGCCTCAATTTTTAGTTAATGATAGCAGAAAAAAGATGGGCCAATTCAACAAATATTTGTGGAGAATGTACCATGGGCAAGGCTCCTCTCTGAGGGCAAGTCATTTCTGTCACTTGTTTATTCCGTGACCTTGACCTGGTCATCTTACCCTCTGAGTTTTGCCTTCATCCATAAAATGAGGCTAGTATCACATGTATTATCTATTGCTGCATAAAAGTTACCTCAAAGTGTAGTAGCTTAAACCAACAAATATTTATTATATCTCTGGTTTCTGTAAGTCAAGAACCTGGGAGTAGTTTAGCTGGGAGGTTTCAGCTCAGGGTCTTATTTTTGTTTTGTTTTGCTTTCTTTGAGACGGAGTCTCGCTCTTGTTTCTCAGGCTGGAGTGCAATGGTGCAAACTTGGCTCACTGCAACCTCTGCCTCCCAGGTTCAAGTGGTTCTCCCGCCTCAGCCTCCCGAGTAGCTGGGATTACAGGCGTGTGCCACCATGCCAGCTAATTTTTTGTATTTTTAGTAGAGACAGGGTTTCACAATATTGGCCAGGCTGGTCTCGAACTCCTGACCTCAGGTGATCCACCTGCCTCGGCCTCCCAAAGTGCTGGGATTACAGGCATGAGCCACCGTGTCTGGCCCAGGGTCTCTTAAGAGATTGCAATCATTTGAAAACTTTGAGTTAACTTGTACGCAGCAATAGATAACTTACACATGTGGTCGTAGCCTCATCACTGGGGTTAGAGGATCCACATGAGAAAGAGCTCATTCACACAGCTGTTGGCAAAAGGCCTCAGCTCCTGGCAACATGGAAGCTGCCTTTCCCTGGAACAAGTGATCAGAGAAAGAGAGAGAGCACACTGATCGGCACTGTATCTATATAACCTAGTCTTGGAAGCGATACATCAACACTTCTCTCATATTCTATTGGCCACTGTATTAGCCATGTCTTTGATTTTCTTTATTCTGATGCTTTGACATCTGGAGCCTTGCTGACCCCACTGGAGGGACCACCTCTTCCAAGAGTTCTTAGGGATAGAGAACAACTCACCTGAGAGTGTGCTTTTCAAATGCAAACCAACCAGTCCAGAGCGCGCACCCCCCCACCATCTCCTTTATCATGCTTTCCCACTTCAGGCTGCCGGTCACTACCCTAATCACCCCAGGGCGCGGTACCAGACTAAAGGGACAGCCCCTATGCCCCAGAGCCTGAAATTGACCAATCCTGAAACTAGCAGTCCTAAAACTGTTATCCTGTCCTGCCCACCCCTTCCCTCAGAAACCACAAGAAAGGCTCTTGCAGGTCAAAGCGCAGTAGCTCATGCCTGTAATCCCAGCATTTTGGGAGGCTGAGGTGGGCAGATCACGAGGTCAGGAGACTGAGACCATACTGGCCAACATGGTGAAACCTCGTCTCTACTAAAATACAAAAACTTAGCCGGGCGTTGTGGCTCACACCTGTAGTCCCAGCTAATCGGGAGGCTGAGGCAGGGGAATTGCTTGAACCCGGGAGGCGGAGGTTGCAGTGAGCCAAGATCGCGCCACTGCACTCCAGCCTGGGTGACAGTGCAAGACTGCATCTCAAAAAAAAAAAAAAAAAAAGAAAGAAAAAAAGAAAGGTTCTTGCACAGCTCCCGTCTTCCCCTCTTTCCCCTCTGACTCTTGACGAACACCCTCCTCCACCATGGTATGCATGCCCCTTCCTTTTGAGAAATGCAACAAGCTCTCCAGTGGTCATCTCCTGATCTGTTGGCCTTACTGGCCCTCAAATTTCCTATTCATGCATTACATATTTATTTATTTACTTTGAGACAGGGTCTCCCTCTGTCGCCCAGGCTGGAATGCAGTGGTGCCATCTAGGTTCACTGCAACCTCCACCTCCTGGGTTCAAGCATTTCTCCCACCTCAGCCTCCTGGGTAGCTGGGATTACAGGCGCACACCACCACACCCAGACCATTTCTGTGTTTTTAGTAGAAATGGGGTTTCGCCATGTTGGTGTTGGCCGGGCTGGTCTTGAACTCCTGACCTCAAGCGATCTTCCCACCTCAGCCTCCCAAAGTGCTGGGATTACAGGTGTGAGCCACCCACCATGCCTGGCCTATTCATGCATTACATTTTAGAACCATCACACAGAATCACACATCAACTCGGATACAGCGTGGAAGGGGACTACACAAGGATGTCAATATCAGGAGGTGGAGAATCACTGGAGCTAGAAGCTGCCCACCACACCACCTATTTCCCGTGGGAAAAATAAAATAAGATAAATATATGTAAAAGACCCTCCTAGTACAGTAATCCAAACATGCAGTTAAAAGAAGTCTGAGGCCAGGCGCGGTGGCTCACGCCTGTAATCCCACCACTTTGGGAGGCCAAGGCGGGCAGATCACCTGAGGTCAGGAGTTCAAGACCAGCCTGGTCAACATGGTGCAACCCTGTCTATACTAAAAATACAAAAATTATCTGGGCGTGATGGCAGCTGCCTGTAATCCCAGCACTTTGAGAGGCAGAGGCTGGTGGATCACTTAAGGTCAAGAGTTCGAGACCAGCCTGGCCAGCATCAAAATCCTGTCTGTACAAAAATTACCAAATAGCTACTAGGGAGGCTAAGGCATGAGAATTGCTTGAACCTAGGAGGCAGAGTTTGCAGTGAGCCAAGATTGCGCCACTGCACTCCAGCCTGGGCGACAGAGTGAGACTCTGCCAAAAAAAAAAAAAAGTAATTTAGCAATGTTGCAAGTTGTAAGATCAATACAAAAATCAATATTATTTCTATATACTGTCAATGAAACACTGGAAATTGAAAATCTTAAAACATAATACAGCCAAATGTGGTGGCTCATGGCTATAATCCTGTACTTTGGGAGGCTGCTGTTGGAGGATTGTTTGAGGCTGGGAGTTCAAGCTCAGCCTGGGAAACATAGTGAGACCCTTGTCTCTACCAAAAAGAAAAAGAAAAAGAAAAAAATTATAATTCTGTCTCTCAACAAAATCATAATTTTTTTTTTAATTTGGCCAGGTTTGGTGGCGGGCATCTGTAGTCCCAGCTCCTGAGCTGAGGCTGAGGTAGGAGGATCGCTTGAGCCCAGGAGTTTGAGGCTGCAGTGAGCTATGATAATGCCACTGCACTCTTGCCTGGGGGACAAGACTGAGACCTTCTCTCTCTCTCAAAAAAACACACACAAAAAAACATATATATATATATATAGCCACTTACAATATCATTTAAAAATGAAATACTTAGGAATGAATTTGAAAAGCAGTTGACCTGTTCTCTGAAAATTACAAAGCATTACTGAGAGATTACCAGATAGAGATTTACCATCTCAATATTGAGCTGAGATATACCAAACTCAATATTGTTAATATGATGATTCTTCCAAAATAAACTATTCAATGCAATACCAGTCAAAATCCCAGTAGGCTTTTTAATACAAGTTAACAAGCTCATTCCAAAATTCTTGTGGTAATGCAAAGGACCTAGAATAGTCAAGACAATGTTGAAAATAATAAAACTGGAAAAGTTAAACTACGTGACTTATATAACCAAGACTTAATATAAAATTACAGAAATTAGCCAGGCGTGGTGGCTCACGCCTGTAATCCCAGCACTTTAGGAGGCCGAGGTGGGCGGATCACCTGAGGTCAGGAGTTCAAGACCAGCCTGGCCAACATGGTGAAACCCCGTCTCTACTAAAAATACAAAAATTAGCCGGGCATGGTGGTTGGCGCCTGTAATCCCAGCTACTCGGGAGACTGAAGCAGGAGAATCACTTGAACCCAGGAGGCGGAGGTTGCAGTGAGCCGAGATCACGCCGTTGCACTCCACCCTGGGGGACAAGAATGAGACTTCGTCTCAAAAAAAAAAAAAAAAATTATCTGGGCATGGTGGTGGGCACCTGTAATCTCAGCTACTTGGGAGGCTGAGGCAGGAGAATCGCTTGAATCCAGGAGGCAGAAATTGCACTGAGCCGAGATCATGCCATTGCACTCCAGCCTGGGCAACAAGAGTGAAACTCTGTCTGGAAAAAAAAAAAATTACAGAAATTTGGGTGGGCATGGTGGCTCACGCCTGTAATCACGGCATTTTGAGAGGCCGAGGTGGGCAGATCACCTGAGGTCAGGAGTTAGAAACAGACCAGCTTGGCCAACATGGCGAAAGACCATCTGTACTAAAAATGCAAAAATTAGGCCAGGCACAGTGGCTCAGGCCTGTAATCCCAGCATTTTGGGAGGCCAAGGCAGGCGGATCATGAGGTCAAGAGATCGAGACCATACTGGCCAACATGATGAAACCCTGTCTCTACTAAAAATACAAAAAATTAGCTGGGCGTGGTGGCGCACACCTGTAGTCCCAGCTACTCGGGAGGCTGGGGCAGGAAAATCACTTGAACCTGGGAGGTGAAGGCTGCAGTGAGCTGAGATCATGCCACTGCACTCCAGCCTGGCAACAGAGTGAGACTCTTGTCTCAAAAAAAATAATAAAAATTAAAAAAAAATAAAAATGCAAAAATTAGTTGGGCATGGTGGCAAGCACCTGTAATCCCAGCTACTCAGGAGGCTGAGGTGGGAGAGTCGCTGGAACCCAGGAGGCAGAGGCTGCAGTGAGCCAAGATCACACCACTGCACTCCAGCCTAGGTGACAGAGTGAGACTCAGTCTCAAAAAAAATAAAATTACAGAAATTGGCTGGGCACGGTGGCTCATGCCTGTAATCCCAGCACTTTGGGAGGTCGAAGTGGGAAGATCACTTGAGGCCAGGAGTTTGAGACCAGTCTGGGCAACATAGCGACACCCGGTCTCTAAAATAAGTAAATAAATAAAATTACAGCAATCAAGATAGTGTGGTATTGGCACAAATTAGACAAAGGCCGAGGCAGGCGGATCACTCAAGACCAGCCTGGCCAACATGGTGAAACCCCGTCTCTACTAAAAATCCAAAAAAAAAATTAGCCAGGTGTGGTGGTGGGCACCCTGTAGTCCCAACTACTCGGGAGGCTGAGGCACGAGAATAACTTAAATTCAGGAGGCAGAGGTTGCAATGTGCCGAGATCACGCCACTGCACTCCAGCCTGGGTGACAGAGTAAGACTGAAAAAAAAAAAAAAAAAAAAGAAAAAAAAAACCCAAAAGAGAAATAAGCCATGTGGTGGCTCACGCCTGTAATCACAGCACTTTGGGAGGCTAAGGCGGGAGGATTGTTTCAGTCCAGGAATTTGAGACCTGCCTGGTCAACTAGTGAGACTCCATCTCTACAAAAAATAAAAGTTAGCTGGGTGTGGTGGCATGCACCTGTAGTCCCAGCTACCTGGGAACTTGGGAGGCTGAGGCGGGAGTATCACTTGAGCCCAAGAGTTTGAGGCTGCAGTGAGCCAAGATCACACCATTGCACTCCAGCCTGCATGACAAGGTAAGACCCTGTTTTGTTTTGTTTTGTTTTAAAAAAGATAGACAAACAGATTAACAGAACAAAACAGAAAGTCTACAAATATATCCATACATATATGATTAATTAATATTTGACAAAAGTCAAAGGCAATTTAGTGGACAAAGGACAGTGTTTTCTTTTTTTGAGATGGAGTTTCGCTCTTGTTGCCCAGGCTGGAGTGCAATGGCGCGATCTCAGCTCACAGCAAGCTCCACCTCCCGGATTCAAGTGATTCTCCTGCCTCAGCCTCCCTAGTAGTTGGGATTACAGCTGCCCGCCACCACACCCAGCTAATTTTTTCTATTTTTAGTAGAGACAGGGTCTCTCCATGTTGTTCAGGCTGGTCTCAAACTCCCAACCTCAGGTGATCTGCCCGCCTCGGGCAACAGAGCGAGACTCTGTCTCAAAAAAAAAAAGTTTAGGCATGGTGGTGGCACACGTGTAGTCCCAGCTACTTGGAAGGCTGAGATGGGAGGATCACTTGAGCCTGGGAGGTGGAGGCTGCAGCAAGCTATGATTGTGACACTGCACTGCAGCCTGGACGACAGAGTGAGACCCTGTATCAAAAAAAGGAAAAGAGAAAGAACTTCTGTTCTTCAAAAAAAACATTTTTAAGAGAATGAAGACGGCCAGGCGTGGTGGCTCACGCCTGTAATCCAGCACTCTGGGAGGCCAAGGTGGGTGGATCATGAGGTCAGGAGTTCAAGACCAGCCTGGCCAAGATGGTGAAACCCCGTTTCTCCTAAAAATACAAAAATTAGCCAGGCGCTGTGGCAGGCACCTGTAATCCCAGCTACTCACGAGGCTGAAACAGGAGAATCGCTTGAACCCAGGCAGCAGAGGTTGCGGTGAGCCGAGATCATGCCACTGCACTCCAGCCTGGGTGATAGAGTGAGACTCTGTCTCAAAAAAAAAAAAAAAGAATGAAGACAAGCCACAGACTGAAGAAAATATTTGCAAATCAAATATCTGATCAAGAACTTGTGTCTATAATATATAAAGAACTCTCAAAGCTCTTTGTGAACTCACCATGGCTATATCTTGAGAATTTGTCACTTTGGACTGGGCACGGTGGCTCACGCCTATAATCCCAGCACTTTGGGAGGCTGAGGAGGGCAGATCACGAGGTCAGGAGTTCAAGACCAGCCTGACCAACATGGTGAAACCCCATCTCTACTAAAAAATATTTAAAAATTAGCCAGGTGTCATGGCGTGCGCCTGTAATCCCAGCTATTCAGGAGGCTGAGGCAGAAGAATCGCTTGAACCCAGGAGGCGGACGTTGCAGTGAGCCAAGATCGTGCCACTGCACTCCAGCCTGGGCGACAGATCGAGATTCCCTCTCAAAAAAAAAAAAAGAATTTATCACTTTGAGTGGAGCTACTAGCTTCTGGCAGTAGCTAGAATCAGAGCTCAGGAACTATGCCCTTCCTGAAGTTATGGAATCACTGATCCTAAAAGGTTTTTTTTCTCTCTCTTTTTTTTTTTTTTTGAGACGGAGTTTTGCTCTTGTTGCCCAGGCTGGAGTGCAATGGCGCGATCTCGGATCACCGCCACCTCCGCCTCCCGGGTTCAAGCGATTCTCCTGCCTCAGCCTCCCGAGTTGTCGGGATTACAGGCATGCGCCACCACGCCCGGCTAACTTTGTATTTTTAGTAGAGACAGGGTCTCTCCATGTTGTTCAGGCTGGTCTCAAACTCCCGACCTCAGATGATCTGCCCGCCTCGGCCTCCCAGAGCACTGGGATTACAGGCATGGGCCACCACGCCCGGTGATCCTAAAAGTTTAAATAGGACTTGTCCTTCAGGGTCACAAGTGCTGTGCTCTGATCTCTGCCAGCAGAGGTGATGGGCTTAGCTTATATCCCAGCTGTTCCTTCAAACCCTGGAGGATGTGTTGCCATCCCCATCAAAGACTCCTTTCTGTTCCAAGTGCTTTTTCATTTAGCTGGAGCGGTGGTAGCCAGGCCAGCAGTGGACTCTATACCAATACCTTCACTCCGGCCAAAGCCCGAGTCTAGGAGGAAATCTGGAGAAGGAACTGCTTCCAACCCTGACGCTCTGGGCCCTGTGAAATGACCTTGACCATCTCTCATAGGTAATAACTGCCTCTCACTGCAAGTCAACCCTGTACAACCAGCCAGATATTTGTGGACAACACTTCACAGCTCAAAACAAGGTGAACCTAACTCCTCAGCAAACCACAGATGCTCCTGAAAGTCTCCAAGGCCAGAAGAAAACCCCTAAACATATACCACACTGTGGCAACTGTAGCCTAGAAGGTAACGAATGAAGAACACAGCAAATATCTGAGAGTTGCTGCCTGAAGACACAGGACAATGACCTCAGAAGGATGGGGATGGGCTGGAAAACCTCTGGTCTCTACCCTCCTTACAGCTGTGATTTGCTTCTCCCTAGGAAGGTCCTGCTTCCATGCTTCTCCCCATACCCCACTCACTTGAGTGTCTCACACGGGATGGTAACTAGATGTAACACTTGCCAAGGGGTCATTATCACCTACTAAATACAAATAGATGTCTAGCTTGTCTGTCCACAGAGAGGTGAATGATGAGAGAATTCAATCTCCTGGAATCAAAAGAACTTTTTGGTGTGTATTCTACAAATTAAAAACTCAATGACCAGCCGGGCATGGTGACTCACGCCTGTAATCCTAGCACTTTGGGAGGCTGAGGCAGGCAGATTGCCTGAGCTCAAGAGTTCGAAGGCCGGGTGCGGTGGCTCACGCCTGTAATCCCAGCACTGTGGGAGGCCTAGACGGGTGGATCACCTGAGATCAGGAGTTTGAGACCAGCCTGATCAACACGGAGAAACCCTGTCTCTAGTAAAAATACAAAAATTAGCCAGGCGTGGTGATGCATGCCTGTAATCCCAGCTACTCTGGAGGCTGAGGCAGGAGAATCGCTTGAACCTGGGAGGTGGAGGTTGCTGTGAGCCGAGATCGTGCCACTGCACTCCAGCCTGGGCAACAAGAGCGAGACTCCATCTCAAAAAAAAAAAAAAAAGTTCGAGACCACCCTGGGCAATATGGTGAAACCCCGTATCCACTAAAATACAAAAAATTAGCCAGGTGTGGTGGCGCATGCCTGTAATCCCAGCTACTCGGGAGGCTGAAGCAGGAGAATTGCTTGAACCCAGGAGGCGGAGGTTGCAGTGAGCTGAGATCGTGCCACTGCACTGCAGCCTGGGCAACAGAGTGAGACTCTGTCTCAAAAAAAAAAAAAAAAAAAAAACCTGGATGACTAAATGAGATATCACTGCACACCTATTTGAACAAATAAAATTAAAACAATGACAATACCAAATACTGGCAAGCAGGCAAAGAAACTAAATCTCTCATACTTTGTTGGTGGAAACATAAAATAGTTCCGCCACTCTGGAAAACAGTTCAGCAGTTTCTTAAAAACCTAGACATATAATAATAATTATTATTATTATTTTGAGACGGAGTCTCGCTTTGTTGCCTAGGCTTGAGTGCAATGGCGCCACCTTGGCTCACTGCAGCCTCTGACTCCTGGGTTCAAACAATTCTCCTGCCTCAGCCTCCTGAGTAGCTGGGATTACAGGTAATTACAGATAATTTTTTTGGTATTTTTAGTAGAGACAGGGTTCCACCATGTTGTCCAGGCTGGTCTCAAACTCCTGACCTCAGGTGATCCACCCTCCTCGCCCTCCCAAAGTGCTGGAATTACAGGCGTGAGCCATCATGCCCGGCCAACATATAATTATTATACAACCCAGCCACTGCACTCTTGGGCATTTATTCTAGAGAAACAAAAACTTATCCCCACTCAAAAGCATGTACGTGAATGTTCTTAGCAGTTTATTTTATAATGGTCAATATCTGGAAACAATCCAAATGTCCTTCCATGAGTTAATGGTTAAAATAACTGTGGTGCACCCATACCATGGAATACTGTTCAGCAATAAAATGGAATGAAATGACCTGAATGGATCTCAGGAGAATTATGCTGCATGAAAAACACCCATCTCAGGCCGGGTGTGGTGCTTGCAGTGAGCTGAGATAACGCCACTGCACTCCAGCCTGGGCAACAGAGAGAGACTCCATCTCAAAAAAAAAAAAAGAAAGAAAGAAAGAAAAACACTCATCTCAAAAGGTGACCTGCTCTGTGATTCCATTTGTATACCTCATGAAATGATAAAAGTGTAGAAATAGAGAACAGATGAGTAGTTGTCAGGGGTTAAGGAGGAGATAGTATGATAGGATTATGGTGGTGATTACACAGATCTACGTGAGATAATTACATAATATTACACCCAGCCGACTACATTTTTTAAAAATCTTTTTTAGAGGCCGGGCACAGTGGCTCACACTTGTAATCCCAGCACTCTGGAAGGCCAAGGCAGGCGGATCACCTGAGGTCAGAAGTTCATGACCAGCCTGGCCATGGTGAACAAGTACACATGCACTTGTAAAATTTAAATCTAAATAAGATTCCTCGGCCAGACACGGTGGCTCACGCCTGTAATCCCAGCACTTTGGGAGGCCGAGGAGGGCAGATCCCTTGAGGTCAGGAGTTCAAGACCAGCCTGGCCAACATGGTGAAACCCTGTCTCCACTAAAAATACAAAAATTAGCCGGACATGGTGGCAGGCACCTGTAATCTCAGCTACTTGGGAGGCTGAGGCAGGAGAATCGCTTGAACCCGAGAGGCAGAGGTTGCAGTGAGCCGAAATTGTGCCATTGCACTCCAGCCTGGGCAACAGAGCGAGACTCCGTTGTAAAAAAAAAAAAAAAAAAAAAAAATCTAAAGATTTCTGGGATGTACCAATACAAATTTCCTGGTTTTGAAAATATACTATAGTTATGTAAGATGTTCCCATTGGAGGAAACTGGGTAAAGGTTACCAGCCTCTCTATTATTTTTGGAACTTCCAGTGAATATGATAATTTCATTCCACGTTCACATTGAATGACAGCTCAAGCTCAGCTGACCTGAACCGGTTTCTCCTGCAGTGCCTGTCCACCTGCAGGCAGGGCCTCCTGATCACACCCACCTGTGGTCCACAGCGCCCTCTGCAGCTCTCCCACCACTGGAAGCCTCCTGGTCCCTAGAGGGAGGCCAGCTTGAGGAAGCCCTGATTTCATAGACTCATCTTGCAGCCTCATCTCCTCCCCATGCCTTTATGAGCTGACAGTTTGAGGGGTTTTTTGTTTGGTTGGTTTTTGGTTTGGTTTTGTCTTGTTTTGTTTTGTTTTGAGATGGGGTCTCACCCAGGCTGCAGTGCAGTGGTGCTATCACAGCTCACTGTAGCCTTTACCTCCCAGGCTCAAGCAATCCCTCCTGCCTCAGCCTCCTGAGTAGCTGGGACTACAGACATGTGCCAGGATGTCTGACTAAAAAAAAAATTTTTTTTTTCCAGACAGAGTTTCACTCTTGTTGCCCAGGCTGGAGCACAATGGCGTGATCTTGGCTCACTGCAACCTCTGCCTCCTGGGTTCAAGCGATTCTCCTGCCTCAGCCTCCGGAGACGCTGGAATTACAGGCACCTGCCACCATGCCCAGCTAATTTTTGTTATTTTTAGTAGAGATGGGGTTTTGCCATGTTGGCCAGGCTGGTCTTGAACTCCTGACCTCAGGTAATCCAACCTCCTCGGCCTCCCAAAGTGCTAGGATTACAGGCATGAGCCACCGCACCCGGCTGACTAAATTTTTTAAAAATATTTTTTAGAGGCCGGGCGTGGTGGCTCACGCCTGTAATCCCAGCACTTTCGGAGGCCGAGGTGGGTGGATCATGAGATCAGGAGATCGAGACCATTCTGGCCAACATGGTGAAACCCCATCTCTACTAAAAATATAAAAATTAGCTGGACGTGGTGGCACGTGCCTGTAATCCCAGCTACTTGGGAGGCTGAGGCAGAAGAATTGCTTGAACCAGAGAGTCTGAGGTTGCAGTGAGCCGAGATCACACCACTGCACTCCAGCCTGGCGACAGAGTGAGACTCTGTCTCAAAAAAATATATATATATTTTTTAGAGGCCGGGCGCAGTGGCTCACACCTGTAATCCCAGCACTCTGGAAGGCCGAGGTGGGCAAATCACCTGAGGTCAGAAGTTCATGACCAGCCTGGCCATGGTGAAACCCTGTCTCTACTAAAAACACAAAAAATTAGCCAGGTGTGGTGGTGCAGTGGTGCGCGCCTGTAATCCCAGCTACTCGGGAGGCTGAGGCAGGAGAATCGCTTGAACCCGGGAGGCGGAGGTTGCAGCGAGCCGAGATTGCACCATTGCGCTCCAGCCTGAGCAACAAGAGTGAAACTCCGTCTCAAAAATATGTGTATATATATATATATATATATTTCTTAGAGATGGGGTCTCCCTATGTTGCCTAGGCTGGTCTCTTAACTCCTGGACTCAAACGATCGATCCTCCCACCTCTGCTTCCCAAAGTGCTGAGATTAAAGGTGTGAGCCACTGTGCCTGGCAAATAAGCTGACATTTTGCTTGACACCTCCTGAGCCAAGGACACAGACACCCGAGAGATGTCCACAGGCTGCAGAGGTCCAGCTCCTGTGACCAGGCAGCAGCCTCAGTGGAAGAGCACATGTTCCTGGGCCCTACCACAGGCTGATGTGGAGAGTCCCTCTGATTGAAAATGCCCAACTCAGGCCACTCCTGCCCGGGGGTGACTGTCTCGCAATAAGATACAGGGCCAGAAGGATCCAGGAACACAGGAAGAGTTCGGCAGGGCTCAACAGGAGAACAGAAAAGAACTAAAAGCAGAGACACCATGCAAACATGAGGCACACACGCAACAGGAGACAGAGCAAACTGCAGGAAAAAAGAAGGGCCCTGTTAGCCACACACCGGCCTGTGGGCTACAAGCCCTCCAGTTACAGAGCATGGGAAATAAGGCCAGGTCATGCCTGTCCTCACCTTTGAGTTAGGGCCGAGCTGGGCAGAGAATCTGATTGCCCTTCCCTCCCTCTTCAGTTCCTGCAGATCACTTGGTTCTTTTGTGTTTTTTGCTTTTTGTTTTTTTTTTTTTTAAGACGGAGTCTCACTCTGTTGCCCAGGCTGGACTGCACTGGCTCGATCTCAGCTCACTGCAATCTCTGCCTCCTGAGTTCAAGCGATTCTCCTGCCTCAGCCTCCCGAGAAGTTGGGATTACAAGTGTGTGCCACCATACTTGGCTAATTTTTGTATTTTTAGTAGAGACAGGGTTTCACCATGTTGGCCAGGCTGGTCTCAAATTCCTGACCCCAAGTGATCCACCCACCTCAGCCTCCCAAAGTGCTGGATTACAGGCATGAGCCACCGTACCTGGCTGGCTTTGGGTTCTTGAAGGGAAAAGAAAAAGCCCCATGGCAGACCGGACCTGACTGACGGGCAGGAAATCTTAATTCCAGACCTGCTTTCACCTCCTCACTGCCGGACCTGGAGCCAGGGCTGGCTGTCTCAGGGCCTCTGCCTACCATTGCCAGGAACTCTCTGTTGCCAGTCTGTATTTGGAGAGGCTGAAGGGATGAAGGTCCTACCTCACTCTGGAGCCCTCCCCACAGGGCCCCAGCTTGCACCTCGTGCACCAGCTCCTTAGGGGGCAGTGTGCACCCCTGGAAGGACTCCCAAGGTCTGGGACTTGCGACTCAGGACAGACCATTCCCTGCAGATCATTCATCTGCCAATTTAAGAAATGGGAGAGAGACGGAGGCCCGTCTGCCTCCCCTGCCAGCTCCTGCTGATTGCTGGTGGCTGCCTCCTGAGTTCTGGGGTCCCTCTCTTGACAGTGGTAAGAGTGCCAGGAACGGAGCGCGTTTGCTGCACACCATTTGCCATTGGTGCATCGAGCACACTCCCAGCTCCAGGATTATGGGAAGACCTTTTTGGGGTACAGACTTCCCCTCCCTGCAACAAAGAGGAGCTCTTCCATGGCCCCCACCCTGAGGGGCACAGGAGGTCCACGGCCTGGAAACTTCCTATTTCCTGGGGCTGGCCCAGGGCTTCTAGTCTGGCCTTCCATAAGGCATGGGCCAGGATGCTGGCCCTGGGGGCCTCTCAGCTCAGCCCCACGTGCCCCTCTGTGGACTCTCAGTCTCACGTTTGTCAGGGTTCTGCCATTTAGAAATGATCAGCCCACCTCTAGACCAAGTGCCTGCCTGGAATGTCCTGTCCAACTTATCCACCAGCTCATCCTTCCGGGCCTAATTAAGGCCCCACTCCATCTCTGAAGCCACCCCATGCTCATGACTCTCCCTGACGCAGGTTCCCGACACACCGGGTGACTCAGCTGCAGTGTTTTTCACAGTCCGTGATGCGTCACAGCTATTTATAGGTGTGCTTAACTCCCTGTGAGGAAGCACTTCAACCCCCAAACGCAAGTTCCAGAAATATGCTCATAAAGATAAAGATAGAGAAAAGCTCTGGAAAAATACACAGTGCTGTTGCTTCAGGCAGAGTCCGTGTGTGTGTGTGTGTGTGTGTGTGTGTGTGTGTGTGTGTGCTTTCACTTTTTGCCTCATACATCTCATTGTTTATAAAATTTATCAATATTACAAAGTTGTAAACAAGGTTATTTAAAAACAACAAATTGGCTGGGCACGGTGGCTCACGCCTGTAATCCCAGCACTTTGGGAGGCCGAGGCAGGCGGATCACCTGAGGTCAGGAGTTTGAGACCAACCTGGCCAACATAGTGAAACTCCATCTCTACTAAAAATACAAAAAATTAGCCGGGCATGGTAGCAGGCGCCTGTAATCCCAGCTACTCGGGAGGCTGAAGCAGGAGAATCGCCTGAATCTGGGAGGCGGAGGTTGGAGTGAGTTGAGATCATGCCATTGCACTCCAGCTTAGGCAACAAGAGCGAAACTCTGTCTCAAAAAAAAAAAAAATTATAAATTTCTACACAAAGTCTTGCACATTCCTTTAATTTATTCATAGGTATTTTATAGTTTGTGTTGCCATGTTAGCAGTTACAAAGTGGCTGGGCACAGTGGCTCACACCTGTAATCCCAGCACTTGGGGAGGCCGAGGCGGGTGGATCACAAGGTCAGCAGTTCGAGACCATCCTGGCCAACATGGTGAAATCCCATCTCTTCTAAAATACAAAAAATTAGCCGGGTGTGGTGGTGCACACCTGTAGTCCCAGCTACTTAGGAGGCTGAGGCAGGGGAATTGCTTGAACCCAGGAGGCGGAGGTTGCAGTGAGCCGAGATTGCATCACTGCACTCCAGCATGGTGACAAAGCAAGACTGTTTCAAAAAACAAAAACCAAAAAACCAAAAAACAAAAAGAGTGAGGTCCCCCTGAGTCACATAGCAAGACCCCATCTCTACACAAAATATTTAAAAATTAGCCAGGCATGGTGGTTCGTGCCTGTGGTCTCAGTTACTTGGGAGGCTGAGGCAGAAGGATTGCTTGAGCTCAGGAGGTTGAGGCTTCAGTGAGCCAGGATGGTGTCACTGCATTCCAGCCTGGGAGAGACAGCGAGACCCTGTTTTTGTTGTTGTTTTTTTCTTTTTTAAAGAAAATAAACACCAAAACAATAAAAAGAGTGAGGTAGGTAGGACTCATGTCCCAAAATAGTTCTCCCTTTTTAGTTTTTTAATTTTTAATTTTTAAAGAAAGTTTCATTCTGTTGCCCAGGCTGGGGGGGTGGGGTAGTGGCATAATCGTAGCTCACTGTAACCTGAAACTCCTGTGTTCAAGGGATCCTCCTGCCTCATGCTCCTGAGTAGCTAGGACTACAGGCCCACGTCACCATGCCCAGCTAATTTTTATTTTTATTTTTTGAGATGGAGTCTCACTCTGTCGCCCAGGCTGGAGTGCAATGGCGTGATCTCCACTCATTGCAACCTCCGTCTCCCAGGTTCAAGTGATTCTCCTGCCTCAGCTTCCCGAGTAGCTGGGATTACAGGCGCCTGCCACCACGCCTGGCTAATTTTTGTATTTTTAGTAGAGATGGGGTTTCACCATGTTGGCCAGGCTGGTCTTGAACTTCTGACCTCAGGCAATCTGCCTGCCTCGGCCTCCCAAAGTGCTGGGATTACAGGTGTGAGCCACCGCGCCCGGCCAATTTTTTTTAAATGTCTTGGCAAGATGGAGTCTTCCTATGCTGCCTAGGCTGTTCTTGAACCATTAAAATGATGTATTTCAATTATGTATATACTATTTATACATATATTAGGATATATCTACATGTGTGTGATATGAATATATATACACATTCACAAGCACATTATAAATGTTTGTATGTGTATATATACATACATAGTCATGTACTGAATAATGACATGTCCATCAATGATGGACCACATATGTGACAGTGGTCCCATATACTACCATTTTTTTTGTTTTGTTTTTTGTTTTTGTGAGACAGGGTCTGGTTCTGTCACCTGGGGTGGAGTGGAATGGGGCATCTCTGCTCAGTGCAACCTCTGCCTCCCGAGCTCAAGCAATCCTCCCACCTCAGCCTCCCCATTAGCTGGGACCACAGGTGCATGCCACCACACCTGGCTAATTATTGTATTTTTAGTAGAGACAGGGTTTTGCCATGTTGGCCAGGCTAGTCTCAAACTCCTGACCTCAAGTGATCTGCCCACCTCGGCCTCCCAAAGTGCTGGGATTACAGGTGTGAGCCACCGTGACTGGCCAGTAGTCAACTTTACAACAGGCCTAGGATGGGAGGTGATTGTCCAACCAACTTTAACTTTACTGTTTGAATTTTAAAAGAAAATACCCATGTACTTGGGTATTATTTGTTTGTTTGTTTTTGAGACGGAGTCTGCCTCTGTCACTCAGGCGAGAGTGCAGTGGTGTGATCTCGGCTCACTGCAAGATCTCTGCCTCCTGGGTTCAAGCGATTCTCCTTCCTCAGCCTCCCAAGTAGCTGGAATTACAGGCGCCCACCACCACACCTGGCTAATTTTTGTATTTTTAGTGGAGACAGGGTTTCACTGTGTTGGCCGGGCTGGTCTTGAACTCCTGACCTCAGGTGATCCACCCCCCCTCAGCCTCCCAAAGTGCTAGGATTGCAGGTGTGAGCAACCACACCCAGCTGTACTTGGGTATTATTAAAAAAATAATAAGTCACAGGATGGAGCCAGGAAGCCTGAGGCAGGTGAACCTATGAGGCAAATGTCACGTGCAACAAAGTGTAATTGGCTCTGGCAGCCAAAACCAATTGGACATCTTGGTGAGACAGTCTCCAAATGTGTCACAGGATATAATTTCCAAAGTTATAAACATGACTGTCTTTAATGTATGTACCAAAGGTTACTTCAGGTGTTAAGAAACTATAATGGTGGAAACACTAGTTCAAAGGGAACTGGAGAGACTGAAATACTCAGAGGCACTGAAAAAGCAATGCTGGAATAAGATTGCTGAGTTACATCCAAAAGTACCTGCTGCGCTGCAGGGTAATAAGCCCATTATCTTGGGTCATCTTTTCTACCTGACAGAAGCTAGCTATATCTTATCAATCTACTCATCAGAGCCCAGCCTCATCAATGGTGAATAAGTCAGAGAGGTGCCATGCCTAGAGAATCCCAAAGGTCATCCTATGGCCACCTTTTCGGACTGGTCTTCATTTTGCCTTTTCAAATTTTTTTTTTTTTTTTGAGATGGAGTCTCGCTCTGTTGCCCAGGCTGGAGTGCAGTGGCGTGATCTCAGCTCACTGCAAGCTCCGCCTCCCGGGTTCACACCATTCTCCTGCCTCAGCCTCCCGAATAGCTGGGACTACAGGCGCCAGCCACCATGCCCAGCTAATTTTTTTGTATTTTTAGTAGAGACGGGCTTTCACTGTTAGCCAGGATGGTCTCGATCTCCTTACCTTGTGATCCATCCGCCTCGGCCTCCCAAAGTGCTGGGATTACAGACATGAGCCACCGCGCCCGGCCCACGCCCGGCTATTTTTTTTGTATTTTTAGTAGAGACGGGTTTCACCATGTTAGCCAGGATGGTCTCGATCTCCTGAGCTCGTGATCCACCCGCCACAGCCTCCCAAAGTGCTGGGATTACAGGCGTGAGCCAACGCGCCCGGCCAATATGTTTTTCTTAATGGAGGAGTATCCGCAGGGCGCGGTGGCTCATGCCTGTAATCCCAGCACTTTGGGAGGCCAAGGCAGGTGGATCACGAGGTCAGGAGATCGAGATCCTGGCCAACATGGTGAAATCCCATCTCTACTAAAAATACAAAAATTAGCTGGGCGTGGTGGCACATGCCTGTACTCCCAGCTACTTGGGAGGCTGCGGCAGGAGAATCGCTTGAACCCAGGAGGCGGAGGTTGCAGTGAGCCGAGATCGCGCCTCTGCACTCCAGCCTGGGCGACAGAGCAAGACTCCGTCTCAAAAAAACAAAAACAACAACAAGAAAAAGAGGTGTGTTATTTAACCTTTTCTTAGAAGCTTCTCTGCTGCCCCCAATCTTTCTCAGCAATCCTAAGCCTTGCTCCAGTTACTGGTTAGAGCTGGGCCAATAGTGGTCTGACCACACGTGGTGGCAGCATTCTGAGCTCTGAGGAGACAACCTGGGCTCTTGTCTTGAGGCCTAAACTGGGCCTGAGAGAGCAGGAACAAATCTGCCCTCTCCCTAAGCTCAGGGAGTCCACAGCGGGACCCTCACACCCAGTCTAAGGAGACCACTGGGCAGAGCTGAGATCTTAAGGACAAGCTGGAGTTCCCTCAGTTTTGGGAAAGGAGTTCTGGGGTGAGCGAGGAACATCAGGAGAAGCTGGAACAGAGAGGGGCAGCCAAGTCCTGAAGGGCCTGCTGTAACCCAAGAGAGAGGCCTGGCTTTATCCAGCAAGGCCAGGGTGCGGTCGGAGCAAAGGTTGTTTTATTAAAAGCTTCCTATGGCTGGAGCCCAGGAGTTCGAGGTTACAGTGAGCTATGATCACACTACTGCACTCCGGCCTGGGCAACAGAGCCAGACCCTGTGTTTAAAAAAAATCCTAAAAAGCCACAAAACTTCCTGAATGCAGACAATGTAGGGGTTCAAGGAGCTAGGGAGTACAGCGGAGACAGTGTTTGAACAGGCCCAGGCCTGGGCAGGTGGCTGCCTTGGATGCCCGAAGGGAAAAACAGAACAAAATCAGGAGGAATTGGAGCCTAAGTGAGGGAGCAGAGGATGAAGGGCGAGAAGGGGGCATGGGGCTGACAAAGCCGGGGTGGCAGCCCGTCCCACCCCACTCAGTGTGGGTTCCCGCGGTCTGTTCGGCGCAGCCACAGGGTCCTCCCACCACCCTCGCGGCCCTTCGCCAGCCCAGATACCGTTTTCCCGACTTTGGAACGGAGACCACAACACCCGCCCCGGAACTACTGAAGGCTCAAGTTAGGTCAACCCGGCAGGAAACCGGTTCCCAAATCCCAAGGCGGACCCAGGCCCGCGGTTCCCTCCCTCAAGGCTGGAACAGCGCGCAGTGGCCACCGCCGCCGGGTCTCCAGCCCCCAGGAGCGCGGCCTCCTCCCGGACTCTCTCCGATGCGGTCCTGCCCTGGGGACACGGCAGGAAGAAGGGACCTGGCTGGGGGACGTGGCCCCGGCGCGGGGGCAGGGGAGGCAGCGCGGGACTCCCAGCGGCCCCTGCGCGGGTGCCCACCCGCCGTCACGTGACACGCCGGGCGCTGAGTCACCGGGAAGCATCTGGCTGGGCGGCCGGGATTGGCCAATCTGCGGGACCGTCTGGAGCGGAAGGGCGGTGGTAGCTGGCCCTGCTTCTCCCTCCCCAGGATCTCTGCACTGGCCTTACGAACTGGGGAGTCCAAGGGGTTCCAGGACGGGAAGGGGAGTTTGAGACCAGCCTGGGCAACCTGGCCAGACCCGGTCTCTATTAAAAATACGCAAAACACACACACCACACACCCCACCCCACACAGCCCACACACCCCACACGGCCAGCAGCCCTTTCTGTCACCGACTCCGTTCCCCTGGCCAGTGAGCTCTCCGTCCCCTTTTCCTCCCTTTTCGCACACGTGCCTTTCCTGCCTGCTCCCACCTGGTGCCTGAGGCGTCTCTGCGCCTCAGCACTGGCTGTTCGGTTTGCACTACGGAGGGCAGTGTAGGTTTGAAAAGGAAAGTTTCATTATATAGAACACTACCAAGGCAGGGCGCGGTGGCTCACGCCTGCAATCCCAGCACTTTGGGAGACCGAGGCGGGTGGATCACTTGGGGACAGTAGTTCAAGACCAGCCTGGCCAACATGGTGAAACCCTGTCTCTACTAAAAATACAAAAATTAGCTGGGAGTGGTGACACTTGCCTGTAGTCCCAGCTACTTGGGAGGCTGAGGCAGGAGAATCGCTTGAACCCAGGAGGCAGAGGTTGCAGTGAGCCGAGATCCGGCCACTGCACTCCAGCCTGGGAGACAGAGTGAGGCAAGACTCCATCTCAAAAAAAATAATAATAATAATTAATAAAAAAATAAAAATAATTAAAAGAAAAAGAAAAAGCACTACAGAAGAGTGCAGAGGGGCGCCTCAGCTAGAGGACTTAGGGATTTTCCTTAGGGGCATTTATGGACCTTAAAGAGGGAGCTTAAGGGTAACTTGGACCACACTAGCCACATAGGTCATGATAAATGATTACATTTGTAGACATTTTGGTGCCTAATGCCAGTCAGCAAGGGTTGTTGCACAATGAGTTTGGACAGGCATGCATTTGCAGAGATGTATAGAAATTCTAATTACTTGGAAATTTTGTTGGACCGGAGCTAGGAACCAAATGGTATAGGGAAGTCTCATTACTTCTGAATTCCTCAGATAAAGAGTTTTGCCTCTGCCTGGGCTGCTCGATGGCCACCAGGTGACCTTTGCTCTCCTCAGGGGCTGCTGTGGGTCCAGAGCTGGAAGGAGAATGGGCCGCATCCTTTCCTCCTTCCCTCCCCGCAGCAGCAGGGGCTCTGGCTGCGGGGGCGGGCTGAGCTCCGTCCGGGGTGATGCGAAGGGGGTCATGCCGAGGGGGTGACTCCCAGCTTGCACTGCGTCCCACAGTCGCGCCTCGCCTCGCCTCCCGGAGCCCGAGTCTTCCAAGGGCGCTGGCAGCTGCGTCAGCTCCCGCTGCCCGCCCCAAGCGTCCAGAGCTAGGAGGGAGTTACGGGGCGAGGCCCAGGGCTTTTCAGGGCCGGGGGTCGTGCGGCCAGGCGCGGGTGGACTAGGCCAGCGGCCACTGAGGGGCAGAGAGGTCTGGGGTTCTAAGTTTAGCCCACTCCGCGAATGTGGATTGCTTTGTTTGGATGTGATTCCCTTTCCAGGTGACTGTAGGTTACCCCCACACTGCCCTGGCATGGAAGAGATTTAGGCTGTCCTAGGCCTTCACCCTTCCCTAAGACGAGAATCCAGAGGAGGAGCCATTTAACAGCTCCCTGGCTTCTCTCACTTACAGGGAGCTCACTACTACTACTAAAAACATTTTGAAGTTAACACCCCCTTATGCCTGGCTCATTCGTGCATTCAACAGATGTTTACTGAGCACAGACTGTGTGTTGGAGACTGGCCACTGGTTTACATAACGAGCTGTGATAAAACAAAGTCCCAAGCCTCTTGGTTGATGTTCTCAGGCTTTTTTGAGGTGTGAATCACTTCTCCCTGGAAGCCCTCCTAGCTATGCCACCCTGGCTTAAGACTGACTTTTGTGCTCTAGTGGCCCCTCAGGGATTCCCCACATCAGCACTGACTAAATGTCCACTTCCATGAGCTAGAGGAAGGTGGCGCCTCTTATTTGGCCTGGAGCAGGGAGCTAGGGCTCCTGCAGCCTCCAGATCCCTTACTGGGCGTCAGCTCAAGGGTGGGAAGGCCGGGGGCCTGCACCCCCTGGGAAAGATGTGGGCATTTGTTTCAAGGCAGGTGGTGGTGGCTGAAGTCTGGAGGCAGGGAGAACGGCTGCGTATTTCAAACTTGTAAGCAAAGGACAGGGGACCTATTACTGGGAAATTTCCCACATGTGCCAGGGGGAAGGAACAACCCTCTCCCTGTGGAAGGTGGGGGGAGCGAGCTCACCTCCCAGAGAGACAACTCTGTCACTCTGGCGCCTCTGCCCGCCCTTGTTCTTCCCTCCATCTGAAATCTTCCCCTCTTCTCAAAGCTGGTGTATTCTCATCCTTTAACTCTCCACTCAAATGTCACTTTCCTTGTCAACCCTTGTCAAAATTGGTCCCCTCCTCTGTTCCCTTTATTCCATCACCTATATTTTCTCAGAACATGTACAGTGCTCATTCACTAGGATTGTTACCCGAATCCTCTGCTAGAATGTAAGCTCCAGGAAGGTGGAATTCTTGCCTTTTTCCTGCCTTATTTTTACTAGCTGTACCTTGCATAAAGGGTGTTTGTTGAGTGAATGAAGTTCTGTCCTAGATCAAGTTAGGAATTGAAGCTAGAAGTCAGGAAAACTAGGTCTTTCTCTGCTACTAATATTTTTTTTATTTTTCTTTTCTTTTTCGTGTTTGTTTTTGGTTTTCGTTTGTTTGGTTTTTGTTTTGAGGTGGAGTCTCAATCTGTCACCCAGGCTGGAGTACAGTGGCGCCATCTTGGCTCACTGAAACCTCTGCCTCCTGGGTTCAAGCAATTCTCCTGCCTCAGCCTCCTGAGTGGTTGGGATTACAGGCATGCACCACCATGCCCGGCTAATTTTGTATTTTTAGTAGAGTCGGGATTTCTCCATGTTTGTCAGGCTGGTCTCGAACTCCTGACCTCAGGTGATCTGCTCGCCTCTGCCTCCCAAAGTGCTGGGATTACAGGAGTGAGCCACCACACCCAGCCTCCCTTTAACTCTTTATATCAATCATTTACACAAAGAATTGGAGTCAGCTTGTCAACATACAATGAGATTGAGAGAGAGAGGTAAAAATCAAGCAGAGATGGCCAGGCACGGTGGCTCACACCTGTAATCCCAGCACTTTGGGAGACCGAAGTGGGCGGATCCTGACTTGAGGTCAGGAGTTCAAGAACAGCCTGGCCAACATGGCAAAATCCCATCTCTACTAAAAATACAAAAATTAGCCAGGCGAGGTGGCGTGCATCTGTAATCCCAGCTACTTGGGAGGCTGAGGCAGGAGAATCGCTTAAACCCAGGAGGCGGAGGTTGCAGTGAGCCGAGATCGTGCCACTGCACTCCAGCCTGGGCAACAGTGTGAGACTCTGTCTCAAAAAATAATAATAATAAAAATAAAAATAAGCCGGGCGTGGTGGCTCACACCTGTAATCCCAGCACTTTGGGAGGCTGAGGCAGGTGGATCACAAGGTCAGGAGATTGAGACTATCCTGGCTAACACGGTGAAACCCCGTCTCTATTAAAAATACAAAAAATTAGCCGGGCGTGGTGGCCGGTGCCTGTAGTCCCAGCTACTTGGGAGGCTGAGGCAGGAGAATAGCATGAACCCGGGAGGCGGAGCTTGCAGTGAGCTGAGATTGCGCCACCGCACTCCAGCCTGGGCGACAGAGCAAGATTCCGTCTCAAAAATAAATAAATAAATAAATATGAAATAAAATAAGAATCAAGCAGAGAAAATTCATGCATACCTAAAAGATAAGACCAAGGAAAAAGGCCAGAGTCCTGTACGACTGCCAGAGTTGTGCCTCAGTTATTGCTTTGAGCTTCTGTGAGCCAAAGAGAAAGGAAGAGGAACAAAGGTAGTTGCATGATTCTTCTTGCCTCTAGGGAAAAAGCATCCCAGTTCCTCAGAGAAAGGAAATTTTTTGCTGGCAGTTAATATCTAAGGAATTTCTCATACAGGTCTCCATATAGGGATGTGGTGGCTGATGAGAACAGACTGCAGCTTTCCTAACTAAGGGCATTGTTCACTGAGCATCCAAATCAGCAGCATCAGCAGAGAGTGGGATGCCAAGGAATGACTCAGCAAGGGCAGCTCTGCAAGGCTACAGAAGAGCTTTGTGGGGGCTCTGGCCAGACCCAGGGGCGATGGCTAAAACCAAAGAGGAATGGATGTACTGAATTCCCATCAGAGAAGTGTGGCTCCCGGCTTTCTGGTTTACATTTTTTTTAATCGAATGACTTCAACATCATCTATAAAATATTCTTTTTTAAAAAAAAAAAAAGCCTGTAATCCCAGCACTTTGGGAGGCTGAGGCAGGTGGATCACCTGAGGTCAGGAGTTCCAGACCAGCCTGACGAACATGGAGAAAACCTGTCTCTACTAAAAATACAAAACTTAGCTGGGTGTGGTGGTGCATGCCTGTAATCCCAGCTACTTGGGAGGCTGAGGCAGGAGAATTGCTTGAACCCAGGAGGTGGAGGTTGTGGTGAGCTGAGATTGCACCATGGCACCCCAGCCTGGGCAACAAGAGCGAAACTCCATCTCAAAAAAAAAAAAAAAGAAAAAGAAAAAGAAAAAGCAGCCTGGGCAACATTGTAAAACCCCATTTCTACACAAAATACAAAAAAAAATTGCCAGGCTTGGTGGTGGCGTGCGCCTGTAGTCCCAACTATTTGAGAGGCTGTGGTAAGTGGGAGGATCACTTCACCCTGGAAGGCTGAGGCTGCAGTGAGCCATGATTGTGCTACTACCCTCCAGCCTGAGTGACAGACCAAGACCCTGTCTCAAAAAAAAAAAAGAAAGGGGAACCCAGGTTGGATCAAGCCTCTAGATCTAATCACTTGTTTATAGGAAATGCAGAGGGAACAGAAGACTATGTCATACCACACCACAGGGATATGATGGGCAAAATCCAGAATGTGGAAAATTCCAAAGGCAAACCACCCAGATTCTTCAGCAAATAAATTTCAGGGGGAAAAAAGGTGGGGAGAGGAAACCTATAGAGTATGCTAGAATCTTAAGAGACATGGAAATCCAAGGAAATGTGCAGATTCCACTTAGGTCCTGATTGAACAAACCAACTCTCAAAAAATATTGAGGCAAACTGTGTATTTGAAGATTAATACTAAAAAAAAGTTTTCTGTTTGTTTTGTTTTGTTTTCAGGCAGTCCTTGAACCAGAATAGGTTCAGAGAGGCTCCCCGGTTAATTTTTTTAGGTGTGAAAATGCTAATAGGATTTTGATTATATAAAAATTGTTTTGCAAATTGAAAAAATAATAAAAATAGGCCGGCCGCAGTGGCTGACGCCTGTAATCCCGGCACTTTGGGAGGCCAAGGCGGGTGGATCACGAGGTCAGGAGATCGAGACCATCCTGGCTAACACGTTGAAACCCCAGTCTCTACTAAAAAAAAAAAAAAAAGAAAAAATAATTAGCCGGGCGTGATGGCGGGCGCCTGTAGTCCCAGCTACTCGTGAGGCTGGGACAGGAGAATGGCGTGAACACGGGAGGCGGAGCTTGCAGTGAGCCGAGATCATGCCACTGCACTCCAGCCTGGAGGACAGAGCGAGACTCCTTCTCAAAAAAAGAAAAAAAAGAAAATAAAAATAGTTATGGTTTGTTTCAAAATACTCCAGGTAATGGGGGTTACAAAGAAAGAAGAAACACTTTCTTCCACCCTCTTACTGCCTGGCCTGAGAGCTTACATATCATTTTCAAGATAGCAGTACATCGTGAAGATGTGACAAGGCAAAGGGAAAACGGTTTTAAGCTTCTGGGGGCTACAAAACCGTGGGATGGTAAATATATGGGGAAAACTAGTGGAAGATCACTCTGAATTTAGTAAGATTTGTTTGTGCAGTTTCATCTCAGTGCCGACTGTCCTTTTTTTTTTTTTTTTTTTTTTTTTTTTTGAGACGGAGTCTTGCTCTCTCGCCCAGGCTGGAGTGCAGTGGCATGATCTCGGCTCACTGCAAGCTCCGCCTCCTGGGTTCACACCATTCTCCTGCCTCAGCCTCCCGAGTAGCTGGGACTACAGGCACCCGCCACCACACCCGGCTAATTGTGTGTGTGTGTGTGTGTGTGTGTGTGTGTGTGTGTGTGTGTGTGTAGTAGAAACGGGGTTTCACTGTGTTAGCCAAGACGGTCTTGATCTCCTGGCCTCGTGATCCGCGCGCCTCGGCCTCCCAAAGTGCTGGGACTACAGGCGTGAGCCACAGTGCCTGGCCTGACTTTCTGTCTTCATGACCATAAACCTTCCTGGAAGAGGATATTTATGGCAGTCCTCATTTCTAGGAGTTTTTGCTTGTAGTCAGATAAGGAAAGTTCCAGAAAGGCTCTCTCTGCATCTGTCCGATCTCAAATGCCTCAGTTCAGAATTATCCTTATACCAAAGTAGCATTTGGTGGGGCTGAGATATTCTGATCCCCTTCAAGGGATTGGGAGTTTAGATGGAAGGGAAGTGGCAGGAGTTAGTAACTGTTGGAGCTGGGTATGAATAACATGGGGATTCATTAAACTATTCTTTTTTTCTCTCTCTCTTTTTGAGACAGAGTTTTGCTCTTGTTGCCCAGGCTGGAGTGCAGTGGCACTATCTCGGCTCACCACAACCTCCGCCTCCCGGGTTCAAGCGATTCTCCTACCTCAGCCTCCTGAGTAGCTGGGATTGCAAGCATGCGCCACCATGCCAGGCTAATTTAGTATTTTTAGTAGAGATGGGGTTTCTCCATGTTGGTCAGGCTGGTCTCGAACTCCCGACCTCAGGTGATCCACCCGCCTCAGCCTCCCAAAGTTCTGGGATTACAGGCGTGAGCCACCGCGCCTGGCCCTAAACTATTCTTTTTACTTTTTATTTTATTTTTTGAGAATTTTTTTGAGACGGAATCTTGCTCTGTCACCCAGGCTGGAGTGCAGTGGCGTGATCTTGGCTCACTGCAAACTCCGACTCCTGGGTTCAAGTGAGTCTCCTGCCTCAGCCTCCCAAGTAGCTGGGATTACAGGCATGCACCACTAGGCCTGGCTGATTTTTGCATTTTTAGTAGAGATGGGGTTTCACCATGTTGACCAGGTTAGCTCGAACTTCTGACCTCGTGATTCGACTGCCTCATCCTCCCAAAGTGCTGGGATTACAGATGTGAGCCACCACGCCTGGCCTTTACTTTTTTATGTTTGAAATTTTCCATAACAAAACATCTTTAAGTATTGGAAATACTGACAAACGGTGAGCCAACTTTTCCCAAATACAAAATTATAACAAAATTACCCTGCACTGTCACCACCGTTTCATAAGAAAAAAGTCTTTATAACATCAAAGATACAAGAAGGGCTTGTGAACCCAAAATATCTGAGACAGGTCTCAACCAATTTAGAAGGTTTATTTTGCCAGCCGGGCACGGTGGCTAACACCTGTAATCCCAGCACTTTGAGAGGCTGAGGAGGGTGGATCTTGAGGTCAGGAGTTTGAGACCAGCCTGCCCAACATAGTGAAACCCTGTCTCTACTAAAAATACAAAAAATTAGCTGGGCATGATGGCGGGCGCCTGTAATCCCAGCTACTTGGGAGACTGAGGCAGGAGAATTGCTTGAACCTGTGAGGTGGAGGTTGCAGTGAGGCGGGATCGTGCCACTGCACTCTAGCCCGGGCGACAGTGCAAGACTCCGTCTCAAAAAACAAAAAAAAAGAGAAAGTTTATTTTGCCAAGGTTAAGGACACACCCATGACACAGCCTCGGGAGGTAGATAAGAGACAAAGAGTTGCACTCTTTTCTTTTGAGTTTCTGATTAGCCTTTCACCTAATACGCAATTTACATTTGAGAGGAGGGCAGAGGAGTAGTCACTTTTGCTTTAGTCTGGTTTAGTGAAATCAGAGGTCAGGGGAAGCAATCCGATATGCATTAGTCTCACGTGAGCCTCGGAGGGATGATTTTGAGTTCTGTCTGTCCTTTGTCCACAAGGAATTTCCTTGTGGGCAAATTGTGAGGGAGGCATGTAGCTTTTTTTTTAATAAATCTTTGTAGCTATCTTATTTAGGGATAAAATTGGAAGCAGGTTTGCCTGACATAGTTCCCAGCTTGACTTTTCCCTTGGCTTAGTGATTTTGGGATTCCAAGATTTATTTTCCTTTCACAGGCTTAATCTCTGAATAAAGGACCCTCTTAAAATGGGATGTAGTTAGTTTTCTGGAAAAGTCACAGCCGACGCTCCCAGGGACTGTTTCTGGTTCACGGGCCCTAGGTTCAAACAACCCTTCCCAAACCTTGTTTGTTTCAAAGGTTGAGATCAAAGCTAGTGGGTAGCCAGTGAGGCTGTGCTTGTTCACTCTGTGACTCGGACAAGCTGGCACCTGTCTTCTCTGGGCTGCTTTCTCTCAAAGACTAAGAGTGTTTAGTGCAGAAAGGCCCTCAGAGATCTGGGTTAACCTCTTATTTATTTATTTTTATTTTTTGTTTTGTTTTGTTGTTTTTGAGATGGAGTCTCACTCTGTCGCCCAGGCTGGAGTGCAATGGCACGATCTTGGCTCACTGCAACCTCTGCCTCCCGGGTTCAAGCGATTCTCCTGCCTCAGCCTCCCAAGTAGCTGGGATTACAGGCGTATGTCACCAAACCCAGCTAATTTTTGTGTTTTGAGTAGAGACAGGGTTTCGCCATGTTGGCCAGGCTGGTCTCGAACTCCTGACCTCAGATGATCTGCCCACCTCGGCCTCCCAAAGTGTTGGGATTACAGGCGTGAGCTACCATGCCCAGCCGGTTAACTTCTTATTTTTACAGATGAGAGAACTGAGACAAAGAGAGGAAGAGTGACTTGCTGGAGGTAACAGGGTGCCACTTAAATGGCACAGCCTAGGGTAGAACCCAGGGCTGCTGGTGCCTCGTCCAGGGTTTGCTCCACTCAACGTTTTACCTGCTATGAACTGACCCATGTTGTTTTCGTCATTCTAGTCAGTACCTAGAAAGACAGCTGTGTGGACTAGCTGCTGGACCACCAGGCTTTAAGTCTTGACATTGCTATTTACTGGCTGTGCAACCTTGAGCAAGTTTACTTAACTTCTCTGGGCCTCCATTTCCTCATCTGTAAAATGGGTAGGTGCTGTAATCATGACAGTTATCTTCCGTGAAAATTCAGTGAATGCATGTGCCGCAGTGCCTGCCATGTAGAAAGGACTCAGTGCAGCATAGCTGCATTTTCACCTCCTATATGGATGGTAAGTTCCACAGATTTATTACGGAAAGCAGGCTGGCCTTTAACTTAGGGTCATGGAATGTCAGAGCTGGAAGGGGCCTCTTGAGTTAACTAGAGAGGCGTCCTTTTACAGGAGAAAATGAGTCCCTGGGGGCCTGCGTGACCTGCTGAAGGTCCCAGGGGCTTTTGGTGACAGAACAGGAATCAAACTCCAAAGGGGTCCTCTGTCCTGGGGCTCTGGGCTTGTTGAACAAGTCAGCTGCCCCATCCTCCAATTTATAGAGCCATTAGCCCAAGGGAGTGTCAGTGTTGGTCAAGTAAAGACACGTGGAAGTGCACGGAGCTCTACAGTTTACTAACAGCATTTGCAAAGTTGGAGCCTTACTCCAGCCTAGAAGGTGGTGAGTGCTGGAATGAATATTCCATTTCACAGAAAGAAACCAAGGCCCCCAGGGATGAGTTGGTAACCAAAGCCATGGGTAGAGGCACAGAAATTCCTTGACTACTCTGGAAAATGAGGGAGTTCACCTTCAAGAGAAGAAAGTTAGGTCAGTATAAAATGGCTGACAGCCTCTTCTGCCTTCAGAAAAGTACTTCAACTGCAAAGTCAACTACTAACTTCCAAGGAGGTCAGGAAGGAAAGCAGTTGCTATGGCAACATCTTTGGCAGCTATTTTCATCCTTCTCTGGTTCAGAACAGCTTCCAGCAGGTTCCTGTGGGAGGGATGGGGGAGAAAGGGAAAGGCTAGCTCCAGCCCAGCAACTGTCCTCAGCCAATCTCCCACCAGATTTCGGTGGCAAGAGGAAGGTGGCAGCCAATGAAGAGGCTCGGAGCTTGCATCATCCTCCTGACCAGGGTGGAATAACCAGGAGGCAGGCGCACGTGACCGTTTCCATGGTGACCTCCCTTAGCAACCCTGACTGGTCCTGTTTATGAACGCTGGAAAATTCCAACCAGCCTCTGTCCTGATTTTTTTACCTACTCTGCCTCCGCCTGCTCCAATGCAGGGGTGAAGTCACTGCCAACGTTTAACCCTTTCCCCACGTGGGCCTGGCTCCAGTCAGATCGAGGGTCTGGGAGGGCTGCAGGGATCTCTCAGTCGCCAATGGTTGCAGACAATCCAGTAAGCCACAGCTGTTACTTGCTGCACTGAACCCTGCCTGCGCTGAGTACCGAAAGCAGGAGGGAAGGTAGCCACATCTCTTGAGCCCGGCGCTGTCCTAAGCTCCTGACATCCCCACAGGCCTGAGAAAGGGGCACCACAAACAGGAACCAGGCTGAGACTGAGCCTGTGGACCCTGGTAGCAAGGGCGCCCTCTCTCTAAGAAGCCCTCTGTCATGCTACCGATGTTGCAGAACACCTGGGGCGGAGTAGGGAGTGCCAAAGCGCAGGGGATGAGTGCACAGCAGGGAGACTTCTATGGTCTGCAGGTGAGCTGAAGGCAGGCCCCTGAGGAGGTGGACATTTAGGCTGAATGGAGGACAGGGAGGTAGCAGGACCTGCTGTCTCCAGGACCCCTAAGTTTCTAGGCCAGAGCTGACGGCTGGTGGGTGCAGTCAGCCAGGCTCCAGGGAAGGCTGCTCCAGGCAGGGCTGAGTCTTCACGGTTCAGCTTTTAGAACTGGCCAGGTTGGAATTCTGGCTGGGGGCAGACAGGGAGGGCAAACCACAAACACTTCTGCCTGATCTGGCTGGGGAATCCACAGAGACCACCAGCTGGGACTGGGGTGAGCCTCTCAGAGCCCCTAGCACCAGCCCAAGGCTGCATGGGCTGACTGTGTGGGCGGATGCTGCCTAAGTCATGTGCAGAGCCGTCCTGAGCTGAGGCAGAACTATAAGACATGAACTCTGTTTTCAAGACAGGTGACAATGACAAACAGCAATAAAAGCCACACACCATAGCTCAGGATAACAAGGGCTGAGATGCGTTTGGACAATGAGAAGAAAATAAAAATTAAAAAAAACAGCTGATTCACCAAATGAAGGGCACAGTCCCAGGCGTGCTGGTGACGTCACTGGGCAGGGAAGGCTGCAGGAATCTGCAGCATGGACTGACTGTTCAGGTTCAAGGGGTCTTGACCTGGCTCCTGAAGTTGGGGGGCTCCCACTGCCAGGAGAGTGGCCACGACTGTGGGGAGCAGTGGAGGGAGGTCAGTGCAAGTAGGGAAAGTAGGGATCTTGCTGCCACAAACAGTGGGGGTGGGGGTGGGGGGGGCAGGAACAGAGGAGGCTGGACTGCATGAGGTTTATGGCCTTGGCTCAGGGTGGGGCAGTAGGTGATAAAGAGCCCAGAGAGAGGAAAAGTGACCCTTTGTGACCTGGGCCCTGGTCTCTGTTGACATCTTGGGCCTCAGCTGCAGTCTTTGCTTGAGCAGAAGAGTCATGGAAATTTCCACCCAGATTCCTTTCCCAGCACTCAGTCCCCAGCTCCACATTCTTCTAGGCCCTGCTGGGCTGAGTTCCGCTTGTGGGGGCTGCAGGCTTGAAGAGGCCGAGGACAGCCTCCAGGTCACGGGGACAGCCACAGAAGGCCGGTGGAGTGGACGCATCAGAATTTCAGGCATGTGGGGCATTGAGCTGCCATGAAATACCAGAGCCATCCCCCGTGCCTGACAGGTCCCAGACGCCCCAGGGTCCCTGCTCCTGGGAGGGCAAAGAGGAGGAGTAACAGCCTCCTCCGTCACAGCAGTACTCGAGTCACATCAGCTCATCACCAATGTGCCTCCCCCAGAGTAAGGGCAGCAGGGGCGGAAGAAGCCCAGGGGCACCTAAATATTGTGGGTTCAGCACTTCTGCTCTCCAGAAATGATCCAGGTCCACTGTTTTCTCAGGGGGAGTATTTTATATGTCTATCTCTAGAAGCTTCCAAGGGGAAAAAGTGACTTCAAGGGGAAAGAGGAGCTGGGAAGACCTTGGCAGCTCCTTCCCCTTGCCCGGCCTTCCTTTCCCTACTCTGGGCTCCAGGCTCCACCCCACCTCCTGTTAGGCCTTCCTGAACAGCAGCAGCAGCTGGGAATGCAAAATGACATCCCTATGTTGTCCCTGCCCTTTGTCCAGGGTGAGAGGGACCCTTCCTCGGTGGAGTTGACACAGACCTGCCTCTCTCTCATGTCTGTACTGGGAGTGAGCCTGAGGCCTCCCTGCCAACCGGACTGGAAACTCTGGAATCCCCTTTGTCCCCTTTGATCCTCAGAGGAGCGAGGGAGCCCTGTTAACAAACACATAGTCATCCGAGAAAATGTAGGCTGCCTTGGGACAGAGACTACTGATGGGGTGGTGATAAGTGGCGACTTTGGATACAGTGGCCAGAGGGGTCCTGTGCAAGGAGTGCCCTGTGGTCAGGGTGACGAGGAGTCTGCCTTCTGAAGAGCTGTAGAGGAGCATTCCCAGAAGACGAGCCAAAGACAGCAAAGACCAGGAATCTGGAAGGGCCGGGGCACTAAGAGACAGGAGGGAGGGGGCCCTCATTGCAGGCACAGGCAGCTTCAGGCCACTCTTTCACAGCTTTTCCTTTCTCTTGTCCCATGGCCACCCCCCCACTCCCAATCCAGGCCCCATGACCTCTGGCCTGGGCTATGGCACTGGGCCTCAGTGCCCTCCCCTCTGCTGCCTCTCCCAGCTCTGCCATCCTGCCCAGAGCAGCCAGACAATGCCTCCGGAAGCCAGGGCCTCTCCCAGCTCAGAAGCCATCCTTCTGCCCTAAGAGCCATGTCCATGGCCCTCTCCAGGTGTCCACGCCAGCCCAGACCTCACTGCAGTCTTCTCTTGCTTTCCTGCCAACAGCCACACCCAGCACCCACCTGGCCAGTCATTTCCTCCTCCCCGCACAAGCATTACCAATTTGGGGTGTGCAGGTGCAGGGCCTCTGTTTACCTATTCTGTCTGGGATATTCCCCACCCCCTGCCCCTCATAAAAGTCTATTAAATCCTACACATCCTTTTTGTTGTTGTTGTTGAGATGGAGGCTCACTGTCGCCCAGGCTGGAGGGCAGTGGCGCAATCTCGGCTCATGGCAACCTCCGCCTCCCGGGTTCAAGCGATTCTCCTGCCTGCCTCAGCCTCCCGAGTAGCTGGGATTACAGGCGCCTACCACCATGCCCGGCTAATTTTTGTATTTTAGTAGAGACGAGGTTTCACCATGTTGGTCAGGCTGGTCTCGAATTCCTGACCTCAAATGACCTGCCCACCTCGGCCTCCCAAAGTGCTGGGGTTACAGGCGTGAGCCACCACGCCCAGCCTGGCTTCTGGAATTTTCTAGCCAGAACACAGTCTCTCCTGGGCCCTGTTCCTGTTGTATCACTTCCTGTACTAATCTGTTCCCCTCATGGCTAGACCGAATGCAGCCTGACCCCTTGGATAAGCTTCCAGGAGAAAGCCCACAGGATGGGCAGCCAGGGCGTGAGTGTCCCTACAGCTAACTCAGGGAGATGTCCGGGCCCCAGAGGCCATCTGCCTGCATCTCTAAAAAGTGCTGTGGGAATGTAACTTTTCTGAGTCTTAGATTCTTCAATTGTAGCATGAGGGGCTACTTAGAATTATGGATTTTCAGGATTGGAAGAAAAATCTCAAGTTTTCTTGACCAGCTTCTTCGCAATGCAGGGATACTGCGGAACCCTAGGAAGGTCACCCAGCTTCCAGAGGATACCTGTGGGAATGGGAACTTGCTACCTAGAGGTTTATTCCACTCAAACACTGGGTGGCTCTGATCCACTATTACCAGTTCAGGAGAAGGCCCTGTCATTCTGCGGGCTTCTGTTTTAATCCGGCATTGTTGAGAAACACACCCCGACAAAGTGCCTGAAACCTTGTGGCCGCTACCCCCTTGTCCCAGGAGATGTGTGTCTGTGGGATGTGGGCCACACTTGCATGAGGAAGAATGAATATACGTGTGTGTGTGTGTGTGTGTGTGTGAGCATGCTCATGGAGGATGTTTAATCAGCTTCATGCTGGGTGTGCCAGGCCAATACAAACATCTGCCAGGGACCTGAAGCATGACTGAAAAGATCAGGGACACAAGAACGCGGCTGCGACTCCCTGAGAGCTTCATTGTTCCTTCAGGCCACTTGGGAAGGTTCACTCAGCAGGCGTCTCCCGCGGTGACTCATCATGGGGCAAGGACAGCAAGGGCTGAGCCGGGCTCACTACCCTGCACTGGGCAGGGGGCGGGTAGGAGGTAGAGGGGTGAATGCTCCATCAGAGCTGCATGGAAACCACAGGTGGCCTCTGGGTTTTCTCCCCTGTCTCTGTGGATGGCAGTTGGTTCAGAAGTTCTGAACAGACCTCCAGAGCAAAGCAGTTCCCAGTTTCCCACGCAGTACAGCTAGCTCAGTCCCATTCCACTCCATCCTGATGGGCATTCGAATTTACGTCAAGTCTAAATCCGTTCTGTTCCTGTGGAATGATCTGTTCCTGTGGAATGATCTGTTCCTGTGGGAGCTTTTCAGTATTCTGGTTGTGTGTGTGTGTGTGTGTGTGTGTGTTATAAATTCCAAAAAAGATACTATTCCAATGTATTCATTGAGTCATTACTCAGTAGACACACATGGAGCTTCTACTGTGTGCCAGGCTCTAGTGATCTGGCAAATGACAGCTCTTTGCCTCAGTTTCCTCATCCGTCTAAGGGGAAAGCAACACCACCTCCCCCACAGGGCTGTTGTGAGGCACAGCACTCAATACACGTTACAGAAAATAAAGATGCACATGGAGTGGATAGACGGTTCTACAGACGCAGCCCCCAGGAAGGCATGGGGGACAGCCCAGTTGTGCCCCTCGATGTCAATCTGTCCTCCTACAGCCCACAGTGCTACAGCTGGGCTGCCACAGCCAGGCCTTTCGGGAGGATCCACCAATAGGCTTCAGGGCCCAGGGCCAAGTACATTACGCAGCAAATAGACCAAGGAAGGAACTAGGAGCCTGGAACTCTCAGGCAGGGGGTGGGGAATTGCTTTCTTAAGACACTTTCTCCTAAGAAAGAACAACAACAACAAAAAAGACACTTTCTCCTTTATTCCCCTCCCCGAAAGAGGATTCTATCTAACAAGGAATGCTTGCTAGAAGTAGAGGTGGGTACATTTAGAAGATGTTTTCTTGTCTCAGGAAGAGAGAATCTGTTTCCCCTACCCTCCTGCCCTGGTGATTCAGGGCTGTGATGGAAGAGGCCCCAGCTGCCTCTTCCGCATATCATTTTGGGAAGGTCAATGACACAGCCACTTCTAGTTTCTGTAACTCATTCTTGCTGGAATTGCCCTCAGCTCTCTGTGAAGTGACAGGCCTGTCTGCTGGGTTTCAAGGGATAATTTTACATGTTCTACAGGGTAAATTATTAGCTGTCCAAAACCCCCTAGAAAACAATGCTCTGTCTTCCATATCATAGAGCTCTGAGCTGCATCATCTCTGTAGGTTTTTTCCTGCTGTGGGGGCGGTCACAGTAGGTGAGGGAGCCTAAGTTTGTGCAGCAGCTACGGAAGGTCACATTGTTCCAGAAATCGGCTCTGGGAAGGTGGGCAGCCAGGGGATGGGATTGGGAACTGCAAATTCCTAAAATCTTTAGAAAACAAGAAAGTTTGGGCTGGGTGTGGTGGTTCATGCCTGTAATCCCAGCACTTTTGGAGGCAGAGACAGGCGGATCACTTAAGGTCAGGAGTTTCAGACCAGCCTAGCCAACATGGTAAAACCCTGTCTCTACTAAAAATATGAAAACTAGCCGGGCATGGTGGCAGGCACTTGCAATCCCAGCTACTTGGGAGGCTGAAGCAGGAGAATCACCTGAACCCGGAAGGCAGAGGTTACAGTAAGCTGAGATCCCGTCACTGCACTCTAGCCTGGGTGACAAGAGCAAAAAACTGTCTCAAGGAAAAAAAAAAAAACAAAAACCAAGAAAGTTGTTTTCTTGGGACTGTCTTTGCCCTTCATTTCTGACCTGCATTTCTAGAGAGCTCTAGAAATGCAGAATTAAAGAAAAAATTACAGGATTAGATAAAATCAAAGGAGGCCTGGGAGGAATCCAGGTGCCATGAAGACTCAGCCACTGCGGCCTCTGGGCTCCAGGGCCGTAGATGACGGATCTCTCAGAAGCTTGTCTCTTGACTAAGCCTGACTGGACTTGCCAATCAGGGAAGGGGTGGAGTGGATTCTGGCATTCTCTGGAGGTTTCCGGCCTGGCCTGAGTCAGGAGGATTAAGGTAGGGCCTTGCTGACTGTATGCTTGGAGGCTGGATGCAAAATTTTTGCCCTTTTAGTCCTTTTCAGCACCCCGCCTTCTCGAAGGTACAGCCAGGAGGCCTAAGATCTTTCCTTTTTCTTTTTTTTTCAGACAGTCTTGCTCTGTTGCCAGGCTGGAGTGCAGTGGCACCATCTCAGCTCACTGCAACCTCTGCCTCTCGGGTTCAAGCGATTCTCTTGCCTCAGTCTCCCGAGTAGCTGGGACTACAGGTGCCCTCCACCACACCCCAGCTAATTTTTGTATTTTTAGTAGAGATGGGGTTTCACCATGTTGGCCAGGGTGGTCTCGATCTCTTGACCTGGTGATCCGCCTGCCTCAGCCTCCCAAAGTGTTGGGATTACAGGCATGAGCCACCACGCCCGGCTCCAGCCTAAAGTCTTTCATGTCCTCTCCCCAACCCTTTGTTTACTGTATTTTATAGAATCAGCATCATGGCTTCTTGCATGGAATCCTCTCATTTTACATATCTCAGTTGCTACTGGGAAGTTATTTGGGTTGGTGCCTGAGGTCACAGGGCTGTTTGTCAGTGGAGTAATTGCCAGAAACCAGAACCAAGGGCATTCTATTTTTAGCCTGGGCTTTTTTGAGGGGAGCATGAGATGACTGGCTAAAACAAATTTGCCCTCTTATATTTGTGTCCTTAGGCCCAAATGAAGTCTAGGTTTGAGACTAAAGTGAAAGGGAACAAACATGATATTAAAGGACTAGTGGAGGGGGCAGCTTCCATCAGACATTATGAAATTAAAAGGAGCACAGACGCAGTCCAGAGAAAAGGTGCTTGAAAAAATTCAGTGTTATGTTAAAAAGATCCTTAGTTCCAAGAGTGCTGAGAAGGCCACATAATCAAATATATTATTAATCTCCTCACTAAAGTACATGGCAATTTTAGGCTGTCTTTTTTTATTATTTCATTTTTTAGAGTTTTTTTTTTTTTTTTTTTTTTTAAAGACGTTGTCTTGCTCTGTCGCCCAGGCTGGAGTGCAGTGACACGATCTCGGCTCACCACAACCGCTGCCTCCCGGGTTCAAGTGATTCTTGTGCCTTAGCCTCCTGAGTAGCTGGGATTACAGGCGCACGCCACCACACCTGGCTGATTTTTGCATTTTTAGTAGAGACGGGGTGTTACCAAGTTGGACAGGCTGGTCTGGAACTCCTGACCTCATGTGATCCAACCGCCTTGGCCCCTTTATGGGTTTTCACATTTGTGGATTCAAACAACTGTGAATCAAAAATATTTTTAAAGGCCGGGCATGGTGGGTCACACCTGTAATCCCAGCACTTTGGGAGGCCAAGGGAGGCAGATCATCTGAGGTCAGGAGTTCGAGACCAGCCTGACCAACATGGTGAAACCCTGTCTCTACTAAAAATACAAAAAAAATTAGCCGGGCGTGGTGGTGCGTACCTGTAATCCCAGCTACTCGGCAGGCTGAGGGAGGAGAATCGCTTGAACCTGGGAGGTGGAGCTTGCAGTGAGCCGAGATCGCGCCATTGCACTCCAGCCTGGGCTACAAGAGTGAAACTCCATCTCAAAAAAAAAAAAAAAAAAAAGAAAAATTTTTAAAAATTGAATCTGTATTGAACATATACAGACTTCGTTTCTTGTTATTACTCCCTCATTAATACAATATAAAAATTATTTACGTTGTATTAGGTATTATAAGCAAACTAGAGATGATTTAAGGGATATGGGAGGATATCTGTAGGTTACATAAGGAACTTGAGCATCTTCAGATTTTAGCATCCGAGGAGAGGTTTTAGAACCAAGGCCCCATGGATACCAAGGGATGACTGTACAACATTCTGGCGGCTGGGCACAGTGGCTCAAGCCTGTAATCCCAGCACTTTGGGAGGCCGAGGCGGGCGGATCACGAGGTCAGGAGATCCAGACCATCCTGGTTAACACGGTGAAACCCTGTCTCTGCTAAAACTACAAAAAATTAGTCGGGCGTGGTGGCGGGCGCCTGTAGTACCAGCTACTCGGGAGGCTGAGGCAAGTGAATTGCTTGAACCAGGGAGGCGGAGGTTACGGTGAGCCGAGATCCCGCCACTGCACTCCAGCCTCAGCGATAGAGTGAGACTTCGTCTCAAAAAAAAAAAAAAAGAAACATTCTGTAATCTGTCAAGGTAATGGAAATTAATGCAGTGACACTGACAATAATTTAAAGCATTTTAGGGCTCTTAACGTTCATCTCACTCGCTCTAGAGTGAAGGAGAGAGCAGAGAGTACAGAGCAGGTCCTAGGTCCTCCCCCAGATATAGAAAAACCGCAGTTGGAGAGACTGACAGAAGTGCTGGAGAGGAAGGGAGGCAGCAGGACGTGGAAAATCTGGGATTCAAGAACAGCTTCTGCTATTAATTAGCTGTGTGTCATTTCAGGCAAATCACAAAATCTCCAGGCCCCCAAATCCCCATTTGCGAAACGAGGTGACCTGCCTCAGTTTTCCTTCATCCAGCGATAAAATTCTACTAAAAAATTTCCAACCCCAGAGCAAGCATCAGGACTGTGCCTGAAGGGATCCGGCTGCATCTCAGTAATATTCCACTCTTACAGGCTTAAAAATAAAAAAGAAAAGAAAAGAAAACAAGAACAGTTTCACCAGCGTCAATTGAGAACAGCTGCTTCAACAGGCCCTGCTTTATGTGGGCAGGTGGGGACAGGGAGTTGGCCCAGAAAACAGGACCCTCATTTCCTGGAGCCCCCAGGGCAGCTCCCCAACACCGTACACAACCTGCATCATTTACAGGAGCCAAAGGAGTTTTAGAAATCAACTTCATAGAGTTGCTGTATCATTGTGTTAGTTTTGCCATCCTAACCTATACAGCGTCACTAATCTCTCCCCTCGGAGTTGACTGCCTAAAAACAAGCCATGGATACAGGTTCCAAAGACCCGGGGGTGAGGGAGCGGAGAGGGTGGGTGTCACCACCCCGTCCAGCTCCAAGCTTTGTGTGCCCTGGAACTCTCCATTTTAGGTCATTGCTTCAGTTTCTTTTCTAAAAAATTAGGCTGCTGCAAGGTCAGCCTGAGACCACTTCTGCCCCGAGAATTCTAGACTAGTAAGACCTGGTGACATACAAACGACGAAGATATTTTACAATAATGCCATGGCCCTTGATAGCTACACGAGGTTTGTGTTCTGATTTTAAATTAATGGATGACGTCGAGACTATATGGAGGAAATGACAAAGGACAGGAGAGAGGTGGGAAAGGAAGACCTAGACTGAAAATGGAAGTTGGGCAGCAGCTCCACGAAAGAAAGACCAGCCCCCAAGTGCAGTGACAGCGCAGAGTAGCGACCGAGAAGTTCCCAGGCCAGCTGCCACCCCGCCCCCATGCCATTCCCCAGAACAGGCACAGGCGTTAGGGCGGGGCGCGCGTGCGCAGTCACGCGCTGCGCCAACCGCCACAGCTCCGGGAAGGCGGCCAGGACCGGCTAGAGCCGGTTAGAACCAGTGGCGCCCGCCCACGAGCCAGCGCCTCACAAAGGGAGGGCGGCTCACGGCCCTCGCGTATCCCTGCGCGGCGCTCGCGAGCCGCCCCTCCCCCGGCGTTTGTCCCTGACGCAGCCCCACCGGTTGCGCAGTCCCTCCCCGCCCCCGCTCTCCCCTCCGCAGCCTGCAGCCCGAGACTTCTGTAAAGGACTGGGGCCCCGCAACTGGCCTCTCCTGCCCTCTTAAGCGCAGCGCCATTTTAGCAACGCAGAAGCCCGGCGCCGGGAAGCCTCAGCTCGCCTGAAGGCAGGTCCCCTCTGACGCCTCCGGGAGCCCAGGTTTCCCAGAGTCCTTGGGACGCAGCGACGAGTTGTGCTGCTATCTTAGCTGTCCTTATAGGCTGGCCATTCCAGGTGGTGGTATTTAGATAAAACCACTCAAACTCTGCAGTTTGGTCTTGGGGTTTGGAGGAAAGCTTTTATTTTTCTTCCTGCTCCGGTTCAGAAGGTCTGAAGCTCATACCTAACCAGGCATAACACAGAATCTGCAAAACAAAAACCCCTAAAAAAGCAGACCCAGAGCAGTGTAAACACTTCTGGGTGTGTCCCTGACTGGCTGCCCAAGGTCTCTGTGTCTTCGGAGACAAAGCCATTCGCTTAGTTGGTCTACTTTAAAAGGCCACTTGAACTCGCTTTCCATGGCGATTTGCCTTGTGAGCACTTTCAGGAGAGCCTGGAAGCTGAAAAACGGTAGAAAAATTTCCGTGCGGGCCGTGGGGGGCTGGCGGCAACTGGGGGGCCGCAGATCAGAGTGGGCCACTGGCAGCCAACGGCCCCCGGGGCTCAGGCGGGGAGCAGCTCTGTGGTGTGGGATTGAGGCGTTTTCCAAGAGTGGGTTTTCACGTTTCTAAGATTTCCCAAGCAGACAGCCCGTGCTGCTCCGATTTCTCGAACAAAAAAGCAAAACGTGTGGCTGTCTTGGGAGCAAGTCGCAGGACTGCAAGCAGTTGGGGGAGAAAGTCCGCCATTTTGCCACTTCTCAACCGTCCCTGCAAGGCTGGGGCTCAGTTGCGTAATGGAAAGTAAAGCCCTGAACTATCACACTTTAATCTTCCTTCAAAAGGTGGTAAACTATACCTACTGTCCCTCAAGAGAACACAAGAAGTGCTTTAAGAGGTATTTTAAAAGTTCCGGGGGTTTTGTGAGGTGTTTGATGACCCGTTTAAAATATGATTTCCATGTTTCTTTTGTCTAAAGTTTGCAGCTCAAATCTTTCCACACGCTAGTAATTTAAGTATTTCTGCATGTGTAGTTTGCATTCAAGTTCCATAAGCTGTTAAGAAAAATCTAGAAAAGTAAAACTAGAACCTATTTTTAACCGAAGAACTACTTTTTGCCTCCCTCACAAAGGCGGCGGAAGGTGATCGAATTCCGGTGATGCGAGTTGTTCTCCGTCTATAAATACGCCTCGCCCGAGCTGTGCGGTAGGCATTGAGGCAGCCAGCGCAGGGGCTTCTGCTGAGGGGGCAGGCGGAGCTTGAGGAAACCGCAGATAAGTTTTTTTCTCTTTGAAAGATAGAGATTAATACAACTACTTAAAAAATATAGTCAATAGGTTACTAAGATATTGCTTAGCGTTAAGTTTTTAACGTAATTTTAATAGCTTAAGATTTTAAGAGAAAATATGAAGACTTAGAAGAGTAGCATGAGGAAGGAAAAGATAAAAGGTTTCTAAAACATGACGGAGGTTGAGATGAAGCTTCTTCATGGAGTAAAAAATGTATTTAAAAGAAAATTGAGAGAAAGGACTACAGAGCCCCGAATTAATACCAATAGAAGGGCAATGCTTTTAGATTAAAATGAAGGTGACTTAAACAGCTTAAAGTTTAGTTTAAAAGTTGTAGGTGATTAAAATAATTTGAAGGCGATCTTTTAAAAAGAGATTAAACCGAAGGTGATTAAAAGACCTTGAAATCCATGACGCAGGGAGAATTGCGTCATTTAAAGCCTAGTTAACGCATTTACTAAACGCAGACGAAAATGGAAAGATTAATTGGGAGTGGTAGGATGAAACAATTTGGAGAAGATAGAAGTTTGAAGTGGAAAACTGGAAGACAGAAGTACGGGAAGGCGAAGAAAAGAATAGAGAAGATAGGGAAATTAGAAGATAAAAACATACTTTTAGAAGAAAAAAGATAAATTTAAACCTGAAAAGTAGGAAGCAGAAGAAAAAAGACAAGCTAGGAAACAAAAAGCTAAGGGCAAAATGTACAAACTTAGAAGAAAATTGGAAGATAGAAACAAGATAGAAAATGAAAATATTGTCAAGAGTTTCAGATAGAAAATGAAAAACAAGCTAAGACAAGTATTGGAGAAGTATAGAAGATAGAAAAATATAAAGCCAAAAATTGGATAAAATAGCACTGAAAAAATGAGGAAATTATTGGTAACCAATTTATTTTAAAAGCCCATCAATTTAATTTCTGGTGGTGCAGAAGTTAGAAGGTAAAGCTTGAGAAGATGAGGGTGTTTACGTAGACCAGAACCAATTTAGAAGAATACTTGAAGCTAGAAGGGGAAGTTGGTTAAAAATCACATCAAAAAGCTACTAAAAGGACTGGTGTAATTTAAAAAAAACTAAGGCAGAAGGCTTTTGGAAGAGTTAGAAGAATTTGGAAGGCCTTAAATATAGTAGCTTAGTTTGAAAAATGTGAAGGACTTTCGTAACGGAAGTAATTCAAGATCAAGAGTAATTACCAACTTAATGTTTTTGCATTGGACTTTGAGTTAAGATTATTTTTTAAATCCTGAGGACTAGCATTAATTGACAGCTGACCCAGGTGCTACACAGAAGTGGATTCAGTGAATCTAGGAAGACAGCAGCAGACAGGATTCCAGGAACCAGTGTTTGATGAAGCTAGGACTGAGGAGCAAGCGAGCAAGCAGCAGTTCGTGGTGAAGATAGGAAAAGAGTCCAGGAGCCAGTGCGATTTGGTGAAGGAAGCTAGGAAGAAGGAAGGAGCGCTAACGATTTGGTGGTGAAGCTAGGAAAAAGGATTCCAGGAAGGAGCGAGTGCAATTTGGTGATGAAGGTAGCAGGCGGCTTGGCTTGGCAACCACACGGAGGAGGCGAGCAGGCGTTGTGCGTAGAGGATCCTAGACCAGCATGCCAGTGTGCCAAGGCCACAGGGAAAGCGAGTGGTTGGTAAAAATCCGTGAGGTCGGCAATATGTTGTTTTTCTGGAACTTACTTATGGTAACCTTTTATTTATTTTCTAATATAATGGGGGAGTTTCGTACTGAGGTGTAAAGGGATTTATATGGGGACGTAGGCCGATTTCCGGGTGTTGTAGGTTTCTCTTTTTCAGGCTTATACTCATGAATCTTGTCTGAAGCTTTTGAGGGCAGACTGCCAAGTCCTGGAGAAATAGTAGATGGCAAGTTTGTGGGTTTTTTTTTTTTACACGAATTTGAGGAAAACCAAATGAATTTGATAGCCAAATTGAGACAATTTCAGCAAATCTGTAAGCAGTTTGTATGTTTAGTTGGGGTAATGAAGTATTTCAGTTTTGTGAATAGATGACCTGTTTTTACTTCCTCACCCTGAATTCGTTTTGTAAATGTAGAGTTTGGATGTGTAACTGAGGCGGGGGGGAGTTTTCAGTATTTTTTTTTGTGGGGGTGGGGGCAAAATATGTTTTCAGTTCTTTTTCCCTTAGGTCTGTCTAGAATCCTAAAGGCAAATGACTCAAGGTGTAACAGAAAACAAGAAAATCCAATATCAGGATAATCAGACCACCACAGGTTTACAGTTTATAGAAACTAGAGCAGTTCTCACGTTGAGGTCTGTGGAAGAGATGTCCATTGGAGAAATGGCTGGTAGTTACTCTTTTTTCCCCCCACCCCCTTAATCAGACTTTAAAAGTGCTTAACCCCTTAAACTTGTTATTTTTTACTTGAAGCATTTTGGGATGGTCTTAACAGGGAAGAGAGAGGGTGGGGGAGAAAATGTTTTTTTCTAAGATTTTCCACAGATGCTATAGTACTATTGACAAACTGGGTTAGAGAAGGAGTGTACCGCTGTGCTGTTGGCACGAACACCTTCAGGGACTGGAGCTGCTTTTATCCTTGGAAGAGTATTCCCAGTTGAAGCTGAAAAGTACAGCACAGTGCAGCTTTGGTTCATATTCAGTCATCTCAGGAGAACTTCAGAAGAGCTTGAGTAGGCCAAATGTTGAAGTTAAGTTTTCCAATAATGTGACTTCTTAAAAGTTTTATTAAAGGGGAGGGGCAAATATTGGCAATTAGTTGGCAGTGGCCTGTTACGGTTGGGATTGGTGGGGTGGGTTTAGGTAATTGTTTAGTTTATGATTGCAGATAAACTCATGCCAGAGAACTTAAAGTCTTAGAATGGAAAAAGTAAAGAAATATCAACTTCCAAGTTGGCAAGTAACTCCCAATGATTTAGTTTTTTTCCCCCCAGTTTGAATTGGGAAGCTGGGGGAAGTTAAATATGAGCCACTGGGTGTACCAGTGCATTAATTTGGGCAAGGAAAGTGTCATAATTTGATACTGTATCTGTTTTCCTTCAAAGTATAGAGCTTTTGGGGAAGGAAAGTATTGAACTGGGGGTTGGTCTGGCCTACTGGGCTGACATTAACTACAATTATGGGAAATGCAAAAGTTGTTTGGATATGGTAGTGTGTGGTTCTCTTTTGGAATTTTTTTCAGGTGATTTAATAATAATTTAAAACTACTATAGAAACTGCAGAGCAAAGGAAGTGGCTTAATGATCCTGAAGGGATTTCTTCTGATGGTAGCTTTTGTATTATCAAGTAAGATTCTATTTTCAGTTGTGTGTAAGCAAGTTTTTTTTTAGTGTAGGAGAAATACTTTTCCATTGTTTAACTGCAAAACAAGATGTTAAGGTATGCTTCAAAAATTTTGTAAATTGTTTATTTTAAACTTATCTGTTTGTAAATTGTAACTGATTAAGAATTGTGATAGTTCAGCTTGAATGTCTCTTAGAGGGTGGGCTTTTGTTGATGAGGGAGGGGAAACTTTTTTTTTTTCTATAGACTTTTTTCAGATAACATCTTCTGAGTCATAACCAGCCTGGCAGTATGATGGCCTAGATGCAGAGAAAACAGCTCCTTGGTGAATTGATAAGTAAAGGCAGAAAAGATTATATGTCATACCTCCATTGGGGAATAAGCATAACCCTGAGATTCTTACTACTGATGAGAACATTATCTGCATATGCCAAAAAATTTTAAGCAAATGAAAGCTACCAATTTAAAGTTACGGAATCTACCATTTTAAAGTTAATTGCTTGTCAAGCTATAACCACAAAAATAATGAATTGATGAGAAATACAATGAAGAGGCAATGTCCATCTCAAAATACTGCTTTTACAAAAGCAGAATAAAAGCGAAAAGAAATGAAAATGTTACACTACATTAATCCTGGAATAAAAGAAGCCGAAATAAATGAGAGATGAGTTGGGATCAAGTGGATTGAGGAGGCTGTGCTGTGTGCCAATGTTTCGTTTGCCTCAGACAGGTATCTCTTCGTTATCAGAAGAGTTGCTTCATTTCATCTGGGAGCAGAAAACAGCAGGCAGCTGTTAACAGATAAGTTTAACTTGCATCTGCAGTATTGCATGTTAGGGATAAGTGCTTATTTTTAAGAGCTGTGGAGTTCTTAAATATCAACCATGGCACTTTCTCCTGACCCCTTCCCTAGGGGATTTCAGGATTGAGAAATTTTTCCATCGAGCCTTTTTAAAATTGTAGGACTTGTTCCTGTGGGCTTCAGTGATGGGATAGTACACTTCACTCAGAGGCATTTGCATCTTTAAATAATTTCTTAAAAGCCTCTAAAGTGATCAGTGCCTTGATGCCAACTAAGGAAATTTGTTTAGCATTGAATCTCTGAAGGCTCTATGAAAGGAATAGCATGATGTGCTGTTAGAATCAGATGTTACTGCTAAAATTTACATGTTGTGATGTAAATTGTGTAGAAAACCATTAAATCATTCAAAATAATAAACTATTTTTATTAGAGAATGTATACTTTTAGAAAGCTGTCTCCTTATTTAAATAAAATAGTGTTTGTCTGTAGTTCAGTGTTGGGGCAATCTTGGGGGGGATTCTTCTCTAATCTTTCAGAAACTTTGTCTGCGAACACTCTTTAATGGACCAGATCAGGATTTGAGCGGAAGAACGAATGTAACTTTAAGGCAGGAAAGACAAATTTTATTCTTCATAAAGTGATGAGCATATAATAATTCCAGGCACATGGCAATAGAGGCCCTCTAAATAAGGAATAAATAACCTCTTAGACAGGTGGGAGATTATGATCAGAGTAAAAGGTAATTACACATTTTATTTCCAGAAAGTCAGGGGTCTATAAATTGACAGTGATTAGAGTAATACTTTTTCACATTTCCAAAGTTTGCATGTTAACTTTAAATGCTTACAATCTTAGAGTGGTAGGCAATGTTTTACACTATTGACCTTATATAGGGAAGGGAGGGGGTGCCTGTGGGGTTTTAAAGAATTTTCCTTTGCAGAGGCATTTCATCCTTCATGAAGCCATTCAGGATTTTGAATTGCATATGAGTGCTTGGCTCTTCCTTCTGTTCTAGTGAGTGTATGAGACCTTGCAGTGAGTTTATCAGCATACTCAAAATTTTTTTCCTGGAATTTGGAGGGATGGGAGGAGGGGGTGGGGCTTACTTGTTGTAGCTTTTTTTTTTTTTACAGACTTCACAGAGAATGCAGTTGTCTTGACTTCAGGTCTGTCTGTTCTGTTGGCAAGTAAATGCAGTACTGTTCTGATCCCGCTGCTATTAGAATGCATTGTGAAACGACTGGAGTATGATTAAAAGTTGTGTTCCCCAATGCTTGGAGTAGTGATTGTTGAAGGAAAAAATCCAGCTGAGTGATAAAGGCTGAGTGTTGAGGAAATTTCTGCAGTTTTAAGCAGTCGTATTTGTGATTGAAGCTGAGTACATTTTGCTGGTGTATTTTTAGGTAAAATGCTTTTTGTTCATTTCTGGTGGTGGGAGGGGACTGAAGCCTTTAGTCTTTTCCAGATGCAACCTTAAAATCAGTGACAAGAAACATTCCAAACAAGCAACAGTCTTCAAGAAATTAAACTGGCAAGTGGAAATGTTTAAACAGTTCAGTGATCTTTAGTGCATTGTTTATGTGTGGGTTTCTCTCTCCCCTCCCTTGGTCTTAATTCTTACATGCAGGAACACTCAGCAGACACACGTATGCGAAGGGCCAGAGAAGCCAGACCCAGTAAGAAAAAATAGCCTATTTACTTTAAATAAACCAAACATTCCATTTTAAATGTGGGGATTGGGAACCACTAGTTCTTTCAGATGGTATTCTTCAGACTATAGAAGGAGCTTCCAGTTGAATTCACCAGTGGACAAAATGAGGAAAACAGGTGAACAAGCTTTTTCTGTATTTACATACAAAGTCAGATCAGTTATGGGACAATAGTATTGAATAGATTTCAGCTTTATGCTGGAGTAACTGGCATGTGAGCAAACTGTGTTGGCGTGGGGGTGGAGGGGTGAGGTGGGCGCTAAGCCTTTTTTTAAGATTTTTCAGGTACCCCTCACTAAAGGCACCGAAGGCTTAAAGTAGGACAACCATGGAGCCTTCCTGTGGCAGGAGAGACAACAAAGCGCTATTATCCTAAGGTCAAGAGAAGTGTCAGCCTCACCTGATTTTTATTAGTAATGAGGACTTGCCTCAACTCCCTCTTTCTGGAGTGAAGCATCCGAAGGAATGCTTGAAGTACCCCTGGGCTTCTCTTAACATTTAAGCAAGCTGTTTTTATAGCAGCTCTTAATAATAAAGCCCAAATCTCAAGCGGTGCTTGAAGGGGAGGGAAAGGGGGAAAGCGGGCAACCACTTTTCCCTAGCTTTTCCAGAAGCCTGTTAAAAGCAAGGTCTCCCCACAAGCAACTTCTCTGCCACATCGCCACCCCGTGCCTTTTGATCTAGCACAGACCCTTCACCCCTCACCTCGATGCAGCCAGTAGCTTGGATCCTTGTGGGCATGATCCATAATCGGTTTCAAGGTAACGATGGTGTCGAGGTCTTTGGTGGGTTGAACTATGTTAGAAAAGGCCATTAATTTGCCTGCAAATTGTTAACAGAAGGGTATTAAAACCACAGCTAAGTAGCTCTATTATAATACTTATCCAGTGACTAAAACCAACTTAAACCAGTAAGTGGAGAAATAACATGTTCAAGAACTGTAATGCTGGGTGGGAACATGTAACTTGTAGACTGGAGAAGATAGGCATTTGAGTGGCTGAGAGGGCTTTTGGGTGGGAATGCAAAAATTCTCTGCTAAGACTTTTTCAGGTGAACATAACAGACTTGGCCAAGCTAGCATCTTAGCGGAAGCTGATCTCCAATGCTCTTCAGTAGGGTCATGAAGGTTTTTCTTTTCCTGAGAAAACAACACGTATTGTTTTCTCAGGTTTTGCTTTTTGGCCTTTTTCTAGCTTAAAAAAAAAAAAAGCAAAAGATGCTGGTGGTTGGCACTCCTGGTTTCCAGGACGGGGTTCAAATCCCTGCGGCGTCTTTGCTTTGACTACTAATCTGTCTTCAGGACTCTTTCTGTATTTCTCCTTTTCTCTGCAGGTGCTAGTTCTTGGAGTTTTGGGGAGGTGGGAGGTAACAGCACAATATCTTTGAACTATATACATCCTTGATGTATAATTTGTCAGGAGCTTGACTTGATTGTATATTCATATTTACACGAGAACCTAATATAACTGCCTTGTCTTTTTCAGGTAATAGCCTGCAGCTGGTGTTTTGAGAAGCCCTACTGCTGAAAACTTAACAATTTTGTGTAATAAAAATGGAGAAGCTCTAAATTGTTGTGGTTCTTTTGTGAATAAAAAAATCTTGATTGGGGAAAAAAGATGGGTGTTCTGTGGGCTTGTTCTGTTAAATCTGTGGTCTATAAACACAGCACCCATAATTACAGCATAATCTTCAAGTAGGGTACGGACTTTGGGGGATTGGTGCGAGGGTAGTGGGTGAGTGGCCTACTAAAAAGCCCAGTAACCCCCACAGGAAAATAGGGAACTTCTTTTTAAGTAGCCTCCTTTCCACTATTTAGTAATTGGCTGTGAGCTGGGCTGGGGGAGAAATGGGGCGGGGTGTGTGTGTCATTGGAAAGCTCTCTTTTTTGTTTTTTTGAGACAGTCTCACTTTGTCCCCCAGGCTGGAGTGTAGTGGCATGATCTCTGCAAACTGCAACCTCCACTTCTGGGGTCCAAGTGGTTGTCCTGCTTCACCCTCCCTGTAGCTGGGACTACAGGTGCACACCACCACGCCTGGCTAATTTTTGTATTTTCAGTTAGAGACGTGGTTTTACCATATTGGCCAGGCTGGTCTCAAACTCCTGACCTCGTGTGATCCACCCGCCTGGGCCTCTGAAAGTGCTGGGATTACAGGTGTGAGCCACCAAGCCTGGCCGATCCTTTTAAGTTTTTAAACCAGTTAAGCTCTTTGGTTCCCCCTCAGAGTCCCAAGGTCCTGGGTCACTCAGGATCACATTTTCCTTTAATCAGTTGTCACTGGTCCCCTTTTGTCCCTTTGAACGTGCTGTGGGATTAGTAGCAGCATCTGGCTGTTGGAAGGACTGGCTGGGATCTCAGGTGAAATACCCTCCCTGGCCCTCCTTACCCTTAAGATCTCCCTGAAAAGTCAGACCTTGCTTATTGGAGTTTGAGATGCATTCTAGTAAACCCAGACCTACCAGAGAGAGGGACCCACGTCTGAAGAATCTTCCAGCCTGGGGAACCTGTGACTGGCCACACCCTTAGCCTAATGGAGGGGCCTCAGAAGCAGAACTACCTTTTTTTTTTTTTTTAATGGTATTACATTTTGCAAATGGAGAGGTAGACTCTGATTGGGCCCCTTTTGACAACGCAGCAGAGCTGAGGTTTGAATCCTAGTCAGTCAACACTTCAACCCCTATGTTGCTGTTTCTTCAATGTCTAGAATGTTCTGATAGATGAAGCAATGGCCCGGCAGGTCAGCAGCACACCAACCCCCAACCTACCCAGCCTGTATAGGCCTTGGCCACAGGAGCTTTCTCTTCCCTTGAAGTGATCTAATGGGGGATGGGGTATCTGTCTCGCTGGTTATGAAAGAAGCTGAGCTAGGTGCTCTCCTAAGTTGCTTAAGTGTCTTCTGAATTGATGCCCAGTCAGTTTCGTATGGAGAAAGGTCTCTGTTTTTCCAAAGCAGAAGGTTCTGTGGAAGCACAAATACTTTACTGGAGAGCAAAGGAGTACGAGTAGGAATTGGGGGCCACGCACAGTGGCTCACGCCTATAATCCCAGGACTTTGGGAGGCCGAGGTGGGCAGATCACCTGAGGTCAGGAGTTCGAGACCAGCCTGACCAACATGGAGAAACCCCATCTCTACTAAAAATACAAAATTAGCCGGGCGTGGTGGCGTATGTCTGTAACCCCAGCTATTCGAGAGGCTGAGGTAGGAGAATCGCTTGGACCCGGGAGGCGGAGGTTGCAGTGAGCTGAGATTGCGCCACTGCACTCCAGCCTGGGCAACAAGAGCGAAACTGTCTCAAAAAAAAAAAAAAAAGAAGAAGAAAGGCTGGGCACGGTGGCTCAAGCCTGTAATCCCAGCACTTTGGGAGGCCGAGGCGGGCGGATCACGAAGTCAGGAGATTGAAACCATCCTGGCTAACACGGTGAAACCCCGTCTCTACTACACACACACACACACACACACACACACACACACACACACACACAATTTGCTGGGCGTGGTGGAGGGCGCCTGTAGTCCTAGCTACTCGTGAGGCTGAGGCAGGAGAATGGCGTGAACCTGGGAGGCGGAGCTTGCCGTGAGGTGAGATCGGGCCACTGCACTCCAGCCTGGGCGACAGAGCGAGACTCCGTCTTAAAAAAAAAAAAAAAAAAAAAAAGAGTAGGAGCTGGGCATTCGCCAGGGGCTACGTAGTTCCTGGAGTTGAGGAAGTTCTCCAGGATTGAAAAATGTAAAGATCAGACACTGATCACAGCAACAGGAGGAGGCAGAAAAGTAGGCCGGAAGTCATTTCCACCCTCTGAGCACAAAATGGAGAGCATAAATTCCCCAAAAGCTCCTGTCCAAGTCAAGGGGACTGCGCTTTTTTTTTTTTTTTTGGAAACAGAGTCTCCCTCTGTCGCCAGGCTGGAGTGCAGTAGTGTGATCTCGGCTCACTGCAACCTCCGCCTCCTGAGTTCAAGCGATTCTCCTGCCTCAACCTTCCGACTAGCTGGAACTACAGGCGCGCCACCACGCCCAGCTAATTTTTGTATATTTAGTAGACGCGGGGTTTCACCATGTTGGCCAGGATGGTCTCGATCTCTTGACGTCGTGATCCTCCCGCCTCGGCCTCCCGAAGTGCTGGGATTACAAGGATGAGCCACCGCGCCCGGCCGACTGCTCTTAATAATATAAACAAGCCCTAGGCATTCCCCATATGTACTCCTCCAGTTGTACACAGGGACCTCAGTTTTTTCTTTTTTTTTTCTTTTTTCTTTTCTTTTCTTTTTTTTTTTTTTTTTTGAGACGGAGTCTCGCTCTGTCGCCCAGGCTGGAGTGCAGTGGGGCAATCTCGGCTCACTGCAACCTCCACCTCCCAGTTCAAGCGATTCTCCTCCCTCTGCCTTCCGAGTAGCTGAGACTACAGGCACACGCCACAACGCCCAGCTAATTTTTGTATTTTTAGTAGAGATAGAGTTTCGCCATGTTTGCCAGGCCAGTCTGGAACTCCCGACCTCAAGCGATCTGCCTGCCTTGGCCTCCCAAAGTGCTAAAATTACAGGTGTGAGCCACCGATCCCGGCCCACAGTTTTGGATTTCATCATCCTGATAATCCTGAGTTCAAGGGGCAGCTCCACCATTCCCCAACCCCTCCAAAACCTACCCTCTCAAGCCCCTCAGACCGAGGATCAGGGGCTGGTTGGTATGGACCTGTGTGAGATTTGGTTTGTTTTTGTTTTTGATACAGGGTCTCATTTTGTAGCTCAGGTTGGAATGCAGAGGCACAATCTAGGCTCGGCTCACTGCAACCTCTGCCTCTCAGGCTCAAGTGATCCTCCCATCTCAGCCCCGGGGTAGCTGGGATTATAGGAACACCTGCCACCACACCTGGCTAATTTTTTTTTTTTTTTGAGAAGCAGTCTTGCTCTGTCACCCAGGCTGGAGTGCAATGGTGCAATCTCGGCTCACTGCCTGCCACCTCCACCTCCTGGGTTCAAGCAATTCTTCTGCCTCAGCCTCTGGAGTAGCTGAGGCTACAGTTGTGCGCCACCACACCTGGCTAATTTTTTTGTATTTTTAGTAGAGACAGGGTTTCACCCTATTGTCCAGGCTGGTCTCAAACTCCTGACCTCGTGATCCGCTGTTTTCGTTTGGTTTGGGGTTTTTTTTTTTTTTGAGATGGAGTTTCATTCTTGTTCCCCAGGCTGGAGTGCAATGGCGCGATCTCCGCTCACTGCAACCTCTGCCTCCCGGGTTCAAGCAATTCTCCTGCCTCAGCCTCCTGAGCAGCTGGGATTACAGGCATGCGCCACCATACCTGTCTAGTTTTGTATTTTTAGTAGAGACGCGGTCTCTCCATATTGGTCAGGCTGGTCTGGAACTCCCGACCTCAGGTGATCCACCCGCCTCAGCCTCCCAAAGTGCTGGGATTACAGGCTTGAGCCACCACTCCTGGCCTAATTTTTGCATTTTTATTTTATTTTATTTATTTATTTATTTATTTATTTTTGAGACGGCGTCTTGTTCTGTCGCCCAGGCTGGAGTGCAATGGCGCGATCTCAGCTCACTGCAACCTCTACCTCCCAGGTTCACGCTATTCTCCTGCCTCAGCCTCTTGAGTAGCTGGGATTACAGGCACTCACGACGGTGCCCAGCTAATTTTTGTATTTTTAGTAGAGACGGGGGTGTCCGCCATGTTGGCCAGGCTGGTTTCGAACTCCTGAACTCAGGTGATCCGCCTCCCTCGGCTTTCCAAAGTGCTGGGATTACAGACTTGAGCCACTGCACCTGGCCCGGGCCGAGTACTTCTGACTTCAGGAAATGGATGAAATTACCAGACTTAGGGGAAGGGAACAGTGTGGGGAAGAGATCTGGGAGGGTTCTCATTCATGGGTTGTTGATTTGGAAGACCAGAAACCTGGCTCTGACAAAGCAGTGTTCTTTACGCCTCTGTTTTCCTATCTTTAATTGGGGACAGTGCTCTGTCAGTTTACTGTGACAAGCAAGAGTAGCCACAGTAGACCCACCTGGAAGCAACTAGAAATGACTTGGCTCTTGCTGCCATCTAGTGAACAAATTGGGCATTGCATGCGTTAGCTTTGGAATACATTGTAATACACTTGTTCAACAAACTTTTTTTTTTTTTTTGAGACTGAGTCTCACTCTGTCACCCAGGCTGGAATGCAGCGGTGCCATCTTCACTCACTGCAACCTCCGCCTCCTGGGTTCAAGCAATTCTCCTGTCTCAGCCTCCTGAGTAGCTGGGATTACAGGCTCCCACCACCACGCCCGGCTAATTTTTGTATTTTTAGTAGAGACAGGGTTTCACCATGTTGGCCAGGCTGATCTCGAACTCCTGACCTCAGGTGATCCACCTGCCTCAGCCTACCAAAGTGCTGGGATTACAGGCGTGAGCCACTGCACCCGTCTCAACAAGCATTTTTATTGCTGAGTAATACTCCCTTGTGTGGATATACCATGAAATTATTTTTAAAAATATTGGCTGAGGGCTGGGCGCGGTGGCTCATGCCTGTAATCCCAGCACTTTGGGAGGCCGAGGAGGGTGGATCACCTGAGGTTAGGAGTTCGAGACCAGCCTAGTCAATATGGAGAAACCTCCTCGTCTCTACCAAAAATACAAAAATGTTACAAACCTCACATTCGACACATGTATCCCAGGACTTAAAGTTAAAAAAAAATTATCTGAGTGTGATGGCACATGCCTGTAATCCCAGGTACTCGGGAGGCTGAGGCAGGAGAATTGCTTGAACCAGCGAGGCAGAGATTGCAGTGAGCCGAGATCATGCCATTGCACTCCAGCCTGGCCAACAGTGAGATTCCATCTCAAAAAAAAAAAAAAAAAAAAATTAAGGCCAGTCTCAGTGGCTCACGCCTGTAACCCCAGCACTTTGGGAGGCCAAAATGGACAGAACACTTGAAGTCAGGGGTTTGAGACCAGCCTGGCCAATGTGGTAAAACCTTGTTTCTACTAAAAATACAAAAAAATTAGCTGGGCGTAGTGGCACACATCTGTAATCCCAGCTATTCGGGAGGCTGAGACATGAGAATCACTTGAACCCAGGAGGTAGAGATCACGTCACTGCACTCCAGCCTGGGTACCAGAGTGAGACTCTGTTTAAAAAAAAATAAAAATTAAGAGTGGCTGGGCATGGTGGCTCACGCCGGTAATCCAAGTACTTTGGAAGGCTGCAGAGGGTGGATCTCTTGAGGCCAAGAGTTTGAGACCAACATGGCCAACACAGCAAGACCAAAAATATACAAAAATTAGCCAGGCGTGGTGGCTGGCTCCTGTAATCCCAGCTATTTGGGAGGCTGAGGCATTGCTTGAACCCAGGAGGTGGAGGCTACATTAGGCCGAGATCGCACCACTGCACTCCAGCCTGGACAACAGAGCAAGACTCTGTCTCAAAAAACAACAACAACAAAAAAGAGATTGTGTCTTGCTTTGTTATCCAGGCTGGTCTTGAACTCCTGGACTCAAGGGATCCTCCCACCTCAGCCTCCCAAAGTGGGATTACAGGTGTGACCCACTGCACCCAGCACTGGTGTTTTTTGTTTTGTTTTGGGACATGGTCTCACTTTGTCGCTGTTGCTCAGGCCGCAGTTCAGTGGCAGGATCTCAGCTTACTGCAGCCTCTGCCTCCTGAGCTCAAGCCAGCCTCCCACCTGAGCCTCCCAAGTAGCTGGAACCATACAGGTGCATACCACCATGCCTAGCTAATTTTTTTTTTAGATGGAGTTTCACTCTTGTTGCCCAGGCTGGAATGCAATGGCACGATCTTGGCTCACTGCAACCTCCACCTCCCCAGTTCAAGCAATTCTCTTGCCTCAGCCTCCTGATTAGCTAGGATTACAGGCATGCACCACCATGCTAGGCTAATTTTGTATTTTTAGTAGAGATGGGTTTTCTCCATTTTGGTCAGGCTGGTCTCTAACTCCTGACCTCAGGTGGTCTGCCCGCCTTGGCCTACCAAAGTGCTGGGATTACAGGTGTGATCCACCGCACCCGGCCTTAATTTTTTTATTTTTAGTAGAGATGGGGTCTCTCCATGTTGCCCAGGATGGTCTGGAACTCCTGAGCTCGAGTGATCCTCCCGCCTCAGCCTTCCAAAGTGCTGAGATTACAGGTGTGAGCCGCCTCGCCTGGCCACAGTTGCGTATCTTCTTTGGTGAAGTGTCTGTTCATTTGTGTTGTGTTTTTCTCTTTTCTTTTCTTTTCTTTTCTTTTCTTTTTAAGACGGAGTCTCCGTCTGTCGCCCAGGCTAGAGTGCAGTGTTGCGATCTCGGTTCACTGCAACCTCCACCTCCCAGGTTCAAGCGATTCTCCTGCCTCAGCCTCCCAAGTACCTGGGATTGAAGGAGCGCCCCACCACGCCCGGCTAATTTTTGTTTTTTTAGTAGAGACCGGGTTTCACCAGGTTGGTCAGGCTGGTCTTGAACTCCTGACCTCAAATGATCCACCCACCACGGCCTCCCAAAGGTGTGAGCCACCGTGCCCAGCCATTTTGTGTTTTTTTTTTCTTGCCATTGTTGTTGGCATTTTTATCTTTTGTTGAGTTGTAAGGGCTTTTACATATTCGAGATAGAAGTCCCTTGTCAGATTTTTTTTCTTTTTTTACTTCTGTTGTATGTTTATTATTTATTTTGTATTTTTTGAGACGGAGTCTCGCTCTGTCGCCCAGGCTGGAGTGCAGTGGTGCAATCTCAGCTCACTGCAACCTCTGCCTCCCGGGTTCAAGCAATTCTCCTGCCTCAGCCTCCCAAGTGGCTGGGATTACAGGCATGCACCACCACACCCCACTAATTTTTGTATTTTTAGTAGAGACAGGGTTTCACAATGTCGGCCAGGCTGGTCTCAAACTCCTGACCTCAAGAGATCTGCCTGCCTTGGTCTCCCAAAGTGTTGGGATTACAGGCATGAGCCGCTGCCCGTGGCCTGTTTTATGTTTAGATATATGTTTTGCAAAAGTTTTATCCCAATATGTGTCTTTCTTTTCATTTTTTTGTAACAGTGTCTTTGAGGAGTAGAAGTTTTAAATCTCTTTTTTTAAATTTTTATTGTTACAAATGTTTACTTAATAAAAAGCTTAATATAAAAATGCACATGGCCCAGGCCGGGCGCGGTGGCTCATGCCTGTAATCCCAGCACTTTGGGAGGCCGAGGCGGGCTGATCACGAGGTCAGAAGATCAAGACCATCCTGGCTAACATGGTGAAACCCCGTCTCTACTAAAAATAATACAAAAAATTAGCCGGGCGTGGTGGCGGGCGCCTGTAGTCCCAGCTACTTGAGAGGCTGAGGCAAGAGAATGGCATAAACCCGGGAGGCAGAGCTTGCAGTGAGCCGAGATTGTGCCACTGCACTCCAGCCTGAGCGACAAAGGGAGACTCTGTCTCAAAAAAAAAAAAAAAAAAAAATGTACGTGGCCCAATTTTTACATCATAGTAAAACAAGTCCTTTGGAGAAGGGACTTGGATTTCTCTGCAGAGCCGCCATTGTTTATAGTTGTTCCAAGGCTTCTAATATGAGGATACTTCTCCCTCATCTTACCACTGTTCCAGGGTTGCTCTGTTGTCCACTAGTTGCCATCTTCACACTTTCATCTATCACAAGATTCATAAAGGGATCAAATCCCCAAAATATTCCTTGGATACATCTGCCATCATTTAATATTTTTTATTTTTTATTTTTTTGAGATGGAGTCTCACACTGTTGCCAGGCTAGAATGCAGTGGCTCGATCTTGGCTCACAGCAACCTCTGACTCCCTGGTTCAAGCGATTCTCCTGCCTCAGCCTCCAGAGTAGCTGGGACTACAGGCATGCGCCACCACGCCCAGCTAATTTTTGTATTTTTAGTAGAGACGGGTTTTCACCATGCTGGCCAAGATGGTCTCGATCTCTTGACCTGGTGATCTACCCGCCTCAGCCTCCCAAAGTGCTGGGATTACAGGCGTGAGCCACCATGCCTAGCCGTTATCTATAATTTTTATGCTGGAGGAGGGCGGGGGGTGAGCTTTGCTCATAGTGTCTCAAGGTTTTAAATCTTGAACAAACTACTGATACACCCGTAATACATAAGAATTTCAAAAGATGTTGAGATTAAAGAAACCAGTTTTTAAAAACTATTAGTTTAGTGCAAAAGTAATTGCAGGCTGGGTGTGGCAGCTCACGCCTATAATCCCAGCACTTTGGGAGGCCAAAGCAAGTGGATCACCTGAGGTCAGGAGTTCAAGACCAGCCTGACCAACGTGGTGAAGCCCCGTCTCTACTAAAAATACAAAAATTAGCCGAGTGTGGTGGTAAACACCTGCAATCCCAGCTACCGGGGAGGCTGAGACATGAGAATCGCTTGAACCCGGGAGACAGAGGTTGCAGTGAGCCATGATTGCACCCCTGCACTCAAGCCTGGGTGACAGAGTGAGACTCCGTCTCAAAAAAAAGTAATTGCAGTTTTTGCCATTAATACATACTGCATGATTCAATTTATATACAAATCTTTGTATTTTTAGTAGAGACGGGGTTTCACCCTGTTGGTCAGGCTGGTCACGAACTCCTGACCTCAAGTTATCCACCTCCCCTGGCCTCCCAAAGTGCTGGGATTACAGGTGTGAGCCACTGCACATGGCCAAGAGCATTTTTTTTTTTTTATAGAGACAAGGTCTTGCTATGTTGCCCAGGCTGGCCTCAAACTCCTGGGCTCAAGCAATCCTCCTTCCTCAGCTTCCCAAAGTGCTGGGATTACAGGCATGAGCCACCGTGCCTGGTCTCTGAGAGCATTTCTTGTGAAGTGCACTGGAAAAGCACAGAAGCAATGCTTTTTAACAAATTAATTAAATTAATTTATTTTTATTTCTTTATTTTGAGACAAGGTCTCACCCTGTTGCTCAGGCTGGAGTGCAGTGGTTGAATCATGGCTTACTGCAGCCTCAACCTCCTGGGCTCAAGCAATCCTTCTTCCTCGGCCTCCAAAGTAGCTGGGACTACAGGTGCACACCTCCATGCCTGGCTAATTTTTTGATATTTTGTTGAGATGAGGGTCCTACTCTATGGCCGAGGCTGGTCTTGAACTCCTGAGCTCAAGCGATCCTCCCACCTCAGCCTTCCAAAGTGCCAGGATTACAGGTGTGAGCCATCTTGCCAGGCTAGAAGCAATGCTTTCTGCCTGAATAATTCAGGGAAGGCTAGACAGAGCAGGGGACATTTGGAGTGAGATTCAAAGAATACGAATTTGCTGGATAGAAAAGACCAGGGCAGCCTTCCTCCAGAGAGAACAGCTTGAAAGTGAGAAATGTGGGGCACTGCAACCCAGAGTGGCTGGAAGGGAGGCTGAGAGAGGAGTTGGAGAAGGGGAGAGAGGAGAGGAGAGAGGAGGGGAGGGGAGGGGAGGGGAGGAGGAGCGACAGAGAGAGAGAGAGAGGCAGAGAGAGGAGAGAGAGAAAGGAGACAGAGAAACAGAGAGAGGAAAGACAGAGAGGAGAGAGAGTAGAGAGAGACAGAGAGGAGAGAGACATAGGAGAGAGATAAAAGAGAGAGAGAGGAGAAAGAGAGACAGAGAGGAGAGAGACCAAGGAGAGAGACAGGAGAGAGACAGAGAGAGAGCAGAGAGAAAGGAGAGAGAGAGATGGAGAGAGAGAGGAGTGAGAGTAGAGAGACAGAGGAGAGAGACAGAGAGAGAGGAGAGAGAGACAGAAAGGAGAGAGAGAGAGGAGACAGAAAGGAGAGAGAGAGACAGAGAGAGGAGAGAGACAGAAAGGAAAGAGAGAGAGACAGAGAGAGAGAGAGAGGAGAGAGAGAGAGAGAGAAGCTGGGGTAGGTTGGAGGGTAGTTAGGCCCTAGGACAGCAGATGAGTTAGGGGCTTGCCCCTGGGGAACAGATGGTGAGACTGATGATTCTGGCTGCAAGGTGGGGGATGATCACACTCAGTTCTAGCCACGTGCAGTTTGAGGAGGCTGGGCTGCGCGGGGGTCTGGGCCACGATGGGGGTGTAACTGATTTCTGAGTGGGAAATTCTGAGAGTCTTTGTTTGAAATATCTTTATTTTGCTCTCAGTTTTCATGACAGCTTAGCTGGGAATGGCATTTAGGTAGTGGTTGCCACTTGAAGATGTCTTTATGTTTAAAAAGTTATTGTTTTGTTTTGTTTTGTTTGAGGCAGAGTCTGGCTCTGTTGCCCAGGCTGGAGTGCAGTGGCGCGATCTTGGCTCACCACAACATCAGCCTCCCAGGTTCAAGCGATTCTCCTGCCTCAGCCTCCTGAGTAGCTGGGATTACAGGCACCTTGCCACCACGCACAGCTCATTTTTGTATTATTAGTAGAGACGAGGTTTCGCCGTGTTGGCCAGGCTGGTCTCAAACTCCTGACCTCATGTGATCTGCCTGCCTCAGCCTCCCAAAGTGCTGGGATTACAGGTGTGAGCCACCTCACCCGGCCAGTTTTGTTTTGTTTTGAGACAGGATCTGGAATGGCTTGCTCTGTTGCCCAGGCTGGAATGCAGTACCGTAATCATAGCTCACTGCAGCCTGAACTACTGGACTCGAGCAATACACCTGCCTCGGCCTCCCAAGGAAATGGGACTTTAGGCATGCACCACCACAACTAGCTGATTTTTAATTTTTTTTTTTTTTTTTTTTTTTTAGAGATAGGATCTCACTGTATTGCCCAGGCTGGTCCTGAACTCCTGGGCTCAAGCCATTCTCCTGCCTTGGCCCTCCAAAGTGCCAGGGTTATAGGCATAAGCCGCTGCACCTGGCCTGAACTTCTTTTCTTAGATTTATTCCTAGTAATTTATTCTTTCTTTATGTTATTAAAAATGGAGCCAGACGTGGTGGCTCACCTAAGTAAAACTTCACAGATGACATAATCTTGTATACAGAAAATCCTATGGAGTCTTTGAAAGCTATTAAAATTAATGAGTTCAGCAAGGTTGTAGGATGCAAGATCAACATACAAAAATCACTATAGCAGCGAACAATCTGAAAACATTCTTTTTTTTTTTTTTTTTTTTTTTACCTGACGACTCACTCTGTAGCCCATACTGGAGTGCAATGGCACGATCTCGACTCACTGCAACCTCGCCTCCCAGGTTCAAGTGATTGTCCTGCCTCAGCTTCCCGAGTAGCTGGGATTACAGGCACATGCCACCATGCCTGGCTAATTTTTTTTTTTTTTATTAAGTAGAGGTGGGGTTTCTCCATGTTGGTTGCTCTTGAACTCCTGACCTCATGTGTTCTGCCCACTTTGGCTTCCCAAAGTGCTGGGATTACAGGTGTGAGCCACTGTGCCTGGCCAGGTTCAGGTGACCTTCACGCCCCAGTTCAGACTACAGGAATGTGCCACCATGCCTGGCTGGTTTCTTTTTTCTTTTTACCGTGAAAGACTGGTGGATTGGCCCGGGCCCGGTGGCTCATACCTGTAATCCCAGCACTTTGGGAGGCCAAGGCCAGCAGATTACCTGAGGTCAGGAGTTCAAGACCAGCCTGGCCAACATGGCGAATCCCCGTCTATACTAAAAATACAAAAATTAGCTGGGTATGGTGGTGAATGCCTGTAATCCCAGCTACTCGGGAGGCTGAGGCAGGAGAATCGCTTGAACCCGGGAGGTGAAGGTTGCAGTGAGCTGAGATCGCGCTACTGCACTCCAGCCTGGGTGACAAGGTGAGACTCTGTCTGAAAAAAAAAGGAAAGACTGGTGGATTTTGTTAATTGCTTTTTCTGCTTCTATTGAGATGATCAGGTATTTTTTTGTTTTGCTTTTTATTCTATTAATAGTATGTATTACATTAATTAATTTTCAGATGTTAAACCAACCTTGTATTCCTAGGATAAATCCTATTTAATCATGATATAGAATTTTCCTTTTCTTTTTTTTTTTTTAAGACAGAGTTTTGCTCTTGTTGCCCAGGCTGGAGTACAATGGAGCGATCTCAGCTCACCGCAACCTCCGCCTCCCAGGTTCAAGCAATTCTCCTGCCTCAGCCTTCCCGAGTAGCTGGGATTACAGGCATGTGCCACCATGCCCGGCTAATTTTGTATTTTTAATAGAGACGGGGTTTCTCCATGTTGGTCAGGCTGGTCTTGAACTCCCAACCTCAGGTGATCTGCCTGCCTTGGCCTCCCAAAGTGCTAAGATTACAGGCATGAGCCACCGCGCCCAGCCTTTTTTTTTTTTTTTTTTTTTTTTAAACACAGGTTCCTGCTCTGTTGCCTAGACTAGAGTGCAGTGCCGCAATCATGGCTCATGTCTCACGGCTCACTGCAACCTCAACCTCTTGGGTGGGCTCAAGCAATCCTCCTGCCTTAGCCTCCTGAGTAGCTGGGACTACAAGCATGTGCCACCATGCTGGGCTAATTTTTTTCGTAGAGACTGAGTCTTGCTATGTTGTCTAGGCTGACCTCAAACTCCTGGCCTCAAGCAAGCTAACCACCTCAGCCTCCCAAGTGCTGGGACTATAGGTGTGAGCCACTGCACCGGCTAGAATTCTCCTGACTCAGCCTCCTGAGTAGCTGGGATTACAGGCAAGCCTGGCTAATTTTTTTTTTTTTTTTTTTTTTTTTTTTGTATTTTTAGTAGAGACAGGGTTTCACCGTGTTAGCCAGGATGGTCTGGATCTCCAGACCTTGTGATCCACCTGCCTTGGCCTCCCAAAGTGATGGGATTACAGGTGTTAGCCACTGCGCCTGGCCTGCTCTGTAGTTTCTTGTGATGTCTTTATCTGGTTTTGTTATCAGGGTACTATTGATACCAGCCTAATAGAATGAGTTGGGAAGTATTCCCTCTTCCTCTTCCATTTTTTGGAAGTGTTTGTGAAGAATTGGTATTAATTCTTTAAATGTTTGGTAGAAGTTAGTAGTGAAGAAGTTACTAGTCATCTGGGCCTAGACTTTTCTTTGTAAGTAGGTTTTTAATTTTTTTTTGAGACAGAGTCTCACTCTGTCGCCCAGGCTGGAGTGCAGTGGCATGATATCGGCTCATTGCAACCTCCACCTACAGGGTTCAAGCTATTCTCTTGCCTCAGCCTCCCAAGCAGCTGGGACTATAGGTGTGTGCCACCATGCCTGGCTAATTTTGTATTTTTAGTAGAGAAGGGGTTTCATCATGATGGCCAGGCTGATCTCAAACTTTTGACCTCATGTGATCCGCCCGCCTTGGCCTCCCAAAGTGCTGGGATTACAGGTGTGAGCCACTGCACCTGGCCCATATTCACAGGTTCTGAGAGTTAGGACATGGACATCTTTGAGGGGCTAGTATTCTGCCGACCACAATAGGCCAGAACCCTGAACAGTTTACTTTTTAGGCATCATATTTGCTAAAAACAAAACAAACAAAAAAACCAAACCAAACAAAGAAGTAAAAATCAAAACAAACAAAAAACACAGAGCCATTTTTTGGAAAGACAATAATAGGAAGTCAAAATAATGTTAATTTTGGAGTTATTATTGTTTATTTTATTTTATTTTATTTTTGAGATGGAGTCTCCCTCTGTCCCAGGCTGGAGTGCAGTGGCGTGATCTCGGCTCACTGCAACCTCCGCCTCCCGGGTTCAAGCGATTCTCCTGCCTCAGCCTCCAGAGTAGCTGGAATTACAGGCGCATGCCACCACGCCCGGCTAATTTTTGTATTTTTAGTAGAGACGGGCTTTCAGTACGTTGGCCAGGCTGGTCTCGAACTCCTGACCTCGTGATCCACCCACCTCGGCCTTCCAAAGTGGTGGGATTACAGGCGTGAGCCACCAAGCCCGGCAGCTTGAAGTTATTCTTACATGCTTTGGCAGATGTTAAAACGTTTGTTTTTTTTAAAATTCTCAACATTTAGATCTAGGACAGAGCACAATTTAAATACTTTCTAAAATTAAATTTGGCTGTTACATAAGATTCAGCATTGTTTACAGCAGCTTTTCTGTTTCATGCGTTATAATATAAGATAAAGTAGAAAGAACACCAAAGGTTTTCCTATGATAAGTCATCAACAAAATAAGTGTGGGCCATTAGCAAGTAGCTCTTGATATCTTACAGTGGGCTGAACAACAAATACTTTCTCTTGAAGAATTTGGATCCCTGTTAGCTAAGCTTAAAGTTCCCACTATTTTATTTTATTATTTTATTTATTTATTTATTTTTGAGACGAAGTCTCACTCTTGTCCCCCAGGCTGGAGTGCAATGGCGCAATCTTGGCTCACTGCAACCTCCGCCTCCCAGGTTCAAGCAATTCTCCCTCAGCCTCCTGAGTAGCTGGGATTACAGGCATGTGCCACCACGCCAGGCTAATTTTTTTTTTTTTTTTTTTGAGACAGAGTCTCGCTCTGTTGCCCAGGCTGGAGTGCAGTGGTGCGATCTTGGCTCACTGCAAGCTCCGCCTCCCAGGTTCACGCCATTCTTCTGCCTCAGCCTCTGGAGTAGCTGGGACTACAGTCGCCTGCCACCACGCCCGGCTAATTTTTTTTGTATTTTTAGTAGAGACGGGGTTTCATTGTGTTAGCCAGGATGGTCTCGATCTCCTGACCTCGTGATCCGCCCGCCTCGGCCTCCCAAAGTGCTGGGATTACAGGCGTGAGCCACTGCGCCTGGCCTCGCCTGGCTAATTTTTGTATTTTTAGTAGAGACGGGGTTTCACCATGTTGGCCAGGCTGGTCTTGAACTCCTGACCTCAGGTGAGCCATCCGCCTCGGCCTCCCAAAGTGCTGGGATTACAGGCGTGAGCTACCGTGCCCATCCAAGTTCCCACTTTTTTTTTGAGATGGAGTCTCGCTCTGTCGTCCAGGCTGGAGTGCAGTGGTGCGATCTCGGCTCACTGCAACCTCCACCTCCCAGATTCAAGCGATTCTCCTGCCTCAGCCTTCCCAGTAGCTGGGATTACAGGTGCCCACCACCACACCTGGCTAATTTTTGTGTTTTTAGTAGAGACGGGGTTTCAACATATGTGTAGGGTCCAGCCCTACGGGGCTTAGCATGTGTTCTCCCCCTGTGTGGAGACTAGAGATTGTAATAAATAAAGACACAAGACAAAGAGATAAAGAGAAAACAGCTGGGCCCCAGGGACCACTACCATCAAGACGCGGAGACCGGTAGTGGCCCCAAATGGCTGGGCTCGCTGATATTTATTGTATACAAGACAAGGGGGCAGGGTAAGGAGGGTGAATCTTCTAAGTGATTGACAAGGTGAAGCAGGTCAGGTGATTACAGGATAGGGGGCCCTTCCCTTTTAGGTAGCCGAAGCAGAGAGAGAAGGCAGCATACGTCAGCGTTTTCTTCTCTGCTCTTATAAGAAAGATCAAAGACTTTAAGACTTTCACTATTTCTTCTACCTCTATCTACTACGAATTTCAAAGACGAACCAGGAGTATGGGAGGAGCATGAAAGTGGACAAAGAGCGTGAGCATTGAAGCACAGCACCACAGGGAGGGGTTTAGGCTTCTGGATGACTGCGGGCAGGCCTGGATAATATCCAGCCTTCCACAAGAAGCTGGTGGAGCAGAGTGTCCCCTGACTCCTCCAAGGAAAGGAGACTCCCTTTCGCGGTCTGCTAAGTAACGGGTGCCTTCCCAGACACTGGCGTTACCGCTTGACCAAAGAGCCCTCAAGAGGCCCTTATGCGGGCGTGACAGAAGGCTCACCTCTTGCCTTCTAGGTCACTTCTCACAATGTCCCTTCAGCACCTGACCCTATACCCGCCGGTTATTCCTAGGTTATATTAGTAATGCAACAAAGAGTAATATTAAAAGCTAATGATTAATAATGCTTATAACAATGATTGATAATTGTTCATGACCATCTCTATATCTAATTTGTATTATGACTATTCTTATTCTAACTATTTTCTTTTTTATACTGAAACAGTTTGTGCCTTCAATCTCTTGCCTCCGCACCTAGGTATTCCTCCGCCCACACATATGTGGGGGAAAGGAAGCGAGATCAGACTGTTACTGTGTCTATGCAGAAAAAAAGAAGACATAAGAAACTCCGTTTTGATCTGTACTAAGAAAAATTCTTCTGCTTTGAGATGCTGTTAATCTGTAACTTTAGTTCCAACCCTGTGCTCACAGAAACATGCGCTGTATTGAATCAAGGTTTAAGGGATTTAGGGCTGTGCAGGATGTGCCTTGTTAACTATATGTTTGCAAGCAGTATGCTTGGTAAAAGTCATCGCCATTCTCCATTCTCTATTAACCAGGGACATGATGCACTGTGCAAAGCCACAGGGACCTCTGCCCGAGAAAGCCTGGGTATTGTCTCCCCGACTGAGACAGCCTGATATGGCCTTGTGGGAAGGGAAAGACCTTACCATCCCCCAGCCCGACACCCGTAAAGGGTCTGTGCTGAGAATTAGTAAAAGAGGAAGATCTCTTTGCGGTTGAGATAAGAGGAAGGCCTCTGTTTCCCGTATGTCCCTGGGAATGGAATGTCTTGGTGTAAAGCCCACCAGTCATTCTATTCTGAGATAGGAGAAAACTGCCCTATGGCTGGAGGTGAGATATGCTAGCGGTGATACTGCTCTGTTACTCTTTGCTACACTGAGATGTTTGGGTAAAGAGAAACATAAATCCAGCCTACGTGCACATCCGGGCACAGTACCTTCCCTTGAACTTATTTATGATGCAGATTCCTTTACTCACATGTTTTCCTGCTGACCTTCTTCCCACCATCACCCTGTTCTGCCGCAGTCCCCTTGCAGAGATAGTGAAAATAGTAATCAGTAAATACTGAGGGAACTGAGAGACCAGCGCCGGTGCAGGTCCTCGTATACTGAGTGTGCCGGTCCCCTGGGCCCACTGTTCTTTCTCTATACTTTGTGTCTTATTTCTTTTCTCAGTCTCTTGTCTCCACCTGACGAGAAATACCCACAGGTGTGGAGGGGCAGGCCCCCTTCAAACATGTTGGTCAGGCTGACCTGGAACTCCTGACCTCAGGTGATCCTCCAGCCTCGGCCTCCCAAAGTGCTGAGATTACAAGCGTGAACCACTGTGCCTGGCCCTCACCCCAGTTTATAGATGGGGGACCTAACGCACCCAAAGGGAACTGTGTGAGTTCTCACATCCAATGAGGGGCTGAACCGTGATTGAAACCCAGCACCGTCTCACTGTGGCATCTCTGCCCTTGAGTTATCTCCCAAAGGCATCCCAACCAGACTTTTCATAACCAGTCCCAGAATCTCACCAGTGCTCCATAGCTGTGGTTGAGGCACTGTCCCCAAGCCTGGGTCCTGAGACCCTACCAGCAGAAGAACCACTGCCTGTCCAGCCCCTCCTACACAGCTCAGGGGCTGGATCCCCACCAGTGTGATGTGCTGATTGAGCTAACACCACTCCATGGCTGTCTACACAGGCACTGAGAGATGCAATCCGTTGGCTTGAGAGCCGGGCAGCTGAGCCCAGGAGAGCAGGGTCCCCTCCCAGCCCTTTGGCCTCTTCCAGACCTGCCCAGTTGCTCCTTCTCCCTCCCTCCTTTCCTGGGGTCACTTCTTCTTCCCTCCTCAGTCTCTCCTTCCTCCATTCCCTGGGTGCCCGCCCCTGCCCCGGGGTTCTGGACCTCCTTGGAACCTTGGATTCACTCTCTGCCTCTCACCCACGCTCTTTCTCTGGGGCGTCTCCTCGTGCTTCTCTCATGGTCACTTCACCAGGACCGACTCCTCCCCGGAGCCTGGAGGCACCCACTTGCTGGTGGGAGAGAGTGTCTGGCGTGGGGCCAGTCTCCCTCTCTGGGTCTCTGCCTCACTCCTCACTGCACCCTCTCATGCCTGTCAGTCTTTCTACCTCTCCCCCTTTTTGCCTCGGTTTCCCCATCCCTCTGTCCCTTCTTAAGCTCTCATCCTTACAGTACGCTAGAAGGCAGGCTCTATTATCCTTTAGGATTTAGGCCTCTTTAGATAAAAGGGCTCACAGGCTTGGAGGGTTTTAAGTGACTTACCCGGCGGCGGAGTACTGATCTTAGTACCGCCCGCCGCCCCGGACTGCCCCGCCCCTCCCTAGCCCCCCCATCCCCGCCCCTCCCTAGCCCCCCCATCCCCGCCCCTCCCTAGCCCCCCCATCCCCGCCCCTCTCCCGCCCCTCCCTTGTCCCCGCCCCTTCCCGCCCCAACTCAGGTTCTGCCCCACCCCGCCCCAATTCACGTCCTGCTCCGCCCCGACGTAGGCCCCGCCCTGGCCCCCGGGCCCCGCCCCCGTCTGACGCAGGCCCCGCCCCCTCTCCGCCCCGCCCCGGCTCGGGCGGCCGGAGGACCCGGAGCTAAGGCGCCCGAACCCGCGGCGGCGGTGGGGACGATGTGGTTCTTTGCCCGGGACCCGGTCCGGGACTTTCCGTTCGAGCTCATCCCGGAGCCCCCAGAGGGCGGCCTGCCCGGGCCCTGGGCCCTGCACCGCGGCCGCAAGAAGGTGAGTGCGGCCGAGCTCCGTAGGCCGCGGTCGACCTGGGCCTTGCCTATTCCGCGCCGCCGACCCCGTCGCGTTGCGCCCGGCCTGACGTGGCGGCGGAACCAAGGGGTAGCAGGCCGGGGAGGGGGCGGGCAGTGCCTACGTGGCGGGCGGAGGGACCGAGGGACCGACAGGCGGACAGGGCCGGGGTCACGTGGGCCCGGCGAAGTGTCCCTAAGGCTGACCTGGGGAGAGACCTGGCTGCGGGCCCTTGTCTTCCGGCCACACAACAGCTCTGGGACCATCTCAGGCCCCGCTGCCCTCCCCTAGGCCACAGGCAGCCCCGTGTCCATCTTCGTCTATGATGTGAAGCCTGGCGCGGAAGAGCAGACCCAGGTGGCCAAAGCTGCCTTCAAGCGCTTCAAAACTCTACGGCACCCCAACATCCTGGCTTACATCGATGGACTGGAGGTACCTGCTGCCTTGCCTGCCCGTCTCTGCCCCTCACGATGTCCTGGTTACCCACTCCTGTCTCCCCTCCTGCCCTGTTTCCACCCTATGTGCCCCAGCACCCCCAGATTTGGTTTCCTCTTCCCCATCTCTCCCAACTTCAAGTCGCTTATCTCTCCTTCCTCTCTGCCCCTCCGCCCTTGATAACCCTGTGTCCCCTTCCCCAGACAGAAAAATGCCTCCACGTCGTGACAGAGGCTGTGACCCCGTTGGGAATATACCTCAAGGCGAGAGTGGAGGCTGGTGGCCTGAAGGAGCTGGAGATCTCCTGGGGGCTACACCAGATCGTGGTGAGGTGGGGGGCAGTGGTGATGAGAGCAGGGATGGGGGGTTGCAGGTGCTGGGGCGTGATGGCTCCTTTTGCCCCCAGAAAGCCCTCAGCTTCCTGGTCAACGACTGCAGCCTCATCCACAACAATGTCTGCATGGCCGCCGTGTTCGTGGACCGAGCTGGCGAGTGGAAGCTTGGGGGCCTGGACTACATGTATTCGGCCCAGGGCAACGGTGGGGGACCTCCCCGCAAGGGGATCCCCGAGCTTGAGCAGTATGACCCCCCGGAGTTGGCTGACAGCAGTGGCAGAGTGGTCAGAGAGAAGTGGTGGGTGACTGGGGGCAGCGCGCCCCAACCTGCCCTGTCCTGGAGGCCCCTGCAGCCTCAGGACTCCTAGACTAGTTGGCACTCCCCTGTTCCCTGCTGCCTGGCTGGGGAGGGAATCAGTGTCCCAGGAGTGAGGGACACTCCTCTGCCCCCAGGGTCCTCAGGGCGGTAGGGCGGGATGGACACAGCATTCGGGGTTGGGTGATTCTGAACTTGAAAGCTCTGTGACCTGGACAGATGTGCCTAGTTCTCTGAGGCTTGGTTTTTTTAATCTGTTAAGTGAGGCTAATGAAACCTGCCTCTTGGGACTGATGGCTCAGCTGAGGGACATAGCCAGGCCCTGGCATGCAGTGGGTGCCTGGTGCCCAAGGCAGGCTGGAGGCCTGTGCAGGTGGTTGGTGGGGCCCTAAGAGCTCTGGGTCACTGCCACAGGTCAGCAGACATGTGGCGCTTGGGCTGCCTCATTTGGGAAGTCTTCAATGGGCCCCTACCTCGGGCAGCAGCCCTACGCAACCCTGGGAAGGTAAGTTTCTTGCCCCTGGCTCTTTGCCCTGCCTCAGCCCCTCTGCCAGCTGGCTACCCCTGCCCTGACACTGACCCCTCCCCTACAGATCCCCAAAACGCTGGTGCCCCATTACTGTGAGCTGGTGGGAGCAAACCCCAAGGTGCGTCCCAACCCAGCCCGCTTCCTGCAGAACTGCCGGGCACCTGGTGGCTTCATGAGCAACCGCTTTGTAGAAACCAACCTCTTCCTGGAGGAGATTCAGGTGAGCCCCCAACCCACCCTGGGCTTCGACCCTATCTTTTTCATTCTGCCCCTACCCTGCTTTTCAGGGTACCTCACAATTGACCCTCAGGAGACAAGCATGGACTGTGGAGTTAGGCCAATCCGGGTTCAAACCCAGGCTCCAGCTCATACTTACTCTGTGACTTCCCTTGGCTGAAGTTCAGTCCCAATAATAGTACAGGTTGAGCATCCCTAATCCGAAAATGCATGATCTACTCCAACACTGGAAACTTTTTGACCACCAACATTACAATCCAAGGAAATGCCCATTAGAGCATTTTGCATTTCAGATTTTTTTGGATTACAGATGTTAAATTGGAGCCAGGCGCGGTGGCTCATGCCTGTAATCCCAGCACTTTGGGAGGCTGAGGTGGGTGGATCACCTGAGGTCAGGAATTCGACACCAGCCTGACCAACATGGAGAAACCCCATCTCTACTAAAAATACAAAAAATCAGCTGGGCGGGCATCTGTAATCCCAGCTACTCCAGAGGCTGAGGTAGGAGAATCACTTGAACCCAGGAGACGGAGGTTGCAGTGAGCCGAGATCGTGCCACTGCACTCTAGCCCGGGCGACAGTGTGAGACTTCGTCTCAAAAAAAAAAAAAAAAAAAAGATGTTGAATTGGTATAATGCACATATTCCAAAATCCAAAAAACATCTGAAATCTGAAACACTTCTGGTCCCAAACATTTTGGACAAGGGAGACTCAACCTGTACCTACTTCAAAGGGACCCAGTGAGGAGTCAGAATTGAAAATGTGTGGTATAGTGTTCTGTGCCCAGCAGGCATTTAGGGCCAGCTCTGGTTACTCCAGTCACTCCACGTGTACATTCTGGCTCTGGTCCCCAGGGGTGTAACACCCTGTACTGGCTGCAGGGGGGTGGGCAGCACGGTGTGGAGGAAGGTGAGGCGGACCTAGATCACTGTCCTCAAGAATCTAGCAAAAAGTAAACAGACCAGATCCCCAACCTTGGGAACTCTTGCTGGGGAAGAGACAGAAAACATAAAAACCATAAATAAGAGCCAGGTGCAGTGGCTCACGCCTGTAATCCCAGCACTTTGGGAGGCTGAGGCGGGTGGATCACCTGAGGTCGGGAGTTCGATACCAGCTGACGACATGGAGAAACCCCATCTCTACTAAAAGTACAAAAATTAGCCGGGAGTGGTGGCACATGCCTGTAATCCCGGCTACTCAGGAAGGCTGGGGCAGGAAAATCGCTTGAACCTGGGAGGTGGAGGTTGCAGTGAGCCAAGATTGTGCCATTGCATTCTAGCCTGGGCAACAAGAGCAAATCTCCGTCTCAAAACAAACAAAAGAACACCATAAATAAGAAAACCAGCCAGTGCGGTGGCTCCCGCCTGTAAACCCAGCACTTTGGGAGGCCGGGGCTGGCGGATTATTTGAGGTCAGGAGTTTGAGACCAGCCTGACCAACATGGAGAAACCCCGTCTCTACTAAAAATACAAAAAACTAGCCAGGCATGGTGGCGCATACCTGTAATCCCAGCTACTCCAGAGGCTGAGGCGGGAGAATAGCTTGAACCTGGGAGGCAGGAGGTTGCAGTGAGCCGAGATCGCACCATTGCACTCCAGCCTGGGCAACAAGAGCAAAACTCAGTCTTAAAAAAAAAGAAAAGAAAAATCCAGTGCAGGAAGGAAAGTACTGGAGTGGGTATTCAGGGATGGGCTCTCTGAAGTGTGACATTGGAGCTGGGGCCTGAAGGACATGACTGTGGGAGCCAGAGGGATGGTACCTGGAGTAAGAGTTCCAGGCAGAGGCGACAGCACGTGGAGAGATACTGAGGAGGGAGCCCTCTGCTTTGCCTCTGAACCTTGGTTTCCACATGTGTATAGTGAGGAGCATCTGGGTGCACTGGCCTGCAGGGTTGCTGTAGGGAGGAGGGAGGAAGGCTCTGCTCTATGCAATGCCCGGCCCCAGCCGTGTGTGGGGAAGACAGCGGGGGCTGAGAATCAGAATCAGGAGCAGGGGAGGAGAGTGGCAGACACTCCACAGACCCTGACCCAGCAGAGGTCATGGAATCTTGACTCAGATGCTGTGGGGCGGGGAGGGCCTTTGGAGGGTGGAAACCTGGAAGGAGAAGCTGCTGGAAACGCTGAGACCCCGTTGCCTCCTGGGCAGTGTCGGGGCAGCAGGAACTTTGTTACGTGGAGTTCTCCTCGTACGGCTGGCTCTGCCAAGCTACCCTTCTCCTTAAAGTGTACCCCATAGGAAATAGGGTTTCGGGAGCCTCCAGGAGAACATGGGAGGGCAGTGCCCAGGGGCCCCTCTTCCCATTGTTAGGTGGAGTGGTGGGGAGAACCCAGCTGCTACTCTCTTGATGTATGACCTTGGATGTGATTTAGCCTCTCTGGGCCTTGGCCCCGCTGAACCATGTGATCAGAGCACCAAGCCGGCCTCCCACGCTGGTCTGAGCTGCTCAAGGGCCATCTAGGTCCTCTTTGTCCCAAGCCAGAGGTCGCCTCTCCCCGGCCAAGCCGCGGCTATGGGGGTGGTGGTACAACAGAGAGCACAGGGACTTTGGAACACAACACTGGGTCATGACCCCTGCCTGGCCACTCTTGGCTGCTGACCTTGACCCTCTGTCTCCTCCTTTGTGAATGGGGGGAGTGACAGCATCTTTTGAAGGGTACAGCACAGGAGAGGTGCCAAACCAGTGAGTCAGACCCTCCTCTGACCGCTTCTTAGCTGTGTGACTTTGGACAAGCTCCTTGCCCTCTCTGTGCCTCAGCTTCCTTGTTGGTAAAATGTGGATTACATTAGCACCTACCTGGTAAAGTTGTGAAGAGGACTGAGATAATCTGTGTAAAGGTTTTAGCACATAATCTGTGCTCCAGAAATATGAATTGGGGGTATTATGGCCTCAAAGGGGGGTTAGGAGGACTAAAGGAGACCGTTGAGCTTACAGGCTGGTCCATTTTGGCTCAGTGGGAGGATGAGGTCTGGGAGTAAAGTGTACCTAATCCTTGCCTTCCCACGGCCTACCAGGAACTTCCTGCCCAATCCAGCCAGGGCAGGGAAACCAAGTAAGCCCCTTCACCTCTTTGATCTTCAGTTTCCTCCTCTGTGCTCACATCCTGGGTGGCGAGCAGTAGAGGCAACACTGATAAAGGGCCTGATGCCCTTAGTGATGCCTCTGCTGTCCCTAGTGGCTGCTCTCCCAGCAACAGGTCAGGTAGCCGCAATGGCAGCAACAGTCCCTAACCCACCGAGCATCTGCCGTGTGCCAGCCTGTTCTGCAGCTTTTATGTGCATTTTCTGGTTGAATCCCAGAACTATCCCGTAGATGGTAGAGCTGTTATCCCATTTTACATGGCAGGTAAGTGGGACAGTTGGGCTTTGAACCCAGGCAGCCAGGCTCCAGAGCCCATAAGGCCCATAAGCATCACTTCTCCTTGTCCTCACCCATGGCTGGGTTTGGGCTGCAACCAGGCTGATCTCTTCCCCGGGTCCCGTCCTCACTCCCCCAGATCAAAGAGCCAGCCGAGAAGCAAAAATTCTTCCAGGAGCTGAGCAAGAGCCTGGACGCATTCCCTGAGGATTTCTGTCGGCACAAGGTGCTGCCCCAGCTGCTGACCGCCTTCGAGTTCGGCAATGCTGGGGCCGTTGTCCTCACGCCCCTCTTCAAGGTGAGTGGAACTGTGGGGTCCAGAAGGCTGGCTGGGTGCACAGGAACTGCCAAAGAGAAGGCCCTGGGGTAGGGCAGGCTGTTTAGGGCAGACCCAAGCCCATATGAGCAGGAGCTTCCTGCCAGTGTCTATAAACAGGTACCTGACCAGCTGTCCCCTGGGGAGGAGAGACTCTGCCGCTAAAATCCTTTTTTCCACAAACCTCTGGCTTCACAACCCTCAGCCCTTCCTCCATTTCTCCGGGTCTGACCTGTGCACCTTGGTTCCCAGGGCCCAGGGGATTACCTACTCACCACCCCACTTTGCCCTCCTCCCTCCTGACTGCTTAGCACTCAGCTCACCTGACTTCTGGGGGCTGGATCTTCCACCCTTTCCTCAGACCCCAGCCCGCCTTTTTATGGGCACCTGGCATTCCCTGCCCTCCTCACCTTGGGGAGAACCCTTTCATCTGAAAGACTTGTCAGGAGGGGAGAAGACAACAAGCAAGTCCTGTATAGCTGAGAACCCCCAGAAATTGCAGGCAGAATTTCTGCATATGGCATAAAGGTACCTGTTTGTAGGGAGGGGCCCAGAGCTTTCATCAGCCTCCTGAAAGAGGCCTTGGCCCAGAAAGGTTAAGGGCAAGGCTGAGATGGAATATGGGTAGAGGAGCTACTGAGGAAATGCCTGCCCCCCCCTCCGCCATCACTTCATTCCCACCCTGGGATATCAGCCCCAGGAATTTAGATAAGCCCAGCAAAGTCAGCCCATTCCTGTGAGCAGCTGAACCCATCTTCCTGCCCTTTCAGGTGGGCAAGTTCCTGAGCGCTGAGGAGTATCAGCAGAAGATCATCCCTGTGGTGGTCAAGATGTTCTCATCCACTGACCGGGCCATGCGCATCCGCCTCCTGCAGCAGGTGAGGCCTCTGTACCAGACTCTGTGGTGGTCCACCCAGACCCCAACCTGGTGGCTGGGGAGGCACCTGCCCTGGCTGCACAGGGACCCCAGAAACCCCACCCCTGAACATACACACAACTGAGGGACCCAATGAGGCCAGGCTCTCAGAAAGTTGGCCACATACAGGGCTCCTTGGCAGTTTTGGGAATGGCCAGCTTGCCCAGGCTGCAGCGCTCTAATGCCCCCTCCTCTCCTGGCTCAGTCACTCTGGCCCTCTAGAGTGGGGATACAGTCTTTCTCCTGCAACCCCAGGGCAGCTGGGAGCATCAGACAAGATGGATGGGATCTAGGAAGTACCAGTGGCTCCCAGTGCCATTCCCTCTGTGACCACCAAACACACCAGTCCTCCTCGTGGCACTGTGGGCAGGTGGGGAGGAGCAGGGAAGGGGTGATACCCTCATTTATAGAAGAGGCTCAGGCTGGGCGCAGTGGCTCATGCCTGTAATCCCAGCACTTTGGGAGGGCCGAGGCAGGCAGATCACCTGAGGTCAGGAGTTTAAGACCAGCCTGGCCAACTTGGCGAAACCCCGTCTCTACTAAAAATACAAAAATTAGCCAGGTGCGGTGGTGGGTGCCTGTAATCCCAGCTGCTCAGGAGGCTGAGGCAGGAGAATTGCTTGAACCTGGGAGGCAGAGGTTTCAGTGAGCTGAGATTGCGCCACTGCACTCCAGCCTCGGTGACAGAGCAAGACTCTGTCTCAGAAAAAAAAAAAAAAAAAAAATAGAAGAGGCTCTGAGAGGGTGGCCAGATGAGCCGGACTATGAGCCAGGCCTTCCTAGCGCCCTCCTGGCCTTTCCTCACTCCTCCACCTGGGCCTGAGGCCAAACACCTGGGTGGTGGCTCAGGAGGTTGACCTGGCTGGCCAGTGCCTGCTGGGTGGAAAAGCTAAGCCAGGAGCGGTTCCATGGCTATGGGGATAGAGTGGGAAGGGCTGACCATGTTGACGCATCCCAACCTGGGCCACAGATGGAGCAGTTCATCCAGTACCTTGACGAGCCAACAGTCAACACCCAGATCTTCCCCCACGTCGTACATGGCTTCCTGGACACCAACCCTGCCATCCGGGAGCAGACGGTCAAGGTGGGTGTGGCCAGGCCCAGAGTGGCTACCCCTGGTTTTCCAAGGCTTGGAGGGGCTCACCCTAGACACAGAGGCCTTGGCTTTGGCCCATGGGTCCAAGCAGACACTGTCCTTGCTGTGTGGGTTCAGGCCGTGGGTGCAGCTCGGCAGCTGGCGGGGGAGCACGTCCTCCATTCAGCAGACAACGAGCATCTGCCTGTTCCTGGCCCAAGCCCCATGCTGGGAGGCAGCATGCATGAGGTGCCCAGCCCCCTGCACTCATGGAGCTTCCTTTCCAGGGCACAGAGGGTGGGCTTGCCAGACAATACAACAGAATTAGAAAATATGTATTGTTGGCTGGTCACGGTGGCTCACGCCCATAATCCCTGCACTTTGGGAGGCTGAGGCAAGCGGATCACCTGAGGTCAGGAGTTCGAGACCAGCCTGACCAACATGGCGAAGCCCTGTCTCTACTAAAAAGTACAAAACCATCTGGGGATGGTGGCGCATGCCTGTAATCCCAGCTACTCGGGAGGCTGAGGCAGGAGACTCAATTGAACCTGGGAGGCAGAGGTTGCAGTGAGCCGAGATCATGCCGTTGCACTCCAGCATGGGCAACAAGAGGGAAACTCTGTTTCAAAAAAAGAAAGAAAATATGCATTGTTGGAAAGTGTGGGGAGAAGAGTTTGTGGTTTTAAAAACAGTGGTCAGGGGCTGGGCGCAGTGGCTTACGCCTGTGATCCCAGCACTTTGGTAGGCCGAGGTGGGAGGATCGCTTGAGCCCAGGAGTTGGAGACCAGCCTGGTCATCATGGCCAAACCCCATCTCTACAAAAAAATACAAAAGTTAGGCGCGTATGGTGATGCACGCCTATAGTCCCAGCTACTCGGGAGGCTGAGGCAGGTAGGTAGCTTGAGCCCAGGAGGTTGAGGCTGCATTGAGCTGTGATCGTGACACTGCATTCCAGCCTGGGCAACAGAGTGAGACCTCATCTCAAAATTTAAGAAATTATTTTAGGCCGGGCCTGGTGGCCCATGCCTGTAATCCCAGCACTTTGGGAGGCCGAGGCGGGTGGATCACCTGAGGCGATGGGAGTTTGAGACCAGCCTGGCCAACATGGTAAAACATGGTAAAACCCCATCTCTACTAAAAATACAAAAAATGGCTGGGCCCGGTTGCTCACACCTGTAATCCCAGACTTTGGGAGGCTGAGGTGGGCGGATCACAAGGGCAGGAGATCAAGACCATCCTGGCTAACATGGTGAAACCCCGTCTCTACTAAAAGTACAAAAACAATCTAGCCGGGCATGGTGGTGGGCGCCTGTGGTCCCAGCTACTTGGGAGGCTGAGGCAGGAGAATGGTGTGAACCTCGGAGATGGAGCTTGCAGTGAGCCGATATCGCGCCACTGCACTCCAGCCTGGGCAACAGAGCAAGACTCCGTCTCAAAAAAATAAAATAAAATAAAAATTAAAAAAATTAGCCAGGCATGGTGGTGGGCGCCTGTAATCCTAGCCACTCAGGAGGCTGAGGCAGGAGAATTGCTTGAACCCAGGAGGCAGAGGTTGCAGTGAGTAGAGATCACACCACTGCACTCCAGCCTGGGTGACAGAGTGAGACTCTATCTCAGAAACAAAAAAGATACGGAGACGAGAGTGGCTCTGAGGCTTGTGGCCTGAGCAACTGGAAGGTTAGGAGTTGCTATTTACTGAGATGACACAAGCATGTTGGGCCCCATCTTGGCTGTTTCTGTTAGGCAGCTGGATGGAGATGTCGAGTTGGCCACTGGTTATGCATGTGTGAAATTTAGGGAAGTCTGGGCTAGGGGTATGTGCCTGGGGGTTGTCAGCTCACAAGATGGCATTGAAAGCCATGAAATGGCTGAGATCACCTAGGGCAAGAGTGTTAGATAGAAAAGAGCCCTCTAGATTGGCTCCGGGTGTGTGAACGTTAGAGTCTCAGCAAAAGGAGCAGCCAGCCAGGTCAGAGGAGAACCAGGAGGGGGTGGTGTCCTGGAAGACCAGAGACCAAAGTTTCAGGGAGGGAAAACTCAGGGGTGTCAGAACTGCTGAGGGTCAAGTTTGGTGAGGATGGAGAACTGGCTGTTGAAATTAGTACCGGGGAGGGCATCAGTGACCTCACCCTGAGCCAGTTTGGCAGAGTGTGGGGCTGTTTGTGTGAGTCTAGGTGGAGTGCCATCAGGAGAGCAGAGCAGAGGAAATGGGAAACAGGAGTGCAGACAGACTTTGGAGGTTTTGCTGTAAAGGGGGACAGAAATGGGGTCCCTTTCTTCAACATGCTGGACAGGGCCAGGCCCAGGCTGGGAGGTGGCCTTGCAGGCTTTGATGGGTGTGCTCTGGGATGAGGGCTGCCAGGAGGCTGTTCCTGCACAAGGCCCTTTGCCCGCCACAGCCCACAGTTCCCACTCATTTCTGCCCCACAGTCCATGCTGCTCCTGGCCCCAAAGCTGAACGAGGCCAACCTCAATGTGGAGCTGATGAAGCACTTTGCACGGCTACAGGCCAAGGATGAACAGGGCCCCATCCGCTGCAACACCACAGTCTGCCTGGGCAAAATCGGCTCCTACCTCAGTGCTAGCGTGAGTGTCCTGCACAACTGCTGGAGCCCGGTCCCTGTCGCAGGACCACAGCCTCCTCCAGGGCCAGGAGTCTTGTGTGTGGGGGCCTTCATTCTCCCAGAGACTTAGACCCTGCACGCTGTTGGCCCCATATCTGGGTTCCCAGAGGAGGAGTGAGTTGGCCGAAGTCACACAGTCAGGAGGGATCTGGGATCTGAATCCAGGCGTGCTTGGCCCCATGGCCTGTGTGCATCCCTTCAGCCAGGGTTTGTAAGTTCAGTTGCTTGCCGTGCCCAGACAGTTAACAGGAATGAACGGTCAGCTGGGCAGGGAGGAAGGGAGCCTGTGTCCGAGCCCTGGGGACAGCTGCTGTTGTGGTCCCATGCCCTGAGGCAGTGTGGAACCCAGTGATTTGGGAAGAGAAGCCCAGGTCCAGAGTTTTAGGTCAACTCTCCCCATTTAAGTGATTCATTCATATTTTTCAGATTCTGGGGACCTATGGGTGGTCCCATTCTGGGAAGTAAGGGCTGGTGGTTCTGGGTCCCAACATTGACCCTACACTCAGGAGCCCTCTTTCCTGCCCCATCGTAGACCAGACACAGGGTCCTTACCTCTGCCTTCAGCCGAGCCACTAGGGACCCGTTTGCACCGTCCCGGGTTGCGGGTGTCCTGGGCTTTGCTGCCACCCACAACCTCTACTCAATGAACGACTGTGCCCAGAAGATCCTGCCTGTGCTCTGCGGTCTCACTGTAGATCCTGAGAAATCCGTGCGAGACCAGGTGAGGCACAGCTGGGCCTGGGCCCTGGGCTGGGGCTGTAGGGGATGTCAGCCCCTAGCTGGCCTGGTAGGTTCTTGGGAACCCCAGAGACCCCAGCTCTGCCTCGTTACCCCACAGGCCTTCAAGGCCATTCGGAGCTTCCTGTCCAAATTGGAGTCTGTGTCGGAGGACCCGACCCAGCTGGAGGAAGTGGGTGAGTGGCTTACACTCGTGTTCCCTCTTTCCCTGCCATGTCCTTGACTGTGACCTGTTTGTGTCCCACCCCCACTGGAGTTTCTGAAAGGTCCTAGTGAGCAGACTTGACTCAGCTCCCCCTTCACAGATGGGAGAAATCAGGCCTGGAGAAAGGAGGGGTGGCTGCAGGGCACTGTCAGTTCCTGCTGTCCTGTCACCCATGGGTGCCTGACGTGCCCATACCCACCTCTCTCTCATGCCACTGCCCAGAGAAGGATGTCCATGCAGCCTCCAGCCCTGGCATGGGAGGAGCCGCAGCTAGCTGGGCAGGCTGGGCCGTGACCGGGGTCTCCTCACTCACCTCCAAGCTGATCCGTTCGCACCCAACCACTGCCCCAACAGAAACCAACATTCCCCAAAGACCCACGCCTGAAGGTGAGTGTCCTGGCCTAGCTGCATCAGTGGCTGAGAGGGCTGAGAGCTGCAGGCACCCAGGAACTCTTACTGTCTGACTCCCCCGGGGATGGTGAAGGGGATATAGGAGCTGGGTAGGCTCCAGTCACCCTGTGGGCTTCCTTGGTGCCCCTTCCCCCCAGTAGCCCCCTTCCCCTAGCAGCCTCTGCCCTGTCCCAAGACCCCCCTGAAAGCTCAGTGAGCCTCTGCTCCCCAGGAGTTCCTGCCCCAGCCCCCACCCCTGTTCCTGCCACCCCTACAACCTCAGGCCACTGGGAGACGCAGGAGGAGGACAAGGACACAGCAGAGGACAGCAGCACTGCTGACAGATGGGACGACGAAGACTGGGGCAGCCTGGAGGTGTGTGGGGCTGAGGGAGCCTCCCCAGGGGACCCCAGCTCAAATCCACAGGCTGCCATTCAGGGAGCTTCTGTGGGGCCTGGCTGGAGTTGGCCTGTCCTCATCAGCACAGCATCCCTGGCACGTAGGCCTCATGGAGTGGCCATTGTAGGCCAGAGCCAGCAGCAGGCCCCATTCAACCCCAGCGGCCCCAGGGAGCAGGCTAGGCAGATGGTGCCTGGGGCATTCCCTGAACTTCCTCACTCTTACCCACACCGTCCCCCTTTCCCCTCCTCCAGTGCCCACCCAGCCATGGGGGTCAGCAAGGAGAGGCCACTCCTGGGTCTAGAACCAGACCAGTTCTGCTTGGGGGATGGGCTCAGGTTGGGCTGAGGGAGGACTGGGGCTGTCCTCAGAATGGGGCAGAGCTGGGGGCCCAATTTCCCCATCTGGCTGACAGCAGCAGTTTCTGGCCCTCAAGGCTGTTGGAAGGGGCATCTAGATCTCATTCCCCAGCCTTAAAGAGGGGTGAGGGCAGGCCAGGGTCAGCGTCCATTTAATAGATGGGAAACAGGGCCTGAGGAGCAAATGAGGAGGAAGGCAAAAGACAGTGGTGGGGCCCGTGGCTGGGATGATGCTGGGGCGGGCTCACTTGCCCTTTAGCATGGGGTGGGAGTCAGTGGTCCCTTCCCACACTGCAGCAGGAGGCCGAGTCTGTGCTGGCCCAGCAGGACGACTGGAGCACCGGGGGCCAAGTGAGCCGTGCTAGTCAGGTGAGCTGGGTCTGGTGGGGAGGTGTGTGTATGGGGCTCTTTCCTCCTTGGGCCCAGGGCTACTTCCCCCTCCCGCTCTTCTACAGGTCAGCAACTCCGACCACAAATCCTCCAAATCCCCAGAGTCCGACTGGAGCAGCTGGGAAGCTGAGGGCTCCTGGGAACAGGGCTGGCAGGAGCCAAGCTCCCAGGAGCCACCTCCTGACGGTACACGGCTGGCCAGCGAGTATAACTGGGGTGGCCCAGAGTCCAGCGACAAGGGCGACCCCTTCGCTACCCTGTCTGCACGTCCCAGCACCCAGGTACCCAGCACAGGTCTGGCGAGAGGGTAGAGATGGTGGACCTCAGCCAGAAGTGGGCCCCACTGCAGCCCACACTTCTCTTTACAGCCGAGGCCAGACTCTTGGGGTGAGGACAACTGGGAGGGCCTCGAGACTGACAGTCGTAAGTGCTTCCCCTGGGTGGGCTGAAGACTAGGGCTCCCCGACTAGCCCGCCCCTACAGGCCCCCGGCAGGCACTGGCTGGAGAGCTGAGACCGGGGCTCCCCTTCCTGACGCCAGGACAGGTCAAGGCTGAGCTGGCCCGGAAGAAGCGCGAGGAGCGGCGGCGGGAGATGGAGGCCAAACGCGCCGAGAGGAAGGTGGCCAAGGGCCCCATGAAGCTGGGAGCCCGGAAGCTGGACTGAACCGTGGCGGTGGCCCTTCCCGGCTGCGGAGAGCCCGCCCCACAGATGTATTTATTGTACAAACCATGTGAGCCCGGCCGGCCCAGCCAGGCCATCTCACGTGTACATAATCAGAGCCACAATAAATTCTATTTCACACCCCTTGTGCCGGGCTCAGTCTAGCCCCTGGGAGGCGGCTGGGGTCTGGCGCCGCCCTGCGCAGCCCGCGCCCACGTCAGACGTGAACATCAATTTGCTTCGAAAGCCAAGGGTAAAGAGGCACGATCTGATTTATCAGTTTCTAGGAAACACCCTCTGGGAGGAAGGCAGGCAGCGCCCGCCGGAGACCTTACAACCGCCCGCTAACCGGGGAGGGGGGCCGGTAGGGGCGCCTCGGGTCTCAAGGCGCCGGGAGGGTCTGCGGGCCCTGAAGGTCCCTGGGTCCGAGCCACAAGTCGGGGCAGAAGTGAGGCCGAGCTCGCGGAAATCCCTCAGTGATCACCGAGGTCTGGGCCGAGGGCGGCGTCGGCGGCGTCAGCGGCGGCGCTGGGGAACGCAGGCCCCGTGCGGGCGGCTGCGCGCGAAGCCGGCTTTGCAGACGCAGCGGAAGGAGCCGCTGGTGTTCACGCAGCGCTCGCTCTTGCACAGCAGCCCGCGCTGGTTCAGCTCTCGGCACTCGTCGATATCTGAAGGTGAGGGCGACAGGTGCGGCTTCGCTGAGCCTCCAGGCGGCTCCTCACCACCGGCCCCGCCCCTGCCCCCACCCCCGAAGCCCGGCTCACCCACGCAGCGGGCGCGGGAGGCGTCGAGCTGGAAGCCGCCGGGACACTCGCACACGGCGCCGCCCGGCCGCGGCACGCAGCGGCCACTCACGCAGCGACACTCGTCTGAATCCTCCTCTGAACTGTCCTCATCTGCGTGGCCCGGAACAATATGGACTTCAACACTGAGCCCCGGCCAAAGGCTACCAACCCCGCCACCGCCCGACCCGGCAGCACTCACCTCTTGGGGGCTTCCCCAACAGCAGGGGGCTTGTGTCCCAGAAGGAATTGCTCTCGCTCTGCGATGTCGGGCAATGGGACCCTGGGAGGAGCAGAACTGGTCAGCGACGTCCGGGTCCCCGGGCCCTGGCCCCCATCCTCGCTCCCGGCCAACTCCTCCCCGACTGCCTTACCCGCGCCGCGCGGCGGGCACGGTCGGCATTGGGCGCCCCAGCCGCGGCCCTGGCGGCAGCAGCAGTCGTCGAAGGTGAGGGCAGGCCCGGCCAGGGGGCCAGCGCACATGCCGTCCTCTCCGCGCTGGCTCCAGCACACGTCGCGCCGCTCCGGGGCACGCTCTGCGGAAGACACCTGGCATCAGGGGAGGGGCCCAAGGCAGGAACCGCCCGCCTCCGCCCCACCCCACCTGCGCGGGGGCCACGTGACGGACAGGGCCCCGGGATCGGCCAAGGCCAACCCTCGCCCTCACCGGCCGGGCTCTCGGGGAGCTGGCAATCGCGGCCGGAGGGCCCGGGCACCCAGGGCGGGCGACACTCGCAGCGGTAGGAGCCCGGCAGGTTGACGCAGCGGCCAGGGCGGCAGGCTGCCGGGTCCTGGCACTCGTCCACGTCTACGAACAGCGAGGGGGTGGGTGGGGGCCGTCACAGCTCGGCCCGGGCCCCGCCCCTCCCGCGTACCCCACTCCCCGGCCCGGGCCTCACCCATCTCTTCCGGGCTCAGGCACTGGCGCTGCGCGGGACTGTACTCGGCAGGGGGCGTGCAGGCACAGCGGTAGCCGCCGCGCGTGTTCTCACACACTCCGTTCCGGCAGTTGGACTCGTCCAGGCACTCGTCCACGTCTGCAGGGAGGAAAAGCGTGGGTAGCAGGGGCAGGCCCGGGATGGGCGCGGTGGCGCGTGTCTCCCTGCCGCTTCCCCACGGCCGCCGGGGGGCGGAGCTCACCCACGCATTCCAGCAGGTTCCCGTCGTAGTAGAAGCCCTGCTTGCAGTAGCACTCGTAGCCAGGCTGCGTGTTCACGCACTTGCCCTCCTTGCAAATCTCCGACCCGAACAACATGCACTCGTCGATGTCTGCGGGGTGACAAACACTGGCCGCTCCGGTCCCGCAGCTGCAGCCCGGAGGCGTGGGCTGGGCGCACCACCGGAGCGAAGCCATCCCCGGGCGGGGCCTACAGGAGGGGCGGGGCCTACAGGGCGGGGCCTGCGAGGAAGGTGCGGGCGGGGCTTACCCGGCGCGGGCAGCTGACCCAGCGAGTCCCGGCGGGATCCGGGCGAGCCCAACCCGGGGTGAGAGGGCGCGGGGCGGGCGGAGCCGCAGGGCGCTTACCACGGTGGGCTGGGATGCCGTAGTTGACGATGTTGTTGTCCTGGGTGTAGCCCTTTCCGTCTGGGCAGAGGCTGTGGAACTCGGCTGCAGGGGCAGGGCGGCCGTGGGGAGGGAAGAGGCAGGACTGAGCGCGCGCGTGGGCTTAGGGCTGCAGCCCGCCGCCTATTTCCCAACTGCCAGGGGGCGCCATTTCCCACATTTGGCTTCCAGATGAAGAAACTGAAGATCTGGGAAGGGGCCTGCCCGGCTCCTGACCTGAGCTGTAGACTGGGCAGGGGTAGATTTCGCAGTGGTCGCCCCAGCCGGCCCCCAGAGAGCAGCAGCACTCCTGCTGGGTCACGTTGGTGGCCAATACGCTGTCGCAGAACACTGTGTCATCGAAGTTCAGGTAGCACTCCTTCTTGTGGTGGGGCTGCTCCACCTCTGAGGGGCAGACGGCAGCTCAGGGTTGTGCACAGACCCCCCTTGGCCCTGTCCACCCTGCCCACCCACCACAGGTCTTTCCCCCCACATTCCCTGGCTCCCCTTAGCCTCCTCCTGAGAGTTGGCTCTGTTCTCAACGTGGTGTTCTGGACCCTTCATCGTCTGGCCCCACCAGACTCCCCCAGCCAAAAGAGATTTCTTCCGGTTCCCCAAATTTAGGAGGGTGGGGCCAGGACACATCTCTGAATCCCAGCTGCAGCTCAGGGGAGTTGTCCAGTCCGAGGGAGGAGCTGGGAGGACACTCACCCTCACAACCGTGCTGGTCCTGGGTGGGAGTGAAGCCCTCATCGCAGACACACACATAGGAGCCCTGAAGGTTCTTGCAGGCCCCATGGGGAAGGCACAGGCTCGGGTCCTGGCTGCACTCATCTATGTCTGCGGGGCAAGAGTAGCGCAGCTGGAAACCCAGCCCCTCTTTCCCTGGGGCTGCACCTCAAGGGCCTCACACAAGTTCAGAACCTGAATTTCCACTTTGGTTTCAAAGTATGTACAGCAGGAAGTCTGCTGTGTCTGTGCATGTGTCTGAATGTGCATGTGGACATTAGCTGCTGTCCTTCATAACACCTTCAGTGGCTCCCACTAACCTTACAAAACCTAAAAGTATCAGAAGCCCAAATGGAAAGGCCTCAAATGCAATTGAGCTTCCGATACCTTTAGGTCTCATCACGCCTTACTCTAGACCACCCTCCACTCCCCAACTCTGTGCTCAGGGCACCCTCCCCTCCTCTGTAAACACAACTAGCTCCTTCCAGATCTCTATGCTTTGCAATTACTGCTCTTTGGTCCTGGAATGACTTCTCGTGCCTTGCCTTTCCCATGCCTAGGGAACTCCTACTTACGTTTCAGTCCAGTTCAACATTCACCTCCCCATTGCAATTAATCATTAGTCTATACCTTTCTTGGCACCCAGGACCCTGAACTGTCAGAATCAGTTTACATGTTGGCCTCCCCTAGCTGGGAGCCCTGGGTGATTGTTGATTACCTAGTACAAAGCACAGAACCTGGAAAATAGTAGGTGCTCAATAAACTTTTTTTTTTTTTTTTTTTTTTTTTGAGATGGAATCTCACTCTCTGCCCAGGCTGGAGTACAGTGGCGTGATCTCGGCTCACTGCAACCTCCGCTTCCCATCTTCAAACGATTCTTCTGCCTCAGCCTCCCGAGTAGCTGGGACTACAGGCGTGCGCCATCACGCCCGGCTAATTTTTGTATTTTTAGTAGAGATGGGGTTTCACCATATTGGCCAGGCTGGTCTTGAACTCCTAACCTCATGATCCGCCCGCCTCAGCCTCCCAAAGTGCTGGGATTACAGGCATGAGCCACCGCCCCCAGCCTGAGCCACTGCACTCAGCCTAAACTTTTGTTGGATGAATGCATGTGTATGGGTGAGTTGATGGGGAAGACCAATACATTAATATCTGTAAAGAGCTTAACAGAGTGCCTGGCACATAGTAAGCACCACGATAGCACTAACTGTCATGTTTACTGTGATCATTGTTATTCTAGGTGAAAGACTGGAAGGCTGAGCAGATGGATGGGTGGGTGAGTGGAAGGATGAATGGAAGGATGGATGGATAGAAGGATGGATGGATGGATGGATGGATGGATGGATGGATGGATGGATAGATGGATGGATGGATGGATGAAGGATGGTTGGATGGGTGGATGGATGGATGGAGAAAGGCCACAGTGTGTCTAGGGAATTACTGCTCCCTGCCACATCCCTCAGGAACCCTCAGCCAGTCCCCCATACCTTGGCATTTCCTGCCACCCACCAGCCGATGCCCCTGGGGGCAAAGACATCTGTAGGAGCCATTGGTATTGATGCAGTCACCCCCAATGCAGGCTGCAGGGAAGTCACACTCATCAATGTCTGTAGGGGATGGAAGGGGTGGAGAATCTCAGGGGCTGATCACCAACCCCAGCCTGAGGCAGCCAAAGCTTTCTCCCAGAGCCCTGGGTCAGTCCCACGCCCCTATGCCCCAACTGAGATCTGGATTAGGACTGGACCCTGGGGGGTGGGGGTCCTGGGGTAGGGAGGGACAGGTCAGCACCCCAGCTCTAAGATCCCTCACCCTCGCAGTGGCTCCGGTCCCTGGACAGATGGTAGCCAGAGAGGCACTGACACTGGAAAGATCCTGGCGTGTTGCTGCAGATGCCATTGTCACACACGTCCCCAGCCTCACACTCGTCCACATCTGCAGGGCATAGGGGGTGTCAGAGGACCAGGCTGGGTGGTCTTGGGTTTCTACTACTGTTTTCTCACTTCTGCGCATGGCCTGGAGCACCAGAGCTGAGGCCAGCAGCACTCAGAAGCACAGGCCTCACCCTGCTTCTGGGTGGCACACAGTGCCCTGACGACCAGGTCAGGTGCTGCCAGGGTCCCTAGGCCAGGTCTGATGCTAAAGAGCCTCCCCAGCCTCCCCCGCCCTCTCTCCCTGCCCCAGCCGCTTTCACTGCTGCTCCCACCCTTCCCTCACCTGCCATGGCTCCCTTTTTCCTCTGGGGATAAACTCCCTATCCTTGTTCTTCCCACTTTCTTCTGCTCATGCAGTAAAGGAACTTGACCCTCCCCCGGGACACACTTTCCTGAGGCCTCTCTGATGGAGCCAGTTGTTGCCCACATCCCAGACCCCTCCAAGCCTGAGCTCGGCCTCTGAGGTGCCGCCGGCCTCCTGCAGCCTCAGTCCTCCTGTGGCTGTCAGCACCCACCTTCCTCATTCCTCCTGCTCTGTTTTTCTCTCCATCCTGGGAGTTTCGAACATCCGCGTGGACAACCAGGTCAGCCTCTGACCTCACATTCCTGGATCTCTCGGCTTCCGTGACCTTCCCCTCACTCTCAGGGTCCCAAGGGGATTTTCATCACTCAGATCTGCTCCACCCTGGGGCCCTCAGAGGCTGCCTTCTTTCCACTGTTCTCAAGTCCTCACCTCCACCTTCTCTCTCACAGGGCTTGGTGGCCTCCCTCTCAGTCCTCCGAGCTTGCCTGACACCCCCAGACTCTGATAGTTCCCAGCTGGAGCCCAGGGCTTATCATCCCTAGGACTCCCGTCCCTGATCCATAAACACCTCTCCTTCCTCCTCACTGTCTGGCAATGCCCAGTCTCTGGTCAGAGCTGTGGCCTGTGGATCCTGGGTGCGGAGTGGGACTGGAGCAGCCACCAAGCTGAGCATGCTGGAACATACCCACAGGCTTCAGCCTCAGTCCAACAGAGCCTCGTGTGGCTGGCACCTCCCTCTCTGACTCCTCTAAAGCTTTGACTTCCATAAAGCCCCTAGGCAGCCCCATGCCCTGGGATACTTCCAAACCGCCACTGTTCTCCTGAGTCCCCTACTCAACCCAGGCCCTTCACTGTGTATTGAGAGAATTAAAGGTAATCCCCCTTAACCCACTGAACATCGTTATCTACATCCATTCCCCTCCTGCTCCTGTTACAGCAAGAGATGTCCCTTCCGCTGGCTCTCCTCCCTCCTCTCCTGACCCTGCTGCCCTCGTCTCCTGGTCCACTCTCCTGGCATCACCTCCTCAGCCTATACCAAAGCCCCACTTTGGAAGAGCAAGAGTCCCCAGGTCTTGTTCTTCTTCACTTTCTGCCCACATATCTCTGGCCTCTGTCCCTATCATATCCCAAAAGCTACCCTGCCAAGGCTACCAGGGACCTTCTTGCCAAGGAAGGCATCACTAGGATTTCCATGTAGGATTAGGGGGCAGACCCCTAAGTCTTGTCCTAAGACTTATTGTCTCACCAGTTATTATTTTACAAGAACCTCTCTACTGCACTTGGCTCATCCTCCTCCTTCCCTGGAAATATGTCCTCCCCAGCTTCCCAGATGGTGCCCCTCAGGCGCCCCTGCCATCCCTCCCCCACCATCTCCTCCAACGCCTTCCGCAGCCTGCCCCTGAACTGTCAGTGTCCACAAGGCTCTGCTAGATGCTCTGCTTACCCAACCCACCTTGGGTTGGCTAAGCAGGCCCACCCAAGACTCCATAGCTCCCCCGGTCCATGGTCCATCATTCCAGGTGGGTATGCTGGCATCTCCTGCTGAGAGGCTCACAGGCACAATCCATTCAATTTGTCCAATGTGGAGCTCAGCATTTTCCCTCCCAAACATGCCCACGCATGAGGACCCATTCCCAGTGAGCAGCACTACCCCCTCACTCACCCAAACTGGAAACGGGGAGGGGTCGTTATCACCCTCGCTTTCACTTGACATCCAGTTAAAAAACCCAGGAGGTCTAATATTTCTCCAATATCATCGTCTCATGGCCATCCTGAGCCCACCACTCATCCTGTCCACCACTGTCTCCGCCCTAAGTCTCTGCAACAGACCTCCCTCCACAATCAGCAGCAGGGAACGTTCTAAAACAAATGGCAAATCTTGTCACTCTTACACTTAAAATGCTGCAGGTGCCCTCTAACACCTTCTGGGTGAAGCACAACCTCCCAGGCAGGACTTAGGGGGCCCTCCAAGGGATGGGGACCTGTCCCTCCCCGGCCAGCCTCAGCCCCCATAGCCTGATCATTCCTTACAGTTCCCCAACACCCCACCCTCTGTCTCACCTCTGATCTGCCAGTGCCAACCCCTGTGCCTGCCATGCTGTTCCTCTCCTCCTTTCTTGCCCAATTCCTAGTGATTCTTTAAGATGACCCAGGCCTCCTTCCTCCCATCCCGCTGTGTCTCCAGGAAGCAGCCCAGCTCCATCCAGGCCCAGCACTGCATGCTACAGTCTGTCTTTCCTTCTCCAGTTTTCAATGAGTCCCAGCCCCCAGCCCCGCCTCTTGGCGTATAATAAACAGGAGTGCAGGGGGGAGTACTATCGTCTGCCCTCATTCTTTGATATCTTTTTTCCTTCAAATTTAAGTAACATGCTTTGCAAACGCAGCTTCGAGCTCTACCCCGAGACCCTTCCTACGTGGAAATTCTAGTGGTGCCTTCCTTGGCAAAGTTCGTTGAGAAAATGAGTGAGCAGAGTCACCTGGGGATGAATGAGCCACCTTCCACCCACTGTTTACAGACAGCGTGACCCGCTCCCCGGCTTCAGCGCGTAGGGGGCGGCGGAGGCCCGGGGCGGGGGTGCTGGCGCTCACCCAAGCAACTGCGGCCGTCGGGCGCGGGCGCGTAGCCCTGGGCACAGGTGCAGCGGAAGGAGCCCGGGAGGTTCTCGCACCAGCCAGGCGAGCAGGGGCTGCCCTCGGCGCACTCGTTCACGTCTGCGGCGGAAAGACCTAGCCTCGGACTCTGCCCCACCGGAAGGCGGACCGCGCACCTCGCGGGGGTGTGGGTCTCTTCCCTGGAACGCGGGGTTGAGAGGGCAGCCTCTACTCCCGGAAGGCCCCGCCCCCAGACGCCAATCACCACCGCTACCCCGCCCCGCCCCCAGCGGAGCCAGACTGGGGGAGGCACCTGACGGCCCCACCCACTCGGCTCCGGGCCCCGCCCTCACCGCGACAGGCCCCGCCCCCCTGGCTGCGGTAGCCAGGCTGACAGGCGATGCACTTGAAGCTCCCGGGCTTGTTCTCGCATTTGCCATCCGGGCAAGAGCTTGGGTCCCGGCACTCGTCGATGTCTGCACGGGAGGGAGAAGGAAGAGGACCCATCTGGGGACAACGCGGGTGGCCCGGCTCCCAGCGTCCACAGCAGGGACTTCCTCCCACACAGATCAACGAGGCTCCCGGACCCCAACCTCTGAGAGGCCCAGAGCCGAGCATACAGGCCGGGTGCGGTGGCACACGGCTGTAATCCCAGCACTTTGGGAGGCCGAGGCGGGTGGATCACCTGAGGTCAGGAGTTCGAGACCAGCCTGGCCAACATGGCGAAACCCCGTCTCTACTAAAAATACAAAAATTAGGCGTGGTGGCAGGCGCCCGTAATCCCAGCTACTCGGGAGGCTGAGGCAGGAGAATCGCTTGAACCCGGGAGGCGGAGGTTGCAGTGAGCCAAGATCTCACCACCGCACTCCAGCCTGGGCGACAGAGTGAGACTCCGTCTCGGGGGAAAAAAAAAAAAATGCAGGCACCCCAGCCCCACCCCAGGTGGAGAGACAGCTAAGGAGCTCCTTCTTTGGTCTGAATGGGGTCCCCTCACCTTCGCACACAGGAGGCCGGGAGGCTTTGAGCCGGTAGCCGGGGTAGCAGTTGCACTTGTAGTGACCGGGAAAGTTGATGCAGAAGCCGCCGTCGCCGCACAGGTGGGGCTTGGCGCATTCGTTCAGGTCTGTGCGGGAGGAAGGGGCCACGAAGGGGGTGTAGGAGGCGGCGGGCAAGGGGAGGGATTACACGGCGGTCTGGAGGAGAGCCCGTCCCACCCAGGGCCGCCTCCGCCCTGGCGGCGCTCACCCACGCACGAGCGCCCCCCGGCGCCCACGTGCAGGCGGTAGCCGCGGTTGCAGTGGCAATTGTAGGAGCCGCCGGTGTTCATGCAGATGCCCCTCCCCGGGCCACAGGGCTCTGCCTCGCACTCGTTCACATCTGAGAAGAACGGGTAGGCCAAGAAAAGTCAAAGGAAGCGTCGTTATCTGGGGTCCCCCCCCACCCACCTGCATGCCCGCCGCCTGCCCTGCGCTCACCCACGCAGTAGCGGTGCTGGGGATGTGACCGGTAGCCGGGGTTGCAGTGGCAGGAGTAGTCAGGGGGGCCCGGCACGCACTCTCCGTGGCCACAGATGTTCTGGTTCAGTCGGCACTCATCAGTCTCTGCGGGCATGGCCAGGTCAAGCGGCAGAGCAGGGAGCGCTCACCTTCTGCCATATCCCCAGGGCAGACCTCAACACCCCAGTCACACCATGACCTCAGGTTCCTGTACGCCCATACTCCAACTCCAGGATGTCCTATTTCTCTCTTTTAGATAACCCCAATATCAAGACCCCAGAAAGCTCCAAACTAGGACTCCAGGCCCCTGACAGCCGTATCACCCCACACCCAGGCCCGGATACTTCCATTCCCGGTTCACTCCAAGACCCTGACCCCACTCACCTCAAACCAAACCACATCCCCTCAGGGCCCCTCAGTCGTCCCAGTACTCCCACCCAAGGGACTAAAACTCCTTTCTCCCCAGTCGCCTCAATACCTTAAACTCTATAGCCTCGGTCACACCAGTGTCCTCTAGCCCAGTGACTCCATAAGCCCTTGCCCCAGGGACCCGACCCCCTATTCCAGAAGGGTTGATTACCCCCTCCCAAGACTAGCAGGAGCTGGTTTCCTGGGAATCCTAACTAGTGCCAAAGCTGTGCACAGGCAGTCAGATCCAGGAACCACCCCCCTCACTCTCTTTGTCACCAAGCCCAGGACTCCCTGCCTCCAGCCTCTCCCCTCCTTTGGATCCTCACTGCTCACCAGTTTCATTTCCCACACCCCTTCCCCCTCACTCCTGCCATGCAGCCTGGGCCATAACAGTGAACTCTGCTCTGCCCCAAACTCACCTGGCCAGTGGGCTTTGCAGGCTGTTCTCTTTGCCTGGAGTACCTCTCCTTAGGCTTCCTTAACAGCCCCTCCTTTGAGGGGCCTTGTCCACATTCCCAAAGCCCCCAAGAACAGCCATCTCCCACCTGAGCCCTAACCCTAGGAGCTCATGGAGGATCAGGGTTTCAGCTGGGTTGGCAGTTCCCTTGTGCTTTTGAAGCCCACACAGGCATGGGCTTGAACACGGCTCAGCTGTGTGACCTGGGGCAGGTTACTGAACCTCTTTGAGGCTCAGCTTTCTCATCTGGAAAACGAGGCTAACAACGCTCACTTTGCAGAGTATGAGAAGGTTAAATGGTATTTAGAACGTAAAACTCTTCAGACAGTACCTGGCACAGAGGGACTGCTCAGTCTGAGCTAGCAATTATGATGCTCAAAATCCTGCAGACACTGCCCATAGCCTCTGGCATTAAACTCAAGCCTCCTTGACAAGGCTCAGTGCACTGGACTTCCCCTGGTTCAGAGACACTGGCCTGTGTGTGGGTTCTCCCTCCTCCACCAGTGTTTCATGCTTCCATGCCTTTGCCCAACTTAACTTCCCTTGTGATATCCTTTTCCCAACCTGAATGCCCCTCCCTTCCTCATGTCTCTGGCATTTCTAACCATCTTTCTTTTTTTTTGAGATGGAGTCTCACTCTGTCCCCAGGCCGGAGTGCAGTGGCACGATCTTGGCTCACTGCAACCTCTATCTCCCAGGTTCAAGTGATTCTCCTGAGTAGCTGGGACTACAGGCATGCACCACCACGCCCAGCTAATCTTTTTTTTTTTTTTTTTTTTTTTTGGATTTTTAGTAGAGACTGGGTTTCACTATGTTGGCCAGGATGGTCTCAATCTCTTGACCTCGTGATCCACCCACCTCAGCCTCCCAAAGTGCTGAGATTACAGCCGTGAGCCACTGCACCCTGCCACAGTTTCCCAGTTTTCACAGGAAAACTCCCCAGGCCGGGAAAAAAAAAAAAAAAAAAAAGAGCATGGTGGCGCACACCTGTAATCCTGGCACTTTGGGAGGCCAAGGCTGGAAGATCACTTGAGCCCAGGAGGTCAAGGCTGTAGTGAGCCATGATCCTGCCACTGACTCCAGCCTAGGTCACAAGGTGAGACCCTGTCTCAAAAAACAAACTAAACAAATAAAAAGAAAGAAAGGAACCCAAATATTTCTTGAGCACCTACTATGTGCCAGGCACTGTTGAGGTGCTAGGGATATTGCATGAACAAAAACAGACAAAAATTTCCTGTCCTCGCAGAGCAGACAGGCAACAAGCCGATCAATAAGCAGAATCTCCTATGTCTTATAAATGCTATGAAAAACTAAATCAGGGCCAGGCGTGGTGGCTCACACCTGTAATCCCAGCACTTTGGGAGGCCAAGTCGGGCGGATCACAAGGTCAGGAGATCAAGACCATCCTGATTAACATGGTGAAACCCCATGTCTACTAAAAATACACAAAAAAATTAGCCGGGTGTGGTGGTGGGCGCCTGTAGTCCCAGCTACTCAGGAGGCTGAGGCAGGAGAATGGCGTGAACCCGGGAGGTGGAGCTTGCAGTGAGCCGAGATCGCGCCACTGCACTCCAGCCTGGGCGACAGAGCGAGACTCCGTCTCAATCTCAAAAAATAAAAAATAAAAATAAAAATAAAAAAATCAGAGTAGAAGGAAGGAGTTCTGAGGGTTGTGATAATAAGTAGGGTGGCAATGATAGAAGGCTTTCTGAACAGATTTTGAAAGATGGTTATGGGCTGGGAACAGTGGTTCATGCCTGTAATCCCAGCACTTTGGAAGGCCGACACGGGCGCATCACGAGGTCAAGAGATCGAGACCACCCTGGCCAACATGGTGAAACCCCGTCTCTACTAAAAAAAAAAAAATTAGCTGGACGTGGTGGCGCATGCCTGTAATCCCAGCTACTCGGGAGGCTGAGGCAGGAGAATCGCTTGAACCCGGGAGGCGGAGGCTGCGGTGAGCCGAGATTGCGCCACTGCACTCCCGCCTGGCGACAGAGCAAGACTCCGTCTCAAAAAAAACAAAAAACAAAAAACAAAAAAAAACTGGGAAACCTGCTAGACAAATTCTAAAAGACCTGTAACACTAATAAGTATTTGTTGAATGAATGAAATCCCTCAGAATGGGCTAACCACCATGCTACCTGGATCGTTTAGGGCAGTGGGATCTCTGGTGCTCACCAGGCTTCCCCAGTGCCCAGCCCTGGATACACGCTAGCCTATTAGCGCTAGGGAATGCCTGGGGGCGGGAGGGAGGAGAGAAAACTAAAGTGGGGGCGTGGCCTAGGCAGGGGTGGCTTTGCTGGGCGGGCCTTACCTGTGACCTGAGTGGGAGCGATCTCTACGGCGCTGCGGGAAGGAGGCAAGTCCGGCAGGAACCAGCGCATGGTCGGGGGCGAGGGACGGGAGATCAGCTCTGCGGGCGGCAGTGCACTCTGGTCAGAGACGATATTGACTGAAGCCTCCCTTTCCACTTCAGTCTTGGCCCGGCGCCCCACCCCAGCTTGACTGTCCCCGAGTACTTAAACTGTGAACTCCCCGCCCACCCAGTGATTTAGCCCTTGAGGACTCATCCCTACAGTGCCCAGCTCACCGGGGTAGGGCCGGGCAGGAGTCGTGGTGGCAGTTGGGTGGCTCTGCTGCACTGACCTCTCCTCACTCACCGGCTGCGGGTGACAGCAGCATGAGCCCTCCTGTCCCTCGCCTGCCCACCCCTCCCATCTGGGTTCTCATACTCACTGAGTCCGTGGTCACCCCTAAAAGGGAAGAAGATGGGGCCATGAAGTGTTGGGGCGGGAGAAGGGAGTCAGATCTGGGATCAGCAGCTGAGTATTTGCAGTTAGGGTCTCTGGGAGTTCAACAATCATGTCTCCAGGTCAAGGGTCAGGGGTTAGATTCTGGGGTTAGGGTGTGTTTGCATAGTAGTCACATGATCAGGTTGAATGGCCTTGGGTTACAGGTCAGGCTGTAGAAGGCTTAGGAGGTTATAGCTCAGGGTCAAATATCTGGGTCAGGGGTCAGAGGGTCAGGTGGGAGGTCAGTGGATGGGTCAGGGATAAGGAATTGGGGGTTAGACTGTGAGGTCAGATCTGTGGATCACGGGTCAAGGGGTCAGGCCTAGGGGCTTGGCATGGGTCAGGGATCAGAAGGGGTCAGGCTAGACCTCTCTCTTCCTCTGTGTCCTCAGGTGGTGGAGCCTGGCTAGGGCTCTCCGGAAGCTGCTGGGGCTTGGGTGGCCCGTCAGGGTGCAGGAAAAGGGAAAAGTCACTCTCGCCCTGAATGGTGAGCGTCTGGTGGGAGGTGAGAATGTGGTATCCCTTCCCAGCTGGGCAGATCTCCTTGAACGCAGCTGCAGTCAAGACAGCAGACACAAAAGTGAGCATTTCCTGGACAGGTGCATGGACCTATGAACCCCTATCCCCGGGTAACCCTGACTCACCGGTGCCATCTGTTGGGCAGCGCTGACACCGCGCGCCCCAGGCCTTGCCGACACTGCAGCAGCAGAGCTGGCGGGTCAGGCGGGTGGTCAGTGGGTGCTGGCACTGGTGCTCAGGGCTCACCAGGCGGAAACACAGGCTCTTCTCCTCCGGTTTGTCTGCTGCAGGGGCCAGTGGGGGGCATGGGCATCTGAGCCTGCACATTGCCCACGTCCCTCTGCCCAGCTGCTGCAGACCTTGCCTCTCCGGCCCAGACAACCCTTGATCCCCCATGTGGTCTCTGACCCCATATGACCCTGAACTCATGTGACCCCTGAAACTTATGTGACCACTGACCCCATTGACTCCCGATTCTAGCTATCCTGGACTTCACCACTCCTACTCATCAAGCCTATGTTCTGCATGACTCTGACTCTATGTAATCCCTGACCCCATGTGACTGCTAATGGCAGATCTCATGTGACCCCGGACCCTGCTGATCCCTGATCCTATTGGCTCTGGGCCTTGTTCCTCCTGCAGTCAACCCTTAACCCCACTCTGATCTCTTGCGATCTCTGATCCTTGCTCCCACCCATGCCTTGTGACCTCCCAGGAACCTGAGCCCCAGGTCTCACCAATGCACTGTGTACGGGAGGGGCCTAAACTATGGCCAGGTGGGCAGACACAGCGATAGGAGCCAGGGTTGTTGAGGCAGTCACCATGGCGACACACGCCCGGCATTGCGCACTCGTTGATGTCTGTGGTAAGTGGAAGTTTGGCCCCTCTGGTCTGGGGCCATGGGGTGACAGCAGGCTGCTCCAAGAACCTCAGGGTCTTGCCCCAGCCCCACCTCCTCTCTCGCCCACCTTGGGACCCTCCCCACCCCCAGTGATGGCTGGCCTGCCCCTCCAGCCCACAGAATCTCCTAGCTGGCCATACCCTGGCAGTGGGTGCTGTTAAGCCTCTTGTAGCCCTGGGGACAGTCAGCGCCCACTTCCCCACGTACAGGCCCTGGCTTCTGCACTCCTGTGTCTGCAGAGAGAGGATAGCTTGGCAGGGGAGGGTGAGGAGGGAACTGGGGAGGGGCACAGCAGATGTAGAGAGGAATCTGGTGACCTGGGGACTCCCACTGCAGGGATGGGTGGGGTGGGTGGGGAGGGGCCACCAGATAGGGAACGCCCCCTGAGCCCAAGCACTCACACTGCAGCTGGGGACACTTGTGGCACTTGCTCTGGCCCCAGGCAGTGCCGATGCTACCGCAGCAGTCTTCCTGCTTGGTGAGGCCGGGGAGGGGGTTGCTGCCACACTAGGGGAAGGAGGGGGAGGTGGGGTCACAGAGCACCCCGCCCCGGTGCCGCCTGTTAGGGTTGGGCCTTTTCCTCTTCCCCCGCCCCTCAGTTTTCTGCTATCCGAGTGAGTTGGGGCAGAGCAACCCTGAGAGAAGGAAAGGCAGATCCCGACTGTGGATTCACTCACCGGCTGCTTGGGCAGAGTGTCCTGAAAGCAGCGGCCCAGGGGCTTCTGGGTGGGCGGCCGGGGGTGCGAGGGCTTGGGGTGCGGCAGCAGGTGCTGGGAGGGGGCTGCGCTCTCGGCGTTCGAGCTCTCAATGCGGTGCACCTGGACTGAGGCCTCGGGCGGGTGATGGACGCGCACATTCACCACGGGGGGCGGGGCCTGCACTGGGGGCGGGCGCGGTGGCCTCAGGGCTGCCCGCACCGCGCCGCGGGTCACCGCGCTGAGCTCCTCCAGGGCTGAACCTGCCCTGCCCTGGCCACCCTAGTGCCCACCCACTGGCGACCTTCCCGGGTTTGCCAGTTGCCTGGTACCTTCTGCTGAGATCTGTCCCGGGCCTAGGGGCACCAGGAAGGCTGCGTGCTGGGCAGGAGGCCCCTCCCCGGGCCCAGGAGGGTCAGCGATCACCTGGACGGCGTAGATGGCGTGCTTGCTGGCCACAGAGTCGCCCTCCGGAGCCAGGGGCGGCAGCGCCCCTGTGGACAGGGCCCCTGTCCTGCTCAGGCCGGGGCCTGAGCCGCCGGTACCCCCACCGGCTCCTCCTGCGGGCACCTGGCAGAAGCGCCCAGTGAAGTCCGGGGGACACAGGCACTGGTTTCGCGAGGAGCACTGGCCGCCATTCATGCAGGGGAGAGGGCACACCACTGGGGAGAAGAGTGGGGTCAGGCCCTCACCCACATCCTGTCTCTTTCCCCTCCTCCCTACTTCCTTGCCACCCACTGGCTCTGTCCTCTTGGGAAGCCAGGTTTTGAGATACATCCTACATAGGGAAACTGCCCTCTCTAGGTTCCCCAACATCCTTACACCTATGTTGGGTTCTGGAGTCTCAAGTCCAGGATTTAAATCCTCGCTAAGCCATGTGCCAGCTGTGCGACCCTGAGCAACTCACGTCCCCTCCCTGTGCCCCAGCGTCCTCATCTGTAGAGATGTGTGGGTTAGATGAGGTAAGGGCTGTACAAATGCTTACCCCAGGGCCTGGTACACAAAGGGTGCTTAATAAGTGGTAGCAAATAATTATGGTGATCTGGCTTTCCCCTTGAGCCTTCCAAAGGTATTGGCTCCGTCCCTGGCGCCTCCTCCTCTTCTCCCATAAACCCTTCCCTCCTTCAGGCCTCAGTCCTCTCTGCCTGCTCTCCACCCTCTCCCTCTTCACCATCCTGGGGCGCCCACCTCACCACTGCCAAAGATGTCCACATCTCAAGACACAGACACAGCCCCCAGCCTTTCCAGGGCTCTCTCAGGCACCTCTGCCCAGGACATACTGTCAGAAGTCAGCATCCTGCCTCCCCACCTCCTCTTCACCTGGCCACCAGGCATCCACAGCTGAGCCCCGACGGCTCCGTCCCTCCTGCTCTCCCCTGCCCAGTTACAGCCTCTAATGTCCCATGAACCTGCCTCCCCTCCTCCCTAGGGCCACTGCTCCTGCCCTGGCCCAGGCCTGGCCACCCAGACCCCTCCTTGGCTTCCAGCCTCTCCTGCTGGTCCACAATCTCAGTGTCCCAGAGAAACCTGCCTCAGGCAGAAGCTCACTCCATGGACCAGAACCTTTTCAGCCCATCCCCCTCTGCTCCTTCCCTGTGTACTGCACACCCCAGGACCCATCTCCCTCTTGCAAATGTGCCTGCCTCCTGCCTCCTGGCCTCATCCATGCCCTTCCCTCCACAACAGGGCCCCAGGTCCCCCCCCTCTCTATATATGCAGATCTCATCCTTCCTAGCTCAGTGTCTCCACCAGGAGGGAGGCTTTCCTCCTATCCGGCCCCCCTGAGCTCCCTCTCCTGCCTTACCACCCACTGGCCAGCTCTGCCTGGCACCTGCTTGGCTATGTTCTTGTCTGTCTGCCTCCTTATAGAGGGTGCTCTGGAAGGCAGGGCCAGGCTGGCCTCAGCTCTGGGTCCCACAGGGGGTTCGGGGGAATGAATGAAAGAATGACTGAGGGAGAGGATGGGACCTCTGTCTGTTTCTGTCCCATACTCACCTTCAACCTGTGCTACTACCAGCCTTGGGGCTCTGACTCATCCCAAAGCCCCAGCCCTTCTCCTGCCCACCCCATGGCTGCCCTCACTTCCCAGGGCAGGAGGGCAGGAGGGCGGGGGTGCTGCTCTCCTGGATGCCAGAAGGGCCTCACAGGGACAGCCCATATCCATGGCCCTCAGGGTCAGGCTAAGCACATCCCAGCCCAGCCCATCCTGCCTGGCCTCTTGGGGCCAGGCCTCACAGAGCAGAGGGGTGTGTCCTGGGCGGGGGGAGGTAGGATTCTCTTTTTCCTTTCTGCCAGTGAGTCACTCATAGCGGTGAGAGTGACCTCCCAATGACACCCGCCCACTGTGGCCTGGGCACCGAGCCTGGGGGATGTGGGCAGCACAGATGGAGACAGCAGCCTGGGCAGGATGGCCAGGGAGCCTGGGAGATGGACACACGTACACTCACACCCACAGTCCTCTTGTCACACACACACAGAGACTCATCCTGACACCAACACAGGTTCACATAAACATTCCCATACATTTGGCCGGGCGCAGTGGCTCACACCTGTAATCCCAGCACTTTGGGAGGCCGAGGCAGGTAGATCACTCGAGATCAGGAGTTTGAGACCAGGCTGACCAACATGGTGAAACTCCATCTCTACTAAATACAAAAAAATTGGCCAGGCGTGGTGGCGCATGCCTGTAATCCCAGCTACTTGGGAGGCTGAGGCAGGAGAATCACTTGAACCCAGAAGGGGGAGGTTGCAGTGAGCTGAGATTGCGCCATTGCACTCCAGCCTGGGTAACAAGAGCAAAACTCCATCTCAAAAACACAAAAACAAAAACATTCCCACATACTCTCTAACAGCGACTAGAGACACACACCCAAGACAACACAAAGACGGGTACTTCACAGTGTGCCACGCCATGCCCATGGCATGACCCCAGACACAGGGGCAATATGCGCACAGACACACGCACGCACACCCCATCTCATGACAAATTTGAGCCACATGAGTGGGGTTCCTTAGCTCTGTGAGTGGGAGAGTGAATATAGGAATGTGTAAGAGGGGCTGTTTTGCTGGTGCCATCCTGGGCCTGGCCTAATTACCCTGTCCAGGAGGGTAATTACTGCTGGGACACCTCCCCGAGCCTGGCCCACGGGGCCTAGCAGGAGGATGACTGAGCCCCAGGCCTGGCCCTTTAAAGAGAGATGCTGGGGAGGGGGTGGACTCCAAGCTGAACTGGGGAGGGTGTAGGGGCTTGGGGGAGGATGAGGGGGGCCCTGAGGGCCTCTGAGGCAGGATGTTAGGAGCTTATGGGGAGGCATTGGAAAAGGAGAGGCTGAGAACCCCGAACTAGTCCCTACCTTCAGGCCTGCACCCTACTTTTAGGCCTCAACACCCTCCCTACTCAGACCTTGCCAGTAGCCGGCTCCCATCCCCAGCCCTGACCTTAGCTCCTCCTCCCAGGGAATGCAGGTGTCTACTCTGGCAGGCCCTACTTTAGACATTTTGTAAAGACTTTTCTTGTTTCTTCCAGCAAGTCTGCTTCTTGCGGGAATATTTAGCCCTTCTCTGAGGCTTCCTGTCCCCGGCTCACATTCCTCAAAAACCCTGTGTGCTCCTGCTCAGAACTCAGCACCTTCTGGGAAGCCAGTGTCATCCAGGACCTCTGCATTTCCCCACCCCTTAGGCCCCAACCCTAACGCAAAGCTTCAAAGTCCAGGCCTCCATGCAGCCCTCCAACTCTGGCCCCCAGAGTTCCAGCCTCCCAAGTTCCCTGAGGCCCCTGGTCCCCCAGGCCCTCGGATCTCTGCCCTTTATACCCTCAGCCCCCAGTCTCTAAGGCCAAGACCCCACTAGCTCTCCCACCGGGCCTGGTGCCTGTCCTTCCCCTGCCCCCAGCCGTGCCCCCGGCCCTCACCCACGCGGAAGCCGGAGCCCGTGAGCGTGTCTGTGCTGTGGCCGTTCTCTCCGATGAGCGTCATGTTGGAGCCCTGCTGACAACTGTCCCGACACTGGCCCTTGAGACAGGTCCGCTTGCAGATCACCGGCGCAAAGACCACCTTGAAGCGCTCGCGGGCCAGCGCCCCGCCCCCGCCTGCGCCCCGCTCGCCGGCCGGCCCCCCCTCGACCCTGCCGCCCAGGCCCAGCAGCAGCAGCAGCAGCAGCAGCAGCAGCGCCAGCAGCCCCGCCGCCCCCGCCCCGCGCATCTCAGGGGCCAGGCCGCCAGCAGCCCCTCGGGGCCCGGGCATCCGGGGCCGCAGGACCCGGGGGAGGGGGGGCGCGCCCGGGCGGGGCGAGGGGCCCGCGCCCGAAGGGAGTAGAGGGCCGGGAGCCCCGGGAGAGGGTAGGGGGCAGCGAGGGAGGGCAGCGGGGGAAGCGGGCGGGAGGGGACCGCGGGGGCCCGGCGGGAGGCGCGGAGATGCAGACTGGACAGCGGGGAGCGCAGAAACTTCCCAGCCCCAGGACGAAGCCCAGACCAGGCCCCGAACTCAGGCAGGAGCGAGGAGGCCGGAGCAAGTTGAGGCGGAGAGGAGGAGCGAGGGAGAGGAAGGCCGGGCGGCCGGCCCGCTCCGCGCCTCCCCCTGGCCGGGCTCCTCTCCCGCGGCCGCGGGGAGGCAGGGAGCGCGCGGGGAGGGCTCAGGGAGAAGTGAGCAGTTGTTTTCCCTGGCTGGAGCGCGGCGCGGCGGCGGCGAGGGGGGCTGGGACGCTGGCCCCGGGCCAGGGACACAGTTTTTTTTTTTTTGTTGTTTAAAGCGTCGCCTCTGCCGCCTGGAGAAGCGAGGGTGTGCAGGCTGGCGGAGGCTGGGGGGTGGCGCGGGGACAGTCCCCACCCCAGATGCCCGCCCCCGCCGGAACCCGCGGCCGCGCTGGGCCCTTTCCAGAGGGCCCTCACCTGGGACCGTCTGGCCGGCCGCGGATTCCTCCGGGCGGGGCGGGGCGGGGAGGCCTGCGTAGAGCGAGATACCGAGGCTGAGGGAGAGAGGTGGCCCTGCCGGGTCACACTGACGATGGAGGCCGGGTGGAGCCGGAGCCCAGGCCTTCCAGCTCTTTCCCAGCCTCCCTTGCAAACGTGGGGGTCTCAGGGCCCCAAAGTAACTTCTCGTTAGTGCTGGTCCAATCCCCTCTGAGGAAAGGGCTAAAGGGTGGGGACAGCCTTTGGCCAGGGCTCACGGAGGTCCCAGGAGGAAGTCTGTGGGGTCCAGAAGAGGAGCAGAAAGAACAAAGCTAGAACCCAGCTTCCCTGCCAGCCCCCTCGGAATGGCTTCCTGGTGCCCACCCTGCCACCTCCCCCCTTTCCTTTCGTCTGGCCGTGCTGGCGGGGCTGGCTCTGGGCCTCAGACACTCTGGAATCGCCAAGGTCTGAGCTCAGGGCCTGGCCCCCTTCCCAGGCTAACAGCCGGGAGGACGGGGGCGCTGTCCGAGGGCCCAGGGGCTGGAGAGGGGCACAGCAGAGCCCCAGGGCAGGGGCTGGCAGCGGCTGGGGGTGGGGGTCTTCAGGTTGGCCATGGCTGGAGAGGAGCATAGTTCCAGACCAGGCTTGTCCGCTGGTCTGGAAGGAAAGGCTGCAACGTGCGGGGGCCCAGGCCTTACTGTGGGGCCTGCCAGGAGACCCCAGGGTTCCGTCTCTGACTCACAGAACTCAGCAGGAGGTGGGGACGGCTAGGGCACATCCAGGAAAAGCGCTGCCAAGTCAGGGCGGCACCAGACCCTCTCCCGGACAGCACCCGGGGCAGCAGTCTAATTGGGGAGAGGAGGTTCAGGGACTCACTTTCAGGCACACCTGTCCAAGGAACTCTGTTTTTACTTTGAGCGTAAGTTGATGTGGGTAGCTTTAGGGGGACGCTTAGTAAGTCCCCCTTACTAAGCGGTGCAGGGCTGGGAGGGACAATCACATGTCCCCAGGGATCCCTGCTGCCGGAATCCAGGATGGGGTGTGAGGGGCAAGCCCCTGCTTCTTGGGGCCCTGGTCCACACGGAGGCAGGGAATAATGCTAGGTGCCGACCACCTGCCAGGCACAGGGCTGAGCATTGTATACTCATTTTTTCCTAACACTCATCTGAACCTGTCCTGACTCTGCCTAGAGCTGGCTGTGGCTCACCATGGAGCACAGCACAGTCAAACAGTCCAGGGTTGGATTCTTACTGTCTCTAAGCCCCAGTTTCCTTGCTTGTGAGATGGGTATCTATTCACTCAACATCTATGTTCAACTACTGGTAATAAAAAACAAAAAATTAAAAAATAAATGTAAAAAATTCACTCAACAAACTGAGACTCCACCACATCCTAAGCTCTTGGCCACAAATAGAACCAGTCCTGCCTTCCTGGAGCTGCTGTACTAGGAGAGCTGGATATGTGCCAGATCAATTCACACAGAACTGTGGCTACAACAGAGGCTGGTACCGTGACAGAGAAGGGCAGGGAAGCAGGACAGGAGAGGGCTGGGACCTGGGAGACAAAGAGAGTCTTCCATCGGAAGCTGGAAGATGAGTAGGAGTGAGTCACACCTGTGGGCATCTGACCTCAGGGGAGGCTGCAGGGGGAGGCTATCCAGAGAACTGAGGGAAGGCCAGTGGAACAACAGGGTGTGGTGGAGAGGGAGAGCCGAAGGTGTAGTGGTGGTGGGAGGGGCCGGCCATGGTGAGGAATTTGCTTTTATTCTCATTGCAGTGGGACTGTGTCAGGGCAAGAGCGGGCACTCTGCCTTCATCCCAGGAGAGAGATCTCACTTGGCCCTGGGAGAGATGTATTTGGGAGGGGAGATGTAAAGACTGGGTGAAGTAGGGGTGCTGGAGAGGTAGGTGGCATGAATGGCCCCCAGATTCCTGGCCTGATCTCTGGATGGGCGAAGAAGAGGGGAGGCAGAGGAGCTGGAAACATGGGGCAGGGTCCACAGCTCTGTTCTGGTCCTGCTGAGTTTGAGATGCTTGTGAGTCATCCAAGTGGAGGTGCCCGAACCCGGGAGTCTGCAGCTCAGACAGGATGTCTGGCCTGGAGACAGAGGCTTGGGGTTATACAGGGGGCATCTACGACAGCGGGAAAGGGTGGGCTTACTATGGAGAGAAGAGAGCCCAGGGTGCCCAGGGAGATCACTGTTCCCGGGTCAGGGAGAGGAGGCGGAGTCAGGCAGGGAGAGGAGGCGGAGTCAGGCGAAAGACCAGAAAGAGCAGCTGGAGGGAGCAGAGAGGAAAACCAGGAGTGTGGTGGGGAAGAGCCAGGAGGACGGTGTGGCCCTCGGTGTCTAAAGCTGCTGCCAGTATGATGGGGGGATAACAGCCCTTCTTCAGGGGCTGATGAGGGGACTCAGTGAGAAGGATCAATGAAAGTGTCCAGCCCAGTAATGATGCCCAACTCAAATGATATCCAACCAAATTCCTTCAGCTCTCAGGGCCTCCGCAGGAAATAGCTGAAACCACTGGGGCTAGCAACAGAGGGACATCACTCCAGTGCACATTGCTCCACTGGCATAACCAGGGAGGGTGCCTGAGAGGTGTGGCCTGAAGCAGAGCAGCAGCCCCTGGCCCTCTGCAGTCTGCAGGGAGGGCGCTGGGGGAACAATTATCACCCTAATCTCTTCCTAGCCACGGGTCTCCAGCTGGGCCAACCGTGGGCTGAACCCAGAAGAAAGCCTGTGGGCTGAGGGGCCTGGGGGTACAGCAGGTGGAGCTTAGCTTTCCAGCTCAGCAGGGAGGTCAGGAATGCAGAAGGGGTCTGCAGGGCAAGCTGACAAAGCCCAACACACATGGTCTCTTTGGCCTGAACATCTTTTCTAACCTCATCACTACATGTGGCACCTCATTTGCCTAGAATCTGCCAGCACACTTTTTTTTTTTTTTTTTTTTTTTGAGACAGGGTCTCACTCTGTGCCAGGGCTGGAGTGCAGTGACATGATCTTGGCTCACTGCAGCCTCAACATCCCTTAAGCAGCCTCGAGGGATCCTCCCACCTAAACCCCCCCTCCCACCGCCGCCTCAGTAGGTGGAACCATAGGTGCACAACCATGCTTCGCTAACTTTAGGATTTTTGGGGTTTTTTTGGATTCTTTTGGAGACAAGCTCTTGCTCTGCTGGAGTGCAGTGGTACGATCTCGGCTCCACTCTGCAACCTTCATCTCCCGGGTTCAAGCGATTCTCATACCTCAGCATCCCCAATCAGCTGGGACTACACGCTCATGCCACCACATCTGGCTAAATTCTTTTGTATTTTTAGTGAAGATGGGGTTTCACTATGTTGGCCAGACTGGACTCAAACTCCTGACCTCAAGTGAGCCACCTGCCTTGGCCTCCCAAAGTGCTGGGATTACAGGCGTGAGCTACCACGCCCGGCTGCCGGCACACTTTTATTCCTCCATGATGTACATTCTCCTGTAAGTCCAAGGAGACCATGATCTTCCTGATTACTTCAGATCATTCCTGGCAATAACAGGTCTTCCCACTGCTACTCTGCATCATCTGGTCCCTCCTCCTCCTGGTGCCGGAGTCACCTTTCAAAACCTAATTCCACCATGACTCTCCTCCTTAAAATACCTCCAGTGATTTCCCTTGCTCACCCGAGCCTGCCAGGTCCACTGTTCCTCAGAGTGGCTGAGCTCATTCCTCTGTCTGGGGATGCTCTTCTGCCAACTTCATGGTCCTCATGTCAGGGTTCCTGCAGATGCTTTTCTCTAAAACAGCCATCCCTTGGCCAGGCGTGGTGGCTCACGCCTGTAATCCCAGCACTTTGGGAGGCCTAGATGGGCAGATCAGTTGAGGTCAGGAGTTTGAGACCAGCCTGGCGAACATGGTGAAAACCTATCTCTATTAAAAATACAAAAATTAGCTGGGCTTGGTGGCGGGCGCCTGTAATCCCAGCTACTTGGGAGGCTGAGGCAGGAGAATCACTTGAACCCGGGAAGCGGAGGCTGCAGTGAGCTGAGATCACAGCACTGCACTCCTGCCTCAGTGATAGAGCAAGACTGTGTCTCAAACATAAATAAAATAAAAATTAAAAAATTTAAAAAAATGAAATAGCCATCCCTAGCCCTCTGGGTCATATCACCTGTGTTTTTCCCTGGTATTCCACAAAATCTGAAGCATTCTTTGTGGATTTGTTGACTTGCTTATTGTCCAGCTTACCACCCTCTCAGGGAGGGACAACCTTGTCTCCAGATCCCAGAACAAGGCTTGGCACAGATAGGGTGCCGAAGTTTGTTGATTGACTGCACAGAGAGGCCACAAGAGTGCCTGCCATCTACCATGCACTTTACACTGTGGGGTCACGTCATCCTCCCAGTGACCCTGCAAAGGGAAAACCAAGACTCTGAAAGATGAAATGACTAGACTCAGCTGGGCGCGGTGGCTCATGCATGTAATTGCAGCACTTTGGGAGGCCGAGGCAGGCGAATCACGAGGTCAGAAGATAGAGACTATCCTGGCTAATACGGTGAAACCCCATCTCTACTAAAAAAAAAAAAAAAAAAAAAAAAAAAAAATTAGCCGGGCATGTTGGCGGGCGCCTGTAGTCCCAGCTACTCGGGAGGCTGAGGCAGGAGAATGGCATGAACCCGGGAGGCGGAGCTTGCAGTGAGCCGAGATAGCGCCACTGCACTCCAGCCTCGGTGACAGACAGAGACTCTGTCTCAAAAAACAAAAACAAACAAACAAACCAACTGGACTCAGGTCACCTGGTGATTGAACCCAAGCCTGCCTGATCCAGAACCTATATATACAATGATCCTGGGGAGAGGAATGAGAGGTGTCCTGAAGGCATCAGGAGCCCTGACATTTGCTCACAAATGTCCTGAAGATAGGTGGGTAGGACCCTGAGGGCAATGAGGGGCTTTGCTGGAATGGGACAAGGAGGAGGAATAGGACCCAGGCCCAGGGAATGTTCGGGCTAGTCAAATGTTCTTGAGGTTCTTGGGTTCTTGAAGCCCAGAGAAGATATGGGACTTGACGAAGGTTACACAGCCAGCCATCAGCAGAGCCAGAACCTGAACTCAGGGCTCCTGATGCCATGTTAAGGGATTGGCTGGACAGGGTGACAGCAGCTGCATGATGAAAGTTCTGTCTCAGGAGGCCGCATTGCAGTGGTTGTTTTCTAGCATTAGATCATACTGGCTGTGTCATGCACCAGCTAAGTGAATTGGGAAAATTCTTCAACTTCTCTGTGCCTCAGTCCTCAACCCCCTACCCTTCCTTTTTTTTAGAGACAGTCTCTGTATATTGCTCCGTCAATATAGAGTCAAACTCCTGGCCTCAAGTGATCCTTCCCGCTCAGCCTCCTGAGTAGCTGTGATTACAGGCACACAACCCTGCACCTGGCTTTCCTCATTTTTAAACAGGGAATGAGGCCAGTCTCAGTGACTCATGCCTGTAATCTCAGCACTTTGGGAGACCGAGGTGAGCAGATTGCTTGAGGCCAGGAGTTCGAGACCGGCCTGGCCAACATGGCGAAACCCTGTCTCTGCTAAAAATACAAAACATTAGCTGGGTGTGGTGGCGCACACCTGTATTCCAGCTGCTTGGGAGGCTGAGGCACAAGAATCGCTTGAACCCAGGAGGCAGAGGCTGCAGTGAGCCGAGATGGCGCCACTGCACTCCAGCCTGGGTGACAGAGTGGGACTCTGTCTCAAAAAAAAAAAAAAAAAAAAAAGGCCGGGCACGGTGGCTCACGCCTGTAATCCGAGCACTTTGGGAGGCCGAGGTGGATGGATCACAAGGTCAGGAGATTGAGACCATCCTGGCCAACATGGTGAAACCCCATTTCTACTAAAAATGCAAAAATTAGCCAGACGTGGTGGTGCGCGTCTTAGTCCTCAGGAGGCTGAGGCAGGAGAATTGCTTGAACCCAGGAAGCAGAGGTTGCAGTGAGCCGAGATTGCGCCACTGCACTCCAGCCTGGCAACAGAGCAAGACCCCGTTCCCCCCCACCAAAAAAAAAAAAAAAAATTAACAGGGAAGTCCGGGTGTGGTAGCTCACACCTGTAATCCCAGCACTTTGGGAGGCCGAGGTGGGTGGATCACTTGAGGTCAGGAGTTCGAGACTAGCCTGGCCAACATGGTGAAACTCCATCTGCCAAAAATACAAAAATTGGCTGGATGTGGTGGTACACGCCTGTAATCCCAGCTACTCAGGAGGTAGAGGTTGCAGTGAACCGAGATCGTGCCACTGCACTCCAGCCTGGGCGACAGAATGAGACTCTGTCTCAAAAATAAAAATAAAAATAAAAATAAGCAGGGAATCAGTGGGCTGATATTTATGAAGCCCTTAGCAGATGCCTGCCAAATAGTAAGCACTCAGGATATGTGAGACCTTTTCATCATTGTCTGGATCTGCAAGCCAAGATGGGCAGGGTGGTGAGAGACGGGCTGCTGGTGGAGAGCCACCGTGCCACGAGGGCTGACTGTGTGTCAGAGGCTGTGCCGCCTCCATGTGTTGTCCCTCTGAGTTCTGAATGTCTTTGGGAAGCTTCTGGGCTCTGAAGAAAGAAATGGCTCTTGGCGAGGGGGTGGGTGGGTAGAAGGGAAGGGGGTCACACTCATCAGTTTTATTTTTTTTTTGAGACAGAGTCTCACTCTGTTGCCAGGCTGGAGTGCAGTGGCACAATCTCAGCTCACTGCAGCCTCCACTTCCTGGGTTCAATCGATTCTTGTGTCACGGCTTCCTGAGTAGCTGGGATTACAGGCAGCCACCACCACCACTCCCAACTGATTTTTGTATTTTTAGTAGAGATGAGGTTTCACCATGTTGGTCAGGCTGATCTCGAACTCCTGGCCTCAGGTGATCTGCCCGCCTCGGCCTCCCAAAGTGTGGGATTACAGGCATGAACCACTGCGCCCGGCCTTGCTCATCAGCTTTAAAGATGAGGGATGGAAGTGATGAAGGCCTGGAGGGGACAAGGTTGCCCTAAAGCATTTCTCTCCAAAGACACTTTACTGAAAGTGGCTATTAAACCCCTCTAATGTGCCACTTACTGTGGGTAGTAAAACGATGGACACTGAGAGTTGGGATTGGAAATGAGATGAAACTACCTTCACGCTTGATAAATCAGGGGGCCCTTCTGCCCTGCCACTCTTCCCCGCCTTTTGAGCACGGGAGAAATCTACTGGTAAGAGCTCAGGCTCAAGAGGTACACTGGCTGCCAGCCGGGAGCCCCAGCCCTGCCACTCCCAACTGGGTGACTGTGGATACATCTCTCACTACTCCAGGCCTCAGCCTCCTCATTTGCAAATTGGGAATGATGATAAGACCTAGCTGCCAGTGTTGTCCTAAGGAATAAGCGAAATACTTCATAAAGAGCTCTTAACACAGTGCCTGGCCCAAAGAAAACACACACACCAAGTTGAGTGTGATTATTTTTATTGTTGTATCATCCAGCCACTTCCTGTTTCACAGAAATGTCAAGGTGATTCACATTGCAGTGAAAACCAAAAAAAAAAAAAAAAAAAAAAGAATAGCTGACCCCTTTTCAGTGCCTGTGTGAAAATACAAATGATAAGTTACGTTTTTCAGAGGCCAGGCAACATGGCATAGGCCACTTGTTGCCATGTGAACCATCCCCACCAAATCAGCCAGCCCAGGGGGAGCTGTAATTGAGCTGTGCATGACTGAGCTGCTGTGGGGTGCTCTATCACCCAGAAAAGAGCCTAACTACAGCCATGTCATCAGTGCCACAAGGAGGGACCAATTTGGACTGGCTCACATGAAACTGTGATTCCCTTCCCTCCCCCTCCCCCTCCTCCTTTCCCTCCTTTCTCTTCCCTGACTCCATGCTCTGTTGCCCAGGCTGGAGTGCAGTGGCAGGATCTCCACTCACTGCAACCTCCGCCTCCCAGTTCAAGCAATTCCCGTCTCAGCCTCATGAGTAGCTGGAACTACAGGCTCGCACCACCATGCCCAGCTAGTTTTTGTATTTTTAGTAGAGATGGGGTTTCACTATGTTGGCCAGGCTGGTCTCGAACTCCTGACCTCAAGTGATCTGCCAGTCTTGACCTCCCAAAGTGCTGGGATTAAAGTTGTGAGCCACCATGCCTGGCTGAAGGTGTGATATATTGTCGGCAAGGGAAGGGTGTGAAAGAGCCCAAGCCCATTGCTCCACAGACACTGGCCTGTCCACTGTGACTGCTGCGAATAGGTTTTACCACCAACACCTGTGAGCACCTTCTATGTCAAGGACTGTGAAGCATCTGAGATCTTACCCACTTGCAAGCTACCAAGGTAGCCCGTCAGGTTCAAGAATGCTGGCAGAATACAGGAGAGTCCTGGGTCAGAGACAAAGGACTTGATCGCTGTGCAGCAAACAGCATGAGCACCAGCATATTTCCGTTAGTTCCTTTTGACCCTAAGTCCCATGGGGGTGATGCTGATGGGCTCAGGCAAGTGTGGGCACACAGAGCGAATTACATTGTGGGAGAGGACCCTAAGCTTAGGAAACTCAAAGCCAGTAAGCATGGCTGTCCTTTGCTCTGGAGGGAGACACTATCTCCATCTTCCATAGCTGTTCCCTAGATAAACATCTTTGAAGCTGGCGCGGTGGCTCAGGCCTGTAATCCTACCACTTTGGGAGGCTGAGGTGGGCAGATCACCTGAAGTCGGGAGCTTGAGACTAGTCTGGCCAACATGGTGAAACACCGTCTCTACTAGAAATAAAAATTTAAAAAATTGGCTGGGCGCGGTGGCTCATGCCTATAATCCCAGCACTTTGGGAGGCCGAGACGGGCAGATCACGAGGTCAGGAGATCGAGACCATCGTGGCTAACACAGTGAAATCCTGTCTCTACTAAAAATGCAAAAAAAATTAATCGGGCGTGGTGGCAGGTGCCTGTAGTCCCAGCTACTTGGGAGGCTGAGGCAGGAGAATGGCGTGAATCCAGGAGGCAGAGCTTGCAGTGAGCCGAGATCGCACCATTGCACTCCAGCCTGGGCAACAGAGCAAGATGCCGTCTCAAAAAAAAAAAAAAAATTAGCCAGCTGTGGTGGCGCATGCCTGTAATCCCACTCCAGTGGGTGAGGCACAAGAATTGCTTGAACCTGGAAGGTGGAGGTGGCAGTGAGCCGAGAATTGCGCCACTTCACTCCAGGTTGGGTGACAGAGACTCCATCTCAAAAAACAAACAAGCAACAAATAGGCATAAGTGGCCCCATTTTTATTTTGAGTCAGGGTCTCGCTCTGTCACCCAGGTTGCAATGCAGAAGCCTGATCATGGCCCACTGCAGCCTGGATCTCCTGGGCTGGGAGCAATCCTCCCACTCAGCCTCCTGAGTAGCTGGGACTACAAGTGCATGCTACTGCACCAGCTAATTTAAAAAATACATATATTTCTTAGAGATGGGTTCTTACTATGCTGTCCAGGCTGGTCTCAAGCAATCCTCCTGCATGTCCTCCCAGAGTGCTGAGATTATAGGTGTGAGCCACAGCACCTGGTCTACTGGCCCTGTTTTACAGATGAGAAATTGAAGTCCACAGCGATGAAGTAAACTACTCCAGGTGATACAGTAAATAGATCCAGGATCAAACCCAGGCCTGCCTCATTCCAGTTCTGCGTCTTGTCCACCCTACAGTGGAACTTAAGATGGTGAGAGGCCCTGAGAGGAGAAAAGGGACAAGAGTCCTCTTGAGCAGTGGGAGAAGAGGGATGCAGGAAGGATGGGAGATGTGTGTGCATCTCTCTATGTGTTGTCTGGATTTGGGGGGTCAAGGACCAGATTTATAGGACCTTGGAGACCATAACAAGGACTTTGGATTTTTGTCTAAGTGTGATGGGAGATGCCAAATGGCTTTTTTTTTTTTTAGATAGAGTCTCACTCTGTTGCCCAGGCTGGAGTGCAGTGGTGTGATCTCGGCTCACTGCAACTTCTGCCTCCCGGTTCAAGCAATTCTCCTGGTTCAGCCTCCCGAGTAGCTGGGATTACGGGCGCCCGCCACCACACCTGGCTAATTTTTGTATTTTTAGTAGAGAAGGGGTTTCACTATGTTGGCCAGGCTGGTCTTGAACTCCTGATCTCAAGACATCTGCCCGCCTCGGCCTCCCAATGTGCTGGGGTTACAGGCGTGAGCCACAGTATCGGGCAGCCAGATGGTTTTTAGTACAAGAACGACACTGTATTTTAAAATAATTATTCAGTTTCCTGCTTATGTGGGGATATGTAAGGTTGTCATGAGGAGTAAATTGGAGAGATTAAGTGAGAGGACTCATGTAAGGCTCTTTGTAGGTGCGAGGCAGAATAGACAGTTGAGTGGATATTGGCCATGATGGTGACATAGTCGGCGCACTGAGGAATTCAGGGTAGGGCTGGGAGCTGGAGACGGTAATAACCTGGGGGTCTGTGCATACAGGCTGGAGTCCAAGAGATGGTTCAGAGACAGTTCCTCTAGTCAGCCTCAGGCTAGGTGCTGTGGCTCTTCGCTGTAATCCCAGCACTTTGGGAGGCTGAGGTGTGAGGATCACTTGAGTCCAGGAGTTGGAGACCAGCCTGGGCAACATGACGAAACCCCATCTCTACAAAAAATACAAACCAAACCAAACAAACACACAAAAAACGGTGGCTCTATTCAGCCTGATAGAAACGACTTGTGGTACAGGCCCTAAGTCAGGTACGCTGCTGCCCAAGAGCCTGACTGGTAGATGGAGATGTGAAAGGGACACAGGGCTCTCCACGTAAGCAGGAGGCAGCAAGAATGACAGTTCCAGGGGTTCTACGTGGAAGGAAGAGGGGGCCAGGAGGAAGGGACTTCAGGTCAGATTGAGGGGGCATGTGCCATCCGGAAGAGGAGAATGTCGATGTAACTGTGAAAGTCCAAGTCCTAGCTGCTTTTCCACTGCCCTGGTGTACAACCTCAGGCCCTGCAGACTGCACATCTGAGGACCCCTGCCTGCCCTGTCTGGCTTCTCTGAATCTAATAAGGGAGAAGATGCGTTTGAAAAAGAACACGGAAGAGGGAGAGAGAAAAAAAGCACCAAGGTCCATGTTCAGAGAGCCCTGGTAATTTTAACTTGCAACTCACCCAAGAAGAGCCTAATGGTCGCAAGAGTATGTAGGAAGGCCCCAACCCGACCCGGCCCAGCACGCAGCACCCAAGGGCGGCTGGAAGCGCAATGCGCGTGCCCAGTACAGCGCTATTCAGTCTGCAGGCTTTTTGAGGATTTCAACTTCAAAGAACGGTCGGCTTCGGGGCGAACTTTGCTTCAGTTCCAGGCCTCGGGAGGCAGCGAGGAGACAGACTGGGACACCGAGCATGCAGAAGGGGAGTGGTCTTGAAATACGCGGAAAGGGAGAATGCACCCCTCCTGGCCAGCCTTGCCGGGCGAAGTGAGAAGTACTGAGGCCTGAGAAGGCTCCACGCGTGCGCAAAGGGCCGCTCGCTGTGATTACTGGGGTGGCGATGGTTGTGATGACGCCGCTGCCCCGCCTGCGCCGAAAGGGAAACCCCAGGGGAGGCGGAGGCCAGCGGGGATTTCTGAAGCCAAGTGGTCCCCTTCATCCACGACGGACAGGAAGGGCGACCCCCTGAGGCCACTTCCAGGTCTTGCGACCGGAGGAGAGTTACCAAGGAGACGCTCCTCCCGAGGCCTCGCGCGTCGGAAGCTTCTGTCCCCTGGATTCCGGTTGACGGACGCGTCCCCCGAGCAGGTTCTCGGTAGCAGCCGACACGCCCCACCCCGGGCACAGCGAGGTCTGAGGACCACGCTAAGGCGTCACGTCCGCCCTGATCCGCGGCAGCTATGGAACGGGCGGAGCCGCAGCGGAGGGCGCTCCGCTTTGACGTCACTTCCTGTGAGCCCGGCGGTGACAACGGCAACATGGCCCTGAACGGAGCTGGTGAGGACCTGGGCGGCAGGGGTTTGTGGCTGTGAGGTACGGGAGGCAGCCCACTCCGGCAAGACCCCCAGTCCCTATGCCTCTCTTCCCCAGAAGTCGACGACTTCTCCTGGGAGCCCCCGACTGAGGCGGAGACGAAGGTGCTGCAGGCGCGACGGGAGCGGCAAGATCGCATCTCCCGGCTCATGGGCGACTATCTGCTGCGCGGTTACCGCATGCTGGGCGAGACGTGTGCGGACTGCGGGGTGAGGCGAGACTCGGGCGAGTGACCGGGGATGGGTCCGCGGGCCAGGCCACTCAGCCCTTCCCCGGCCCTCCCCTCTGGACCCCATTGCCGGCGTCTCATTCCGGCCCCGTGTGCTTTTTGGTCCGTAGACGATCCTCCTCCAAGACAAACAGCGGAAAATCTACTGCGTGGCTTGTCAGGAACTCGACTCAGACGTGGATAAAGATAATCCCGGTAAGAGTAAAAAATAATCCGGGAGAGGGGCCGGATATGCTTAGGGGGGAAGCGTGGTTAAGTGGTGATAGAGGCCCGAGAACAGTAGGGCTGAGAGGTGACAGTGGAGTCTCTGGGTGGGGTAGAAGTAAAATTATTTCTCCTTTAGGCTCTAAAGAGGACCCTTAACTCAATAAGAGCACCAAGCACCTCCTGTGTGCCAGCCACTGCGCGAGAGTCTGAGCTCAACCAGGCCCAGTACTGATGGAGAATTGAAGCTAGGGCATAAATGTGATACAAAGTAGAAAGTGGATGAGTTGCCTTATAGAGGGACAGGGAAAACACCTCAAGCACAGAAAGAGCAGAGCAGAAAAGGAGATGGCTCAGGGCTGAGGTGGGCCAGGCATCCTGACCATTCCACCCACTTTCTCCTCTTTTTAGCTCTGAATGCCCAGGCTGCCCTCTCCCAAGCTCGGGAGCACCAGCTGGCCTCAGCCTCAGAGCTCCCCCTGGGCTCTCGACCTGCGCCCCAGCCCCCAGTACCTCGTCCGGAGCACTGTGAGGGAGCTGCAGCAGGACTCAAGGCAGCCCAGGGGCCACCTGCTCCTGCTGTGCCTCCAAATACAGATGTCATGGCCTGCACACAGACAGCCCTCTTGCAGAAGCTGACCTGGGCCTCTGCTGAACTGGGCTCTAGCACCTCCCTGGAGACTAGCATCCAGCTGTGTGGCCTTATCCGCGCATGTGCGGAGGCCCTGCGCAGCCTGCAGCAGCTACAGCACTAAGAGAAGCCCCTGAGAAAAACCCTCTAGAAAAACAGCTGTTCCTCTGTGTGGTTTGTTTTTTTCCTGGTTCCAAGTGTGCATGCCAGCCCCAGCTCCACTCACCTTTTTCCAGCTTTTGGCCTCTTCACCTCTCCACTCTGCTCTCCTTGACGCCCTGAGATGAGTTGAGCTTGTTTCTTCTCAGTTTCCCCAGTCAGGATGAGGGAGTAGGTAGAGGACTATGTGATGCCCCTTTTCTAAGGAAGAAGCCATAGCCTTTTCAAAGGTAGCAGCCAGAGGGGTGGACCCTAGCCTTGTCTCTGGCAGCACCTCTGCAGCCTCTTCCGCCATCTGGTGTCCATTCCCCACCTGGAAGTGAGGTTTTGTGTTCCGATCCCCTTGATAGATTCCCCTCCTTCCCCTGAGCATCCTGACCCTATCAGCCTATCCCATCTCATGCCCACCCCAGGTACTCAGACACCGACAGGAGTTTGTGGTGACCCCAGCGTCAGGTGGCACGTTAGGCACCAAGTGTGGACTTGCCAGTCTCCTGACTCCACTGTTAGATCATTTTCCTTGGGTGTGGGGGCGGGGCGGGGCGCGGCGGGGAGACGGGGTAGCAAAAAGAACCGTGAAGAAACCACGCCTGCCCCCTTCAGCCTTTTCCCCCCTCCGCCGCATTTTTCCATCTCCCCTTGAGTGAGTGGATGTCCCGTTGCCTTTTCTCAGCTTTGCGCGACGTGGTCCCACAACCGTTGCCTTTTTAAGAGAGGCCCGGCCCATCCAGAGGGGGTGGGGCAGAGGCGGAGTCTGAGGAGCTGGGGAAGGAACAAAGCGAGGCCTGCGGGCGGCGGCTGGGCTCCGGCGGGGCCGCGGGGTGCGGGGCCTGCGGGCGGCGGCCCGGGCGGAGCGTTGGAGGGAAGGAGGTGGCATCGCCGTCCGCGCCGGCCCCGGCCATGAACGGGCTGCCCTCGGCAGAGGCGCCGGGCGGGGCGGGCTGCGCTTTGGCCGGGCTCCCACCGCTGCCGCGCGGCCTCAGCGGCCTCCTTAATGCGAGCGGGGGCTCGTGGCGGGAGCTGGAGCGCGTCTACAGCCAGCGCAGCCGCATCCACGACGAGCTGAGCCGCGCCGCCCGCGCCCCGGACGGGCCCCGCCACGCCGCCGGCGCCGCCAACGCGGGACCCGCAGCCGGCCCGCGTCGTCCTGTCAACCTCGACTCAGCGCTGGCCGCGCTGCGCAAGGAGATGGTGAGTGGGTGGGCGCCGGGCCAGCTGGGCGGGGGGCTGACGCGGAGGAACGCAGGGGACTGGGACAGGCGGCCTGGGTCTCAGAGGACTTGCAGGCACCAGTTGGGTTGCAAGGGTTATGGTAACAATAATTAGTGATAGTTACCAATTATGGCAGTAGTTACCATATATTTTCAAATGTTTTGCTGACGTTACTTCATTTCATCCGGCTAAATGGATAACCCCATTTTTTGGGTGAGGGTCATGACTAAAGTTGCATAGCTTGCAGGTGGTGCCTGATGTCCACAAAAACTTCGTTTAGGAAGGTGCGGGGAAGATGGGCTGGGGCCCACTATTCCAGGGGGCGGGGCTGGGCTGGGGTGGCCTGGACCCCAACTCCAGCCCACCCTCAGTTGTCTGCAGGTGGGGCTGCGGCAGTTGGACATGTCCTTGTTGTGCCAGCTGTGGGGCCTGTACGAGTCAATCCAGGACTACAAACACCTGTGCCAAGACCTGAGCTTCTGCCAGGACCTGTCATCCTCCCTCCATTCGGACAGCTCCTACCCACCGGATGCGGGCCTGTCTGACGACGAGGAGCCTCCCGATGCCAGCCTGCCTCCTGACCCGCCACCCCTTACTGTGCCCCAGACGCACAATGCCCGTGACCAGTGGCTGCAGGATGCCTTCCACATCAGCCTCTGAAGGGCTGGGGGGCAGGGGGCATGCACCCATGCAAAAGGCTCAGAAACTCCCCCTCCGGCAAGCCCTCAGACTTCGGAGCCTGCGCCTTCCCCCCTACCGCCTCACCTCACAGGAGGGCCAGGCATGTATTCCTCAGAGGCGAAACTGCCAAACTCTTTCTCCTGTCTTGGGTTGGCTGGCACTGGGGCGGGCATCTAGGGTACAGCCTCTGCTCATGGCACTGGGCCTCCAGTTCTTCCACATGTGTGCACCCCCAGCTTGGCCAACCCTCAGCCTTGCGGTGGGGCCCGAAGCATCTTCCCTTCCGCTTGGCGTCTCTGGGATTGGGATGAGTGCCTGGCTCCCATCTCCTCCTCACCTTTTGTTGCTATCGGCAGCTGCTGGCTCAGGGGCATCCCACCTCCGGGCTCTGGGTTCCTCTGCCCTGGAAGGGCTCCAGGACCCGTCCCAATAACCACCCACGGCCAGGAGGGCCAAGGCCCCGTGCTGGATATTTAAATTTAGGGGCCGGTCTCCAGGGCGCGTAGATAAATAAATACACTCAGCGTCGTTGTGCTCTGCCTGGCTGGCTCTGGGGCGGGAAGACCGCGGTGTTTGTGGCAGGTGCGGCCCCGCGCTCTGCCAGCAGGTGGCGCCCGAGACCCCCTCCCCCCCCGCCCCGCGCCGAGTGAAGGCCCTGCCGTCCCGCCGGGGCGGGGCTGGGGGCGCTGCCTGCTGGCCGAGCCTGGCTCAGCCGCCGGGTGACTGCGGTCGAGTCACTTCCCCTCTCTCGCCCGCGACCTCCGAGTCCCCCGCTCCCTCCTCCCAGTTCGCTTCGGGCTTTCCCTGCCTGCCGGGAAGGAAGGAGAAGGAGCCGCCCACCTTGAGGAGGGAAACTTTCCACCCCGCGCGGGGCGGGGTTGAGGCGGCGCAGGAAATGGGTGGCCGGAGTCGCCGGAGCAAGGGGCCCCGGCGGGGGCGGGGGAGGCGCCTCCGGGAACGGCCTGGGACCTCACGCCCCGCGGGTGGGAGGGAGGGGTGGCAGAGGCCGAGGGGAGTGAAGTCGCGGCACCTCGGGCCTTCCCGGAGGCCAAGCATGAGACTCCGCGGCGGTGAAGTTTGATTGGGGTTCCAGGGACCCGTATTCCCCGCTCAGTCTGTGAAGACCGCCGGCTCTCCCCACAGCACTAGCGGTCTTTACAGTTATCTGTGGAAGGTTTCTTAGGAAACCGGGGACCCACACCGCTGGGACTGAGAACCAAACCCAGTTGTCAAGCCCACCGGAAGAAGCCAGCACGTTCGGAGACAGTGGGTACTCAGCCCCCTACACGCGCACACGACACCTCACAACCTCCTGAAAAGAGGTGAAGCCGCACACCGAGGTGTGCGGACGAACAGCACATCCCCGCGCCCTGCTGCAGCCATTTGCCTCCTGGAGATGCAGCCCAGATGGCAGTCCTGGCACTCAGACATCCCGTTAAACCAAGTAGCAGTCACGCACCGGGCTCCTGTCCATTTACACACCTTGCAGAGCAGCGGGAAGGAACAAACTGACCTATTGCCCCAGGGCAGCTGACACCTGCAGAGGCTCATTACCATGCAGGGCGGGTGGGTAGGCGATAAGGGCTCTAATCTAGGGGTTCACAGCTGCTAACGCTCCAGGCAGGCTTTCCTGGGGAGGGAGAGTAAACATACACAAAAATGACACGTTTTCCCCATCCATTATAGCGCATCCCATTTAATAAGGAGGCATGGCAAAATCAGCCAGGCTTTCTGCTAAATGCCTTCTGAGGTTCATCCTCTCAGGGATTCCCTAAAAGGCGGAACTACAATTATCCCCATTTAATAGACGTTGAAACTGAGGCTCAGAGTGTTAGCGCTTTGCCCAAAGTCACACTTGGTTGGAGGTCAGTTATGATTCTCCAGCTACTTGTCGGGGTTTGGGATTATCTTCCCCCTTGACAGCAGAGTCAGGTTCTGAGGTTGGGCCACCGAGGTTACTGACGCCTTCCTGCTCTGGTTAAGACGTGGGTGGCTGCACCTTGGAGTTGAGAGCTGGTCCTCGTCCACATTCACAGTATGACTCTGAGCAAGTCCCTTCCCCTTTCTGGGTCTCAGTTTTCCCAGCCGTTGAAAGGGGGCCAGTAGTACGTACCTCCCAGGGCTGCGGGCAGGAAGGAAGGCGGCCCGGGCAGCGCTCTCTAGGGTGGCACCAAGTTGCTGGTTGCCCTCTCTCCACGCAGCCTCTGCGCGCACCGAGCGGGCACTGCGGTCGGGCGACACCCCTTCCACGCCCCCCTCCCCCGCCCCCGCTCCCGCTCCCGGGTCGCGGCGCGAGGCCCCGGAAGCCGGGTCGCCCCGCCCCCGCGCTCCTGCCCCGGCCCCCGCCCCGCGCCGGAGCCCCGCCCGCCTTCCGACGGGGGTGCGGCTCCAGGAAACGGCGCGCTCCCAGCTCCGCGCTCGCCACCCGACGCGCCCCAGGCGACCCCGCAGACTCAGCCAGACCACCCTGCGGGCCCCAGCGGCGGCAGCGGAGAGCGCGGTCCCGGGTCGGAGCCTGGGACACCTCCGCACGGACGGGGCGGGCGGCGCGGACAGGCCATGGGGACCCGGGCCGGGCCAGCGGTGGCGGGCCAGCGGGAGCCCCGGGCCTGAGAAGTGGGCGGCGGGGTGGCGGGGGCCATGACCTCGGTGTGGAAGCGCCTGCAGCGCGTGGGCAAGCGGGCGGCCAAGTTCCAGTTCGTGGCCTGTTACCACGAGCTAGTGTTGGAGTGCACCAAGAAATGGTGAGTGGGAGGGAGGCGGGGGGGCTCCCCCGAACTTGCTGGGACCTCATCCGGCCCTTTGAGCCTGAGAGGACTCTGCCCCCCCAGCCCAATGACCAAATGGGCCCCCACCCCAGCTTGGGCCCTGGTTCCGTTCCCAGGCTCGGAGATTCAGAAGTGCCCTTGCAATTTGTGGGACCCCTGGAGTTGGGGGCGTGGGCAGCCTTCCCTGCGCGGGGGTCAGGACTTTCAGGCCTGAGGTTCTGCCTGTGTCCACTCCTTCCTCAGCTGCGGTCAGGGCTGGGGGAGGGAGGCCGCATGTCTTGTGCCAGAAAGGTGGTTCAGGGTGGCATTGGAAAAGGGATCAAGTTTTGAGGTCTGCAGGTGGCTAGGGCTGGGGCAGGAGCCTCCCTGACCTTACTTAGTCCAGCTAAGAACAGAGATGTTGCCCCCTCCTCCCCTGCCATCTTGTTGAGCCAGAAGAACCCCTCCAACTCCCGCCTCTTCAGCCAGAGTGCTGGGAGGCTGGAAACATCTCCACAATGTCCTTAAAAGGGGAAACTGAGTGCTGGGAGGATTGAGGAGGGAGGCGGGGAGCAGCTTAAAGGGGCCTGAGGACCTAGGAGGTTGTGGGTCCGGGAGGAGAGGGTTGCGGAGGGCAAGGTGGCAGGGTGAGGGGTGATTCACCAGAGGGTGCAGGCCCCAGCCTGGACTACCAACAGGTTCAGGGGCATCTCGTTCACATGCCGCCACCCATAGCTGCCCAGGCCCCTGCGTCACACCCTAAATATACGTGCTTGCTGGTGTCAGCTTCCCTTGGCTGGATTAGGGCACAGCTGTGGGGGCCTCACCCGCCAGGCGGGGCTAAATTTAGGCTCCCCAGGGGAAGGGCTGGGGCAGGAAGGGACCATGGGGTCCAGGGGGAGGGGAGTAAGCAGGAGGCTGGGGTCCCTTGGGCAGCTGCCATATCCTTGGCCTTGCCCACACTGGGCCTGCTAGAGGGCCATTCACATCTTTCAGCAGAGCCTGGGAGAGCTTGGGGGCTGGCACTTGAACTCTGGCCTCTGGCTCCTGCTCCAGCATCCTGCGGGAGGCCAGGGAAACACTGGGCACAGCAGGCTGAGGGTGCCGGCAGTGTCAACGCAGCTGAGTCACAGGCGGCTGTGGGTAGGGCCTCCTGGGCTGCTTAGCCTGGAGCCCAGGCCGGGAAGCTGCCCCTGCCCAGGTTGCAGCTTCCCAGGAGGGCGTGCCCAGCCTGAGTCAGGCTGCCCAGCCAAGCCCTGCCCTCCCTAGGCACCCCCTGTCCGCTTCCCCTTTCTGGGAAGGCCCCTTAGTTACCCTTGCTCTGCCATCGCTGGCAATTTGGGCTTGGGGAAGGGAACTTGGCTCTGGGTTGGAGGGCTCTAGGCTCAACCGTGTAAACTTGTTTGGCTCCAAACCTCTGTGGGCCTCAGCATCCTCAGGGTTAACAGAGAGGCACTTATCCTGGCTTGGCCTCAGACGAACAGTGAGCTGGGCAAACCCCAGCATCACGAGAGGGTGCAGGCATGGGGCTGGGTACAGGCAAGGCCAGTTCGCGTGCTGCCCTGGGCCGGATCGTCCCCTCAAGCATCACCCCTCCTGGGCAGCAGTTGAACATCTAACCCCAAGGGGCCCTCTGCCCCCAGGCCCAGCCATGAGTCCACTCAGTGCCTGGGAATGGGCCCTGCGCAGCCATCTCTGTCCTCTGGCTTTGCCTCTGCCTCTCCTCCATGTCTGACCTGGCATATGCTGTTCAGCTTAGATGTCACCCCCTGGAAGTCTTTTCTGATTGCCCTCCAGGCTCCACTGTCATCATCTTGCCGAAAGCTGATCCTCCTTGGGACCCCTGCGCCCAGCAAAGGGCTGGACATGGTGGGCGAGGGATGGCGGTGTTGGTTAATGACAGGCTGACCCTCTGCTGCTTCTCCGGCCTCACCCCCAACTCTCTGCCCCTCTCTCTGATGTCACCCTCCAGCCGCAGACCCTTGGACTTGCCATTCCCTCTTTCTCCAGATCCTCACACAGCCCATCCCCCTGCCACTCATCTCTGCCCAGACACCCAACCTCAAGGAGACCCCCAGGGGTTCCCTCACATCACCCTGGAGTTCGCTTGTTAATTTATTTTCCTTCTTGACTGGTAGTCTGCCCCCACCTCCATTGTCCTCACCGGAAAGGTCTTGTCTCTCTTTTGCCCTCCTCTGTCCCCAAAACTGGGCTGGGTTTATGGTGGGCGCTCCACAAACATCTTTGTGCGAAGGGACTTCTTTTATCCCTCGTCTTTGTCTCTCCCTGTGTTGGAGTCTGCGTGTGTGCACGATGCTCACATGTGCATCTGTGTCTGGCATCTCTTGCCAGGTCCTTGTGTTTCTGTGTGTCTTGGTCTCTGTATGTGCCTGTCCCTTTCTCACTTGCTGTCTTTCCTCATAGTCCCTGCCTGCCCACACTGTCTGGGCCTTTGCCCTTCTGCTCTGGCCCCACCCTACCTTAGCAGCTCCACCCTGCACCCTGTGGCCCCAGATAAGGGGCTGCCCAGGCCCTCTTCTGGAGGAGGGGGAGGTGGGCAGAAGGAAGACCCTGAGGGAGCTGGGGGAGGAGGAAGAGGAGATGGGGAGGCAGGTGAGCCTGACCAAGCAGCCTGCTCCCTTTCTCCCTCCCCTTCCCCCTCCCCCAGGCAGCCAGATAAGCTGGTGGTGGTATGGACCCGTCGGAACCGACGCATCTGCTCCAAGGTGGGGAAGGATGGCAACTGGGGATCCAGGTTAGGGATGGGGGCCGGTGGGAGGCTGATGGGGGCTGATGGGGGAGTGGAGTGAGGTTCAAGCACAGATCAGAATCCACAGAGGGGAGGGGAAGATGGTGTCAAGGTTGGTGATAGGGGGTGCAGGTGGGAGGGAAGAGTTAAGATGGGGGGAGGACTCAGATTGTCCCTTGTAGGCCCACAGCTGGCAGCCGGGCATCCAGAACCCATACCGGGGCACCGTGGTGTGGATGGTACCTGAGAATGTGGACATCTCTGTGACCCTCTACAGGGTGAGTCTCTAGCCCTCCAGCATGGATGGCAATTGCAACACAGGCAGTTGCAACAATTGCAACACAGGTCTCCTGGTAGGTTGTTCATCCAGATAGAAGAGGATGCGGGGGGTGAGGCCAAGAATTAGGGGGGCCTGCTCAGCATCACTGGCCCAGGAGGTCTCCTTGGAGGAGGCAGCATTTACCCAACACATGCAGCATGAGAGGCAGCTGGGACCAGAACTTGGGGTGCATCCCAGGAGGAGGTAGCAACCACCGCGTGCACCTGTAATCCCAGCTACTTGGGAGGCTGAGGCACGAGAATTGCTTGAACCTGGGAGGCAGAGGTTGCAGTGAGCCGAGATCGCACCCCTGCACTCCAGCCTCGACGACAGAGGAAGACTCCGTCTCAAAAAAAAAAAAAAAGCCACCACTACCAAGCACCTCCTGAGCCAGACAAGCTCTGCTCCCTTTGCTGCTGCCCCAACAGTCCTGTACTCACCAGCACCCTTCTTCCCAGGACCCCCACGTGGACCAGTATGAGGCCAAAGAGTGGACATTTATTATTGAAAATGTGAGTGTCTGGAGTGGGCTCAGGTCTGGAATCTTGGGGACCCTGGGACAGCACTGATGCCCCTTCTCCTGGTCTCTCCCCTGGCCCACAGGAGTCTAAGGGGCAGCGGAAGGTGCTGGCCACGGCCGAGGTGGACCTGGCCCGCCATGCAGGGCCCGTGCCTGTCCAAGTCCCAGTGAGGCTGCGGCTGAAGCCAAAGTCAGTGAAGGTGGTGCAGGCTGAGCTGAGCCTCACTCTTTCCGGGGTGCTGCTGCGGGAGGGCCGTGCCACGTGAGTGCCTACCTGCCCTCCTTGATCCTGGCCTGTGACCTCTGACTCCACCCTCACCTTTAACCTCTGCCTCCCAGGGACGATGACATGCAGAGTCTCGCAAGCCTCATGAGTGTGAAGCCTAGTGATGTGGGCAACTTGGATGACTTTGCTGAGAGTGATGAAGATGAGGCTCATGGCCCAGGAGCCCCGGAGGCCCGGGCTCGAGTCCCCCAGCCAGGTGGGCTCACAGCCTGCTGTGGATCGAGACTGCCAAGACCTGGGGAGGGAGGGTTACCCGGGCCACCAGCCACTTGCTGTGCCCGCCCTGTGATGGGAACTCATTACTGCCCAGGCAGTCCCAACCAACCCAGCAGCCTCAATTGTCCCAACCTGGCTGCTGGTCCCACGATAGCCTTGGTCTTCAGCTGAGTCCTGGAGGATGGGTTCCCAATGTCTCGCTGGGCTCCTGGGTCCTCTCCTCATCCCTTTGTGGTGCTTGCCAGGCCCGTACCTGACCCAGGACAGCTGGGTCAGAAGCCCGGCTCCTGATCCCTCACCACCAGCCCTCCTGGGCCAGCTGGGGCTTCCTCATTCCTCCCTGCTGCTTGTCCAGGCTTTTTCTCTGTCCACTGTTGAGGTTCTCTCTCTCTTTCTCTCCACATCTGTGGGCCTGTCTCTTCTCGCAGGCCGGGGCGGTGCCCTGAGGCCAGGGCGTTTCCCAGGTAGGACCTGCACTGTAGTTGGGGGAGGGGGTCAGGCCTGTGGGGCCCTGCCCTGGGCTGACTCTGCCCTTCTCCCCTCTCCTACCATTCCCAGATCCCTCTCGAGAGCTGAAGACGCTTTGTGAGGAGGAGGAGGAAGGCCAAGGACGACCCCAGCAGGCAGGTGAGACCCAGGCTGGGGTTGGGGGTGGAGACTGGACCCCAGGTCACTGGGCCCAGGCCACAGTGTCCCCCTCTTTCTTCTCAGTTGCCAGCCCTTCTAATGCTGAGGATACCAGCCCAGCCCCTGTGAGTGCTCCTGCACCCCCAGCCAGAACCTCCCGAGGCCAGGGGTCAGAACGAGCTAATGAAGCGGGGGGCCAGGTAGGCCCTGAGGCCCCAAGGCCCCCGGAAACCTCACCAGAGATGAGGTGAGCTTTGGAACCAGCCTCACCCCCCATTGCCCCCTGATAGGAGCTGCAGTCCTCACCCCCACCAACCTGCCTCCAGGGCCCCAACAGTCTGAAGGGTGGCGGATGGTGCTGAGAGTTGGGGCCAAAGCAGCCCCCCAACTCCCCCTCCTGCTCTCTTCTCAGGTCTTCAAGGCAGCCAGCCCAGGACACGGCCCCCACCCCAGCCCCTCGGCTCCGGAAAGGCTCTGATGCCCTCCGGCCCCCAGTCCCCCAGGGGGAAGATGAGGTCCCCAAAGCCTCAGGGGCTCCTCCAGCAGGATTGGGCTCTGCTAGGGAGACCCAGGCCCAGGCATGCCCTCAGGAAGGGACAGAAGCCCATGGAGCTAGGCTGGGCCCGAGCATTGAGGATAAAGGTTCTGGAGACCCTTTTGGAAGGCAGAGACTCAAGGCTGAAGAGATGGACACTGAGGACAGGCCAGAGGCCAGTGGGGTGGACACTGAGCCAAGGTCAGGAGGCAGAGAGGCAAACACTAAGAGGTCAGGAGTCAGAGCTGGGGAGGCTGAAGAGAGTTCAGCAGTTTGTCAAGTGGATGCTGAGCAGAGGTCAAAGGTGAGACATGTGGACACTAAGGGACCAGAGGCGACAGGGGTGATGCCTGAGGCAAGATGCAGGGGGACCCCTGAGGCTCCTCCAAGGGGCTCTCAGGGGAGGCTGGGAGTCAGGACCAGGGATGAGGCTCCCTCAGGCCTGAGCCTGCCCCCAGCGGAGCCTGCAGGGCACTCTGGGCAACTTGGTGACCTCGAGGGGGCCAGGGCTGCTGCAGGCCAGGAGAGAGAGGGTGCAGAAGTGAGGGGTGGAGCACCTGGTATTGAGGGGACAGGCCTGGAGCAGGGCCCTTCTGTTGGAGCAATAAGCACCAGGCCCCAGGTGAGCAGCTGGCAGGGGGCCCTGTTATCAACTGCCCAGGGGGCAATATCCAGGGGTCTGGGAGGCTGGGAGGCAGAAGCTGGGGGTTCAGGGGACCTGGAAACAGAGACTGAGGTGGTAGGGTTGGAGGTGCTGGGAACCCAGGAGAAAGAAGTTGAGGGGTCAGGGTTCCCAGAGACTAGGACACTAGAAATTGAGATATTGGGGGCCTTGGAGAAAGAAGCAGCAAGATCAAGGGTCCTGGAGTCAGAGGTTGCTGGGACAGCACAGTGTGAGGGACTGGAGACCCAGGAAACAGAGGTGGGGGTCATAGAGACCCCAGGGACAGAGACTGAGGTATTGGGGACCCAGAAAACAGAAGCTGGGGGTTCAGGAGTTTTGCAGACAAGAACTACGATAGCAGAGACTGAGGTACTGGTGACCCAGGAGATATCTGGGGATTTAGGGCCACTGAAGATAGAAGATACAATACAGTCTGAGATGCTGGGGACCCAGGAGACAGAGGTGGAAGCTTCTAGGGTACCAGAGTCAGAGGCTGAGGGGACAGAAGCTAAAATATTAGGGACCCAGGAGATAACAGCTAGGGATTCAGGGGTCAGAGAGATAGAAGCAGAGATAGCAGAGTCTGACATATTGGTAGCCCAGGAGATAGAGGTGGGACTTTTGGGGGTTCTGGGAATAGAGACTGGGGCAGCAGAAGGTGCGATATTGGGGACCCAAGAGATAGCATCTAGGGATTCAGGGGTCCCAGGGTTAGAAGCTGATACAACAGGGATCCAGGTGAAAGAGGTTGGGGGTTCAGAGGTTCCAGAGATAGCGACTGGGACAGCAGAAACTGAGATATTGGGGACCCAAGAGATAGCATCTAGGAGTTCAGGGGTCCCAGGGCTAGAATCTGAGGTAGCTGGGGCCCAGGAGACAGAGGTCGGGGGTTCAGGGATCTCAGGGCCCGAGGCTGGAATGGCAGAGGCCCGAGTACTGATGACCCGTAAGACAGAAATTATAGTTCCAGAGGCTGAGAAGGAAGAGGCTCAGACTTCGGGGGTCCAGGAAGCAGAGACTAGAGTTGGGAGTGCTCTCAAATATGAGGCTTTAAGGGCCCCAGTCACTCAGCCAAGAGTTTTAGGATCCCAGGAAGCAAAAGCAGAGATTTCAGGAGTACAAGGGTCAGAGACTCAAGTTCTGAGAGTCCAGGAGGCAGAGGCTGGGGTTTGGGGGATGTCAGAGGGCAAATCTGGGGCTTGGGGGGCCCAGGAAGCAGAGATGAAGGTTTTAGAGTCTCCAGAGAACAAATCTGGTACTTTTAAGGCCCAGGAAGCGGAGGCTGGGGTCTTGGGAAATGAGAAGGGGAAAGAAGCTGAGGGAAGCCTCACAGAGGCCAGCCTGCCTGAAGCACAGGTGGCCAGTGGGGCAGGGGCTGGGGCGCCCAGGGCCTCTTCCCCAGAGAAGGCTGAAGAGGACAGGAGGCTGCCGGGCAGCCAGGTAGGGATGGGGGCCGCCGAGGGCCCAGTCTGCTGCTTCCCACTAACCTGGGGCTGAGCGAACGGCGGCTCTGCATGGACCCACCTGGTGGAATGGGATCGGGTGGGGTGGGGGGCTCAGCTTGAAGGAGCCCCCTCATCCCCTCCTCTCTCAGGATGCCCTGGCTCTCTTACCCCATCTTCCCTGGGCCGCATGGAGCTGGACACCTCTAAGCTGATTTTCTGGGCTGACTTTGAGGTGTGGCTGCTGGTGACCTCTGATCTTGTCTGGGGGCCACTGACCTTTTAGGTGACCTTGGCAGATAACCCTGGATCTAGAAACCCTTTTACCTGGCCCCAAGGCTCTAGCCAGTGGTCTCTGGTGACCCCTGCAAGCTCAGAGATGGGGCTGTTGTGTGCCAGGCATGAGCTTCCCCAAGAGGCAGAGGGCATACATCCCATTTATACATTCCCTAAGCCCACCCCTGTGTCCTCAGGCACCACCTGCCCTGGTCAGCTCCAGCCAGTCCCTGCTGGAGTGGTGCCAGGAAGTCACCACTGGCTACCGTGGCGTCCGCATCACCAACTTCACCACATCCTGGCGCAACGGCTTGGCCTTCTGTGCCATCCTGCACCGATTCTACCCAGACAAGATGTGAGCTGCCAGAGGGGTGGGAACGAATGGGGGAGCCATCAGGGAGGGCAGTGTGGACCCAGCCTCTGACCAGCACACTCTCTGCAGTGACTATGCCTCGCTAGACCCACTCAACATCAAGCAGAACAACAAGCAGGTGAGATGGGGTGGGGGACTGCCTGGAGGGAAGGAGGGTCTGGAGAGCCAGGCTCTCAGTGTCAGATTTGGAGAAAGTGGACTGCCGGGCCCAGCAGTGGCTTCTGGAAGTTCTGCCACTTTTTACCCCTTTGGTCATTAAATTGTTTGTTTTCCTTATTTTCGTTTGTTTGTTTTAAAGCGTTTTTCCTCCCTTAGATGGTTTTTCCAAAACCACCCTTTGGTAACGGGGTGGACGGTGTGCCGTTGCTAAGCAACGCGAGGGCGGGCCTTGTTGCTGGATTTCCCTCGCTAGGAGGGGGCGGTGTTGCTAGGCAAAACCCGGGGTGCCAATCCCGGGGACCCCCTCCGTGGGGCGGCACTGCAGCGTTGCCGGGTGGCGCGGGCCACCGCCGCCGCTGACCCCGAGTGCACCCTTCCCCTAGGCCTTCGATGGCTTCGCGGCTCTGGGCGTGTCGCGGCTGCTGGAGCCCGCGGACATGGTGCTACTGTCGGTGCCCGACAAGCTCATCGTCATGACGTACCTGTGCCAGATCCGCGCCTTCTGCACCGGGCAGGAGCTGCAGCTGGTACAACTGGAGGGCGGCGGCGGCGCCGGCACGTACCGCGTGGGCAGCGCCCAGCCCAGCCCGCCCGACGACCTGGACGCCGGAGGCCTGGCGCAGCGGCTGCGCGGTCACGGGGCCGAGGGGCCCCAGGAGCCCAAGGAGGCCGCAGACCGCGCAGACGGGGCGGCCCCGGGGGTGGCCTCCAGGAACGCGGTCGCGGGCCGCGCCTCCAAGGACGGCGGGGCCGAGGCCCCCCGAGAGTCGCGACCCGCGGAGGTCCCGGCCGAGGGGCTGGTGAACGGGGCGGGGGCACCGGGCGGCGGCGGCGTGAGGCTGCGACGGCCCTCGGTCAACGGGGAGCCCGGGTCGGTGCCCCCGCCCCGCGCGCACGGCTCCTTCTCCCACGTGCGCGACGCGGACCTGCTCAAGAAGAGGCGCTCGCGGCTGCGGAACAGCAGCTCGTTCTCGATGGACGATCCGGACGCGGGAGCCATGGGAGCTGCGGCTGCAGTGAGTGTCAAGGTCCTTCTTTCTTCCCCCGCCGCAGCGCGGGGTCCCGGGAAGATGGGCAGAGAACGGGCGAGCCCCCAAGGGGCCCCAAGGACAGAGCTGGCGCGAGGGTGACGGTTTCAGAGTGGCGGGGCTCGGCTGGACCCAGGAGGGGCTATCTGATCAGAGGGACCCTGGTGCTGTGGAAGAGTCCTCTGGTGTGGTAGTGAGCTCCTCATTAGGGGACGCATTTGAGCCAAGGCCCACCAGGCAGGGTCCCCAGCTTTGCGGCCAGCCTGGGATAAGTGCTGAGGGTTTTTAGTGCTTGGCACTTGGTGTGGGGAATCAGGCTGCAGAAGTTCCCGGAGCATCCACGTTCCTGGCACTCTGCCCAGTGCTTGGTAGGCTGGAAGGTGGGTTTGGGCATTTCTTTCCCTGCAGGTGGCTCATCGTTAACCAGCAGCCACCCTGCCCCATGAGCTGGGTGCAGACTATCTGTACTCAAGGGGGATTCTCCAGGGCCTCCCAGCCCCAGGACTCTGGCGTACATCTTTAACCCCAGATGCTGGAGACCAGTCTCCTCTTTTCTTACAATGGAAGGTTGGAGATGTGAGATCGTGAGGGCCCGTGTCCCTGCTGTCATCCCCTATGGGTTGTAGGTCATCTCCTAGAGTGTCGTGTCACTGTGCTGAAGGGGACATGGTCCCAGAAAGAGCAGGGATTTGCTCAGTGACCCACAGCTGCTGGAGTCCAGGACACGGGCTTTCCAGCTGGAGTCCCAGCACTGCCCCATCCTGCCTGTCAACCAAGGGGCAGCTCTGCCAGGCTGCTGCAAACCTTCAGCTGTCCAGGAATGACCCCTGCATTTGAAGGAAAGGAGTGAATTCATTGGGAAAGTCTTTCTGGAAGAAGCCACCATTTGAGCTAGGTTGATAAGATGGCCAGGTTTTTCCCAGGTGAAAAATGAGTGGGGTTCTCAAATGGTGGGAACTGCATTAGCAAAAATGTGGCAGCAGGAAAGTTTAGGCCTCGTTTAGGGAACTGCCAGCCATCTCCCGGAAGGTCCATAAGTGGCAATGAGGCCAGGCTGAGAGCAGGAGTCCTGGGTGTAGGGTCAGAGGCACAAGCATTGAGCCTGTGAGTGAGAGACAGAGGGCATGGGTGACACCCACCTGTGGAAGATGTGATACGCAGGAGTCAAGAGGACAAGGCCAGCTTTGGCCCATCTGTTGGCCTCATTAATGTGTGTCAGTGGCTCTTTAAATCTTAAAGGGGAGGTGCCCCCTCTGGGCCCAAGTTCCAGCATCTGGTGTTTCCAAGTCAGGCCTTCCCCCAGCTCTTGTCTCACAGGAGATATCTGACCCATAGGGCTGGAGGGGACTCCTCATTGGCCACCCCCCTCCCCCATGCCCATTGTGTGCAGTGGGAGGTGGTCTGGCCTGGCCCGGCCCTTGGGAGCTCCCAAAGTCCTGGTCTTCCTGGAGGAGGGGCCAGGCATGAGGGTATTGAAAGAGGAATTTGAGGCCGGGCACCGTGGCTCATACTTGTAATCCCAGCACTTTGGGAGGCAGAGGTGGGCAGATCACGAGGTCAGGAGATCAAGACCATCCTGGCCAACATGGTGAAACCCCGTCTCTAATAAAATACAAAAAATTAGCCGGGCATGGTGGTACAGGCCTGTAGTCCCAGCTACTCAGGAGGCTGAGGCAGGGGAATTGTTTGAACCCCGGAGGCGGAGGTCTCAGTGAGCCGAGATTGTGCCACTGCACTCCAGCCTGGCAACAGAGCAAGACTCCGTCTCAAAAAAAAAAAAAAAAGAGGAATTTGAGTTAGACATGAGGAAGCACTGGAATTCCCACGAGGCCTGGCATGCGGAAGCTCTGCGCTGCTGAGGCTGGATTTCTCCACTCTCCTGCTTCTGCCTGTCCCGTCAGCTCAGCACTCTTTATGTGCCTGGCCTGCCCATGGACTCTTAGGGTGTGTATGAAAGCATTTTGCAAGGTGGCATTGAGGCCCCCTGCAAGTTGCTGTCAAAAAAGGGGAGATGTGTGTTTCCCTAGATTCCTTTCTAGAAGCCCTGCAGCTCCCAGGTCACACAGGGCTGGGCTTTCTCCCATTTTACATACAAGGACACAAACAGAGGCCCCAAGGGTGTGACTGGCCCCAAGGCACACAGCAAGTTGGTGGCCAAGCTTGGGAACAAACTGCTGGGTTAGACAACCCTGGGCCCTAGACCAGACCCTTTAGGAGCCTCATCTCTGACCCTCAGTTTCCTCATCTGTAAAGTGGGGAGGGTCGTGGTCCCTGCCTCACAGGGCTGTTGGGAGGATTCAGTGAGTCAGTGCACATAAAGTGCTTTAAGTGCCCGGCACAGAAACACTTGGTAGATATTAGCTGCTGTTATTAGTCAGTGTACCTTGACTGTATTTTTTGGGCCCAGCTCTGTATAAGGGGGAGACATGGGAAACCAGCAGCTGTGACGGGGTGAGTGGGGGTTGGAGCTGTGATGGGGGAGGCCATGGGAGCAGCATCTGCCCAGCCTGGGGATCAGAGGAGGCTTCTGGAGACATGGAAGTCAGGGAGGGAGGCGGGAAGAGTGTGGGGGCCCCGGCAGGGGGGTCTCTGGAGGAAGTAGGGCTGGGCTGGGTCGTGGAGGTCACGTTGGTACCAGGCAGCCCAAGATGGAAGCTGACTCCAGGCTGAGAAAGCTATTTTGGGAACTGAAAGTCGGCCACTGTGGCCAGGGGGCGGTGTCTAGGCGTGGCTCAGGGTGGTAGGAACATTGAGGCTGGGGCCGCCTGAGGCTTTGGCATGAGGCTGGGGGGCTGAGGAGAGATGTGAAACAGTTACACCGGGGGTGAAGGTGTCAGAGAGGCCTCTCAGTTTCAGCTTGAGTCAGCAGGCAGGCCATGGTGGTGGCTGGTGGGGAAGTCACCACTGCCCCAGGCCAGAGAGGATTGCCTCTGAGCCAGGGATGTCCAGGGCTGCCTCTGAGAGAGGTACAGGTGGGAGTGGACACGGGCAGGTCAACCACTGTCCCTGCCCCATGACCCCGACACAGGTCAGATGACCCAGATGTGGGGGGCCAGGGCAGGAGCAGTTGAGGGGCCAGGCTATCAGCTGAGTCGAAAGTTGGGGACCCCCAGGGCTGACAGTCCCAACAAGTCACTAGGGGCGGGCAGGTACATGGGGTCAGCCCTGCCCTTCCAAGCTAAAATTCAAAGATCCAGCCAGCCTGGCTTGTCCTGTGTGTGTGAGCATGCAGCAGCCGCTCCTGGGTGTGGGAACTGAAAAGGCAGCAGGGCACCCCCTTTTGGCCAGGAGGTGGAGGTGCTGGCTCAGGAGGGTCCAGGTCTGGGGAGCCCTGAGGACAGAAGGGGAGGGAGCCTGGTGGGGCCTCTGCAGGAGGCAGGGCTGGGCTGGGTCACACGGATGGGGCCATGTGGGGCAGTGCAATGGTCACTGCATGGGGCCCTGGCCATGACGGAGAAGCCAGCACTAGGTGACAGAAGTCAGAGGTGGCCTGAGGGAATTCCATGGAAGAGGAGTCGAGGCCGGGCGTGGTGGCTCACACCTGTAATCCCAGCACTTTGGGAGGCCAAAGTGAGCAGATCACCTGAGGTCAGGAGTTCGAGACCAGCCTGGCCAACATGGTGAAACCCCGTCTCTACTAAAAATACAAAAATTAGCTGGGCGTGATGGCGGGTGGCTACTTGGGAGGCTGAGGCAGGAGAATCACCTGAACCAGGAGGTGGAGGTTGCAGTGAGCCATGATCCTGCCACTGCACTCCAGCCAGGGCGACAGAGCGAATCTCCATCTCAAAAAAAGAGAGTAGGGAGGAAAGGCCTGGGCTGGGCCCTTCACAGGCTCTCATCCTGTGAGGCCGGAGCTCAGCCCAGCCCCAGGAGGGGAATTGGGAGGCTCGGAGCCTGGGTGTGGATGGGCCCAGGGCCACAGGGCCAGGAAGGATGAAGGCTGTGGCCTTTGCTTGAGGAGGCATTTCTCTTGGAAGGAGGTGGGCCCGGGGGTTCTGTGCATGCAGGACTAGAGGAGGGGCAGGGGCGGGCAGGAGCTGGGGTCAAGGACCCCTCCTCCCCTCTGTATGAGTGGCTCTGGCTGGCCCCAGGCCCAGGCTGGTGGGAAACCCCTCCCAGCCCTCACTGGCCCCTTCTTCCACAGGAAGGCCAGGCCCCTGACCCCAGCCCTGCCCCAGGCCCACCCACAGCTGCAGACTCTCAACAGCCCCCTGGTGAGTAGCAGGAGTGGTGACCATCTCAGTTCAGGCTGCTCACAAAGCCTGGACTGGGGACTTCCTGGGGGTGGGTGGTGGTTAGGGGGTGCCTTATCATCATCTCTGTCTGCAGGTGGGAGTTCCCCCTCGGAGGAACCACCCCCAAGCCCAGGGGAGGAGGCTGGGCTGGTAAGGAGGGCTAAGTGGGAGGAGCTGATGGGTGAGCACCACCTATTCAGGGCCTGGGCTGAGTCCACCCTGTTCTCTGCCTTTTCCACCCCCAGCAACGGTTCCAGGACACAAGTCAGTACGTGTGTGCAGAGCTGCAGGCCCTGGAACAGGAGCAGAGGCAGATAGATGGGCGGGCGGCTGAGGTGGAGATGCAGCTGAGGAGCCTCATGGAGTCAGGTGGGGCATACATCTAGGGATCCCTTCCCCAACACATGCCACTAGGTCTGTCCAGCCCTGCAGCTGTTCCTGACCTTGGGAGGAGCTGGGAGGAGGCACGGCTGGCATCAGCGTTCCCATTTTACAGCCAGGCATGCTGAGGCCCTGAAGTGGCTTCCTCGAGGCACACAGTTCTGGCTTCTGGGATGTCACAAGGGAGCAAACCCCCTCCCCCAACCCCCAGCTGCCCTACCCTGACACGGGGCAGGGGGCAGGCCTGGTGACTGTCCCTGTCCAATGCAGGTGCCAACAAGCTGCAGGAGGAGGTGCTGATCCAGGAGTGGTTCACCCTGGTCAACAAGAAGAACGCTCTCATCCGGAGGCAGGACCAGCTGCAGCTGCTGTGAGTGCTGGCCCCGGGCCAGGAGAGCAGAGGGACTCTTAGCTACTTTGGTTAGAGTTCTTCACTACTTTCTTATTCCTACAGAGATCTTTTTGACAAACGATTCCTCTTCCATCTTACTGTTTTTGTCCTAAACAAATTGCTGTTTAAAGTGTAAAACTGGCCAGGCACGGTGTCTCATGCCTGTAATCCCAGCACCTGGGGAGGCCGAGGCAGGCGGATCATCTGAGGTCAGGAGTTCAAGACCAGCCAACATGGTGAAACCCCATCTCTACTAAAAATACAAAAATTAGCCAAGTATGGTGGCACGCGCCTGTAATCCCAGCAACTTGGAAGGCTGAGGCAGGAGAATCGCTTGAACCTGGGAGGCAGAGGTTGCAGTGAGCCAAGATCAGACCATTACACTCTAGTCTGGGCAAAAGAGTGAGACTCTGTCTCAAAAAATAAAAATTAAAACAAAAATTAAGGGTAAAACTCTTAAATTAGAACTATTTTTACTAATAAGAAAACCGGCCGGGCGCGGTGGCTCACGCCTGTAATCCCAGCACTTTGGGAGGCCGAGGCGGGCAGATCACAAGGTCAGGAGATTGAGACCATCTGGCTAACACAGTGAAACCCCGTCTCTACTAAAAATACAAAACATTAGCCAGGCCTGGTGGCGGGCGCCTGTAGTTCCAGCTTCTGGGAAGGCTGAGGCAGGAGAATCGCTTGAACCCTCCTGGGGTTGAGAGATTGCAGTGAGCCGAGATCGTGCCACTGCACTCCAGCCTTTACAGTAAGGAAAACAGAAGCCCAGAGAGATCTGATCTGGTTCCCATGTGGGGTCCGAAGCCACTCTGCGGCCATTGCCTTTGTCATCCTGCAGGGTGGAGACAGCTTTGCCTCCCTTTTGCGTTTGGGATTTTTCAGAATAACTGTAGCCAGTGCTTCCTGTTTATGAGTACTGTTCATCCAAATAATCCTTCGGGGGTCCTTCTGGGGGGTGTGTGGGAGGAGCAACACAAACACCCAGCAATTGGAGAAAACAGAAGAAAAGCGATAATGTGGTCTGGAGACTAGAGGATAGCTCTGCGGTCAGCCCTGCCCTCGGGAACTGCTGGGGAGGTGGGATGGGGTCAGGGAGTGGCCAGAGCCCTGGGCACTCTCTCCCTACGCCCCTTTTCCTGAACTGCCACCCCCCCGCCACCCACCCCCCGCCACCTTCCAGCATGGAGGAGCAGGACTTGGAGCGAAGGTTCGAGCTGCTGAGCCGCGAGCTGCGGGCCATGCTGGCCATCGAAGGTGGGACATGGGCTCAGGGGCCGGGAGGCAAGACAGAGCCAGGGTGGAGGCGGCACAGCCCTGGGCCCGCGCCTCCTGACGCTTAGCCGCTTCGACCCTCAGACTGGCAGAAAACGTCCGCTCAGCAGCACCGAGAGCAGCTCCTACTGGAGGAGCTGGTGTCGCTGGTGAACCAGCGCGATGAGCTAGTCCGGGACCTGGACCACAAGGAGCGGATGTGAGTGGCGCTGGGCGGCGCTGGGAGTTGGGAGGGTCCGGGACTTGCTCCCGCAGAGGGCTGCGTGTGGACCCCGCCCAACGGAGCGCTGACTCGAACCCGTTCTCCCCAGCGCCCTGGAGGAGGACGAGCGCCTGGAGCGCGGCCTGGAACAGCGGCGCCGCAAGCTGAGCCGGCAGTTGAGCCGGCGGGAGCGCTGCGTGCTGAGCTGAGGCCGCCGGCCCGGGTGGCCCATAACTTCTCGCGTCCCCGGCGTCCGCCGCCGCCCCGGGCCTGCGCTGCGGACGACCCGGCCGTCCCGGAGGCCGCGCGCGTGTCCGCTAGGGGCCGCCGGCGCCCTTCCCCGTACAGGGCAGGGCGGATCCCCGACCCCACGGGCGGGGCGGCCGCCGTATTTATTTGTCACCGAGGGTGTGTGCGCGCTCGCGGCGGGTGCGGGGTCCTCCCCGACGGCACGGCCGGGCCGGCGGCCTCGGGGAGAGGGATGCCTGGGCACTACCGCCCCGCGCTGGCTTGCCCTCCTGTTCTCCAGAGCAATAAAGTTGGACGAGACTACCCCAGCGCCGGCCTTTTCTCCGCTCCACCTGGGCTCTCAATAGGCGGAGGGGAGTGCGCCGAGGCTGAGGCGGGCGGCTCTGCCATCCTAAGCCGGAAGGTGCGGTTTCGAGGTTCCCAGGGCCAGCGGAGGCTGGACCTCGGCCTTCCCGGGATGGTGGCCGGTGGCTCAGGGAAGTCCCATTCGAAATAGTTGAAAATAGCCGAAGTCGTTGCTCATTTTATGATTAACAGTATCCTCTGAGGCCTCCCGCCCACCCTCACCGCGGCTCCATCTCCAGATTCTTCCCCAGCCACTCCTGGCTGCTTCCTCCTCAGGTGCCGCCACCTTACGGAGCTGAACTCGGTCACCTGACGCTTCAGCAAGCAGGGGCTTGTCCTGAAGCTGGGGCCGCGGGCGGCAGGGTGCTCAGAGCCAGTTCATCCTGCCCTAGGATGCCACCTTGGTCCTCAGCAGTCACAGGACCACTGGGTCTGAAGAACTTCCCCATGGCACGGACCTGCGGCAGCTCAGAGAAGGTCTCCACTGCCAGCAGCATGGCCAAGAGTCCTAGAAGCAAGTAACCTGGGGAGGAGAAGGTGCTGGGGCAGCGCCTGGGTTCTGGTGATGCTCCCCGCCCACCTCCCAGCGCAGTGACTTGCCCTGGCAACTGGCACCACTCACCCCCTTCTCAACGCTGCCACCAGAGCTCTTCGACTACCCCTCCCACGCCGTGCCCTGGAGTGAGGTCCCTCCACCTGCAAGGCCCAGCCCCCCAGTGATTTATGGGAGTCCTAGTCCAGGCTCCTCTTCCCCCTTCCCCCACACGCTGTTAGGTGGCTGGACTTACCAAGAAGTGCGAGCTGGCCCAGGTGGTAAATCACGGGGTGCAGGCTGCGGCCGCGGCCGGGCAGCAAGTCCTCCAGGCCAATGGTGCTGAGCGAGCTGAAGCAGAAGTAGACGGCCCCCAGCAGGCTGCAGTCGCCCTGAAGGCCCCACAGCACCAGCGCTGGCAGCAGCACAAAGCTGCTGGCCACCAGCAGTCCCAGTGCAACTGCCTGCAGCAGCGCAGCCCTGGCCGGTGACAGCTGCCAGTGGACCGCTACCCAGGCACGTGGGCGGCTGAGCACAGGCAGCAGGCAATGGCGCAGGGTGGCCACGAGAGCTAAGGAGGCTGGCAGCCCCAGGGCTGCATAGACCATGCAGAAGGCCTTTCCGCCTGGCGATAGTGGGGCCATGTGGCCATAACCTGGAGAAGAGAGAGTCAGTGGACAGTGAGAGCTCTGAGTGCCATGTCTGCTGGGGTCCCTGCCTACCCCAATACTGCCTTCCGCAGAAGGCTGCCCTCTGGTGGCCTTGAACTGGCCAGGCCCAGGTTCTAGCTGGCTCTGCTCCTCTTCGTCAGGGGATCCCTTACCCTCTCTAGGCCATTCTTTTCTTTTTTGGAAAATGAAAGGATGAAAGAAGACAGTTCCTCAGGCCTTTTGTAGCTGGGACAATTCTGAGAACTGCGCTGCCCTTAACAGATACTCCCGATTCCACAGCTGGTGGAATATCATCCACTCTTTCCCCAAATGTGTGTCATGTCCTGTGTGCCAGGCTTTGTACTGGGATCTGAATCAGCCCAGGCCCTGCCCCTTCTGGTGGGGGAGTCGGGCAGGCAAATCATGAAGGGCTGCAAAGAGGCAGCATGGGCGAGAGAGGGCATGTGCCAGGCGGGGAGGGGTGGGAGTGCGGGGTGTGCTGGGAGAACAGGATCAGCTAATACAGAGCTGCAAACGCACATGCCTACCGGAGCCAGATGGGAGACAAACAGGAGTGGTGGGGACAGGGGTACACTGGAAAGTGTGAGCTGTATCCAAAGGGCAGGCCCCATTCTGCTCCAGTCAGGATGTTGCCTTGCAGGGATTCTGGCTCAGTGTGAGTGGGTTTCCTGATTTTCCAAAAGAAGTTGGAAATATGAGCTGGGCACAGTGGCTCACACCTGTAATCCCAACACTTTGGGAGGCTGAGGCAGGTGGATCACTTGAGGTCAGGAGTTTGAGAACAGCCTGGCCAACATGGCAAAACCCCGTCTCTACTAAAAACACAAAAATTAGCCGGGCATGGTGGTGCATGCCTGTAGTCCCAGCTACTCAGGAGGCTGAGGCAGGAGAATTGCTAGAACCCGGGAGGTGGAGGTTGCAGTGAGCCAAGATCGCACCACCGCACCCCAGCCTGGGTGACAGGGTCAGACACCGTTTCAAAAAAAAAAAAAGTTGGAAATACAAATTCCAATTCAAAAAATACTGAGACACTTTGTGGGGCAAAAAATACGAAAACCCAGGGCTGTGGGTCTCATTGCTGCTTTTCCCTGGGCCTGTGCCCACGCGATTTCTCTGCAGGACTCCCTCATCCCTGTCTGTGCCCTCCTGATCCACAAGCATCTCATGCCGACTTCCTCCCCTATCTTCCCTCACTCCCCCACCCGAGGCCATGGTCCTGATCTGTCCTTCCCAGGTTCATTCTATTTGCTTCCATCCAAGAATCCATCCCACTGTATTGTATCCCCTATCTGGCCACAGGCTGTGGCATCTGGGCAGCTCTCCTGGGTCTCAAAGGGTGCCTGGGGTGGGACTGGGGAGGCCACACCCTTCCTGGCAGTTGAAGTGGAGGCACCAGTTGGGGTGTGTTGGTGGGGAGCCCCAGCTGTGATGTCAGGCCTCACAGGGCCTGGGCTCCATCTGGCTCTTTGGGGCTGAAGGAAGGGCTGCATGAACCCCAAAGCCCCCAGGGAGCCATGGCCTCTTGGAGCCGCACCCCCCGACTTGGCTGCCTGGCTCTCTTACCTGTGGTGGTGAGGATGCTGGCAGCGAAGAGCAGGGCTGAGGGAAGGTCCCAGGTCCTGCCCTCTGAGCTGTTGCCCAGGGTGGAGACCCCATGGGCCTGGGTGGCCAGGGCAGTGCCCAGCAGCTCTTCCAGAGCTCCGGGTGGCAGGCAGGCCCTATGCTCTGCCTGGAAGGCTGCCAGCTCTGCCCTGAGCTCAGCCTGAAGCCTGCATGCAGGAGGCCCCTCCAGGGCCTGGAACACCACAGCCCCAAGCCCCAGGGCCAGCAAGTGGGCCACAACCAGGAGCCCGTATCGGGACCAGGGCCTTAGACCCCCCATGGCAGGCCGCTGGGGTGCTGTGGGAACTGGCGGCTCCACCTCAGGCACCTGGGAGGGGCTGGGCAGGGCGGGGCCAGGAGGAGGTGCTGTGTGGGTGGCTGGGACCCGGCTGGGATGGCTGGGGTGGCTGGGGTGTGAACAGGAGGGAGGTGAGCTGCATCACCCTTCCCAGGTCCTGGAGGCAAGACATTTGCCCATTTCACAGCAGCTGGGATGGTGGGGATGGGTGGAGGAAGGCGGCTGCGGTGAGGGGAGGAGGCGGAGGAAGCTGAAGCCTAGAGAGGACCTCACACTTATTCAAGGTCCTGCTCACTCAGGCACCCATACCACATTCATTCATTCATTCATTCATTCAAGTGCTTAGGGAAGAGGACAGGCACAGGTCCTTTCCTTCCTGGTGTTTACACAAGAAACCTCTTAGCAAAGAAACATGGCAACCTCACATTGTCATGAGTTCCATGAAGGAAACACCCTGGGTGATGGGAGAGCTCTGCGGGGAGCGGGGGGGTTATCTCACTGGGAAAGCTCTGCTAAGGAGGTGATATTTCAGCTGGGGAGTAAGAGGCCAGTGAAGGTAGGAATGAGCTTGGGGTGTGAGAGGAACAGAGGGCTGGCTGTGGCAGGGGAGAGTTGGGGGTGAAGGGGGGATAAGGACACAGGCCCTTGAGGATAAATGTGGTCCAGGGAGACCTACGCTGGGCTACTGTAGGCGTCATGGATGGAGTGATTTTGGCCTGGGTGGTGTGGTGGGAGAGGAATGGTGGCAGCTGGGAAGGATCAGGTGGGGGTGGGAGGTGGGGAGAGGACTCCAGGGTGCCCAGAGCACCCGGGCAGATGATACCCTTGCGCCCGATTGCCAGTTCTTCCTGAGAACGCTTTGTGCCTGCCCTCCTGACTCCCTGCCCCTGAACTGCAGACACAGAGTCTGGGCTGCCATGGGGCACCTGGGAGAGGGGAAGGGGGAGCCTGGGTTCCAACTCCTCTAACGTCAGAGGGGCTGAGGACAGAGGCCAAGGAAGGGACCCAGCCCTAGGGTATGGTGTGGGAGTGCCAGAGCCCCCATGGCAGTGTGAAGAGAATGGACAGAGGCCGAGGGAGGGACCCTGCCCTAGGGTATGGTGTGGGAGTGCCAGAGCCCCCATGGCAGTGTGAAGAGAACTGTCAGGGGTGCCAGATGCCATGGCAAGTCACCATACTGGGAGGTGGGTGGAACTTACTACTCTTTTTTTTGAGATGGAGTCTCGCTCTGTCGCCCAGGCTGGAGTGCAGTGGTGCAATCTCGGCTCACTCAACCTTCGCCGCCCGGGTTCAAGCTATTCTCCTGCCTCAGCCTCCCAAGTAGCTGGGGCTACAGGCACCTGCCACCACGCCTGGTTAATTTTTGTATATATATATATTTTTTTCAGTAGAGACGGGGTTTCACCATATTGGCCAGGCTGGTCTCAAAATCCTGACCTTGTGATCTGTCCGTCTCGGCCTCCCAAAGTGCTGGGATTACAGGCGTGAGCCACCATGCCCGGCCTATGGTTTTTTGTTTTTTTTTTTTTTGAGACGGAGTCTTGCTCTGTTGCCCAGGCTGGAGTGCAGTGGCGTGATTTTGGCTCACTGCAACCTCCACCTTCCAGGTTCAAGCAATTCTCCTGCCTCAGCCTCCAGAGTAGCTGGGACTACAGGCATGCACCACCACACCTGGCTAATTTTTGTATTTTTAGTAGAGATGGGGTTTCACCATGTGGCCAGGTTGAACTCCTGACCTCATGTGATCCGCCGGCCTCGGCCTCCCAAACTGCTGTGATGACAGGAGTGAGCCACTGCACCTGGCCGAGAAGAGCCTTGAATGACTGACCAAGGCTGGTGGATTTGGTCCCAGGAGAGGCATGCAGTACAAGGCATCCAACTGCCTATTGTTGGGGCATCAGGACACCAGGGTTGTATGATAGGTTGGGTCACCTGGTTACCTCCAAGAAAGGTGACAGGCTACATGTGGGGAGACAGCTTTTGAGTTTATTTGGCTTCTGGCTTCACTGGATCCCGAGGCTAAGACTCCAACCCTGGCTGGGGCAGCAGGAAGGCATCCAGAGAGCCCTGGCCCCAGATGACCCCCAGGGCAGGAGGTCCATGCTCTAAGCCCTAGGGCAGGGGCCGCAGTAGCAGGACTTGGTCAAAAGTGCTGGTGACAGCTGAGGCCGGCCCCTCTTCCCTGCACCTCCCCTCCTCCCTGCATCACCCCAGCAGGCAATTCCCTGAGACAGGCTCTGGTCCTCCCAACCAGCTGGGTACAGTGTTGGGCCCCAGTAGGGCAGGTGAGCTGGGGGGACCTACAGGTTTCAGATGTGGGGGCGCAGGTCCCCCTTCCAGTGTGAAGGCTTCCTGTGCAGTGTAGTGTTCCTGACCCCCAAAGGGGGGTGGGGTCCCTGGGGAAACTGAGGCAGCTGCAGAGGCTGACCCAGCTCCTGTTCCAGTGTATGCTGTGACTCCTCCTAAGGCAGCTGGAGCTCGGGGGAGTGGCCTGGCCCACTCAAGGCCCCGCTTCCGGCACCCACGGGGCCTGGGCACCCATGTCTTTGGTCTGTGCCCTGCAGTCCTGGGGGCCCCCCTGGAAGGGGTTGGCAGGTGGGGAGTCCCAGAAGGGGTCTGAGTCCGGGAACAAGGTCCAGGGTGCTCGGCGGGGTGCAGGCTGTGGTGATGGCAGGGGAGAAGGCCGTGGCCCAGCTGACACAAAGCTCCAGGGATCAATGCGGCTGCGAAGGGGCGAGGGCCGAGGTCGGCTGATGAGGCCCAGGGGTGGTGAACGTGGGGTGCCTGGGGTGCCAGGAGCAGAGCGTGATGTCCCCGGTGGGGGTGAGACAGTGCCTCCTGTGAGGATATAGGAGGGGCACAGGGTCAAGCAACCCCCAACTGCTGAGGTCCCCAAGACACTGTCCTGCTCTGGGCCTCAGTTTCCCCATGTGCACAGTGACCTACTTGACTCAACTTCCACCGCCCTTCCTGCTCCGTGGTGCCTCTGTTTTTTGTAATAGTTAGGAGTGAGGCCTCTGCAGCAGGCTGGCCTGGATGTGGATCCCGGCCCTGCCACTTACTAGCTGTGGGAGCTGTGGGTCCCTTAATCTCTGTGCCTTAAATTTCCTCATCTAAAAATGGGCATCCAGGAGCGCTTAGTTCTCTGGTTGTTATGACTAAATGAGACCATCTCGGGAAAGCCTTGCAAACAGTACTTGGCACAAGTAAGGAGCCAGGAGTTTGCTACGATTATGATTACATGTATGCTGTGTCGCCCAGGCTGGAGTCCAGTGTCATGATCACCGCTCACTGCAGCCTCAACCTTTCAAGGCTCACGTGATCCTCCCAGAGTGCTGGGATCACAGGCGTGCACCACTGCCTGGCCCGATTACTTCTTTTATTTCACAGCAGGCATCGCCCCCACCTGCCTGGACCACCTGATAGCTGAACTTAGAACTCTGCTCCCTACATGCGTCTTCAGTACCCCGAATGCCTGGTTCAGGGTCCAGCTGATGACTGTGGTCTCGGCCTTGCCTCCTTGCATGTCCCCACCAGCCACTCCTCCCTCCCTGGGAACCCCCGTCTCCCATATGTGAAGCAGGCCGGCTTCAGGCCACTCACCGCGGGGCTCCTCCTCACGTCGGGGGCTCTTGGCTGACCGCTGGCCCACAGGGATACCCAGGTCCAGCAACAGGGGTGCAGGAGTGGGCGGGGAGTCGGGCGTCTTGAGCGAGAAGCAGATGAGCGGGGAAGGGGGCGGCTCGGTCGGGCAGGGCGCGGGCGTTGGCGTGGGGGGTGTTGTCGGGGACTCCCCGCGCTCGCGTCCTGGGCCTCCCGGCGGCTGCAGGTCGCGGCCAAGGCCCAGCGAGGCGAGCAGGGCGGTGCCGCGCAGCAGCGCCCGCTGGATCAGCTTGGGCGTCCCAGAGCTGCTACCGCGCTCTGCGGGGACAGGCCTCTTGGGCTCCTCGGGCTCCAGGCTAGGCCGCGGGGGGTTACCTGCGGGCAGAGGCGGCACAGGTGAGGGTGTGGCTGGTGCATATTCCGGGTGAGGGCCCAAGACCTCTCCGTGGTCTTGGAACAAGGACTGAGTTCTGCCCTCTACTAGCATCTTCCCTGGTCCCACAGGTCCCATGGCCTCCCCATCACATACCCACATTCTGGCCTTTCACAAGATGGGCACTGGGAGGGGAGGGCAGTGCAGGTGGAGGAAGCGGCAGCAAAGCCCAATGGCAGCCAGCGACCCCAGACCCGAAAGATGGATGGGCAGTCCCAGTGGAGGCAGGCTGGGGCCAGGTCACAGTGGGCCTCTGTGGCCTGCCAGGGGCAACCTCCAGGCCCAGGGGCATGGCAGGTCCCACTGACTGGGACCGGCGCCCTGTGCTCTGTGCCCACCAGCTTCCTGGCTTGGCAGCCCTGCCCCTTCTGCCCACCCACCCCCGCTCCAGCTGTAGCTTATAAGATGCACACAGTCAACTCTAAGGTACATGGCAGCCCTGAGGGCATAAATCCCTGTCTCTATTCTAGAAAGGAGGAAAATGAGGTTCAGAGGGGTCAGTACCTTGCCCAAGGTCACAGCTAATTTACAGAGTATGTATTTGTGCCAGGCCTGAGCTGAATGGCATAGGGGCATTATGTTGTCTGATTCTCATGCCCCAGGGGTTCCAGGCTCAGAGAGGTTGAGGGCTTGTGCGGAGCTGTACAGCCAGTGAAAGGTGGAGCCGGCCTCACCCCAGGCAAGGGCAGTAGAACCTTTGCTCTCCACCATTTCCCAGCCAGACTCTGCCCTAGATTTCAAGACACTAGTGTCCTACCTTCCAGTCTAGGGTTGGCCTGACTCCATTCTAGACCACTTGGGCAGGGATGGGGAACCCCTCATTAAGGACAAGGGACTCTAGGATGGGCTCTCACAAGCCCTGATTTTGTCAGATCCCTCCTTGGCTCTAGAAACTGCTGTGGCTCTCCACTGTCACTAGGAGAAAGTCTGGCCTCCTTGGCTGGTCCTCTGAAGCCCTCCCTGGCCTTGTCCCTCTGCCTTTCCCCTCCTGCCTGGAGTGCAGCAGCAGGTTGGATGTCGGGAGGGAGAAATACAAGGCTGGGAAAAATGAGCTTCTACTATGAACCAGGACTTAGCTCACAGTCCCTTCTGTCAGCCCCAACCCTTACTCAGACTCTCTGCCTCTTACCTCACCCAACTCCCACCCCGGCCACTGCCACTGAAGGGACAAGGGAATCCTTCTAAAATGCAAACCTGTTAAAGACAGGTCTCTGCTTAAAAACTACCCATCACTTCCAGCTTCATTCACTCATTCATTCAATCAACATCTACTGACCCATGTGCCTTGGCCCCTGTCCGCAGCCCCAGTCCTGAGACTCCTCGGCTCTCAACTCTTCTCGGAGTTCAGCCAGGTTGCCTTTTCCTTGGGTATGGTGAGCTGCATGCCTGCGCACACACTATTCACTCTGGGTGGCTGACCTTTCCCACCTTGGCTTTCAGTGACCTCTTATGCACCATCCAAGACCAACTGGGATGTCACTTCCTCTGTGAAGCCCTCCCAGAATCTCCCTGAACCTACACAGTTATTGCTCACGTTATGCCTCATAGAGGTGCTACTGGACTTGTTTATGAGTCTGCCTGCTTCATCATATGAGGTCAGGGCAGTGTTTAACATGTTGATGCCTGGCTCTTAAAATGCAAATCCCTGGGCCAGGCGCGGTGGCTCACATCTGCAATCCCAGCACTTTGGGAGGCCCAGGTGGGATGATCACGAGGTCAGGAGATCGAGACCATCCTGGCTAACACGGTGAAACCCTGTCTCTACTAAAAACACAAAAAATTAGCCAGGCGTGGTGGTGGGCGCCTGTAGTCCCAGATACTCAAGAGGCTGAGGCAGGAGAATGGCATGAACCCAGGAGGCGGAGCTTGCAGTGAGCCAAAATCACACCACTGCACTCCAGCCTGGGCAACAGAGCGAGACTCCGTCTCAAAAAAAAAAAAAAGCAAATTCTTGTTTGATGAAGAATCCATTTTTATAATCCTTGCACCAACCACGAGGTTATCATATCACCCCCACTTCGCAGGTGAAGAACTGATCATTTACAGTGAGTTTAAACAGAAGAGGGGAAATCATGTTTAAAAAAAAGAAAGAGTTGGCCGGGTGCGGTGGCTCACACCTGTAATCCCAGCACTTTGGGAGGCCAAGGTGGGCGGATCACGAGGTCAAGAAATCGAGACCATCCTGGCCAACATGGTGAAACCCTGTCTCTACTAAAAAATACAAAAATTAGCAGGGCATGGTGGCACGCACCTGTAGTCTCAGCTACTTGGGAGGCTGAGGCAGGAGAATCGCTTGAACCCAGGAGGCGGAGGTTACAGTGAGCCGAGATCCCGCCACTGCGCTCCAGCCTGGGTGACAGAGTGAGACTCCATCTCAAAAAAAAAAAAAAAAAAAGCAAGAGAGGCTGGGAGTGGTGGCTCAAGCCTATAATCCCAGCACTTTGGGAGGCCAAGTAGGGCAGATCACTTGAGGTCAGGAGTGCATGACTAGCCTGGCCAACATGGTCAAACCCTGTCTCTACTAAATACAAAAATTAGGCCGGGCATGGTGGTTCACGCTTGTAATCCCAGCACTTTGGGAAGCTGAAGCAGGTGGCTCACTTGAGGTCAGGAGTTCGGGACCAGCCTGGTCAACATGGTGAAACCTCATCTCTACTACAAATACAAACATTAGCCGGGCATTGTGGCACATGCCTGTAATCCCTGCTACTTGGGAGGCTGAGGCAGGAGAATCACTTGAACCTGGGAGGTGGAGGTTGTAGTGAGCCGAGATTGCACCACTGCCCTCCAGCCTGGGCAACAGAATGACACTTCATCTCAAAAAAAAAAAAATTAGCTGGGCATGGTGGCACATGCCTGTAATCCCAGCTACTGGGGAGGCTGAGGGAGAATTGCTTGAACGTGGGAGGTGGAGGCTGAAGTGAGCTGAGGTCGCACCACTGCACTCCAGCCTGGGTGACAGAACAAGACTCCTTCTAAAAAAAAAAAAAGAAAATAGCAAGAGCAAGCTGGGTGTGGTGGCTCACACCTGTAATGCCAGCACTTTGGGAGGCTGGGGTGGGTGGACTACTTAAGCGCAGCCCAGCCTGGGCAACATGGCAAAACCCCATCTCTACAAAAAATATAAAAATTAGCCAAGCATGGCATGCACCTGTAGTCCCTGCTACTCAGGAAGCTGAGGTGGGAGGATCACTTGAGCCTGGGAGGCAGAGTTTGCAGTGAGCCATGATCATGCCATTGCAGTCCAGCCTGGGTAACAGAATGAGACTCTATCTTTAAAAAAATAAAAGACAGAAATGAGACAAAGGGAAGAGAAGATAGGGTCCAGCAGACAAAATGAGAGTGAACAGAAGTTCCTGCAGTCAATGGCCTGAGAAACTGAGGTTCTGAAGGGTAAGGGACTTGGTCAACATAATCCAGCTAGGATTTGAATCTGCCTCTAAGCTTCCTGGCAGCAAGAGTTAGCAACTCTGTTGTTTAGGAGAAAGCTGCGTGACTATTCTTGACCCAAAGATAGATAGATAGAGGCGAAACTGCTTCCGTGAGGTCTCACAGGGAGGACACAGCCACGTAGTTATTGGCTCTAAGGCAACAAGCTTCACAGGGCAGTTGCTATCAGCGTAGCTGAGTGCACCCTGCCAATGTGCCACTCCTTGCAGCCAGCTCTCCAGGGACCAGAACAGCCCACTGGGGACAGGGTGAGGGTGTGTGTGACTCTCCAGTGGTATGGCTTATGCCGGGGACCATCTCACAGGGTCTGGGACCTCTGTGAAGCCCCATTATTTGATTCTTAGCTGGGTTTCGGGGGGTGGCTGTGAGGTCAATGTCATGTACTTTCATGGACCCAGATGATGCGTGGAGTGTGGGATTGGGCTAGGGGAACCAGATGCTCAGCCAGCCACTGAGCTGGGCAGCTGACATCCTTTCAGGGCAAGTGGCAATCCATTTCTTCATCAGCCAGGAAGGGCACTGGTGTTGAGGCCGACATACTTATCAAGAACAGTAACTACCATGGTTTCCAGTGCTTTCATGAAACCTCAGACATGTGGCCTTCTGGCCACACATCTGCAATTTCATATTGTGGGAGCATTCACTGTATCCCTGGGGGCTGCGGCTCTCTCAGTTTGCAGGGGCTGGACCAAGAAAGAAGGCATTTCAGATTTCTATGGGCACAGATGTCTACAGAAGTTATGATGCCATGAAATACTTCGAGGAGATGAGGAAGGCTGCTATCTCTCAGAATGCAAAGTGATTTTGGAATATGAAGAATTTCTTTGGGTTGAATTACTTAGAAGTTTGTCACTGATCTGAACTATTCATGAATATATGGGCTAATAAGTAGTTTCTCTTCATAAATAATTAACAAATTCTTTGGATAAAAAAACATGGGGCAAGCTTGAGAACGATGGGGCCCAGGCCCCTTGTGCCCCTGCTTCTGGGAGCTGAGGGCCAGAGAGTTCTGTGGAACAGTCAGGACCTGCTTCAGCCTACACACCTGGGTTGACAGGCTCTCAAGTTCTCCTTTGGCCCATCTGGCCTGGTACAATTTAGAGCAAGTGAATTCAAGAAGCCTCCTTGGCCTTCCAGCTCTCAGTTCAGTCCCTGCAGGACAGATGCTGGGGGCAGTGCAGCTGCTGGAGTAGCAAATGGCGGGGCAGATGGAGGCCCAGGGCTCTGCCTCTGTGGTCAGACAGGCAAGAGCAGATCAAATCCCTGCTCTACTGGTTGCCTTACATCAAACCACTTAATCTCTCTGTGCCTCAGTTTTCTCTGTTGTAAAATGCAGGCCAATACTACTACTCCCCTCACAGAACTGCTTGGCACATAGAAGAGAACCAACAAAGGTTAGCTGTTGTTACAACTATCAAGTGTAGCTCAGGGAATGGAAGAGGCGATGGGCTGGGTGGGATGGGAGGAGTGAGTTTAAACGGCTTGCTGAACAGGACTCTTCTGAGAGCAGCTAAGCGGGTCCTACATTCTGGCTGTGAGCAGCAGGTGTGGGGGCTCTGAGGATGGTCCCTAGGTTGGCACAGGGACCCACAGGCAAGGGAGGCCATAACTCTCTGGCCTCACTCAGAGCTGGGCAGTGTTGAGCTGAGTGAGCCCTCCTCCCTGCAATGCTGGAGCCCTGCCTTCTGCCTGACCCTCTGGCTTCCTAAGCAGTCTATACGTGAGAAGCCCTTTCTTCAAGTGAAAGCTTCTGAGCTCACTACGAGAGCATTGGAGCTGAAGCCTCTCTGGGTTCAAATCCTCAGCTGGGGGTTTGAGGTAGGTTACTTCACCTCTCAGAGCCTCAGTTTCCTTATCTGCAAAATGGGGTAATAGTAGCCCCTCTTCATCAATGCTTGGAGGGAATGCCTGGCACAGTAGGGCAGTTACCGTCATGGAGAACAGAAAGGCCCCGAGCTATCCTGGATGTGGTGAGAATGGGTCCTGGATCCTGCCTGCTCGGCCTTCTCATTCTCTTCTTCACCTACAGGCTCCCAGAAGGGGCTCTGAGAAGCACAGTGTGGCTGACACTTGTTTGGCTCCACCCCACACAGGCTGATTCCTTCCCCCATCTGGGTCCAGCTTCCCTTGGGTACCAAATGCCAGGTGGGCTTCCTGTCTTTCTTTTCTCCCTGGAGCCTGCTAAAGGCACAGGGGCTGCCATGGGGCCAGGGAAGAGGCTTCTTGCAGGCCAGGTCTGAGCAAGGGGATGAGACTCTGGGCCCCGAGCCGAGGCCTGGGCTGTATGCCGCTTGATCGTGGGCCTGTAGGTCAGACCTGGGTTCCAGGATCGGCTCTGTCTTGTCTCAGCCTTGGTTTCCTAGTCTCTAGAATGAGAGCAACCAGGGCAGGACTCCTGCTTTGCCTACTAGCCTATTGTGGCCTCCCCAAGGTGCCCACGGAAGGAGCTCAGCCAGATCCTGCCGGGGGAGGAAGGCCACTCACCATTGAGTGCTGGGGGTGTGGAAGGAGATCCTAAGGGGGATGAGTCATCTGAATCCAGGTACCATGTGGCTTCGTCCATGCGGGACCTTCTCCTGGTGATGGGAGGGCAAGGAGGGGTGCTTTAGGAATTTCAGGACTTGGGGAAAGCAAATGATGCTGGGTCTGGGGGGCACTCAGGTACTCACCTCCCATTCTGGGCTTCCCCAGGCTTGGGGGAACTGGGACCCCAAGCCCAGCATGCTCGCCGCTCTCCATTGCTTGAGTCCTCCAGACGTCGGGGGGACTGGCGGCCCCATGCCTGGCCTGGCTCTGCAGGCTCCACTGCAGGGGAAACCGATGAAATCGGAGATAATCTTTATTCTCCCTCCATCATCACAGTCAGGCTTCAGAGATAAACTTTAGAGTATGGGGAGCAGGCTGGGCCCTGTACCATTCCCAGGGTGAGCTTTGGGCAAGATAGATGGGTTTGGGTCTTGGGGCCAACAGTGGGGTGGGGCATCTCATCTAGCCCTTGGGCTGAAGTTTGCTGCTTAGTAATTAGTACAGACACTGACACCAACTGCCTGAGTTTGATTCTGGCTCTTCCACTTATTAACTGTGTAACAAGTTACTTTTTTCACTTTTCTCATCCATAAAACTTAAATTAACAACAAAAATAACTACCAAATAGAATTATTGCAAGAAATTAATATTAGCAAAGCATTTAGAAAATTAGTAGTACATAGTGTCATACAATTATTTGACTAAAAAAAAATAAGTAAAATTAATGCTGCTTGGGGAGTTCAGAGGTAACAGGCTAGACCTAAGGCAGGGAGCCTGGGGGCGGGGAGGAAGAGGGGATAGTGAGTGGGCTCCGCCTCCAAGAATAAGGTCTGACAGAGAATAAGGAGCTGGGGGGCGGAGAGGGGCATGAGAGGTGAAGTTTCTTACACTGGATGGCTCGGAACCGGGGAAAGGTGGGCGAATCCCCAGGCCCGACCTCGAAGACGTTTCTCCTCCGGTCAAGGCCGGGTGAGGCCTGCACGGTGATGCGGTGCTTGAAGTCTGGGATTTGGGTTGGGGGGAGCAGGGTTCAGGTTTGTGATGAAGTAGAGCCAGGACCCCAACCTGCAGGGGCCCAAGGCCAGCTCCCAGGCCACATAGGGAGCGGCACGATGGCTGTGAGACTGTGACCAGCCTCACTGCTTTCTTGAGCCCCTGGGTCTGGATAAGGAAAGCTACTCGTCTGAGTCGGAGATGCCCTGGCGCCGGCCGGCCCCGCCCACTAGACCTTCCCAGAACTTTCGTGAACCCCACCCCTTCCCACTCCCAGACCGACATGCAAATACTTCCGCCAGAACCCGCCCACAGACAGAAAAAAAACACTCCTGGCTCCACCCCTCCCAGCCTTCATCTCACGGGCCCACCCACAACACCCTAAACCAATCCCAGCGCGGTGAGCACACAGGCCTGGCTCCACCCCCACCCCCGCAGCCAATGGCGGGGGACGCCCCGGGGCCCGGCCCTCACCGAGTGGCATGCTGATACGCTCGCCGCCGTCGCGCGCCCGGAGCTTGCTGCGCTTGAATGTCCCGCGGCGGCGGCGCACGTGCGGTCGCTCGCGGTCCACCTGCTGCAGCAGCAGCGTCAGCTCGCGCTCGAACACCTCTAGCTCCCACTGGGCCAGCAGGTGCTCGCGCCGCCGCAGCTGCTCCGCCTGTGACCGCTGCTCGCGCGCCGCTCGCGTCAGCTCCTCCTCGCGGCTCAGTAGTTCCTGCGCCCGAGACAGCGATGGTGGAGAGGTCAGCCTGGCACCAATCCCGGCAGCGCCCGCCCCGACTCTGCCCCAGGGAGATCGGGGAGACACTCGTTCCAACGCTGGGTCCCTTGATTCCTCGCACCTTTTCCTTGGCTCGCAGCTCGTCGAAGAGACCCTGGATCTCGCGCTTCCAGCCTTCCTGCATGGAATGGAAGGAGTCCCGCGGCATTTCCCGTAGGACCTGTGCCTCCAGCGCCTCCAACTGCTGCAGGATGGAGGCGAAGTCGGGCCTGCGGTGGGGGTCCTGCGCCCAGCAGTCTAGGGGCACGGCGTGCAGCGGGGACAGAATAAGAAGGGGTCCGTGGGTGGATGTGTCCTGGGCCAGGGAGCTCTGTACCTCACCTGCCCTCCCCGTCCTCTTACCGGCCATAAGCTGTGCGAAGGGCTCGGGGCAGGTGGATGGGATGGGCAGTGTGAGCTTGTTAACAGCTACGCCATAGGCCACAGCAAGGCAGTCAATGCCACGGTATGGCACCTCCCCGGTCAGCAGTTCCCACAGCAGCACCCCAAAACTGTGGGCGAGACAACAGGTCTGTGTTCCCTTTTCTCTCCCAACCCCCACCCCCTTACTGCCACTTCACCCAAAAGCAACTAGGAGCCAAGTGGTTTGGGTCCCTGTCCCTGGACTTGGCCCAGCCCTAGATTTAGGCAGCCACCTCTGCCCTCTGCAGCCCCGTAGCAGCCCGTCCAGCCCCACCAAGGGCCGCACCTCCAGACGTCACTGCCCTTAGAGAAGGTGGAGGCCTTGATAACCTCAGGAGCCATCCAGGCGTAGGTGCCCGCGGCACTCATTTGTGTGGTTTTGTGCCACTCTCGGGCCAGGCCAAAGTCGGTGATCTTCAGGGTCTTGTGCTCCATGTCGTCACTCTCAATGGGCTGCAGCAGCAAAACTAGAGAAGAGGGGCCAGATTGTGGATGCTCCAGGATCAGGTGGTGGGGACAGGGTAAGAGCTGGGAGCAAACTCATCTGACGGACATCCTGGCTGGGTCCTGGGGGCACAGAGGTGACTTGGTCTAGATCTTGAGGACCTACTTGAGGTCAGACATTTCTTTTCTTTTCCTTTTTTTTTTTTCTTAAGATAGAGTTTTGCTCTTGTTGCCCAGGCTGGAGTGCAATGGCGTGATCTTGGCTCACTGCAACCTCCACCTCCTGGGTTCAAGCGATTGTCCTGCCCCAGCCTCCCGAGTAGTGGGATTATGGGCATGTGCCACCACGCCCGACTAATTTTGCATTTTTAGTAGAGACAGGGTTTCTCCATGTTGGTCAGGCTGGTCTCGAACTCCCAACCTCAGGTGATCTGCCCGCCTCGGCCTCCCAAAGTGCTGGGATTACAGGCCACTGCACCTGGCCGAGGCCAAACATTTCACACTCAACCCCAGCACTCAAAACCATTTATGAGCTAAATAATATTTTTCATGTTTCACAGATGAGGAAACCAAGCAGGGAAATGACTTGGCAGAGGTCATACAACAAATACAGCAGAGATTACAACCTGGTCTGTGTGGCTCTGAAACCAGTGTTCTAGCTTTTCCCTAATATTACACTGAAGCAAAACTGGCAAGGTGGCAGCTCTGGACATTTATGGCTTTGATTTCAAGAGAGATCTGTGAGTCTCCTGTCATTTTGTTGAGGCAGGAGCGTGAATCAGAACCCCCCTTAGAGTGGGGAGCAAGAGGGAAGCTCTTGGTGAGAAAAGAAGCCCAGCAGGTACCACAGGCCCCTAGTGCCCACATCACACTGTGGCAAGTGCAGCCACTCCCAAAGCAAAGACTCCAAAAGATACCTACCAATGCAGCTGGAAGGGAAGAGAAAGGGTGGGGTCCAAGAAAGTGATGGTTCTTGGCCACAAAGGAGGAGCTTGGGGTAAATGTAGGCGTGGATGGTCAGACTTGGCAGGGGCTCATGGCTTTAACCCAAATGGGGCCACCGTACTTGGTACAAAGAGGAGAAGCAGCAACTTGCATATCTCTCACCAGGACAGGAATGGCTCAAATGAGAGAAGTTTTCGAGGAATAGAAAGAGGACAAAGTCATAGAGTCATGAAGGGTCTGAAGGGCCCCTCTACTTTTCAGGTTACAGCCAACTGCACTGTGGAAGAGAAGCAATATCAAGTCAACCATGTTTCTGGACCCATGTCAGGGCACACCTCTCAGCTCTCCTGCCCTGTGTGACACGGCTGTCATGGGGGCAGCATAGGGCACAGGGGGTGGGGCAGATGGGAAGGGCACCTAATACAGCCTGGTGAGTCAGGGAAGACTTCCCAGAGGAGGTGGCAGAACCAGGGTGCTCATTTTTCAGGGCTTAAAGCAACAAGCCCTGATCCTGCTGCTGGCCAGGCCACCTGGGCCTTGAGGAGGCATCTGGCACTGCTGCCAGCTGTCCCCGCTGCCCCACCGTCCTCAGCCCCCACAGCCCCTGGCTGCTTGGCTCTGTTTCTGTGTCCTCCACCTTCAGCCATTTCGGCGCTGGTGCTTCTCAGAGCATGACCTCTCCTCAACCTCTGCCCACTGCCCCTGGCTGACTCAGCCTCTTCCAGGTACCAGCTCCCTCTCCCCACTGGCATCTTCCACATTTGCAACTCCAGGCCAGACAAATTGGTTCAGCAGCTCTACCTGATGTCCAGGTGCCCTCCATGACCACCTTTACTATCCCGGCATGCCCAGTAGATTTTCCTGCAATTTTTCCTAATCCAGAGAATGGTCTCAAAATCTACCCACTCCTCTGAGCCAGACCTTGGAGCTGAGTCCTGAACACTTCATCAAGCTGAGGATGACAACAAAACCCTCCTCAGATGGCTGTCACGAGCATGAAACAAGACCACACTTTTAAAGTTTTTGCATGGGGGCTGCCACCTGGCAGAAGCATCCTAAAGGCCAGTTGTCCTAAAGCACTTATCGTATCTCCGCCCTCCTCTCCCTCCTCTGTCACTCCTTACTGCCAACTTCAAAACAGCCTCTGGTCTGGCTGCTGGAGGCGGGGACCTGAGCATTTAGCAAGCCCCCGACGACAAGCTCATTCCAAAGGGGAAACACAGCAGGCTGGGGCAGTGGGTGGAGTGGAAATGGGCACCTCCCCTGGTGCCAGGGCCCACCTTCCCCTTTGAAGACCAACACTTGCTGCTTCTTGGCCTGTCTCTAGCCACTTGTGGCACCCCAGACTGGCAAAGTGCTGTTCCAGTATCTCAGGCCGGGTGGCCACTCTCCACCTTTTTCAGGTGGGGAATCTGAGGCCCAGAGAGGGGCAACAACTCACCCAAAGTTTCAGGACTTCTTTGTACTTGTGGTCTTTCTGCTACCTCCCCGCTCCTGGCTCTGCCAGCTGCTAAGCCCCATCCTCTGCTTTCTCTCCAAGCTCCTCTCTGTGCTTTCAACTGTCCCAACTCGAACTGCTGTTCTGGTGTCTGATGTAGATCCCAGGCATGGGAGGTCAGGGGTCACCCAGAGGAGAATGGGCCAGAGACCCCGAAACTGGGGGAAGCTCTCAGTGCCCCTTTAGGGCTCCCTGGCCTCTGATAGGGACCTGGCCACCAGCTCCCTCCCTGGGCTGGCCTCTGTGGGGCTTGGGAGTGGCCTGGGCAGCTCACACCTCTTCCGCTTTCCTCCCGTGGTCCCTACTTCTCCTTTCTGGGAGGCCTGGGCCAGGTCTCCCACTTGGGAGGGGGAGTCCTTTTGGGGAGAACTGGGGGAGGTCAGGCCCAGGCCGGGCTGGCTGGTCAGTCCTGTGACTCGTGGGCCTGGAGAATTCCCCCTCCTCTCCCCGCCAGGCTTCCTCACAAGGCCCCCATTGTCCAGGAAAATCATGCCATTGTTTCCTGCCTGTGCCCCCCACCAGCCCAGGGACTCCCCCCACCCCAATCCTGCAGACAGCAACTTGGGCCTAGGACTGGGGTCTCCGAGGTTAAATGCCAGGCTCAGGGAGGCTGAGGGCACCTTGCCTGCCCTTTACCACCACCTCCCAGACTCTGAGAGGGAAGCAGGGGAACTAGAGGGGAGTAGGGGAGCAGTTCCAGGCTCCTTCCTCCCGCAAGTCCTCCACCCCAAGCTCTTTCCTCCCCTGCAGGCAGCTGGGCTAGGGAGGGAGCAGGGGCTGGAGCAGGGACAGGAAGCCGGCTCAGGGGCAGCAGGAAACGCAGGAAGCAGTGGGGAGGGTGGGGAGCAGGGGCCTGGGCTATTGTTCCATTTTTTCTGGAAAGAAAACGGAGGAAAAACAGAAGATGGGAGTCCCCTCCCCCTGTGCCTTCGGGGAATCCCCCTCAGATTGGGGCAGGTAGCGGGGGTCCCTAGATAGTTAGAGCCCAGGGTTGAGGCTGAGAGGTGGGAACCGCACCCTACCAGGGATGAGAAGAGTGGGTAGGATGGTTGGCAGGCCTCTCCTGGCTCCCCCAGTCCTGGCAAGAACTTGGATATCTGGGGCTCAGCACTCTGTTTCCTGCAAGCCCCTTGTCCATGGTCAGCCCAGGCCAGGAGGCTCAAAATATCCACGTTGACCCCCCTCTAAGAATGTCTCATGCTTTTCCAGTGACCACACTGAGCCTGGCCCCTCCTGCATTTCCTACTGCTGCTCTCCAGCCTGCACTCTGGGCTCTAGGAGGCCCCTGCTCCTGGTCCCTGCTGTGTGCTGGGTCCTGCTTCCATGCCTTCTCTCTCTAAATGCTGCGTGCACCAGGAAACCCTCTGAAGCTGTCACTCACTTCTCTTGGGCCATGATGGGCAGCGTGTCGGGGGCTTGAAATGATGGGAGATGGAGTCTCCCTTAGCCCAGCACTCCCATCCCAAGCACTGATTTCAGGCTAGGCCCTCTTGGCGATCCAGCCCTCAAATGTCCATCTCCATGGCTGAGGACCCGCTGTGGGTTGGGGATCGCAGGTCGGGCTTGCCCAAGCTGTTGAGCTGTTTCACTCTCCCTTTTTACAGATTCTGAAATTGAGGCTCCGAGTTGGAGTAACCAGCTAGAGGTCATGAAGCCAGGGAGGGCTAGGCCAGAATTCCAGCCCTGGCCTTAGCCTTGACTGCCAAGGAGGGCTTCCCTCTCTGAGATATCTGTTCTGGAGGAGCTGCCCATGACGACGGGAGGGGAGGACAGAGCACCAACTCCACGAACATGAATTTAGGGGAGGAGAAGATGAGGAGCACGAGCTTCCAGAGGACTTCCTTGAGGTGGGAGCCATGGCTGGGCAGGATGCTTATGGCCCACCTGAGAGATACCAATTTCTTAACTTGTCCAAACCGCAGCTGCAGGCTGGGGTCAAGGACTTCTGAAGCTGGCGCAGGAAGACTCTGCTGGGTGCCTGGGGCTCTGTTTGGGGGCTAGCTTGAGCCCATGGGCACCCCTGGTCAGCTGGGACCCCCTAGGGTGGGAGCTCCTACCTGCAGTAGACCCTAAGCTAGGCTCAGTGGAAGGTTGGGAGCAGGTGTGTACCAGAGCCATGCCACCCCCAACCATGCCCCCAGAAACTCACTGTTGTTGGACTTGAGATCACGGTGGATGACGGGCACCAGGGCCTCGCAGTGCAGGTAGTGCATCCCACGGGCAATCTGCACAGCCCAGTTGACCAGCACATGGGGAGGCACGCGCCGCCCGGCCAGAGCTCGGCTGAGGGGCCCACCGGCTGCATACTCCATCACCAGGCACAGGTTGGGCTCCTCCAGGCACACAGCCTTGAGGGCAATGATGTTGGGGTGTGCCAGCATGGCGAAGAGCCGGGCCTCCTGGCGAACGCTCTCGGCTGTCACACTGATGTCCTCATCGGGGTCCTGGCGAGCTGCCTTCACAGCCACCAGCTCACCTCGCCAGCTGCCCCTGTACACCTTGCCAAAGCCTCCAATGCCGATCACCTCCTCCAGCCGCAGCTCCTGGAAGCTGGCCACCTCGCAGGGGGGCGGGCCGCCACCCCGAGACACATAGTTGGACGGGAAGATGCCCACCTGGCCACCCACCTGGCCCGCCCACCAGCCCTCGTCTCCTGAGATGGCTGCGTCCCGGGACAGCACCTCCACACGGTCACCCTTCCTCAGGGCCAGCTCATCCTGCCCACTGGGCTCGTAGTCGAACAGGGCTGTCCACACCGGGTTGGCATAACCCGCTGCCTTTGGAGACCCCTCAGGCCGGCCTCCTCCACCGCCCCCACCACCCCCGCTGCCACTGCCATTCCATGACCCTAGAGGGCTCTTGAGGAAGAGGCTCTTCAAGGGCTCCATGGCCGGGAGCCGGCGCTGGGATGTGTGGAGGACCTTCTCTGGGTGCCCGTGGTCCCCACCCCCGCTGGCTGCCAAGGCCCTAGTCCCGGAACCTGGGCATCCGGGCCCTGGCCCTCAGCCCCAGACCCACGCCTCTCTGGGGAGCCAGGAGTGTTGTCTCCCGGCCCCCCGCATCTCGGGCTTCTGGAGGAGGGCACCCAGGGCAGTGTGGTCAGGCCGGGGGGGTGGGGCCCCGGGGCCTCCGGCGCCTCACCATGGCTAGCTTGGAGGGACCCGAGCTTCCCTCGGTTCTGGAGCAGTCCTGGGAGCCTGGCTCCGGCCCCCGCCAAGTGTAAGGTGGGGCCTTCAGGGGCAGCGCCTCAACTCCGGTTGGGTCTTTTTGCGCAGGGGGTGGAGGGAGCGTCCGCAGTTGGGCCGAGACTGCCTGTTCCTGGCCCCGTCTCCTTTGGCCCCGACGGCTCCGACCCCGCTCCCTTCTTCCTCCTCCCTTTGTACTTTGGCCCCGGGGGCGGGAGGCAGAGGTGGAGGGTGGAGTTTCACTTTTTTCCGCTCTTCTCCCTCCTGCAGGAAACAGCATCAGATGACGCGGGCGGCCTGCACCGCTCCCCTCCCAGAGGCTCCAGGCGGGGAGTTCCCGGGTAGGCGGGCCAGGAGAGGCAGAGAGGGAAAGGGCAGAACCAGATCCCCCATCACAGCAGGCTTTTGAGATCTAGAAAGAAAAGCCCCCAGCTGCGTGCTCTGCTGCCTAGGGTGGAGGTTGGTCTCTGCTAAGGATGGGCCATCTCTGCCCTCTGCATCCGCATCGGCGGCAGCAAAACGGGGTTACAGAACCACACTTGGGAAGGGGGTGAACCCGAGTCTGGTCTTGGCTGCGAAGTTGTGGGACTGTGCGATCCATCGATTCTGAGCCTCATTATTTTCTTTCTTTTTTCTTCTTTTGAGACGGAGTCTTGCTCTGTCGCCCAGGCTGGTATGCAATGGCGCAGTCTAAGCTCACTGCAACCTCCGCCTCCCGGGTTCAAGAGATTCTCCTGCCTCAGCCTCCCGAGTAGCTGGGACTACCGGCGCGTGGCACCACGGCCGGCTAATTTTTGTATTTTTAGTGGAGACGGGTTTCACCATGTTGGCCATGCTGGTCTCAAACCCCTGACCTCGTGATCCTCCCGCCTCGGCCTCCCAAAGTGTTGGGATTACAGGCGTGAGCCACCGCGCCCGGCCATTCTTTTCATATATGATATGAGGACGAGAAAGCTCTGCCTCGTAGAGCTAGTTGGATGGGGTGGGGAAGACTGGAGGACAGACGGAACTGGCTGCACCTCAAGCTCTTGGAGTGGATTGCCTAAGGCTCTCTTCTTCTCCTCACCTGGGAAACAATCCGCTTCTTCATATCCCTTCCCCATTGGCAGAAACCTGAGACTTGTCCAGAACTTTGCCCAGGATTGGATTCAGAATAGCTGAGTCGCCCTCACAACTTCTGGATAGGGCTGCCCCAATTGCTTTGAGCCTGTCACTTTAAGAAAGACGACGCTATCCTATTTCGACTATTCCTGCCTGTTACGGAAGGTTGTTCTCTACACCCTAGGTCTGAGCTCTGACCCGGAAGTAGACGCCGCTGGGAGCGAAATCGGTCGTGACGTACGAGGTCCAGCATTAAAGGGGGCGGGCCGAGAGGGGCGTGCTTCGGTAGTGCAGAACTCTCGCTGCTACTAGGGGAGTCCACGCCTCCACCTTTTCCCCGCCTCCTGTAACTCATTGGAAGAGCTGTGCGCCAATTACTTTGCCGTTACCCAATGGCTACTCAACTGTCTCTTTGGTTCCGCCCAGTCGTCTACCCTGGGTTGGCAACGCCTGGGTCTACGCATGCGCCCAAACGCTTTTACGCTCGAACTTGCTTTAGTCCTGGAGTCTGCGCACGCCCAAAGGGCACCCCTCGCGTCCTACCGCGCCATCACCTTTCTGCGCTTGCGCATTCATGCCGTCAAGTTTTCCTTTTCCGGGTCCCAATTGGAATCGTTGGGCGCATGCGCCACTGCAGGCTGGCGGTTCGCGGCTCCTTCTTCCGGCCTCCTCCTTAGGCCGGCACCAGCAGAAGCCGGGCGAGCGCGGAGCCCCAAGCAAGTGACCTGCGACCCCGAAAGTGGACCCCAGATCCTGGGGTTCTCCCTGGTCCGGAGACTAGGGAGCTGTCGCCTGCACCCCGGGAGCACCCACCCCACGACCACCTCTGGATGCCGCCGACGGGTACCCGGCCCGTGCCCCGCGCCTGCCTGCCGGCTCGGCCCCTCGGAGCAATTCTGGGCCAGGAGTGGGGACCCGGACCCCGCCCCTGATGCAGCCCCACCCCCGCGTCCGGGCCTTGCACCACTGACTGTCCCGGCCGGCCCCGCCCCCTGCTCGCACCCTCGCGCGGCCGAGCCCCCCTCCCCCGCTGGGGGAGGCCATGGCGTGAGCGTGAGGCCGGGCCCCGGGGCCCTCAGGCGCCAGACGGGGCATGGGCCGGGGGCCGCCCCCATGAGGGTCCCGGGAGGGGGGGCGCGGGCAGCAGCGGCGGGGCCATGGGGTCGCAGGTGTTGCAGATCCTGCGCCAGGGGGTGTGGGCCTCGCTCACCGGCGGTTGGTTCTTCGACCCGCACCAGAGCACCTTCTCCAACTGCTTCCACCTCTATGTCTGGATCTTCCTGCTCATCTTTCCCTTCTTACTGTACATGGTGAGACGCCACGGCCACCTGTAACTCCAGCCGGGAGAGGGAGGGCAGCCTGGCAGGGATTCAGGGCAGTGCCCTGGGCTCTGGGACGTGGAGAGAGAGGAATCACTGCAGAGTTTGGGTCTGTGTGGAAGAGGGGCCAAAGTCTTCCTTTCTTGGATCGAGTGACCTTGAACCCTACACTTAATCTCATCCAGCTAAGCAGAATACAGAGCCCTTTGTCGAGGTCTGTGTACTGGTTGTGTGGAGAGGTGATGAAATTTTCTTGTGAGTCTGTGAATCCCAGCTATGATGTTGATGGCAGGTACATCCTGTGGGGGCGAGGCTTTGTGAAAAGGGACCTGGCTTACTTTCATCTTCAGGTCCTGCCTCCCAGCTTGATGGTGGCCGGCGTGTACTGCCTCGTGGTGGCTGTCATCTTTGCTACTATCAAGACTGTCAATTATCGGCTTCATGCCATGTTTGACCAGGGCGAGATCGTGGAGAAGCGCAGCTCTACCATGGGGGAGCTGGAGGAAGAGCCTGCCCAGGGGGACAGCAATCCACCCAGGTGGGTGGGGTAGGGGCTGTGCTGGGGATTGAGGGTTTTTGGTGCCTGGGCCGGAACCTTGCAGGGTGGAGTAGGGGCTTAGGGAACATTGGCTCTCTGAGTGATTGTGAACACTTGTCCTGTGTTAGCCCTGGAATTGTAAAGTGACTTCTGAAAAAGAAGCAGTGACAAAGATGGGAGGAAGTAGCATACACAGAGGAGAGGTTAGCTCAAAGCTGCTGCTCTTTTTCACCGCCAGGGACCCCGGAGTGGAGATGACAGTGTTCCGGAAAGTCAGTTCCACACCCCCGGTGCGCTGCAGCTCCCAGCACTCTGTGTTTGGCTTCAACCAGGTCTCGGTGAGTGGGCCTGGACCTCAGCTTGTCCTCCTGTCCCTCTGCGAGCCAGTCCCTACTGTGGGTGCATCCTGAGCCTACTTCTTGCCTTGTTTGTTCCTTCATGGCTCTCTGTCTACTCAGGAGCTGCTGCCCCGAATGGAGGACTCTGGGCCCCTTAGAGGTAGGTGGCTGCTCTTCAGGGTTGGAGCATAGTGCTGTGGAACAGGGGCTGGCGTGCTGTGCCAGGGGGTCCTGCTGACACCTCTGGGGCCATGGTTGCAGACATCAAGGAGCTGGTGCGGGAGCAGGGCAGCAACAATGTGATCGTGACTTCTGCCGACCGAGAGATGCTGAAGCTCAGCTCGCAGGAGAAACTGAGTGCGTGGGCCTTATGGGGCCGAGGCTTGTGGGCTAGACCAGCTGTTTCGTTGTTGAATCCCCTCAACTTTGGCTCCATCCTGGGTCTCCTCTGTATTCCTCTGTGGGACCTCCCCAGTGTGCTGCTGTGGCTGGGCTCTCAGGGAAAGTACAGGGCATAAGACCTCCCTTAACCACTAGTTTGTTTTGCAGAAAACCCTTTTTTCATTTTCTGTTTCCCTTTATTTTGGCAGTTGGAGACCTTCCCCAGACGCCTCCAGGGGCTGTCCCAGACCCCTCTCTTGCCAGTACAGACTCTTCAGAGCCTTCTCCCCTGGCTGGAGATGGAGCGCCCTGGAGTGGGAGCAGCATGGCTGACACTCCCATGAGCCCCCTGCTGAAGGGGAGCCTCAGCCAGGAGCTGAGCAAGAGCTTCCTGACCCTGACCCAGCCTGACCGGGCCCTGGTGAGGACCAGCAGTCGACGGGAACAACGCAGGGGGGCAGGTGGCTATCAGCCCCTTGACCGGCGGGGCTCAGGGGAGCCCACGCCCCAGAAAGCCGGCTCCTCAGACTCCTGCTTCAGCGGCACTGACAGGGAGACATTGAGCAGCTTCAAGAGTGAGAAGACCAACTCCACCCATCTGGACAGCCCCCCAGGGGGGCCAGCCCCTGAGGGCAGCGACACAGACCCACCCTCTGAGGCTGAGCTGCCTGCCTCACCAGACGCCGGGGTCCCCTCAGATGACACGCTGCGTTCCTTTGACACGGTCATTGGAGCAGGGACGCCACCGGGCCTGGCTGAGCCGCTCCTGGTCGTGCGGCCCAAGGACTTGGCCCTGCTACGGCCTAGCAAACGGCAGCCACCCCTGCGAAGACACTCTCCACCTGGCCGTGCCCCTCGACGGCCCCTGCTTGAAGGTGGGGGCTTCTTTGAGGATGAAGACACTAGTGAGGGCAGTGAACTGAGCCCGGCCTCCAGTCTCCGATCGCAGCGCCGCTACAGTACTGACAGCTCCTCTTCTACTTCCTGCTACTCCCCTGAGAGCTCCCGGGGTGCAGCAGGGGGACCCCGGAAGCGGAGGGCCCCCCATGGGGCTGAGGAGGGAACTGCTGTGCCCCCCAAGCGGCCATATGGGACCCAGCGGACGCCTAGTACCGCCAGCGCTAAAACACATGCCCGTGTGCTGAGCATGGATGGGGCTGGGGGTGATGTTCTGAGGCCCCCACTGGCTGGCTGCAAGGCAGAGCTGGAGGCCCAGGTTGGGGTGGAGCAGGCTGCTAGTGAGCCTGTTGTGCTGCCTGCTGAGGCGCGAAGGGGACCCGCTGCCAACCAGCCCGGCTGGCGGGGGGAGCTGCAGGAGGAAGGTGCTGTGGGGGGAGGTGAGTGCTTGCTCTAGAGGCAGGGGCTGGGGGACGTGAGCTACGGGCTTGGGGTTGGGCAAAGGGCAGGTAAGAATGGACCTGGTCAGTGTCAGCTCAGCCTCGGTTGTAGGCAGCAGATGGACGTGGGCCTGGTGGTGATTGACATTGTCTGCCAAACCTCTTAGACATGGGGCTCAGCCACCTGGCTCCACATCCTTGATTAGCACCTGAGTCTCTGTCCCCTGAGGACTCTCATCATCCACACTCATCCTCCCACCACCAGTGGGGTGGGGCAGGGCCGATCAGTGTCATCCTTGTTTGCAAGTAAGGAAACTGAGCATGGGGCTGTGTGACCTGGCTGGGCCTCAGAGCCGGGGCGTGGTTGTACTAGGCCTTTAGCTCCCTGGCGGAACACCGTCCCCAACCTTACTCCCCCAGCCTTGTCTGAGCATCTGTCACTTACACTTGGGGGCCTCTCTCTGGGCAGCGGCCGAGGAGACTGGCAGGCGGGACCGCTCAAGCAGTGTGAGGCGGACCCAGGCCATTCGGAGACGCCACAATGCAGGCAGCAACCCCACCCCTCCAGCCTCTGTCATGGGCTCGCCGCCCAGGTGAGCACCTTGCCAGCTGTGCCGAGGGGCACCGGGGGCCGGGGAGGGCCCGCAAGCTCTAGCTGGCGCTGACCTGGGGCTGACCCTCTCCAGCAGCCTGCAGGAAGCTCAGCGGGGCCGGGCTGCCTCCCACTCCCGGGCGCTGACGCTGCCCTCTGCGCTGCATTTCGCCTCTTCACTGTTGCTCACCCGGGCCGGTGCCAATGTGCATGAGGCCTGCACCTTTGATGACACTTCTGAGGGTGCTGTGCACTATTTCTACGATGAGAGCGGTGAGCCTTTCCCAAGCCCGGTGGCCCAGTGCCTCCCCGCCTTCCCCCAACAGCCTGAGTCCTCCTAGCAGTGGTGCTCGCTCGGCCCTGTGGCAGGTACACTGCTAATGCTGCCAGACATCATCCTTGCAGCCTCTTTGAGGCACGGTGTCTCTGTCATCTTTTGCTCTGCTGATGAGGAAACAGAGGCTCAGCTTACAGTACAGGGGAGATCTAAAGCTAGGACAGGTGACTGCCGCGCCCAGGCTCTTGACCTGTAGGCCCTTTCCTCTCCAGAGGCTGGGCTGCCCTCTCAGAGGACACAGCACAAGGTTCTGCCTCATTTGATGGGTCTGGTGCCCACGTGAGCCGGGCCTTGGTGCTTCTGTCTCTGCCACGCTGCCTCATCTCCCATACCCTGCCCCAGGTGTGCGGCGTTCCTACACCTTTGGCCTGGCTGGAGGCGGCTACGAGAACCCTGTAGGGCAGCAAGGGGAGCAGACAGCTAATGGAGCCTGGTGAGTTCCCAAGCCTGGCCTCCCAAGCCATTGTCTTGGTGGCCTGCATCTCTGGGAAGTTCCCTGAGCCTGGAGTTTGCTCTCTTCCTGCTGGGCTTGGGCAGGGGCAGCTCAGATCTGCAGGGAGAGGATGGGGAGCAGCAAAGGACAGACCTCCTGGGGTCCCTGGCTCCATGACACTCCGGGCAGGAAGTTTCTAGGAAGCCCAGGGCACAGCCTCGACACTCGTGCCAGGGTCTGGGAGGGAGGCACTTCTGCCACCTGACCCCAGCACTTGTCCCTTGAGCCCTGGTTGGTCTCGGCACAGACAGCCCTACCTGCCTGGCCTTGGCCTCGGCCTCGACCCCACCCAGCCCCAGGGCTCGCCCGTGGGGGGATCCTGATGGCTGCTGTTCTCACAGGGACCGACACTCGCATTCCTCCAGCTTCCACTCGGCTGATGTCCCTGAGGCTACAGGCGGCCTGAACCTGCTGCAGCCGAGGCCTGTGGTTCTGCAGGGCATGCAGGTGCGCCGGGTGCCCCTGGAGATCCCGGAGGTGAGGAGCAGCCGGGGAAGGGCCGTGCCAGTGGGGCGTGACGGGGCGGGCAGATCACTGAGTCCGGCCTGCATAGAGAGCTTGCCCAGGTGCCCCAGGAGGGACGGGCAGTGCTGAGTGAGCGCTCCAGGGGCCCTACTGTGTCTGTCCTGATCTTTGATGTTGGCAGAGACTCTGGGTCTGAATGGCTGGAGAAGTCATTTATTTGCTTACTACGAATTCCTTTGGAGTACATTCCTAACTCTGGAGGGTCCCACAGTGAACAGGGGCCATGGGTGTTAATGATGATACTTGCGGAAGTGGCAGTGTTCTGTTAGCAAGCAGGGACCCTGTGATGACTGTGCTGCCCTGCATACACTGTGCACGTGTGGCTGCTGGGGTGCTCTCTGTTAACACTTCCTGTCTCAGTATACTCATTACCAGCGCTCTGTCACTCTTAAGAATATCACAGTTTGGACAGTAAATTTGTATACTTAATCTATTAACACCAGAAGCGCTAAAAATGCGTGAAACGCCATCTTAGAGCTTAAAGAATGATCATAAAAGGGTACCCGGCACCTGACCCTCAAGGCCACAGATAGGTTGGGCAGCCCCCAGAAGCTCCCACCTGCCCGCTTCTGGTTCATTTCTTCCTTGTAACCATGTGGGGTGGAAGCGTGGCCGGCGGCCGCCTCCAGAGGGAAGGGTTGCGTGCCTCTGGCTCGCCATTTTATCCTTGGATCCCAGGGCAGGGCCGGGCCCATAGCTGGGGCCCCACAAGTGCTTGTTGAGTGAAGGATACAACAAATGAGAGGTCAAGTCATGTGCCCAGGGCCTCAGGGCTGGCATTGGCACCTAGGCATGTCCTCAAGGCTGAGCCCTGCATGCACGCTCGGATGGGGTAGTCAGAGTGACAGTGACAGGCCCTGTCTGGGAGGAGGGTAGCATTTGTGCCAGGTCCCAAAGGACAAGTGGACTTCCTTGAGCTTCAGAAGAGGTGGGAGAGTTTGCCTGACTGGGGAAGACAGGCGTGGGAGCGGGTGACTCTAGGCAGCCCCTGCAGCCACTGGGCGACGTCCTGGGAACCTGGAGAGAGGAGGAGCCCTTTCAGATGAAGGGTTCTGGTGGGGTCCAGGGCCGCTAGACAGGGGCCTTTATGTGCTGATGGAAATGGTCAACCAGACCGGTGTGCTGAAGGGGGGTAACAGTAGACCATGTGGGGGGTGGCGGGGCTGACGGCCGCGGCTGTGGGGACTGCAGTTTGACCTGCTGGACCAGGACTCCCTGCACGAATCCCAGGAGCAGACACTGATGGAAGAAGCGCCACCCCGGGCCCAGCATAGTTACAAGTACTGGCTTCTCCCTGGCCGCTGGACCTCTGTGCGCTATGAGCGGCTTGCCCTGCTGGCTCTGCTGGACCGGTGAGTGTCCCGCAGCCTTGGCCCCCAATTCTTGGAAAGCCCCTGGACCTTGGCTCCCCAGACTCTGTACCTGTGGAGGCAGTCATGGCAGCAGAGAGCCTGACTCGGGGGAAGCTGAGGGCCTGTCGTTGGCTGGAGTCTGCAGTGGTGGTTTCTATGGTTCATTTGTGGTGTAAAGGGGTGGCCAAGTGGGTGGTGCTGTATTAAATCTGTTTATTCCAAAGTCCTGCTGAAAAAAACTTTTTTTGAGACGGAGTCTCTCTCTGTCGTCCAGGCTGGAGTGCAGTGGCATGATCTCGGCTCACTGCAAGCTCCGCCTCCCAGGTTCACGCCATTCTCCTGCCTCAGCCTCCTGAGTAGCTGGGACTACAGGTGCCCGCCACCACACCTGGCTAATTTTTGTATTTTTTTTTTTTTAGTAGAGATGGGGTTTCACAGTGTTAGCCAAGATGGTCTTGATCTCCTGACCTTGTGATCTGCCCGCCTCGGCCTCCCAAAGTGCTGGGATTACAGGCGTGAGCTACCGCGCCCGGCCATCCTATTCACTTTTTTTTTATTAGCTTCTGTTGATTTGAAAATCGAGTGCTGTAACCTAGAAAAGCTCACAGACCAGTTATCTCACTTTTCCCATTTCTCAGAGGGGACACAGAGTCCCAGAAAATCCAATAGAGAAGTCAGATGACTTCTACCCAGTGTAGAGAACTTGGGCCTAGAGCCCATGTGGCTTCCCGTCCATCTGGGTTTCTCTAGGCACAGGGACTGGGTGCTGGTCCTGTGTGCATAGCGTGGCACGCCCAAGGCAGCATGCACGATGTAGCCACGTGCAGTTAACTCAGTCTCAGCTGGGGATGGATGAATCCCGGGAGTAATGGCACCCTGAGCTCTCAGCCCTCAATGTCCAGAGCAGGCAAAGATTGGGAAGGAGAGAGCAATACAATGGTCGCTGGAGCAGGTGCTGCCGGGCCGCGTCGTCGCAAAGTTATAGGTGTTCACATCTTCAGAGGACAAGGGTCTGGCATGGGCACAGTCCCAGAGCTGGGCCTTTAGGGCAAGATCCATCTTCCCCACTGCCCCACTGGAAGGTGAGGCAAGACGGGCACGCCCTGACTAGGCTGTCCCTGCAGGACGCGGGGAGTGCTGGAGAACATCTTCGGCGTGGGCCTGAGCAGCCTTGTGGCCTTCCTGGGCTACCTGCTGCTGCTCAAGGGCTTCTTCACTGACATCTGGGTCTTCCAGTTCTGCCTGGTCATCGCCTCCTGCCAGTACTCCTTGCTGAAGGTCAGGCCGGGCTCTCTGTGTTTCCTTCCCCACCCGACTTTTCCCAAGATTGCCCTTCCCACAACTCCAGTTTTAAGGAGTATAAGCTGAAAGGTAGATAATTTGTCTAAGGTTCCCTAGAGCTGGCCAGCTCTTTTACAAGCAAGAAAACTGAGGCTCAGGACAGTTCGGGGGCCTGACCTGGTCACTCATAACTGCCTAGTGGTGGAGCTGAACAGGTCTGGGGCCTCTGACCATCCCGTGGGCATCGGCTCTAGTTGCCAACGTAGCCCTGTCTCTTCCAGAGCGTGCAGCCTGATGCGGCGTCCCCCATGCACGTGAGTACCCATGGAGCAGCGCCTCTGGCCAGGAGGCCCCGGGAGGGGCTGAGACCAGGTGGGGAGGAGGGTAGGGTATGGAGGGCTGGGGCTCCCTCACCACCCCCATCACCCCCACCTGGCCAGGCTCTCCAGCTTGGACCCAGGGCCAGGCCTGGGGCCCTTGAGTGTGTGCATGTGTCAGAGGTGTGGCCAGTCGGGGAGACCCAGCTCCTCATGGGCTGACCCCTCAGGGCCACAACTGGGTGATCGCGTACAGCCGTCCTGTCTACTTCTGCATCTGCTGTCTGCTCATCTGGCTGCTGGACGCCCTGGGCTCAGCTCAGCCCTTCCCACCTGTCTCCCTCTACGGCCTCACGCTCTTCTCTGCCTCCTTCTTCTTCTGTGCCCGAGACGTGGCCACTGGTGAGGCTGGGGCAGGGATGAGGTGGCCCAGGAGAGTGAGTCCCCGAGGGTGGGCCGCGGAAAGCCAGCAGGCTGACCAGGCCTTCGTGTCCCCTCCCTGCCAGTGTTCACCCTGTGCTTCCCCTTCGTCTTCCTCCTGGGCCTCCTGCCCCAGGTCAACACCTGCCTCATGTACCTGCTGGAGCAAATAGATATGCACGGCTTCGGGGGCACAGGTATGATGCCCACAGGTGGCTCAGGGATGGGGCCCGTGTGGAGGCCCAGGAGGGCCCTCGGATTGGGTCCTTGGCTCCACCCTTGCGGAACCTTCTCCTGCGTCTGTACTGCAGACTCAAGGTTTCTGCCTTCTCCCCTCTCCTTCCCTCCCCAGGCAAGTGGTTTATATCTGAGAATCTTGGAAGCTCTAAAGGCCGCTTGGGGCTTGGGGCAGCAGAGAACAATGGGCTGGGGGTGCCTTTCCAGGGAGGCCAGCCTCTGGGAGTTGAGGGGAAGCGCGGCTAGGGTTGAGGTGGGGTACCTGCAAGTGAGAGCTGGGCTGTACTTCTCCCTTCCACACAGCTGCCACCAGCCCGCTCACGGCAGTCTTCAGCCTCTCCCGCAGCCTGCTGGCTGCTGCCCTGCTCTACGGTTTCTGCCTTGGGGCCATCAAGGTAGGGGTGGCTTGCGAGGTGGGGGCATGCTGCAGTGCGTAAGGGTGGTTGGGGCGGGGCTGTGAACTGGGCTCAGCAGTGGCTTCTCACACGGGGGCAGCCCGGGCCCCATGCTTACCTCACCTCCCCTGACCAGCATGGATTCTCTCCGCAGACTCCGTGGCCAGAGCAGCACGTCCCTGTCCTCTTCTCAGTCTTCTGTGGCCTCCTGGTGGCACTGTCCTACCACCTGAGCCGGCAGAGCAGCGACCCCACCGTGCTCTGGTGGGTGTGCTCCGGGTCGTGTGTTTGTGTCTGCCCAGTAGGGGTTTGTGGTCTGTGCATGTGCCCGTGACTGGGGCCGGGGGGAAGGAGGGGCGGCCTCCTCCTGACTCTTCCTCACCCCCAGGTCTCTGATCCGGAGCAAGCTGTTCCCTGAGCTGGAGGAGCGCAGCTTGGAGACAGCCCGGGCCGAGCCCCCGGACCCCTTGCCGGACAAGATGCGCCAGTCGGTGGTGAGGGGGCGGGGGGTGGGGGTCTGTGGGGAGGTGGTGACAGGTCCTGGGGTTCCTGGGAGGGGCATGTCCAGCTTGGGCTGCTGGGCAGCTGAGTGTCTCTCCTGGCCGGGCAGCTGAATGTCTCTCCTGGCCCTGCAGCGTGAGGTCTTGCACTCCGACCTGGTGATGTGTGTGGTGATCGCCGTGCTCACCTTCGCCATCAGCGCCAGCACCGTCTTTATTGCCCTGAAGGTTTGTGTGGCATGGGCCGCTGCTGCCTCTCGCTGTCTTGGCGGGAGCCTGCTCAATCTGAGTGCCGTGGGCAGCCCCTCCCCGGCCTGTGCCAGGTGGCCCTCTGTGGTCCCTTGGCCTGCTCCCATCAGCTGAGTCTCTGGCCTCTCCCTCCTGCAGTCGGTGCTGGGTTTCGTGTTGTACGCACTGGCTGGGGCCGTGGGCTTCTTCACACATTACCTGCTGCCACAACTCCGCAAACAGCTGCCCTGGTTCTGCCTGTCACAGCCCGTGCTGAAGCCGCTGGAGTACAGCCAGTATGAAGTGCGCGGTGAGTGCCCACCCCTGATGGCCAGGCCTGGGCAGTGGCTCGGGCTGCAGCCTGGCTGGTGGGAGCTGTGGTCCTCTCGGCTCAGGAGTGCCAGCAGGGGGCACTCGCTGCCCACACTACCCTTTCTGCTCCCTCCCTGCCCTCTGTGTCCGTGTTGCCCGGCTGCGCTCTCCACCGACTCTTCTCCTCGTGCCCTGCTGTGCCCTTCCCTTGCCTGTGTTGCCCTGGTCCTGCCCTCCTTCCTGTCTGTGAGAAGACGGAAGAATTAGAACCCCAGGGCCCTGAAGGGATCTCTTGTCCAGAATTAAACACTGATCACCAGTGGACCAGAGCTGCCTGGAGCACATCTTCACTGGGCTGCATAATGGTTTTTAAAAAATCCTGGAGCCTCTATTTTAGCATCTCGATTTGAGATATGAAGATCCATGTTTCTTGAGTTTTTCTTAAACGACAGAAGATTTTGCTTCCCAGACTAGCATCCCTCTGTGGCTACAACCAGCCTGAACCGAGGGGTCTGCCCTTTAGAAGGGCCCAGCTCACGGGCTCACTGTGCACTCAGGCCCTAGCCAGCCTGCTGTACGTAGGTGTTTGCGATTTCATCATTGGCCTTGTTTTAACAGACAGCAGAGCAGAGCACCTGCCATAAAGCAAGCCTCGATGTGCTAAGTGCCATGTGGAGCCCTTGCCCTGCTGGGGCTCGCTGCTCCCATTTGAGCTGCCACAGATCAGCCCCTCCCCCCAGGGTCTCCGAGGAGTCAGGACCGCACAGCCTGCCCTCCTAGGGAAGGACTTCCTCAGGGAAGGCAGGCATGTGGAAGCCAGGTGCAGAGTCCTGGCCTCTCCACACAGGTGCCGCCCAGGTGATGTGGTTTGAGAAGCTGTATGCTGGCCTGCAGTGCGTAGAGAAGTACCTCATCTACCCCGCCGTGGTGCTCAACGCCCTCACGGTGGACGCCCACACAGTCGTCAGCCACCCGGACAAGTACTGCTTCTAGTGAGGACCACCCCACCCTCAACGATCCCATCATCCGCTTTCCCTTTTGATCCGTGGGGAAACTGAGGCCTAGAGAGGGAATGAATCATGTCTAAGGTTGTTTAGCAAGCTAAAGCAGGACCCCAGCTCCTGACACGCCATCCCAGGAAGTGGTTGCTTCTTCAAAGGCAAATGTGTTCCCACCACTCCCTTTGGAAGAGCAGAGACTAAGAGTCACGGGCCCAAAAGAGCAGGGACCAGCCCAGCAGAGCAGAGGCCAGGGGTTGCTCTCCGGCCAGAGTAGGCGAGGGATGGGACACCTATACCCACTGCCCCGGTCCCCTACCAAGCACCCGATGCCTGCCCCTTGCCCACAGCTGCCGGGCGCTGCTGATGACCGTGGCTGGGCTGAAGCTGCTGCGCTCAGCCTTCTGCTGCCCCCCACAGCAGTACCTGACGTTGGCCTTCACCGTCCTGCTCTTCCACTTTGACTACCCGCGCCTCTCCCAGGGCTTTCTGCTTGACTACTTCCTCATGTCCCTGCTTTGCAGCAAGGTGAGTTGGTGGCTGTGGCCCAGACCCCAGGCTGTCCAATGGGAGCAGAGCCAACTTCTGCCTGGGTGGGAAGAGAATTTCCTGAGGGCCTGTGGCCACCGCTCTGTATCAGCCCCGTGGGCCTTTGCAGCAGCCTCTCAAGGAAGGGGTTACTTCCACCCTCTACAGAGAGGAAGCAGGCTGAAGGAGGTTGAGGGACTTGCCTCAGGCTTCCAGAGAATTGGTGGTCAGCCAGGATTTGAACCCAGGCCTGTCTGACCCCACGACCACCTCCTCAGAAATGGTTAGGGTAATCAGGACCTGGCCTTATCCTCTGGACGCAGACCTCTGAGTTCCACGCTCTTTTGCCACCCTGGATCCAGAGCAGTCCGAGCTGAGTTTCAGAAGCCCCTAGTGCCTGGGTGTGTATAGGTGCTCTGCCGGCTGTGGCATTGCCACGGCTTGGGGGGCTCTTTGAACTAAGGAACCATGCTCCTACACTCTACTGGAGGCCAGCAGTGGTACCTGGAACCCCAGGCAGGCCTGAGCCTTTTTCTTCCTCACGTGGGCATTCTGTTCTTGTTTTCTGGCCTGGCCCAGGATGGCGGTCATCCACACTGCGTACCCTCTGAGGGCAGGGCCTGTGGCTGTTCTCAATTTTCAGTACTATAGTCTAGCTTCAGCCTCACCAGTGACCTAGTGGCGTGACCTGAGGAAGTCATTTATCTTCTCTGTCTTCACTGAACCTCAACTTTCCCATCTGTGAAAAGGGGCCAGCAATAGGAATAAGAAGCTCACAGGGTACTTGTGTGAACTAAATGGCCACCGCCCCCTTTGAGCTCAGGCAGGGGTTGCTAATGGCATCAGGCGCCTTGAGCCATGTCCAGAGCACAAGGGCTGGCAGTGACCTTGAGTTTGGCCCCCGTGGGCCAAGCCAGTGCGATGACCCAAGCCTCTGAATGGGGCCTGGCATCCGGGGGCTTCCATGAGTGACCCTGCATGTCTTTTTTCTTCTCCCTGTTGGCCCTGCCAGCTGTGGGACTTGCTGTACAAGCTGCGTTTCGTGCTGACCTACATCGCGCCCTGGCAGATCACCTGGGGCTCGGCTTTCCACGCTTTTGCCCAGCCGTTTGCCGTGCCACGTATCCAGCCTGTGTTTGGGTGGGGGTGTGCAGGGAGGGCTGTGGCCTGGGGCAGTGGGGGGTGGTGGGGGGCTGGGAGGTCCTGTTGCCCGCCGCCTCCTTGACTGTGGCTCAGACTCGGCCATGCTGTTCGTCCAGGCCCTGCTCTCGGGGCTCTTCTCCACGCCTCTCAACCCACTGCTAGGCAGTGCCGTCTTCATCATGTCCTACGCTCGGCCCCTCAAGTTCTGGGAGCGCGACTACAAGTGAGTCTCACAGGAGGCGGGAGCATGCCCAGCAGGGCAGGAAGGGAGAGGTTTGGAGCCCAGGCTGGAGGCCACCCACAGAGGGGCCCACAGCAGGTATGGGAGGGCTTGGTCACAGTGGGGACACATGAGGCGGCAGATCCAATGCAGGGAGAGCCTGCACCAGGCCAAGGCTTCAGGCTCACAGCTTGGGGATAGTGGGGTCTGGGGATGAGCTTAGCCTCCCAGCTTCTTGGCTGTGTGTCCTGTGTGAGTCCCTTCATGTACCTGAGCCTCAGTCTCCTCATCTGCCTGCATAACGGGGCTGTCCTGGATGGCGTTGACCTTGTGGCACAGGGAGAGCATGAGCAGGGTGCACCCTCTCTTCACCTTCTTGGCCAACCGCCTTGTTGCACTCTCTCTGAACAGCACTAAACGTGTGGATCATTCCAACACCCGCCTGGTCACACAGCTGGACAGGAACCCTGGTGTGTACCCAGCCATCCAAGGGGCTTTAGGGCAGGGCCTCCCTGGGGAGGGAGCCTCGCTAACTTGTCACTTTGTCCATTTGCCCGTCTGTTCTGGGTCTTAGGCGCTGATGACAACAACCTCAACTCCATCTTCTATGAGCACTTGACACGTTCGCTGCAGCACACACTGTGTGGGGACCTGGTGCTGGGCCGCTGGGGCAACTATGGCCCTGGTGACTGCTTCGTCCTGGCCTCTGACTACCTCAACGCCCTGGTGCACCTCATCGAGGTTGGCAATGGCCTCGTCACCTTCCAGCTGCGTGGCCTTGAGTTCCGGGGTGAGCCGCAGGACCAGGCTCGGGTGGGCAGGCACAGCTCGGGCCTGATGTGGGAGCTGTGTTCAATAGCACGTGCGAAGGAGGTCCAGTCCAGCTCTGTCCAGGCTGGCGGGTGGCCTTGGGCAAGGCACTCCTCCTCCCTGGGCCTGCGTTTCCCAGTCTGAGCAATGAGGTGGCAGGGTCTCTTGGCCAAGCCCTGTGCCTGCCCCAACTTTAGGTCCCAGTGACTCTACAGGTCACTGCAGTGAGGGCCTGGGCCTGGAGGTCTGAGTTCTCACACCCAGCCTGCTCTGTGGTCTCAGGCTTGGCCCATGGGTTGGGCGCCATGAGTGAGCCAGCTCCTTCCTCTCAGGAAGACGTGTGTGTTGGATGCCCGAGAGTGCAGAGGGGCCAGACCGTGTCCCTGCTCCCTCCCGCCCTGCCCTTGGATGCTGGGAGTTGGGAGGAGAAAGGCAGGCGCTCTTTCGTGAATCTTGGCATCCAATAAGGTTGACTCCCCTGGCGTCCAAGGGGGTGAATGGCAGCAGGCCTCTGATGCCATGTTGGTCACTCTCCCAGGACAGGGCAGGTAGGGATTGTTCTAGCAGCCCCTGACTGCACACCCCTCCTCCACAGGCACTTACTGCCAGCAGCGCGAGGTGGAGGCTATCACCGAGGGTGTGGAGGAGGACGAGGGCTGTTGCTGCTGTGAACCTGGCCACCTGCCACGGGTCCTGTCCTTCAATGCTGCCTTTGGGCAGCGCTGGCTGGCTTGGGAGGTAACAGCCAGCAAGTACGTGCTGGAGGGCTATAGCATTAGTGACAATAATGCTGCCTCCATGCTGCAGGTTTTCGACCTCCGCAAGATCCTCATCACCTACTATGTCAAGGTACGGTGGGCAGGTGTGGCCGGGCAGCAGGGCCCTTGCGGGTGAGCGCTCGCTGACCAGAGGCCCCAGTACCCCCTTTCTGGGTTGTTGGGAGCCTGTTTTGTCCAAGGGAAGCTGAGGCCTCAGAGAGTTTAAGTGTCCCCTGAGGTGCCACTGCCAGACCTCAGGTTGCAGGGGCCTCTGTGCCCATATGGCTCTGATAGGTGCCCAGGCAAGGAAGGCTTGCTTTGGGCAGTGAGTATGGGGCAGGTGGGCAGTTGCAGAGGCCAGCCTTTGAAACCACCAGCCCCTGCCCCCAGCTCACCCAGCACAGAGCAGTGGTAGAGCTAACAGTTGTCACGTTAACGATCATCATGGGAGCAGCTGCTTGAGCAGTAACATTTACCACGGGTGGGCGCTATGCTGGGCATCTCTCCTGAGCTGGGTGGAGTCCCCCACCCTTTGAGAGGGGCCCTGCTATCTCACAGATGTGGAAGTTGGCTTGCAGAGGTTCCAGAATCTGAAGAAAATGGCCAAGCCAGGCCTTGAACCCAGGCTGGCCCTGAGCCACAGAGCTTTCCTGCCTTAGCCTGGGGGCTCTGAGCCAGGCCTGAGGATCTTGAGACCTCTTGGGGGTGGGAGGGGGTTGGTGAGGCAATGTGGGGTACATAAGGAGCCCTGGAATGGGGGTTCTGATCAGCCTGGAATGTTTCTTCCCTGTGTCCCTCAGCTTACCCCTTGAGAAGTGGGGGTTATTGCAGTTCTCTGAGATGGCAGAAATGTTGAGGCTTGGCCAAGCGTGGTGGCTCATGCCTGTAATCCCAGCACTTTGGGAGGCCAAGGCAGGTGGATCACTTGAGGTCAAGAGTTTGAGACTAGCCTGGCCAATGTGGCGAAACCCCATCTCTACTAAAAATACAAAATAATTAGCCGGGTGTGATGGCGGGCACCTGTAGTCCCAGCTACTTGGGACGCTGAGACAGGAGAATCACTTGAACCTGGGAGGCAGAGGTTGCAGCCAGCCGAGATCGTGCTACTGCACTCCAGCCTGGGCAACAGAGCAAGACTGTCTCAAAAAAAAAAAAGGAATTTTGAGGCTTGTGGTGCTCAGAATAAGCGTACTGGGAGTGGGGTGGCCTGCTGATCACAGTGCAGGCTCCCACGTGCCTTCTTAGGATCTACCCTGGTGCTCCCTATGTTGGGCTCGGTGGGTGGCCTACTGGGGCCCAGGTGAGCCTGCCACCTAGGTTCTCTCTGGAGTAGTTTCACGAGGCCCTGGCTGTCCTTCTCCAAAGGAAATCCTGTCCACACCACATATCAGAGGAGCTGTCATTTGTCATTCCTTCTGCCCTCCCAGCCACTCCTAGGCAAGGATTTGTGAGACCACCCCCCTTTCATCAAGAAGGAGGCTGTGTCTAGAGAGGGACATTCCCAGTCCCAGGTCACCGAGAGGTCATGGCCTGGTCCACCTTCCGGTCCCATCTTGAGAGAGGTGCCCTTGCCCAGGTTGCCCTGCTGTGCCTGCTAGGCTAGGGCCAGCAGGTTGAGATGCACCTGGCCAGGTCTCTTGTCCCATGGGGAAGCTGACTGGCCACATCTAAGGCTGCCTCAAAGGCTGGGCAGAATTTGAGTCTGGAGGAAGTGCTTGGAGGACCTGGGGTGGCTCCGCTGAGGATGTGGACTGAGGGTGAAGCTTGGAAGGACAAGTCAGGGCTGCCAGGGGTGGGGCGGGGGGAGGCGGGTGTGCTGGGGAGCCTGGTGCATCTGGGGAAGTGTCCCAGCTGCAGGGATAGGTCCTTTCCAGCCTTCGAGGTTGGCCAGTCGAGGCGGAGCCCCTCCCGTTAGCTTTGCCCTTCCCGTGGGAGTTACTGGGCTCTCAGACCTGCTTCTGCAGCTGGGAAGGGCTACAAGAGCAGGAAAAGGCACCGTGGCTTGAGGCTGCACGGAGTCTGGGCAGTGCTTCCCGGGAAGTACCTTGGGCAGAGCCCAGCTCGCAGTGAGCGCTCACAGGCGGAGCGGCTGCTGGTATTGCCCCCCGTCTTCATTTTCTTCCTAAGATGACCGTGAGTGTTGTGTCAGAGAAAAGGATGGCACTGGTGAAGGTTAACCAAGCACCTGATATGTGCCAGGCCAGCTCCTCTCCCGGTCCCTGAAGCTTTTCTTTTTTTTATTTTTTTTTGAAACAAGGTCTCATTCTGTCACCCAGGCTGGAGTGCAGTGGTGCCATCTGGGTTCACTGCAGTGTCCACCTCCCAGGTTCAAGTAATCCTCCTACCTCAGCCTCCCAGGTAGCTGGGACTACAGGCATGCACCACCATGCCTGGCTAATTTTTGTATTTTTTGTAGAGATGGGGTTTCGCCATGTTGTCCAGGCTGGTCTTGAACTCCTGGGTTCAAGCGATCCTCCCACCTCCACCTCCCGAAGTTCTGGGATTACAGGTGTGAGCCACCCTGTCTGGCTGAAGCTTTTCTTTTCTGGGTCTTTTTAGCAGCTCTGGTGGTGCCTGGATTGTAGAGGCGAGCTATGGGCAAGAAAGTCAGTCTGGAGCGGGTCTGCCCTGGCAAAGGGCCTGCCCCATTAGCTCCATCTTAGGGTGGCACATGGAATCCCCATCACCTCACTGGCTGCCCTGCCGGCCTTAACCCGCCCGTGCATCCTGGCCATGCCAGCTACCTGTCTTCCAAAGCTCCTGTACTTTTGCCCAACAGGGCCTTTTAACAAGAGGTCCAGGAGCCCCCAGCTTTGGGTACCACATGTGCCCGTGGCTTTTTTCTGAGGCGAGGCCTGATGGCTGTCATGCTTCAGCTGCCTAAAGGGACCTGTGACCCAGGCACTCTGAGGCAGGCCCACTACTTCAGCCTGCCCTTCCGGCCCCGAGATCTGGATCCCACAATGTCATGATGGGGAAGGTCCGGGGTTCAGGCGGCAGTTCAGTCTGTTCTGCCCCACTCGCTCCCCGCCCCCTGCCCATGTGACATCTGGATGCTCCCGCGCTCGGGGTTATGTTTGTGCAGGAACACCAGCTCCTGCTGCTACCTGGCCCACGTGCTGCACAGGCACTGAAGGTTCACCTGAGGGCCACACCATAGTGTCGGGGCCAGCCAGAGGCGGGTGGGGGACAGGGTTCAGGGCAGGTGGGGCCAGCTCCACCTTGATGACTTGGAAGCTGAGGTGGTAAATGTTGAGTGTGATGATCTTGTTCTCGTTGGGGGCTGCCATTTGTTTGAGCCTCAATTTCTCATACAAACGGGGCATATTCTAGGGCAGAGGCAGGCAGATGCTGCTTGTGAGTGCTAGCCCCAGCACAGGACTTCCTGCTCTGTAAGTGGGTGCTTCCTGGCGGCTTTGTCACTCCTCCCTGGTCTAGGGGAAGGAGCCAACTTGCTTGGTTGCTCTTGAGAGCTGAGATGGCTCTAGGAGCGGGGCATCCCAGAAAGCGGACTTCAGCTCAGTCTTGGGGAGGAGCCTCTGAACCTCCATGCTTTCTCCTCCAGTGGCCAGGGCCGGGACCCCGGCCTGACGCCTGCCCCTCCTCTCCCAGAGCATCATCTACTACGTGAGCCGCTCACCAAAGCTGGAGGTGTGGCTCAGCCATGAGGGCATCACGGCAGCCCTGAGGCCTGTGCGGGTGCCCGGCTATGCCGACTCGGATCCCACCTTCTCGCTGAGTGTGGATGAGGACTATGACCTCCGCCTGTCTGGCCTCTCGCTGCCCTCCTTTTGTGCTGTGCACCTCGAGTGGATCCAGTACTGCGCCTCCCGGCGCAGCCAGGTCAGGCTCCACTACCTGAGGCTGCCACCTGGGGCTGTGGGACCTGGGCTTCCCTGCTCCCCTTCTCCCCATTTGGTTTCCTCTCACTCTGAGCCTCCCTTAGCCTGAGCCCCAGCCCCCACTCCAAGGTCCCTGTCCCAGGTCTGAGCTGGGCTCTGGGATGGGGGTCCTTATGCCACAGCCCGTGGACCAGGATTGGAACTCCCCGCTGGTCACGCTGTGTTTTGGCCTGTGTGTGCTGGGCCGCCGGGCCCTGGGGACAGCCTCTCACAGCATGTCTGCAAGGTGAGTGCTCGGGTGTCCCGCGGGGCCTACTGCCGTCCCCACCCCACCTCTTCCACGAAGAGCACTGTGGTCTCTGGCCACAGTGGCCACAGAAACTGCAGTGGCCCTTCCTGTTGGGGTACCTCTTCTCCCACGGGCAGGGCACTTCCTGGTCATGACCTTGCCTGCTCCTCAGTGCTCTGTGAGAGACATGGGCAGAGATTGGCCTCTTTGTCAAGATGGGGAAACTGAGGCTCAGCGTGAGGAAAGGCCTCTGCTTGGATCACTCTGAAGCCTTACCCCTGGGTCCTCGACACCCCTCTCTCCCCTCCCTGTTTTTCCTCCCACTTAGCCTGGAGCCCTTCCTCTACGGCCTGCACGCCCTGTTCAAGGGGGATTTTCGCATCACCTCCCCACGTGACGAGTGGGTCTTTGCCGACATGGACCTGCTTCACCGCGTTGTGGCGCCTGGGGTTCGCATGGCCCTCAAGCTTCACCAGGTTGGGGAGGGGTGTGCCCAGCAGCATGGGCAGGTGGGGGATGAAGCCTCTCTCCAGGGCAGGGGCCACTGACCCCTGTTCCCGTCTTCTCTACCAGGACCACTTCACGTCCCCAGATGAATATGAGGAGCCAGCAGCCCTATACGATGCCATTGCGGCCAACGAGGAGCGGCTGGTCATCTCACATGAGGGTGACCCAGCATGGCGCAGCGCCATCCTCAGCAACACGCCCTCCCTGCTGGCGCTGCGCCATGTCCTGGATGATGCCTCCGACGAGTACAAGATCATCATGCTCAACCGGCGCCACCTCAGCTTCCGAGTCATCAAGGTTGGGCCGGCCCCACCTGCCCTAAGCCCTGCCCCAAACCCCCTTGGGCCGGCCCCCTGACCCTGGCGTGTGGCTCTCAGGTGAACCGGGAGTGCGTGCGCGGCCTGTGGGCCGGGCAGCAGCAGGAGCTGGTGTTCCTGCGCAACCGCAACCCCGAGCGTGGCAGCATCCAGAACGCCAAGCAGGCGCTTCGCAACATGATCAACTCCTCCTGTGACCAGCCGCTGGGCTACCCCATCTACGTGTCGCCTCTCACCACCTCGCTGGCTGGCAGCCACCCCCAGCTACGGGCACTGTGGGGTGGCCCCATCAGCCTGGGTGCCATTGCCCACTGGCTCCTGCGCACCTGGGAGAGGTGAGGCCTCGGGAAGGGGTGACGTGTGGCGCGGGAGGAAGCTGAGGTGCAGTACGTCCCTCCTGGGTCTCAGAGGGAGGACGTGCTGGAGCCAGGGCTTGAATCCCGAGAGATGACCCCCTCCCAGAGCTGACCTGCCCCTCCTAGATGTCACCTTACCCCCAGAGCTGACAGTGGCCTTTAGTCATCAAGCACTGTTGACAACGCACCCTCAAAAGACTCTGCAAAGTAGGTGGCAGCTTCTTAGAGGGGAGGATCCTGGGGCTCAGAGGTGTTAGATGACTTGTCCTGGGGCTGAGGACTCATGCTTGTGAGGCCTCTGGCCTCAGCCGTGTCCCTCCTGATCCCTTTTCTACCTCTCCACCCCCAGGCTTCACAAGGGCTGTGGCGCCGGCTGCAATAGTGGCGGGAACGTGGATGATTCAGACTGTAGTGGGGGCGGTGGCCTGACCTCCCTCAGCAATAACCCCCCCGTGGCACACCCCACACCTGAGAACACGGCAGGTGAGCAGGCGAGGCTGGGCTGAACCCGTGGGTGAGGAGTGCAGCCCAGCTGAGGCCTCTGCTGTCTTATCTGTCTCCTACAGGCAATGGTGACCAACCCCTCCCACCAGGCCCTGGCTGGGGGCCGCGGTCCTCCCTGAGTGGCTCTGGTGATGGGCGGCCCCCACCTCTGCTGCAGTGGCCTCCCCCTCGGCTCCCTGGACCACCCCCTGCATCGCCTATCCCCACAGAGGGTCCCCGGACCTCACGGCCCCCTGGCCCGGGTCTCCTCAGTTCTGAGGGCCCCAGTGGAAAGTGGAGCCTGGGGGGCCGGAAGGGGCTGGGAGGATCTGACGGGGAGCCAGCCTCAGGGAGCCCCAAAGGAGGTACCCCCAAATCTCAGGTAAGGCACCTGTGGGAGGGTTGGGTCCCAGAAGGCTAAGGCCTGCTCACCCGCCAACCTCTCCCCCCTCCCCCAGGCGCCTCTAGACCTCAGCCTCAGCCTCAGCCTCAGCCTCAGCCCCGATGTCAGCACTGAGGCCTCACCCCCCAGAGCTTCCCAGGACATTCCTTGCTTGGACAGCAGTGCCCCTGAGAGTGGCACACCTATGGGTGCCCTGGGCGACTGGCCTGCCCCTATTGAGGAGCGTGAGAGCCCGGCAGCCCAGCCCCTGCTGGAACACCAGTACTGAGCTACCTGGCGCCCACTGGACCACCTCCTAGGATTCAGTAACGGACCTGCTCTGCTGCCTCTCTGCTGGACCACAGAACTGAGTGGCTTTGGCCTACATGTCTGAACCCTGACCTTTGGCTGCCTTGGCCAGAGTACCAAAACTGAGTGACCCAGACCTCTGACCTTGACCCCTGATCTCTCTCATCCCCAGTCCAGGGCCTGGGCTCCCCAGATGGAGGCAGTCAGCCTCCCAGCCAGGCCCTAAGAGCCAAACCATGGGCTGGTCCCACTTGGAGCCTGTGGCCAGGACCACCTCAGCCCCTGGGCCTGCACTGCCTGCAGGTGTGGCCCCCTTGGCCTGGACCTGGGGCCTGAATTGTGGGAAGGGTGGTTTCTTTCTTTCCTTTTTTTTCTTTTCTTTTTTTTTTTTTTTTTTGTGCTTCGGAGACATCAGAATTAATAACACTATTTTTGATTTTGGTTGGCAGTTTCTTTTTCTACCTGGGAATGGGTACATGATAGTACAGGCGGCTAAGTTGGGATGGACAAGCACGCAGAGGGGTGAAGGATGTGGGGCTGAAGTCTAGTAGAGATCAAGGGCAGACCAAGGTGGGGTTCAGGTAGAACCGGGTCCTCTTCACCGCATGGCTGCTCCCTTTTCAAGCCTTTATCTGAAGGGTATTGTCTGCCATTTCCCACCATATGGTCAGACTTCCAGGTCTGGTGGCTCCTACATTTATCAGGCTTGTTCTTGGCCAAAGCCTTTCTCTGCACCTCAGCTGCTCCAGGGCGTAAAGAGATGACACCTATCTAAGGTGTTTTTAGAATAAATGAGAGCGCGCTAGTGGAATGGTTGCCCAGGGCCCAGTGCTTAGCAAGTGCTCCATAAAATAGTGGCAGACTCTTGAGCACCTGCTGGCCGGGAGCTGGACGCTAGGTGGCCTCCGCTAGCCCTCCCGGTTGGTCTGGAAGGCAGGCACAAGTTTCTCAGGAGAGGAAATGGCCTTAGAATGAGCACTGCTCGGTGCTGACCTCCGCCAGGCCTGGAATCCCCGCTGCTGCGCTTCCCGCCGCAGACAGCTCCCGGCCGGCCCCGCCTCCCGGCATGGCCCCGCCTCCCAGCATGGCCCCGCCCCCAGGCGGAGCCGGCGCCGGGAGCGGTAGCGGGAGAGCGGCAGCGGGACCCCAGCGCGGGCGGCGGCGGCTGGGCGGGAGCCCCAGAGGTACTGGCGGGAGCAGGGGACGGGAGGCACTACTGTCGGGCCCGACAGGGGAGAGGTGGCCTAGCCGTGGGCCCGGGTGATGTGTATGGGAGTGGGGTCCTCGCCACGTTCGCCGCCAGCACCCTCCCAACTTCCCTCCGGGCTCCAGCTCAGTCCCGAGTCAATATGTCCAGCCCCCTGTCTCTGACCAGCCGTTCCTACTCTCTCTGTGTGACGGCTTAGCCTGGCCAGCCAGCCGGTGAGTGGAAGCGGCGGCTCCTGACTCCTGGTGGCGGCACTGTGACCCCCTCCCCCTCAACACTGCAAGTGTGTGCGGGGCTCCCCCTTATTCTGAGGCTCCTCTTCTTCTTAGGCGGCCTCCACCCCAGTCCCTGGCCTGGCCTGGGAGGAAACATCTGTCGCGCCCCCTGGCAGCCGAAATGGGGTCATGACCTCCAGATGTGCTGGGAAGTGGCCAGCTCCTCCTCCTGGGGCAGCCAGGCCTTCCGGATCTGTGGGGGCGGGGCCGGCCCTTTCCCCCCACCCCTAGTGACACAGGCCCGGAGGAATGTCCTAGCCTCAATGGACCCTGTGTGAAGCTTCAGGGTGGGGGGCAGAGCCCGAGAACACCCCTCAAGGCAGCGCCAGAGCCTGGCACTGGGCCACAGCAAGAGGCAGCGCACAGGCTGGGTGCACACATGCACAGATCTCACTTCCAAGCGTGCAGAGCTCAGCCCACAAGGAGCGGGGCTTGCACAGACCCCCTCCCTCATGCCCTCCTACTCCTTCACACACTATAGCCCAGGCCCGAGCGCTGAATGTGCCCAGAGCTTGGCTCATGGAGCCAGGGGCTACACCCGTCACACACACACATAGCTAGCGACACTCACCTCATTCTTCTCAGTCTCTCAGCAGCCTTGGGAGGGGACAGAAATAATTAAACCCAATTTTTTTCTTTGTTTTTTTGGAGACAGTCTCACTCTGTCCCGCAGGCTGGAGTTCAGTGGCGCGATCTCGGCTCACTGCAACCTCTGCCTCCCAGGTTTAAGCGATTCTCCTGCCTCAGCCTCCTGAGTGGCTGGGACTACAGGTGCGCACCACCACACCCGGCTAATTTTTATGTTTTTAGTAGAGACAGGGTTTCACCATGTTAGCTAGGCTGGTCTTGAACTCCTGACCTCAGGTGATCCCCCCGCCTTGGCCTCCCAAAGTGCTGGGATTACAGGCCACAGCCACCGCACCCGGCCAGTTAACCCCATTTTAGAGATGAGAAAACAGAGGCTCAAGGTCAGCATGGGAGTTTATTCAGGAGAAATCAAGGTAGAAGCACCTGGGCTGGGGAGCCGACTCTTGCTTGGTTCTGGAGGCCCCAGACGAAGGGTGTGTGGAGCCCCTCCTCCACCCCCCTCCGGCCCAGCCCCGCATGATGTTGCTGGATGCTGCATGAAGACCCACCATTAGATGCCTGTACCCCCAGTGGAGGTTCCCCAGCTCCCTGTCCTCACTGCCTACTCCATCCAGGGCTTGCCTGGGTGTGGCTTCCCTCAAGTTCTCACACCACCATTTGCACCTGCCTCTGGCGTCACGTTTCCGCACTTAGCAGGTCCCTGGGGCTTTGGGTGTCTCAATCTTGCATCCTGTGAGACCTTGAACCTCAGCCCAACACCCACCCCCCAAAACCTACGCACACAGACAGCAGTGGGCAGGTGCAGCCCTGCTTAGGGCCTGGAGATGGGCAGACCCAGGCTCACATCCTAGCTCTGACACGGAATTGCTTCAGGCAAGAGCATCTCCTCTGGACCTCATCTGACCATCTGTCACATGGGGTTCAGACCTCCCTGTCTGCATCAGTGAGACCAGGTAGGCAGAGGTCCCTATGGGTCCCTGTCATTGTGACTCCTCTTGCCCCCAAGCCTGGGCACAGTAGCCTGCAAGAAGGTGAGTTGGCCTGTCCTTCAGGGCAGGGTGACTGGGGTCCCATGACAGCTGCTGTGACCCCAGCACCTTCCTCAGGATGTGGGGGCCTGGCAGAGGGCTGGGCCCACAGTTGGGGCTACTTCCTGTGCTGAAGGAAGTCCTCTTGCCATTCCTGCTGCCCTGCCGCTGCCTCCCTGGGAACCCATGTGTCCTTGTGGTATTGAGGCCTTGAGGTCCAGGGCACTGAGATCAGACCTCTCTGGGTGATCAGCTCTCCAGGGACCCTGAAGGAAGTGGGAGGGGCAAGGAGGAAGGTCTCTGGGGACAGGACGTCCTCCCTTTGTTAAGTGGGCAGGACCCAGACACCAGTGGCCCCTGGGTTTCCCGTCCCAGCCAATACAAGTCATCTGTCCGGTTGGGCTAGGTCCTGGTGGGACCCTTACTCTGGGCCCAGGCCAAAGCTAAGGTGTGTGGGTGGCGACTGGGGGACCCTGGCAGTCCCAGGGCTGCCCAGGCTCCAGGACCCTCAGGACCAAGACCCAACAGCCCAGCCTCTAGCCTTGCCCAGCTAAGCTGGGGAGGGGGCTGGAAACTTTAGCCCTAGGCAGACAAGGAAGTGGCCTGGAAAGCGGAAGCAGCTTTGATGGTCTCGGAGGGGGCCGGAAGCCAACACGGGTGGTGGAGGACCAGGCTGGGGGCCTGGGTTCCTGTTTTCTGCCCAGGCCCCTCTGAGCAGCCCCCTCCTCCTTCAGGGCAGGAACTGCTGCCACAACCTCAGGCTGGGCACCAAACACCCGTGCCCGCCAATGCGGCCCAGCCCCCGGAGAGTCAGGCCCACAGAGCATGCCCATGTGGGCCGGCGGTGTGGGGAGCCCTCGGCGGGGCATGGCCCCTGCGTCCACAGATGACCTCTTTGCCCGCAAGCTGCGCCAGCCAGCAAGGCCCCCGCTGACACCGCACACCTTCGAGCCGAGGCCAGTCCGGGGCCCACTCCTGCGCAGCGGCAGCGATGCAGGCGAGGCCAGGCCCCCCACGCCAGCCAGCCCCCGTGCCCGTGCCCACAGCCACGAAGAGGCCAGCCGACCTGCAGCCACTTCCACCCGGCTCTTCACTGACCCGCTGGCACTGCTGGGGCTGCCAGCAGAGGAACCAGAGCCTGCCTTCCCACCAGTGCTTGAGCCTCGATGGTTTGCCCACTATGACGTGCAAAGCCTGCTCTTTGATTGGGCTCCGAGGTCTCAGGGGATGGGGAGCCACTCAGAGGCCAGCTCTGGGACCCTGGCTTCAGCCGAGGACCAGGCTGCCAGCTCGGACCTGCTGCATGGGGCACCTGGCTTTGTGTGTGAGCTCGGGGGTGAGGGTGAGCTAGGCCTGGGTGGACCAGCATCCCCACCTGTGCCCCCTGCACTGCCCAACGCGGCCGTGTCCATCCTGGAGGAGCCACAGAACCGAACCTCGGCCTACAGCCTGGAGCACGCAGACCTGGGTGCTGGCTACTACCGCAAATACTTCTATGGCAAAGGTGAGGAAAGGCAGTTCCAGGGAGTGGAGGAGGGGGGCTGAAGAAGAGGTCCCTGTCACCTGCAGTGCACACAGTAGGGCTCATGAACTGTCCATTTCCTGTAAAGTCCCTGGCCCTGGGAGGGCTCAAGAGCTGAGCTGGGGTCCTCCTGGACCTACTTTCAACCACCTTCTTAAGGCTAATCCCTGGCTCCTCACCCCCAGCCAGGGCTGGTCCCTCTGCCTCCGTATTGGTTCATCCTCCATCTGGTTCAACCTGCCAGGCTGGGGAGAGATTCCCTATGGGCTTTTCTGTGGGGTGAAAACTCAGGCCTCAAATCCCTGCATCCGTGAACCTTGTTCGCACCAGCACTGCGGAGAGAGGGCTCCAGGACATAGAAGGGAGAATGAGGGCGTGGTGGGTGGAGCCAAGGCAGGATTTAGGCCTGGGAGCTGGCCGCGTGGGTCTAGGTCTGGGTCTGGGTCCACCTCTGGGTCAGGGTTGAGATCAAGATATTGAGCTCGGGGCTACAGAGGGGCGGGACTTAGTCTAGGGTCAACATTTGGTGGTGAGATGAAGCCTAGGGCGGGGCTTAGTGATGCGCGTGGTCGAGCGGGGGCGGGGCTGCCAGAGGGCGGGACCAATCGTTTTCTTCGGCGCGGTCCCCCAGAACATCAGAACTTCTTCGGGATGGACGAGTCGCTGGGCCCGGTGGCAGTGAGCCTGCGGCGGGAGGAGAAGGAGGGCAGCGGAGGGGGCACCCTGCACAGCTACCGCGTCATCGTGCGGACCACGCAGGTGGGCCGGGATCGCGGGATCAGGACGTGGGTTGCCTCCCCGACACCTTGTATGCATCCTGAGTGCCCTTACACCCCTTCCTCAGCTCCGGACACTCCGTGGCACCATCTCGGAGGACGCGCTGCCGCCGGGGCCCCCACGGGGTCTGTCCCCAAGGAAACTTCTGGAGCACGTGGCGCCGCAGCTGAGCCCCAGCTGCCTGCGCCTGGGCTCAGCTTCACCCAAGGTACCACGGACGCTGCTCACACTGGATGAGCAAGTGGTGAGTGGCGGGCCGCGGAGCCCCCAGCCATACAGCTGGCCCCAGTCTGAACCCAGCCTGCCCAGCTCCCAAACCCCTAGCCTTGACCCTGATCCTGGGCTGGGTGGTGACCCCAGAAGAGCTGGCTTTTCAGAGACAGGGCATCAGAGTTCATCTGGAGCCTTGCGTCTCAAAGTGAGCTCTGTAGACCAGCAGTATCCACATCATGTAGAAATGCAGATTCTGGGGCCCCACCCCAGACCATCTGAATCAGAGTTTGCACTTTATTTATTTATTTATTTATTTATTTATTTTGAGATGGAGTCTCGCTCTGTCACCCAGGCTGGAGTGCAATGGTGGAATCTCAGCTCACTGCAACCTCTGCCTTCCGGGTTCAAGAGATTCTCCTGCCTCAGCCTCCTGAGTAGCTGGGATTACAGGTGCATGCCACCACGCCCAGCTAATTTTTGTATTTGTAGTAGAGATGGGGGTTTTACCATGTTGGCCACGCTGGTTTTGAACTCCTGACCTTGTGATCTGCCCACCTCGGCCTCCCAAAGTGCTGGGATTACAGGCATGAGCCACTGCCCTTGGCCCAGAGTCTGCATTTTAAAAAGATATTTGCAGCCCTAGATGCCCTGGTCTGACTCACCCCACTGGTCCTGCAGTTCCCGCATCATTCCTGGCCAATTTCCCCCACAGCCCCTGCTGGGTTTCCTCTAACATGTGGTGCTCACAGCTTCCTGGAGCGGCTCCTTCCATCCCCCACTCCATGCTGAAAGCTGCCCATTGGCTGAGTCTTCTCCTCTGTATCATTCAACCCATCAGTCATTCAACAAACATTTCTTAGACCTTTTTGGTGCCAGGCCTCAGACTGGATGCTGGGGACAGGTCTAGACCAGGTGCTTTGCTTGAGTAGCTCACAGCTGGGTGGGAGAAAGAGACCCACAGAGAACTGCTGAAACACAGGAGCAGTACTGGAACACTGAAAGGGAATGTTGAGGGCTGCCTGGGCCACGACGGTAGTGATGAGAGCCCTTCCTTGGCCAGGGTTTTCCAGCATGGAGAACACAAAAGGGCTCAGGCCCGGATAAGCAGGTGTTTTCTGGTCAGAAGGAATAACTTGTGCAAAGGCTTGGAGAATGAGAGCATGGCACATTAGGCAGTCAGTTCAGCGTGGCTGGGGTTGGGATTGTGGGGAGGGGCGGGGGAGAAGCTTGCATTTGTTCCCGTGGACACTGGGGAGCCATGGAGGGATACGGTGCAGATCTGAGAGGGGCAGCTCTCTGGCTGCAGCATGGGGACTAGACTGTACGGGGCGGGGATGCCAGGCTGAAGGCTATTGCAGTTGCCCAGGCTAGACACAGTGGCAGCGATAGTGGAGGTGAAGAGGAGGTGACAGTCCAGGAAGGACTGGGTAGTCATGTGGCTGACTGGAAGGGGTGAAGTGCTAGGATTTCCCAGCTTCTTGGCCCCCAGGAGTGGTGGTTTAAGGAGGAGGAGCAGGGTGGGGGAGTCACAGCAAGGTGAGACATTAGGCAGCCGGAGAAAAAGGCCCGGGGTTTGGTAGGCCGGTCTGAATGGGAGGCGGAGATGGGGGTGTCATCCTTGCTGCAGCCAGGGAGGGGGAGGAGCATGGGTGGAGAAGAGGCCCAGGCAGAAGAGGGCGGGGTTCCTGGGGCCCTAGGCAAGGTGAGTTTCCAGCTATCCCCAGTGCCACCTATGGCTGAGAGGGTACCAGGATGAGGCCACATCTGGGGACCATATGGGGAGTGGGGGGTGCAGGGGGTTGGGAGGAATGAAATCGAAGTGGGGACTGTAAGTGCAGACAAGTTTAGTTGTAGAAAAGGGAGGTGACCGCTGGAGGGGAGCCTGTGCTGTTTGGAGGAGTTCAGAGCACCTTGAGCTGGGCATGGTTATCCAGTTATCCGCAGAGGGAAGAGCCGGGAAGAGGGCACAGAAATGGGAGCATGGGGGGCAGAGGTGGTGCCTGGCCTGCAGGGGCTGGGGTGGGGGTGCCTTGGATTCAGGGGTGCAGAGGACAGTCCAGCCTTGAGATAAGGAGGATGATAATGTGTATGTTTATTGGAAGGGTCCTTTCTGTGAATCACCTTCTCTACTGCCACATGGGAACCAGCCTCCTCCCATCCCTTCCTACCTGTGCACTCCCAAGCACGAGGAGCACAACAGACTGTACTCACCTGACAGGCAAGGGCACAAGTGGCTCAGAGAGGGCTGGTGCTCAGCCCCAGGCCAGCGTCCCATCCATTCCCTAAGAGCTGGTGGGGTGGGGCTGCAGGGGACTGAGACCTATGCCTTCTGTCTCCCACCCACAGCTGAGCTTCCAACGCAAGGTGGGCATCCTGTACTGCCGGGCGGGCCAGGGCTCGGAGGAGGAGATGTACAACAACCAGGAGGCGGGACCGGCCTTCATGCAGTTTCTCACCTTGCTGGGCGATGTGGTGCGGCTCAAAGGCTTTGAGAGTTACCGGGCCCAGCTAGACACCAAAAGTGAGGCCCAGGGGCAGGAGGGGTGGGAGCAGATCTGTGCTGAAGGGGTGAGCACAAATTGCCTTGTCACTCCTTTGTCCGTACAATCCTGGGGCTGGGGACTGGAGAGTTCTTTGGGTGAGCTAAGGATCTGAGTCAGGGCTATGAGGGCCAAGCTATGGGCTGAAAAGAGGGGCTGGGACTGTCCCTCAAGGCCCAAGTACCCTACTGCCTGAGCTGGGGCTAAAGTGGTTTGGGGGCACTACCCCTCCACCAAACACATTCCAGCAGCTCAGCCTCGTGGAAGAGAGGTGCCCCTACCTCCCTGGTGGAAGGGGCCCCAGGACCCCTGGGAGGTGTTGTACTGAGCACCCCCTGCCTGCTTTTCACTTTCCCAGCATGCCACACATGCTTGGGCCTGGAGTGACACCTGTCCTCCTAGGACACCTGACCCTGCCCTCCCTCTGAGACCACTTCTCATTTCTGTCTTCATTCTATTTCAACTCTCCCATCCTGACCCCCCTTCACTCTGGCATGGGGCTGGAGCCTGTGGAGGGAGAGGAGGAGGGGCACCCAGGGCTGAGGCCCTTGAATCTCGCTGGCTGGGCATTGGCTGGTGGCATGACTGGTTGTCCACCTGCTGTTTGGGGCACAGAGGCTCCTGTGTACAGGCAGGAATGGCAAGTTCAAGCCACTTAGATTCCCCTTGTTTTCTCCTTCTGTGTCCCTAACTTCCTGGCCACAGCGGATTCCACAGGCACGCACTCCCTCTACACCACATACCAGGACCACGAGATCATGTTCCACGTGTCCACGATGCTGCCTTACACCCCTAATAACCAGCAGCAGGTGTGAGGGGGACCAACGTGGGGGTGGGGCTTCCGGGAACCATGGAGGGCCCTGCATGGCCCATGACGTTTGAGCTTTGGCCGGAGCTCTGTTGGCCCCAACAGCCCGCCCCTCTGGTGGCCCCTTCCCAAAGACAGAAACACCCTAGGTCTTCACCAGGGGCAGTGGGGGAGCCATTGGTGCCTTGGCTTTCTCCTGCCTGAATGAGGAGGGGTTTGGGGCACAGAAGACCTCATCACGAGCCCCTACTATCCAACCCCTAGCTCCTCCGGAAGCGCCACATTGGCAACGACATTGTGACCATCGTGTTCCAGGAGCCTGGCAGCAAGCCCTTCTGCCCCACCACCATCCGCTCGCACTTCCAGCACGTGTTCCTAGTGGTGCGGGCACACACACCCTGCACGCCACACACCACCTACAGGTGGGCACCGGAGTGGTCCCAGGTCTCCCGTGGGCATGGAGTCCTGCCGCCCCTCACTAACGCCTCCCTCCCCGCAGGGTGGCCGTGAGCCGCACCCAGGACACCCCTGCCTTCGGGCCAGCTCTGCCTGCTGGCGGAGGCCCCTTCGCAGCCAACGCCGACTTCCGGGCCTTCCTGCTGGCCAAAGCGCTGAATGGTGAGCAGGCGGCCGGCCACGCGCGCCAGTTCCACGCCATGGCCACGCGCACCCGCCAGCAGTACCTGCAAGACCTGGCCACCAACGAGGTGACCACTACGTCGCTGGACTCGGCTTCACGCTTCGGCCTGCCCTCCCTGGGTGGGAGGCGCCGGGCGGCCCCTCGGGGCCCAGGCGCCGAGCTGCAGGCAGCGGGCTCACTGGTGTGGGGAGTGCGCGCGGCGCCCGGGGCGCGGGTCGCCGCCGGGGCTCAGGCGAGCGGCCCCGAAGGCATCGAGGTGCCCTGCCTGCTGGGCATCTCGGCCGAGGCTCTGGTGCTGGTGGCGCCGCGCGACGGCCGCGTAGTGTTCAATTGCGCCTGTCGCGACGTGCTGGCCTGGACCTTCTCCGAGCAGCAGCTGGACCTGTACCACGGCCGCGGGGAGGCGATCACGCTGCGCTTCGACGGGTCCCCCGGCCAAGCCGTGGGCGAGGTGGTGGCGCGCCTGCAGGTGAGCTGGAGTGGTAAACTGGGGCCCCTGCGCGCGGCGGGGCGGAGCCTGCTTTGGACCCCTCCCTCCCGCCGCCTTTGTCCCCTACTCCTGCGGAAGGGAAAGTCGAGGAGGGCAGAGCCAGCCCCGGGGCTTGGCAAGGCCGGAACTGGTGCCCTCGGGTAAGCGACTTCTGGTCTTCATCCCTCGGGCGGTGGCACACGCGGCCCTCGGGGACTGTGGAAAGTTCCGTGTGGCCTGGGACGCAGTCCAGGGGGCGGGCGCTGGGGCGGCCCCACCTCCCGGCAGCCCCGCCCACTCGTCCCGCCCCGTCCGCAGCTGGTGAGCCGTGGCTGCGAGACCCGCGAGCTGGCGCTGCCCCGCGACGGTCAAGGCCGCCTGGGCTTCGAGGTGGACGCCGAGGGATTCGTCACGCACGTGGAGCGCTTCACATTCGCCGAGACGGCGGGGCTGCGGCCCGGGGCGCGCCTCCTGCGCGTGTGCGGCCAGACTCTGCCCAGCCTCCGGCCCGAGGCCGCTGCCCAGCTCCTGCGCTCGGCGCCCAAGGTCTGCGTCACCGTCCTGCCCCCCGACGAGAGCGGCCGGCCCCGCAGGTCAGGGTGCCGGGGACGCGGGGAGGTGGGAGGGCCGGCAGTTGGCCACCGCGCAGTCTGCGCCTCCCGGGTCGCCATCAGCAGTTTCAGGAACCCAGTGTGGATACCTTTCCTTCTGGAAAGAATCTCCCGTCTCTTAGCCCGTCTGAGCCTGTCTCTTCCTGTCTCTGTCTCTCTCTCTTTCTCTGTCCTTCCTTCCTCTCTCTCTCCTCTCTCTTTTTTTTTTTTTTGAGACGAAGTATCCCTCTTGTTGCCCGGGCTGGAGTGCAATGGCGTGATTTCGGCTTACTGCAACATCCGCCTCCCAGGTTCAAGCAGTTCTCCTGCCTCAGCCTCCCTTGTAGCTGGGATTACAGGCATGCACCACCACGGCCGGTTAATTTTTTCTATTTTTAGTAGAGATGGGGTTTCACCAAGTTGGCCAGGCTGGTCTCGAACTCCTGACCTCAGGTGATCCACCTGCCTCGCCCTCCCAAAGTTCTGGGATTACAGGCGTGAGTCACCGCGCCCTGAACCTCTATCTTCATATGTAGAATGGGACCAGTTAAGCGCGTTGCTCCCACTGCTTAAAAGATCAAATAGCAGCCCCCACTATCTTTTTTTTTAAGTATTGGCACCCGCCCACCCAACACACACACTACACACTATTGATAACTTCCTGTGCTAAGCCAGGGGTAGGCAAACATTTTCTGTAAATGGCCAAATAATAAATATTTTAGGCTTTCTGGACCATCTGGTCTCTGCCGCAGCTACTCTGTCGTAGGTAAATGAATAAATAAATGTGCCTGTGTCTCGCTAAAACTTTATAGACACTGAAATTTGGATTTTACATGATTTTAACTTATCATGAAATATTCTTTTGATTTTTCCACTAGTTAAAAATGTAAAATCCGGACCGGGCGCGGTGGCTCATGCTTGTAATCCCAGCACTTTGGGAGGCTGAGGCGGGTAGCTCACCTGAGGTCAGGAGTTCGAGACCAGCCTGGCCAACATGCTGAAACCCGTCTCTAGTAAAAATACAAAAATTAGCCAGGTGTGATGGCAGGCATCTGTAATCCCAGCTACTTGGGAGGCTGAGGCAGGAAAATCACTTGAACCCAGGAGGTGGAGGAGGTTGCCATGAGCTGTGATCGCGCCATTGCACTCCAGCCTGGGCAACAAGAGCAAAACTCCATCTCAAAAAAAAAAAAAAGTAAAATCCATGCTTAGCTCGCAGTACAGAAACTGGCACATCTGCTTTAGAAAAGAAAAGGAAAAGGCACAGGCTGGATTTGGCTACAGACAGTAGTTTTGGGATTTAAGCAATTTACACGTGTTATTTAAATCCTCACAGCACACTATGAGGTTCGTACTATTATCCCCATTTCACAGATGGAGAAATTGATGTTCAGAGTGATTTGCTTGGGATATACAGGGGCAGCACTGGAATTTGAACCATGGTCTGGAAAAATGGCCAGTAACCAGGCAGACATTTTTCACTGTTGTCAGGATGCCGGGGAGCTCTCCTGCTCCTGGAAGTGAGCCTGGCGGGCTGGGGGTGGGGCTAGTGATGCAGGACGCTGGGGACTGGAGAAGTCCTGCCTGACCCTGTCCCACCCCACAGGAGTTTTTCGGAGCTGTACACGCTGTCGCTGCAGGAGCCTAGCCGGCGGGGGGCCCCAGATCCTGTGCAGGATGAGGTCCAGGGGGTGACCCTGCTGCCCACCACAAAGCAGCTGCTGCACCTGTGCCTGCAAGATGGTGGCAGTCCTCCAGGGCCTGGGGATCTGGCCGAGGAGAGGACTGAGTTCCTGCACAGCCAGAACTCGCTGTCACCACGCAGGTGCACACTCTTGGCCTTCCCTCTCCTCCAGGCCTCTGGGAAAGCGGCTTCCCTTTCTGAGCCACCCCTGCTCTCCCCAGCTCTCTGTCGGATGAGGCCCCAGTCCTGCCCAACACCACCCCGGACCTCCTCCTGGCCACCACAGCCAAGCCATCAGTACCCAGTGCTGACAGTGAGACACCCCTGACCCAGGTGAGCAGAAACCAGGCTCTGGAGCCCAACAGCACAGTGGTGACAGTGGGCATCACTGAATCTGTATCCACTTCTGTGGCACAGGACAGGCCAGGCAGTCCCAGTGGCTCTGAGGACAAGGGCAACCCGGCGCCGGAGCTGAGGGCCTCCTTTCTGCCACGTACCTTGTCTCTGCGGAACTCCATCAGCAGGAGTGAGTCTGGACCCAGGAGAGCAGGGGAGGGGTTGGGGGGTGCTCCTGGGCTTCCCTAGCTCAGCCTGCTCCTTGTGCCCACAGTCATGTCGGAGGCGGGCAGTGGGACCCTGGAGGACGAGTGGCAGGCCATCTCGGAGATTGCCTCTACTTGCAACACCATTCTGGAGTCGCTGTCCCGAGAGGGTGAGGCCACCAGGGTGCTGCGGTAAGCCTGGGCAGTGCTCTTGCCCCCTTTCTGACCTGCCCACCTGATCCCTTTGTCCCCACAGGACAGCCCATCCCAGAGAGTGGAGACCCTAAGGGAACTCCAAAATCTGATGCTGAGTAAGCTCCCCAACTCCCCACAGCCGCTTTACCTGCCCACATGACCCCCCCTTCGTGCCTGTCTGCTGGGGTGGAGCTCTGTCCTGGGCTCTGCTGCCACATATGCCTAGAAGACCAGCGGGGCCCCTCTCATTAGCTGGGGCTGGGAGTCAGCTGGTGCACTGCCCCCTGCCTTGGTCCTGCTGAGTCTTGACCCCCATGTCTTCAGGCCAGAGCCTGGGAACCTCTCAGAGAAGGTCTCTCACTTGGAGTCCATGCTCAGGAAGCTGCAGGAGGACCTGCAGAAGGTGAGGGGTGGGCTGAGCTTGGGGGGAGTCACAGGGCTGCCCCAGGAAAGGGGCTGGCGGCTCTGACTCCTGTCTCCCCGGCACCCCAGGAGAAGGCGGACAGGGCGGCCCTGGAGGAGGAGGTGCGGAGCCTGAGACACAACAACCGGCGGCTGCAGGCGGAGTCTGAGAGTGCAGCCACACGCCTCCTCCTGGCCTCCAAGCAGCTGGGCTCACCCACCGCCGACCTGGCCTGAGCCGTCTGGAACCACCTGGGCCCCTGAGGGCACTGTGGTCACACTGGGCCCTCCTCAGGAACTCTCCCTGCGCAGAGGCGTGTCTTAGCACTGCCCCCCTCCCTAGCCCCTTATTTGGTGGCGGAAGTGGCCTCCACCCCTTCCCTGTTTGTAAATATTCTGTGGAGAAAAGAGGACTTCAGGGAGTAAAAAAGCCACTGATGTCTGTGTCTGAACATGTGTCCAAGACAGGGCAGGGCAAGGGGTTTTGCCTCCAGAGGCCCCAGCCAAACTCCTCGGACCAGTCAGGACAGGCCCTGGGAACACTGGCTCAGAGATGGGCTGGCACTCACTGAGGGGTCCCTGAGGCCAGGCCACTGCTTGGCTTCTCTCCCATAACGTTTATTTGGTTCTGCAGGGAAGCAGGTGGCCACACCCCACAGCTACCCTGGCCGTGCATCACAAGGCCCTGTGCCTCAGTGCAGGCCTCACTCTTCTCTCTGAAGCCACTGAGCCCCCAGGCCTTGTCCTCTCTCTACCCACCTGGCCACTTCTTGCAGGGCCCAATTCCAGAGGCGGTGGCATCTCCGCCTCAGTTGACTGGGGCTGTTTCTATGTCCTGGAGGAAACGGGCCCTTGACCCACTTCCCTCCTCACCAGCCTATGGTCCTCTCTGTTCCTCGCGAGGCCAGGCCTTTCCCCGAAGTGGCATCATCAAGTCCAAACTTGGGACTTTGTCTAAATCCTTTGGTTTCTGGACCTGAGGCCCAGATAGGGCAGACTTGCCCAGCATCTCATGCCTATTCCAGTCCCTTCCCTAGGCTGGCTGAAGCTCCATGGTGAGACCTAGGCCCTGGGTCTGTTAACTTAGGTGCTGGCAGGATGAGCTAGGCTCGGAGAAACAGAGCATCTGAGGATCAGGAAGGCTTCATGGAGGAGGTAATATGAGGGCTGAGTTTTGAAGGCTGGGTAGGAGTTCACCAGGCAGAGACGTCAGAGGTATCCTGGTAGGACCAGTCTGGCTGAGGCCTGCTGGACTAGAGCCAAGGCACACCCAGGAACCCAGCGTCAAAGAAGCCAGATCAGAAAGGGTTGTGAAGGTGCACTAGGGATCCTGGGTTAGCAGTTCCCAAGACTGCCACTTTTTCCTGGTTGTGGACTAGTGTGGAAGGCTGTGGTCACTGAGGGTGTGTCTGCAGAAAACTCGGATCTGGTCTTGTGGTTGATGTTTGAAGGGAGATTGATGGGGTGAGATCTGGATGTCAGAGCTCTTTGGCTGCAGGGAGGCGGCTGTAGCCGCAGTCCAGTGGGAGGTCTAGTGGTGACTTAAACTCAGTGATAGCAGTGACAGTGGGGAGAAGTGGGCAGATTTTCCAGGACCTCGTGGAAGGACTGGACGCAAGTTACTAAGGGAAGAGGCGGCATCTACGGTAGTGGCCAGGTTTCCGGCTGGAGCCCTTGGAAGGTGGCAGGGCCAGGGCTGACAGGGAAAAGGAGAGGCAGGCTGGGGATGGCTGAGGTCATTTGGAACAGGATGAGTTTGAGAGGCCCGAGGACGTCAGAGTGGAGATGTCCAGGGGCTGGTGCGCAGGGGAGAGAGATCTGGGTTGGATACGAGGACTTGGAGCTGCTGAGCCATGAGCATGATGGGGTCATTCACGAATGAGAGAAGAACCAGGAGAGGTCTTCGTGGGTCACGGGAGGTCGCGGGACCGAGAAAGCCAAGAGGAGGGAGGCGCAGCCTGGGCTGCAGGGCCTTGGCTCCCTGGTTTCCCTCTGGGCCTCGGGTCGCGGACCTCCGGTCGGGGTCCCTGCGCAGCTCAGCCGTCGGCTTCCTCAGCGTTAGGAGCCTTCTCACCCCGCCCGCTTCCTCCCCGACCCCGCCTCCCAGGCGCTCCCCGGCAGCTTCGCCCGGGTCCTGACCTGGCCACCGCGAGCCCGGGCTCCGCCCCTCGCGTGGGAGTTCCGCCGAGGCCCGCCCTCGCTCCAAGCCCCGCCCCTGGCCGCCCCCCCGGAGCCGGAGCCCCGTGGAAAACGCCACTTCCTCGACGGAATTGGCCTGCCGTCTCGCCGGCGCCGCCCGTCGGAGCCTGCACCCAGGGCCTTTTCTGTTCCTAGGAGACTCGCTGAATTTTGGGACGCGTCCCGCTGACGATAACTCCTTTTCCCCTGCTATTGTCCTCCCGCGACGGTGCGAAGCCCAAACGAAGACGCCATCGGCCTCGGCGGGGATTTTCCCCAGACGCTGGACCCGGCCTCCGGTTGCTGCGGGCTCCTTGTGCGCCTGCGCAGTCGAGAAGGGGGCCCACGCCGGCCAGCGCTTTTTGCTGCTGCGCTTGCGCTGGGGCAAAGCGGAAGTACGTCCAGCTGTAGCCCTTGTGGGCTGCGGCTGGGCCTTTGTTTTGGCTTCCTGAGGCTGTGGATTGAAGATTTCACCGTTCCTCCCAGAACAGAGTATCAAAGCATCGGTGGGCCGGGTAGATCTTTACCTGGCACCACACATTCCCCAAGAGAAGCACACACTCCCTGGGCCACCCAAGGAATTTGGCCCCATCACATCTTTCGAACATCGTTTCTCTTACCTCTGACGCTGGCTAGTCCCTCTTTGACATCCACTCTCAGCTGATCTAAGACCTGGAGCTAATGGGGCCTCTTGGAAGACTCCTGAAACTGCTCCATCCCCACAGCCAGCGGGCTCTACTAGGCTCTCAGTGTGCTAGGACTCTTGCCTTAGCTGCCCGTTTTCATCCACTGGACGGTAACTCGGGGTTTCCAAGGGCATTCTCAGACTGCAAGCTCTCAGAGGACAGTGCACGCATTCACCCAGCTCTCTACCACCAATGTCTGGCCTGATGTGACTAGCAAAATGTGTGCTCAGTGTTTGCTGAAAAAAAGCGGATCTCTAGCCAGCTTGGCAACAGATTTATTAGTTCAGAGTAGAAAGAGCAAGAGTCCAAGTGCTTTGATTGTTCAGTAAAAACTATGCCTCCTGACTGGAGAGCTGCCAGCCTGCTCTCCCCCACTCTTAACAACTTACCCTACTATTAAGGCACTTGAGAAGAGGGAGAGCAAGGAAGTCCCAGACCAAACCCCTTCTGGATCCTGGAGAGAGCCAGTGCTGTTGCACTGGTTTCCTTCAGCCATGGTTGAGCAAGGAAAGAGCCGGCAGAGACCTCTGTAGGGCAGGAAGGCCAGCCCCTCAAACGCTGGTGTTAGGCACAGGGACAATGCCAGTGCCATACAGGGGCTGGTATCTGGGGCGTTATTTTGATTAAGCTGTAATGAATCCATGATGGAAGACACTTGATAAGGCTTTGTGGGCTCAAAGGCCTTACCTCCAGCCTGCTTCTGTCTCTAGGAGAGTACCAGAAGCTGGAGGATGGGGATGGGGGACCCCAGAGTTCCCTACAGAGAAGGGAGCTGACCATCAGGACAGGGGAAAAGTTTGAGTTTCCCCAGCTCCCCCCTTTCCAGAGAAGTTAATGCTTCTGCTTAAGCACCTCCAAAAAGAGAGAGAGATACAGATACTGACAATAAAAGAATAAAATATGGCTCCCCCCTCCAAGGAAGACATCCACAAAGTTGGGGGCAGTTGGAACACACCCCACCAGAATCCGTAAGTGCTTTTGGAGGGCTTCAATCCCCTGCAACCCAGTGCTCTGGGGAGGGCAGGCGTCACCCCCTTAGGAGCTGATCTGACTCAGCAGGGCTGAGAAGTCCATGTCCGCAATGGAGGAGAAGTCTTCATCTCCTGAAAGGAGGCCATTGGGGAGCCCCGGGGCCCCCAGTGGAGCAGGAGCTGGGTCGGGGGGCCTCTGGGCCCCTGTCACTAGGCGAGTTATAGCCTCAGGGTACTCCATCAGCATGGGCTCAGTTGTGTGGGGGGCCACAGGTATGCCCTGGTTCAGCAGCTGCTGAAACTCGGAGTTGTCGACGGATGCCAGGTCTGTGAACACAGCTGGGTCTGTGCTGTTGCCAAGCAAGGCCCCCAGGTCTTCATCATCAAACTGCAGCTGCAGCAGGGCCTCTGACAGCGTTCCTTCCCCAGCCTGGGTGGGCTTGGGGGCAGGTGGGGCCACAGCCTGAGGAGGGCCTGGGGCTAGGACTGGGACAGGGGCTGGGGCCTGGGCCAGAGCTGATACCATGGCTGGAGCAGGGGCAGGGGCTGGAGCCTGGGGCAGGACTTGGGGAGGGGCCGGGGCCAAGGCCGAGGCCTGGCTGATCTGCCCAGAAGGAAACACCATGGTGGGAAACTCATCATAGTTGATGGTGCTCAGGGATGACGTAAAGGGATAGGGCTGGGGTGCTGGAGGAGAGAGACAGAGAGGCAGGGGTCAGAGAAAGCCCTAGAGATCCACCCCGTCCTCTGTACCCCAGCCCCTCTTCATGGTGCTCAGGCTCAATCCCTCTCTAGGGAGTCACTGCCAACACCCTATCTCCTTCCTCTTACCCCATCTGACCCAGCCTGTAGGGTCCAGTTCTAGCCACACCTCCACCTTGGAGTCCTCCCTGACTACTCAAGCCCACGAAACTCTTCCAGCCTTTTAGAGGAAGGGACACTTGGAGAGATAAGCTGGACTCCTCAGTTTACAGCTGAAAAACTAAGTCCTGAGAGGCAATGAGCCCATGGAGCACCAAGTGAGCAGCGGCCTGAAGTGCAGAGCTTGTCAGTTTTTGAGCCTCGCACAGGCACACACATCTTGCTAATTTAGAGGTGATTTTTGTTCCCCCAATTCAAGTGAGAGATGAGAGCAGAGATTCTGCATTTTTAACTTCTGATTCCCAAGATACCCAATATAGAATTTAAGTGGCACGGTGGTTCCCAGGCTTCAGTGTGCATTAGCATCCCAGGAAGTCGCTGGTTCCTGCGCCATCCTTTCAAAGCCTCTGATTCAGTAGGTCTGTAATGGGGCCCAGGAGTCTTCATCTCCACTGCTCCTCAGCTGAACAGAGCTGAACCTGTCGTTCCAGTGGGACAAAAGGAAATCCTTACCTGGCTTGGGGACAGAAGCTGAGCTGCGGGAAGGCACAGCAATGCGTCGAGGTGGAGGCCGGGGGTCGGTGGGTCCTGTAGGGCAAGGGCTAGGTCAGTTCTCAGCCCCAGGGTGTCCCCTCCCTGCCCGCTGCCTTCCTCTCTGGCTTTCCCAGTCCCCATCTCACCGCTGAAAGGACTCTTCTTCATGATGCTCTTGAAGGTCTCATATGTCCTTTTACGTTTCTCCTCAATCCGGTGACGATCGTCTGGGAAAGTAAGGGGGAGAAGTGGGACTTGCTCTCCTCAGGTGGGTCCCCGACGCTCTCAAAGGTCCCTCAGGAGGAAGGGGAGGAGCCAGGCTTTCCCAAGACCCATTCTCCCAACCTTCTCTGCCAATGAGAAGGGATGTGTGACACTCAGCAGTTCTGAGAATCCCACAGCTTTTGGAGGCCTCTGTTGGCTGAATCTGCCCCTCTAAGACCACATGGTGAGGCCGAGTACAGGGGCCATGCTCTGGGCAAAGAGGAGACCTGGGGGGCCCCAGCCTCCAGCTCACACCTTCCTGCACTGCTCACATCCTGGCTCATTGTCAGCCTCCACCCAGGCCTGGCGAGAATTTCTTGGCACTCTGGGGCAGCTGAGGCACAACTGCCTTAAGACTTCAGCAGAGACTCTTATTCTTATCTCTAATGGTTTCATATTTTAGTCAGAGCTTTCAGAACTGTCTTTCTAATTACAGTGGTATTTCAGTAGCTCCAAAGCACTTCAATTCCATCAATTCAAAGACAACCTCATCATCCCTCAAAAACTAGGTTCTTTCTCCTGCATTCCCTGACCATCCGCCATCTGCCCTGTCACCAAAGCTAGAAACCTTGGAATGATTATCTTCTTTTCTCTCACTCCCCGCCAGTAACTTGACATATATTTATCAAGCACCTACTATGTGCCAGCCTCCCTTCTAGACACTGGGGATGTGGCCGTGAGTATGCACACAAGGTGTCTGCTCCCAAAAAGTTGGCATCCTAGTGAAAAAGTGAGAGGGACACAATCATATATACAAACCAGAAAATCTCGGCCAGGCGTGGTGGCTCACGCCTGTAATCCCAGCACTTTGGGAGGTCGAGGCGGGTGGATCACGAGGTCAAGAGATCGAGACCACCCTGGCCAACATGGTGAAAACCCCGTCTCTACTAAAAATACAAAAAATTAGCCGGATGTGGTGGCGGGCGCCTGTAGTCCCAGCTACTCGGGAGGCTGAGGCAGGGAGAATCACTTGAACCCGGGAGGTGGAGGTTGCAGTGAGCCGAGATTGCACCACTGCACTCCAGCCTGGGCGACAAGAGTGAGACTCTGTCTCAAACAAACAAACAAAACCAAACCAGAAAATCTCAAGTGACGGTGGTCCAGGGACGATATGGTGATGTAACAATACTGGAAGTGAGGTCAGGACAGTCTAAATGTAGAGGGAAGGGCTAATTTAGAGGTCAGGGAAGGACTGGCATGAGCCACTTGCATTAAAACCTTGGGCATTCCAAGCAGAGGCAACAGCTAGACACAGGTCCTGAGGTGAGACTGAGCTTGGTCTGTAAGACGCAAAACGGCTGCAGGGCTGAAGGGTAACTGAGGACAGTGGTGGAGATGTGATCTTGCTCTGCTATTCCTTCTGTAAGGTTTGTGCCGCATCTTCTCTTCCTGGACTACAGCAACATTTCCAGAATGGCCTCCCTGCTTTGAGTCTGTCTGTCTCTGATCTTCTACACGTGGCCTCCTGAGTCAACTTCCAAATCTGCTCCTGTCACCTCTCTGCTTAGAGGCCTTCAGCTTAACCAGGCCCTCCAATCTCTGAGCCTGCTCACTGCCCAACATCAGCTCAAACCACGAAGGTGGCCCTGAATAGGCCGTGCAGTTGCCAACACCCCTTCCCTTCCAGGTGCTGGGCCACCTGCCTGGAGAACACACTTCTGTGTCTTTCTCCAGCTTCAATGCCACCTTCTCCATGCAGCTGTCTCCAGCTCCCCGGAGGCCACTGTGCCCCCGTGCTTCTCTGCGCACACCTCCATTTCACATGTCATTCCGTGACTTAAGGATCTGTTTTGCACATTTGTCTTCCTCAAGTGACTGAGACTCTGAAGGGCAGGGAGCATGTCTTACTCATTTTTTGTATTCACAATACCTGGCACAGGCCCTGGTACCAAGTGGACACTCAAACCTCGACCAAAATGTGGCTGGGCTGTATGGTAGTGACAAGACAACCAGTGTGGCAAAAGGATCCTGAAGCCAGATGGCCTGGGTTCCAACGCTGACTCTGCTAGACTCTGCTACTTACTAGCCACGTGAACCCAGGCAAGTTGGACACTATCTCCTACTTCAAAAGGGTCATGAGATTAAAATCAGGTAATCCAGTGAAGTGCCTGGAATAGGGGCAGATGTGTAGTACTAGCTCAATGTCTGAGGTATCATTATTATTAAATGAGGCAAGAAATGGATTCCAGTTTCTTGGATCCCAAGCTCTGACTCCAGCTTCTGGCCCTCAACCACAGCCCCAGACATGCAGTCTTGGCCTCTCTCTCACGGCACAGAGCCCAGCTGCCCTGATGCTGCCACCCCAGCTGTGTACCTGTATCTGGCAGGTACTGGAATTCCATGGGCTCACTGAGCTCCCGGTCGGAAGGCCGCCGCAGCTGCATGGAGACACGCACAGGAGCCTGCAGGCTGGGGTCTGCGTAGGGAGGGGTCCGGAACACAATGGCCACTTGTCGGTGCACATCAGCTTGCGAAAAGGAGCCTCGGGCCTCCCAGCCTGGTCCCGTGAAATACACCTCAATGTCCTCTGCAGGAGATGCGGTGGCAGTGTGGGTCAGTGTGTCTAACCCTCCATGGTCTCCCCCTCAACTTCTGATGCTTGTCTTCTGATACATCACCCTTCGGCCCACCTGAGGCCCCCGAGGCACAGGAGGAAGTATCCAAAGCCAGTTACCTGACACTCCACTTCTCTGCTCAGCTTCACCCCTTGCTCCCAAGAGCCCACCCCTGCCTCCTGATGTATACCTTTCTGCACCTTGTCACACAGTAGGAAGATCTCATCCCCACCGAGGCAGCTGCCAGAGTTTCGGTTCACTCGGCAGATCTTGAGCTCGGCAGTGTTGGGGGCACCTGAGGCAGTGAAAACAAGGGAGGATGACCTGAGCCACGAGAGGTCCCCAGGGTGGCCTGCAGGAGATGCAACTTCCCTGCCCAGCCCAGAGTCAAGGTTGCCCAGAGCTTGCCACCTACACCTTTGTAGCCAAAGTCAGACCTTCTTATTAGCTCCTCACCCCAACCGATTCAACAAGTATTTGCCTACTGTGCACTCAACACTGATCTAAGCAAGAATACGACCACACACAAAACCCAAACCTCTCTGCTCTCCCGGAGCTTATAGTCCAGTGGGTGCCAATCTGATCACACTCTTTCTCCACCTGACCAAAGCAATCTTTAAGGCCAGTCCATACCCACCTTGGCAATGAGCCCTTCCCTCCTGACCCCCAGTTTATCCTGGTTTCCCATCCTTGGGGCTCCAGATTCGTTTTATTTCCATTCATCCTGCTGGTTACTTAACTAAAGACTGCAGCTGATCAGTCAGCCCAATTCATCTGTGGGCTTCCATCACTGAATCATCATTCTCGAACACTATCTTGTTCCTGGGAGTTCATTTCCTAGAGTCATTATCGCAGTTGTGGGCACACCACCTTCTCATCACACAATACTGAAAATGCCCATCTCCCATCAGACTCTCTGCTAGACTTCCTGCCAGGCCAGAGCTACACCTCAAGGACAGCTCTGGGTCTTCTTTGCCCTCTCTCCCCAGCCAACAAAGAGCTGGGCAGAGAAGAGTAGACAAATACGCAAGATGATTGAATGAAGCCAGAGCGCCTCTTGCAGGCCACACTCACCCCAACCCCCTTCCTCCTATTCAGGCCCACCCTCTCCCCTTCCTGCGTCTCCCTCGCTACTCACGATTGTCAAAGATGGGATGAGAAAGGACAGGCGGCAGGCGGAGGGGCCTGCCTGATGGGTCCCGCACTGTCACCTGGAAGCAGAGCCGCACAGCATTCAGGTCGTAGTCCCCACGCTGCTCTTCTATAGGAACTGCCAAGAAAACAGGCGATCAGGAGAGCAGGGGAAGTGGGGATATAGGTGCTATCAGTGGGGGCAGGGAGCTCTGCGCTGGGAGGGCCGCTGGTGCGTGTGTGAAACACAAGTCCTAGAGGAGGCAGAACCCAGCACTGACTCCACTGTGGCCTGAATGTCATGTCCCCTCCTGGGACTCAGTTTCCCAGTGGTAAAGTGGGAGAGTACTGAATGGGCACCAAGATTCCAGCTTTACTGTGTCTTGGCCAGTGAGGGAGATGCAGGAAAGGCGGGCTGGGGAGGGTGACAGAGGGTGCGGGTGTGGCAGGCAGGTTTGCCCTCACCTTGGAAGGGGTTGTTGTTGGTCTGGATGCGCTGACTGATAGCCTGCTCCAGGTCCCGCTTCTTCACACACTGGATTCCCAGGTTCTGGAAACTGAGCGCCCCCAGTCGTCTGTCCCACTGTCTCTCACAGAGCCCAGACCTTCCTGCCTTGCCCAGCCTGCTCCTTCCTACTCTGCCCACCCCTAGATCATCGCTCCATGCCTAACCCTCTCCAGTGGCTTCCTACTGTGCTGCAACGAACCCTGTCCCTTCACTCAGCTGACAAGCACCTCCGTGCCCCTGCCCCTGCCAGCCTCCCTGTGGGCTCCCTGCTTACAGCCACCGGGGCTCCTTTTCCACTCTCTAAACACAGGACACTCATTCCCACCTCAAGGCCTTTGCACTTGTTTGGTCGGCTTGGAATGTTCTTTTCCTACTTCTCTCCTCCTTCTCACCATTCAAGTCTTAGCTGAGGGAGGCCTTCCCTGACCTCCCAATCTAAAGTCATCACACACCAGCTCCCCTAACTCCCCCACCCCAGGTTATCCTTCTATCCTATGACCTCGTTTTATTTTCAGGACTGAAACTGTTACTCTGACAGCACCTTGTTTATTTATCTGTGTATTTATTTATTTTTAAGAGACACAGTGTCGGGCCGGGTGCGGTGGCTCAAGCCTGTAATCCCAGCACTTTGGGAGGCCAAGACAGGCAGATCACAAGGTCAGGAGATTGAGACCATCCTGGCTAACACGGTGAAACCCTGTCTCTACTAAAAAATACAAAAAATTAGCCAGGCGTGGTGGCAGGCACCTGTAGTCCCAGCTATTCGGGAAGCTGAGGCAGGAGAATGGCATGAACCCGGAAGGTGGAGGTTGCAGTGAGCTGAGATCGCGCCACTGCACTCCAGTCTGGGGACAGAGCAAGACTCTTTCTTAAAAAAAAAAAAAAAAAAAAAAAGACAAGGTATCGCCCTGCCACCCAAGTGCAGTGGTGCAATCATAGCTTGCCGCAGCAGTGACCTCCTGGGCTCAGGCGATCCTCCCACCTCAGCCTCCCTGGGACTATAGGCGCATGCCACCATACCCAGCTAATTTCTTATTTTTTGTAGACATGGGGTCTCACTATGTTGCCTTGGCTAGTCTTGAATTCCTAGGCTCAAGAGATCTTCCTGCCTTGGCCTCCCGAAGTGCTAGGATTATAAGCATGAGCCACTATGCCCGGCCTGTATATTTTTTTACAGCCTGTCTCTGTCAACTGCAATGTCAACTCCAGGGGAGAGTGCTGGTTCAATGGTTTTCTTCCTCAAACAAGAGACGTGACTCTGAGGGACTTGTCCTTCCAGCTACAGGGGTCAGGAATTCAGAAGTGATTAGGGACCCATCCGTATCCCCTGGAACTCATCTGCTAGAGTAAACGTACAAATAGATAATTTCAAGACAAAGGCAGTTTACTTGCAGAGCTGAGTCAGGGCAAGGAGTGAGGAATTCTGCCCTGGGTCCAGAAAGGAGTAACACTGTAGCGGCTACTTCATAGCCCGCCTCCTGTCCCCTCATGCTGGGCCTCCTAGCCTGCAGGGACCTCACCTGTGGATGCAGCGGTCCGGGCAGAGCTCAGCCTCATAGAAGCCATCCCGGCAGTCCTTTCCTACAAGCTCGTGGGGGTGAGGCCGGTGAGGAGGGTCCTTGGTGACCAGGGAGATGCGCACTGTCCCTGGTCCTGTGTAGCCATTGATCTGTCCAAAGTACAGAGGCCCAGACATCCAAACCTGACTCCCAAACACAGAGGGCTGGGGTTCCACAGTCCCTTCCCCGCACACCCTGGCGCAGTGCTGACCTTGATGGTGGGGTGGGTCTTGGTGGTATCTGTGCTCCTCTCGCCTGGGATGCTGCCCGCGGAGCGCCCCTCGCACTTGTAGCGGAAGCGCATGCCCCGCTGCTTGGGCTGCTCAATGATCTCCACATAGGGGCCAGAGGCCTGGGCTGGCTCTGCCAGGGGACACCGCAGCCCCATTAGGCGGCTGCCCCCACTGCCCTACCCCAGGGAGCACCTCCCCGACCGCCGCGGGGGCCACTTACCTGCCGGGAAGATGAGGGGGAACAGTTCTGAAAGGGGAGGGAGATCAGGGTCAGCACACACCCAATGCCCATTCTCACAAGGAGGAATCTGCTCTCCACGGAGAGGAGAAGCCAGGCTCCCTCCCAGGGGAACTGAGTCAGGACCTGCTCCCTAGAACCTGCGGTGAAACTAAGGGGTGGAGGAAAGGAACCAGAAACACCTGCTTCTTGAGGGAAAACGGGGTAAGGAATCCTTCTTCTCCAGAGGGAAGCTGAATCAGGGCCTGTTGTACTTTCTTAAGGAAAATTGAGGGAGGGCACGCCCCACCTCCCTCCAGAGAGGAAACTGAATCAGATGCGTTCTCCCCTAATAGGGAAACGAAGCCAGAGCTGCCCCCATGGACGGTGTGGAGGGAAACTGAGTCAAGGTTCCCTCTGCTCCCCCACCCAGGGAGGATGCTGAGTCAAGGGCCACCCCCTCCACCCAGAGGGGAAACTGAGTCAGACCCCTCCCCGCCTGCCCCGCCCCGCGCCACCATCCGGCAGGCCGACCGCTCCCTGCGCAGCGCCCGTCGGCGCAGGAAGGGGCGGAAAGCGGCGCGGGGGCTCCCGCCACAGCCGCGGCGGCCCCGGCGATGCCACCCCGCGGGGTCAGAGGGCGACCTCACCGTCCATGGCCGGGGTCCCGGGGGCGGGGCCGGGGTCGCAGCTGGGCCCGCGGCGTGCACTACAGACGAGCCATTCGCCAGAGGCGGAAATGCGCCGCGCGGCCCGCCGTCGCGTCACTGCCCGGAATCCGGCCGCGCCTGCGCGCTGCCCCGCCGCCGCCCGGCGCAGGGGCCGGGAGCAAGTGCACGCCGCGCGGAGGACGAAGAGGCTGCACGCACAGCCGCTGCCGGGGGTCGGGGCCAAGTGCGCGCCTCGCCGAGGACGAAGAGGCTGGCGTGCCCGGTGGCTCGGCTAGCTCCCGGGTCCCGGCCCCGCCTGGAGGGTGGGTCCGCCGATTACTCACTTTGTTTTTAGGGGATTTCAGGGCCCCCTCCCGCCGATCGGCGGAGTTTGGTGATGTCACTCTGGGCCGGGTCTGGAGCAAAGCCAGGGCTACTGGGCTGCGGCCGCCCGCCCCGCGCAGGGAAAAGCCCGACCGGGCCTTCTGCTCCGCAGAGGCCGGGTGGTTGAACTCCGCGCGGGTTTCCTAACCGCTAAAGGTGCCTTTCGGTGGTGGCTGTCTCAGAAGCACGTTAAAATGTCCTACCCACCCCAATCTAGATGCGGCTGTGGGGGAATGGGAGCGGCCGGACCTCCCAGCCTGACAGTGCATCAAGAGCTTTGCGGAGCCTACAGCCCGGATGGGACGACTGAGGCCCTCCCGCTGGCGAGCTGGCCGAGGGCTCGTCCCTCTCCAGCTAAAGCGCCAGCTTACGATACAGCCAAACTGCCGGCTCTCATCGGCTGTGGGAGCAGGAGGCCCCCAGGGGTAAATCCCGGAGCCTCGTCTCTGAAGCCTGGCGCTTGTGTCTCAGAAGGTGCGGGACCCACAGGGACACTTGAATCAGCAGGCTCACGACCCCCCACCCCCCTGCCCCCGCCTGTGTTTGCCCTGGACCTCCAGCTAGGGCTGACCACTAATTCTGTCATGTGACCCCACAGTGCAGGTAGCTCCCCCAAGACCAAGCCCAAGGCGCGTCCGTGTGGAGGCTGGGGCTGACGCACCCCCACCCCAGGCCTCATCCCCAAAGGAGGATGCTCCACTGCAGGGGGCGGAGTCTTCTCCAGATGGAGAAAGACTTTTTTATTTTCTCTGAATTCGTCTTAAATTAGGAAATCATGTGGGAATTGGAAAAGATTGGAAATTCTGACTTGTTTCCCAGGCTCTGAAGAAACAGGAAGAGAAAAGTGAAAATAGAGTTAGCACCCCGCCCACTCATTTCAGTTTCTCCAGTGGCTGGCCCTGATTAGAAAAGTGTTTACTTTTGGCAGGGGGCGGGGGAGGCCGACTTCAGGTGACAGAATGGATTAATTAAAATCTTTGGTTAATGATATACAATTATCATTGAACCTTGCATGGATCCTCTTCTTAAAATTCATGTATATTTATAACTTTTAAATTAATACGATAAACACCCATGTACCCATTGCAAAACTCAAGGGGCCACCACCATCCAGAATTCTGTATTGTATTGTATTGTATTGTATTGTATTGTATTGTATTGTATTGTATTTATTTATTTATTTATTTTTTGAGACACGGTCTGTCTCTGTCGCCCAGGCTGGAGTGCAGTGGCACAATCTCTGCTCACTGCAGCCTCTACCTCCTGGGCTCAAGCAATCCTCCCACTTCAGCCTCTTGCATAGCTGGGACTACGGGAGCACACCACCATGCCCGGCTAAGTTTTTGTATTTTTTGTAAAGAAGTGGTTTAACCTTGTTGTCCAGGCTAGTCTTGAACTCCTGAGCTCAACTTTCCTCCCCGCTTGGCCTCACAAAGTGCTGGGATTACAGGCGTGAGCCACCACGCTGGGCCAGAATTCTGTATTTTTTAAATTAATTAATTAATTAATTTATTGTAAATAGAGATGGGTCTCACTGTGTTGCCCAGGCTGGTCTCAAACTCCTGGGCTCAAGCGATCCTCCCACCTCAGCCTCCCAAAGTGGGATTACAGGCATGAGCCACCACACCTGGCCCAGAATTCTGTATTTTAAAGAAAAAAAAAGTTATATCTGCATGCCTACACAATATATCTTTTGGTTTTCCTTAGTTTTGAACTTTTTTTTTTTTTTTTTTGAGACAAAGTCTCACTCTGTCGCGCAGGCTGGAATGCAGTGGCATTCTGCTTACTGCAACCTCTGCCTCCTAGGTTCAAGCGATTCTCCTGCCTCAGCCTCCTGAGTAGCTGGGATTAAAGGGGCCAACCACCACGCCCAGCTAATTTTTGTATTTTTTTAGTAGAGACGGGGTTTCACCATGTTGGCCAGGCTGGTCTCGAACTCCTGACCTCAGGTGATTCGCCAGCCTCTGCCTCCCAAAGTGCTGAGATTACAGGTGTGAGCCACCGCACCCAGCCAGTTTTGAACTTTTATGAAGAGGGCATCATATGATTTGTTGTCCTTTGTTACTTGCTTTTTTCACTCAACCTGTTACTATGATTCATGTTTCACAGTTAATTCACTTTTTCACTGCTGTATACTATTTTGTTGTGTAAATATACCACAGTTTGTTTATTCATCCTGAAGATAGGCATTTTTATTTTTATTTTTTTGAGATGGAGTTCCTCTCTTGTGGCCCAGGCTGGAGTGCAATAGCACCATCTCGGCTCACTGCAACCTCTGCCTCCCAGGTTCAAGTGATTCTCCTGCCTTAGCCTCCTGAGTAGCTAGGATTACAGGTATGCATCACCATGCCCGGCTAATTTTGTATTTTTTTTTTCTTTTGAGACAGAGTTTCGCTCTTGTTGTGTGCAATGGCACAATCTCGGCTCACAGCAACCTCTGCCTCCCAGGTTCAAGTGATTCTCCTGCCTCAGCCACCTGAGTAGCTGGGATTACAGGTGCCTGCCACCATGCCTGGCTAACTTTTTGTATTTTTAGTAGAGACGGGGTTTCACCATGTTGGCCAGGCTGGTCTCAAACTCCTGACCTTAGGTGATCCACCTGCCTCAGCCTCTGAAAATGTTGGGATTACAGGCATGAACCACTGCATCTGACTAATTTTGTACTTTTAGTAGAGACAGGGTTTCACCATGTTGGCCAGGGTGGTCTCTAACTCCTGACCTCAGGTGATCTGCCCGTCTCGGCCTCCTAAAGTGCTATTACAGGCGTGAGCTACCGTGCCCAGCCATGGGCATTTGGACTTCTAATTTTTTGCTGCCATAAGCTTTAGAGCACTGAGTAATATATAAAAACAGCAATCATGTAGTTTTTAAAACTTAGTCTGGGGTTAAAGAAGTATGTAAACAACTATGTTTTCTTAAAGATTTATAGGAGCATTGTGACTGGACCAAGGACAAAGAAGTTCCCAACCTCCTCAGACCCTCGCTGCTGCCCAGATGTCTGCCATGGGGTACTTCTTGACCACACCCTCCTTCTCTTCCCTGCCCTTAACATAGAAAGAGCCTAAGATTGTACTGACTTAAAATGGTACTTTAGAACGCTAGTACACCGTCCTCTCAGTCTTGCTGGCTTTCAGAATAAATCAGTAAACCTACTTTTTCTCCCACCAACGCCCCTATCAGTTGGGATCCTCTTACCTCGGCCTCCCAGGTAGCTGGGACTATAAGCACTCACCACCACACACAGCTAATTAAAAAGAAAACAATTTTTTGAGGCAGGGTCTCACTCTGTCGCCATGCTGGAATGCTGTGGCATGACTCGTTGCTCACTGCAGCCTCAAACTCCTGGGCTCAAGCAATCCTCCCACCTTAGCCTCCCAAGTAGCTAGGACTAACAGCGTGCACCACCACACTCAGCTAATTTCTTTTTTTTAATTTTTAGTAGACACAAGATCTTGCTATGTTGCCAAGGCTGGTCTCGAACCTCTGAGCTCAGGCGATCCTTCTGTCTCAGCCTCCCAAAGTGTTAGGATTACAGGCATGAACTACCAAACCCGGCTGAGTTTTTTAAAATCTTAATGAATGCATGGATTTAAATATATTAGCTGTGTTTTAATCAAGTATAGTTATTGAAATTCAAATTATTCGTCTTTGGTTAGGGAGAACTTCTTCAAGTTGGTTGTTCTTCAGTCCTTTTGACACAATTCCAATATATGAGTCTTGGTGGCTCATACCTGTAATCCCAGCACTTTGGAAGGCTGAATGGGGAAGACTGATTGAGGCCAGGAGTTTAAGACCAGCCTGGTCAACATGGCAAGATCCCTATGTCTATTAAAAAAATAATTTTAAAAAAGCAATTACAGTAGCCTGTGATAGCTTCTTTGCTGTTTGGTATGAAAAGATATTTCTTTTCTTTTTCCTTTTTTTTTTTTGAGATGGAGTTTCGCTCTTACTGCCCAGGCTGGAGTGCAATGGTGCAATCTCGGCTCACTGCAACCTCTGCCTCCCGGGTGCAAGCAATTCTCCTGCCTCAGCCTCCCAAGTAGCTGGGATTATGGGAGTGTGCCACCACGCCCAGCTAATTTTTGTATTTTTAGTAGAGATGGGGTTTCCATATTGGTCAGGTTGGTCTCGAACTCCTGACCTCAGGTGATCCACCTGCCTTGGCCTCCCACAGTGCTGGGATTACAGGCATGAGCCACAGCGCCTGGCCTGAAAAGATATTTCTAGACTCATCTAGTAAATTTTCTGCCCCAGATCTGGAATCAGACAGCTTTCCAAGGAGTCCTGATTTCTCTTAGTAGGAAATGATATTTAAAGACTACAGCTTGAGTACTTCGGATACTTATTGCTACTGAGTCAGTCATTGTAGATGTTTTCGGTGAATAGTTAGTACTTTTTTTTTTTTTTTTTTTTTTTGAGACAGAGTTTCACTCTTGTTGCCCAGGCTGGAGTGCAATGGCATGATCTTGGCTCACTGCAACCTCCGCCTCCCGGGTTCAAGTGATTCTCCTGCCTCAGCCTCCCGAGTTGCTGGGATTACAGGCATGCGCTACCACGCCCGGCTAATTTTGTATTGTTAGTAAAGACAGGGTTTCTCCATGTTGGTCAGGCTGGTCTCCAACTCCTGACCTCAAGTGACCTGCCCGCCTCGGCCTCCCAAAGTGTTGGAATTACAGGCGTGAGCCACCATGCCCAGCCAGTAATTTTTTAAAAAATGGGAGTCTTGCTCTGTCATCCAGGCTGGATTGCAGTGGTGGTGTGATCATAGCCCATTGCAGGCTCGAACTCCTAGGCTCAAGTGATTCTCCCTCCTCAGGTCCCCCAGTAGCTGGGACTACAGGCACACACCACCATGCTCAGCTAATTTTTTATTTTTTAGTAGAGAAGAGGTCTCACTATGTTGCCCAGGCTCATCTTGTACTCCTGGGCTCTAGCACTCCTCTTGCCTCAGCTTCCCAAAGTGTTGGAATTACAGGCATGAGCCATTGTGCCCAGCCTAGCTGGTAATTTTTTTTTTTGAGATGGAGTCTTGCTCATTCGCCAGGCTGGAGTGCAGTGGCGCGATCTCGGCTCACTGCAACCTCTGCCTCCCAGGTTCAAGCAATTCCCCTGCCTCAGCCTGCTGAGTAGCTGGGACTACAGGCACGCGCCACCACACCCTGCTAATTTTTTTGTATTTTAGTAGAGACGGGGTTTCACCATGTTGGCCAGGATGGTCTCGATCTCCTGTCCTGACCTTGTCATCTGCCTGCCTTGGCCTCCCAAAGTGCTGGAATTACAGGCGTGAGCTACCGCACCTGGCTGTAATTTTTTTTAAATACGAAATGCATCAGGAGTTCATACTAATGTTTCATATTCAAATTTAGAATTATAGGGTTTTTAAATTTTATTTATTTATTATTATTATTTTTTTTTGAGATGGAGTCTTGCTCTGTTGCCCAGGCTCACTGTAACCTCTGCCTTGTGGGTTCAAGCAGTTCTCTGCCTCAGCCTCCTGAGTAGCTGGAATTACAGGCACCTGCCACAATGCCTGGCTAATTTTTATATTTTTAGTAGAGACGGGGTTTCACCATCTTGGCCAGGCTGGTTTTACACTCCTGACCTCGTGATCCACGTGCCTCAGCCTCCCAAAGTGCAGGGATTACGGGTGTGAGCCACCGCGCCCAGCTAGAATTACAGGGTTTTAACTTAACCTTAGTCACTTTACATGTTTCTCCCATGTCAAAAATCTTGATTTTCTTTTGAGGGAATAGAAAAGTCCACTCTTAAATTAAGTCCATATGGAGTCTCAAGGGACCCAAATAACCAAAACAATCTTAAAAAAAAGAAACAAAGGTGGAGGACTCATACTTCCTGATTTCAAAACTTACTACAAAGCTACAGTAATCAAAACAGTGTGATTCTAGCATAAAGACAGACATATAGGCCGGGCGTGGTGGCTCACGTCTGTAATCCCAGCACTTTGGGAGGCTGAGGCAGGAGTTCAAGACCAGCCTAACTAACATGGAGAAACCCCGTCTCTACTAAAAATACAAAATTAGCCGGGCATGGTGGCCCATGCCTGAAATTACAGCTACTTGGGAGGCTGAGGCAGGAGAATCGCTTGAACCCGGGAGGTGGAGATTGCAGTGAGCCGAGATTGAGCCATTACACTCCAGCCTGAGCAACAAGAGTGAAACTCTGTCTCCAAAAAAAATAAAGACAGACATATGACCAATTGTACAGAATAGGGAGCCCATAAAAATAAAACCTTTCCATATACGGCTGAATGATTTTCAACAAGGGCGCCAAGACCATTCACTGGGGGAAAGGACAATCTTTTCAACAAATGGTTTTGGGAAAATTGGGTATCCACATGCAAAAGAATGAAGTTGACCCTTACCTAACACTATATACAAAAATTAACTCAAAATGGTTCAAATGGCTGGACCTGGTGACTCACATCAGTAATTCCCGCACTTTGGGAAGCCAAGGCGGGAAGATCACTTGAGCCCAGGAGTTTGAAACCAGCCTGGTCAACATAGTGAGATCCTATCTCTACAAAAGAAAAAAAAAAAAAAGAAAAAAATTAGCTGGGCATGGTGGTGCATGCCTGTAGTCCCAGCTACTCAGGAGGTTGAGACGGATTGCTTGAGCCCAGGAGTTCGAGTTCACAGCAGTGAGCCATGCCACTGCACTCCAGCCTAAGCGACAGAGTGTGACGCTGTCTCAAAAAAATAAAGAACTGGGGCCGGGCGCGGTGGCTCACGCCTGTAATCCCAGCACTTTGGGAGGCTGAGGCGGGCGGATCACGAGGTCAGGAGATCGAGACCATCCTGGCTAAAACGGTGAAACCCTGTCTCTACTAAAAATACAAAAAAAAATTAGCCGGGCACGGTGGCAGGTGCCTGTAGTCCCAGCTAGTCAGGAGGCTGAGGCAGGAGAATGGCGTGAACCTGGGAGGTGGAGCTTGCAGTGAGCCGAGATCGCGCCACTGTACTCCAGCCTGGGCGACAAAGCGAGACTCTGTCTCAAAAAAAAAAATAAATAAAATAAAGAGCTAAAAAGGGACCAAATACCTAAATGTAGGACCTAAAACTATAAACTCAGAAAAAAACATAGTGCCCCATGTTTTTGATTGCTTATATGTTATTATTTACGTTTTTATTGTTTATATGTTATCATTTATGTTGTATAATATTCATGACATTGAATTTGGCAGTGATTTCTTGGATACAACATAAAAGCACAGACCACAAAAGAAAAAAATAAATTAGGCTTATAAAAATTAAAAACTTTTGTACATCAAATACAATATACTGAAGTAAAAAATCAACCCACAGAATGGTAGGAAATATTTCAAATTACATATCTGATAAGGATTAATACCTAGAACATATAAAGAACTAATAATAGGCCGGGCGCCGTGGCTCACGCCTGTAGTAATCCCAGCACTTTGGGAGGCCGAGGCGGGCGGATCACGAGATCAGGAGATCGAAACCATCCTGGCTAACACGGTGAAACCCCATCTCTACTAGAAATACAAAAAATTAGCCGGTCATGGTGGCGGGCACCTGTAGTCCCAGCTACTCGGGAGGCTGAGGCAGGAGAATGGTGTGAACCCGGGAGGCGGAGCTTGCAGTGAGCCGAGATCGCGCCACTGCACTCCAGCCTGGGCAACAGAACGAGACTCCATCTCAAAACAAAACAAAACAAAAAAACAACAAAAAAAAACACACAAAGAGATACCACTTCACACCCATTAGGATGGCTGTTATCAGAAAAATAAGGTAACAGCTGTTTGCTGAGAAATATGGAGATGTGGAGAACACGTGGAGAAATTGGCACACTTGTGAATTGCTGGTGGGAATGTAAAATGGTGCAGTCGCTCTGGAAAACAGTATGGCGGTTCCTCAAAAGAATTAAACCAGAATTAACACATGATCCAGAAATTTCATAGTACTCAAAACTACTGAAAGCAGGAACTCAAATTGATATCTGTACACCAGTGTTCATAGCGGCATTATTCACAATAGCCAAAAGGCGGAAACAACCCAAATGTCCATTGACGCATGACCAGTGTGATAGTTAATTTCATGTGTCAACTTGACCAGCCCAGGGAATACCCGGATAGCTGGTAGAAAATTATTTCTGGGTATGTCTGTGAGAGTGTTTCTGGAAGAGGTTAGTATTTGAATCAGACTGAGTAAAAGGATCCACCCTATCCAACATAGGTGGCCATCATCGAATCCACTGAGGGCGCAAATAGAACAAAAAGGTGAAGAAAAGGTGAATTCTCTCCTTTCTTGAGCTGGGACATCCAACTTCTCAGACATCAGAGCTCCTGGAGGCCTTCAGACTCCGAGACATTACACCATTGGCTCACCTGGTCCTCAGGTCTTTGGACTTGGAATGAATTACACCATTGGCTTTCCAGGTCTTCCAGCTTGCAGATGGCAGATTGTGGGACTTTTCAGCCTCCATAACTTTGTCATCCAATTCCCATAATAAATCGCCTCTTATATCTGTATCTGTTTGGTTCTGTTCTGGAGATCCCGGATTAATGCAAATGGATTAAAAAAATGCGGCCGGGCACGGTGGCTCATGCCTGTAATCCCAGCACTTTGGGAGGCCGAGGCAGGTGGATCACTTGAGGCCAGGAGTTCAAGACCAGCCTGGCCAACATGGTGAAACCCCACGAAACCCTGTCTCTACTAAAAAAAAAATACAAAATTAGCTGGGTGTGGTGGCGCACGCCTGTAATCCCAGCTACTTGGAGGGCTGAGGCAGGAGGATTGCGCGAACCCAGGAGACAGAGGTTGTAGTGAGCTGAGATCACACCACTGCACTCCAGCTTGGGTGACAGAGTGAGACTCCATCTCAAAAACAAAACAAAACAAAACCCCAAAATGTGGTATATACATGCAAGGGAATATTATTCAGCCTTAAGGAAGGGAATTCTGATACATGCTGTATTGAGGAGCCTTGAAGGCAACATGCTGAGTCAAAGAATCCAGACACAAAAGGACAAATGTTATATGATTCTACTTATGTGAGATACCTACAATAGTCAAATTCATAGAGAAAGGAAGTAGAATACCCATTACAAGAAGCTGGAGAGAAGGGGAAATGGTGAGTTAATGCTTAACAAATGCAGAGTTTATGTTGGGGATGATGAAAAGATTCTGGAGCAGGATGGTGGTGATTGATGGTAGCACACAGTGTGAATGTACTAAGTGCCATTCAGTGGCACACTTATAAATGGGTAACATGGTAGATTTTATGTTATATATATTTAACCACAATTTAAAAAATCTCAATTCTTTCTCTGTTTTTTTATTTAATTTTAGAAATGGGGTCTTGCTCTGTTGCCCAGGCTGATCTTGAACTCCTTGGCTCTGGGCTCAACCAGTCCTCCCACCTCAGCCTCCCAAAGTGCTGGGATTACAGATATGAGCTACTGCACCCAGCCTCAGTTCTCAGTGACACCAACCCATTACTCATTTGCTTTATCTCACACTGTATACAAAACAGTTTCAGAATAATGATACCAACTCTACCTCCATAATGATTTCTTTTTTCTTTTTTTATTTTTCATAAAACTTATGACTCAACATAATAAGATTTCTGAAAATATATTTTTGTAGTTCTTGTCCTTAGGTTATAGCCCACTAGGGATGATAGTCAGATAACTTTGTTTTGAATCTCTTTGAATAGTTAATCTCCATAAAGTTATACCAGCAAATTGATACATAGTTTTATTTTCCCTTTTTAGGAATTGCTTTTTAAAGTTTTATTTTTCTTCATAATGATGTGAAATATTATATCGTTCCAAAGTCAAATCTATATAACAAGATATATTAAAAGAAGTCTTGTTTCTATCCCTGTCCTCTCCAACCTGCTGTCTCCCTTCCCCTATAGGTAACTAATTTTTTTTTTTTGAGATGGGATCTTGCTCTGTTGCCCAGACTGGGGCAATAGTGCAATCATAGCTCACTGTAGCCCCAAACTTCTGGGCTCAAGGGATCCTCACCCTTCAGTCTTCAGAGGAGACTGAGGAGACTGAGGCCTGAGACTACAGGCACTCACTATAACACCCCACTAATTTTTTTATTTTTATTTTTATTTATTTATTTATTTATTTATTTATTTATTTATTTATTTGAGATGGAGTCTCGCTCTGTCACCCAGGCTGGAGTGCAGTGGCGTGATCTCAGCTCACTGCAAGCTCCGCCTCCCAGGTTCACGCCATTCTCCTGCCTCAGCCTCCTGAGTAGCTGGGACTACAGGTGCCCGCCACCATGCCTGGCTAATTTTTTATTTTTTATTTTTTTTTATTTTTAGTAGAGATGGGGTTTCACCGTGTTAGCCAAGATGGTCTCAATCTCCTGACCTTATGATCCACCCACCTCAGCCTCCCAAAGTGCTGGGATTACAGGCATGAGCCACCACGCCCAGCTAACACCCCACTAATCTTTTAAAAAAATTTTAGTAGAGATGAGGTCTCGCTTTGTTGCCGAGGCTGGTCTCAGACTCCTGGGCCCAAGTAATACTTCCACCTCGGCCTCCTCCCAAAGAGCTGAGATTACAGGTGTGAGCCACCACACTGAGACTGATAACCACTTTTTTCTTTTTTTTCCTTTTTCTTTTCTTTTTCTTTTTTTTTTTTTTTGAGACAGAGTCTCGCTCTGTCGTCCAGGCTGGAGTGCAGTGGCGCAATCTTGGCTCACTGCAAGCTCCACCTCCTGGGTTCACGCCATTCTCCTGCCTCAGCCTCCTGAGTAGCTGGGACTACAGGTGTCCGCCACCATACCTGGCTAATTTTTTGTATTTCTAGTAGGGACGGGATTTCACCTTGTTAGCCAGGATGGTCTCGATCTCCTGAGCTTGTGATCTGCCTGCCTTGGCCTCCCAAAGTGCTGGGATTACAGGCGTGAGCCACCGCGCCCGGCCACTTTTTTCTGTTTCATCATGTGTTTTCTTCCTTCTCCTTCTTTTTTTTTTTTTTTTTTAAGATGAAGTCTCACTCTGTAGCCCAGGCAGGAGTGCAGTGGCATGATCTCGGCTCATTGCAACCTCTGCCTCCCAGGTTCAAGCAATAATCGCTCCTGCCTCAGCCTCCCAAGTAGCTGAGACTACAGGCGTGCACCACCATGCCCAGCTAATTTTTGTATTTTTAGTAGAGGCGGGGTTTCACCATGTTGACCAGGCTGGTCTTGAACTCCTGACTTCAGGTAATCTGCCCCTCTTGGCCTCCCAAAGTGCTGGGATTACAGGTGTGAGTCACCGCACTCGGCCTCTTCTTTCTTCTTAAAAAATATATTTTATATCCAGAGTTTCTTAGATAAATTGTAGTATGAGGATGTCTTTTGAGGAACAGAAATCCTGAGTTTTAATATGGTAAAATTATTCAATTTTAAATGAATTTTTGTGGGCTGCACCTGGCCCACAGTTTATTAATCCATTTGCATTGGTCCAGGGTCTCCAGAAAGAACCAAACAGATATAGATATATAAGAGGTGATTTATTATGGAAATTGGTTGACAAGGTTATGGAGGCTGAGAAGCCCCACAATCTGCCATCTGCAAAAAATTTTAAATGAATGCTTGAACCTGGGAGGCAGAGGTTGCAGTGAAAATTCTTCTATAAGAGTTCTCTAATCAAGATCAGAAAGACCGATCTTGATTGAATCTCCTAGACTTAAGTGATCCTCCTACCTTGGCCTCCCAAAGTGCTAGTATTACAGGTGTGAGCCACCACACCTGGCCAATTTCTTTAATATACATGAATATTTAGTATTTATAGGATTATTCCATTTTTCTTGAGTCAATGGAATATTACCATTCCGGCTGCTATAACAAAATACCTTAGATTAGGTAATTAACAAACAACAAATTTATTGCTTGCTTTCCAGAGGCTGGGAAGTCCAAGTCAAGGTGCCAGCAGGTTCAGTGTCTGGTGAGGGCTTGTTCTCTGCTTCAAATATGATGCCTTCTTTTTTTTTCCCCCACAAGACGGAGTCTTGCTGTGTCGCTCAGGCTGGAGTGCAGTGGCTCGATCTCGGCTTACTGCAACTTCTGCTTCCTGGGTTCAAGCAATTCTCCCTGTCTCAGGCTCCCGAGTAGCTGGGATTACAGGCGCCCACCACCACAGCCGGCTATTTTTGTTTTCTTTTTTTCTTGTTTGTTTGTTTTGAGACAGAGTTTCACTCTTATTGCCCAGGCTGGAGTGCAATGGTGCGATCTCGGCTCACTTCAACCTCTGCCTCCCGGGTTCAAGCAATTCTCCTGCCAAAGCTTCCTGAGTAGCTGGGATTCAGGCATGTGCCACCACCTCCAGCTAATTTTGTGCTTTTAGTAGAGACAGGGTTTCTCCATGTTGGTCAGGCTGGTCTCGAACTCCCAAATTTAGGTAATCCGCCCTCTTTGGCCTCCCAAAGTGTTAGGATTACAGGCGTGAGCCACTGTGCCCGGCCAATATGGTGCCTTTTTACTGTGTCCTCAAGCGGTAGAAGGGGCAAAAGTATCTTCTATTAATATAAGGGCACTAATCGCACTCTCAGGACCTAATCACCTCCCACTTCTGATCACCTTGGGGTTTAGGTTTCAGCAGGGCACTAGGTTTTCAAATTTATTTGTGTTAAGGACAGTTCTCATATGTTTTTAGCATCTTCAGCTAGACATGGTGGCTCACACCTGTAATCCCAGGACTTTGAGAGGCCGAGGTGGGAGGATCGCTTGAGGCCAGGAGTTCGAGACCAGCCTGACCAACGTGGAGAAACCCCATCTCTACTAAAAATACAAAATTACCCGGGCGTGGTGGCGCATGTTTATAATCCCAGCTACTCGGGAGGCTCAGGCAGGAGAATCACTTGAAGCTGGGAGGCGGAGGTTGTGGTGAGCCGAGATCATGCCATTGCACTCCAGCCTGGGCTACAGAGCAAGACTCCATCTCAAAATAATAATAATAATAATAATTAGCTGGGTGTGGTGGTGCATACCTGTGGTCCCAGCTACTCAGGAAGCTGAAGTGGGAAGATCACTTGGGCCAAGGAAGTCAAGGCTGCAGTGAGTTATGATTGTGCCACTCCAGCCTAGGTAACAGAGTGAGACCCTGTCTCAAAAAAACAAACAAACAAACAAACAAAACCCAACACACACACACACACACACACACACACACACACACACCCCATCTGGCCGGGTGTGGTGGCTCACGCCTGTAATCCTAGCACTTTGGGAGGATGAGGCAGGCAGATCACCTGAGATCAGGAGTTCAAGACCAGCCTGGCCAATACCACAAAACCCCGTCTCCACTAAAAATACAAAAATTAGCCGGGCAAGGTGGTGCGCACCTCTAATCCCAGGTACTCCAGAGTCTGAGGCACGAGAATCACTTAAACCTGTGAGTCGGAGTTTGCAGTGAGCTGAGACGACACCACTGCACTCCAGCCTGGGCGACAGAGTGAGACTCCATCTCAAAAAATAACAACAACAACAACAAATCTGCTATGTCTGTGATTACATTTCCCTTTCATTCATTAGAGTATTGATTTGTTCTTACTCTTTTTATTGTCAGAGATTTGAGGGTTTTTTTGAGAATCTTTTCACATGTTATTTCTTATCCATGTATCTTTTTTTTTTGAGACATACAACCTTGCTGAACTCACATATTAGTTCTTGTACCTCCATTTTTTGTAAATCCTTAGGATTTTCTACATAGATGATCGTGTTGTCTGTAAATAAAAGCAGCTTTACCTTTTCCTTTCCAATCTGAATGCCTTTTAATTCTCTTTTAAAAACAAAACAAGCTGGATGCAATGGCTCATGCCTGTAATCCCAGCACTTTGGGAGGCCGAGGCGCGGGTGGATCACAAGGTCAGGAGTTTGAGACCAGCCTGGCCAACATAGTGAAACCTTGTCTCTACTAAAAATACAAAAATTAGCTGGGCATGGTGGCAGGTGTCTGTAATCCCAGCTACTCAGGAGGCTGAGGCAGGAGAATTGCTTGAAACCGGAAGGCGGAGGTTGCAGTGAGCCAAGATCACGCCACGGCACTCCAGCCTAGGCGAAAGAGCAAAACTCTGTCTCAAAAACAAACAAACAAACAAACAAAAAAACCCAAAACAAAACTACTCCATTGGTTAGAACTTCTAGTACAAGTTTGAAAAGAAGTGGTAACAGTGGACATTCTTGTCTTTTCCAGATCTTATAAGAAAAGCGTTCTTGTTCCTCATTAAGATGTTAATTGCAGGTGTTTCATATATGCCTTTAATAGGCTGAGGAATTCCTTTCTAGCTCTAGTTTGCTGAGAGTTTTGATTGTGATTACTGGATTTTGCCAAATGCCTTGTTTATTTTATTTTATTATTTATTTATTTATTTATTTATTTTTGACACGGAGTTTCGCTCTTGTTGTCCAGGCTGGAGTGCAATGGCGCAATCTTGGCTCACCGCAACCTCTGCCTCCTGGGTTCAAGTGATTCTCCTGCCTCAGCCTCCCAAGTAGTTGGGATTACAGGCATGCGCCACCACACCTGGCTAATTGTGTATTTTTAGTAGAGACGGGGTTTCTCCATGCTGGTTAGGCTGGTCTCGAACTCCCAACCTCAGGTGATCCGCCCGCCTCGGCCTCCCAAAGTGCTGGCATTACAGGCATGAACCACCGCGCCCAGCCCAAATACCTTAATATGTTCAATATGGTCTTACTATATTACGATAATATTGAACATATATATTTGACTCAATAAAGTCTTAATGTAAGACACTATCTTAACTGCTCTACTCACATCCCTACAGCAAAAGGGACTTTAAAAAACAGTTTGGCTTTGAGAATAGAAACGTTATCTGAAACGTTAGTCCTTTCAAATAATCAGGCCCATTGGCTGGCTGGGCATGGTGCCTCACACTTGTAATGCCAGTGCTTTGGGAGGCTGAGGTGGGAGATTGCTTGAAGCCAGGAGTTCAAGACCAGCCTGGGAGACATAGTGACCTCCATCTCCTGAATTTTTTTTTCTTTTTGAGACGGAGTCTCACTCTGTCCCCCAGGCTGGAGTGCAGTGGCTCGATCTCAGCTCACTGCAACCTCTGCCTTCTGGGTTCAAGTGATTCTTATGCCTCAGCCTCCTGAGTAGCTGTGATTACAGGTGCCTGCCACCATGCCTGGCTGATCTTTGTATTTTTAGTAGAGATGGGGTTTCGCCATGTTGGCCAGGCTGGTCTGTAACTCCTGACCTCAAGTGATCCATGGGCCTTGGCCTTCCAAAGTGCTGGAATTACAGGTGTAAGCCACTGAGCCTGGCCTCAGGTTGACAGTCTTTATCTTAACACTCATGATCTACATAGACTTGTAGCTGAATTTTGCAGATTCACTTTTGTTTTAATTAAATAAATTAGACATTGGCCAGGTGCAGTGGCTCACACTTTTTATTTTAATTTTTATTTTTTAAGACAGTCTCGCTCTGTTGCTTATGCTGGAGTGCAGTGGCGCAATCTCCGCTCACTGCAACCTCCGCCTCCTAGGTTCAAGTGATTCTTCTGCCTGCCTCAGCCTCCCGAGTAGCTGGGAGTACAGGCACATGCCACCACACCCGGCTAATTTTTTGTATTTTTAGTAGAGATGGGGTTTCACTGCGTTAGCCAGGATGGTGTCCATCTCCTGGCCTCATGATCCGCCCGCCTCGGCTTCCCAAAGTGTTGTGATTACAGGCGTGAGCCACCATGCCCGGCCATTTTTTTTTTTTTTTTTTGAGATGGAGTTTCACTCTTGTTGCCCAGGCTGGAGTGCAATGGCACGATCTTTGCTCACTGCAACATCTGCCTCCGAGTTCAAGCGATTCTCCTGCCTCAGCCTCCCGAGTAGCTGGGATTACAGGCATGCGCCACCATGCCTGGCTGATTTTTTGTATTTTTAGTACAGACGGGGTTTCTTTTTTTTTGAGACAGAGTCTCGCTCTGTCACCCAGGCTGGAGTGCGGTGGTGCAGTCTCGGCTCACTGCAACCTCCGCCTCCCAGGTTCAAGCGATTCTCCTGCCTCACCCTTCCAAGTAGCCAGGACTGTAGGCATATGCCACCACGCCCAGCTAATTTTTGTATTTTTTAGTAGAGATGAAGTTTCACCATGGTGGCCAGACTGGTCTGAAACTCCTGACCTCAAGTGACCCGCCCGCCTCGGCCTCCCAAAGTGTTGGGATTACAGACGTGAGCCACCATGCCCAGCCAAATATTGGGCTTGATTAAAGAAGGTTTCACTGACAGTAACAAAACAAAACAAACAAAACTAAGAAAATAACACTGGCTGGGTGTGGTGGCACATGCCTATAATCCCAGCACTTTGGGAGGCCAAGGCAGGAGGATTAACCTGGACAACATACTGAGACCTCATCTCCACAAAAAATTTGAAACATTAGCTGAGTCTGGTGGCCTACAAAAAATACTAAACTTAGCTGCGTGTGGTGTCACACATCTGTAGTCCCAGCTAGTTGGGGGGTGGAGGTGGGAGGATTGCTTGACCCTGGGTAACAATGTGAGACCCTGTCTCAAAAAAAAAAAGGGATGAAGGCACTCTTTATTGCAGAAATTCCCTCTGTTTGCATTGCTAGCAATGTTTCCTAGCCAGTCCTGGAGCGAGAACAAATTCTTCCCTCCATTCACCTCTCCTTCCCTATTTCTCTTAATTGATTTTTTTTTTTTTTTTTTGAGACGGAGTCTCGCTCTGTCACCCAGACTGGAGTGCAGTGGCGCGATCTCGACTCACTGCAAGCTCCGCCTCCCGGGTTCACACCATTCTCCTGCCTCAGCCTCCCAAGTAGCTGGGACTACAGGCGCCTGCCACCACGCCCGGCTAATTTTTTTGTATTTTTGGTAAAGACGGAGTTTCACCGTGTTGGCCAGGCTGGTCTCGATCTCCTGACCTCGTGATCCACCTGCCTTGGCCTCCCAAAGTGCTGGGATTACAGGCGTGAGCCACGGCGCCTGGCCTCTCTTAATTGATTTTTAACAAGTTTTCCAAGGAAACTTAATGGGGGAAAGTTTAATCTTTTTGAGAAATGGTGCTGGAACAATAGGGAAAAATAGTGAAACTTGGTCTTTCCCTTATGCCATATACAGGAAGTTGTTTCTTGTTTCTGCTGATATGCACTCATGGTCGTTTACCTTCATGGGTTTGGTGGGTGGTTGTGAGGTCAAATAACAGTTCTGTGGGTTCACCTTGGGAACGCTTCCTTCCACAGAGGGCTTGTTTCCGCTTCTGCTCCATCTTCTGCCATTAGGACTGGTAGGGTGAGGAGGTATGGGAGCACTGGATCCATTTTGGAACTAATTTGACCTCTCTTGTGAGTTTAGCTCTAAATAACAGTCTCAAAGTCAGCATTTCATCATTGTTCTTGTTCTGGGAATTTACAAACATTGGCCTAAGGTTAACTACATTTGCTCTTTTATTTATTTATTTTTTTTTTGAGACAGAGTCTTACTCTGTCACCCAGGCTGGAGTGCAGCGGCATGATTTCCGTTCACTGCAACCTCCACCTCCTGGGTTCAAGTGATTCCCCTGCCTCAGCGTCCTGAGTAGCTGGGATTACAGGTATGCGCCACCATGCCCGGCTAATTTTGTTGTTGTTGTTGTTGTTTTGTTTTGTTGTTGTTTTTGAGACAGCGTCTCGCTCTGTAGCCCAGGCTGGAGTGCAATGGCGTGATCTCACTCACTGCTACGTCCGCCTCCCAGGTCCCGGTTCAAGCAATTCTCCTGCCTCAGCCTCCCAAGTAGCTGGGATTACAGGTGCGTGCCACCATGCCCAGCTAATTTTTTTTGGATTATTAGTAGAGACGGGGTTTCACCATGTTGGCCAGGCTCCACCTACCTCGGCCTCCCAAAATCCGAGGATTACAGGCGTGAGCCACCACGCCGGTCCAACCCGGCTAATTTTTATGTTTTTAGTAGAGACAGGGTTTCACCATGTTGGCCAAGCTAGTCTCAAACTCCTGACCTCAGGTGATCTGCCCACCTCAGCCTCCCAAAGTGCTAGGATTATAGGCATGAGCCACTGTGCCCGGCCCACATTTTTTTTTTTTTTTTTTTGAGATGGAGTCTTACTGTGTCGCCCAGGCTGGAGTGCAGTGGCGCAATCTCGGCTCACTGCAAGCTCCGCCTCCCAGGTTCATGCCATTCTCCTGCCTCAGCCTCCTGAGCAGCTGGTACTACAGGCGCCGACCACCACGCCCGGCTAATTTTTTGTATTTTTTGATAGAGACGGGGTTTCATCGTGCTACCCAGGATGGTCTCGATATTCTGACCTTGTGATCCGCCTGCCTCGGCCTCCCAAAGTGCTGGGATTACAGGCGTGAGTCACTACGCCTGGCCCCATTTGCTACTTTTTTTTCTTTTTTCTTTTTTTGAGACGGAGTCTCGCTCTTTCACCCAGGCTGAGTGCAGTGGCACGATCTCGGCTCACTGCAAGCTCCGCCTCCCGGGTTCATGCCATTCTCCTGCCTCAGCCTTCCAAGTAGCTGGGACTACAGGAGCCCGCCACCACCCGCGGCTGATTTTTTGTATTTTTAGTAGAGACGGGGTTTCACTGTGTTAGCCAGGATGGTCTCGATCTCCTGACCTTGTAATCCGCCCACCTCGGCCTCCCAAAGCACTGGGATTACAGGTGTGAGCCACCGCGACCGGCCTTTTGCTACATTTTAAAAAACTGTTGGCCAGGTGCAGTAGCTCATGCCTGTAATCCTAGCACTTTGGGAGGCCAAGGTGGGCAGGTCACGAGGTCAGGAGATCAAGACCATCCTGGCTAAGACGGTGAAACCCCGTCTCTACCAAAAATACAAAAAATTAGCCAGGCGTGGTGGCGGGCGCCTGTAGTCCCAGCTACTCGGGAGGCTGAGGCAGAAGAATTGCTTGAACCCGGGAGGCGGAGCTTGCAGTGAGCTGAGATCACGCCACTGCACTCCAGCCTGGGCGACAGAGACTCCATCTCAAAAAAACCCAAAAAACAAAAGCAAACAAACAAACAAAAAATAAATAAATAAGTAAGTAAGTAAAAAACTGGTGAGCCAGGCACAGTGGCTCAGACCTGTAATCCTGTAACTGAAACACAGGTTCGGTTGCTCACTGCTTGCAGAGTCCAATTAATAAGAATGAGGTCTGTTATAAAGAAACTGACTTTTTATTCCAAAGCCAGCTAGGGGAAGAAGTACAGGCTTCCTGCCTTAAGGGTACCACTTTGCCTTCAGAGCAGAAAGCTGATGCTTTTAAAGATGGGGGTGCTGGCATGCTGGCATGAAATGCACGCAGGGGAGGAAGCAAACAAGTAGGGGTTCGCGTACTCGCTTCAGTGCCTTATCTACCAGGTGGTCAAGCTGGTGGCTGCTGGTGCCTTTGTGGGCAGGACTAGATTGTAAAAGTGGCCCAAAACTCTCCAAATGGGAGAGATTTTTGTAGTGGGCATACTTTGGGTTGTAGATGGACTATTGTTGTAATGTAGGTTCTTGAGGCAACCTCCTGGTGGGAGAGATTTCATAGCGGGTACACTTTGGTTTGTAAATTGACTGTTATCTGTTGAGGCAGTCCCCTGATCGGACAGAGTTCTGTCCTGGAGCTTCTAAGCACCTAGTTAGATGAACTTGCCCTGTAGGGAGTGTGTGGTGAAGTGGAGGTAAAGGTTTATAATTGCATTTCTAAAGGGCTACATAGGAAGTGGGGAATGGGGGAAATGGAGAAAACAGAAAATAAGATAAAATAATTTAAAAATAGTAGTAATTCATTATCTTTTTCTTTGAAAACTGGGGGTACTTGGTTACAATTCCTCACCGTCAAGTTCCGTTCCATTTCTTTGGGATTTAGACACCATATTCATTCTGGCTACTTCCTGGTGAAAGGGGTTGTAGGTCATTGGGTGTCAAAGAGGAACTGAACTATTTGAAGTTGGAAATCTTCACAAATGCCCGGTCTTACAGATGATATTTGCTGGAACATTATGGTGCGAGGTGTGGAAATTCTCTGGGAAAGCCTGTCATGTAGTCTCATACAGAGGATGCCACAGCAGTAAAATCCACACTGGAGAAGTGTACCTGTTTTTGCAACTAGGGCTAGAGTAGTAAGTAGCTTCCATCCCCAGGATGGTCCTGACCCGAACCAGGATGCCATCCATGGATCTAACGACCATGTGGGGGCAGACATAGCTTTGATTTGCTGGTGCATATCTTGCAGGGCTATCTGAGACATTTCCAAATTATCTGGGATGTATACACAGCAGTTAGTCTTAATTATAAGGCAGGTTCCCCACTATCCATTGTAACCAGATATGATGACAGGTTGGCTAAATATGGATTTAACAGGTTACAGGAAAAGCTATAAACACTCATGAAGGTGATCATAAGTCCTGTCTAGTTCTTGAGAATGGATCAGTTTGGTTAAATAGTTGCATCCCATCCAGGAGGTGGCATTGCAGATGGGCTAGGCATTTACATGTGATGAAAGCAAACGGATTTTTAATAAGAGGCATTTCTGGCCAGGTGCAGTGGCTCACACCTGTAAGCCCAAAGTGCTGGGGCACTTTGGGAGGCCGAGGTGTGTGGATCACAAGGTCAGGAGTTCGAGACCAGCCTGGCCAATATGGCGAAACCCTGTCTCTACTAAAATTACAAAAATTAGCCGGGCGTGGTGGTGGGCACCTGTAGTTCCAGCTACTTGGGAGGCTGAGGCAGGAGAATCACTTGAACCTGGGAGGCAGAGGTTGCAGTGAGCTGAGATCAAGCCACTGCACTCCAGCCTGAGCAACAGAGTGAGATTCCATCTCAAAATAAAAACAGGCATTTCTATGAAAACAGAAGAAAAACAAAGGTTAATTTTGGGCACAATTTTTCCAGATGTTAGCCTCTATGGAAACAGAAGAAAAACAAAGGTTAATGTTAGGCACAATATATCCAGATGTTAGATTCAAAGCATCTTTAATCACAGAGGAGGAAGGGGGTGGCCATCTGATGTGTTTTTCTCACCTGTATTACAAGGAATAATGTAGTAGTACTTTCATTGAGTTCAAATCAGAACAATGGAAGAATAATTTGAAAGCATTAATTTAATAACCCGTAGCCTAGAAAGAATTCAAGATTTAATCCAAGTTGTGGAAAATTATAAAAACTCAAAAACAACAGACAAGACTAGAATCTAACAACAGGTTTACTATAATTTTTTTTTTTTTTTGAGACAGAGTATCTCTCTGTTTCCCAGGCTGGAGAGCAGTGGCACAATCTCGGCTCACTGCAGGCTCTGCTTCCCAGGTTCAAGTGATTCTCATGCCTCAGGCTCCTGAGTAGCTGGGATTACAAGCGTGTGCCACCACACCCAGCAAATTTTTTGTATTTTTAGTAGAGATGAGGTTTTACCATGTTGGCCAGGCTGGTCTCAAACTCCTGGCCTCAAGTGATCTGCCTGCCTTGGTCTTCCAAAGTGCTGGGATTACAGGTGTGAGCCACTGCTCCCGGCCTATAGTTTTTTTCCAAAACATAATTTTTATCTCTCTAATCCCAATTTTGCTAAAGACAAATCATAGTAGGACAAATTTATTTGCAAAATAAGTTTTAATCTTATTTTACGAAGTATTTTAACTTCAGACCTCTTGTTTGATGGAGAGACACATAGAATGCTCACTCATATTATCAACTTAGGCCAGGTTCAAAAGCCCTTCAAGCTATGGAAATAAAATATTGCCTCCTTCCACAAGAGAAATAATTACCCCCACCCCTTCAACCAGGAGGCTGTCTTACTAAAAATGTGGAAAGAAGGAACCCCTAAGGATCAATTACAACCAAAATGGAAGGGACCCTAACAGGTGTTGCTAAGTATCCCCACTGCTGCTAAACTTCAAGAAATAACTTGCTGGGTACACCTATCCAGGATTAAACCTGGTTTTTTTTGTGTTTTTTTTGGGAAGGAGTCTTGCTTTGTCGCTCAGGCTGGAATGCAGTGGTGAGATCTTGGCTTACTGCAACCTCCACCTCCTAGGTTCAAGCAATTCTCCTGCCTCAGCCTCCCAAATAGCTGGGATTACAGGTGTGCGTCACCACCACTGGCTAATTTTTGTATTTTTAGTAGAGACAGGGTTTCACCATGTTGGCCAGGCTGGTCTCGAACTCCTGACCATAAATGATCTGCTTGTCTTGGCCTCTCAAAGTGCTGGGATTACAGGCGTGAGCCACCATGCCCGGCCTAAACCTGTTCCTTATGAGTTGCAGGCACAAAAGCCAAGATCATGCCACTGCACTGCACCCTGGGTGACAGAGTGAGACTCCATCCCCCCACCCAAAAAAAGAAAAAAAAAGAATCAACACTCAGCCAGAAATGGTAATGTGATGCTGTGGGTGGGAATAGGAGCATTCATTTTTCTCTTCTTCCTGACTGTAATACTTCTTTTCTACTGCTTTTGCCAACTGCCTCCTCCTAGGAAACAACTACTTTGTCTTCATTGGGTATAGATGTCACTCTAAGGCTTTGCTCTCCTAGTTACCCTGATTGACTGTGACTGGGAACAAAATTCCATAGTAAATATTTCAAAAATTATAGCATCAGGGAATCATCTTCACGGTTGATGGATTTGTCATCAACATCCCCAGGAGAGAGAGTTGTACCTTCTGTCCCATCCAGAAAATCTATCATCTCCCCAGGCTTCCTAACTAACCATAGCAATCCCAAGGTACCTAGAACCCCAACTTGTTAGGTGGAACTCTCCTCCACTTGACAGATTCCACCTGAATCCCCCTACCACTATTGCCTGGACCTGGGAAGTTGGGTATGTCTATCTCCAGTGCACTAATGATTCCATCTTTTGCACTCACTGTTGTGTTAATGACATAAAAGCAGAAGTTTCCCTGCAATGCTCTGATCCAACTGTAGTTGCCAAGTTCCCAAGTTCCCAAGGCCTCAGCGAGATAAATGGGATTCCACTTGTAAGTGAGGAAACCATATATGGTGCCTTCTCCCAGATGAGACCACACAGGGGAAAAACAACTGCCTGGTCTAGGAAGGGGGGGAGTACTGGCCGGGCGCGGTGGCTCACGCCTGTAATCCCAGGTGCTGGCACTTTGGGAGGCTGAGGTGGGTGGATCACGAGGTCAGGAGTTCGAGACCATCCTGGCCAACATGGTGAAACCCCATCTCTACAAAAATACAAAAAATTAGCCAGGCGTGCTAGTGTGTGCCTGTAATCCCAGCTACTTGGGAGGCTGAGGCAGGAGAATTGGTTGAATCTGGGAGGCGGAGGTTACAGGGAGCTGAGATCATGCCACTGTACTCCAGCTTGGCGACAGAGCAAGACTCCGTCTCAAAAAAAAAAAAAAAAAGAGGGGCATATTGCCCTTTCTGGAAAACAGAGATTGTTTGGCCACTCCTATCACAGCAGGGGAAAAATATCTCTATAGACCCACTGGGCAGCAAAGGGTTAACATCACACCCCATAGGGCTTCTGTTTGTGACCCAACTGGTTTCATTTTTGTGTGTCAATGACTGGGAAGAAGTCAATCCTGTAACCACTCCTGAGTCCCAGGGAGTCACCTGTTCTTTTGGGAGTAGCTTTCCTTTGTATATCAAAAACTTGGAAGAGAGAGGAATGTACATTGGCTACCCCTGCCCCTCCAGGGGTCACAGTCTATAGCCCCATGAGACCTAGGAATACCAGAAATAAATGAGCAATAGGATTAATTCTGGTAGGAATTGGGTGGCAATAAGACTAGTGGCACCCTGGCAGCTTTGCTTACCACGAGTCAACCCTAAAGAACTTAACTCAGGCCGGGCGCGGTGGCTCACGCCTGTAATCTCAGCACTTTGGGAGGCTGAGGCGGGCGGATCACAAGGTCAGGAGATCGAGACCATCCTGGCTAACATGGTGAAACCCTGTCTCTGTTAAAAATACAAAAAAATTAGCCGGGCGTGGTGGTGGGCGCCTGTAGTCCCAGCTACACGGGAGGCTGAGGCAGGAGAATGGCGTGAACCTGGGAGGAGGAGCTTGCAGTGAGCCAAGATTGCGCCACCGCACTCCAGCCTGGGCGACAGAGCGAGACCCTGTCTCAAAAAAAAAAAAAAAAAAGAACTTGACTCAAACTCTAGAATCCCCAGTTACCAACACAGGTGAGGCATTAAAGGGAAATCAAGAGTCCCTAGGCTCTTTGGCAAATGTAGTTCTTGGAAACAGACTAGCATTGGATTATTTACTAGCTGAACAAGGTGGAGTCTGTGCAACTATGAATAAAACCTGCTGCACATATATTACCAACTCTGGACAGGTTGAGATTAACATTCAGAAGATCTATGAGCAAGCTACCTGGCTACATAAACAGGGCACTGACCCCAATTCTATCTGGTTGACTATCAAAAATGCTCTCCCAAGCTCACCTGGTTCTTACCTCTCCTAGGACCTCTGATAGCTGTCTTGTTATTACTAATCTTTGGCCCTTGCTTGTTTAACCTCTTAGTAATGTTTGTGTCTTCTAGATTACAGAAGTTCCAGGTAAAGACAATGCTGGCACAAGGCTTCCAACTCATCCAACTTCTGACCTGGAGAATAAAAACATCCTGCCTTTTGGCCCCTTAGATCAGGTATCTGGAGATTTTTACCCTTCCAGTACTAGGCAGGGCCTATGCCCATCAACTCAGCAGGAAGTTTTAATAGTTACAGAAGATGGACCTCTACCCTTCTGTAGCCCCCTTAAGAGTAAAGAGGAGTATCTAATCTCTGAGGGGGGAATGAGGTAGGAGTCAGGACTTGACTCCCGAGGTGGGGCTTGAACTCTGGACCAGGCTGAAGACCAGCTGAAACAGGGAGGAGGCAAAAGCACCTCTCCATAAGACACACTCACCAGTGCCATGTCACTTTACCATTGCCATGACTGCACCTGGAAGTTACCACCCCTTTCCAGAAATACCACCCCTTTTCTAGAAAATTCCAAATAACTTGCCCCTTAATTTGCATATAATTAAAAGTGGACATGTATATGTCTGCAGAACTGCCTCTGAGCTGCTGCTCTCGACACACTGCCTATGGGGTGGCCCTGCTCTGCAGAGCAGTTATGGAGTGGTAACACTGCCACCTCAGTAAAGCTGTTTTCTTCTACCACTGGCTTCTCTTGAATTCTTTCCTGAGCAAAGCCAAGAACCTTCCCAGGCTAAGCCCCAGTTTTGAAGCTTGCTTGCTCTCCAACGGTTTAATATACCAACTAGGCCGAATATGTCTCTTTAGGTCTTTAGGGTACCTAATATCAAAAAGCGTTAACCAGATAAAAACAAGACTTAATTTAGAATTTGACTTTGGAAACTTTGTCATATATCAAAGGTTTAAACACTTGATATTACAAAATAGAATCCCAGGTCATTAGAAGTCATTTATGTAGCCAAAATGATAACTCAAAAAAATTTTAAAGGCAAAAATCTTTACTTCTTGACTGATGGTAGACTCAACTTTCCAAACAAGACTCTAAAGACAGCACGAGGCCAACCAGATCTGTCTCTTTTCCCTCCCCTTTTTTTCTGTTGTTTATTCAAATGACAAACAATGTTTTGGTTTTTTTTGTTGTTGTTGTGACAGGGTCTCACTCTGTCACCCAGGCTGTAGTGCAGTGGTGTGATTTTGGCTTTCTGTAGCCTCAACCTCCCAGGCTCAAGCAGTCCTCCCGTATGAGTGGCTGGAACTATAGGTGTCTGCCACCACGACCAGCTAATTTTTGTATTTTTGGTAGAGACAGGGTTTCACCATGTTGCCCAGGCTAGCAAAATGTTTTATTACCTTTTAATATTACACAAAAATTTGTTCAAAAGAGCAAGTCAAATTTCACCTTTGCTTTAGTGTACTATTAATGTTAAACCCAATTCTTTTTTTTTTTTTTTTTTTGAGATGGAGTTTCGCTCTTGTTGCCCAGGCTGGAGTGCAATAGTGTGATCTCGGCTCACTGCAACCTCCACCTCCCGGGTTCAAGTGATTCTCCCACCTCAGCCTCCCAAGTAGCTGGGATTACAGGCAGGCGCCACCATGCCTGGCTAATTTTTGTATTTTTAGCAGAGATGGGGTTTCACTATATTGGTCAGGCTGGTCTCGATCTCCTGACCTCAGGTGATCTGCCCACCTCAGCCTCCCAAAGTGCTGGGATTACAGGCGTGAGACACCGCGCCTGGCCTGTTAAACCCAATTCTTAATAAAACCTTATAAACAAATCTATCTAATATTAATTAGTTTTAATAAAATAAAATTTTGGGCCGGGCGTGGTGGCTCATGCCTGTATTCCCAGTACTTTGGGAGGCTGAGGCGGGTGGATCACTTGAGGTCAGGAGTTCAAGACCAGCCTGGCCAACATGGCACAACCCCATCTCTACTAAAAATACAAAAAATAGCTGGGCATGGTGGTAGGCACCTGTAATCCCAGCTACTCAGGAGGTTTTGGCAGGAGAATTGCTTGAACCCAGGAGGCGGAGGTTGCAGTGAGCCGAGATTGTGCCATTGCATTCCAGCCTGGGCGACAGACTGAGATGCCATCCCAAAATAAACAAACAAGCAAACAAATAAATAAATAAAAAGAGGAAGGAGGAACAGACAGGAGTAAATGGAGAATCAGACAGGATTCCATTGACTGAGGAGTTTTTAGAGGGACAGCAGGGGCTTCAAAGCACTATCTGTACACATATGGCCCAAATATCAGCTTTAATTAAGTCAGTTTCTAACTATAGAGCTCTCAAAAGAAAAACCCTTTTTAAATCTTTTATTACCAGATTTTAGCCAGCACAAATGACTGATATTTCTGACTTTTGAACTTTTTTTTTTTTAACTAAATGTAACCTCCTACATGAAATCAATAAGACTTAACTAAGGGTATGACTTAACCACAGGTGCACAAGGTATTTTCAAAGAGATGGCAAGCGTTTTTTTTGTTTGTTTGTTTTTTTTTTTTGAGACGGAGTCTTGCTCTGTCGCCCAGGCTGGAGTGCAGTGGCACGATCTCGGCTCACTGCAAGCTCCACCTCCCGGGTTCACGCCATTCTCCTGCCTCAGCCTCCCAAGTAGCTGGGACTACAGGCGCCCACCACCATGCCCAGCTAATTTTTTGTATTTTAGTAGGGACGGGGTTTCACTGTGTTAGCCAGGATGGTCTTGATCTCCTGACCTCATGATCCACCCGCCTCGGCCTCCCAAAGTGCTGGGATTACAGGCATGAGCCACCGCGCCCGGCCATGGCAAGCATTTTTTCCATGATCTAGAGTTGCCCCAGAGGTAGCTCAGAGAAAGAAAAATTTCAAGACAGGAAATCAGAATCTGTCCACGGAGGGAAAATGAATCAATAAATGGCAAAGGTCAACAAATAACAAACCAGAAAAGACTCATTCCCTAAATCATGAATTGGACCCAGGCTGCCATTGTGAAAGGCTGAACCTTAGCTACTGAGCTACAGCATGGGGGAGACACCATTGTTCTTCCCAGAAGGAGCCTAGAGCAGGCACTGGTGAGCTTGCAAAGGATTTTAACTCCTCAAAAGAATGAAGGCGGAACATGACATTATCATGTGCTCTTTTCAGACCCAAGAGTCAAAGCCCTGTGACTTAACAGCACAAGGGATTTAAAAGCAATACAGAAGTTACATGGATGTAATAACCTTTCCAAGTCCATAATTTAAATTAGACTTTTTTTGAGACAGGGTCTTGCTCTGTTGCCCAGGCTGGAGTGCAGTGGTGCGACACGGCTCAGTGCAGCCTCGACCTCCCAGGTTCAAGTGATTCTCCCACCTCAGCCTCCCAAAGTTTGAGGATTACAGGCATGAGGCCCCACACCCAGCCTGAATGACCTTCTAGATAACTTTTGAATTAGACAAAATTATTCTTCTTCTCAATAAGAATATATCTTTTTTTTTTTTTTTTTTTTTTTTTTTTTTTTGAGACGGAGTCTCACTCTGTGCCCAGGCTGGAGTGCAGTGGCATGATCTGGGCTCACTGCAATCTCCACCTCCTAAGTTCAAGTGATTTTCCTGCCTCAGCCTCCCAAGTAGCTGGGACTACAGGTGCGCCCCATCAAACCCAGCTAATTTTTGTATTTTTAGTAGAGACGGGGTTTCATCATGTTGGCCAGGATGGTCTCGATCTCTTGACCTCATGATCCACCCGCCTTGGCCTCCCAAAGTGCTGGGATTACAGGCGTGAGCCACCGCGCCCGGCTAAGAACACATCTTCTTTGGCACATTTTATATAAACTTGGGAAGCAAGAAATCCTGAACTGCCTATCAGATATTAGCATTTTATAGATGAGAACCATTCAACAACTTTTGGAACATTTTCCATACGATTACCCTTTCTTAATTGGAAATGACATAGACATACGATAAGCGTCCAACATGATTTTAAGATTTTAAATTATACAAAAGTTTACTTACAAGAATGTATCTCATTTGTATGTACCCAATTTTCCCATTTTTAATCGTTTATTTAGATTACTTCTGAAAACTGAGATATTACACAAAGGTGGTCATTATTTAAAATTATTTCCCTGTTAACCATTTTTAAAGGCTGTGAGCATTGGGTGTTTAAGAATCTTAAAGTCAAACACATAGGCATTCTGTTGATAACTCAGAAGATTTAGCTGTTTTCATTGAACTAGTAATAACAAATTAGTCTCATTTGTTAAAAAAAAAAATACAGACTCACCACTTTATAAAAGATAGCTGAATCCACACTATTCTTTCATGAAATTGGGATGTTTACATGGCTAAATAAACTTTGTTCATCCTGGTATATAATCCAATGAAAGCTATGAACTAAAATTTGGGTAGGCCAGGCGTGGTGGCTCACGCCTGTAATCCAGGCCATTTGGGAGGCCGAGGTGGGTGGATCACAAGGTCAGGAGTTCGAGACCAGCCTGGCCAATATGGTGAAACCCTGTCTCTACTAAAAATACAAAAACCAGCCGGGTGTGGTGGCATGAGCCTGTAGTCCCAGCTACTCAGGAGGCTGAGGCAGAAGAATCGCTTGAACCTGGGAGGTGGAGATTGCAGTGAGCTGAGATCGCACCACTGCCCTCCAGCCTGGTGACACAGCGAGACTCTGTCTCAAAAAAAAAAATTAATTAAAAAAAATTTTGGGTAAAGCAGTCTCTGTGGCGGTTTGGTCTTTAAAAACACCTCTTTTGCCCGTTTTTCCTTCAGTTTCAAATTCGTTTCTAGCATTCACATTCTAGCTAGTCCGCAAACAATGAGTCTTATCTCAGCACCAGCAGCTTAGTAACAGCAGATGTAAAGCAGGCAGAAAAGAAGACAGAGAAAGCCAACCTGGCAGGCCTCTGCATAGGAGCCGGGATTCACAAGTGGGACACGAGAAAGAAAGGGGAGGAAGAAAAAAAGGTAAAGTGACCGAAAGGAAACTCATGAGCCTTCCAGCCACCATAGTTAGTAGACGTTGGCTCAGCCTTTCGCGAGCGCCTCACTTCTCACTTCCTGGACAGGAAGCACAGCAGGTTTATCCAGATGAACTGAGGTCAGGTGGTGCGGGGAGGGGCAGGGAGATGGCCATCCAGAATACCACTGCCCCCCAAGCCCGGGGCTGAGATGAGCGAAGATGTGCCTCTGTTGGGGACCAGGAGGCGGGTATTCAGGAATGCTACCTGGCACCTGGCTGGAAAAGAAAAGCCAGTTCCCTGTAAGGAGTGTTCCCAATGTTCTGTCTATGATGGCCTTGTTATTTTATTACCTTTAGAAATTGAGTCCTGTTCTTGTTACAGCAGTCACACTGCTGGGAAGTGGCTAAATAGTAATATCAATAAATAGATGAGGCCGGGTACGTGGCTCACGCCTGTAATCCCAGCGCTTTGGGAGGCCGAGGTGGGCAGATCACCTGAGGTCAGCAGTTTGAGACCAGGCTGGCCAACATGGTGAGTCCCCGTCTCTACTAAAAATACAAAAATTAGCCAGGCATGGTGGTGCATGCCTGTAATCCCAGCTACTCGGGAGGCTGAGACAGGAGAATTGCTTGAATCTGGGAGGTGGAGGTTGCAGTGAGCTGAGATCGTGCCACTGCATTCCAGCCTGGGTGACAGAGTAAGACTCTGTCTCAAAAAAAAAAAAAAAAAAAAAAAAAGAGTCCTCTTGGAAAACAAAACAACCAAAACAATACAAAAACCCCACCATTCTTGTTTGTCTTCCATGAGGGAAAGTCTCCGTAGCCCATGTGGGCAGCTCTCCTGGATAATCAGGAGGGTGAAATTGAAGGTAGAGAGTCAAGAAAAGGGCCAGAGCCCACACATGGTCATACATTCACATTTGCAAACAAACAATGTGCTTCCCAATGAGTCTCCAATTGACGGGCTGGGTAAGGCCCTGAATCCCCCTCCTCAGATCCAAATGGCTTCATGGGTAGTTGAGTTTGAGCTAAGCAAAGCTCTTATGGTTCCACATGCACAAACAAATATAAATGCATAAAATGCTCAAATGGTGTCAATAGCAGCCAAATCTTAAGTAGAGCAGGGCCCCCAGTGACACTGCAAAAGAGGTAGAGGGTGGTCAGATGCACTCCAAATAACTCACCCAGTTCCAAAGTTTGCTGTCTTCTTCAGAGGTCACTTGCTTTGTACCAGTGAAACACTGAAGGTGGCAGATGTCATGCTGGGAGGTGAAAGGAAGACTCTTCCAAAAACAAAAGCATTTTTGGCAGCTGCCGGGAAGTTCCATGATGTTCCTGTCGCTAGCTATGAGCGGCTGGCACTCACAGGTGACCCCATGCCTCACCCAGGAGCATAACTAGGCTATCCAGCTCAGACTCACCTAGGGCGGGCAGCACTTCCCCATATGGGTCACCAAAATTGTAACTGAAATGCAGGTTCAGTTGCTTGCTGCTTGCAGAGTCCAGTTAATGAGAGTAAGGTCTGGTATAAAGAAAGAGACTTTTTATTCCAAAGCTAACTTAGGGGAAGAAGTACAGGCTTCCTGCCTTAAGGGCAGTACTTTGGCTTTGGAGCAGAAAGCGGGCTCTTTTAATGTGGGAGAGGAAGCAAGCAGGTGCGGGATCTGCTGACTCCCTTTGGTGCCTTATCTACTGGGCAGTCACGTTGGTAACTGCTGGCATCTTCATGGGTTGTAAAAGTGGCCAAAGACTTTCCAGGTGGGAGACAGTCTTGTAGTGGGCATACTTGAGGTCGTAGATGGACTGTTGTCTCTGGAGGCAACCTCCTAGTGGGAGAGAGTTTCATAGTGGGCATACTTTGGGTTGCAAATGGACTGTTATCTCTGAGACAGTCGCTTGGTGGGAGAGCGTTCTGCCCTGGAGCCTCTAAGCACATGGTTAGATGAACTTGTCCTGTGGGGAGTGTCTGGTGAAGGGGAGCTGAAAGGTTATAATTGCATTGGTTAATTAGGAAGTGGCGAATAGGAGAAATGGAGAAAAGAGAAAAGAAGAGAAAAGAAAAAAATAATAGTAACTTATTCTCTTTTTCTAAGAAAAATGGGAATACTTGGTTAAAATCACAGCACTTTTTTGGGAGACTGAGGCAGGCTTGGTGGCACGCAGCTGTAATCCCAGCTACTCAGGAGGCTGAGGTGGGAGAATCACTTGAGCCTGGGAAGTTGGGGCTCCAGAGAGCTGTGATTGTGCCACTGCACCCCAGCCTAGGTGACAGAATTAGACCGTCTCAAAAAATAAAATAATAAAAAACCCTGAAAGTTTATTGTCATTATTGATGTACTTACTATTTCCACAAATGATCCAGTTTAACACAGAGTTTAGGTTAATAAAACAATGTAAATATTGTCAGTAGCACAATCTAGAGAGCTTCTTTTTTTTTTTTTTTTTTTTTTTTTGAGACAGAGTCTTGCTCTGTTGCCCAGGCTGGAGTGCAGTGGTGTGATCTTGGCTCACTGACACCTCCGCCTCCTGGGTTCATGCGATTCTCTTGCCTCAGCCACCCTAGTAGCTGGGGTTACAGGCGCCTGCCACCAAGCCTGGCTCATTTTTGTATTTTTAGTAGAGATGGGGTTTCACCATGTTGGCCAGGCTGGTCTGGACCTCCTAACCTCAAGTGATCTGCCCGCCTCAGCCTCCCAAAGTGCTGGGATTACAGGCATGAGCCACTGTGCCCAGCCCCAGATAGCTTTTTTTGTTGGAGATGTTTGTTCTAAGAGGGAAGAAACTAGGCCTGAAGCCTTTCTGTGTGCATAAGCGACTTGGAATCAAGATATCTGTCATTTTGTATTTAACACAAATGAGAAACATCGGTACCAGTTATGGATTTAATATCTGTTTCTGCAGCTCTTTTAAAAATACCACCTTTTGCATCTCTGGATATTGCTCTCCACTCCCCATGATTATTTGGAAGTATATGAATCCAAATTGTATGAAATTGCCGGGCACACCCCCATGGTGGCAAACGTCTACAGTTCTAGCTACTGGGAAGCCTGAGGCGGGAGGCTCGCTTCAGCCCTGGAGTTCTAGGCTACAGTGCACTATGCCCATTGGGTGTCTGCACCAAGTTCAGCTTCAATAGGGTGACCTTCTGGGAGCAGGACCACCACGTTGCCTAAGAGGGGTGAACCTGTCCAAGTCGGAAAGGAGTGGGTCCAAACTCCTGAGCTGATCAGTAGTGGGATCGTGCCTGTGAGCAGCCGCAGTACTCCAGCCTGAGCAACATAGCAAGACCCTGTCTCTTAAAAAAAATTATATCATACTAGAAAAGTGCACTTTGGGTATCTAAAGAAGCACTCACACACCTTTCTGTCTGCCAACCAGTTTGTTTACTTTACATGTGGTCCGTCCTGGTTCACTGGGCCCTAGGAACCAGCCCCCTCTGGCCCATCTCCAGCACAGTAACAATAGCCAATGTTTATTGAGTCTAGGCTGTGTGCCAGATGTTGATCTAAAATAGATGTTGCTCTAAATAATAGGCTATTGTTTGAGGCTGAGTGCAGTGGGTGATGCCTATAATCCCAGCACTTTGGAGGTCGCAGCGGTAGGATTGCTTCAGGTCAGGAGTTTGAGACCAGCTGGGGCAACAAACTGAGACCCTGTTTATACAAAAACAAAGAAACCCAGAAATGAGCAGGGCGTGGTGGTGCACATCTGTGGTCCCACCTACTCGGGAGGCTGAGGTGGGAGGATCGCTTGAGCCCAGGAGTTTGAGTTTGCAGCAAGCCACTGCACTCCAGCTTGGGTTACAGAGCAAGACCCGGACTCAAGGGGAAAAAAAAAGGTTATTATTTGAATCTAATGCTTACAGCCAGCCTTTGAGGTGATACCATTAGTACCTTCACATTGTAGATGAGGTAACAGGTTTAGAGACATTGAGTAGCATGCCCAAATCATGCAGATTAATGGAGGACCCAGGATTTAAACCTAGATCCGTCTGACTGCCATCTCTCTCTCTCTCTTTCACATTAAAAAAAAAAAAAAAAAAAAAAAAGGAGACGGGGGATGGCTATGTTGCCCAGGCTGATCCTGAAATCCTAGGCTCAAGCGATCCTCCCACCTCAGCCTGCCAGGTAGCTGGGACTACAGGCCCACACCACTATCCCTGGCTAATTTTTGTATTTTTTGTAGAGATGGGGGTTTTTACCATGTTGCCCAGGCGGGTCCTGAACTCCTGGGCTCAAGCGATCCTCCCGCCTTGGCCTCCCAAAGTGTTGGGATTACAGGTGTGAGCCACTGCTCTTGGCTGAGAGCTGCCATCTCAATTGCCATTACCTACTACAATGGGACCCAGAAGCCTAGTTCTGGACACAGTGGCTGCAAGGACCCTCAGGGGCCCTTCAGGTCTGCTTGAAGTAAGCCATTTTCCACAGTGTCATTCCGGGTCCACCCCTGGCCCCAGCATGGTCAGCTCAGGTGACTCGATGCTGTCAGCAGCTCTGGCTGATCAAGGCCCTTTCTGTTGTAGGGTGGAATCCATCCCCCTTTAGCTTCCATGGGATGGTCAGCCTTCTGCCCTTTGGGGCTGTAGAGAAGACACGTGGCTCCTTCTCACCCTAGGGAATCCCTTCAGATCCTGGCTCGTTCACTCAGCAGATATTTACTGTGTGTCCACAATGTGCCCAGGATAGAGGAGTGGACAAGAAGAAGTCATAAGGCCTGGTGGAGTTGACATTTTAAAGAGACAGAAAGTAAGTCCCATGTTGGCAGAGACAGGCCCCACCCCCTTGATCTAGAGCCTCTCTGGATCATTCCAGCTTTCTAGATCGGAGACCCATTGGAAATGTGGTCCCAGATAAGGTAGCCACATGAAGAATAGGGCCATGGGGCTGGCTGGGGTGACCCCACATAAGAAGCCTTGGCTGGTCCAGGGTTTGGAGAGGCCATATGTCCAGGGCAGTCCTAGAGCTTAATCTGGCCAAATTCCAGTGAAAAGGAAAAAAAAAAAATCCTGCTTCCCCATCACCAAACACTAAATAAGCAGACAGCGAGACAGGCCTCCCCACCTCCTCCCAAACTCCAGAGCTCCCTCCCTGTCTGCTGCCTCCTTTAGCCAGCGCCCGTGGGCATTTCTGACCAAACTCACATTCTGCCTTCTCCAGCCTGAAATCTGGCTTATCTATTCTCTCTGCCTCTCTCTTTTTTTTTTTTTTTTTTTTTTTTGAGACAGAGTCTCGCTCTTTCGCCCAGGCCGGACTGCAGTGGCGCGATCTCGGCTCACTGCAAGCTCCGCCTCCCGGGTTCACACCATTCTCTTGCCTCAGCCTCTCGAGTAGCTGAGACTACAGGCGCCCGCCGCCGCGCACGGCTATTTTTGTGTTTTTAGTAGAGACGGAGTTTCGCTGTGTTAGCCAGGATGGTCTCGATCTCCTGACCTCGTGATCCGCCCGCCTCGGCCACCCAAAGTGCTGGGATTACAGGCGTGAACCACCGCGCCCGGCCATGGCTTACCTATTCTCAAGACATATTCCTCCCCACTCTCAGACTCTCCCCCTATCTCAGGCCTCTTTTACCTCCCAAATCTCTCTCCACCCCTGCCAGGGTCCAAAATCAAGCATCAGCGCTGTTCCCCGCCCGACTTCCACCCTCCCTCACTCCCCTCAACCCGATTCTAACAGACACCCAAACAGGAGAACACAGTGTGAGATTACATCACAGCTCACACACACACACACACAGACACACACAGACGCACAAACACACAGACACACACACACACACACACAGACACACACACACACACACACAGATTTCCTGTTGTCCTGTGACCCTCCCACTCCAGTCCCTGACTCAGGACACAGTAGAACAAAAGAACTCACGATGCCGGTTTCAGTGTCATAAACAATAGATATGGGCCGGCACAGTGGCTCATGCCTGTAATCTCGGCACTTTGGGAGGCCGAGGCGGGTGGATGGCTCGAGGCCAGGAGTTCCAGACCCACCTAGGCAGCATGGCCAAACTCTGTCTCTATAAAAAATACAAAGATTAGCCAGGTGTGGTGACATGTACCTTTGGTCCCAGATACTTAGGAGGCTGAGCGGGGAGGATCACCTGAGCCCTGAAGGTTGAGGCTGCAGTGAGCCATGATCACACCACTGCACTCCAGCCTGGGAGACAGAGTGAGATGCTGTCTAAAAAACAGAACAAAACAAAAACTCCCCCAAACCCAAAAAGATTTGGAAGAATAAATGCTCAGATATTGAGCCAGTCACCTTACCACTGCCCACCAAGGTGATTATGAAAGGATGAGGAAAGGGGAAGAGAGGAACAGCAGAGGTTGTAGAAAGGAGCAGAGGAGTTGGGGTGTCCCCAGGAAGAGCCCATGTCCCAGCCCCCACCACCTCACTGGCCAATGAGAGTCCTCACACCAAATGTCAAAAACCCTGGACCATCTGGGGGGTGGCCAACAGTGAATCCCAAAGACCAAGTCAGGGGCATAGAACAACTTTTTGCAGGGTCAATACAACAGAGACCTCCCACAAGCGAGTGTCCTGCTTTAAACAATTGCCCAAATATAGTTAGTGGGGATTCAAAGCAAACACTACAAAAGAAATATATATTTCAGAGTGGAAAATAAAATGAAATAAAATGGCCAACAGAAAAATTAAATGGCATGAGAGGAGAAGGGACCAAGAGAAGGGGCAACAAGGATGCAATTGGTCAGGCACGCTTTGAGGGACTTTGAATTGACTATTTAGCCAACAGCCTTATTTCCTGGATCACCTGATATGGAGGAGAGGAGGCAAAGGGGACAGTCACCTGTCCGCAAGAGCCAAAATGGTGCTGGCCAGTCTCTAACATGGGGCCCAGTGAAGGTCTCCTCCCCAGATTTCCCCAGCTTGGGCGAGCTTGGCTGCCAAAGGGGGATCAGCAGGTATACTAGCAACATGCCAGCTGGAATATTGGGTCCCACAGAAGGCAGTGCTGCTATGGCTGCTCGTCCATCTGCTTGGCTCCACGGGTTGCCAGGAAAGACAGTGGCTCTTTTTTTTTTTGAGACAGAGTCTCATTCTGTTGCCCAGGCTAGAGTGCAGCGGTGCAATCTCGGCTCACTGCAACCTCCACCTCGTGGGTTGAAGTGATTCTCCTGCCTCAGCCTCCTGAGTAGCTGGGATTATAGTTGTGCACCATCATGTCAGGATAATTTTTGTATTTTTAGTAGAGATGGGGTTTCACTATGTTGGCCAGGCTGGTCTCAAACTCCTGACCTCAGGTGATCCACTGGCCTTGGCCTCCCAAAGTGCCGGGATTACAGGAGTGAGCCACTGCGCTCGGCCAAGACAGTGGCTCTTAAAAATGAACCTTTGGGCTAGTGCTACACCTCTGCAGTGTTAGAAGCTCTGCAGCTTTGATTGCTTGTAGCACTGATCACCTGCTGTCTCTTGCTGATCACCGTCTTGACATCTCTCGCCACCTCTCTCCAACTGCCACCTCCTGCCATCTCTCTGTTGTCTCACTGTCTTGCCAGTTGCTCTCACCACTTCTCTCTAATTGCTATCTATTGCTATCTTTCTGTCCTGTCTCACCATCCCGCCAATTGCTGACCAACAATTGCCAATTTTCTCCTTTCTAGTGTCTTGCTGCCTGTCTGCTAATTGCCAGTCGCTGCCATCTCTGTTGTCTTTGTGGTCTTCATGGTCACCAGGTGATGCAGAACAGGTGAGCCCCAAAATTGGGGCTTAGCCTGGGAGGGTTCTTGGCTTCACACAGGAAGGAATTCAAGAGCAAGACAGTGGTATTAGAGAGCAGTTTTTTAATTGAATGGTACTGCTCTTTGTGGAGCAGGGATAACTCAGGCAGTGCACCTGCAGCAGGCAACCTATGGGCTCTTGGCAACGGTATTTATATTCGCTTATACTCATTTTTAATTATATGCAAATAGAAGGGTGAGTTAATGCAAATTGATGGAGGGGTTATTTAGAACCTTTTAGGAAAGGGGTGGTGACTTCTGGGTCATTGGTGTGGAAAGATGTGGTAACTTCTGGGTCTTTGCCATGGCATTTGTAAACTGTCATTACACTGGTGGGAGTGTCTTATGCTAAGGAACAATGAGGGCAGCTAGGGATTGCTTTTGTCACCATCTGCTGATTCTTTCCAAACAAGACCTGCTGGTCTCCTCTCTTGATTTTAACACTATTAATTCTCTGATTTCATGTGTATGGGATGTCTTCCCATTCGTTTGTGTCCTCTTCAATTTCTTTCATCAGTGTTTTGTAGTTTTCATTGTAGAGATAGTTCACCTTCTTGGTTAGATTTATTCCTAGACTTTTTTTTTTTTTTTTTTTTTTTTTTTTTTTTTTTTTTTTTGCAGCAAGATAAATGGGCTTCTTCATTTCTTTCTGAGCTAGCTCATTATTGGTATGTAGAAATGCTATTGATTTTTGTATGTTGATTTTGTATCCTGCAACTTTACTGAATTTATTATTAATTCTAGGAGTTTTTTGGTGGAGTCTTTAGGTTTTCCTAAATATATGATCATATCATCAGCAAGGAGGGATAGTTTGACTTTGTCTTTTTCAATTTGGATGCCACTTATTTCTTTTTCTTGCCTGATTTCGCTGGCTAGGATTTCCATCACTGTATTGAATAGGGGTGATGAAAGTGGGCATTCTTGTCTTATTCCAGATCTTAGAGAAAAGACTTTCAGATTTTCCCCATTCAGTGTGATGTTAGCTATGGGTTTGTCATGTCAATAAATTGTTATGAAGTAAGTTCTTTTTTTTTTTTTTTGAGATGGAGTCTCGCTGTCGCCCAGGCTGGAGTGCAGTGGCGCGATCTCGGCTCACTGCAGGCTCCGTCCCCCGGGGTTCACGCCATACTCCTGCCTCAGCCTCCCGAGTAGCTGGGACTACAGGCGCCCGCTACCTCGCCCGGCTAATTTTTTGTATTTTTAGTAGAGACGGGGTTTCACTGTGTTAGCCAGGATGGTCTCCATCTCCTGACCTCGTGATCCACCCGCCTCAGCCTCCCAAAGTGCTGGGATTACAGGCGTGAGCCACCGTGCCTGGCCGAAGTAAGTTTTTTCTATTCCTAGTTTGTTTAGAGGTTTTATCATGAAAGGATATGGAATTTTATTAAATGCAATTTAATAATTGTTTCAATTGAGATAATCATATGGTTTTTGTCTGTGTCTCCTGGGCTCAAGTGATCCTCTTGCATCAGCCTCTTGAGTAGTTAGAACTACAGGTGTATGGCACCACACACGGCTAATATCTTATTTTATTTTTGTAGAGATGGGGTCTTGCTACATTGCCCAGGCCATTCTCAAATTCCTGCCTCAAGTTATCCTCCTGTCTCAGCCTCCCAAAGTGCTGGGATTACAGGTGTGAGCCATTGAATTTCTGTATACCATTTAGAATCAGCTTGTCAATTTCTACCAATCCAGTCTGCTGAAATTTTGATTGGTATTCTTGTTTGAATCTATAAAACTGAATCTCAATTCTCAAAATGAGAAAGGCTTCTTGGAAGCAGTACATATTTTAATCAAATGTATATCTAGAATATGTCATTAACTGTTGCCATGGAGCAATGTGATATAATCTGAACAACTGTTAAAATCAAACCCTTAATTCCAAAAAACGAAAGATAAGCTGTGGTGAGAATGTGAAGAAATTGGAGCCCTAGTGCCTTGCTGGTGAGCATGCAAGAAGGTACAGCCACTGTGGAAAACAGCCTGGCAATTCTTCAAAACTTTAAACACGGAACTATCCTATGATCAAGCAATTCCAATTCTAGGTATATATCCAAAAGAACTGGGCCGGGCCTGGTGGCTCATGCCTGTAATTCCAGCACTTTGGGAGGCCGAGGCGGTGGATCACGAGGTCAGGAGTTCAAGACCAGCCTGACCAACATGGTGAAACCTCATCTCTAGTAAAATACAAAAATCAGCCCAGCGTGGTGGTGCGCGCCTGTAATCCCAGCTCCTCAGGAGGCTGAGGCAGGAGAATCACTTGAACCTGGGAGACGGAGGTTGCAGTGAGCCAAGATCATGCCATTGCACTCCAGCCTGGGCCATAGAGCGAGACTCCATCTCAAAAACAAAACAAAACAAACAAACAAAACAAAACAAAACCTGAAGGCAAGAACTTCAACAGATATTTGTACACCAATGTTGATAGCAACATTATTTACAATAGCCAAAATGTGGAAACAATTCAAATGTCTATCCACAGATGAACGGAGAAACACGATGCAGTGTATACATACAAGGGAATATTCTGTGGCAATCTGAAGGAATGAAACTTTGGCATATGCTACAGCATCGATCAACCTATGTCACATTATGCCAAGTGACATAAGCCAGACACAGAGGGACACATATTGTGTGATTTTACTTATACGAAGTACCTAGAATAGGCAAATTAATAAAAACGAAAGTAGAATAGAGATTACCAGGGGCTGAGGGGAGGGGAATGGGAAGTTTTGCTTAATGGATACGGAATTTATGTTGGGGACAATGAAAAAATTCCAGAGCTGGAAAATGGTGATAGTTACATGACATTGTAGATGTGCTGAATGGCAGTGAATTGCACACTTAAAATCAGCCAGAGAGGCCAGGTGCGGTGGCTCATGCCTGTCTGAAAGGAATTTCTCCTTTCAGTTCTGTCAGTTTTTGCTTCATGCGTTTTGAATTATTGAATGCATACTGTTATGACTTTGATGTTTTCTTAATGAAATAACTCCTTTATAAAGATAAAATGTCTCTTTTAATTCTCAGTAGTATTCTTTGTTTCTCATATGGTGCTCACCCATCAAGTCAAATGACTGATGTATCTCCAGGTCATCCTGTCCTTGCCCTCCAGCTCCACCTTGGATGGGAGTCTACATCTCAAAAGTTCCTGAGATTATGTTCCCTACCGCCCTAGGCATGATGGATCTCAAATCAGAGATTAAGTTTAGTTATGGAGAAAATAAAGAAATAAAATTAAGAAAGTAAAAGTTCTCTGCTTTGTTGTGTTATGACTACTGGCTGGAGGCTGCATGCTCTTTAATGTCACAGACAAGTGCCACTCTGTTCCTCCCATGCTCCCTGCATGCCAGCTGGTCCCACAGTGTCTCTTTCTTTCTTGGCTTCCTTTTTTTTTGTGAGGCAGGGTCTCACTCTGTCACCCAAGCTGGAGTGCAGTGGCACGATCTCAGCTCACTGCAACCTCTGCCTCCCCGGTTCAAGTGATTCTCCTGCCTCAGCCTCCTGAGTAGCTGGGACTACAGGCATGTGCCATCACACCCAGCTATTTTTGTATTTTTAGTAGAGATGGGGTTTCACCATGTTGCCCAGGCTGGTCCTGAACTCCTGACCTCAAGTAATCCGCCTGCCTCAGCCTCCCAAAGTACTGGGATTATAGGTGTGAGCCACCATGCCCAGCCACATGTGGCATTTTAATTCGGCAGGAAAGGGTGGAATTATGTAATGAGAGGCGCTGCAGTCAGCTCACTCCCTATCTGGAAGAAAATGCACCTGGGCCTGTCTCTTACACTAGCCCACAAAACAAATTCCAGAAGAGATTTATTAAATAAAAAAAAAAACCATAATATGAATCTTGTAAAAAAAATGTAAAATATGAGAAGACCTTCTCAACCAAGACTGGAAACGCAGAAGTTATGAAATTTGACAATTTATTTATTTATTTATTTATTTTGAGACAGAGTCTTGCTCTGTCGCCCAGGCTGGAGTACAGTAGCCCAATCTCGGCTCACTGCAAGCTCCGCCTCCCAGGTTCACGCCATTCTCCTGCCTCAGCCTTCCGAGTAGCTGGGACTACAGGTGTCTGCCACAACGCCCAGCTAATTTTTTGTATTTTTTAGTAGAGACAGGGTTTCACCATGTTAGCCAGGATGGTCTCGATTTCCTGACCTCATGATCCGCCTGCCTCAGCCTCCCAAAGTGGTGGGATTACAGGCGTGAGCCACTGCGCCGGCCGAAATGTGACTATTTAAATGTATGCATGCCAAAAGAGGATGGAGACAAACTATAGGGACAAAGGAGAAACTCAGAAAAAATGTTTACACAGCTGAAGGCAATAGCAGCTTAATATCACCCCATAAAAGGGGTTTTTGCAAATCAAGAAGTGGACAACGCAACAGAAAAGTGGGCTAAACATACAGAGGAGCAATTCACATAAGAAAAGTTCCAGTGGCCAACAAACAAAAGAAAAGGTGCTGCTTAATCTGGCTAAAAGATTGGGGAATGCAAAGTAAAGTTATACTACTATACCCATCAGCTTGGCAAGAATTAAAAAGGCTTTGTGGCCAGGCATGGTGGCTCATGCCTATAATATTAGCACTTTGGGAGGCCAAAGCAGGAGCATTGCTCAAGCCAGGAGCTGGGCTACATGTTCTCAGGACCTCTTGAGACTGCGCCTCAGGACAAAAAAAAATACATCTATATCTATATCTATATATGATATCTATATGATATATAGATATAGATATATGATATGGTTATATATGTATGATATATATATATACTATATCTATCTATATATCCTATATATAATATATGGTTAGGCTTTGTATTCCCACCCAAATCTCATCTTGAATTGTAATCACCAGGTGGAGGTAATTGAATCATTGGGGCAGCTTCCCCCATGCTGTCCTCATGATAGTGAGTGATTTCTCATGAGAGCTGATGGTTTTATAAGAGGCTCTTTCCCCTTCGCTCGGCGCTTCTCCTTCCTGCTACCTCTTGAAGAAGGTGCCTTGCTTCCCCTTCACCCTCTGCCTTGATTGTAAGTTTCCTGAGGCCTCCCCAGCCATCCTGAACTGTGAGTCAATTAAACCTCTTTCCTTTATAAATTACCCAGTCTCAGGCTGTTCTTTATAGCAGCATGGAAATCGACTAATACTATATATATACTTATATATATAAGTTGTATGTATAATATACATATATATATGAGCTTTAACATCTATTAATGATGGGGATATGGGGAGATGGAAATTTTCATACTTTTTTGTGGATAAGAGATGTTAATTTTTTAAAACTTAGCTGATATCTAGTAAAATAGAACGTTCTTACATTTTCAGCCCAGCAATCTCATTCATGCGACTCCATCCCTTAGACCCTATGAGGAATTTATTGTTCACGTTGTCATAAAACTGGGAATAAAGCAAAGGCCCACAGAGAGCCACATTCCACACTGTGGAGTATTAAAGCCATTAAAAATAGCAGAGAATGTTCCACAAGCTACTGTTGAACAAGAAAAGTGCATTTGGTAAAAGCAATTGTGACTAAAAACAAAACGCTAGACACATCCCATGTATATACATTTACAGAGACTCCAATTAGATATAGGTTTTTTCTTACTTATAAGAGTATGGGTAAAATACAGAAGATACATATCAGGGTGTTAATCTGGGTTACCTAGGGGTAGAGTGGGAAATATGGGTGGAGAGAAGGAGAAGTCAAGCAAGAAAGACAAAGAAAAAATAGACTGCATTAAAAAAACATGTATTATGAGCTGGGCGCAGTGGCTCATGCCTGTAATCCCAGCATTTTGGGAGGCTGAGGTGGGCAAATTACTTGTGTGGGTGGCAAGCCACCCAGGCGACGAGGCAAGAGACAGAGGACACAAACTGTTCCAGCATAATAAAATATAAAACAAGAACAGTTATACCAGATATAGATCTTAAATATGATTATATATATCATTAATTAGTTTGTAGCAATTACTTTTTATTCCAATATTATAATAATCCTCGCTCTATAATCATAGCCTAGGAAAAACCAGGCCATACAGAGATAGGAGCTGAGGGGACATAGTGAGGTGTGACCAGAAGACAAGAGTGCAAGCTTTCTGTTATGCCCGGACAGGGCCACCAGAGGGCTCCTTGGTCTAGCGGTGACACCAGCGTCTGGGAAGACGCCCGTTGCCAGGCAGATGGTGGTCTAGCGGTAGCGTAAGTGTCAAGGGAAAACACCTGCTACTTAGCAGACCAGGAAACGGAGTCTCCTTTTCCCCGGAGGAGTTTAGAGAAGACTCTGCTCCTCCACCTCTTGTGGAGGGCCTGACATCGGTCAGGCCTGCGGACCGTGGTCTAGCAGTAGCGTAAGTGTCAAGGGAAAACACCTGCTACTTAGCAGACCGGGAAAGGGAGTCTCCTTTTCCCTGCAGGAGTTTAGAGAAGACTCTGCTCCTCCACCTCTTGTGGAGGGCCTGACATCAGTCAGGCCTGCCCGCAGTTATCCAGAGGCCTGTCTCCCTGTGATGCTGTGCTTCAGTGGTCACGCTCCTAGTCCGCCTTCATGTTCTATCCTGTACACCTGGCTCTGCCTTCTAGATAGCAGTAGTAAATTAGTGAAAGTACTAAAAGTGTCTGATATGCAGAAATAATGGCATAAGCTGTCTTTCTCTCTGTCTCCTCTCCCTCTCTGCCTCGGCTGCCAGGGAGGGAAGGGCACCCTGTCCAGTGGACACGTGACCCACGTGACCTTACCTATCATTGGAGATGACTCACATTCTTTACCCTGCCCCTTCTGCCTTGTATCCAATAAATAACAGCGCAGCCAGACATTCGGGGCCACTGCCGGTCTCCGCGCATTGGTGGTAGTGGTCCCCCGGGCCCAGCTGCCTTTTCGTTTATCTCTTTGTCTTGCATCTTTATTTCTACACTCTCTCGATGCCGCACATGGGGAGAGACCCACTGACCCTGTGGGGCTGGTCCCTACAGCTTGAGTCTAGGAGTTCAAGACAAGCCTGGCCAATATGGCGAAACCCCATCTCCACAGAAAATACAAAAATGAGCCAGGCATGGTGGTGCATGACTGGAGTAGTCCCAGCTACTCCAGAGGCTGAGGTGAGAGGATCACTTGAGCCTGGGAGGTGGAGGCTTCAGTGAGCCAAGATGGCACCACTGCACCCCAGCCTGAGCAACAGAATGAGACCCCGTCTCAAAAACAAACATGTATTATGACCATATATTCATCAGAGTTCAGAGAAACAGAAGCAATGGGAGATTTTATATAGATATATATGGAGAGAGAGAGAGAGACATATATGAAACTGGTCCATGCAATCATGGCGGCTGAGGCTGGGGAGTCCCACAATCTGTTGTCTGTAGCTGGAGACCCAGGAAAGCTGGAGGTGTAAGTTCCAGTCTGAGGTTAGGAGATTGGTGTCCTAGCTCCAGCAGTCAGACAGAGAGAGAAAACGCTCTCTTCCTTCACCTTTTTGTGCTATTCAGTCTCTGACTATGATGCTCACCTGCACTGGGGAGGGTCCTCTGCTTTCCTCAATCTATCCATTCAAATGCTAATATCATCTGAAAACACCCCAAAGACACACCCAGGAATAATGTTTAATCAATTATCTGGGTACCCCATAACCCAGTCTATACTTAAAATTAACCATCAAGACTATATATGCATTTATAGAAAAATATATATGAAATGTATCTAAAAACATTTTAAATTTAAAAGTCAGCCCTCCCTCAGAGTGGTCTCACCCCACAGACAAGGGAGTTTACCCTCCAACTCCCATCAGGCATTGGCTGAGAGTTGCTTCAGGAGGTGTTAACTCGTCACACTTCTGGCCTTCCAGATGCATAGGCTGGACGTACTCCTGCAGCCAGGGGAAGCCCCAAACAAAGTTGCAGGTATATGTGTGAGATACCTTGATCAGGGATGTGGGGGATGGGGGCAGAGCACTATCAGACATGTTGCGTTTTTGCAACAATGGGCATAAGAAGGATATTTGAAAATCTTTAAGCACACTATTAGTGGTTAAGAAGACCTATTGATTTTTGGATGCCCATCATGTGCTGAATACCATGCCCGACCCCCAAGTGCATCATCTCTAGGTGTTACCATGATTGTCCCTATGATAAAGCAACCCATGTGTCTCCGTGAATTCTGCAAACTCTGCTGAAAATGGCAAAATGGAGTTGGGGTCCTCTGTGCTGGTGACATTTAGAATGGAAAGCAAGTGCTATTTTGAAGATGACTCAGTCTGAGGAGGCGCTAGTTTTCTCAAGCAAACACTTTTGTAACACCCTTCCAGCCAAAACTCTGAGCTAACGTAGAAGGGTGAGTCCTGTCTTTCTCTTTGCTATCCACTTTGCATGTGGCCCAGCAGGGATGGTGACATTGCTGAGGGTGGACAATCTATACCTGTCCTCTTCTCTCCCAAACTCCAAAAATGTAAGCGCCCTAAGGGCAAGAGGTCTTTATTTATTTTGAGACAGGGTCTGTCTGTCACTCAGGGTGGAGTGCAGTGGTCGGCTCACTGCAGCCTGGAACTCCTAGGCTCAAGCGATCCTCCCTCCTCTGCCTCCTGAGTAGCTGGGAACACAAGCGAGGGCCACCGCCACGCCTGGCTAATTAAAAAAAAAAAATTTTGTAGAGACAGAGTCTCGCTCTGTTGCCGAGGCTGGTCTGTAACTCCTGGGCTCAAGCGATCCTCCCACCTCAGCCTCCCAGTGTTTGGATCACAGCCGTGAGCCACTGGACCAAAAAAAAAAGAAACCTAATATACAAAACAATGGCAGGGTGCGGTGGCCCTAGCACTTTGGGAGGCTGAGGCAGGCGGATTGCAGGCAGGAGTTTGAGGCCAGCCTGAGCAACATCTTTTTCTTTTCTTTCTTTATTTTATTTTATTTATTTTTTGAGATGGAGTCTCTGTCTGTTGCCCAGGCTGGAGTGCACTGGCACAATCTTGGCTCACTGCAACCTCTGCCTCCTGGGTTCAAGCGATTCTCCCGCCTCAGCCTCCTGAATAGCTAGGACTACAGGCAGATGCCACCACGCCCAGCTAATTTTTGTATTTTTAGTAGAGATGTGGTTTCACTATATTGGCCAGGCTGGTCTCGAACTCCTGCCTTGACCTCCCAAAGTGCTGGGATTACAGGAGCGAGCCACTGCGCACGGCCTCTTTTTTTTCCTTCTGAGACACAGTCTTGTTCTGTTGCCCAGGCTGGAGTGCAGTGGCACGATCTTGGCTGACTGAGTAGCTGGGATTACAGGCGGATGCCACCGTGCCCAGCTAACTTTTGTATTTTTAGTAGAGACGGTGTTTTACCATGTTGGCCAGGCTGGTCTTGAACGCCTGACCTCAAGTTGTCCGCCTGCCTCGGTGTCAGAGTTGCATGAACCAGAGCAACTCTATCTTGAATAGAAGCTGGGTAAAATGAGGCCGAGACCTACTAGGCTGCATTCCCAGACGGTTAAGACATTCTAAGTCACAAGATAAGATAGGTCGGTACAAGATACAGGTCATAAAGACCTTGCTGATAAAACAGGTTGCAGTAAGAAAGCCAACTAAAACCCACCAAAACCAAGACGGCCACCAGAGTGACCTCTGGTTGTCCTCACTGCTGCACTCCTACCAGTGCCATGGCAACGGCAGGAAGTTACCGAATATGGTCTAAAAAGGGGAGGCATGAATAATCCGCCCCTTGCTTAGCAGATCATCAAGAAATAACCAGAAAAATGGGCAACCAGCATTGAGTTCCTTTACTTTCCTAACAAACTTGCTTTCACTTTATGGCCTCGCCCTCAATTCTTTTTTTTTTTTTTTGAGACGGAGTCTTGTTCTGTTCCCAGGCTGGAGTGCAGTGGCCTGATCTTGGCTCACTGCAACCTCCGCCTCCTGGGTTCAAGCAATTCTCCAGCCTCAGCCTCCCGAGTAGCTGGGATTACAGGCGCGCACCACCACGCCTGCCTAATTTTTGTATTTTTAGTAGAGATGGGGTTTCATCATGTTGGTCAGGCTGGTCTCGAACTCCTGACCTCAGGTTATCCACCTGCCTGGCCTCCCAAAGTGCTGGACTCGCCCTGAATTCTTTATTGCACGAGATCCAAGAACCCTCTCTTGGGGTCTGGATGGGGACCCCTTTCCTGTAACACTGGGATTATAGGCGTAAGCCACCATGTTCAGCCACCTTTGAGGCAGGAAAATAGGGTCTGGAGGCAGGGAACATATAAGGCTGATTCACACTTCAGTTATGACAGGAAATATCCTCTCCTTAGGGAGTACACCCTAAATGACTTTGTAACTTTACTTCATCCTCTTCATTTACATATGGCATATCCCAAATAACCAATGGAATCCTCCAAAGGGTATTTAAACTCCAACAAATTCTGTAACTGGGCCCTTGAGCACCTATGCTCAGCCGGCCCCAACACTGGAGTGTACTTTCATTTTCAATAAATCGTTCATTCCTTCCTTGCTTTGTGCATTTTGTCCAATTCTTTTTTTTTTTCTTTTTCTTTGAGACAGAGTCTTGCTCTGTCTGGAGTGCAGTGGCGCAATCTCGGCTCACTGCAAGCTCTGCCTCCCGGGTTCACGCCACTCTCCTGCCTCTGCCTCCCGAGTAGCTGGGACTACAGGCGCCTGCCACCACGCCCAGCTAATTTTTTGTATTTATTTTTAGTAGAGACAGGGTTTCACCGTGTTGGCCAGGATGGTCTCAATCTCCTGACCTCGTGATCCGCCCGCCTCGGCCTCCCAAAGTGCTGGGATTATAGGCGTGAGCCACCGCGCCCAGCCGTTTTGTCCCATTATTTTAGATGCCAAGAACCTGTACACCCTCCACCGGTGACACCTTCACAGTTTTGAGGAGTATTCATGGGGTATTTTGTAAAATGTTTCTCAATTGGGATTTGTCTGATGTTTTTCTCATGATTAGACTGGAGGCAGCTGGGATTACAGGTGTGAGCCACCATGCCCAGTCTCCAAACCCTGTTTACACAAAAATTTTAAAAAACTAGCCAGGCTTGGTGGTGCGCGCCTGTAGTCCCAGCTACTAGAGAGCCTGAGGTGGATCACTTGATCCCGGGAGGGGGAGGCTGCAGTGAGCGGAGATTGTGCCTCGCTGGCTGCACTCCAGCCCGGGCGAGAGAGCCAGACCTTGTCTCAAAAAAAAAAAAAAAAAAAAAAAAAGCCTAATATGGCTGAGGGCGGTGGCTCACGCCTGTAATCCCAGTACTTTGTGAGGCCGAGGCGGGCGGATCACGAGGTCAAGAGCTCTAGACCATCCTGGCCAACATGGTGAAACCCCGCCCGTACTAAAAATACAAAAATTAGTTGGGTACTCGGGAGGCTGAGGCAGGAGAATCGCTTGAACCCGGGAGGCGGGGGTTACAGGGAGCTGAGATCGCGCCACTGCACTCCAGCCTGGCGACAGAGCGAGACTCCGTCTCAAAAATAAATATATACAAATTAAAAAAGCCTAATATACAAAATAAAGCTAGGAATCTTCCCTGAGTCCTCTTGCCTACGGAATGAAGTCCACAGACTTGGGGGAGCGTTCGAACCCTTCTAAGGCCACTTCCTTTCTCCAGCCTCTCGCGCCCAGTTGACTCCCGGCAACACCTCCCGCCGCCACAAGGAGACGCCCGAGGACTTCCCTCCGACAAAGCCAAAAACGGTATTGCCACGTGACCCGCTCCGCATACACGTGACCAGCTTCGCACCCGGTGGGCGTCACGTGACGGACTCAGTAGACCGCCACTGGCTGTGCACGTTATGGGGTTTCCACCTAGGGCTCGGCCTGAGGCTTGTAACACTCCGTTTTCCCCCGAGTCACAGGGGCAGTCTTGCCCCTCGCAGCTGGGTCGCGGTGTCTCTCAAAGGTCCCCCTCTACAGGGGCTTCGTGAGGCCCGGGCCCACAGGGCGCTCGGTCCCGGAAGTGACGTCTCCCAGAGGGGCCGGAAGTGGCAGTGGAGGGAGGGAAGATGGCGGAGGTGGTGAGTCCGGTGCCCGGGGCGGGGCGGAGGGAGCCAGGGGAGGTGGGTAGAGCCCGAGGCCCCCCAGTAGCCGACCCTGGCGTCGCGCTGTCTCCCCAGGGGGAGATAATCGAGGGCTGCCGCCTACCCGTGCTGCGGCGGAACCAGGACAACGAAGATGAGTGGCGTGAGTGACGTTGGGGGGCGGGACTAAGGAACCTGAGGGCGAGGGGCGGGAGTCAACTGAAATCCCGGGATGGGGAGGGGCGTCTGGAATTATGGGGCGGGCGAGGCGCAGATACTTTGATGAAGGGGCGTGGCTCTTAGCTGCTCCGAGAGGTACAGGGCGGGGCCTGGAAAGGGGTGGCACTTGTGACTGAAGGAGGCTTAGGAGAGACCTAAGTGCTGGAGCTTAGGGATCCGGCCTGGGGGTGGAGTTCAGGTCGTGGAAGGGTGGAGTCTCATAGCCTGGCCTGTCTAAGGCCCCTGTCTATGCTATTCTCATAGCCCTGGCCGAGATCCTGAGCGTGAAGGACATCAGTGGCCGGAAGCTTTTCTACGTCCATTACATTGACTGTGAGTTCTGGGCCTGAGGTGGGGCATCAGGGTAGGGTTGGGGGACAGTCTTTGGCATTCTGTCCTGAGCCATCCCCACTGCTACAGTCAACAAACGTCTGGATGAATGGGTGACGCATGAGCGGCTGGACCTAAAGAAGATCCAGTTCCCCAAGAAAGAGGCCAAGACCCCCACTAAGAACGGACTTCCTGGGTCCCGTCCTGGCTCTCCAGAGAGAGAGGTGGTGAGTAGGTCCCCCACTTCACCTTTTCTCTCCTGCCTCCTATTTCTCTTGTCTGTTGGCATTAGGAGCTCCTGGATGGGCAGGAGGCGGCTCCCTCTCACCCTGACTTCATCTTGCAAAGGATGGGGGCCAAATTGCACATGTAGCTCCCAGAGTCCAGTAGCTAGTCCTGTGTCCTTCAGAAGGCGAGGGTGGGGTTTGATAATTTTGAGGTGAGGGACCCCTCTTCCCCTTCCCCATCCCACTGCCATCCCCGCCCCAAAGGAAGACCCTGGACCTATCTCTACAGCCGGCCTCGGCGCAGGCCAGCGGGAAGACCTTGCCAATCCCGGTCCAGATCACACTCCGCTTCAACCTGCCCAAGGAGCGGGAGGCCATTCCCGGTGGCGAGCCTGACCAGCCGCTCTCCTCCAGCTCCTGCCTGCAGCCCAACCACCGCTCAACGGTACCCTCAGCAATTCCAGGGACCTTGCTTTCTTCTCAGGTCCCACCTTCTCTACCTTCTGACCCACCTTTGTTGGTTTCTCTCTGCAGAAACGGAAGGTGGAGGTGGTTTCACCAGCAACTCCAGTGCCCAGCGAGACAGCCCCGGCCTCGGTTTTTCCCCAGGTGAGTTCCCCAAACCATCTCTTGTTCTCTTCCTCTCTTCTACTCTCTGGTGGCTTTTTTCAGGCTCATTTCACAGCCATCCCTTCTTTTCCTACTATCTCGGCAGAATGGAGCCGCCCGTAGGGCAGTGGCAGCCCAGCCAGGACGGAAGCGAAAATCGAATTGTTTGGGCACTGATGAGGTGGGTCTGGGGAGCAGCAGAAGGGAACTGGGTGAAAAGGAAGGGATGCAGGCAGGGTGGAGAGTTATTTAGTGATGAGTTTAAAAATAAAGAAGGGGTGGTGGGCAGAGCTAGTGTTGGTGGGATTAGGAGACAGGCAGAACATTGTTCAAATGAGTCATTGGGGCCGGGCACCATGGCTCATACCTGTAATCCCAGCACTTTGGGAGTCCAACCAAGGCTGGTGGATCACCTGAGGTCAGGAGTTTGAGACCAGCCTGGCCAACATGGTGAAACCTTGTTTCTACTAGAAATACAAAAATTAGCCAGGCGTGGTGGCGGGTGCCTGTAATCCAGCTCGGAAAGCTGAGGCAGGAGAACTGCTTGAACCCCGGAGGTGGAGATTGCAGTGAGCCAAGATCGCGCTACTGCCCTCCAGCCTGGGCGACAGACTGAGACTCCATCTAAAAAATGGGGTCATTGGGTGATCTTTTCCACATCATCGATCCTTTAGGGTTTCAGGTTTTTTATCTGGAAATTGGGGATCATGGTACCTCCCCCTTAGGGTTGCTGTTAGGCTTGAAGGAAACCTGTCAAAGGGCTGTGAGCTGTGGTGTCCTGCTGAGCTGTCTCTTACAACCTGGTATTTTCCACTGGCCCTGGGCAGGACTCCCAGGACAGCTCTGATGGAATACCGTCAGCACCACGCATGACTGGCAGCCTGGTGTCTGATCGAAGCCACGACGACATCGTCACCCGGATGAAGAACATTGAGTGCATTGAGCTGGGCCGGCACCGCCTCAAGCCGTGGTACTTCTCCCCGTACCCACAGGAACTCACCACATTGCCTGTCCTCTACCTGTGCGAGTTCTGCCTCAAGTACGGCCGTAGTCTCAAGTGTCTTCAGCGTCATTTGGTATGAGGGGTCCAGGGAGGCTGCCTTCCCAGCACCCTCCACGTTGCCCTTGTTCCTGATCCTCCTCTCTTCCCCAGACCAAGTGTGACCTACGACATCCTCCAGGCAATGAGATTTACCGCAAGGGCACCATCTCCTTCTTTGAGATTGATGGACGTAAGAACAAGGTTAGTGCTTGAGAGGCAGTGAGGCGCTGGGGTGAATCAAATGACAGCTTCTTCTTGCTCAGGTAAACACTGACCAGTCAAGCCAGCAGATCAGTCCAGCCCATTTTTATTGAGTTCCTGCTGTCTGGCAGGTGCTGGTAGCCAGGAATGAGACAGTCTCTGTTCTCTGACAGCTTAGTCCATGGGAGAGACAGTCATACCAATGACCTCTAGCTCCCAGTGTCCTAAGTGTCATGAAACAGAGGGTAGGTTAGCAGGACCCAAAGGAGGTGGTCAGCAGAGCTTCATAGAGGGTTACCTTTCAGCCTTGGTGGATGACAAAGTGGCTGAGGGGATTTCTTGCAGTGGTGTTCTGAAGAGTAGGCATGGATGCACAAAGGTGGTCTTTGTGAAAGGCAGAGATCATTCTGGTTGGGAGGCAGAAAAGGGAGGATGAGGGAAGGCTCGTACATGGGACAGAGCTTAGGTGATGAAGATGCTGTGTTAACCACCATTTTGTAATTATTAATGTGGACCTGGGCATCCAAGTGGCAGTACCCAGCAGCAGGCGGTTAAAAAGCAATTCCTGGGCTGGGCACGGTGGCTCACACCTGTAATCCCAGCACTTTGGGAGGCTGAGGCGGGCGGATCACAAGGTCAGGAGATCGAGACCATCCTGGCTAACACGGTTAAACCCTGTCTCTACTAAAAAGTACAAAAAATTAGCTGGGCGTGGTGGCGGGTGCCTGTAATCCCAGCTACTCGGGAGGCTGAGGCAGGAGAATGGCGTGAACCCAGGAGGCAGAGTTTGCAGTGAGCCGAGATTGCACCACTGCATTCCAGCCTGGGAGACAGCAAGACTTCGTGTAAAAAAAATAAATAAATAAAAAGCAATTTCTGGCTGGGCACAGTGGCTCATACCTGTAACCCCAGCACTTTGGGAGGCCAAGGTGGGCCAATCACTTGAGCCCAGAATTTCGAGACCAGCCTGGGCAACATGGAGAAACCCCCAGGTACTCGGGAGGCTGAGTTGGGAGAATCACCTGAGCCTGGGAAGTCAAGGCTGCAGTGACCCACGATTGCATGATTGCACCACTGCACTCCAGCCTGGGTGACAGGAGTGAGACCCTGTGTCAAAAAAAAAAAAAAAAAACCCACAATGTCTGAAATGCAGGAGAAATCGTGTGCAGAAGTAAAGCAGCAGGATTCATAATTTTGCTGGGGTAAACCCTAAGGCAGTTATTTTGTTAAATTCCAGAATTCCTTAACTCTGTTGTAGAGTAGCAGATCAGTTCCCAGGAGGTGTGACTGTGGATGTAGAATGTTAGGTTTTTTAACAGCTAGACTCCCAAGACTGTTAGATAGGGAGTCAGTGGTCAGAGTCTCACTTTGGACACATTAGTTTGAGGAGCCGTGGTCAGAGTCTCACTTTGGACACATTAGTTCGTTGGCTGCTGTTAAAAAACATTAAAAGGCAGTGGTCTCTCCTGGTCAGGCTTAGAATGGAGGTGTGCGGAGCAAGGCGGGAAACTTGCCTGACTGAGCAGGGAGGCACTCAGACACCATCACACATCTGGCACACAGGCTTTTCAACACTGAGGAGCAGCCCTGCCTAAGCTGCGGGCTGGTGGAGTGGGTCAGGCCCAGCCAGGGAAGAACACTCATCACCTAGCAGCCTGGGGCATAGCACGAACAGTGAAGCTCCTGGTTGACCCTGAACCACTGGCCAGGCTCAAGGCGGGATACCCAGAGTGGTGACAAGCCTTTTCTCTTGCAGAGTTATTCCCAGAACCTGTGTCTTTTGGCCAAGTGTTTCCTTGACCATAAGACACTGTACTATGACACAGACCCTTTCCTCTTCTACGTCATGACAGAGTATGACTGTAAGGGCTTCCACATCGTGGGCTACTTCTCCAAGGTCAGTGCCTGCCCAAGCTGTCCCTGTGCCCTGTCCTGAGCCAGATCCCTTCCCTGACACTCACCTGTCCCCCTTCTCCAGGAGAAAGAATCAACGGAAGACTACAATGTGGCCTGCATCCTAACCCTGCCTCCCTACCAGCGCCGGGGCTACGGCAAGCTGCTGATCGAGTTCAGTGAGTATGTGTGCTGCGGCCAGGGGGTAGTGGACCCACTATCGGTGCCTCACAGGCAGATGGGCCAGGCTACTGTGATTCTCAACCCTGGCTGTGCAGCCCAGCCTCTAGGGGAACCAGCCAGAAATAACAGTGGCACTCTCCCGGGGTTCTCTCCGTTCAGGCTGACTGCCCTGCTTATCTGGGGTAGGTTCTCAGCCCCCCAGTTTGCTCCTTGGCCAGGGTTCTAAGTGCCACTCAGCTTTCCCCAAATCTGACTTACGTGCTCCTGCCTGGAGCCATGGGCAGAAGGTTAGTGAGCCGCTGGTGCTGATGTATCTGGTAACGTGTGCCATGATACGAGTACTGGGGCAAGGACCAGTGGCTAATGTCCCCAGTTGTCCCCTGAGCCTTGCAGGCAGGTATCCAAAATGCTGTCAGCAGATAGACATAAGCATGTTGTCCCTCGCTCCTTGTGTCCAGTGAGGTCAGTCTCTTAAAGCCAGAAGGGACTCTGAACTTCATCACACATGGGCTCTTCAGTGCCCTCCCCAACCCTGAGGCCCCTTCTTCCCAGCCTCTTACTCCCCATCACCCCCCATTCTGTCTGTCTCACCACTCACTTGGAATAACCAAGCTCTGACCTGAGAAACAAGGAGGAAGTTCTAGCTGTTGACCTGGTGAAGACACAGAGGCTTTACCTGATCAAGGTTATGGTCCATTCGAGAAATTTTATTGGTTAAATGATGCCCAGATGGGGTCACATCCTCAGAACTTCTCAGCCTGGTAGCACAAGTGGATGCTTGAAGAAACTCAGTCTTGGAACTCAGACAGCAATGGAGACGGGATGTGAGTGGGACCAGCAAGGGGCTAAGGTCCATTATGAGGGTGAGGAAGGGCTTCTAGAAGTAACAAACATCCCAGGTCCCTGACTGGGGAGAATGAAGACACTGACCAAGAGATGTGAAGCCACTCAGGGCTGTGCAGGGTCTGAGGATCTCACTGGGGACGGCCTCCCAGCGGCCAGCTATCAGCACGAGTTGGAGGGAAAGAGCCATGGTGGGGGTCAGTCACGTGGCTCCCAGGAATGGTCTCCCCGACTTAGGAAGCACCTTGGTGCACCTTTTCTCCTTGCATCCTCACAACCACCCAGTCAGGCCACTCAAGTCTTACAGCAGGTGACACTCCCAAGGTCCCAGCTAGGAGGACTTTGAGAATTCAAGCATTCTCAGGTCTGGATTAGAGACAGGAATCTGTCTCCACTTCCTTACATGGCTAGACACAGAGCCCGGGATGGCAAAGGAAAATTGGAGGCCCCTTCTTCCCATGAGCCATTTTCTCTGCATCCCCTGCCCATAAGCCTTCACTGGCCTCTGATCACCCTCATGGTTGACTGCAGCTGCTCCTCTCAGTGCCCTCATGCCCTCCACTGTGCTCAGCGCACGGAAAGAGTGAATACTCAGTTCTTCCTGAGGGAACTGAGGCACAGAGAAGTGGAGGGCATAGAACTGCCAAGTGGCAGGGCCATGATAGGAACTAGGCAGCCTGCCTTGGCAACCTGTGTTTTTAAATGTTGCTTATGTTCATCTGTGACCTCTTACTCACCCTCTCCTGCTCCATTGCTTTAGGCTATGAACTCTCCAAAGTGGAAGGGAAAACAGGGACCCCTGAGAAGCCCCTCTCAGACCTTGGCCTCCTATCCTATCGAAGCTACTGGTCCCAGACCATCCTGGAGATCCTGATGGGGCTGAAGTCGGAGAGCGGGGAGAGGCCACAGATCACCATCAAGTGAGCCTGGCGCTGTCTACCTGGGGGTACATGGCATGGCTTGTCTGTTCCTGGGCTTTCTCTCTCAGGGCTCCTGGGGACAGATAAAGGTCCTCAGGGAACCTGACCTGTGCTCTCCCACAGTGAGATTAGTGAAATCACCAGCATCAAGAAGGAGGATGTCATCTCCACTCTGCAGTACCTCAATCTCATCAACTACTACAAGGTAGGGAGGCAGGCAGGGGAGACAGGTGTGTGGGATGCAGAGTGCAGTCCTCTGTGGGCTGACCACCTGCTGAACCCATCTCCTCTGCCCAGGGCCAGTACATCCTCACACTGTCAGAGGACATCGTGGATGGCCATGAGCGGGCCATGCTCAAGCGGCTCCTGCGGATCGACTCCAAGTGTCTGCACTTCACTCCCAAGGACTGGAGCAAGAGGGGGAAGTGGTGACCAGACACTGCCCACTGCAGTGCCAAGACGGCAGCAGGACTGGGGCTGATAGCCCACCCCGCCCCCACTGCAGCTCCCACAAAGCACTCTAAGGGAGATGGGGCTGAGGACAGCTCAAAAAGGAGAGGACAGGCCTGGCAGGGGCCCACTGGTGCCCAGCACCAAGGCGAGCTCCGGGCTCAGACCAACTCCAAGGTCAGCTGGCCACAGGCCCAGGCCTCCTCTGAAGCAGGGACCAGAGGGAGCCAGGCAGCTGTGTACAGTGAGAAGGGATCCGGATGGGGGAGCTCTGTACAGAGGGCTGGTGATTGTAAAAATTTCTTTTGTAAAGTAGAAGTTGGGGGTGGGGTGGGTGCTGGCTGCAAAAATTTCTGGCTTCTCTTACCCCTATTGCCCCCGGCAATAAATTGTTTCTATATGCCAGAGCCATGCAAAGTTCTTGGTGGGGAGGGGGAAAGGGCCCATGCTGGCTTAGGGGCTCTAAGGCGCCCAGACTCACAGGTGCTGTGAAGAGCTCCTTTATTGGGGTGATGGAATCGGTTCCAAAGAGCTGGTTTACTGCTGTGAAGGGATCGCAGCTTTGAATTTCAAGCTCTGGTTCTCAGTCCTCGGGCACCTGTGCGTGAATCTGCAACAGGAGTCGCCTCTACTGTTGGACTTGTAAGACAGGGCGGCAAGCTGGCCCCCATACCCGAGGAAGGACCCAGCTGTTCAGAATAACCGCTTCTAGACATGCTAGGAAGAGTGGTCAGGGAGCTACGCTTCCCACACACTACCCAGTAGAATCCTCCAGGCTCCGTCTGCGCAATTGTGCTCCCCAGCCCATCCACCCGGGGGCAAGACGGAACTCCTCGTCTACTCACCGCTGCCGCAAGGCTGGGCCAAGTTAAGGCCCCACGCACTTTGGCATCCGGGCCAGGGATGGTCTCCAGACCCCACAGGGTGAAGCGGCTGAAGTTGGCAGTGGCTCCAATGAAGCGGTCCTGGGGAAGGGGCCTGGCTCAGCATCGGGACTACAGCTCCCGCCCGCACCCCCTTTCAACCCTATCCCTTTGCTCACGAAGTCCCGCTCCAGCGGCTCCTCCTCTTGGTCGTCAGTCCCGGAATCCCGCAAGGGGTCTGGCTTCCCCATCGACACCTTCTTCTCTTCTGTCACCATCACGTATCCCACGAGGCCAGGCGGCACCGCCACCTCCTCTCCCCGTAGACAGCGGCCCCGAAACGACACTTCGAGTCCTGGAGCGGGAGGCGCAAAGGGCCTCAGGCAGGACCCACGCTGGGTCGAGCCCGGAGCTGCCCTCCCGCCACCTCCGGACGGACCACGATCCCCAGGAGCCCAGGCGATGAGAAGCGCGCAGGCCGGCGCGGGGGCTGCCGGGAGCCGTAGTCCGGCCGCAGGGCTCACCCTCGGGGCCCTGGCGGATGGCGGGCGTGAAGAAGCGCCCCACCGGGGCGGGCCCGTCCACCGCAACCTCGCAGGGCAGCAGATGCAGTGTGGCGGGTACGGCGTCGCGCAATGTGGCGGAGCGCAAGTGGACGCGGTGCCTCTCGATGGCCGCTTCGTCGCCGCTCTCCATCCTCCCTCCTACGCGACGCCAGGGCTCGCGAGCTGACACTGAAGCTGGCGCGGAAAGCGCGCAGGACCTCTCAGGAAGCCTCCGCGGGGCCTCACGGGAAGCCGCCGCGGAGCTTCACGGGAAGTGTAGTCCCCTTACCCCCTAACGCTTTCCCTGGGTTCAAGTCCTAGGGTTTTCCAGTTGTGTTTTGTTTTTTTCCTTCCTTCCTTCCCCCCTCCCCTCTTTCCTCCCTCCCCTCTCCCCCTCTCCTTCCCCCTCCCCCCTCCTTCCCCCTCCCCCCTCCCCCTCCTCCCTGCCTCCCTTCCTTCCCCCCTTCCCTTCCCTTCCTTCCCGTCCTTCCCTCTTTCTTTCTTTTTCTTATTTATTATTATTTTTTTTTGACAGAGTCTCGTTTTGTCGCCCAGGCTGGAGTGCCAGGCACGGTCTCAGCTCACTGCAACCTCCGCCTCCCGGGTTCAAGCGATTCTCCTGCCTCAGCCTCCGGAGTAGCTGGGATTACAGGCGCACACCACCATGCCCACCTAATTTTTGTATTTTTAGTAGAGACTGGGTTTCGCCATGTTGGCCAGGCTGGTCTCGAACTCCTGACCTCAGGCGATCCTCCAGCCTCGGCCTTCTGAAGTACTTGGATTACAGGCGTGAGACACCGCCCCCAGCCGGGTTTTTTTCTTTTATTGTTTTTAATGGCACATGTCGTTGTAAAAATCTAAAACGATTCTGAAAAGTACTCTTTTTATATTGATTAGTAGGTAGGTTATTCATTTTTAGTTTATTAGGGACATCAACCCTTTTCTTAAATGCATTGAAAATGTTTTATCTGTGGTCTGTCTTGCAAACCTGTGTAAAGGTGATTTTTGCTGGACAAGGACTTATTTTTGTGGTTGTTTGGTCTTTTAGACAAGGTCTCACTCGCCTAGGCTGGAGTGCAGTGGTTTGATTGGCTCACTGCAGCCTCGACCTCCCAGGCTTAATCCATCCCCCATCCTCAGCTTCCTGTGTAGCTGGAACCACAGGCCTGCGCCACCACGCAGCTAATTTTTGTATTTTTGGTAGAGGTGGAGTTTTGCCATGTTGCCCAGGCTGGTCTTGAACTCCTGGACTCAAGTGATCTGCCCACCTTGGCCTCCCAAATCACGCTGGAATTACAGGCGTGAGCCACTGCACCCAGGACAAAGACTAATTTTTTGTAGTCAAATTTATCAACACTTTTCAGTCTTTTAGATTTCACAATTTTCTCTCTTTGGTTTCTCAGCTCTTCTCTAATGTTTATTTGTTCAGACACCCAACTTAGATATATTTTTTCAAGTTCTCACATAAAACAAACACAAAACTGGAAATTTAGATTTAAATTGCGTTTAATTTATACATCCCTGCACATCTGGGAGCTGGCCTTGGTATTCTGTTGAATATAAACAATTTCAGAGAACATCAGCATCGGACAAGGTCACTCTGTGACCGTGAGGGAGCAAGACAGAAACAGAACCACTCCATCGTCACATCTGAATGCTGGCAAAGGTGAACACTGTCCAAACCACAAAAGGCATGAAACATCCCTCTTTCTCCCATAAGAGAGTGACTGTTGTTTCCTTACCAATTACAGCATTAGCCTCCAACTAATCTTCTCTCCTTCTGGGCAAGACTCATTAAGATAGTCCGTCATAGACATACCCCCACCTCTGACAGCATCCAAGCCAGAGAGAAGCCTGGCTTCCCTAAACCCTGACTGAAATCACTGAACATGGGCACAAATCCTCCTATAAGTCCTTTCTAGCACCCTCTTATTGAAATTCCCCAGAGTGCAGGAGTAATATACCCAATTTGTTCAACTGCAGATGTATTCCTGGTGCTCTTTCACTAGAGTGGCAGATTAATTTAGAAAAAGGCTTGCTTTAGTTTTCTATCAGGAAAGACATAATTCAATTTATTCACATCTCCTTGGATATCTGTACAGTTGTGAGGTTTTGTTCATATATAATAGCTATTAATACATATTGTAAAGTTTATTTCTTCTTAGCTTATATTAATAATTGTTTCTATTAAGAACTGAGGGGCTGGGCATGATGATTCACACCTGTAATTCCAGTGCTTTAGGAGGCCAAGATGGGGGAGGATTGCTTGAAGCCAGGAGTTTGAGACCGGCCTGGGAAACATAGCAAGACTCCGTTCCTACAAAGAAAAAAATTTTTTTAAACATGAGTGGGGCACAGTGGCATGTGCCTGTAGTCCCAGCTACTCAAGAAGCTAAGGTGGGAAGATCACTTAAGCCAAGGAGTTTGAGGCTGCCGTTCGAGTCACGATTGCACCACTGCACACCAGCCTGGGTTACGGAGGGAGACCCTTTCTCTAAAAACCAAAATTGGGGCTTTTATTTTTTTCATTTTATTTTCTAACTGATTTTCTTTTTAATCTATAGCAGGGGTTGGCAAACTTTTTCTGTAAGGGGTCAAATAGTAAATATTTTAGGTTTTGTGGACTTTATGGCTTCTGTCGCAGCTACTCAACTTCACCGTTATAGCATGAAAGCAGTCATAGACAATACATAAATGAATGAGCGTTGTTGTGTTCCAGTAAATCTTTGCAGAAACAGACAAGGGGTTGGATTTGAACCACAGGCCATAGTTTTCAGACCCCTTGTCTATAGCAAACCTGTTGATTTTTATATGTCCATTTTTAAACTAGATATCGACTGAATTATTTTGTTCCTAATGATTTTTATTTTATTTTAAGATCCCCAGAATTAGTCACCTCTCTTTCAAATAATAATTTTTACCTCACCATTACATCTTCTTTTTGTTTTTTGTTTTTTGTTTTTTTTTTTTCATTACACCTTGTAATTTGTTTTCTTTTCTAATTGCCTTGGCCAGTACTTGCAGAACAGTCTCTCAAATGTTACTGGTATCAGAGGACAACATTGTCTTTTTCCTGAAACTTTCACGGGAGTGCTTCTGCTGTTTCACCAATAATCATGAAACTGCCTTTTGACTTGTTATATATGTCTCATTAAAGCTGTACTACTAAGAGCTTTTAAAAATTGGGAGTAGATGTTGGATCTTATTTTTTATTTTTATGTTTTTGGTTTTGCAAGTTTCCTGTAGTCTGGATATTAGTAATTGCATTCCTATAGTGTCAAGGTAATCTATACCTGTATTTTCTGTAATTACATCTAGAAGCTTAATTCGATTCTTTGGGGAGGGGAGAGGGCAAGACTACTTCATGGGTGGTTTTGTGTTTTTCCCTCTTTTTGTGAGGTTAGCAGCCATAGATGATCATTGCCTAGATCCTTTAATTCATTAGAGGTTAAAACGCGTGTGTACGCGCACACACACACACACACACACATATTTTTGGGACAGAGTCTCACCTGGTAGCCCAGGCTGGAGCGCGGTGGCGCGATCTTGGCTCACTCAGCTCAACCTCTGTCTCCCGGGTTCAAGCAATTCTCCTGCCTTGGCCTCCTGAGTAGCTGGGATTACAGGCGCATGCCACCATGCCAGGCTAATTTTTGTATTTTTAGTAGAGATGGGGTTTTACCATGTTGGCCAGGCTGGTCTCCAAATCCTTACCTCAAGTGATCTGCTCCCCTCCCTTGGGCTCCCAAAGTGCTGGGATCACAGGCGTGAGGCATGGTGCCCAGCCTAAAACTGATATTCTAAGTCCTCTCATTTCTTCTTCATTTACTAGCTGAAATAGGTCTATAAAGAAAAACTCTCCCCATCAGCCATTTGATTGCCTGTTGGTACAGTGAGGATAAGAAAGACAAAATAATTAGGCCGGGCACAGTGGCTCACACCTGTAATCCCAGCACTTTGGGAAGCTGAGGTGGGTGGATCACTTGAGGTCAGGAGTTCGGGACCAGCCTGGCCAACACGGTGAAACCTTATCTCTACTAAAAAATACAAAAATTAGCCGGGCGTGGTGGCGCATGCCTGTAATCCCAGCTACTCAGGAGGCTGAGGCAGGAGAACTGCTTGAACCCGGGAGGTGGAGGTTGCAGTGAACTGAGATCGAGCCACTGCACTCCAGCCTGGGTGACAGAGCGAGACTGCATCTCAAAAAAATCCTTTTATTTTCCAGTTCTTAAAATAATGATTTGTTGCCCTAGCATATTCCAATGGTGACCTTTTAAAAATGTTAAATAAATATTAAATAAATAAATATAAATAAAAATAATAAATAATGGATTAACACTTTTATGTTTCACATAATTGTGGTTATTATTCTTACTGAGGTGCAAATTTCCCCATCTTCTGCCAGTGGAAGCCTCTTCAAGTTATCTCCTGAATCTTTCGATATGACCCTAGTGATCTTTTATACATATCTTTGTTTTCCAGTACCACAAGATGTTCCTGGCTCATCTTGTACATTTCCTGCCCCAGACTTGGAATTATACATCTCTCCAAAGATCGCTGGTTCCCTTCAGTGGGAAATGATATTTAGTAATCCAATCTGATACTAGATGTATTCATTGCTACTGAGTTAGCCTTTGTTTCTAGATATTTCCAGTGGACAAAGCTAGGAAATACGCATTTTTTTCCTCTCCTTTTTTTTTTTTTTTTTTTTGAGACAGAGTCCGCTCTGTCAGCCAGGCTGGAGTGCAGTGGCACAATCTCGGCTCACTGCAACCTCCGTCTCCTGGGCTCAAGCAATTCTCCTGATTCTCCTGCCTCAGCCTCCCGAGTAGCTGGGATTACAGGCGCCCACCACCATGCCCGGCTGATTTTTTTATATTTATTTATTTATTTTTGAGACGCAGTCTCACTCTGTCAGCCAGGTTGGAGTGCAATGGTGAGATCTCGGCTCACTGCAACCTCTGCCTCCCAGGTTCAAGCAATTCTCCTGCCTCAGCCTCCCGAGTAGCTGGGACTACAGGCGCCCGCCACCACGCCCGGCTAATTCTTTGTGTGTTTAGTAGAGACGGGGTTTCACCGTGTTCGCCAGGATGGTCTCGATCTCCTGACCTCGTGATCCGCCCGCCTTGGCCTCCCAAAGTGCTGGGATTACAGGCGTGAGCCACCGCGCCCGGCCAGGAGGCTTAGTCTTAATAAAAACTTGGAAAGAAAGATTCCCCTGAGGATCAATTACAACCGAAATGACAGAGCCCCTATCAGGTGTTGTTGAGTATCCCCTCTGCTGCTAAACTTCAGGGAATAACTTGTTGGGTACACCTGTCTAGGATTAAACCTGTTTCTTATGAGTCACAGGCACAAAAGCAGGATACCACGACCTACATCTGTGAACCTTTGGAGGACCTCTGCTACCTATTTAAAAGAATCAATATTCAGCCATAAGTGGTAACGTGACGCCGTGGGTGGGAACATTTTTCTCTTCTTCCTGATTGTAATACTTCTTTTCTGTCGCTTTGGGCAACTACCTCCTCCCAGGAAACATCTCTTGTCCTTGTTGGGTGTAGAGGCCACTCTAAGGCCCAGGTGGATACCATGTGCCACTGTTAATCCTGTTGCTCTCCCAATTAACCTAATCCTGTGTAAGTGGGAACAAAACTTTATAGTAAATATTTCAAAAATTATAGCTTTAGGAAATCATCTTCATGGTTGCTGGATTTGTCATCAACATCCCCAGGATAGAGAATTTCACCTTCTGGCCGATCCAAAAACTCTCTTGGCTAACTCCCTAGCCCTCTTCACCATCCATAGCAATCTCAAAGTACCCAGACCCCGACCATTAGGTGGAAATTTCTGTCGTGCACTTGATGGATTCTACCTGAAATCCCCCACCACTATTGCCTGGACCTGGGAAGGCGTATGTCTAGATCTCCAGGGCACTCATGATTCTATCAAGGCATGTATCTAGATCTCTAGGGCACTCATGATTCTGTCAAGGCGTGTATCTAGATCTCCAGGGCACTAATGATTCTATCTTTTGCAACCACTGTTGTGTTAATGACACAAAAGTGGAAGTTTCCCCACAATGCTGTGACCCAACTGTAGTTGCCAAGTTCCCAAGGCCACAGCAAGATAAATAAGATTCCACTTGTGAGCAAGGAGACCATATACAGTGCCTTCTCCCAGAGCAGAACATACAGAGAAAAAAACAACTGCCTAATCTGGGAAGGTGAGATTACCGCCCCCTTCTGGAAAACAAGGGCTGACCTAGAGGAAGCTTCTCCATCCTTGAATCTACATCTGGTTCGGCCTGCCTACCTCCACTCCTGCCTCCATCGTGTCCATCACGGTGACCCAGAAGCCCTACAAGGCATCCATCTCTGGCCCCTGGGCCTTCAGCAGCCGCTCCTACACCAGTGGTCCCGGTGCCCACATCAGCTCCTTGAGCTTCTCCCAAGTGGGCAGCAGCAGCAGCTTCTGGAGTGGCCTAGGCACCAGCATGAGTCTGGGTGGTGGCTATGGTGGGGCAGTGGTATGGGGTGGGGGTGGGCGACACAGCCATCATGGTGAACCAGAGTCTGCTGAGCCCCCTTAAGCTGGACCTGGACCCCAATATCCAGGCTGTGCATACCCAGGAGAAGGAGCAGATCAAGACCCTCAACAAGTTTGCCTCCTTCATCGACAAGGTGCAGTTCCTGGAGCAGCAGAACAAATGCTGGAGACTAAGTGGAGCATCCTGCAGCAGCAGAAGACAGCTGGGAGCAACATGGACAGCGTGTTTGAGAGCCACATCCACAGCCTTGGGCAGCAGCTGGACACTGGGCCAGGAGAAGCTGAAGGTGGAGGCAGATCTTGGCAACACGCAGGGGCTGCTGGAAGACTTCAACGATAAGTACCAGGATGAGATCAACGAGCGGACAGAGATGGGGAATGAATTTGCCTTCATCGAGAAGGATGTGGATGGAGCTTACATGAACAAGGCAGTGCTGGAGTCTCACCTGGAAGGGCTGACTGACAAGATCAACTTCCCCAGAGAGCTGTGTGAAGAGGAGATCTGGAAGCTGCAGTCCCAGATCTCGGACACGTCTGTGTGCTGTCCATGGACAACAGCCACTCCCTGGACGTGGATGGCATCATCGCGGAGGTCAACGCCCAGTACGAGGAGATCGCCCACTGCGGCCAGGCAAGGCTAAGAGTCTGCACCAGGTCAAGGATGAGGAGTTGCAGACACTGGCTGGGAAGCACGGGGATGACCTGCGTCGCGGGAAGATGGAGAACTCTGAGATGATCCGCAACATCAGCGGGGTCCATGCTGAGATTGAGGGCCTCAGAGGCCATCGCGGATGCTGAGCAGCGTGGGGAGCTGGTGGAGCTGGAGGCTGCCCTGTAGCAGGCCAAGCAGGACCTGGCGCCGGCCAAGCAGGACCTGGCGCCGCAGCTGCTTAAGTAGACAGCTGAGCTCGGCCTCCCGGGGCCTCACAAGCCCTGGCCTCAGCTACGGCCTGGGCCCCAGCCTTGACTCTGGCAGGGATTTCAGCTCCTTCAGCCGCACCAGCTCCTCCAGGACCATGGTTGGGAAGCTGGTGTCCGAGTCCTCTGATGTCCTGCCCAAGCGAACAACTATGGCAGTCCCTCCCAGCCTACCCCCTCTTGCAGCTGCCCCAGAGCTTGTGGGGGAGGCTGCTGTGCAGGAAAGCGCAGGGAACAGGAGACCCACTTGAGGCTCAGCCCTCCTCCACAGCCCACTTGTGTGGGGTAACTCCCTTGCCCATGCCTCCATCACAAAACAATTCCACTGTTTTGTTTTGTTTTGTTTTGTTTTTTCAAGATAAAGCCTCAGCTAGCTCTGTCAACTGTCAAAAAGCAAAAAACAAACAAAACCCAGAAAACCCTACCAGGGTTGTTTGGTCCTCCCCGTTGGAATGGGGGGAGATATCTTGTATCTCCACAGACCCAACTTAGTGGCTAAAGATAGGCATCACACCTCACAGGGCCTCTATTGCACCCCAAATGGGTTCGTTTTCATTTGTGGTCATAAGTGGGAAGAAGTCACATCCCATAACCACTCCTAACTCCCCAGAGGACCTCCTGTTCTTTTAGGAGTAGCTTTCCTTTGTATATCAAAAACTTGGAACAGGGGTGAGTGTATGTTGGCCACCCTTTGGCCTTCCGGGGGTCACCATATAAAACCCTGTAAGACCGAGGAATACCAGAAATGAATGATCAATAGGATTAATTCTGACATGAACTGGAGTGGCATTAGAACTAGTGGCCCCCTGGGGTGGCTTTGCCTACCATGAGTTGGCCCTAAAGAACTGACTCAAACCCTGGAATCATTAGCCACCAACACAGGTCAGGCATTAAAAGGAATTCAGGGATTCCTAGACTCTTTGGCAAATGTAGTTCTTGATAAGAGACTAGCATTGGATTATTTACTAGCTGAACAAGGTGGAGGCTGTGCAGTTATGAATAAAACCTGGACAGGTTGAGATTAACATTCACACGATCTATCAGCAATCTATCTGGTCACATAGATGCTGGGTCACTGACTCCAGCTATATCTGCTCGATTATCAAAAATGCCCTCCCGGCCGGGCACAGTGGCTCATGTCTGTAATCCCAGCACTTGGGAGGCCGAGGCAAGTGAATTGCCTGAAGTCAGGAGTTCGAGACCAGCCTGGCCAACATGGTGAATCCCTGTGTCTACTAAAAATACAAAAATTAGACGTACGTGGTGGCGGGCGCCTGTAATCCCAGCTACTTGGGAGGCTGAGGCAGGAGAATTGCTTGAACCCGGGAGGCAGAGGTTGCAATGAGCTGAGATCGCGCCATTGAACTCCAGCCTGGGCAACAAGAGCAAGACTTCATCTCAAAAAAAAAAAAAAAAAACCCCTCCCAAGTCTCACTTGGTTCTTACCTCTCCTAGGACCTTTGATAGCTGTCTTGTTATTACTAATCTTTGGCCCTTGCTTTTTTAACCTCTTTTTTTTTTGAGATGGAGTTTTGCTCTTTGTTGCCCAGGCTAGAGTGCAATGGCACGATCTCAGCTCACTGCAACCTCCCCCTCCTGGGTTCAAACGATTCTCCTGCCTCAGCCTCCTGAGTAGCTGGGATTACAGGTGTGAGCCACCACACCTGGCTAATTTTTGAATTATTAGTAGAGATGGGGTTTCACCATGTTGTTTCACCATGGGCTGGTCTCGAACTCCTGACCTCAGGTGATCTGCCCACCTCGGCCTCCCAAAGTGCTGGAATTATAGGCATGAGCCACCACTCCCGGCCTGCTTGTTTAACCTCTTAATAAAGTTTGTGTCTTCTAGGTTACAACAGTTCCAGGTAAAGACAATGCTGGCACAAGGTTTCTAACCCATCCATCTTCTGACCTAGAGAATGAAAGCATCCTGCCTTTGGGCCGCCTTGGGTCAGGTATCTGGAGATTTTTACTCCTCTAGTGCTATGCAGGGCCTATTCCCATGAACTCAGCAGGGAGCAGTTACAGAACATGGACCTCCACCCTTTTGCAACCCCTTTCAGATTAAGGAGGAGTATCTGATCTCTGAGGGGAGAATGAGGTAGGAGGCAGGTGGGACTCGACTGTGGGCCAGGTTGAAGACTGGTTGAAACTGGGAAGAGTCTGTGTGTGGTGGCTCATGCCTGTAATGCCAGCACTTTGGGAGGCCGAGCCGGGTACATCACTTGAGGCCAGGAGTTCAAGACCAGCCTGGCCAATATGGTGAAACACCGTCTCTACTAAAAATATAAAAAATTATACAAAAATTAGCCAGGTGTGGTGGCGGGCGCCTGTAGTCCCAGATACTCAGGAGGCTGAGACAGGAGAATCACTTGAACCTGGGAGACGGAGGTTGCAGTGAGCTGAGATTTCATCACTGCACTCCAGCCTGGCTCCATTTCAAAAGAAAAGAAACTGGGAAGAGACACTGAAGGCACCTTTCCATAAGACATGCCCACTAACGCCATGACTGTTTACCATTGCCATGGCAACACCTGAAAGTTACTGCCCATTTTTGAGCTATTTTAAAATAACCGACCCCTTAATTAGCATACCATTAAGAGTGGGTATAAATATAACTGCAAAAGTGCCCCTAGGCTGCTACTCTCAGCACACTGCCTATGAGGTAGCCCTGCATGGCAGGAGCAGTCACGGAGCTGTGACGTTGCCACTGCTTCAATAAAGCTGTTTTCTTCTACCCCCGGCTTGCTCTTGAATTCCTTCCTGAGTGAAGCCAAGAATTTGCCCTGCCTCACCTTGAGATACCATAAACATTTTAGGATGGTTATTTAAGAAATGTCAGTGAAAAACATCATCATGACTTTGATAGGGATTGCATTGAATATGTAGATTGCTTTGGGTAGTATTCACATCTTAGCAATATTAACTCTTCCAATCCACAAACATGGGAAGTGTTTCCATTAATTTATGTCTTCTTTAATTTCTTTCAGCAATGTTTTGTAGTTTCTATTGTATAAGTCGTTTACCTGTTGGTTAATTCCTAAATATTTTATTTTATTTAATTATTTGATTTATTTTATTTTATTTTATTTTATTTTTTGAGATGGAGTTTCCCTCTTGTCGCCCAGGCTGGAGTGCAGTGGCACGATCTCGGCTCACTGCAACCTCCGCCTCCTGGGTTCAAGCGATTCTCCTGCCTCATTCTCCCGAGTAGCTGGGATCACAGGCGCCTGCCACCATGCCTGGCTAATTTTTGTATTTTTAGTAGAGACAGGGTTTTGCCATGTTGGCCAGGCTGGTCTTGAACTCCTGACCTCAGGTGATCCACCCGCCTCAGCCTCCCAAAGTGCTGGGATTACAGGCATAAGCTACCGCACCCGGCCAATATTTAATTCTTTTGAATGCATTGTAAATGGAATTGTTTTTAAATTTCCTTTTCAGATTGTTAGCACATAGAAATGCGACTTTTTATGTGTTTACGTTGTATGTGCTACTTTGTTGAAATCATTTATTAATTCTAACAGTTTTTTTTTTTTGATGTGTGGAACCTTTAGAATTTTCTACATAAAAGATCATATCAGGCCTGAGCCTGGTGGCTTATAACAGTAATCATAGCAAATTGGGAGGCTGGGGTGGGAGAATCACATGAGGCCAGGAGTTTAAGAATGCAGTGAGCCATGATTGTGCCACTGCACTCTAGCCTGGGTAATAGAGTAAGACCCCAACTAAAAAAAAAAGGATCAATGTAATCAGTGAACAGAGATGATTTTACTTCTTCCTTTCCAGTGTGGATGCCTTTTATTTCTTTTTCTTGCCTAATTGCTCTGGCTAGAATGTTCAGTGCTATGTTGAATGGAAATAGTGAAAGCAAGCATCCTTGCTTTGTTCCTGATATTAGAGGAAATGTTTTCAATGTTTCACCATTGAGTATGGTGTTCACTGTGGGTGTTTTATATATGGCTTTTTATTATGGTGAGGGTGTATACTTCTATTTCTAGTTTGTTGAGTGTTTATTTTTATCATGAAAAGGTGTTGAATTTTGTCAAATGCTTTTGCTGTTAGAAGGGGAAGGGTCTGTATACCGAAAACTATAAAACACTGATGAAAGAAATGGAAGGAGGCTGGGCACGGTGGCTCATGCCTGTAATCCCAACACTTTGCGAGGGCCAGGTGGGCGGATCACGAGGTCAGAAGTTCGAGACCAGCCTTTCTAATATGCTGAAACCCTGTCTCTACTAAAAATACAAAAAGTAGCCGGGCATGGTGGCGCATGCGTGTGGTCCTGGCTACTCAGGAGGCTGAGGCAGAAGAATCACTTGAACTCAGGAGGTGGAGGTTGCAGTGAGCTGAGATCGTGCCGCTGCACTCCAGCCTGGGTAACAGAGTGAAACTCCATCTCAAAAAAAAAAAAAAAAAGAAATGGAAGGAAACACATATAAATGCAAAGATATCCCATGTTCATGGATTGGAATAATTAGTATTGTTAAAATGTCCATAGTAACCAAACTACCCAAATCCACAGAATCAATGCAATCCTTATCAAAATTCCAAAGTCTTTTTTTATAAAAAAGAAAAAACAATCCTCAAGTCCACATGGAACCACAAAAGACCCCAAACAGTCAAAGCAATCCTGAGCAAAATAACAAATCTGGAGGCATCATACTCCCTGATTTCAAAATATATTATAAAGTTACTGTAATCAAAATAGCATGGTACTGCCATTAAAAAAAAGATATATCAACACATGGAACAGGATATAATGCCCCCAAAATAAACCCATACATTTATGGCAAATTGATTTTTGACAAAGATGCCAAGAATATACAATTTGAAAAGGATACTCTCTTTAATAAATGGTATTGAGAATGCAGAAGATGAAACTAGACTCTTATCTTACACTATATACAAAAATCAACTCAAAATGGATTAAAGACTTAAATATAAAACAAACTGTAAAACTACTAGAAAAAACATAGAGGAAAAGATCTATGACATTGGTCTGAGCAATGAATTTTTGAAAATGACCCTGAAAGCACAGGCAACAAAAGCAAAAATAGACAAATGGGATGATATCAAACTAAAAAGCCTCTGGGCAGCAAAGGAATCAATTAACAGAGTGGAGACAAAAACAGAATGGGAGAAAATATTTGCAAACCATATATCTGATAAGCAGTTAATATCCAAAATATATAACTCAAACAACTCAATGGCAAGAAAACAAATAACCCAGTGAATTAATGGGCAAAGGACCTGAACAGACATTTCTCAAAATACATATGAATGGCCAAAGGTATATGAAAAAATGCTCAACGTGACTAATCATTAGGGAAATGCAAACCACAATGAGATATCACCTCACATGTGTTAGAATGGCTATTATTAAAAAGATGAGGCTGGGCATGGTGGCTCATGCCTATAATCCTAGCATTCTGGGAGGCCAAGGCAAGCAGATCACCTGAGGTCAGGAGTTCTAGACCAGCCTGACCAACATGGTGAAAACCCATCTCTACTAAAAATTAAAAAAAAAAAAAATTAGCCTGGCATGGTGATGCACACCTGTAGTCCCAGCTACTTGGGAGGCTAATGCAGGAGAATCACTTGAACCCGGGAGGCGGAGGTTGAAGTGAGCGGAGATCTCACTACTGCACTCCAGCCTGGGCGACAGGGTGAAACTGCTTCTCAAAAAAACAAACAAATAAATAAAAATAAGAAAATAAGAAAATAAAAAGATGAAAGAAAAAGTGTTGGCGAGGATGTGGAGAGAAGGGCACTCTTGTACACTGTTGGTAGAAATGTAAATTAGTGCAGCCCTTATATAAAAGAGTATGAAGGTTCCTAAAAAACTCAAAATAGAACTACCATATGATCCAGCAATCCCATTGTTGGGTATATATTTAAAGGAACTGAAATGAATATGTTGAAGAGACATCTACAATCTCATATTCATCACAGCATTATTCACAATAGCCAAGATATGGAATCAACCTATGTGTCCACTGGTGGATGAAAGAATAAGGAAAGTGTGGTGTATATAAAAAACAGAATACTATTCAGCCTTTTTTTTTTTTTCGTAAAAAGGGAATTCTGGCTGGACGCGGTGGCTCATGCCTATAATCCCAGCACTTTGGGAAGCCGAGGTGGGCGGATCACTTGAGGTCAGGAGTTTGAGACCAGCCTGGCCAACTTGGTGAAACTCTGTCTGTACTAAAAATACAAAAATTAGCTGGGCATGGTGGTGCGCACCTGTAATCCCAGCTACTCAGGAGGTTGAGGCACGAGAATCACTTGAACCAGGAGGTAGACGTTGCAGTGAGCCAAGACCATACCACTGCACTCCAGCTTGGGAGGCAGAGTGAAACTGCGTCAAAAAAAAAAAAAAAAAAAAGGAAATTCTATTATTTGCCACAACAGGGATTAACCTGGAGAACATTATGTTCAGTGAAATAAGCCAGGCACAGAGAGACAAATACCACATGATCTCACTTATATGCAAGATCTAAAACTGTCCACCTCATAGCCAGCTGCAGTGGCTCATGCCTGTAATCCCAGTGCTTTGGGAGGCTAACATGAGAGGATTTCTTTTTCTTTTTTTTTTTTTTGAGATGGAGTCTTGCTCTGTTGCCAGGCTGGAGTGCAGTGGCGTGATCTTGGCTCACTGCAACCTCCACCTCCTGGGTTCAAGCGAGTCTCCTGCCTCAGTTTCCTGAGTAGCTGGGACTATAGGCACGTGCCACCACACCCAGCTAATTTTTGTATTTTTAATAGAGACGGGGTTTCACCATGTTGGCCAGGATGGTCTCAATCTCTTGACCTCATGATCCACCCACCTTGGCCTCCCAAAGTGCTGGGATTATAGGTGTGAGCCACTGCACCCAGCTGTGAGAGGATTTCTTGAGGCCAATAGTTTCAGACCAGCCTGGGCAACATAGTGAGACCCCATCTCTACCCCCCCAAAAAAAATTAGTCAGGTGTGGTGATGCACACCTGTAGCTCCAGCTACTGGAGAGGCTGATGCAGGAGGATCACTTGAGCCCAGGAGTTCAAGACTACAGTGAGCCATGATTGTGCCACTACACTCCAGCCTGGGTGGCAGAGTAAGACCCCATCTCTAATACAATACAGTAATATAAAAATGTTGTAGAATGCAAAGTATTGTTCCTGGGTGTGTCTGTGAGGGTGTTGCCAAAGGAGATTAACATTTGAGTCAGTGGACTGGGAGAAGCAGACCCACCCTTAGTCTGGCGTGGCACCATCTAATCAGCTGCCAGCACAGCTAGATTAAAACAGGCAGAAGAACATGGAAGGACTTGACTTGCTGAGCCTTCCGGCTTTCATCTTTCTCCCTTGCTGGATGTTTCCTGCCCTCGAACATCAGACTCCAAGTTCTTCAGCTTTTGGACTCTTGGACTTACACCAGTGGTTTGCAGCTCTCGGGCCTTTGTTCACAGACTGAAGGCTGCACTGTTGGCTTCCCTACTTTTGAGGTTTTGGGTCTTGGACTGGCTTCCCTGATCCTCAGCTTGCAGACAGCCTATTGTGGGACTTCACCTTGTGATCATGTGAATCATTACTCCTCAATAAACTCCCCTTCATATATACATCTATCCTATTAGTTCTGTCCCTTTAGAGAACTCTAATATACCTGTCTAACTGAAACTTTGTACCTTTTGAGCAATATCTTCCCATTTCCCACTCTCCCATGCCCCTAGCCTCTGGTAATCTCTGGATACCTGATCTAAGGGGTCCAACAGGATATTTTCATTTTTCAGGTCATAAGATGGGATGGGTTGAAACCTTGTGCCAGCATCATCTTTATGTGGAATCTAGAAGACATAAACTTAAGTAGGAGGTCAACAGGAAAATTATAATTTGGAGGATGAGAAAATTAATGCATCTATGCCCATGGCATCATGTTTTTTATCTTTGTGTTTGTGAAACAACAGCTTTAAGTCTTATAGGAGCTCACAGGTGTAAATCATGGTGTCCTCCTCTTATGCCGTCAGGGATTCATAAGAAACAGATTTAATCTTGGACAGGTGTACCCAACTAGTGATTCCCTGAAGTTTAACAGCAGGGAAGGTACTTAACAATACCTGATAGGGGCTCTTCCATTTGGGTTGTAATTGATCCTCTGGGGATCCTTTTTAACAAAAAGTTTTTTGTAAGACTAGGTGTTCAGGTTGAACAGAGGAGCTATTTCTTTCCTATGTGGGAAAGGGAAGTACTTTGTTATTATAATTTTTGAAGGGCCTTTGTGCCTAGCCTAAATTCTAAGGGGTGGCACAGTGAGGCATGTTTGGCCCCCTGTTTCCTGTCATGGTCTGACTTCTTTTTTTTTGAAGGCTTCTTTGGAATTCCCTTTGGCTAAGGGACTTAGAGTCAAAAGACTTATAGCCAATTAAACATCCTAGGTCAGAAGGAAATGGAGGTGAGCAGGCACTCATTTGCCCTTAAAATCTTTTAAAGCAATATAAGAGTCAAAAACTAAATGCCAATAATAAGGTTATATGTAAAAAAAAAAAAAAAACAGCATAGAATCAAGCTATATTCGGGGAAAACACTGTTTTCGCAGACCTCTAAGACAAAACATTTTAGTACCAGGGCCCAATAGTCAGAACCAGAGGAAAAAAAGTCACAATGTTGATGAAAAGGTTGATGGAAAGAGCCATCATCCCAGGCCTTCTTAAAGGGAGAAAGAATTGAAAGTAGTGAGACACAACAACAGTTGAATCTCTGAGACATGAATCCAAGACATTTTAAAATAAACCAGGTAGATTATTAAAAGCAAAACTTCCTGTAATTTAGCAAATCAATACCTTAAGAAAACCTGTTGCCAATATATAGACCATTCTCTAGAAAGTCTACCACAGTTTTCCTTTAGTCATAGTCAGCTTAAGCTTAATCATACACAAAATTCCCCTTCACAAACCCCATCATGACCCACATGGACCATCTACAACATGCTTGGACTTTCTGACTTGTCCTATAGGACCCCTTCCTTAAAGAACTCATCATTTTACTCTAGGATAAGAATTTACTACACAAGATCCCTCCTCATATAAAATAACTTTGTATTCTTCCTTGTATCCTTCTTTATATCCTTCCTTGTATCCTTCTTTGTATTCTTCCTTGCAAAAAGTACATCTATCCATAACTTTCTTCATATCTCTCTTTTCTACTTACTGGTTCCTTCATATTTTGAACCTCTCTTTTAATAACTTCCAAATTAGACAAAAATTATTATTTTTCCCAATAAAAAACACACTTTCTTTGGCTTATTTTATATAAATCTAAAGAGCAAGAAATTCTGAACTGCTCATCAGACATTGGCACTCTATAGATGAGAACTATTTCACAGCTTTAAGATTTTCAACTATACATAAGCTCACTGTTTAAAAGCCATCCTAACCATTCTAAAGGCTACAAACATCAGAGGTTCATCTAGGTAAAAATCTTAAAGTTAAATTTTAGAAGACATAACATTCCCTTCAAACTAATAAATTTAGACTAGTCTTATTTTTTAATTTATGAATTCTCTTTTATTTATAAGCCAATTTGATAGTATGCTAAACACAACACCCATCACACAAATGAAGTGACCTACACAAGACAGATGGATCCAAGTTACTTATAAAATTGGGACCTGTCTATCTCAATACATTTTGTTTGCCCAGATACGTAGGGAAGACAGGAAGAGGCAGAGAAGGGACCCCATAGCATCAAATAAGGAAGGGAGGTGGTAAACCATGTTGCTCAAGGGGAGGTCTCAGAGTCCTTGAGCTACCAGAGCATCTAGCAGTGGAGACACCAAAGAAAAATGTTCTGGTGGCCACTTGTCTTCCACTGCAAAAAGCTGTCCATTGGGTCAAGGGTCCAGGAATCTGAGTAAATTTACTTGAGCAAGGTGGCTCATTGGGACATATGGAAGAAGGTTAGTTCTAATATTGACGGGGAGCTTTTTCCCTCGTTTGCTGGGGATGGTTAGGACATTCTCATTGTGAATGGTCCTTTTGCTTATAGTAGGCACATTGATTCTGGACCAGGAGCCAGTGAGTTGGGGGCTCTCATCTGGGCATCCCAGATGGTGATCTTGTGACACTTTCTCAGGATAGGTAATTCTAAGGTGGCAGGGGACTTAAAGTAACAGCTAACAATTGCACTTTTTGGCTATTTCTTTTCTTTTTTGAGACAGGGTCTCACTCCAGTTGCCCAGGCTGGAGTTGCAGTGCATTATCTCAGCTTACTGCAGCCTCAACCTCCTGGGCTCAGGTGATTCTCCCACCTCAGCCTCCTCAGTATCTAGGACCACAGGCATACACCACCATGCACAGCGAATTTTTTGTATTTTTAGTAGAGACAGAGTTTCATCATGTTGCCTGGGCTAGAGCTGTTTCTTTTGTCTTTTTTTTTTCAACTCTTTTTCCCTGTCCCTATTGTTGTAAATTTTAAAGGCCAAGTTTAAATATTGGCTCATAGGGGTTTGAGCTTCCATTGTTGCTTTTTGTAGCTTCCTCCTAATGTCAGGGGCAACTTGAGTAATAAAATGCATAACCAGAAGAGTTTGCCTTCTGGGAAGTCTGGGTCTGCGTTAGTGTATTTCCTGAGTGCCTCAACCAAACAACTTTGAAACAGAGTGGGATTTTCATCTTTTCCCTGAGTTATTTCTCTAACTTTGTCATAATTGGCTGGCTTAACTACACACTTTTTCCTCCACTTTTTTTTCCGGCATGGCACAGCAGGGAGACAACAATACTTGCAAGTCACGGCAAGTTAAATTTAAAAAATTGTCAACCAATTCTTCTATAAACTTTTCTAGATTTTCTGAAAACTGGCCAAATTTTTTGCATAAAGCCAAATCTGACATAGAAAATGGAACATGTATTCTAAGTATCACCCCATTTCCATCGGTTACCTCCTACAATGGACACAAGTTTTATTTTGGAGGCTAATATGGGGCCCCACTCCTGGTGGTACTGGTTGGGCTTACTACCTTGGGAAGTGAGGAATATGGGCTGGGGCTAGTTGGATAAGGGTGCCTGATAAACTTGGGGTGGACTTCCTCAGAACTGGGGGACTGAGGAGACTCCAGGAAAGATGTAGGCCTTCTAGTGGGAACAGCTAGGAGGGAAACCCTTAGGCATGGCTTCCGGGTTCCTGGGAGTAATATGAGCCAATAAAGGACCATAAAAGCCTGTACATAAAGGACCTCCTCCCATTTTCCTTATTTTATATAGAATAAGTCCAATTGTAAAATAGCGTCACAATATATAGAACCAAATCTATATATTAGGCCAAATCTCTTGGTTTTCTAATTTGTTTTGGACCCAAGTGGTGCTACAATAGAAAATGAGTTTCTTTTTCTTTAGGTTGAATTTGAATTTGCTCCAACAGCCTAAAAGACACCCTAGTGGTAAGTCTTCTGGGATGTTCATCATTGTCTCCATGTCTAACAAGGATTTATACTGGACATAGAAGTTTTTCTTTTCTTTTTCTTTTTTCTTTTTTTTTTTTTTTTGAGATGGAGTTTCGCTCTTGTTGCCCAGGCTGTAGTGCAATGGCACAATCTTGGCTCACTGCCACCTCCGTTTCCCGGATTCAAGCAGTTCTCCTGCCTCAGCCTCCTGAGTAGCTGGGATTACAGGCGTGCACCACCACGCCTGGCTAATTTTGTATTTTTTTACTAGAGATGGAATTTCACCATGTTGGTCAGGCTGGTCTCGAACTCCTGACCTCAAGTAATCCACCCGCCTTGGCCTCCCAAAGTGTTGGGATTACAGGCGTGAGCCACTGCGCCTGGCCAGAGGTTTTTCTAAGTCTAGTGAGAGGGAAAACAACTGGGCTCTCATTATTTTTCCCTTTTAGATTCTCACTTCCTGCAGAGGTATAAGCAAGGCATTATGAAAGTGGATTATAGGCATTTTCCAGTGGATGAAGTACGACAAAGAAAGTATTTTTATCAAGCAAAATGTAGAAGGAAAAGTGTAAATGAAGTGACAAGAAAAGAAAATGCTGTTACAGAAAATAACTTTAACTTTAAGGCAGAAAACAAGAAAAGGCAAGACTGAGATTCCCCTAGGGTGGGCCTCTATCCCACAATCCTGAGAGACAGTACCAATACCAAAACCCTTGGAGTGCCCAGGGGGCAGCCAGCAGTGAACCTCAAAGGCCTGGTTGGGGCCACAGAACAACATGACTCTGGTGTCCCAGGGTCAACACAACAGGGGACCTCTCAAAGACAAGTGTTCTGCCTTAAACAACTGCCCAAATAGTTTATCAGGGAACTAAAGCAAAAACTACAAATGAAACATACATTTCAGAGAAAAAATTAAAATAAAATAAAAGGCTGGGCATGGTGGCTCATGCCTGTAATCTTTGCACTTTGGGAGGCTGAGGCAGGTGGATTGCTTGAGCTCAGGAGTTCGAGACCAGCCTGGGCAACATGGTGAAACCCTGTCTCTACCAAAAATACAAAAAATTAACCAAGTGTGGTGGCATGCACCTGTGGTCCCAGCTACTCAGGAGGCTGAGGTGGGAGGATCGCTTGAGCCCAGGAGGTGGAGGTTGCAGTGAGCCAAGATCATGCCACTGCAGTCCAGCTTGGATACAGAGTGAGACTCCATCTCAAACAATGAATACATAAATAAAAAGAAAAAGAAAAATATTTAAAATAAAAAATAAATGAAATGGCAATGGAAAAATGAAAAGATGTTAGGGAAAGGACCGAGAGAAGGAGTGACAAGGACGTAGTTGGTCAGGTATGCCATGGGAGACTTTGAAATGACAATCTAAGATGCCCAAAGCCTTATTTCCTGGCTTACTCAATATCAAGGGGCAGAGGGGACAGTCACCCATCTGCAGGAGCCAAAATGGACTAGTCAGTCTCCAACCTGGGGCCTGGGTTAAGGGCTCCTCCCCAAGTTTCCTCAGCTTGAACAGGCTCAGCTACCATGGGGGGTACTGGCGCACAGGCCAGTGATCTGCTGGTCAGAGTGGTGGGTCCCACACAAGGCAGTGGCTCTGTGGCTGCTCACCTGCCTACTTGGCTCCACTGCCTGCCAGGAAAGGTAATGGCTCTTAAAAGAGCCTTTGGCTAGTCTTACAGCTCTGCAGCTTGTATTGCTGTAGCACCAATCACCATCTCACCTACTCTCATTCATCGCTGTCTTGCTGCCTCTCATTGCCTCTCTCTTATTGCTGCCCCTTCCCTGTCCGCCGCCTTGCCAATCTCTGTCTAGCTGATCGCCATTTCTCACTGTCTCTCATCGTCTCACCTCTCTGCCAATCGTGGATCACCAGTCTCACTGTCAATCACTGTCTCTCACCATCTGTCCACTGATTGCTGCTGTCTCTGCTGTCACATCACTTCTCTGCTGATCGCTGGTCACCACTATCTCACTGCCACTTCACCAGTCACCAATAGCTGTCATCTCTGCTGTCTTTGTCGTCTTTGTGGTCACCAGATGATACAGGACAGGTAAGCCCCAAAACTGGGGCTGAGCTTGGGTGAGTTCTTGGCTTCACCCAGGAAAGAATTCAAGGGTGAGCCAGTGGTGTTAGACAGCAGCAACTTTTACTGAATGGTGCTGCTCCTTGCAGACCATGACTAACTCATTGGCAGTGCACCCAGAGTAAGAAATGTATGGGTTTGGCCAGGCATGGTGGCTCGCATCTGTAATTCCAGCACTTTGGGAGGCCGAGGCAGGCACATCACTTGAGGTCAGGAGTTCCAGACCATCCTGGCCAACATTTTGAAACCTCGTGTCTACTAAAAATACAAAAATTAGCTGGGTGTGGTGGTGAGCGCCTGTAATCCAAGCTACTCGGGAGGCTGAGGCAGTAGAATCACTTAAACCCAGGAGGCAGAAGTTGCAGCGAGCCAAGATGGTGCATTGCACTCCAGCCTGAGCGACAGAGCGAGACTCCGTCTCAAAACAAAACAAAACAAAACAAAAAATGCCAGGCATGGTGGCTCACGCCTGTAATCCCAGCACTTTGGGAGGCTGAGTTGGGTGGATCATGAGGTCAGGAGTTCAAGACCAGCCCGGCCAACATAGTGAAACCCCGTCTCTACTAAAAATACAAAAATTATCCAGGCATGGTGGCGGGTGCCTGTCCCAGATACTTGGGAAGCTGACACAGGAGAATCTCTTGAACCCAGGAGTCGGAGGTTGCAGTGAGCCAAGATCACACCGCTGCACTCCAGCCTGGATGACATGGTGAGACTTTATCTCAAAAAAAGAAGAAAAAAAAAAAGAAATGTATGGGGTCTTGACAACTGTGTTTATATTCACTTAAATGCATTTTCAATTATATTCAAATTAAGGCGTGAGTCAATTCAAATTGAGGGGCTAGTTATTTAGAACTTTCTAGGAAAGAGACAGTAACCTCCAAGTTGTTGGCATGGAAAGGGGTGGTAGCTTCCAGGTCATTGCCATGGCATTTCTAAATGGTCACAGTACTTGTGGGAGTGTCTTATGCTAATGAATAATGAGGGCAGCCAGGGATCACTTTCCTTGCTATCTGCTGGTTCCTGCCAGTTTCCTCACTTTATCCTGTCTAGATCAGATCCTGTTTTGGTCAGCAGTGTTGTGATCAGAAAACAAGTCCTACTGGTCTCCTACCTCAGAAAGAGCATAGGATTGGCTAATTTGAATAACTCTGGTGGGTTTGGGGGCATAGGGGCTGTCCCTTGTTGTCTAGCACCTGGCCCTGATTTGATTCAGGGCAGGAGAAATATTGGTTTGGTGATTGAGGGTTACATAAGAAAGTAGTTCAGAGTATGGGCTCTGGATCACAGGAAAGATGGAAACAACTTTAGCCATTAGTTTGGCCCTTAGGTTAATGGATGCCAAATAGACAAATACAGAATCTAAGTAATCACAGTACAGTGCTCTGAACCAATGACCTATATGTGATGTTTTTTCTCTTTTGGTCACAATACAACAGTCTAGGAACCAAGGGTTAGAGGTGGGAGTGGCTTCTCTTACTTATATATAATGACCATCTGTCTTAGTCTGTTTGGGCTGCTAAAACAAAACCCCATACACTGGGTAGTTTATAAACAACAGAAGTTTATTTCTCACAGTCTGAAGGCTGGGAAGTCCAAGATCAAGACACTATCAGATTCGGTATCTGCCAAGGACCCATTTCCTGGTTCACAGATGGCGCCTTCTTGCCGTATCCTCGCATGGTGGAAGGGGCAAGGCAGCTTTCTTGGCCCTTTTTTTTTTTTTTTTTTTTTTGAGACGGAGTCTCGCTCTGTCACCCAGGCTAGAGTGCAGTGGCGTGATCTCGGCTCACTGCAAGCTCTGCCTCCCGGGTTCATGCCATTCTCCTGCCTCAGCCTCCGGAGCAGCTGGAACTACAGGCGCCCGCCACCACGCCCGGCTGATTTTTTTGTATTTTTAGTAGAGACGGGGTCTCACCGTGTTAGCCAGGATGGTCTCGATCTCCTGACCTTGTGATCCGCCCGCCTCAGCCTCCCAAAGTGCTGGGATTACAGGCGTGAGCCACCGCACCCTCTTGGCCCTTTTTAATAAGGGCACTGATCTCATTCATGACAGTTCCACCCTCATGACTAATCATCTCACCCCAAGCCCTATCTCCTAGTTCCATCGCCTTTACGGTTGGGATTTCAACCTGTAAATTTTAGGGAGACAAACATTTAGACCATACCACCATCTCATTACTTTTCTCAACTCTTATTGAACATAGTTTTGGACTTAGAGAGAACTTGCAAAAGTAGTACAAAGAGTTCTTAAATATTCCTCACCTGGCTTCTCCTAATGGCAGCGGCAGCCCGTCGGGAGCTGCAGCTGCCAAGATGCAGGCTGCAGCGTGGGAGTCGCAGAGGAGGAGGCACAGCCGGGGCTGTGTGGCCCAAGGGGCCAGCGGGAGCTGGGAACAGGTGAAAGCCTCACCCCCTGCCGAGTTGGCAGGGCAGGAGCCAGTGCCCCTGGTGCAGCCGCAGCCACCCAGCTGCAGCTCCAGACCCCAGCATCCCTGCGCTCTTCAGGGCCCAGGAAGCCTTTTGCCCCCACAGGCTTAAAAGTGCCTGCTCCCGCTCCCTGGCCTCTCCCCACTCCTGGCACCCGCTCTGGGGTGGAGCAAAGTTGTGGCCCAGCCTGGGTGCTGTTGCAACCCAGCTGGGTGTGTGCACACTCAAGGTGGCATTGACACGCCAGCCCCCTGCCACCTTGGCCACCTCCAGATTTTGGGCACTGATAAGCATGGGAGGGAGGCCAAGGCGGGGCTGGGTTCGGGCCTGCAGTCTCCCCTCAGCATGAACAGCCTGGGCACCATGGACAGGACAGCATGTTGATGGTGGCAGGAGGCAGACAGGCTCCTGGGCGGAAAGGGGTGGTCCCGGTGAAACCCTACCTTCAAGCCAGAAATGGCCTGAAGCCTGGGAGCTGGGCTGCCAGTTCTGGGTGGAGTCCGAAGTCCTGAGTGAGAATTTACGGTGCTTTTTCCAGGCCCGCCCATGGCCGTCCATGGGCCAATCAGCACGCACTTCCTCCCTTCTGATCCTATAAATACCCAGGACTCAACCAGACTCCAACCGACTTCGGGACTACCAGCAGAGGGAAGCAGCGGCCCACTTCGGGCCTCCTGGACTCTTCAGGATGACCTGTCTGCAGAAAGGAGCTACCCACTGGGGGTCTCTCCTCTGCTGAGAGCTGGTCACTCGGGGAACAACCTGCCTGTAGAAAGGAGCTACCCATTTCGGGTCTCCTGAGAGCTGTTCTGTCGCTTAGTGAAGCTCCTCTCCACCTTGCTCACCCTCCAGTTGTCCATGTACTTCATTCTTCCTGGTCACACGACAAGAACTTAGGACCTGCCAAATGGCAGGACTGAAAGAGCTGTAACACAAACAGGGCTAAAACACGTCCCTGCCGTATCCCCCAACCCTTGCCATGTTGTGAGAGACGAGGAGAGAAGAGCTGAGGCCCTTCCGGGACCCCAGACCTAGGGGCTCCCCAAACCAGGGGCTGTGACAGCCTCTTTGGGGCTCTGCAGTTCCTGGCATCTCCAAGCTTCTGGGTGCCACTGTGTTCCCCTCGTCCAGACACGGGTGCCCGCAGCGGAAGCTGTGTGTATTACATCTGGTCCAGCCGCAGCCTCGCATGGAGCCGGCACCTGTGCTGACACCCAGAGCTGCCTGCCCTGCGGCAGCGGCCAGTGTGCCTGTTCCGCGCGGTGGCTGGACCCCACACTCGCTGGTTCACACACCCTTGGCTTGGCCCTTGGCAGGTGTAGGATCTGTGCTGGTAGCACTAGCCAAATGCAGCCTCCCAGGCCGGGTGTGTGGAATAAGCCCAGTGGGTGCAAAACCCAAGGACAGGCGCCGCGGGCCATGGAGGTTTCCAGCTGGCAAAGCGACACCCTAAGGATACTGTGACACTAATGTTATCATCTTCCATATCCATAGTCCAATGATCAAAACCAGGAAACCTGCACTGATAAAATAAGACTAACTGATCTGTAGTCGTTACTAGAATTTTGCCAGTTTTTCCGTTAATGCCCTTTTTCTGGTACAGGATTGACTCCAGGGTCTCACATTGTGTCTAGTTTCCGTGCCTTCTAGTCTTCTGTGACAGTTCCTTTGTGATTCTGTGATGACTGTGACTTGAGCACTGACCATTATTTTGTAGAGTATCTCTCCATTAGGATTTGGTTGATGTCTTCTCCTAATTAGATGGTCGGTATTTCTGGCAAGAATGTCACGTAAGTGCTCTTGCACCCTTCTCAATGCAGCACATTACTGCTCCTATTCCTGGTGCTTTGATCACTTGCTTAAAGTTGTGTCTGTCTTCTGTCAGAGTTCTCCACTGTGAAGTTACTAGTCTTTATTTTGTAATCATAAGTGTCTTGTAGGGAACTATTTTGAGACTATGCAAATAACCTGTTCCTCACCATGCTTTTGCCCACAGATTTGAGCATTGATTCATGATTCTTGCCTGAAACAATTATTATTATGGTGTTTCCCTAATGGTGATTTTCTATTTCCATCATTCTTTCTACATTTCTTTTCTTTTTGGAGATAGCATTTCACTTTGCTGCACAAGCTGGAGTGCAGTAGTGCAATCATGGCTCACTGCAGCCTTGACCTTCTGGGCTCAAGCAATCCTCCTGCCTCAGCTTCCCAAGTAACTAGGACTACAGGGACACAATACCATGCCCAACTAATTTTTAAATTTTTTTTGTAGAGATGAGGTCTCATTATATTGCCCAGGCTATACATTTTAAAATTTGCATTCTGGGGCTGTTCTTTCTCCCTAATTTATTTATTTATTCAATGATTTATTTACATCAACATGGGCTCATGGATATTTACTCTAAAGATTTTAATTTAGGTCAGGCATGGTGGCTCACACCTGTAATCCCGGTAATTTGAGAGGCTGAGTTGGGCAGATTACTTGAGTCCCGGAGTTTGAGATGAGCCTGGGCAACATGCTGAGACCCTGTCTCTACTAAAACTACAAAAAATTAGCCAGGTGTGGTGGTGCAAGCCTGTAGTCCCTGCTACTCAGGAGATTGAGGTAGGAGGATCACTTAAGCCTGGGAGGTTGAGGCTGCAGTGAGCCCTGATTGTGCCACTGCACTCCAGCCTGGGCGATAGAGTGAGACCCTGCCTCAAAAAAAAAAAAAAGATTTTAATTTATTACTCTCATTATTTATTTTGTTGCTCATCTTGTTCCAGATTTGGCCATTGAGATGTCTTTCAATTTTGCTGCTTTTGTACGTTCATCATTAAAAAATTTTTATATCAATATTTATTTCACCTACCATAAAATTCTCCCTTTTAGTTGGGCATGGTGGCATGCATTTGTAGTCTCAGCTACTCAGGAGACTGAGGTGGAAGGATCACTTGCCTCCAGGAGTTCAAGATCAGTCTTGGCAACATAGCAAGACCCCATCTCAAAAAAAATTCCTTTTAAAGTGTAAAATTTAGTTATTTTAATATATTTATAAGATTCTGGAGTCATCACAACTATCTAATTCCAAAATATTTTCACTACCCCCAAAGGAAATGCCATATTATTTCTCACAGTTTTTTGTTTTGTTTTGTTTTGAGACAGAGTCTCGCTCTTTCACCCAGGTCACTTCCATTTCTCATTTTCCCAGCCTCTGGCAACCACGAATTTACTTTCTTTATGGATTTGCCTATTTTGGACATTTCACATAAATGAAACCATATAATATGTGGCTTTTTGTGTCTGGCTTCTTCTTTCACTTAGCATAATATTTTCAAGGTTTAACCATGATGCAGGATGTATTAGTATTTCATTCCTTTTCATGGTTGAATAATACGACATTATATGGCTATACTACATGTTGTTTATCCATTCACCCATTGATGTATATTGGGTTGTGCTATGGTTAGAGCATTTGTGTCCCCTCCAAACTTCATGTTGAAACTTAATCCCCGATGCAGTAGTATTGAGAGGGAGGGTCTTTGGGAGCTGATTAGGCCATGAGTGCACCACCGAGGACCCAACAATAAGGTGCCACCTCAGAAGCAGAGACTGGACCTTACCAGACACCATGCCTGCTGGAGACTTGATCTTGGATGTCCTAGCTTCCAGAACTGTGAGAAATAATATGTTATTGTTTATAAATCACCCAGTCTGTAGTATGTTGTTATAGCAGCACAAGTGGACTAAGACAGGTTGTTTCCACTTTTGGGTCTTTGTGAATAATGCTATCATGAACACAGATATACATGTTTCTATGTGAATACACATTTTCAGTTATCTTGGGTATATACCTAGGAGTGTGTATCAGTTTGCTAGGGCTGCCATAACAAAATACCACAGGCTGGGTGACCTAATAAACAGAGATTTCTTTAATCATAGGTCTAGAGGCGAGAAATAGATCAAGATCACGGTTAATTTCTGGTGAGATCTCTCTTTCTGGCTTGTAGACAGTCACCTCCTCACTGTGTCTTCACATGGTCTTCTTCTCTGTGCATGTGTGCAGAGAGAGAGCTCTCTGGTCTCTCTTCAGTTTCTTATATGGACACCAATCCTACTGAATTGGAGCCCTGTCCTTATGATTCACGTAACATGAATCACCTCCCTAAGGGCCCTGCCTCCAAATATAGTCACATTGGGGGTTAGGGCTTTAACATATGAATTTGGGGTGGGGGACCAAATCAGCCTATAACAGGGAGTGGAATTGCTGGGTTACATGGTAACTTTGTTTAAGTTTTTGAGGAACTACCAAACAGTTTTCCAAAGCATTTTCATCATTCTATATCACCACCAGCAATGTATGAGGGTTCCAATTAGTCCATGTCTTCACCAGTACTTGATACTGTCCGTCCTTTTAATGGTAGCTATTCTAGTGTTTGTAAGGTGCAATCTCATTGTGTTTTCCTATCTTGCATTTCCCTAATGAATGATTTTGTGCATCTTTTCATATTCTTATTGGACACTTGTACATCTTTGGAGAAATGTCTATTCAAGTCGTTTGCTCATTTTTTGATGAAATAATTTATCTTTTTGTTGTTGAGTTGCAAGAAATCTTCCTTCATGTTTTCCAGATATCAAACCCTTAATCTGTTTTATGATTATCAAATATTTTATCCCACTTTGCAGGTTGCCTTTTTATTGTTGATAGTGTTCTTTGATGCACAATTTAATATTTTGATGGAGTCCAATTCACATATTTTTATATTTTTTCTTTTGTTGCTTATGCTTTTGGTATCATATCTAAGAAACCATTGCCAAATCTAAGCCCATGAAATTTTACCCCTATTTTTTATTCTAAGCATTTTATAGTTTTAGCTCTTATAGTTAGGTCTTTGATCCATTTTGAGTTAATTTTGTATATGGTGTGAGGTGGGGGTCCAATTTTATTCTTTTGAATGTGGATATCCCTTTGTCCTAGCTCCATTTGTTGATGAGATTGTTCTTTCACCCTTAAATAGTCTTGGCACCCTTGTCAAACATTAATTGACCATAAATGAGTGTTTATCTCTGGGCTCTCAAATTTTTTCCATTGGTCTATATGTCAATTTTATGCTAGCAACACTGTTTTGATTACTGTAGCTTTGTAGTAAGTTTTGAAATCAAGAAGTGTGAATCATTTTTCTAAATTTTTATTTTTAGAGCAGTTTTAGATTCACAGCAAAATCAAGCAGAAGATACAGAGATTTCCTATAGACCCTCTGCTCCCACACATGCACAGCCTCTCCAACTATCAATCCCCCACACCAGAACACCAGAGTGGTAGTTTTTTGTCCTGGTGGATTCGAGGCTGGAGTTGCCCCAAAAGCTGAGGTATGGGAATTGCCCCAAACTGTCAGTTAGAATCCAAAGAAAGAAGAACTAAATGCTAGGGTGGTTAGTCCATTTCCCAGGGAAACTTACAGAGTGCTTCAGTGTATCATAACAACAGACAGCAAGAAAAAAGGATGGTCTGTCTAGCTAGGCATGCCTGCAACAAGGGAGTTGGTGTATGAGTTTATATGTTGGTTTAAAGAGCCTGGCTCAGTGCTTGGGCTTGTTTCCTTCAGGGTTTTGAGCAATAACCTAAACACCTTATTCAGTGCCTGGGAATATTCGAGTCCCCGGCTTGGGGTCAAGCCAGCAGAGAAAAACATACAGATGCCAAGGCACTCTGTTTCTCTGTCAGAACAAGAGAAAAAGTGAGGGGGAACGGGGAGGTCTTACATTAGTTACAATTGATGAACATACGTTGGCACATCATTATTATCCAACATCTATAGTTTACATTGAGGCTTACTCCAGGTGGTGTACATTCTATAAGTTTTGACAAATATATAATGATCTGTATCCACCATTATAGTATTAGATAGCGTGGTTTCACTGCCCTGAAACTCCTCTGTACTCCCTGTATTCATCCCTCTTTCTCCCTTAACCTCTGGCAACCACTGATCCTTTTGCTGTTGCATAGTTTTACCATTTTCAGAATGTCATGTAGTTGGAATCCTACAGCATGTAGCCTTTTCAGATTGGCTTCTTTCACTTAGTGATACGCGTTTAAGGTTCTTTCATGTCACTTAATGGCTTGATAGTACATTTCTTTTTAGCAATGAATAATATTCCATTATCTGTTCACCTACTGAAGGACATCTTGGTTGCTTCCAAGTTTTGGCAATTATAAATAAAGCTGCTAAAACATCCATGTGCATGTTTGTGTGTGTGTGTGTACACAAGTTTTCAACTCATTTGAATAAAAGGAGTGCAACTGCTGGATAATATGGTAAGAATATGTCTAATTTTGTAAGAAACCACCAAATTACTTTCCAAAGTGGCTGTACCATTTTGCATTCCCACTTGCAATGAATGAGAGTTCTATTACTACACATTCTCACCAGGTTTGGTGTTGTCAGCGTTTTGGGGTTTTGCCATTATAATAGGTGTGGGGTGGTATCTCATTATTTTAATTTGCAATTTCCTAATGACATATGAGGTTGAACATCTTTTTATATGCTTATTGCCATTTGTATATTTTCTTTTGAGGTGCCTCTTCAGGATATTTTGCTCATTTTTAAATCAGGTTGTTTTTTTTCTTACTGTTGAGTTTTAAGGGTTCTTTGTATATTTTCTCTTCTTTTCTTTCCTTTTTTTCTTTTTTTTTTTTTTTTAGATGAAGTCTCGCTCTGTCGCCTAGGCTGGAGTACAGTGGCACGATCTCTGCTCACTGCAACCTCTGCCTCCCAGGTCAAGTGATTCTCCTGCCTCAGCCTCCTGAGTAGCTGGTACTACAGGTGTGCGCCACCATGCCTGGCTATTTTTTTTTGTATTTTTAGGAAAGACAGGGTTTTGCCATGTTGGTCAGGCTGGTCTCGAACTCCTGACCTCAAATGATTTGCCTGCCTTGGCTTCCCAAAGTGCTGGATTATGGGCATAAGCCACCATGCTTTGTATATTTTCCATAACAGTACTTTTTCAGAAATGTCTTTTGCAAATATTTTTCTCCCAGTCTGTGGATTGTCTTCTCATTTTCTTGACATTGTATTTTACAGAGCAGGTTTTTAATTTTAATGAAGTCCAACTTATCAATTATTTCTTTTGTGGATCAGGCCTTTGGTGTTATATCTAAAAAGTATTTGCCATACCCAAGGTCATCTAGATTTGTTCCTATGTTATCTTCTATGAGTTTTACAGTTTTGTATTTTACATTTAGGTCTATGATCCATTTCAAGTTAATTTTTGTGGAGGGTTTAAGGTTTGTGTCTAGATTCTTTTTTTCTTTTTCTTTCTTTCTTTTTTTTTTTTGCATGTGATGCCCAGTTGTCCCAGCACCATTTGTTGCACAGACTATCTTTGCTCTATTTGTATTGCCTTTGCCCCTTTGTTAATGATCAGGTGGCTATATTTATGTGAGTCTGTTTCTGGGCTCTTTATTCTAGTCCATAGATGGATTTGTCCGCTCTTTTGCCAGTACCACAGTGTCTTGATTACTGTAGCTATATAGTAAGTCCTGAAGTTGAATGGTGTTAGTCCTCTGAGTTTGTTCTCCTTTAATATTGTGATGGCTACTCTGGGTATCTTTGGTGGTGGTGATGTTTGTTTTAAATGTCTCCATATAAACTTCAGAATCAGTTTGTCAATATAAGAAATAACTTGCTGGAATATTGATTGGGATTGCATTGAATCTATAGACCAAGTTAGGAAGAACCGATATCTTAACAATATTGAGTCTTCCTAACCATGAACGTGGAACATTATTTATTTAGTACTTCTTTGTTTTCTTTCATCAGAGTTTCATAGTTTTTAAAAAATATATAAATCTTGTACATATTTTGTTAGATTTGTACTTAAGTATTTCATTCTGGAGGGAGCTGATGTAAATGATACCGTATTGTGTGTGTGTGTTTGTTTTGAGACAGGATCTCAATCTGTCACTGAGGCTGGAGCGCAGTGGTGTGATCATAGCTCACTGAATCCTCAGCCTCCTGGGCTCAAGCAATTCTCCCATCTCAGCCTCCCCCGTAGCTGGAACTACAGGCATATGCCCCATACCCAGCTAATTTTTTTTGGTAGAGATGGGGTCTCATCATGTTGCCCAGGCTGGTCTCAAACTCCTGGGCTCAAGCAATCCTCCTGCCTTGGCCTCCCAAAGTGCTGGGATTACAGGTGTGATCCACTGTGCCCAGCCTGCATTTTTTATATTTTATATTTTTTATTTTTTAGGTACATAGTAGGTGTATATATTTATGGGTTACATGAGATGTTTTGATACAGGCATGCAATGCATAATAATCATATTCAGGTAAATAGGGTATTCATCACTGCAAGCATTGAACCTTTATGTTTCAAACAATCCAATTATACTCTATTAATTGTTTTTAAATGTACAATTAAATTATTTTTTGCTATAGTTACCTTGTTGTGCTAGCAAATAGTAGGTCTTATTTATTCTTTCTAACTATTTTTTTGTACCCATCAACCATCTCCCCTTCCATCACCAGCCCCCACCGCCAACTACCCTTCCTGGTCTCTGGCAACCATCCTTCTCCTATCTCCATGAGTTCAATTGTTTTCATTTTTAGCCCCCACAGATAAGTGAGAACAGGTAATGTTTGTCTTTCTGTGCCTGGCTTATTTCACTTAACATAATGTTCCCCAGTTCCATCCATTTTATTGCAAATGACAGGATCTCGTTCTTTTCTATAGCTGTATGGTACTCCATTGTGTATATGTACCACATTTTCTTAATCCATTTATCTGTTAATGGACATTTAGGTTGCTCCGGAGTCTTAGCTATTGTGAATACTGCTGTAATAAACATGGAAGTGCAGACATCTCTTTGAAATACTGATTTCCTTTTCTGCGGGTATATATCTAGAAGTGGGATTGCTGGATCATATGGTAGCTCTGTTTTTAGTTTTTTGAGGGACCTCCACAATGTTTTCCACAGTGGTTGCACTAATTTACCTTCCCACCAACAGTGTACAAGGGTTGCCTTTTCTCCACATCCTCGCCAGCATGTGTTATTACCTGTCTTTTGAATAAAAGCCATTTTAACTGGGGTAAGGTAATATCTCATTGTAGTTTTGATTTGCTTTTCTCTGATGATCAACTATGTAGAGCACCTTTTCATATGCCTGTTTGCCATTTGTTTGTCTTTTTTTGAGAAATATCTATTCAGATCTCTGGCCCACTTTTAATCAGATTATTAGATTTCTTTTCTAGAGAGTGGTTTGAACTCCTTATGTATTCTGTCAGATGGTGTGATGGTTAATATCGAGTGTCAGCTTGATTGAAGGATACAAAATATTGATCCTGGGTGTGTCTCTGAGGGTGCTGCCAAAAGAGATTAACATTTGAGTCAGTGGGCTGGGGAAAGCAGATCCACCCTTAATCTGGTGGGCACAATCTAATCAGCTGCCATTGAATATAAAGCAGGCAGAAAAACGTGAAAAGGAGAGACAGCCTTCGCCTCCCAGCCTTCATCTTTTTCCTGTGCTGGATGCTTCTTGCCCTCGCACATCGGACTCCAAGTTCTTCAGTTCTGGGACTCAGACTGGCTCTCCTTGCTTCTCAGCTTGCAGAAAGCCTATTGTGGGACCTTGTGATCATGTAATAAACTCCCCTTTATATATAGAGAGAGAAAGAACACTGACTAATACAGATGGGAAGTTTGCAAATATTTTCTCCCATTCTATGGGTTGTCCCTTCACTTTGTTGATTGTTTCTTTTGTTGTGCAGTAGCTGTTTAACTTGACGTAATTCCATTTATACATTTTTGCTTTGGTTGCCTATACCTGTGGGGTATTGCTCAAGAAGTATTTGCCCACTTTGATGTCCTGGAGAGTTTCCCCAGTGTTTTCTTTTGGTAGTTTCATAATTTTCAGTCTTAAATGTTTTTAATTCATTTTGATTTGATTTTTTTGGCAAGAGATAGGGGTCTAGTTTCATTCTTATGCATATGGATATCCAGTTTTCCCAGCACCACTTATTGAAGAGACTGTCCTTTCCTCAATATATATTCTTGGAAACTTTGTCAAAAACGAGTTCACTGTAGATGTATGAATTTATTTCTAGGTTTTTGATTCTGTTCCACTGGTTTATGTATCTGTTTTTATGCCAGTGCCATGCCGTTTGGTTACTATAGCTCTGTAGTATAATTTGAAGTCAGATAATGTGATTCCTCTAGTTCTGTCCTTTTTGCTTAGGATAGCTTTGGCTATTCTGGGTCTTTTGTGATTCCATACATATTTTAGGATTTTTAGGATTTTTTTCTATTTCTGTGAAGAATGTCATTGGTATTTTGACAGGAATTGCATTAAATCTATTGGACATTTTAACAATGTTGATTCTTCCTATCCATGAACATGAAATATCTTTCCATTTTTTGTGTCCTCTTCAATTTCTTTTCTTTTCTTTTTTGAAATAGGGTCTCACTCTGTCACCCAGGCCAGAGTGCAGTGGTGTGATCATGGCTTGCCAAAGCCTTAATTTCTCAGGCTCAAGTGATCCTCCTGCCTCAGCCTCCTGAGTAGTTGGGCCTGCAGGTGCGAACCACCATGCCCAGCTAGTTTTTCTTTTTTGTGTTTTTTGTAGAGTTGAAGTTTCACCACGTTGCCCAGGCTGGTCTCGAACTCCTGGACTCAAGAGATCCACCTACCTTGGCCCCCCAAAGTGCTGGGATTACAGGCTTCAGCCACCATTCCCAGCCTCACTTCAGTTTCTTGCATGAATGTTTTATAGTTTTCATTGTAGAGATCTTTCATTTCTTTGGTTAATTCCTAAGTATTTTATTTTATTTGCAGCTATCCAGCCTGTGTTTTTAATTTCAGATTCCACTTGTTCATTGATGGTATATAGGAAAGCAATTGATAATTTTATATTAATCTTGCATGCTGCAATGTTGCTATAACTGCTCATTAGTCCCAAGGGTTTGTTGTTGCTGATTTTTCCAGATTTTCTACATAGACAATCATGCCATCTTTACCACCTTTCTTCCTTCCCAATCTGTATACTTCTATTTCTTTTTCTTGTCTTAGCATTAGCTAGGACTTCCAGCGTAATATTGAAAGGAGTGGGGAGAGAGGACTTTCTTTCCTTTTTTCTGATCTTAGCAGGAAAGCTTCTAGTTTCTCACTGTTAAGTAAAATATTAGCTATACGGTTTTTGTACCTTTTAAAAATCAAGTTAAGGAAGTTCCCCTTTATTCCTAGTTTACTGAGAGTTTTTTTAAATCACAAATGGGTGCTGAATTTTTTCAAATGCTTTTTCTGCGTGTATTGAATTATCATTTGATATTTCTCTTTTAGACGTGATGGATTACATTAACTGATTGCATACCTGGGATAAATCCCCATTTGGTCATGGCATATAATTATCTTTATGTATCATTGGATTTGATTTGCTAATATTTTGTTGAGGATTCCTGTACCTATGGTTATGAGAGATATGGATCTGTAGAGTTGTTCTGGTAATGTCTTTATCTGGTTTTAGTATTAGATGCTGACCTCATAGAATGAATTAGGAAGTGTTTTCTCTGCTTATATCTTCTGGAAGAGATTTCACAGAACTGGCATAATTTCTTTCTTAAATGTTTGGTAGAATTCACCAGTGAACTCATCAGGCCTGCAGCTTTCTGTTTTGGAAGATTATTAATTATTGATTATTATGGTCTGAATGTTAACAAAATTCATATGTTAAACCTAATTACCAATGTAATAGTATTAACAGGTGGGCTCTTTAGTTTTTAGGAGATGATTAGGTCATAAGGGTGGAATAGAACTAATGCCTTTTTGTTTTTTTTTGAGACAGAGTCTTGCTCTGTCGCCCAGGCTGGAGTGCAGTGGCGCAATCTCAGCTCACTGCAAGCTCCGCCTCCCAGGTTCACGCCATTCTCCCGCCTCAGCCTCCCGAGTAGCTGGGACTACAGGCGCCTGCCACCACGCCCGGCTAGTTTTTTGTATTTTTGGTAGAGACCAGTCTGGGTGACATAGCGATATCCCATCTCTAAAAAAAAAAAAAAAAAAAAAAAAAATCCTCTAAACACTGCTTTTGCTGCATTTCACAAATTTTGATAAGCATATTTTTATTTTCTTTTAGTGCAAAATATTTTTTAATTTCTCTAAGTTTTCTTCTTTGAGTCATGTGTTAGTTATAAGTATGTTGCTTAATCTACAAGTACGGGGATTTTTTTTTTTTTTTTTTTTTTTTTTTTTTTTTTTTTGAGACGGAGTCTCGCTCTGTCGCCCAGGCTGGAATGCAGTGGCGGGATCTCGGCTCACTGCAAGCTCCGTCTCCCGGGTTCACGCCATTCTCCTGCCTCAGCCTCCCAAGTAGCTGGGACTACAGGCGCCCGCCACTACGCCCGGCTAATTTTTTGTATTTTTAGTAGAGACGGGGTTTCACCGTTTTAGCCGGGATGGTCTCGATCTCCTGACCTCGTGATCCGCCCGCCTCGGCCTCCCAAAGTGCTGGGATTACAGGCGTGAGCCACCGCGCCCGGCCAAGTACGGGGATTTTTCAGCCATCTTTCTGTTATTGATTTCTAGTTTAATTCCATTGTGGTCTGAGAGAAGAAATTGCATGGTTTCTATTGTTTTAAATTTGTTAAAGTGTGTTTTATGGCTCAGAATGTGGTCTATCTGGTGAATATTCCATTTGGTCTTGAAAACAATGTGTATTCTGCTGTTGTGGGATGAACTATTCTATAGATGTCAACTGTATTCTTTCTTAAAATTTTTTTTTCTTTTTTTTTTTTTGAGACAGAGTCTTGCTCAGCCACCCAGGCTGGAGTGCAGTGGCGCAATCTCAGCTCACTGCAAGATCCGCCTCCCGGGTTCACGCCATTCTCCTGCTTCAGCTTCCCCAGTAGCTGGGACTACAGGCGCCCGCCACCACGCCCGGCTAATTTGTTTTGTATTTTTAGTAGAGACGGGGTTTCACCATGTTAGGCAGGATGGTCTCGATCTCCTGACCTCGTGATCCACCCACCTCGACCTCCCAAAGTGCTGGGATTACAGGCGTGAGCCACCGCGCCCGGCTAGATGTCAACTGTATTCTGTTAACTGGCAGTGCTGTTGAATTCAACTACATCCTTACTGATATTCTGCCTAGCAGATCTGCCTGTTTCTGTAGAGGAGTGCTCTTTTTCAAGATTGTTTTAGCTATTTAGGACCCCTTGCAATTCCATGTGGATTTTAGGATCAGCATTTCCATTTCTTCATAAAAGACCATTGGGACTGTCATAGGGATTGCATTGCGTTTATAGATTACTTTGGGGATTACTGCCATCTTAACAATACTAAGTCTTTCAATCCATGTACATGAATGTCTTTCCATTATTTATGTCTTCTTTATTTCTTTTAGCATGTTTTTTAATTTTTGGTATACAACTCTTGTATTTCCTCAATTAGATTTATTCCCAAGTATTTTATTCTTTTTGCTGCTATTATAAATGTAATTGTTTTTGTAATTTCCTTTTGGAATTGTTCATTGCTAGCATATATTATAGCGATACAATTCATTTTTGCCTATTGATCTTATATCCGAAAACTTTGCCGAGTTCATTTATTAACTCTACTAGTTTTTTGTGGATTCTTTAGGACTTTTTCATAAAAGATCACGTCATCTTTTAAGAGATATTCTTACTTCTTCCTTTCTGATCTATATGCCTTTTATTTATTTTCCTTACCTAATTACTCTGGCCAGAACTTCCAGGACAGTGTTGAGTAAAAGTGTTAAAAGTGGACATCCAGGCCGGACACGGTGGCTCACCCCTGTAATCCCAGCACTTTGGGAGGCCGAGGCAGGTGGATCACGAGGTCAGGAGATCGAGACCATCGTGGCTAACACGGTGAAACCCCGTCTTTACTAAAAATACAAAAAATTATCCAGGTGTGGTGGCGGGCTCCTGTAGTCCCAGCTACTCGGGAGGCTGAGGCAGGAGAATGGTGGGAATCCGGGAGGCGGCTTGCAGTAAGCCGAGATAGCGCCACTGCACTGCAGCCTGGGCGACAGAGCGACACTCCGTCTCAAAAACAAACAAACAAAAACAAAAACAAAAAAGTGGACATCCACTGGGCACGGTGGTTCATGCCTGTAATCCCAGCACTTTGGGAGGCCAAGGTGGGAGGATTGCTTGAGCCCAGGAGTTCTAGACCAGCCTGGGTAACATGGTGAGGCCTCATTTCTTTTTTGTCTTTTTTTTTTTTTTTTTTTGGAGATGGAGTCTCACTCTGTCACCCAGGCTGGAGTGCAGTGGCGTGATCTTGGCTCACTGCAAGCTCTGTCTCCCGGGTTCACGGGCACCACACCCGGCTATTTTTTTGGTATTTTTAGTAGAGACAAGGTTTCACCGTATTAGCCAGGATGGTCTCTATCTCCTGACCTTGTGATCCACCCGCCTCGGCCTCCCAAAGTGCTGGGATTACAGGCATGAGCCATTGCGCCTGGACAGAAGACCTCATTTCTATTAAAAATAAAAAAAAAAAATCAGCCAGGCATGGTGGTGTGTGCCTGTGCCTGTAGTTCCAGCTACTTGAGAGTCTGAGGTAGGAGGATCATTTGAGCCCAGGGAGATCCAGGCTGCAGTGAGTTTTTAATTTAATTTTATTTTTTGAGACAGGATGTTGCTCTGTTGCCCAGGCGACAGAAAGAAAAAAAAAAGACATCCTTGTCTTATTCCTGATCTTAGGCAAAAAGTTCTCAGTCTTTCACCACCGAGTATGAGTTTTTTTTTTTTTTTTTTTGAGACAGAGTCTCGCTCTGTTGCCCAGTCTGGAGTGCAGTGGCTCCATCTCGGCTCACTGCAAGCTCTGCCTCCCGGGTTCACGCCATTCTCCTGCCTCAGCCTCCCAAGTAGCTGGAACTACAGGCGCCCGCCACCACGCCTGGCTAATTGTTTGTGTTTTTTAGTAGAGACGGGGTTTCACCGTGTTAGCCAAGATGGTCTCGATCTCCTGACCTCATGATCCGCCTGACTCAGCCTCCCAAAGTGCTGGGATTACAGGCGTGAGCCATGGCGCCCGGCCGAGATTTTTTTAATAAGTGCCTTTTATCATGTTGAAGAAGCTCTCTTCTATTTCTAATTAGTAAAAATTTTTTATCATGAAAGGGGGTTGGAGTTTATCAAATACTTTTTCTGCATCAGTTGAGATGATCATTGTTTTTTTTTCCTTAAGTTTTAAGAGTTCTTTAGCCCTTGGTCTGTTGTAAATATTTTCTCCCATTTCATCAGTTGTCTTTTTATTCACATGTAGTTGTAAGTACTAATACAGATCTCTTTACCCTTAAACCTGTTTCCCTCAACAATAACATCTTGTAAGACTATGGTATGATATCATAACTAGGATATTGGTATTGATACAGTCAAGATACTGATCATTTCCATGATCACTTCCCTCTCACTCACACCCACTCCTTAACCTCTGGCAATCACTAATCTGTTCTCCACGTCTACGATTTTTGTCATTTTGAGAATGGACTATAAATGGAATCATACAGTTTGTAATATTGTAGAGTTACCTTTTTTTCACTCAACATAATCCCCTGGAGATTCATTCAGGTTGTCATGTGTATCAGTAGTTTGTTCCTTTTTTATTGCTGAGTAGTATTCCATGGTGCAGATGTACCAAAATTTGTTAACCATTCACCCATTGAAGGACATCTGATTTGTTTCCAGTTTTTAGCTATTATGACCAAGGATGCTATGAGCATTCATGTGTGGGTTTTTTGTTAATATGTTTTCATTTCTCTGGGATAAATGCCCAAGAGTGTAATTGGTTGGTTGTATGGTGGTTGCATGTTTAGCTTTATAAAAAACTGCCAAGCTCGGCCAGGCGCCATGGCTCATACCTGTAATCCTAGCACTTTGGGAGGCCAAAGTGGGTGGATCACTTGAGCTCAGGAGTTTGAGTCCAGCCTGGACAACATGGCAAAATCCTGTATCTACTGAAAATACAAAAATTAGCCAGGCATTGTGCTGCATGCCTGTGGCCCAGCTACTTGGAAGGCTGAGGTGGGAGGATCACTTGAGCCTGGGAGGCCGAGGTTGCAGTGAGCTGAGATTGCACCACTGCACTCCAGCCTGGGTGACAGAGTGAGACCCTGACTCTAAAACAAAACAAAAAACCTACAGATCAATTTAGGGAGAATTGAAAATTGCTATGTTACATCTTCAAATACAGGAACACAATATGCCTCTCCATTTATTTAAATCTTTTCTTTCATTAGCACTTTATAATTTTCAATTTTCAGCATATATATCCTACACATATTTTGTTAGGCTTATACCTGAGCGTTTTATTTTCTTTGGAATGATTGTACATTGTTTTGTGTTTTACATTTTGGTTTCCATATGTTCATTGTTAGTATATAAAAATGTGAGTGATTTTTATGTTACTCTTCATCTGCAACTTTGCTGAACTCAATTAGTTCTAAGAGGTTTTCTGTTTTCTTTTTAGTTTGTTTATGGTGATTTTTGCCATGCAATTTAAAAAATATAGTCAAGCTATCATTCTCTTATTTTATTGTCTGTGGATTTTTTTTTTTTTTTGAGACAGGGTTTCCCTCTGTCACCCAGGCTAGAGTGCAGTGGTGTAATCTTGGCTCACTGCAACCTCTGCCTCCTAGGCTCAAGGGATCCTCCCACTTCAGCCTCCTGAGTAGCTGGGACCACAGGCAGAAACCACTACGCTCAGCTGATTTTTGTACTTTTTGTAGAGAAAGTATTTCACTGTATTGCCCAGGCTGGTCACCAACTCCTGGCCTCAAGTGATCTGCCCACCTCAGCCTCCCAAAGTGCTGGGACTACAGGTATGTGCCACTGTGCCTAGTGGATTTTATTTTTTTAACATGAAGTCTTACTCTGTTGGCCAGGCTGAAATGCAGTAGCGTCATTTTAACTCACTGCAACTTTGAACTTCTGGGCTCAAGCAATCCTCATGCCTCTGCCTCCCAAGTAGCTAGGACTACTGACATGTGCCACCATTCCTGAATAACTTTTTAATTTTTTGTAGAGACAGGATCTGGCTTTGTTGCCTGGGCTGGTCTCAGGCAACCTCTTGACCTCAAGTGATCCTCCCACCTCAGCCTCCCAAAGTGCTGGGATTACAGGCGTCAGCCACTGCATCTGACCTATTTGTTTTAAGCAGTCAGAAATTCAGTGGATATATTTTGTATTAATGTCTGACAGAGCTAGTCTTCACCATAGTTATTCTTTTTTTTTTGGTATTTTTCTGGGTATTCTTGCATTTTTTTCTATGTAAATATTAGTTATCAATTACATAATGCCATATAAAAGCTTATTGGTACTTTTATTGGGATTGCATTAAATTTATAAAGTAACTTAAGAAAAGCCAACATCTTTATAATGTTGAGTTCTACCCGTTTATGTAAGTCTATCTTTGTGACTTTCAGGAGTATTTTAAAATTTCCTCATATAAGTTTTGCACATTTCCTGATACTTTTATTTCTAAGTATTCAATCTTCTTCAATACTATATAAACGAATTTTATCATTATGCCCTCTGATTATTGTTTGTTTGTATGAAAGTTATTGATTTTTGTATGTTAGCTTTGTATGCTGTCACTTTACTGAATTTTTTAGTTAATTTTATTTTTGATTTGAGTTTTTCCAGCATTGTTGGCAAATAGAGATAATTTTACTTCCTCTTTACCAATCTTATGCTTTGAACTGATTTATCATGTTGAATTGCAATGGCTAATACCTCTAGACAATGTTGAATAGTAGCAGAGATGGTGAGCATCTTTGTGTTGTTCCTGAGCCAAGTGAAAAATGCTTTTAGTATTTCCCTATTAAGTAAGATGCTGGCTAAAGCTGTGATGTTGGGATATAATAAGAAATTCTGTACCATTTTCTGGCATAGAACTTCTAATCCTTTGGAATTTCCTGAGCTATAGGAGCATGTATTTTCCCCTAAAATCTATTTATTAGGAAGAATGAATTTTCATAATTCTAGTAGCAAATCATACTACAGAAGTATCAGATAGAATTCTCATAGCCTTGATATATTGTCTCAATGTTATAAGAAGTTGACCTCCAAATCAACAATCATAGTCAACTGAAAAATATCATTTGTTGATATCTTTCAGAGGCCAAGACATGATTTTCTGACTTTTTTTTTTTTATCACTCCATTTATAGGAAATTTCTTTTTTCTTTTCTTTTTTTTTTTTATTGATCATTCTTGGGTGTTTCTCGCAGAGGGGATTTGGCAGGGTCATAGGACAATAGTGGAGGGAAGGTCAGCAGATAAACAAGTGAACAAAGGTCTCTGGTTTTCCTAGGCAGAGGACCCTGTGGCCTTCCGCAGTGTTTGTGTCCCTGGGTACTTGAGATTAGGGAGTGGTGATGACTCTTAACGAGCATGCTGCCTTCGACCATCTGTTTAACAAAGCACATCTTGCACCGCCCTTAATCCATTTAACCCTGAGTGGACACAGCACATGTTTCAGAGAGCACAGGGTTGGGGGTAAGGTCATAGATCAACAGGATCCCAAGGCAGAAGAATTTTTCTTAGTACAGAACAAAATGAAAAGTCTCCCATGTCTACTTCTTTCTACACAGACACAGAAACCATCCGATTTCTCAATCTTTTCCCCACCTTTCCCCCTTTTCTATTCCACAAAACCGCCATTGTCATCATGGCCCGTTCTCAGTGAGCTGTTGGGTACACCTTCCAGACGGGGTGGTGGCCGGGCAGAGGGGCTCCTCACTTCCCAGAAGGGGTGGCCGGGCAGAGGCGCCCCCACCTCCCGGACGGGGCGGCTGGCCGGGCGGGGGCTGACCCCCCACCTCCCTCCCGGACGGGGCGGCTGCCGGGCGGAGACGCTCCTCACTTCCCAGATCGGGTGGCTGCCGGGCGGAGGGGCTCCTCACTTCTCAGACGGGGCGGCTGCTGGGGGGAGGGGCTCCTCACTTCTCAGACGGGGCGGCCGGGCAGAGACGCTCCTCACCTCCCAGACAGGGTCACGGCCGGGCAGAGGCGCTCCTCACATCCCAGACAGGGCGGCCGGGCAGAGGCGCTCCTCAAGTCCCAGACAGGGCGGCGGCGCTCCCCACATCTCAGACGATGGGCAGCCGGGCAGAGACGCTCCTCACTTCCTAGATGGGATGGCGGCTGGGAAGAGGCGCTCCTCACTTCCCAGACTGGGCAGCCAGGCAGAGGGGCTCCTCACATCCCAGACGATGGGCGGCCAGGCAGAGACGCTCCTCACTTCCCAGATGGCGTGGCAGCCGGGCAGAGGCTGCAATCTCGGCACTTTGGGAGGCCAAGGCAGGCGGCTGGGAGGTGGAGGTTGTAGCGAGCCGAGATCAGGCCACTGCACTCCAGCCTGGGCACCATTGAGCACTGAGTGAACGAGACTCTGTCTGCAATCCCAGCACTTCGGGAGGCCGAGGCTGGCGGATCACTCGCGGTTAGGAGCTGGAGACCAGCCCGGCCAACACAGCAAAACCCTGTCTCCACCAAAAAAATACGAAAACCAGTCAGGCGTGGCAGTGCGCGCCTGCAATCGCAGGCACTCGGCAGGCTGAGGCAGGAGAATCAGGCAGGGAGGTTGCAGTGAGCCGAGATGGCAGCAGTACAGTCCAGCTTCAGCTCGGCATCAGAGGAAGACCGTGGAAAGAGAGGGAGAGGGAGACCGTGGAAAGAGAGGGAGAGGGAGACCGTGGAAAGAGAGGGAGAGGGAGACCGTGGAAAGGGGAGAGGGAGAGCGATTTTCTGACTTTTAAACCTTTTATTCTCCACTTAGTGGCATAAAGGAATCTCTATTATGCAAAACTAATCTGAAAGTGAATAGTTATATAGTGGCTACAGAAAATTTTACCTTTTTTTTTTTTAGACGGATCCTCCAGGTTGGAATGCAGTGGTGTGATCTTGGCTCACTGCAACCTCTGCCTTCCGGTTTCAAGCAATTCTCCCGCCTCAGCCTCCCGAATAGCTGGGATTACAGGTGCATGCCACCACACCTGGCTACTTCTTGTATTTTTAGTAGAGATGGGGTTTCACCATATTGGCCAGGCTGGTCTCGAACTCCTGACCTTGTAATCCCCGGCCTCAGCCTCCCAAAGTGCTGGAATTACAGGTGTGAGCCACTGGGCCCGGTCGAAATATTTTCTATATCCATATTAAATGTGATTCTCTGTTCGTTGCCTGATTCTCACCAAATAGGGCAAGTAATTAAGGTTTCGCAAACACTTTGTTAGAATGGGCAACATTACATCAGAGGAGAATCGTCATGTTATTTGAAGTTGGTTTATCACTCTGCACCTCACTCTTATGTAGAAACTTGACTGACCACAAACACAAATGTTTTAACATTTAAATATCTGTGTATTCATTTTTATACTTCTTGAAAGTACTTCTAGGAGTACAAACATGAACTGCTAACAAGTCCTTTTTCCCCCAGATGGCAATATTATTGTGGGGGTAGAAGCATCTTCTGTCCTAACAAGAGGACCGACTCTTGCTGGCTCCTGGATGAGGCCTGGTCGCCAGAAAGATCAAGCCATAATGAGAAGCTTGAACCTTTCAGTCCCACCCCCCATTCTTCAGGAAGGGGAGAGAGGCTGGAGACTGAGTTAATAATCAACCATGCCTGGGTGATGAAGCCTCCATAAAAATCCTGGAACTACAGAATCTGGAGAGCTATTGGGCTGCTGAACACGTGAAGGTGCCTAGATGGTGGCACATCCCAGAGAGGGCAGGGAAGCTTAGCGGGTCTTCTGACATGCTTTGCCCTGTGCATCTGTATTCTGTTTAATAGTCTTTAGAATAAATGGGTAAACGTAAGTAAAGTTTCCCTGAGTTCTGTGAGCTGGCCTAGAAATTATCAAACTCCAGGATGGGGTTGTGGGAACCCCTATTTATAGCTCATTGGACAGAGGCACAGGTCACAGCCTGCGGCTTGCGACTGGCTTCTGAGGTGTGCACAGTCTTGCAGGACTGAGCCCTTAACCTGTGGGTTCTGACTGTAACTCCAGGTAGATGGTGTCAGAATTGAATTAAATTATAAGACACCCTGTTAGTGTCCACTAGAGAATTGTTTGGTGTGTGGGTTTGATCACCCACACATTTTGGTGATCAGAAGCATTCTATGTTGAGTGTGAATGTAGAAGGAAAAACAGTCCATTGTTTCCTAACTCATACAAAGGCTAAGGTGCTGTATGTGGGCAGTCTTTGCTTTGCCCAGTCCCCATATGGACATATTTGGCTTACCACATTTTAGTTTAATAACTCCAGTCCTCCCCACCAGCATGGTTCAAACTTCATTTGCCATGGAATTTTAACGAATTGTATAAGGTGCAAACCTTGCTGCTGGCTCTTTAGTCCAAAAAAATGACATAAATAACAGATGGGCATCATGATTAGGACATCACTGCTTTCGAAGACTAGTGGTGATTGGCTGGTCAGTGCCGGTGTGTTATTCAGCTCATGCAGACGTCAGACAAGTGTATAGGTGGGTTGCCTCCTCATCTCTCAGTGATCAACAGATATAACATTTTATGAAATTCAATGATTGGGCTGGGCGCAGTGGCTCACACCTGCAATCCCAGCACTTTGGGAGGCTGAGGTGGATGGATCACTTGAGGTCAGGAGTTCAAGACCATCCTGGCCAACATGGTGAAACCCTGTCTCTACTAAAAATACAAAAATTAGCCAGGCGTAGTGGTGGGCGCCTATAATCCCAGCTACTCGGAGGCTGAGGCAGGAGAATCACTTAAACCTGGGAGGCAGAGGTTGCCGTGAGCCGAGATTGTGCCACCGCACTCCAGCCTGGGTGACAGAGTGAGACTCCATCCATCTCAAAAAATAAATAAATAAAAAATAAATTGGATGGATAATTGGAAGGGGGAATGGCTAACAAATATAAAAGTGCAGCCAAAAAAAATGAGGATGATAAGACTGGAAGTGAAATTGTATATGAAGCTGTGGCATGAACTATATCGAAAGTCTGATGAATATCATGATATGGTTTGGATGCTTGTCCCCTCCAATTGTCATGTTGAAATGTGACCACCCCAATGTTGGAGGTGGGGCTTAGTGGGAGGTGTTGGGCTATGGGAGTGGATCCCTCAGGAATGGCTTGGTGCCCTCTTCGAGGTAATGAGTGGTAGTAAATTCACACAAGAACTGGTTATTTAAAAGAGTGTGGCAGCTCCCCCTCCCTCTCTCTTGCTCCCTCTCTTGCCATGTGATACACTGCTCCCTCTTTGCCCTCTGCCATGATTGTAAGCTTCCTGAGGCCTCACCAGAAGCAGGTGCTGGTGCCATGCTTCTCGTACAGACTGTAGAACCGTGACCCAAATAAACGTCTTTTTTGTATAAATTACCTAGTCTCCAGTGTTCCTTTAGAGCAACACAAAATAAACTAATACATATAATAAACAAGGTAAAGTTGCTTCAACATATTTTTTTTAAATTTTTTTCTTTTAATTTACTTTTTTTTCTTTGTTGCCCAGGCTAGTCTCGAACTCCTGAGCTCAAGCAATCCTCCCACCTCAGCCTCCCAAAGTGCTGGGATTACAGGCATGAGCCGCCACGCCCAGGCTGCTTCAACATCTTTTAGTTTAAATTGCGCTGGAAACAGAAGTCGTTCGTGGTTGAAATGGAATGTTTACTTCTATGTTGAACTGAAGACTGTAATTTGTTAACAATCCCCATTGGTTTGGCCAGCATTCAGGCTGAAGCATTGAAGTTAATTGCCACATTGACAGAAAACAGTAATTTCAAGGAGACTGCAGAAACTTTTACTAACGGTAAAGAGTGGTTTGTTTCATCATTTCAGAAGTTGGCATGAATTGATTAATGTGAAACTGTCAAGCACAGATGAGGATGTTGCTGTGAAATCTATCCCCAGATGTCAAGGATTTTTTTTTTTTGTCAGTGTCTCGTTCTGTTGCCCAAACTGTACTGCAGTGGCACAATCATGGCTCACTGCAGCCTCAAACTCCTGAGCTCAAGCAATCCTCCTGCCTCAGCCTCCCAAGTAGCTTAGATGCTAGGCATGTGCCACCACACCCAGCTAGGTTTTTACATTTTTTTAGAGGCCAGGGGCGGTGGCTCATGCCTGTAATCCCAACACTTTGGGAGGCCATGGCTGGCGGATCACCTAAGGTCAGGAGTTTGAGACCAGGCTGGCCAACATGGTGAAACCCCGTCTCTACTAAAAATACAAAAATTAGGCCAGGCATGGTGGCACACGACTGTAATCCCAACACTTTGGGAGACCAAGGAGGGCAGGTCACCAGGTCAGGAGTTCGAGACCAGCCTGGCCAGCATAGTGAAACCCCATCTCTACTAAAAATACAAAAAAAAAATTTTTTTTCTAGAAATGGGGTCTCACTATATTGCCCAGGCTGGTCTTGAACTCCTGAGCTCAGGCAATCCTCCTGCCTTAGCCTCCCAAAATGTTAAGGACTATAGGCATGAGCTACCACATCCAGCTGATTTTGTTTGTTTAACTAACCACTATACTAACGAGGATCAAGGATAATTATTACGGCAGGCAGTGGTTACAAAAAGGATAAAGATATCCTAGAAGAAATGCCGCTGGCAAAAAGTTTAAAAGAACTTGGAGATATTTCACAACGTTGGAAGTACAAAGGATAAGATGTTGAAAGTTGATCCAAACTTAGGAAGGAGTATGACAATTTGCCAAGGCATGGAAAACGTGTTTTTTTTTTTTCTTTTGAGACGGAGTCTCGCTCTTGTCGCCCAGGCTGGAGTGCAATAGCGCAATCTCGGGTCACTGCAACCTCCACCTTCCAGGTTCAAGTGATTCTCCTGCCTCAGCCTCCTGAGTAGCTGGGATTATAGGCACCCACCACAACACCCAGCTAATTTTTGTATCTTTAGTAGAGACGGGGTTTCACCATGTTGGGCAGGCTGGTCTTAAACTCCTGACCTCAAGTCATCTGCCCGCCTTGACCTCCCAAAGTGCTGGGATTACAGGCATGAGTCACCGTGCCCGGCCTTCTTTTTCTTTTTTTTTTTTGAGACAAGGCCTCACCCTGTCACCCAGGCTGGAGTGCAGTGGTGTGATCATGGCTTACTGCAACCTTGAACTCCTGGGCTCAAGCTGCCATCCTCCTGCCTCAGCCTCCTGAGCAGCTAGGACTTCAGGCATGCGCCACCACACTTGGCTGTTGTGTTTTTTCTTTTTTTTTTTTTTAATTTTTGTAGAGACAGGGTCTCACTATGTTGCCCAGGCTGTTCTCAAACACCTGGCCTCAAGCTATCTTCCTACCTTGACCTCCCAAAGTGCTGGAATTACAGGTGTGAGCCACCATGCTCAGCCCATATATAGTATTTATAATCGTTCTCTTTGGTGTGGATGAAACACATCTCTATCAGACTGGCTCATGGGTGCAGAATTCCATAGGTACTTACTGAAAAACAGAAAATTGTTTCCTATAATCATGATACTTGAAGGATAGTTTGTCTGAATATAAAATCCTGGCTCACACTTGTAAAGGTGTAATGTCTAAAACCTGCTGCTCCATTGCTGTCTTGCTTTGTATGCTGGTTTAAAAAGTCTGCTGTTGGCCTGGCGCAGTGGCTCACGCCTGTAATCCCAGCACTTTGGGAGTCGGAGGCCGGCGGATCATGAGGTCAGGAGATCAAGACCATCTGGCTAACATGGTGAAACCCCGTCTCTACTAAAAAAAAATACAAAAAATTAGCCGGGTGTGGTGGTGGGCACCTGTAGTCCCAGCTACTCGGGAGGCTGAGGCAGGAGAATGGTGTGAACCTGGGAGGCGGAGCCTGCAGTGAGCCGAGATCGCGCCATCGCACTCCTGCCTGGGCAACAGAGCGAGACTCCGTCTCAAAAAAAAAAAGTCTGCTGTCATTCTCATTATTTAATTATTTTGCCTTTGTGAGTTATTTGATCTTTTTGCCTGGAGTCCTTGAGGGTTTTTTTAAAAGAGTCTTTGAGGCTGGGCACAGTGGCTCACACCTGTAATCCCAGTACTTTGGGAGGCCGAGGTGGGCAGATTACCTGACGTCAGGAGTTCCAGACCAGCCTGGCCAACATGGCGAAACCTCGTCTCTACCAAAAATACAAAAATTATCCGGGCGTGGTGTCAGGTGACTGTAATCCCAGTTACTCAGGAGGCTGAGGCAGGACAATCACTTGAATCCAGGAGGTGGAGGTTGCAGTGAGCCAAGATCATGCCACTGCACTCCAGCCTGGTTGACAGAGTGAGACTCCGTTTCAAAAAAAAAAAAAAAAAAAAAAAGAGTCTTTGAAATTAGAGTTTTACTAGGATATGTTTCAAAGTTGATCACACTGAGTGAATCTGCCCACATTCCCAGTGGGCTCTTCCAATGTGCAGAGTTTTTGCTCCTGGACAGTTTTCTTACAGTGTTAAATATTAGTTGTGGTTTACTTGTTTATTTTTTCTTCAGGGACTCCAATAATACACATGTGATTCCTTCTTTGAGTATATTCTGTTTCCATTACTTTCTTTGGACCCAGCCTACTTCTTTATCTCATTTTCATTCTCTTGCTTGGTTACCTGTATTCCTTCAATGCCCCTTATTAAATTTTTATTTGAATTTATTCTCCCTTGGGCATCTTGTAATTTAATCTTTACTTCTAGATAATTTTGTCTGTTTATTCCATTTCTTTCCTGAGTTCAACCAAATCTATTTTCATTTCTTCCTCTATTTTGTCTATTTCTGTTCTTTGTTTTTAAATTTCCCACCCAAAATGGTTTTGCATGTCTTCAAATGCTTGTTTTGCATATATTTGGTTCTGTTTAGTGTTGTATTACAGCTTTCTTCTTCTTCATGGCTATTGTTTCAGAGGTTTGTGTGAATTTTCCTTGGTTCATATGTGATGAAATTCATTTTCTGATATTTTGCAATAGCTGTATGAACCTATCTTTTCATTATTCATTTTTGTGGTATTGGGTGTTTTACAAGATCCCTAGATAACACGCCCTCTTCTGGCAACATTGTGAAGTCCAGATGCTTTAGTGAATTTGTTTTTGCAGGGGTGGGGGTTGTGGGCCTTCTTTTTTTTTTTGTCTTGGAGGGCAATTAAACTTCTCCATTTGCCTCTCTCTTCACACCCAAATGCCAAAGGACACTTTTCCTTTCTTTTGTGGGTAGTTGCTCCCCAAGGATCTATGTGTTTCCAAGACTGTGGCTTCACATTTCACGTATAACTTTTTTTTGAGACAAAGTCTCGCTCTGTCATCCAGGCTGGAGTGCAGTGGCACAGTCTCAGCTCACTGCAACCTCCACCTCCTCGGTTCAAGCGATTCTCCTGCCTTAGCCTCCTGAGTAGCTGGGACTACAGGCACATGCCACCATACCTGACTAATTTTGTATTTTTAGTAGAGATGGGATTTCACCATGTTGGCCAGGCTGGTCTCGAACTCCTGACCTCAGGTGATCCACCCGTCTTGGCCTCCCAAAGTGCTGGGATTACAGGCGTGAGCCACCGTGCCTGGCCTCACGTGTACTTTTAAACCTCCCACCTATTGTCCCAGCTCTGACACTACTGCAGACACTTTTGAACATTTTCAGGCTCAAGGTGTACTTAGTGTTTTTGGTGAGGTCTTAGATCAAGCTTAAGCCCCATTACAACTCCCTCCTCTCCTTTGCCCCAGTTTTCCTCAGCCAGTCTTGTGGCAGGTGGGGCTGGAATGGGTGCGTGGGAAGGAAAGTCTGAGCTGCCATTTGTTTTTCCTTTTTCTTTCTTTTCTTCTCTTCTCTTTCTTTCTTTTTTCTTTCTTTCTTGTCTCACTCTGTCACCCAGGCTGGAGTGCAGTGGTGCAATCAAAGCTCAGTACAGCCTGGACCTCCTAGGCTCAAATAATCCTCATATCTCAGCCTCCCAAGTAGCTAGAACTGCAGGTGCACACAACCACACCCAGCTAATTTTTGTATTTTTTGTAAAGACAGGTTTTCACCATGTTGCCCAGGCTAGTTTCGAACTCCTGGGCTCAAGGAATCTGTCCACCTCAACCTCCCAAAGTGCTGGGATTACAAACGTGAGTCACCACGCCCGGCCAGGTAATTTCTATGTTATTTGTTTTTCTTGTTCTTTTTAAGTTTGAGCATTCTTGTCTCCAAGTTATCCTGAGGGCTTGCTGTTGCATAATTTTATCTTTTCTCCTCATTCCATATTGTTTTTCTAGGCGACACTGGGGACCTACAGTGCTACCATTGTCCTCCTACCTGAAAGCCTCTGACAAAATATTGTCTTCCCATTCCATTGAAGGTTCAGAGGCCTCAGTGTCCAAGGGAGAATGCCGCCAGGAATGGACACTGCATAGCTTTTTTTGAACCGGAAGTAAAGGCTGCCCCGCTGTCGCTTTGCCTCAGGACCAAGAGCTCTAAGAGGAAGACTGACCCTGACTGTCCACCGAGAAGCTGTTGCTGCCATACAACGGAGACAAGGAGTCCATCGTATCCAGGGGATCCCCTGAAATATCTCTGAGGATTGCCAGGTTCAGTGACAGTGTTAATGAAAGCCTCAAGTGACTCAATACAAGCAGAATAACCAAGGACTCAGACCCTTCAGGAATGAAGTTTGGGTCACCTCATGAAGTAAAAGAACCAAAGGAACATAGAATGGGTATGGAAGAAAGAAGTTGTAAATATCAATCCAGGGTTAACAGATAAAATACAGGATGCTCAGTGTTAAAAGGAAAACTTTAGCTCAGGTAAGTTTCACAGTGTTTAACTGAGCAAAGAACAATTCAAGAATCAGGCAGCCTCTCATGCCAGAGTGGGCTCAGAGACTCCAGTGCAGCCACGTGGTGGAAGATTTATGGACAGAAAGGAAAATGAAGTACAGAAAACACACGTGAGATATAGAAACCAGCCAGATTGGTTACAGATTGGTGTTTGTCTTATCTGAACACAGTTTGAACAGTTGGCCACCTTTGATTAGCCAAAACTCAGTGATTGCCACAAGCGTTGGCTACAGTCTGTTTACAAGTCCATTTAGGTTATAGTTTACGATGTACAGAGAAACCTTTAGGCCAAACTTAAAATATGTAAGGAGGCAGCTTTAGGCTAAACGAGATTTAACACTGGTTATAGCCCGGGCACAGTGGCTCACACCTGTAACCCCAGCACCTTGGGAGGCTGAGGCGGGTGGATCACTTGAGGCCAGGAGTTGGAGACCAGCCTGGCCATCATGGCAAAACCTTGTCTTTACTAAAAATACAAGAATTAGCCAGGTGTGGTGGCACATGCCTGTTATCTCAGCTACTCAGGAGGTTGAGGCACAAGAATAGGCTGAACCCAGGAGGCAGAGGTTGCAGTAAGCCAAGATCACACCACTGCACTCCAGACTGGGCAACAGAGCAAGACTGTCTCAAAAAAAAAAGAAAAAAACAAAAACAACAAAAAAAACCCACCACTTATATCTGAACCTTGGAGAAACAACTACTGGTTTTTTAGTGTAAGTATGTCCTATTAACAACTAAAAAATTCATTGCTTCTCCAAAATTCAAACTTAAATGCACATCCTATATAATATTTTTATTTGCTAAACCTAGGAACCCTAATTAGGGCCTCGTAACTCATTGCACAAAAGATTCATACTTTCTTCCTTGCATGTAAAATAGAGATTAACCGATATCTTTCCCCATCTTTTCCCTTGTTTCATATAAAGTGTATTATTGATAATTGTTAACGAAAAAAAGAAAAGATACACAATTTATAAATTTTGAGAGGAGACTTTATTTCTTATAAAGGGTTAGGCTGGGCCTGGTGGCTCACACCTATAATCCCAGCACTTTGGGAGGCCAAGGCAGGAGGATCACTTGAACCCAGGAGGCCTTAACCAGCCTGGACAACATAGTAAGAACCCATCTCTACAAAAAATTTTACAAATTAGCCAGGTGTGGTGGCATGCACCTGTAGTCTTAGCCACCCCGGAGGCTGAGGCAGGAGGATCACTTTTGCCCAGGAGTTTGAGGTTGTAGTGAGCTATGATCGCACCACTGCACTCCAGCCTCAGAAAGGGAGTGAGACCTGCTGGGAAGCATGTCTCCAGCCAAGACCAGAGACAGGCACTTCAAAGAAGGAGGGGTTAGGGTAGGAGCTTCATGCTCAATGGATTGACTAAACATACACATTCAACAGGTTACATGAGGAGCTATGAATATTCATGAAAGTGGTTCTGACACATGCATATTGAACAAACATGCATGCAACATACAACCCATGGTCACTTTGGGGTGGAGACTTAACATTTAAATGTATTATAATTAGGCCCTATATGGCAAAAGGTCTTTTCAGGACACAAAGACATGCAAGTGCAGGAGCTCTGTAAGCCAGCCAGAACCAGTCCATGATGGGTAGTCACCTTGTCAGGAAAAAGTTACTGAAATCAGTCACTTGTCCAACCAAAGCTGTAGTTATGGCTGGTGGAACAGTGGTTGGAGGTCAGTTAGTCAGCATCTGATGAAGCTGAAAATGTTTTTAATATTGCTTATCTCAAAGCCAGTGCTTGGACCGGGTGCGGTGGCTCACGCCTGTAATCCCAACACTTTGGGAGGCTGAGGCGGGCAGATCACCTGAGGTCAGGAGTTCAAGACCAGCCTGGCCAATATGGTGAAACCCCATCTCTACTAAAAATACAAAAATTAGCCGGGTGTGGTGGCGGACACCTGTAATCCCAGTTACTCAGGAGGCTGAGGCAGGAGAATCACTTGAACCCAGGAGGCAGAGGTTGAAGTGAGCCAAGATCACGCCACTGCACTCCAGCCTGGGTGACAGAGTAAGACTCCGTCTCAAAACAAACAAAATAAAAAGTGGTTTTTGTTTTGTTTTGTTTTTAAGCTTTTTAGCTGCTACAGGGAAAAAAAAACCAAAAACAAAAAACCTTGTGCAGTTAGAACATAGTTTATTCATAAGTTGGGGGCAGGGGAGGCGGGGCATGAAGGTGGGCTCTACATGACTTAACCCTTGCTTGGCATGGCCTTAGGTCCTGTTTACAATTTGGTATCTTATTGCCACAGTGTCTGTTCTGTCCATCTCATGATCCCTATTTTGTTCATTCATGCTCGGCAGCTGTGTCTAAACCATAAAGGGATGGGGTATAACAAGTTGCATCTGACCTCCCAACCCATCAGGGCCAGGAATTGTTTTAAGTTTTTTCTGAGATTCCCTCGGCCACGAGGTGGCATCTGTTCAGTCGGTGGGGTTTTAGGATTTTTAGTTTACATAACTGATTTGATAATCCAGGGCATTTGTTACAGCGTATCCAGGTGAGATTATGACTCAACTATTTAGCACCTCCATCTCAACATGTACTTCCCCAACGGTCATGGCAGAGGAAGAGAGGGCTGGAAAATTGAGCACTGGCAATGACATATTTTGCCCCAAAACTGACCCCTTCACATTTCTTTTTTCTTTTTTGAGACGGAGTCCTGCTCTGTCATCCAGGCTGGAGTGTAGTGGCCCAATCTCAGTTCACTGCAACCTCCACCTCCCGGGTTCAAGCGATTCTCCTGCCTCAGCCTCCTGAGTAGCTGGGATTATGAGCACGCCACCACACCCGGCTAATTTTTGGATTTTTAGTAGAGACGGGTTTCACCATGTTGGCCAGGCTGGTCTCAAATTCTTCACCTCAGGTAATCAACCCACCTCGGCCTCCCAAAATGCTGGGATTACAGGTGTGAGCCACCGCCCCCGGCCCTTGACTCCCTTCACATTTCATTAGCCAGAGCTGGGCTTGTGGCCAGACCTGCCTTGAAGGAGGCAAGGAAGGGTATGTGAACATGAGCAACGTCCACACAGGTGGACAAGGTGACCCGTGTGACTTTGGTTCCCTCTCTTTAGGAAGAATTTTTGGTTGTACTTGGGACAGTTACAGGCATGCTGCTATTGCCATGATCTTCGGGAAGCTGAAGTGATGAGCAGCAGTGTGTGATTCTGAGGACACAGAGGGCTGGGGTCTAGGAGCTATCTCAGGTGGGCTCAGTCAGTGCCATCCTCCCTTTTGGTGCCTCCCTAGAAGTGCTGAGAAGATGCAAAACCAAAAGCTTTTACTCCAACATTGCTTAGCCAAGCTAAGCACATGCATTCCCTATGATTCAGCAATTCTGCTCCTAGCATGTATCCCAGAGAATTGTCCCATGGGTCCATAGGGGCATATAAGAATGGCCATTGCAGCAAAGTTCTGGTTGGGGTAGGGGGAGCTGAAAGTCATCTGGTGTCCACAACTGGAGGAATGGATGGATAAAATGGGATGGATGCACAAGTGGGCAGACAGATGGGTGAAAGGATGGTCAGTCCTTACATGGACCAGTTTCCTTATTCTTAGGCTAAGGATTAGCATCTCCAGGCAAAAAGAAAACGTTTCTGGATTCCCTTGCCACTGGAGTTCCGTGGAAGAGAGAAATGGAGTCCACTAATGAGGTGTCCTTTGAAGGATATGGATGGAGGACACAGGGCCAAGGAAGTTTGCTCTGCGGGCCCAGCCTTGGAGATGTTCAGTCCTTCTGCAGCAGCACCACGCTTCTGGCTTTGTGGGTGTCAGGAGGCAGGAGTGGCAGTCCCACCCCATGTCCCAGGGCCCAAGCCCAGCTTCCTGGGTGCTTACAGGGGATGGCAGGCAGGACAGTACGTTCTGATCCCAGCTCCAGTGGGAGCTTCCTGGAGGCGACTTCTCCAGCCTTCCCATGTACTTTAAGTACCCTGATTCCCTTAAATCCCCTTCTGCCAAAAACAGCTGGAGAAGTTTCTGTTTCCTGAAACTGACCCCTTCCTGATTTGGAAATGACTTGCCGAGGTGACAAAGCAAGTTATTGCCACATCTCAAGTTTGAGACAGGCCTCCTGACTCCACCTATTAACAGTACCACTGTCCCAGGCCCTTTCTTTTTTTTCTTTTTTTGAGACAGAGCCTTGCTCTGTCGCCCAGGCTGGAGTGCAGTGGCGTGATCTCGGCTCACTGCAACTTCTGCCTCCCAGGTTCAAGTAATTCTCCTGCCTCAGCCTCCCAAGTAGCTGGGATTACAGGCGCCCGCCACCACGCCCGGCTAATTTTTGTATTTTTATTAGACACAGGGTTTCGCCATGCTGGCCAGGCTGATCTCAAACACCTGGCCTCAGGTGATCCACCCGCCGCAGCCTCTCAAAGTGCTGGGATTACAGGCATGAGCCACCGCACCCAGCCCAGGCCCGTCTTTCCTCTCCTAGTCTGCCCCAATCGGAAGGATCAGGAGGCGTAAAGCTGGCCCATGGGGAACCTGTGGCTGGGAGCCCATGAGGCAGGGGCAGCAGAAGAGGGCAGAGACGGTTGGGACCTCTGTGGCCCTGGCTGAGGTCTGCTCTGATGGCATGGTAATGGAAACCTGCTACCAGATGACAAAACACTATTACCAAACAGCTGGGTGACCTTAGGAAAATCACTCAACCGCTCCTGCCTACGGATTTCCTCATCTGCGGGGCCCTGCAGAGCTGTTGCAAGGATGAAATGAGGCAACGTACATGTGCCTGGCAGCACAGCTGACCCCACACAGCTCAATCCTCAGTGTTTGCATGTTTGGGAAAAAAAAACAACAACTAGAGGAACTAGTTCTTCTTACCTGGGAAGATTCCTAAGCACAAATTAGGTTTCTTAGGGGCTGAGATTAGAAAAAACTTGGTCTCAGACCCTAGACCTTATTAGCAGGCCCTTCCTAGAGCTGGCTCTAATCGGCACAGCTTGGGAAGCTCTCCACCTGGCCACTGCTGTCTTTCTGTTTCTGGCTTAGGCCCACTGGCCTGCCTGGCGTGAGCTCCCTGGGGCAGGGAGCTTGCAAACCTTGGGAGTTGAGAAGCGCTGGCTCGGCCAGGTGTGGGGGCTCACACCAGTAATCCCAACACTTTGGTGAGGCTGAGGCAGAAGAGTCATTTAAGCCCAGGAGTTCGAGACCAGCCTAGGAAACAGGGAGATCCTGTCTGCAAAAAATACAGTGGTGACTCACACCTGTAGTCCCAGCTACTCGGAGGCAGGCTGAGATGGGAGGATCACCTGAGCCTGAGAGGCAGAGTCTGCAATGATCCCTAATCACACCACTGCACTCCAGAGCGCCAGAGTGAGATCCTGTCTTTAACCCCTCCCCGAAAAAAAAAGAAAGAAAAGTACTGTCCAACAGGTCAGGTCCACACTCTAGCTTCAGCCTTCTTCCTAAATCACTGAGTGGCCTTGGGCAAGGCCAGACCCTCTCTGGGAAGCAGAAAGGAGATTTTTCCCCTGCCTCCTGGGCAGAGATTCTGGAGAGCACTAGTGTGTCTGGGTGAGAAGGAACTCTGTAGCTCTACAGTGCCGGGTTCTGTCTGGAAGCCTTCTTGGGGCCTATGACCCTGCTATGGTTTGAATGTTTGTCCCCTCCCACGCTCACGTTGAAATGCGATTGCCACTGTAACAGTATAAGATTAGACCCTAAGAGGTGGTCAGGCCACGAGGGCTCTGCCCTCCTGCGTGGACTCAGGCCGTTATCTTGGGAGTGGGTTCGCTCTCTCCCCTCACTCCTGTCACTCTGTCCTCTGTCATGGGAAGATGCAGAAGGGTCCTCACTGGGCTCTGGGCCCTCCACTATGGACTTCCCAGCCTCCAGAGCTCTGAGCCAATACATTTCTGTTTATTATAACTTACCCCGTCTCAGGGATCTTGCTAGAGCAGCAAAAACAGACTCAGACAGACCCTCACCCCCAGGAGCCTGCTCCCAACCGGGGCCCAAAAGAAAACAAGCCAGCGAGGGCACTGCGGAATGCAGGGTTTTGGCGACAGAGCTACAGGAGTGTGCCTTGGCCCCCACAAGGGCCACAGTCCTGCCCCCACCTGGTCTCCCGGGGCTCAGACAGCAGCCGCCAGCCCACGGAGGTAGTCCCCCGCCAGGGGCAGCACGGCCCAGTCATCGGTCCGCAGGGCCACAGGCACTCCATCTGCCAGGGCCGCCTCCAGCCGCAGCAGCAGCTTTGAGTCCGGGGGCAGGTGGATTGCTACACAGTAGCTGGTAGGAGGCTGGGCCACCACCACAAAAGGCTCCAGGTGGCGGGACACCAAGCCCTCCAGGCCCTGTGGCCCAAGTGGACACCACACACGACTCTCAGCACCCTCTGGCAGGCAGGAATCCCAGAGCTCCTCAAAGAAGCCCAGCCCGGCCCCCTCTGGAGGCTGCGGGAAAGGCAGAAAGAGGTCGGCAAAGTTCACGAACAGGGGTGGCAAGTGGGCATGGCACGTGAGACCAGTGGATGTGGTGTAAAGGGCATGGACATCCAGCCGTGCGGGGGCCGGGCATCGGGGCTGCAGAGGCAGGAGCAGAGGGCGGGCAGGGCGGCCAGGACACAGGCAGGGCACATGGACAGCCTCCAGGGGTGCATACAGCTGTCCTTCCACACGGAAGCGCAGCTCCAGAGAGTAGATGGGCTCCAGCGCCTCCGGCTGGAGCTTCAACACTGGGAGTGGGCCCTTGACCCGATGGGACCCCAGGCTCAGCCGTACCAGGGCCGGTGCCTCCTGCACCATCAGTGCTGCCACAAAGCCCTGGTTCTCGGCCACCAGTGAAGAGGCCAGTGCAGGTGCGGCAAGCGAGGGGCCCAGGGCCACCCCCAACTTGGGTGCTGCCAGGTGTGCCAGCAGGATGTAGTAGAGGCGGGCGTGGTCACGCCCATCAGGGTCCTCCAGCTGCCTGGCCAGCACCTGCAGCAAGTCGACCAGGCCGCCCCTCACCCCTGCCCGCAGCAGCGCCCGGCAGACCCGCAGCAGGCCCTGCTGTAGGTCCCAGTTCGTGCAGTGGGCAGCCGCGGCCTGTAGAAAGTTGAGGGTAGCACTCTGGGCATCTCCATCTGCCACCTTTGCCAGCATTTGCAGGTGCCAGCAAAGAGCTTCATCCCTGCCCGGCCTGGACACCACCACCTGCCGCAACACCACCTTCAGGGGCTCCCTCAGCTCAGAGTCCACCTGATCCAAGAGGTCCACAAAGTGGGGAGCCAGCATGGGCCGGGCTTGGTACAGCTGGGCCAGTCCGTGGATCAAGGGGGTCAGCACCGTAGGTTGCCCAGCCAGGCAGCAGGCCACCAGATACGAGGCCTGGAAGCAGAGAGTGGCCAAGGCCCGGGGGCCCCCATCCAGGGCTGCCCGCTGCCGCAAGCCAGCCAGCAGCTCTTCCAGGTAGTGCCGTGGGCTTGGAAGCTGGCCTTTCTCCTCTTCTTCCTCCTCGGCACAGAGCAGGCACAGTAAATGCAGGCGGGCCAGGAGGGCCATTGGGTCATGCAGGAGACTGGGCAGGAGACCACGGCATAGCTGGGGCCCTAGCAGCAGTGGGGCAGCCTCCTCACCTTCAGGGCCCAGCGGCCAGTTCTCAGGGAAGCTCAGGACGCAGTGAAGGTAAAAGAGATGGGTGGGCGGAGGCAGAGCAGGGTGCTGGGCAGCCAAGGTGAGCCGGCGGAGCAGCAACGCTTCATCCTGGGCTGTGAACAAGGCCTCACCAAAGGCCGCCTTGAGCGCAAGCATGGCGTGCAACAGTGTCAGCTGTGCTGTGCCTAGCAGCCGTACCAGCTGCGGCTTGAAGAGTGCCGGTGGCTGTCCCTGCAGACCCCGCAGGGCCCAGCCCAGCAGCCACAGGAGCTGGGCCTGGGCCACAGGAGTGAGCAGATAGGAGGTGTCCAGAAGCTGGATCACCGCAGCCCGCAGCTCCCGCGCCTCCTCAGGGCTGTGCTCTCGTGCTGTAAGGCTACGCTCCCCCTCTCCCTCCTCAGCTGCCGGCCAGCTGGGTGCCTGGGGCTGAAGGCGTCCATCGCCCTCCTCCACTAGTGTCCAATCCCAGGGACCACCCCCAGTTGGGGAGACCTTATCCGTGAGCAGTCCCCCCAGGCCAGCCCCAACCCGGGACTGGAGCACCAAGGTGTTGCGCAAAGCGAGGGCCAGCAACAGGCTGAGTGGCTGGACAGGGCCTTCCTGCCCCAGCAGGCCCCGCAGCAACCCCAGGGAGCCCCCCAGCAGCCCGGGCTTGCAGCTCTCTAGCTCTCGCAGGCACTCGCAGGCCGTGGCCTGCAAGGGGCGCTGTTCCGAGGCGGGGACAAAGCCTCGCCCCAGATCGCTACCCGCGGCCAGGCCGAGCAGTAGGGGCAGGAGCCGGCAGGAGGCGCCCGAGGTGGGGCCCAGCGCGCCGCCCGCCGCCAGGGCAGTGGTGGCCGCCAGCAGCAGTGGCCGACGGAGAGCTGAGGGCCGCGGGGGTAGGAGGACCAAGGTGTCCAACAGGGAGGTGGCGGCCACTTCGGCCGCAGAGGCGTCGGGCCACAGCTGCGCAGGGTACTCCATGCTCAGGGCCAGCAGGGAAACCTGGATGGGGGATTAGGAGGGAATCACGAAGATGAGGTTCATGACGCGGCGGGCTGGGGTGACCCTGCGGAACGGCGCAGGGGACGCGTGGGGGCCTACCTTGGTCTGTTCGCTCAGCTTCTCACTTCTCAGGTCGCTCAGCAGGTCGCGACCCAAATCCTCCCCCTCGGGACCTGCCATGAAGGCAGACGGGCTGGCCCGGAAGGCCCCCAAGCGCTGGGCCCAGGCGTCCCGGCTCAGGGGCCCCATGGTGAGGCGCGCGGGCCCCTGCGCAGGGAAGAGGGACCCTCAGGCCGCAGCCACCGGGAGCGCGGGGCCCGCTGCCGACCCCGAGGGGCTGCGGTCACCCCCAGACGCCGCGCAGATGCCGGCGGGACCCGCGCCCGGCTCCCACGGTGAGACCAGGGCTCTCGGGGCCGACGCCAGAGCTGGGCGCCGGGGCCCTCGCGGGACAGGACAGGAGCAGGGCGGGGGAGGGTGCGTGCCGAGAGCTCGTTAGGCCGCCTCCCTCCCGCCCGCGGCCCGCACCGAAACCACAGCGCCACCCCGGCCCCCGGCGCCGGCGGTAACGGGCCGCGCTCGCCGCCTGACTCAGCCGCCGCGGGCACTCAGGCCGGCCGGCTCCTTCCGGGCTGGCGGCGCGGGGCGGGGCGCGGCGCGGGGGCGGCCGAGTCCGGGCGGGGAGGGGCGGGGCGTAACGGGGCCACCGCCTCCCGCAGGTGTCGACTCGCAGGTTTCGCGGGGGCTGACTAACTGTCCCGCCGCGCAGGCCCCCTTCCCCGAAACCGCCGCAGGCCGGGGCAGGAAAGGCGGAGGGGAGTGGGTAGGGGTGGCGGAGCGGGGTGGGCCTGGGCCCCAGATGCCGGGTACCGCGGCGCAGGGCTGCGATCCCGCGGCCCTCGGCGGACAGCGGCCCGGTCCCACCAGCGCCCGCCAAGCCGCGCAGGGCGGCAGCCAGCGCGCCCCCCGCCGGCGCCCGGGCACACCGCACCCTGCGCCAGACGCGCGGCCCCGGGGGGCGTGGGTGCGGGTCCTGGGGCTCCCGGAGTGGCCCCTGGGGGTGACCAAGGTGCGGTCGCAGGGCGCCCGCAGGAAAAGCGCCCCAGCTGAACCGGTCCGGCGGGCGCCGCAGGGCTTGGCTTCGCTTCCCTGACGCCTGCCCGGGCCCCCAGCCCGCTCGGCTTGGGGGCGAGGAGCCGGCGCCGCGGTTGCGGCCAGCCAGGAGCTTCTGACCTTTGTTTGCCCGAGGCCGCGCTGGCGGCCCGCAGGGGTCGTGACGGCGAGGGCGGGGCAGGGCCCTAAGTCGAAAACAACGGGATCCATACTCGGGAAGTGCGGGCTGTCAGGGCCTGGCCGGTCACGGGGCTCGAGGCATGCCTAGCGATGGGGAAAACAGGCCCAGGAGGAGGGCGGCCTTGCCAACCGAGATCTGGGGCCAAGCCGGGCCGGAACCCAGCACTCCAGACTTCAGTGGGCTGGATTCTGGCTGTTTGGGGGCATTCGGGGGTCTGGGCGGCGGTCTCTCCCAGGCCAGAGGCCCAGGTTGCAGGTGCCCCACAGACCACCGGTTTCCAGGGCACAGAACCGCCGGCGCCCAAACCTCACCACCCCTCTGGCTCCAATTAGCCGCTTTGAAGATGAAACAGGCCTGAGCCCCCATGCAAGCCAGTGCCAGCTGGCCTCTCCCTACCCCATCCTGCTCCAGATGGGAGGTGGTGGAGAGTTGAGGGGTGGAGAGTGCCAAAAAGGAGGCTGTCTGGGTGCCCTTGGGGATGGAGAGATAGAGACCCACTCGGAGGGACAGGTCCAGCCAGAAGGCCCGGTCCCGGCTCCTCTAGGCCCTGGCTCCACAGTTGACTCACAGGCAGCAGCCCCAAACTACTTCCCTCTAGGTGCCTCAGTTTCCCCATCTATAAAATGGGAGTGATAACTCCCACCCAAGAGGCTGTGGGGTGAGGCAGCCTGGCTAATTAAACCCAAGATGAAAGAGGCAGGATGAGAGCAGCCCTGGGGAGGGGAGGCAGCCTGCAGTAGGAGCCAGTCTGGTTTCTCTGTCTGAGCCCAGAGGGTGCTGGTAACTGCACATCCCCGGCCCTCACCACCCTCACGGTGAGGCAGGAATGATCATTAAACTTCTTGCAGAGTTGAGAAGACAGGTTTCCAAGGATCAGGGGGCCTGACACTGGCTCTGGCCCCGGCTCAGCCTCTGACAGCGTGGCCTCTGCACACCTCCTGCCTGAGTCTTGACTCCTTGAGGCTGAGGGTCTGGAGGGAGGGAACCCACTTGTGGTCTCCAATACTGCAGTGGACGAATCCGCATGGACTTACTGAGGCTCACAGCAACCCCAGGTACCGAGAGTGGGTATCAGATGAGGAAAGGGAAGCCCACAGAGGTACGGTCTCTCAGTCACAGAGCCCCTCAGAGGTGGAGCCTCGACTTCCACAAACAGCCCCTTGTTGCATCTGACCTGGTCCTCCCCCCACACCAGGTACCCTCGGCCCTCTTGGGTGTCCAGGTCCCTGGATGGGCCCTGTTCTCACCTGTCTGCTCCCCTATTGGCGGGTGGTGCTGGCTCTGTCCCTGGCAAGGCCAGGCATGGAGCTGAGCTCAGACTGTCACCGGACTCACCCGGGACAGCAACATCCCAGTCGAGGGCCCAGGTGTGGGCCACTGCCGGATGCTGAGCTGGGAATTCCCCACTCCACGCCCTCCCTCATTTCTTCTCCTGCTGAGTTTCTGTCCTCCCCATGCAGCCCAGTTGTGGGCAGACACTAAACACAAGGCTTGTAAAAGGGAAAGTCAGCTTCCCAAGGGGTCCTGAGCCTCAGTTTTCTCATCTGTAAAATCGGGCTACAACAAACACACTCTCGCAGCACTGGCTGCTGGGGATACAGGAAGGCTTAGGAAAGAACGAGTCAATAGGCAAAGCCATGGAGATAGAGCAGATAGTGGGTGCTGGGCCAGGGGGAAGGGAGACACAGTGACAGCTAATGAGTACAGGGTTTTCTTTGGGGCCATGAAAATGTTCTGAGATTTAGTGATGATGGTTGTACAGCTCTGTGAGGTTACTAAAAACCAGTGAATTGTACATCTTACAAAAGGGTGAATTTGATGGTATATGAATTCTATCTAAATAAAGCTATTTAAAATGGTGTTTAAAAAGGGGTCCCACCCCAGACCAGCAGGGGCACAAAAAGTAAAAATAAAAAATAAGGCCGGGCACGGTGGCTCACTCCTGTAATCCCAGCCTTTGGGAGGCTGAGGCGGGCAGATCACGAGGTCAGGAGATTGAGACCATCCTGGAGAACATGGTGAAACCCCGTCTCTACTAAAAATACAAAAAAATTAGCTGGGCATGGTGGCGGGCGCCTGTAAGTCCCAGCTACTCAGGAGGCTGAGGCAGGAGAATGGCGTGAACCAGGGGGTCGGAGCTTGCAGTGAGCCGAGATCACGCCACTGCTCTCCAGCCTGGACGACAGGGAGACACCGTCTCAAAAAAAATAAATAAAAATAAAAAAGTAAAATAAAAAGGGGTCCCTCAAGTTCAGAACTTGCACTGGTGGGGAGGAGAACCAACAATAAACAAGAAAGACAAACGAAACGCCACAGAGTCAAAGTTGTGGCAAAGAAAATAGGATAGTGGGACAGAGGTGGCAGGGGACAAGGATTTAGCTGGGGTGGATGGAGAGGCCCCTCAGAAGAGGGGACATTTGGTTGAAACCTGAATGAAGAAAGGTGGCCAGTAATCCAGTAGGGAAAAGTGTTCCAGGCAGAAGGAGCATCGGGAGGAGGGGCCAGAGCTGGGAACAGGCCAAGGCTTGTTCAGGGGACGCGGGAGACAGCAGTGTGGCTGGCATACAGGGACCCAGCTGGAAGGGGATTGGGAGGTCAACGGCGGCCCCAGCACGCCAGGCCTCAGGCTCTTATTCCAGCTGCAGTGAAGCCACTGGAGGGTGTGAGCCGAGGGGAGGCCTGGCCTGGGTTTTAAGAGCACCTCGTGTGGCCCACCTGCCTCTCCAACCTCAGCTTCCCTACCCTCTCTTCCCCCCACCGCACGGCCAGGTTGCATTTGGGTTCGCGGTACACACTAGGCTCACTCCTGCTCAGGGCCTTGGCATCAGCTGTTCCTTCTGCTGGTCATGATCTTCTCCACTCTGCACAGCTGGCTCCACCCTCTCATTCAGGCCTCAGCACCCCTACCTGCCACCATCACATTCTCTCGCCAAATGTTCTCTGTGCATCTTAGGCTTCTGCTTGTTTCCTTGTTTCTTTGTCTGCCTTGCCTTGTAGAATCTCAGTGCCTGGCACAGCAGGTTCTCAGGAATTAAGGGAAGAATTACGGGATGAATGAACACCATCTAGCTGGCACTGTGCTGCTAGATGAACAGAGATGTACTGCTAGATGTGGTGAACAGAGCACAGGCCGCCAGCCTTCGTGACACTCACAGTTCAACTCCGTGTTTCCCCGCCGTCACATACATCGTCTGTCTCCTGAGCTGCCCGTGAAGACAGCCACACCACACACCGCGGCCTGTGGGTCAAACCTAACCCACAAAGGTGTTTTGTTGGATCCATTCCATGTTTTAAAATTTTTTGATTAGCTGGGTGTGGTGGCAAACACCTGTAGTCCCAGCTACTCAGGAGGCTGAGGCAGGAGGATCACTTGAGCCCAGTAATTCGAGATTGCACCACTGTGCTCCAGCCAGGCGACCTGGTGAGACCCCAACTCTTAAAATTATTTTAAAAATAAAAAAATTGAGCTAACATTTAAAAATTAGTTGATTTCACTTACAAATCTGGACTTCTGGCTTCTCTTGGAAAATGGAAAGCTGTGGCCACGTGGGGTTTGTGCATCTGAATGACAGGATTGTGACTGCCGTTTAGATAGGGACATTCTCTCCCGTCCCCCCAACTCTGTTCTCCCCAACGGCCAGGGCCAGTTGTGTTTTCTCACTGAATTTGTAGTATTGTCTTCCCATATCTATGTCTCCACCAAAAGTTGGACTGTGAAAGGTGAATGGGTCACAGGAGTCAAGAAAAGAGGATATTCATTCATTCAACAAACATTTATTGATAACCCACTTTGTGCCAGGCACAGCTGTAGATGCTGGAGATATAGCAGTAGACAACACCGCCTCCCACCTGGGGCCCCATTCCACATCCTGTAACTCACTTGTGCAGGGAGGGGTTCCCCTGGCTGGCTTCACTTTATCTACCCAGTGTCCTGTCCCTCTGGACATTGGAGTTGCTCCCTTGATGGGGAAGACTGCCCCTTGTGTCTAGGGACATCTGTGAAGACTTCACCGTAGTATCCACCGAGCACCCACTGTGTACCAGCCCATCAGGGCTTGGCACAACAAAACTGCTCAACCAATATTTGTTGAATGAATGAACTAACTGCACCTCTGTCCTAGACAGATTGTGTTTAAGGTTGTTTCTCCTGGATTCACCTCAAAAGATAGGCACATACCAGGTGTTCACTTAATGTCAGTTGAACTCAAAGGTCTGGCTGGGATCAGAGTGGAGGTCACAGCCCTTAGAAAGGCAGGGGAAGAGGCAAACACGAACGCCCCATCCCTGCCCTTAAGTAGGTCAGCGAGTGAAGGAAGCCCAGCCAGCGCCCAAGTGTCACGATGAGAGTGTGGGCTTCATGGAGGCCTCTGAGGAGCGGGGGCATCCCTCCACGTGGGCCTGGGGCCTGAGGAGAGTATGAAGAGTGGCTGGGGGCGCGGGTCCCAGGCTGAACCTCAGCCCTGGGCAGGCCGTGGGTAGGAAGCTCTCCGCGGTGGCCGCAGCAGGGCAAAGGCGGCTGAGCCTTTCCCGGTCTGAGGTCCCCAGCCCTCCGCGCTCCACCAGCCTGGCTGCACCTGAAATCCACCCATTTGGGACAAGGAGGAGTTTTTTTGAGGATGCATAAGTCCCACTGGCCAAGACACGGGGGTCTGTCGGGCTCTCGGCGCACTCCGCGCAGTTGAAGCCACTTCCTCCGTGAAGCCCTCCGGGCAGAAGGCGGGTTCTCCGACGGGTACTCGGTCGCGCGGTCCGTGCCTCCCCACACACCGGCCGGGGCCGCTCCTGCGGCCCTGCGTGCCTTTTCGCACAAAGCCGGCGCCCAGCAAACACCTCCCCGGCTGAGCCACGAGTTGCTTAGCCAAGCCTTTGGGATCCCGCGCCGCCTGGGCCCAGGCCCGGTTCAACAAGTGCGGACCGGGCCGCCCGTTCCCGCCCGGCGGCTTCGCGCCTCCCCAGGAGCCTCGGGCGCGCCGGGTTGGGCCGGCCCCAGTGGGGCGAGTTTCGTGTCATCACCCGCGGAGCGTGCCAGCGCCGGTGCAAATAACGTTGCCCCCTCCCTCCCGGCTCCGCTCGCTCCGAAACTCCTGTTTGCAAACGCCAGTACGCCTGGCTAGGAGGTCCCGCGGGGGCCGGGCCGGCTGGGCAGCCAGGGGCTGAGTGCCCGAAGCTCGCCCCCCGACCCCGCCCCGCCCGGCCGCCCCGCCCGGGCCGCGAGGCCACCTCACCCGCAGCGGAATGGAAACCGGTTCGACAGGTAACAAATAGGTGGGTTGTCACCGTTATTTCCCAACGCATGCGCCGTCGCTCCCCGGGCCACCCCAAGCTAATTAGATCAGATCACCGCCCCCCACCCCCACCCCCCCCCGCCCCAGCCACCAACACACACCGCCGCGAGCCAATAAAGCGTGAACCCGTCCGTCCGGCTCGCACTTTAAGACTTCCCGAGCGGCGGCGGGGACGCCAGTCGAGCCGGGAGACGCTTACCTGCCGCTTCCCCGCGCCGCCCGGTGCACCTGGCCGCAAGGGACCTCGTTCTCAGGGAAGACGGCGACATTCCGCGGAGGTGGAACCGCCGCGCGCCGTCCGGGCTCGGACCTTCCCCGGAACGTGGGGGCGCCTTAGCGACTCCTTCCCTGTTGTGCCCCCGTTCCCGGCGTTCAGCCCGGCCCCGCAAAGGTGGGACGGCTCCCGGCTTCAGTTACGGAAGCGGCCCGTGTCCAGCGACGAGGGTTCGAAAATGCCCCGCGCGTTCCTGGTGAAGAAGCCGTGCGTCTCCACGTGCAAGAGGAACTGGAGCGAGCTCCCCGACGAGGAGCGCGGCGAGATCTACGTGCCAGGTGAGGCTCCAACCGCCCTCCGGCCTGGGGCACCCGCGGCGGCGTCGAGGCTGCGGGCGGGCGGGCGGGCGCAGGTCCGCGGAGCCAGGCGGCAGGCGCGGTGTGGGCGCCGGGGCTGAATGCGGCCGCGGCCTGGGCTGGGTGGGCCCGCGGCTCTCGACCCGGGACTCGGGGGGCGGGGGCGGGGCCGGCGGAAGAGCGCTGGTCGGGGCGGGGGCTGCATGGTGGAAGGGGAGCCGCTCCCAGGGCCAGGGGGCGCGGAACCGCCTACCCCCACCCCCTGAACCGCGGCACAGAGGAGGCAGCGGGGTGTGTCACCGCTCAGGCGACCCTCGGCTCCGACGTCGTAAATCCAGAAAACCGGGACTCGCATGAGGCGGGAGAAGGCACTGGAGCGATGCCACTTTGGGGGGCGGGGAGCGGGCTGGAGTTTCGGCCGAGATTTGTGTTAAAAGCTCAGAGCTTCAGCCGCTCGCACAGGTCCTTCCTCCTCCCCCACAACACTGGTGGCCGGGTCGGAGTGAGGGTCGGGCCGGTGGGGGGCGTGGGCCCCCAAATTTTCGTTGGGCTCCGGCTGCTAGTCCCGCGCAGTGAGCCGAGACGGTGGGACAGGCGCCCGCTGCGCCCCGCTTGCCCTTAAAGCAGAGGTGGGATCGGGTCTCACCTCTGCTAGAAACGCACTTCCTTCACCTTGCGGAGGGCACAATTGCATGGAAAGCAGCTGCAGGGAGCCCACCCCACAGCGGAGGGCCAGGCCCGGGGAAGCTGGTGTACCCAGTTATTTTTGGCAGACGCCTAGACAGCGTCGACTGTGAGAGTTGCTTCTTCCTCCAGCGGCATCTTCCCCTGAACGCCCCAAGAACACTCCTACCCCTTCTGTCCTCCCCCACCCCCAACAAAGTCTTTGGTCTGGAGAAAGCCTGCTTCCTTCCGAACGCCCCCTCCCCAGGCCTTGGGGGCGGGGCGTGGACGCTCTGAACGCCCAGCCCAGCCCCTCCGAGGGGGGAGGGGAGGAGTAATTAACCAACTGACTTTGACCCTTGATCTGCAGACTCCCTGGCACCGCCCCAGGCCTTGTAGGAAAGTGGGGAAATGAGGGCAGCAGTGAGGGGCCCCGTGAGGGCTCTTGCTCAGTTTCCCTCCTGAATAAGCTGTTGGAGACAGTGTCCTGGTGAGGTCTTTGTGGCCTGACCTTCCAGGACCCAGTGGCCTGTGGCGCTGGCAGGATGTTTCACAGCTTAACCTGATCTCAAGGGGACCCCTCTTCCACCGTTCCTTAAAACAAGGGAATGTGCCAGAAGACCCTGGTAACCCCAGTGGGGAAACTGAGGCAAAAAGGGAAGTGAGTGGCCTCCCCACCTGAGGCAGATTAGGGTGTGGGCTCAGAATTCTGTGTATAGCTTCTTGCTTGGCCACACTCCCTGGTGAGCTGGCTGGTTCTCTACCTGGGGGTTGGTGGGGGCACGCAGAGGGCCAGAGCCCCCTCCCCGCTCCGCCCTCCGCCCTCCACCCTCACCTGTGTTTGACTTGCTGCTTAGCTGCTCCTTGGGATCTGATAAACTGAACTTGGACCGTGGTAAAGGTGAGCTGAGCCCTGAGCCAGGCTCAGTGTGCTGTTATTTTTAGTTTTATTTCACATCCCAATCAGTAACAGATCATGTGTTGATTTTTACAAAGGACAAAGAAATTCCGTTGGTTGAAATCATTGACTTCTTTTTGTCCTAGCTATTTTCTCTGCCACACTTCCAGTGGCCACAGTGGAAGTGGCAGGGGAGACGTATGCCCCAGGGGCTTCCTGTCAGGTGCAGGAGAGGGCCTCTGGGTGGTCCAGGCCACCCGCTGGCACCATCCAGGTGAGGGAGACCTGCCGGCTTCTCTGTAGGCTCCTCCAGGATGTGTGGCGGGAGTCCAATCTCAAGGATGAAGGGAGAATTTGTCCTCATCCCCATGGCAAGGAGAGAATCCTGTGGGTCAAGTAAAGGGTAGAAGATAGAGAACTTAATTTTACCTCTGAAAGTCATGTGGCCCACTGGAGAGTTTTCCCACAGTTTTTGGCAATGAGAAAGGGACTGTCCTCAGTCCACGCTCGGGTGCCTCAGATGGCTGGAGAGTGGGGGTGCGTTTTGTGCTGGCCTGTCCCCTGGCTGGGCCATTCCATCACCAGCCAACCATGACCCCAGAGCCAGCTGGGCACGTTTCCGTTCACCTCACAGATTCCTGGTAAGTTGTGACCAGCTAAGCGTTGACCCCATTTCCAGTGGAGGGCCCAGGAATGTGGGAGTGTTTGAGTTCTGACCTTCCTGCCAGGTTCCTCTGAGACCCTCAAAGCCTCCCAGAAGGTTTTGGGAGAAGGTTTTACAGGCCAGAGACACTGGTCCCCAGCCCGACAGCACTGATTCCAGGGCCCCAGTTTGACAATCCCATCAGCCTCTCTCCCCAAGGCAGAATTCTAGAGCTTCTTACTCCCGGGGCAGAATCTTTCCCCTGGGAAGAGGTGAAGATGGTTGCAAGCACCCTGGAGATTTGAAAGGATTACTGGCTAGGAAGCCACCTTGAACCGCTCCCCCACCCACCCCCCCAACCACCCTCCCCTCGCCTTCCTTTGTTATGTCAATATTGACTTGGAGTGACAGGGAGTAATGCTGGTTCCTTGAGGATAAACCTAGGCACCTGTACCCAGGGGGTAAATTCTACCTCCTGGACCCACCAGGGAAGGGCTCCAGGAACAGGGTTGAAGCTGGTTCCCCCGAGCCCCACCCCATGCTGAGTGAAATCTCCAGGCCAGGAAAGGACCTGAGGACAGACTGAGGCTGGAAGCTGGAGTCAAGGAGCATCCCAGGGCCTCTCCCAGGCCTCCCACCACTGCTTCCCAGCCTCCCCTCTGTCACTGGGCTGGCCACAGTCTGCTCTGCCACTCGCCTGGTGGACACTCGAGCTCAGGGAGGCCAGCAGGCTGGGCGGTGGGACACTGGAGCTTCCTTCAAGGAATGTGGTCCAGCCTGGCTCTACCACTAGGTAGTGTGGGCACTTGGGCAGATCTCTTTCCAGCTGGTCAGGAAAGCTGAGAGTGAGCTTTGGGGCCCAAGGATGTGTCGGGAGTGAGGATAGTGAGAGCTCCGGCCTCTGATGGGATGGTTACCCTGTAGTCATTCCTGGGCCGTGTTTGGCAGCGAAGGAGATGTTTGCTGTGCTTGCCAGGGAGCGGGGCTGGGAGAGTGGACAGCCACACAGTGGACAGAGACAGAAGAGCAGCATGGGCCTGGGCAGCCAGCTAGATGAGACTCCTACCTGTCCCCTGGGATCCTGTCACCCAGGCTGCTAGGCTGTCTGTGCTGAGCTTGGGTGTCCCGAGGCGGAAACCTGGCAGATGATTTGTCTCAGAAAGAACAGGTGAGGGCGAGTCCTTTGGCTGCAGGGAGGATGGCGAGGGAAGCTGGCCATGGGTGAAGTCGGGGCTCCTTTGTATCATCGGCCATTTCAACAAGTCCTGGATGGAGTCCCACAGAGGCACTGGGCCTGTGCCTGGCTGGGTGGGGGCTGCAACAGGAAGCACTGCTCCCACTGTTCTGGGCGGGCACCCTGGCGCGAGGGCCGAGGCACAGTTTTAACTTCTTTGTGGATACCCAGTGAAAAGCGGTTGGGAAAGAGGGAAAATACACTGTCTGAGGCGACCTGTGGCAGTTCACAGCGTGGAAACAGAAGGCCAAGAGACTGGCCCATGCGTTACCGGGCCGGCCTGCCTCTGGCTGGTGCTGGGTCCTTTTGGATGATTGCTAGCTGACCTATGGGGACCAGAGGAGATGGGCACGGGGGGCACCAGCCCTTCCTGATAAGGGTGCAAGGCTGCTGAGAACCAGCTGCACTGTGCTGACATGCTGGGCCCCCGTCTCACCTTCAGAACTGGGCTGACCCCCATGTTCTGGGGCAGCACCCATGTGGTCAGTGGGGCCCAGGAGGGGGTCATCCTTGCATCTGCTTCACTTACTCTCCCCAGAGAGCCAGGGACAGGCCTCATGCCCAGCCCTGTCCTGAGGCCTTGGATGGGGGGACCCGGCACTTTCCCCAACATCTGGGCCAGCAGCTTTCCATCCAAGAGATGGAGGACTTACAGAGGCCAAGGCAGGAGACAGGCCTCGATGGGCAGCTGCCCTGGACACAGTCCCTCGGTGTCCGTGCCTCTGCTCTGAGCCTGGCCCTCAACATTGTCCAGGTAGAGGCAAGTAGGGCCAGCAGGAGGGGACCCATAAGCCCCCAGGCAGTAGGAAGAGGGCCAAGCTAGTTTGGCCTTGCCATACTCCACAGCTGTGGGCGGGTGATGAGTAGTCATAGCGCCACCGCCTTGCCGGAAACATCTAATTAGGGACAGAGAGCACCACAAGCAGGGCCCAACCAGTTCTGCTTCCTGCCTCCTGCCACTCAGCGACACTCAGTGCCAGGTGGCACGCCAGTGTGCACTCCCTGTGCGTGTGGCCGCAGAAGGGACACGCTCATGGGGGTGGCAGGGAGACAGGTTTGGCAGGGTGGGTGGGATGAGGCAAACATCCCCACCCTGGCAGCGGGTGGCCGCCCATCCAGCCTCCTCTGCCCCTCGCTCAGGGTGGAGGTGGACCAGAGAGCCAAAGCAGGCAGGCCCACTCCCTGGCCCCGGTCTCCCAGCACCAGCTCAGCCAGGTTTGTGTGGAACAGCAGAGGTGGGCAAAGGACACAGGTCTCCTCCCAAATGCATGGATCTCAGGACCCTAACCATGAGCCTCCCCTCTCGTGGAGCAAGGCAGCCCAGAGCAGCCACCCTTGTGGGCTCAGCCCGTCCCTCACCTGCTGTCTCCTGCCCTGCTGTGGTGCAGCTGGGGGACCTCGCTCACACCATCCAGTACTAACAGGCAGAGGAGGGTAGAGGTTCCTGTTTGTCTCCACCTGGATTGAGAAATGAAAACTGTCATCCAGCTTTGAATTCTCAGCCAAGGTCTCCAATAGCTGGTGAGCCTGCATCAGAAGTTCACCATCGCCCCTGCCCACCCCCAGCCCTGTGGGCACAGACAGCTCCTGCGGCAGGGGAACAGGCCTGGGTAGACAGCCAGACCCCGACGACTTGAGCCTGACACTCAGACTCAGAGAAAGGTGCAATGCCAGCCCAGAGGCCAGGCCGGGGCCAGGCGCTGGTGAATCAACCCTAGGAATGAGGTGGCTCATTAAAGGCCCCCGGACAGACGGACGCCAGTGCCTGCAGGACGGGTTCTGGGCGGCGGCGGGTGCATTCTTCTCTCTCAGACCTTTGTTGTGTTTTGAGGGGGCGAGAGCTGGGGCCTCTCCCGAAACTTCAGCACTGTCAAACGCACCCTTGCTCCACAATCACATTTCTCTGCTTCCCCCATGTCCCTGTCCTCCTGGGAGAAGAGGTGAGGGCGGCAGCCCTCCTGCCCAGGCCCAAGCCCGTTCTCTGTCTCGCCGGCTGTGGGATGGCAGGGTGCACAGGGCCGTGCTCCTGCTTCTGCAATCCCACATCAGCCTCCCTCGGAAGCTCACTTATCCTTTTGGTCATAGGCCCCTCGTGATTTTTCCTTCTGAAGCTTGGAAGATGTCCTTAGCTTACAGGTTTCAAGTACTGAGCTCAGGCTCTTTGGAAGAAAAATATTAAGTTGAAAAATTTGCCCCGGCTCTGTTGGCTTTGAGAATTGCCTGTCTGTGTCCCTCGAGAGTGCTCTCTTTCTGGTCCTCTCTAGTCAGCACTGGGCTCAGGGTCTGAAGCCAAGCCTCCCCGGCCCGTTCGGTGTGAGGTGTCTGCCTCGGGGCGTGGCTGCATCCAAGGGCTGCCAGGTATCGGTGCTGCCGCTGCTGAGGGAGCCCAGCCCGACATGCCCCGGCGAGCGGTCCTGCCGAGGGGGAGGGTTGCATAAGCCTGGGCAGGCTGCCGAGACTGTTAGGCTGCATCCACCTGCGGCTCCCTGACCTCCTCCCTGTTCCACCCACCTGGCCTGTTTCCCTGCAGAGCTGGGACCAGCTGGGAGTGGAGAGCCTGGAGCCCTGGGGTGCAACAGCAGGGACCGGCCTGCTGGGGTGGGGGTGGGAGGCAGGGCTAGGACCACCCAAACCCCCAAGGCCAGCAGCCAAATCTGTTGGAGAGGCCTGGAGTGGCCCAGACCACCAGGGACCCTTCTGATGAGGCTCCAAGAGCTGTCCCTGGGCAGAAGGTCTCCACTGGTGCCCTTTGTCCCTGCAGGAGAGTGGATGAGGCCTGGAATTCAGAGGGACCAGCCCAGGTGGGGCAGGCAGAAAACTCCGGAGGGATAATTGGCAGGGCAGTTCGGTCCTCCCAGTTCCGCTAAGACACAAATTACTCAGCGGGCAGTGGCGCTTGGCTGGCATCACCTGCAATTACCTTAATAGGGCGGGAAGGCGGTGCAGCAGTGGTGGTCGGGGCAGCCCCGCTCTGCTGCATGCCTGCGATGGGAGGGACGGAGTCTCCAGGTTCCAGCCGTCTCATGGCTAGGGAAGTTTCCAGAAACCCGCTGGACCCTCTCTTCTCCACCAAGCCTCTCACCTGTCTGTTCTCTCCCCAGTCAGCCTGGGCTTCTGCCCACCACAGCCCTACCGGGAGCCGGAACCCTCTGTGGCCGAACCCCCTTCCTGCCCGCTGGCTTTGAACATGAGCCTTCGAGACTCTAGCTACAGCATGGCCCCCGGGCCCTGTGTGGTGGCCCAGCTGCCCTCTGAAGACATGGGCCACTTGACAGACCCCCAGAGCAGAGACCATGGCTTCCTGCGCACCAAGATGAAGGTAATGCCACTCGCGCTGTCTCCGAGGGCCGGGGGCGTGCATGTAGACCTGCGTCCAGCTCATGAGACATGGCACAAATGAGATGTAGGCAGAGACTGACCTGGGACCTGGGCCAAGGTTTCTGCAGAGGAGTGCCGATCTCCGGGCAGACGGCACAGAGCTGTGGTCTCTGGGAGGTGGGCACCACCCTCCTCAGGGACACTGGGGGCTGGCATCCACGTCTTCCCAATCTGCCAGCCTGTGGCCCCAACTTCTGGATGTCTGTCAGCAATGCCGTCCTCACCCACAGGTGACCCTTGGGGACAGTCCCAGTGGAGACCTGTTCACCTGCCGTGTCTGCCAGAAGGCCTTCACCTACCAGCGCATGCTGAACCGCCACATGAAGTGTCACAACGACGTCAAGAGGCACCTCTGCACGTACTGCGGGAAGGGCTTCAATGACACCTTCGACCTCAAGAGACACGTCCGAACTCACACTGGTAAGTGGAAGCCCACGGCTGGGAGGAGCACGCCGGATCCGCCTGGCCGCGGCCGTGCGGGAAAAGTCCAGCACCCCCTGCTCTCCCTCGGTGACGGGCAGCCTGGGAGGGCATCCCGGAGCTCAGGGCCAAAGTCCTCCTGAGCTCATCAGTTAGGAGTTTTGATTTGAGAGTCACTCGGGAAGTTGGTGTTGGACAGGCCTCCGTCCATCCCTTGGCCCTAGAGGCAGGGGTCCTGTCCTTTCTGTGTCTGGAAGCAGCCGACAGCCTCTGAAGTCCCTGCCAGGTCTCTGATGCTGGCCCCTGTCCTCCCCACAGGCGTGCGGCCCTACAAGTGCAGCCTGTGTGACAAGGCCTTCACGCAGCGCTGCTCTCTGGAGTCTCACCTCAAGAAGATCCATGGTGTGCAGCAGAAGTACGCGTACAAGGAGCGGCGGGCCAAGCTGTACGTGTGTGAGGAGTGCGGCTGCACATCTGAGAGCCAGGAGGGCCACGTCCTGCACCTGAAGGAGCACCACCCTGACAGCCCGCTGCTGCGCAAGACCTCCAAGAAGGTGGCCGTGGCACTACAGAACACTGTCACTTCCCTGCTGCAGGGCAGCCCCCACCTGTGAGTGGCTCGAGCCCTGGGGGTGCTCCTGGAAGCCCCAAGAGCATCCAGGATTGCCTCCCAGCTGCCTGGCCAGCCCACCCTCCTGCAACCTCTCACCCGAACACCAGTGATCAGGACTGGAGCCCCCGTGCCTTGGTCTCCCCCCTGGGCACACGTGCTCACTCAGGCCCAGCAATGACCTCTGCTCATTTTTGCATTTTTGACTTATGGGCCGAGGCTGTTCTGAGCCTGGGAAGATGTACCTATGTCAAGAGAAGGGATGAGGCCAAGGCTGCCTTCAATTAGAAGCAGCCGCCCACAGAGACAGGCACTGTGTGCCTGGCAGCAGGACTTCCTACCCAGAGGAGGTTCGAGCTAGGATCCCACTGCCCCCGCCTCTCAGCACAGGGCAGGGGCTGCAGGTCCCCAGTGGACATCAGAGTCAAAAGCACTGGCAAAGGGTACCCCTGCAAACAACTGTGGTGGGGGCTGGCAGCAGACCCCCCACCTGGCAGGGCTTCTAATGCTCAGGGTTCTGGAGGGCTCTGTCCTTCCGGCAAGGAGAGGCACACATGTGTGCCCAGCCGTGTGTGTGCGTGTGCTTGTGTGTGTGCACTGCTGTGTGTGTGTGCACGCACAGGAAGCCTTTCCACATATCACCTCATTTCTAAGAAATAAACTACAAGGTGCCAAGAAGGTTTTATTTCCTTTTATTTTTTAAAGATGACAAATGTACAGATGTTAATATATTTTTGGTGCCAATGGCGATGTTTTTAAGAGTGGGATGGAGCTGGCTTTTCTCCATTCCCGTGCGCTTCTATTTATCCTGGACATTTCAAACCTCCTCTGTGCCTTGGCTCTGGGCGGGGGCTGCCCCAACCCACCCCCGTTCTTTGTACGTGCTGAGACAGCCACTAGAAGATCTTCCTCCAGCGGCGCCCTGGACGGCTGCTCCTGCGAACAGCCCATGGCATCTTCTGCTCTTCCCTCCCGGCTCTGCCCTGCACATCCTGTTGAGCCAAGCCCCAGTGACCCGGAGAGCTGGCCTGATGCTGAGAGTGTGTCCTCCTGGGGCTTTAGGGGGCAGGAAGGTGGGACGAATGACGATGCCCATCCACTACCTGAAGCACTAGGACACTCTTGCAGGGCCAGGCTGGAAGACCGGCCCTTTTCTTGGTTGAGTCAAAAGCCTTAGCACAGTGGCAAAAAATGGGACAGAATGATGACCAGCACCTCAGAAACTTCCAGAGGGAGGAGAGGATTTGATGGCTACCAAATTGTATCTGTTGCCTTTTTTCTGACTTTTTCACCTGACCAGGCTGGGGTTTGGAGTGGCTGTGGGGAGACCCGTCCTGGCTGGCTGGCTGGCTCCCTTGCTCCCTTGCTGCAGCTGGGAAAGGGGTTCTGGGTGTAAAGAGGTGTGCGTCTTGTGGGCCAAAGGGAAAAACAGGCAGGGGTCAGAGCCAGCCTGCCAGAGGCAAATGCAAAAGAGGTCCCCAGAACACAGCCAGCTGGGCAGCCCCTTAAAGCCAAACCCCACCTGAAGCAGAACCACTTTGGCCTCCCCTGCCCAAAATGGGTAGTGTCTACACGTCCCCGGGCTCAGGCTCAGGCCCAGCCCTGGGCTGACCTGAGAGGAAGGCTCCTTCCTGGACTGCCCTCTGAAATGTGTATAGATTGATTCTAAAATCTCTTGTTTCACTTGACTTTAGAGTGTCTGGGACGCTGCTGTATTCTGAAAGTCACATAGCACACAGTAATGTTATCTGGAAGCTCTGTTTTTGTTTACATTTCTGTATCCCTGGGTTGACTGCCAATCCGAGGCCGTCATGAAGCTCTGTGTTGTCTGTTTTATTTTATAACCTTCCTCTCAACTATTAAAATTAGAGATCTAATGTTTTCTGTGTTTCCGATGTTTTTGTCTTATGGGCCCCTTTTTCCCCATGCAGAGAAGTAATGGAAACAATTGACACATTCTTATCCAAACCCTTCCTCGTTACGGTCACTGGGGGGCCCTGGTCAAGACAAGAGCCTGGCCCAGATAGCTTAAGTGACCTGCCCAGGGCCTCAGACAGTCACTGCCTGCTGAGTCCTGGTTTAGCATGCTCTGCTCTCAGCAGCGGCAGCAGCGGGGCGCCCTGAGCTCCATCCATCAGCCTCATACTACCCTGCATCTACCTCTGCCAGGCCGAGACCGCCAGGCTTTATGTAGTCACCCGGGGATCCAGTCTTGGCCTCCCAGGACCCTCCCAGGGTTAGACCACAGAAGGAGCCACAGTCCCAAAAAGAGGGTGCAAAGCTCACATCACTTCTGGTCAGACACTTAGGGACGGCCACACTCTGTGTCCACACACCTAGGGACAGCCATATGCTGTGTCCATGCACCTAGGGATGGCCACACCTGTGCCCACGCACCTAGGGACAGCCACACTCTGCATCCAGGCACCTAGGGACAGCCACACTCTGTGTCCACGCACCTAGGGACGGCCACACCTTGTCCACGCACCGAGGGACAGCCACACCTGTATCCACACACCTAAGGATGGCCACACCTGTGTCCACGCACCGAGGGATGGCCGCACCTCTGTCCAGGCACCTGGGGAGAGCCACACCTGTGTCCATGCACCGAGGGATGGCCACACCTGTGTCCAGGCACCCAGGGACGGCCACACCTGTGTCCATGCACCGAGGGACGGCTGCACCTGCACAACCCTTGTGCTGTGCCATGCACACTCAGAAGTGTGTTATGTATATTGGCTCACTTGACTCAACTCGCTTCTGAGGCAGGTTCTGTGACCACCCCCACCCTGGCAGACAGAATTTGGGTAGCTGACACAGTGTCTCACAACTGACCAGCAGTGGAGCTAGGCTGCCACCCGCCTGGCCTGGCCCAGGGTCTGCTCGGTAACTGCTCACGCTATGGATGGAGAAAGCAGGAAGGGACGTAGGGTCCCTCTAGGCAATTCAAACTAGGAAATTTGGAGCTTGCCTGGCTTTCCCTATCGCTTACCAGGATTGCTCTGGGAGACTGATCTCTTTGGGGGCCCTGGTCCCTGGGTCCCAATTCGTGTTTTCCACCATGGCCTGGCCAGATGGATAAGAAAGCTACAGGTCTGGGACGCTGGTCTTGTTCCAGGAGGCGTGGGAAGGGTTGGTACCAGGCGCTGTGAGGCGAGGGAAGACATCCTTTTCCAAGGCTCCCTGTAGCCGCCCACAGGACTAAAAAGGGCCCCAACCAATTTTCTGTCTCTAAATAGCTGGCCATGAAGGATTTCTCTTATCCAGAGAGGCCTCTCTGTGAAAGGCCAACTAAATCCCATTTCCTATCCCAAGACGTGCATCCCGCTGTTGGGAACCCAGGGGACTACCCACCACATGAACTTCAGGAGGCAGGACAGCCTCCAGGAAGCAGGGGCAGTGTAGGGGTGGAAGAGGCTCCCTCTGAGCCTCTGTACTCCCTCCCATGCCTCAGATGAGCTCAGGTGGGTGCCGTGCCCTGTGCCACCCAGAAGAGCTCTTCCCTAGCAGGGCGGGGCCAGTCACATTTCCAGGCCCAGAATATTCTCCAGGCTCTGTTGGATTGTAGCTGTGAGGGAAATGAAAAGTGTACAGGGCTCTGCTGACTGGGAAAAAGAGAGGAGATTATCTAACCCAGAACAAATGGCGTGGCCAAACTACAAACACTATGGAACCCAAAAGCAGTCTTTTGCATCAGAAAGAACAAAGGCTTCTTGGAAGAGGTGGGTCTGCGGCTGGGCTGGAAGAACAGGAGGATGTGAGTAGAACAGAGGAGGAGGTGTTTCGGGGAAGGAAAGTGGGCTCAGACACCAGGGGAGATGAGCGAAGCCAGGAGCGGGGTGGAAGGCGTCCCTGTTTCCACTAAAGCCGATGCCTCTTCATTCAGCCAGTCACACTGTAGGCATTTTTCTAGTCCCGCCTAGGTGTCAGGAAGAACTGGTAACTATACAAGATTCTGAGACACAGGAGAACTGGGGGATGTAGCCAGACAGCCTTATCAAGGATGAACGGAGAGTCCTATTTTTATACCTAAAAACAAAGCAACCAAGGGCAGGGTGGGAAAAGCTTTACAACAACAGTAAGTGCCATTAAGATTTATATTCTATCTTGGAATATTTTCCAATATATATATTTTTTGAGACGGAGTTTCGCTCTTGTCGCCCAGGCTGGAGTGCAATGGCACGATCTCAGCTTACTTCAACCTCTGGCTCCCAGGGTTCAAGCTATTCTCCCGCCTCAGCCTCCCGAGTAGCTGAGATTACAGGTGCCCACCACCATGCCTGGCTAATTTTTCGTATTTTTAGTAGAGACAGAGTGGTTTCACCATGTTCGCCAGGCTGGTCTCGAACTCCTGACCTCAGGTATTCCACCCATCTTGGCCTCCTAAAGTGCTGGGATTACAGGTGTGAGCCACTGCACCCGGCTCCCCCTTTTTTTTTTTTTATAGTGAATATATATTATTTTTACAATCAGTTGTAAGACAATTTAGGTGTTTTCAGTGACCTGAAGTTCAACAGGTCAACAGGAAAATGGGGCGGTCCCTTCCCCTGCCACCCAAAAAAGAGCTAATGATGGCTGAGAGTGGCGGCTCACGGCTATAATCCCAAAACTTTGGGAAGCCAAGGCAGGCAGATCGCTTGAGCCCAGGAGTTAGAGGCAAGCCTGGGCAACATAGGGAGATCCTGTCTCTACAAAAAAATTTTAGAATTAGGCCGGGTGTGGTGGCTCATGCCTGTAATCCCAGCACTTTGGGAGGCTGAGGCGGGTGGATCACCTGAGGTCAGGAGTTCCAGACCAGCCTGGCCAATATGGCGAAACCCTGCCTCTACAAAAAATACAGAAATCTGCCAGGTATGGTGGCACACTCCTGTAATCCAAGCTACTCAGGAGGCTGAGGCAGGAGAATCGCTTGAACCCTGGAGACAGAGGTTTCAGTGAGTCGAGATTGAGCCACTGCACTCCAGCCAGGGTGACAGAACAAGACTCTGTCTCAAAAAAAAAAAAAAATTAACTGGGCATGGTAGCATGTTCCTCTAGTCCCAGCTACTCCTGGGGCTAAGGTGGGAAAATTGCTTGAGCCTGGGAGGTCAAGACTGCAGTAAGCTGAGATTGCACCACTGCACTCCAGCCTGGGTGACAGCGCAAGACCCTACCTCCCAGAAAAAAAAAAAAAGAACTAATGTGATTTTGGACAATATCAGAAGTGTGGCACCAACAGCTAAGGCTGCCTCCCTCTGCTTGGTCAGGCACCCATCAGTGGTGCAGGGGAAGAGCAGGGTCTCAAATCAGGAGCCTGGTCTGAGCCTAGCCCTCTGTCACTGTCTGCGTGATCCCAGGCGAGTGACCACCTCTGTTTCCTCATCTATAAAATGAGGTGGGCTCCTAAACCCAAAAGTTCCAGTTCCTCTCTGCTCTAAAGACTCCATAAAAACTTTTTTTTTTTTTTTAGGCAGAGTCTCACTCGCTCTTGTCACCAGGCTGGAGTGCAGTGGCTCAATCTCGGCTCACTGCAACCTCTGCCTCCTGGGTTCAAGCGATTCTCCTGTCTCAGCCTCCTGAGTAGCTGGGATTATAGGCGCCCGCCACCATGCCCAGCCAATTTTTGTACTTTTAGTAGAGATGGGGTTTCAGCATGTTGGCCAGGCTGGTCTTGAACTCCTGACCTCAGGTGATCCACCCGCCTTGGCCTCCCAAATTGTTGGGATTACAGGCATGAGCCACCGTGCCCAGCCTCATAAAAACTCTTGAAGACACTTGCTGGCAAACTGGCAGAGGTGAGGAGGCTAAAGGCTGGGAGGTTGCCCTGCAGGAGGGGCCAAGGGCGGGGAGGCCAGGAGAGCAGTGCAGGCAGCTGGAGACTTCCAAGCACCCCATGCCCCAGCTGCTGGGAACGGCTGGAGGGCTGCTGGCCTGGCTGGGGGTCATTTGCTGGGACTCACTAAAGGGACCTAATTCTGGCACTGCAGGTGGGACACAGCCACAAAATCTCCTAGCCACAAAATCCTCTAAGGTCAAAGTGCGCTGGCCGTGATTTCCAGGCCTGCTCATCAGATCCAAGAAGGCAGAGCCAGGGAGAAAATGCTGCTGAGCTGAGTGGGATGGAAGAGACAGCCGAGCAGACAGCAAGACCTGCAGCAAGGTGGCTCCCTGCACTGAACCTGGACTCGCCACGGGCAGGCGCTCCCCTCTGATCCTCTCACTGTCCTCTGGGTCCACTCCCTCGGGCGATGGCAGCCACCTGACCCAGGATGTCCCGCTCTTTTCACAGCCAAATCTCTCTTCCTGAGCTCTGGAGTCTGTCTGGCTCCTGCTCTCCCACCTTAGGCTCCAGGGCCTGGCTCTTTCAGTCCCTACAACCAACCAGTCAGCTCCCAGTTCACCGCCCTCCCCCAACACCCCAGCTCTCCCAGGCAGAGGTGGCATGGAGGCAGCGGAGGCGGCAGGCAGGCTGCATGTGGGGGCTCAGGTACCTCGCCCCTGTGGGGCCCATGCCAGGGGTAGGTTGACTCAAGTGTGGAGATCGGGGTCTTGGGCAAGGGCGCTCCTTTGTGACTTAGATCTTCCAGGCTCTGTTTCCTGATTGTAAGAGCTGGGTATCAGTGCCTGATTTCCTCCGTTCCTCACTTTCTGTCTGTGACATGATTCCATACAATCCTACTTTGATCAATCTTTTAAAATAGAAAAAAGGCTGGGCGTGGTGGCTCACGCCTGTAATCCCAGCACTTTGGGAGGCCAACGCGGGCAGATCATGAGGTCAGGAGATCCAGACCATCCCGGCTAACACGGTGAAACCCCATATCTACTAAAAATACAAAAAAAAAATTAGCCAGGCGTGGTGGCACGTGCCTGTAGTCCCAGCTACTCGGGAGGGTGAGGCAGGAGAATCACTTGAACCCAGGAGGCAGAGGTTGTAGTGAGCCGAGATCACACCACTGCACTCCAGTCTGGGTGACAGAGCAAGACTCTGCCTTAAAAAATAAAATAAATAAATAAAAATAAAATAAAATAGAGTAAAACACAAAGAAAACAGATCATTTAAAATGTGCTCAGAGGCCAGGTGCAGTAGCTCACGCTTGTAATCCCTGCACTTTGGGAGGCGAAGGCGGGAGGATCACCTGAGAGCAGGGGTTCAAGACCAGCCTGGCCAACATGGTGAAACCCTGACTCTACTAAAAACACAAAAATTAGCCGGGCATGGTGGCACATGCCTGTAATCCCAGCTACTCAGGAGGCTGAGGCAGAGATCGCTTGAACCCAGGAGGCGGAGGTTGCAGTGAGCCGAGATCGCGCCACTGCACTCCAGCCTGGGCAACAGTGTGAGACTCCATCTCAAAAAAGAAAAAAAAAAAAAAAAAGACCAAGAGTTCTTGGGGCAAGATTTGGCTTTGGGGCCAGAAGTAAATAGTCCTGTAATAGCAGCTAATCACGACTTGCACTACCTGAGCTCCTACTACGTGTCAGGCCGAAGCCTCTGACATCATCTCTAGTCCCCAAAACAACCCTAGGAGGTAGCTATTATTGTTGCTATCTTTAGACAAAAAAACTGAGGCTCAGGGAAATTAACCATCTTGCTCAAGGTCACACGGTGAGCAAGTGGTGAAGCTGGGCTCTGACCTGACGCCTGCTAGACTCTAAAGTTTGGGCTCTTGTCTCTCAGGTCCTCAAGTGCTTATGAAACTCCTTCCCTTTCAGTTCTTCATTTTGTCTCCGAACATTCGGTCTCTGCACCCACTCTGTGCCGGGGCGGTGCTCAGGTTTTGAGGGTGCAAAGATGCCTAAGATGACCTCCGTCCAGAAGGTCACCTTCGAGTGGGGGAAACAAATATGGCCCAGTCCAGGCAGCGGAAGAGGAGGGTGAGAAGTGGAGACTGGAGGGGGCCAGGCTGCCCCAGGGCACAGAGACTCCACCACCACAGACTCCACCCTCCAGCAGGAATCTCTTGAGCTCCCGAATGTCACCCCATGTCAAGACAGTTGAGAAAAGACAAAGGAGGAAGAAATACTAACACGGGTGGGCACCTACCTGCCATCTGTCTGGCATATTGCACATGGCATCTCATTTAATCTTCCAGCAACCCTGAGAGGCTGGCACTGTTACTGTCACTTTCTAGACAAGGGCAGTCAAACCTAAAGAAGTTAAGAAACAGCCAAGGTCAGCCCACGTTCCCTGCAGAGCGGAGTGTCCCGGCTCCGAGCCTGGGCTCTCTCTAGAGCATGCCACTGTCTTTCCAAGAATGTGTAGAAGTAGAAGGAAAGAGAGTGGGGACACCCCAAAGCCCAACTGCAGGGAACTAAACCCAAGACCCGGAGGGAGACCACAGGTGCCCGGGGCTGGCCCCGCCATACCATTGTCAGGTGTGTTTGCTCCTGCTAATGTCGCAGCCACAGCTGTCTCTTAAATGTCCCAAACCTGGAGGAAGGGTGGGACGGAAGTGCAGGAAGGAAGATGCTGGGGGATCCGGAGTGAGCGAGGACATTCCAAACCCACAGGAGCTCTGGAAGGAACTCCCGACGTCCATCCCCGACATGCCCTGAACTCCTCCCTACAGTTCCAATTTTCCAAAGTAATGATCTTGGTGGGTAAGAAACTCATCCTGTCCTCACCGCCTCGGCCTTGGAGGGCCAGTCCAGCCGGCTCCCTCCGCCTCTCCCCGTTGAGGACTCCAGGCAGGTAACAGGCCTGAGCGCTTCCCTCCCCATGCACAGCGGACAGGCAAGACCAGGAGGACTGGAAGGACTTGTGTCCCTGTCACCAGCAGCACAAATGAAGCCGCCAGAGGTAATAACAGGGCAAGGGCGCGCTCACCAGCTCTCAGGCCGTGCTAGAGCACGGGCCCTGGAGGAGTGGGGTTCCCTGTGTGCCAGACTGGTGGTGCCTCCTGCCCTCCCTAACCAGCACACTCTCCTCTGACTCAAACGCCCCCTAACTGTTTGCTCCCCTCCACTCCCTTCCGGGAGCTGTAAGAGGTTCCTGCCAGGGTTCTCAGAAGCCTTGTGTAGGGACCTCTGTGGGGCCACCACAGCCCTCAGGCCACAGCCCTGTAAGAGAGGTGGTAGGTGCTGGAGTCAGGGCAGAGGGGCTGAGAGCTGCCCTGGCTGAGTTTCATGCCCAGGTGGGGAGGAAGCGTTCCCTAAGGAGGCGAGGAGCCCTCTAAGAAGTTTGATTTGTTTGGGGTTTGAAATTTCAGCCTTAATATAAAGAGTTCCTACATATCTGTAAGAAAAATAAAAGGTGGCCGGGCGCAGTGGCTTACACCTGTAATCCCAGCACTTTGGGAGGCCAAGGAGGGTGGATCACCTGAGGTTGGGAGTTCGAGACCAGACTGACCAACATGGAGAAACCTCATCTCTACTAAAAATACAAAAAATTAGCTGGGCGTGGTGGCATATGCCTGTAATCCCAGCTATTTGGGAGGCTAAGGCAGGAGAATTGCCTTAACCCGGGAGGCAGAGGTTGCGGTGAGCCGAGATCGCACCATTGCGCTCCAGCCTGGGCAATGAGAGCGAAACTCCGTCTCAAGAAAGAAAGAAAAGAAAGAGAGAGAGAAAGGACGAAGGAAGGAAGGAAGGAAGGAGGGAGGGAGGGAGGGAGGCAGGCAGGCAGGCAGGCGTGGTGGCTCACGCCTGTAATCCCAGCACTTTGGGAGGCAGAGGTGGGCAGATCACTTGAGCCCAGGAGTTCGAGACCAGCCTGGGCAACATGGCAAAACCCTGTCTCTACTAAAAAAAAAAAAACACAAAAAATTAGCCGGGCATGGTGGTGCGCACCTCTAATCCCAGCTACTCAGGAGGCTAAGGCATGAGAATTGCTTGAACCCAAGAGGTGCATGTTGCAGTGAGCCAAGATTGCACCACTGCACTCCACCTGGGCAACAGAGCAAAAAATAAAAATATAAAAAATAAAATATGTACCATGGGAAGCTGGCAAACAGTATGGATTATTCATAAAACAGCTTCAAATGATAACAATTATATGAAAAAAATTCAACTTCATTCATAATCCAAGGAATAAAAATGAAAATTAGGTATCTGTTACCTATAAGCAAGTCTATCAAGGCCCAGTGTGGTGGCTCACGCTTGTAATCCTAGCACTTTGGGAGGCTGAGGCGGGCGGATTGCTTGAGGCCAGGAGTTCAAGACCAACCTGGCCAACATGGTGAGACCTCCATCTCTAAAAAAAAAAAAAAAAAAAAAAAAGAGGCTGGGTGTGGTGGCTTGTGCCTGTAATCCCAGCACTTTGGGAGGCTGAGGTGGGCAGATCACCAGGTCAGGAGTTTAAGACCAGCCTGACCAATGTGGTGAAACCCCGTCTCTACTAAAAATACAAAAATTAGCCAGGTGTGGTGGCACGTGCCTACAATCCCAACTACTCAGGAGGCTGAGGCAGGAGACTAGCTTGAACCTGGGAGGCAGAGGTTGCAATGAGCCGAGATCATGCCATTGCACTCCAGCCTGGGCGACAGAGCAAGACTCTAGCTCAAAAAAAAAAAAAAAAAAAAAGCCTATCATAAAACTAGTTATAATATTGAAAAAGTAGAAACAATCTAAATATTTAACCTGAGTACATTAAAAATTATAATTAAGTAAGCTGTGTGTGGTGGCTCACACTTGTAATCCCAGCACTCTGGGAGGGCAAGGCAGGCGGATTACTTGAGGTCAGGAGTTCAAGATCAGCCTGGCCAACATGGTGAAACCCCGTCTCTACCAAAAAATACAAAAAAAATTAGCCGGGCGTGGTAGCGTGCTCCTGTAGTCCCAGCTACTTGGGAAACTGAGGCACAAGAATTGCTTGAACCTGGGAGACGGAGATTGCAGTGAGCTGAGATCACACCACTGTACCCTGTAGCCTGGACAACAGAGTGAGACCCTGTCTCAAAAAAAGAAAAACTATAATGAAATATGTGTATCTCTTAAATATGATGGCAAAAAATATTTCAGGAAAATGCTTACAATATATTAAATTTAAAAGCAGGTTCCAAAACAGTATTATGGGGTAGGCACCCTTGTCATTTTTATAAACGTAAGTCAGTCCATATGTCTGTAGTAAAAATCATGGAAGTAAAAATCTTAAATTCTTGTTCAATGGCAGAATTATGACTTTTATTTTCTTTTTTCTATATTTCGTACTTTTTTCTACAATATTCCCATATTGCTTTTGTAGTGAAATCTTCTTGATGATTTTGAAAGAGTCCTTCAGGAAGGCAATGTTGGAATAATTGGCTGCAAAAGGATGTTCTTCATTGAACAGTGAAAATTCTTGCCAATTTAGGCCGGCCGCGGTGGCTCACGCCTGTAATCCCAGCACTTTGGGAGGCCGAAGCGGGTGGATCACTTGAGGTCAGGAGTTTGAGACCAGCCTGGCCAACATGGCGAAACCCCATCTCTACTAAAAATACAAAAAAATTAGCAGGGCTTGCTGGCGGGCGCCTGTAATCCCAGCTACTCAGGAGGCTGAGGCAGGAGAATCGCTTGAACCTGGGAGGCAGAGGTTGCAGTGAGCCGAGATTGCGCCACCGCCCTCCAGCCTGGGTGACAGAGTGAGACCATGTCTCAAAAAAAAAAAAAAAAAAAAAACATTGCCCATTTGATGGTTATAGAAATGGGCTGGGATGGCAATGGGTGGGAGGAAGGCCGAGGGAATAAACTGCTCCAGATCCAGGAATCCTGATTTTTGATGTTACCATGAAATCTAAATGTGTAGAAAGCACAAAGAATCTGGAGTCCCCGGACACACAGTTTGAATCCTACAGCTGCTTTGAGGAAGATGCCTTAGCTTTCTGAGACTGACTGTTCATAAAGTGGAAGTAAGAGCAATGTAGGATGATGGTGAAGATTAAGATAATGAGTTGCTTTGTGAAGCAGAAAGCTCTAAACAAATGCTGGATGCAGCAGATAATAACATCCATGTCTGGTTTAGCTTCGGTAAGATGGGCGGTGGCTGCTGTAGTTGAATTTGCCCTGACTGCTGAGAACGCTGGGCACGTTGCAGCTGAGAGACAATTTTCCCATAGGGTACAGGCAAACTCTTGGATTTTCCGGTCCACAGTAATACAGAATATAAAAATAAACTAGCTGGGCACGGCGGCTCATGCCTGTAATCCCAGCAACTCGGGAGGCTGAGGCAGGAGGATCACATGAGCTCAGGAGTTTCAGACCAACATTGTGAGATCCCGTTTCTGCAAAATATTTAAAAATTAGCCAGATACAGTGGCAGGGCCTATAGTCCCAGCTACTTGGGAGGCTGAGGTGGGAGGATCACTCGAGCCCAGGAGTTTGAGGTTATAGTGAGCTATGATGACACCACAGCATTCCAGCCTGTGTGAACAGAACGAGACTCTGTCCCAGAATTTTTTTTTTTTTTTTTTTTTTTTTTTTTTGTGAGAGAGTCCTACACTGTTGCCCAGGCTGGAGTGCAGTGGCAGGATCTCGGTTCACTGCAACCTCTGCCTCCCAGGTTCAAGCAACTCTCCTGCCTCAGCCTCCCGAGTAGCTGGGATTACAGGCATGCGCAACCACGCCCGGGTAATTTTTTTTGTATTTTTTAGAGATGGGGTTTCACCATATTGGCCAGGCTGGTCTTGAACTCCTGACCTTGTGATCCGCCCACCTCAGCCTCTCAAAGTGCTGGGATTACAGGCGTGAGCCACTGCACCCGGCCTAAAAAAATTTATTTTAATTTAAAAAATTAAGTAAAAATAAACTTATTCTGAGTTCAGAGGAAGGTGTTTGGTGACCTGCTGACTACCCTTTCAGGAGTGAATATACGGCCCCTGATGAGAACCCCTGGTTAGTCGTGTGCTGAGCACTGGGAAGGAGAGAAAACGGCACAAAATGGAGACACCTGTGACCTCCTTCACCTATACCTGCTTACTGATGTTTTGGCGAAATGCTTGGGGGCTGAGTTGGGTGGACCGAGGATGCCAGAGCTTGTCATCTAAGGAGGCTGGGAGAGGCTGGGTGGTGGTTCCGGTTAGATGGGTCTCCACCCTGCACGAGATAGATGGGCAGGCTCATGAATCATGAGCCCCTCGTGTTCATAACTGATTAGCTAGTTTGTTGCGGCGCCACTCTTGACTTTCCCACAATATGGGCCCTGACATCCTCAGAGGGTACCACGTTCTTCAGTCCACCCAGATGAAATGGATTTACAAATCCAATGATGAGCTTTCTGAGTACTGACTGTGTTTGGAGACTCGTTCTTGACTGTGCCACTCCAAGTCCTTCAAATGAAAGACAATGTTCACCCTTTTTTTCCTTCCTTTTCTGCTCCTTCTAGGATACCCCTCGCCACGTTTTCTGTTTTACCTCCTTTTCTTTCAAGGAATCATTTTAATTGCTCTTCCTCTCCTTGTTCCTCAGTTTCCCTCACCTTCTCCTCATGTCCTCCTCTCTCTGCCTCTGGATCTAGCCAGCGTCTTCCTCTGTGCTCTTCATGTCACAGGCACCTGCCACCAGGAGCCACCGATGCCAGGCTGTCCTGAGCTAACGCACAGGGAGGACTGTATGACGAGGGAGTGCAGACGGCAAGACAGCCACTCAACAGCAGAATGGGGGCTGCCCTTGCCGCCCAGGCCACCCAGGCTGTGGCTCCTGAGCTGCGTGGTCCTCCCTTCATCACTCGCCCCCTCTCTGAATTCTCCCACAGCCTTTTACAATCTTTTCAAACAGCTTTTCTCCCCATACTCCTGCCAGCCCTCCTCCCCTGCCCTCCCTCCGAAGGAGCCCTTGGATTTATCCACACCTGCTGGTGCCAACATGCCCCAGACTGAACGCGCCACTCCAGGTGTGGTTTTGCCTGGTGAATGGAGAGGCACGGGGCGGCTCTGTGTCCAGAGGTGGGAGAGGCCGTCCAGGGCCAGCCTTGCACCTGGGTTCAGCCAGCGCAGCTGCCCCCAACCATGCCAGGCCGCTCTGTTGATCCCCGCTATCGAGCGGAGCGTCAGGACAGGAGCTTTTGCTGTCTCCTTCCTGCCTCAGAACCCCACCCACTATGTTTTTTCTCATCTGAATCTCAGTTCGAAATCTCCAGCCCAAGGGGTTTCCCAACACCTCCTAGTTTTGAATCAACCTGCTGATGCCAGCATTCCCAGATGAGGAATAGAGATGTGAGGTGGGACCTGGCCTGGCACTGCGTGGTGAAGACACTCCTGTACCCGCAACGGTCATCCAACTGGTGGCATCTGGACAAACAAACCCAGTCCCCTCCTTAGCTTCCATGAAGGAAAAAAACAAGTGGGTACAAGCTGAGGACACGGCTGGGAGTGGAACTGTAGGAACAAGGACTGGCCAGATGGCGACACCAAGGCGGCCATGCTCCTACCCTGAAGCCGCAGCTGCAGGTCTGGTCTGCACCAGGTGGTCCTCTCCGGCAACCAAAGAATTCTCTGCCCCCAACAGTGCCTCGGTGGAAACCATGCCCAGTCTCTCTCGGGGTCACCCCACAGGAATATGCCTTTTAGTCCCCCACCTATGGCTTCATGGGGAAGACTTCTGGCAGCAGAGGCCCGGGCATGGCAGCAGGAAACAGAGAACTGGGTCAGTCTTCTTCTTTGTCCTACTGTGGCCTCGGGGTCTGGTCATTCTCCGAATGGGGCTGAAGGACAGCAATAGGGCCAGAACGGCAATCTGGGTCTGTGCATCATGTTCTAGCCAACAAAACATCCCACCTTGGATTTTATTTTTTAAATCTATTCAAAGCTTCGGTTCCGCATCCAATTCCCAGAGAGGCCATCCCCTTGTCCAAATGGGCAGAGTGGCATGCCAGCACTGAGCCACCTCTGGAGGGGGCTGGCCACCTCTGGATGGGTCGGCACCCTCTCACAGGGGTGAACACTGCAGACTGGAACTGAGCTTCTCTCTGCTCCTCTGATTTGAGGAGAGAGCACACCTGATACCACAGCAAGCACTTGTTCTTGGCACTTGGTGTCACTCTTGCTTCATCTTGGCTCAGCTTAAACCCTTCAACTGAATGGTGGCGATCACCACAGAGGAGAACTCTCTTCTTCCCCCTCCGTGCCACATGCACACACATGCACACTCACACACACGCACACAATTGTACACACATGCACACTCACATACGTGCACAATTATACACACACGCAATCACACACACATGCACTCACATGCACACACGTAGACACACGCACAATTGCACACACATGCACACGTGCACTCACGCGTACACACTCGCACACACATGCACACTCGCACACACGTTGAGACGTGCACTCACGTATACACTCCCACACACGTTCAGACGTGCACTCACGTGCACACTCGCAAACACGCACACTCACACATGCACACTCACACACATGCACACTCACATGCCCGCCAGGGCAGGAGCCTGGCTCTCCAGGAGGCAGGGCAAGTGTCCAGACAGAAGGATGAGAGCCATGTTGTGGCACAGGAGGGCCCCATGGTGGATGATGGGGAGGAAGGGCCATGTGGACAGGCAGGGGTGGGGTTGGGAGGGGCTCCTCATCTTTCCTGAGCAGGGCCCGGGTGGAACCAAGTCTCCTGGAATTGTTCATTGTTGACTTCACCAACATATTCTTAAAACTTGAAATTGCTCAGAAGATAATCTAACAGCACAAACATGCACACATAAACAGTAAGAGTCCCTTGGCATCAAACTGGCAAACTGTGGTGGCAGAAACACAGGAAGGATCCACTCCCGGTGTGAGGCTTGCTGTCCCTCCCTCTTCAATGCGCTGGCTACCAAGCCTTTGCCAATCCCCAGTGCAGCAGTTCACAGACTTTTTACTGCTAAGAACGGCTTTTGGCAACCCCAAAAATGTGATGTGCCCTTTCGGTGGGTAGAATTAATTGGCGTAATAGAACGTGTCCTCCTCTCAG